>NC_000005.10:72609807-73859807 GCF_000001405.40 Homo sapiens
CAAATATTATATTACTGCATATAAACTTAGTTCACCATTCTTTTTAATTGAGTAAATCCCTATCACTTTTATGCTTTATTTTCATTATCTTTTGTTTTATGGGTTTTTTAATACCTGTAAAAAGAGCTATGGCTATGTTGAATTCAAATAACACAAAAGGCTAAAAAGTCTTTCCCTAGACTCTATCCCAAGTCCTACTGTTTAAAGAGAGCAACGGTTGGCTGGGCGCGGTGGCTCACACCTGTAATCCCAGCACTTTGGGAAGCCGAGGTGGGCGGATCACGAGGTCAAGAGATCAAGACCATCCTGGCCAACAGGGTGAAACCCCGTCTCTACTAAAAATACCAAAAAAAATTCCTGGGTGTGGTGGCACGCCCCTATAATCCCAGCTACTCGGGAGGCTGAGGCAGGAGAATCGCTTGAACCCGGGAGGCGGAGGTTGCAGTGAGCTGCTATCGTGCCACTGCACTCCAGTCTGGCAACAGAGCGAGACTCTGTCTTAAAAAAAAAGAGCAATGGTTAAACATTAGGATATAGCTGTCCAATCTTTTTCTACATTTATATTATACACAAATCAAAATACATATACACACATGCTACACTTTTAAAAAACAAAAATAGGATTATGTATAATGTTACACAACTCGGTCTGTTTATTTTATCTTCCATGCTCATCTTTCCATGTCAGTGTAGGTGAGCTCTACCTAAGAAAAGCTTCGTAGGTACCACTACTTATTTAATCAGTCTCCTCCTGCTGAACTCTTAGACTTTTTCTAAACTGTCATCATTACAAAATTCCTACAATGAACACCCTTGTGTTAAGTTGAATCATTTCAAATTGCTGTTTGTGTATATCAAAAAATGGTTGAATAGCAGTAATTTCAAATGGGTCATACTATACATTTGTATTTCTATAGGATACACTTCTTGAAGTGGGATTGGTGCATCAAAGAAGATGTGCATTTTTATTTTGATGACTACTACTACACTACCCACCTCATAGATATGCCAATTTATACTGTGCTCATTCCCCATGCCCTTGACAATAATAAAAGCTTTCAATCTTTTTAATTTTTGCTAGAAGATTATGCCTCCGTGTTTTGCTTTGCTTTCTTTCCTGATGATTGAGGAGGCTGAATATCTTTTCGTATGCATACTGCACCCAGGACACTTAAAACATCATTTGATTCTCCCACAATCCTCCAAACACACTCCTATTTACAAAAAGAAAATCAAACCTCTTTTTGAGAGAATTAAAGAACAGATGCCTATCGTTAAAAGGATTCCTTTTAGGAAGCTGGGACGGATTATTTTTCTGCCTTCAAATTTCTATTCGTTTCTGTTACTGGACACACAAACATGTATTGTTTTTGCCTAGAGCGAACTCCTTTGACCTCACTCTTCTGTTTTCTGAATTTGAATCACTTGGAAAATCCACTGGGCTTTGGATCTGAGAAGCCGACACTGGGCTCTGGGCAAAGCTGTGGGCTTTGCAGCCTGCCAGCAGGGGGCCTCTTCAGCTCTGAGAGGCCTCCTGGCCAGAGCTCCATTTCCTCCCTCCTAAACAAGCTTCTCCCCAGCGCAGAGAGGCAGTTGCTGGCTTCCACTTAGGCAGGATAATTTAGTGAATGAAAGTCGTTTGGCTTCCACCATAGTAATTAGTATGCAAATTACCAGTATATTACCTGCAGAGTCATAAATTACATTGACAGACTTAATATTCACAGATTCAACATTCCAGTGAGGGTAATTTTTCTATTTTTCAATAGTTGTAGACCAGGCCGATCCACCACCTTATTGAACTGTTATGCATTAAATCAACAGTTGAAAAATTAAGCATTTTCCAAAGCATTTTATTATGCATTTATTTCTTTCAGTAGGCAGTCAAGTGGAACATTAAATATGCAGTGTGTCTAAGAGTACTAAATGGCTGGTGAATACATTTAAGCCTAAAACAGTTTTTTTGTAACTTAAAAAAAGAGACACAACACAGGAAAATCTATATCATAATACAATCTATTGAATCTTTGCCAACACCATTAGAACCAAATATTTTCTAGCTCAGGTTCCCGTAAGTAAGAGGAATCATTAATCCCCAATAAGTGGTTCAAGCTAATGCTGCTCACAAATGGAAAATGGCTGGCCCATAGGAAAGGGGTGCAGTGAGTCCACGTAGGGGTGGACAGGGTCAAGTCTCATCATGTCAACATGATCTTTCCTTCTTCTATTCACCCAAGAGACCAACTGAGCCCGTATTCTGTGCCAGGTCAACAAGATGATTCCTGCCTCCAGGGGATTTAAGGACAGTTAGAGTCAAAGTCTCTTAGCTCAGCCCCTGCTGATGGACAGCATGGTGAGCACTAATCATTGAAGAGTCATGGGGAACACCCAGCACCTTTTCTACGTCCAGCCTCAAAAGCCACTGGAAAGTTAGTGAGACTCAATAATTCCTTCCTCCAGTTCCTCTCTGCACATTCCTACAAAATAAAATTACCTTTGCTTTAAGAGTCTAACATTACTATTGAGGCCATTGAAGGACATATTTATTGATGGTTTCAACAAGGAGATCTGAGAAAGGTGACTAGAGATGGTTAGCAGGAATGTACTGAGAGACACCCATTCACAGATGTGCAGATAACGCCAAATTGCAAATAAACCAGGTGGCTGATGTCTGACATTTGGTCCTTAACTTTAGAAAGTACTTAGCATTTAGAATACCATCCTTCAAACCAAACAAAAGAATTATCCTACGGAGATAGAAAAAGGCAGGGGAAGAAAACCACTTTGCTGCCACAGCTTGGGCCTGCAGTGGCTTCTGTGTCCCCACACTGTATTTGAGGATGGGCATCACCACTTCAAATTCTGGGGGAAGAGCCCCTTGGCCCTGGTTTTCTACTCTCTGTAACCAGCTCACACCTTTCTTTGTGGAGCTATGATCGGCTGAGGAAATGAATTGTTTTCAAAGAGTCTTTCTGAAGAGTGAGCCAAATGGAAGTAGGACAAGATATCTCAGTTAATGTGGGGGTCCGGTAAAGAATGTGCAATTCAAGCCTCCTACCCTGTAACATTTCTCAGGGTTGGAGGTTGCATGCTATGAAGGCTGGAAGAAGTCAGAACATAAGGCAGGAGTTGAAAACAAATGTGCATCGTGTACTTCTCCAAAAGCCACAAATATATAATATCATCTACAGGGAGGTTTACTGTAACATTAGCCTGTCTTGTGATCACTCATTCAGTAAGTATTTACTGAGTGCATATTATGTGCTGACACTGTCTTCTATCAAAATTTTTCTCTTAAATGTCAGCATAGAATCTCATACTTTATTTTATAATGCATTTTTAAAACTGCCAGATTATTAGTATGAACTTTAAGAGCAGAAAGTGCTTACTCACCAGAGAATAGGCCTTTTAAAAGTTGATTCATTTTTTAATTGAAAAATAAAAGTTGTACATATTTATCATGTACAACATGATGTTTTAAAATATATATATATTGTGGAATGGCTACATTGAGCTGATTAACATATGCAGTACCTCACACAGTTATCATTTTTGGGGGTAAGAACACTTAATACCTACCCTCTTAGCAATTTTCAAGACTATAATACATTGTTATTAACCATAGTCACCATGTTGTACAATAGATCTCTGGAACTTATTCTTACTATCTGAAACTGAAATTTTGTATCCTTGGAACAACTTCTCCTCAACCCTCTTCCCCCTCCACCACTCCAGCCCTGGTAACTATCATTCTACTCTGCTTCTCAGAATTCAACTTCTTTAGATTCCAAATATAAGTGAGAGCCTGCAGTATTTGTTTTTCTGGGCATGGCTGATCTCGCTTAACCTAACGTCCTGCAGGTTCATCTATGTTGTTGCAAATTACAGGATTTCCTTCTTTACTTAAGGTGGAGTAGTACTCCACTGTGTATATATACCACATTTTCTTTACCCATCCAACTATTGATGTACCTTAGGTTGATTCCATATCTTGCTTACTGTGATACTACTGTGTGAACATGAGAGTGCAGATATCTCTTTGACATACAGGTTTCAATTCCCTTGGCTATATACCCAGAAGTGGGATTGTTGGATCATATGGTGGATCTATTTTTAATTCTTTGAGGAACCTCCACACTGTTTTACATAATGGTTGTACTAATTTACATTCCTACCAACCATGTAGAAGGGTTCCCTTTTCTCCACATCCTCGCCAACACTTACCTTTCATCTTTTTGATAATAGTCATTCTAACAAGTGCCAGGTGATATCTCCTTGTGGTTTTATTTTGTGTTTCCTTGATGATTAGTGATGTTGAGCATTTTTTCGTATACCTGTTAGCCACTGTATGTCTTCTTTTGAGAAATATCTATTCAGATCTATTGCCCACTTTTTAATCAGGTTATTTGTTTTCTTGTTATTGAGTCAAGTTCCTTATGTATTTTGGATTTTAACTCCTGATAGATATATGATTTGTAAATATTTTCTCCTACTATGTAGGTTGTCTCTTCACTCTGCTGACTGTTTGCTGCACAGAAGCCTTTTAGTTTTTTCTTTTTTTCTTTTTCTTTCTTTTTTTTGGAAACAGTCTTGCTCTGTCTCCCAGGCTGGAGTGCAGTGACATGATCTCGGCTCACTGCAACTTCCGCCTCCCGCATTCAAGCGATTCTCCTGCCTCAGCCTCCCCAGTAGCTGAGATTACAGGTGCCTGCCACCATGCCTGGCTCATTTTTTGTATCTTTTTAGTAGAGATGGGGTTTCACCGTGTTAGTCAGGATGGTCTCGATCTCCTGATCCCATGATCCGCCCGCCTCAGCCTGCCGAAGTACTGGAATTACAGGAGTAATTCCAGCTTTTTACTTTTATGTAATCCCATCTTTCTAATTTCACTTTTGTTGCTTGTGCTTTTAGGGTCATATCCAAAAAAGTCCTTGCCCAGACCAACATCACGAAGCTTTTCCCCATGTGTTCTTCAAGTAAGTAGTTTGACAGTTTCAAAAACAGGTTCCCCTTACTCATTCATTGTATAAATAATATTTGAAGAGCTGCTAAATGTGACACATGGTTTTTAGGTGATGAATATGTGAGCAAGACACAAAGAAAACTCATAGTGACCCAGAGCACAAGCCTTGGAGTCAGTTAGCAGGGTTCAAATCTCAGCTATGCCACTATTTGTTGGGTGAACCTAACAAAGTGACTTAATTGTGCTTTATCTCAGTCACATGCCTATTGAATATGAAATGATACAAACCTCAGAGGGCTTCACAAAGATTACATGAGATAATACAAATACATGTAAAAAGAAAAATCTAATTAATATAAAAATCATTGAAGAGCAGTTGATGCAAGAAAGCCTTGATGAACTGAATTCCTAAAGACAAGCCTTTCATAGATAAACAGAAAGCTATGGCAGTTTCTTAGGGGTAAAAGCTAGATAAGAGTGAGGACAGCTGGGGAGAAAGGGCTGCCAAAGGCTAAGGGATTTTACTAGGTCAGAAAAATATTTGAAGAAATAATGCCAAAAACATTTCAAAATTAGATTTTAAGAAATCAATAAAGGCATAAGAAAAACAAATGAAAGGCATAAAAATAAAAAAGAAGAAAAAGTAAAACAGTCTTTGTTTTATTTTTAATTTAATTTATTTTTTGAGACAGAGTCTTGCTCTGTCACCCAGGCTGGAGTGCAGTGGTGTGATCATGGCTCACTGCAACCTCTGCTTCCTGGGCTCAAGCAATCCTCCCACCTCAGCCTCCTAAGTAGCTGGGATCACAGGCGCGTGCCACCATGTCTGGCTAATTTTTGTATTTTTTGTAGAGACAAGGTTGTGCCATGTTGCCCAGGATGGTCTCAAACTCCTAGGCTCAAGTGATCGACCTGCCTCGGCCTCCCAAAGTGCTGGGACTACAGGCATAAGCCACTGCACACAGCAGCAAGTCTTTATTCATGTACAACATGATTATGTACCTAGAATATACCAAGGAATCCTCAAAGAAGAAAAAAAAGGACTATGAGATTTAATAAACAAATTCAGCAAAGCCTCAAAACAAGGTCAATGTTTATGTACATGCACGTGTGTGTGTGTGTGTGTGTGTGTGTGTGTGTATACCCCATGTTTATGGGTTGGAAAACTCTATAGTGTAATATGTCAGTTGTCCCCAAATTGATCTATCTTATTATAAGTTCAATGTACTTCCATTAAAATCCCAAAGACTTTGTTGTAGAAATTTATAAGCTGAAACTAAAAGTTACATGGAAATGTAATGGAACTGGAGTAGACAACACAATCTTGAGGAAAAAATAAAGTTGAAGCATATAAACTACCAGATTTTAAAACTTACCATAAAGCTACAATAATTAACAAAGTATGGTATGAACATAAATATAGACAAATAGGTCGCTTGAATTCAATAGACAATTGAGAAACTCACAAATACTGTTAATTGATTTATGATAAAATGTGCCAATGCAATTTAATGAGGAAAAAGGAAAGACTTTTCAACAACTGATACTAGAAAAGTAGATATCTACACACAAAAAAATGAGCCTTGACACTTTTCTCATGCTATATAAAAGTTATTCAAGATGGAATGCAGGCTCCAATATAAAAGCTAAAACTAGGAAGTTCCTAGAGGAAAACATAAGAGAATGTCTTTTCAGCATCAAACAAGCACAGATTTGTTAGAGAATGCAAAAAAAAAAATCATCAAATAAAAATTGATAAACTTGACTTCTCTTCACCAAAAATTATCAGACCTGGGAGAAAATATTTGCAATATATATTCCACAAGAAATGAAAATGTGAGAAAACATACAAATCAAAAATAAAAAGACAGTCTAATTAAAAAAATAAAAAGTCTTGGATGGACACTTTACAAAAGAGAAAATGAAATGTCCAATAAGCACATAACAAGATGCTCAACCTCATTAGCCAGCAAGAAAATGCAAATTAAAACCACAGTGATATATCACCACACATTAATTGGAATGAAAAAATTTAAAAGACTGACCATACCAATGGTCACTACCCATGGGATTGAAAATGGTACAACCATGTTGAAAAACAGTTTGGGAGTTTCTTACAAAGTTAGACATACACCCGGCTTATGACCCAGTAATTTCACTCCTAGGTATTTACTCAAGAAAAATGAGAATAGATGTCCACAAAAAGACTTGTTTGAGAATGTTTACTGGCACTTTATTATATTGCAAAAAATTTAGAAACAATTCCAACATTCTCCCAATAGAAGAACAAATAAACAAATTGTGATAAATTTATACAATAGAATTCTACTAGCAACAAAAAGGAAAGAACTACTGATATATACAACAATATGGATAAATCTCAAAAACATTATGTTGAACAGAAGGAACTGTACACAAAGCGAGTACATGTGGTAAGAACAGGCAAAACTGATCTAGAGGATAGAATTCAGAGTACAGGAATTGACTAGGAAAGATGGCAGCAATATTCTAGGCCTTGCTTAGGGTGTTGGTGGTTACATACATTTGTCAAAACTCATCGAACTGCATAGTTAAGAACTGTGCATCTTAATGAATATAGTTGTACCTCACTAAAAATTTTAAAACAAAAATGAATGAGTGAGTGAGCAAGCAATGAACTAATAAACAAAATTTCACTGTGGGCTAGAATAGCCAAGCTAGACCTCATGAAGACATTCAACTGTACTGGTGAGACTTGACTGACAGGAAAGAAGTGGATAAGACCATCCTGTATGAGTGGGAAGAAGAGAGAGAGTGATATAACAAAAGGAAAAACCACAAAAACATGCCTCTAATGTTTTCCTCCTTTCCTTTATAAGCAATCAAAAACTACAGAGCATTGAGACAGACATAAAACAAATAGGCTTATACCAACAGTAAGTGTTAATGCCCCTGTGCATAGACTGGCAGCTGAGAGTATTTGGGTTGTTATCACCTCAAGTTCCACCAGCAGCTATGGTCCATGGCTGACCTTAACCAAAGGTGAGAGTGGAGAACTACCCTCTTTCCCAAGAGGAAAGGAGTATCTTTGCTACTTACATTGGCTCCTGAAATTTTTATCTCAGCCAGATGTAACCTGGGGTCATTATCAATGTTTAAACCTTTTTTGTTTTGTTTTGAGATGGGGTCTCACTCTGTCATCTAGCCTGCAGTGCAATAGCTGCAGATCATGGCTCACTGCAGCCTCAAACTCCTGGGCTCAAGTGATTCTCTGCCTCCTGAGCAGCTAGGACTACAGGCACTAGGTACACGCCACTACGCCTGGATAATTTTCTTATTTTTCTTTTGTAGAGACAGGGGCTTGCTGTGTTGCCCAGGCTGGCCTCGAAGTCCCAGCCTCAAGCAGGATCCTCCTGCTTTGGCCTCCCAAAGTGTTGGGATTACAGGTGTGGGCCATTGGGCCCAACTCAATGTTTAAACATTTACTTCATGGAAAAACAAGGTGTCCTTGCACCTCAGACTTCATTTTTTCAGGAGTTCAGGTCTATTGCCTAGTGCGCTGAGAGCTGGCTTCTGGTCTTGCCAGTTCTAAGATGAATTCAGATGTAGATGAGTTCTAAGATGGAGCACAGGGTGCCCTGCCCACTCTCAGCTCAAGGTAAAATTCCACCCTCCCAAGGATGTTCAGATGACAATCACTCAGACCCCAGATGACAATCACTCAGACCACTGGAAGGAAACAATTGTTCAACAGACCAAAAGTGATAGAGGCAAATGGTTGATAATGGTTGGAAATAATAGAAAAAGAAATCTCCTTTTTCTCTATCTTTACAGATAGATCAAGCACACATTTGAACAATTTAAATGAAAGAAATGGAGGATCTATGTTTTATAAAACAAAAATTCACAAAATACTAGGAACAATTTTTCCTTACATTTTGTGGAGACCACAATTTTATCATCTAAGAGTTTCTGTCCCTCGATCTCAGCCTTGCTTACCCTCTATGTCATTGATGGGAGGGACAGAACAGTGAGAGAAATATTTTCACTCTCGCTGCTTGGTCCAGGAGTTGGGTTACAGTCACGTGGCTCTAGAAGTGTGGAACCAGCGGATTTATATTTTTAGAAGCAACTGGCAAGGTATATATGGAAAAGAGGTCAAAAAGGATAGGGGCAAAGATTGGGCAATGTGTAGTCACTTCCTTTTCTAGTGTCATCTTACTTTTCATGTGTTAACCATGTGAGCATTTCTTGTTTCCCTTTAGATACAAGGAAAGAGGGCAGGCAGGAATTAAGTGAGTGGTGTAATCAGCCCAGCAAGTTTCTACCAATGGTTGATAATTCAGCCCTCCTAACTTCAGATCCCTTCTCCTGCCTTGAACCAGGGCCATTTCCTCTTTGATCAAATGCACCTTGTTAGGGTTTATGGAAGCAAACCTTCAGAATTCAAAAGGCGCTTCCCAAAAGTGCCATAGTCATTTACTAGAAATTTTTATGAAAGCAAGACTTTTTTTTGTCATCCAAAGAAAAGATGCTATAATTTCCTCTTTTCTGTCTAACAGTAATTATGGCTGCCTAAGTGAATGAAGATGATTCTTCAGAAATGGAGATGGAGAGAGCCTAAGTGCCCCACTCTTTGCCAGGTGCTTCATTAGAGAGGCCAGGGAAAGTCACAGCAAGGAAGAGCATGTATAGCTTATAACAACAAGCAGCAGGAGGGCAGCCTTGAAAGCCAGGCCACTCATTGCCTTGAGACAAAGCTATTCTAATTCTTCTGTCTTCCCCTTGGCCTCTCAACATCTGAACTTTGCGGACTCAGCTCAGAGAGAAAGAATTACTGCAGGGCAGAGGAGATAGGTACACTCACCACCATAGCTTAGCTGGAACGAGAAAGAAACAGGTCATAATTTTGGGGAAACCAAAGAAATGCCAGCTCTTTTTCCTGCCTTGGAGAAATTGGAAAGGGGACAGAGAAGTGAAAGAAGGCAGAGGGGCAAACAGTAAGACCTTTTCCTGACTACTCCTTCCTGAGGCTTGGCCTGCAGGAATGGGGATGACAGGTACAAGGAGGAGAGCATGAAAGGCAAGGGCATCTTCTTTCAGTTCCCACGTGGGATTCCAGGAGTAGAGGTCAAAACACATGGTCACACAGAAGGAGGCCTGATTGGTACTCAGGAGCTAACCCAGTTCCTGCATGGGATGAATATGGAATTGAAGGTCACTGGGGTGGACAAGCTGACCTCATAGCAAAGGATGAGTGAACCACTAGCCCAGGGCACTGCTGGAGAAGTCACAGAAATCCTAGGACCTGCCTCCTGTGAGATCTGAAAGGAAGTTGAGTCCTTAAGGGGGAGATGGCCCATCCTTCCAGGGAGCATATGCAAGCCAAAATAACAGATCACAAGTACTGGTCAAAAACAGCAACTGTGGAGGCCACTACAGCACCCAGAAACCCGAAAACCAAAGGCACCCAGGTCATTGCTTTAGAGGCCAATCAAGAATAAGCCAATACAAACAGAAAACCAGCATGAAGCTAAGCATCTCATCTTTGCACAATGCCATGAGAGTATATAAGGTCTCTCCCCAAACCCCCATATTGGATGACATCTTAGGGAAGAAGTAACCTTCCTGGAAGATGAAAGCAACCTCCAGAGACTGTTTTTATTCAAATGATGCATTGCCCACAGAGACCATTTAAGTTATTGTATCAGACTCAAGTTTAGTGGTGTAAGGGCGTGATAGAAAAATCAAATTAGCTATTAATATTATTTGTCAAGCCATTAAGTACAGAAAAATTGAAGAAGCTCTATTCTCTCCAATCATCTTATTTGTGCTGTATGTTAAAGTTTATAAATATCCAGTATAGTATGGGGTCTATCTCCTAATGTTTTTGTTTTTCTAGGATATTAGTAATGTGTCCCATGATTTTATCTCATTTTAAAAAATCACATCCGAGGGTGTCTACACACCTTGGAACACCAGTTTTTTTTTTTTGTTTTTTTTTTGAGACGGAGTCTCGCTCTGTCGCCCAGGCTGGAGTGCAGTGGCGGGATCTCGGCTCACTGCAAGCTCCGCCTCCCGGGTTCACGCCATTCTCCTGCCTCAGCCTCCCAAGTAGCTAGGACTACAGGCGCCCGCCACTACGCCCGGCTATTTTTTGTAGTTTTAGTAGAGACGGGGTTTCACCGTTTTAGCCGGGATGGTCTCGATCTCCTGACCTCGTGATCCGCCCGCCTCGGCCTCCCAAAGTGCTGGGATTACAGGCGTGAGCCACCGGGAACACCAGTTTTAAAAGCAGATCCAATACTGAGACATAATGATATAACACTTTACTGATAGAACAAAGGCATTTCAATAGTTTAAAGGGAAATGGAATAAAATGCAGATCATCAAGTGAAAGGCCCTACAGAATCACTTAACTTTCATTTTATTTTTGTCTTCTTTGTAAAATAAAATTGTTACTTAGCCTGGAAAAGTTTCAAAAGATATGGTAATTTCCTAAATATGTTCACATCTCCTTGCCAAGAAAAAAATACCTTTCAAGATACAAAAAGAACCTGTACAATGAAAGCATCCAACCACTGTCACTGATCTTTCAAGAATTTTGAAAAATGGGGAAAACTACAGAAAAAGTGAATATGGTCACATGTAGAACAGATGTTCAAAAAAGAAAGAAGGTTGATGCTGTAAACTAGAAGCTGGTGACCTTGATATCAGTCCTAGACCAGAGTCTAGAATGGAGAGTTGGGGCTGGTCCCTGCTCCCTTAGCACGGGGAATGATGATCAGTTAAAACCAACACAATTTCACTATGTGTTCGTAGTGTTCATTTGTTCAACTTTTGCCACACTGGCCCTTTTGCTCTCTGTGGCAATGGTGCTAGACTCATTAAAAGCATGCTTTAGAAATTTTGCTGTTGAATTTTAGCAAGGGATTTGGCAAGGTGATCTTGCTGATGGAAAAGAAGGAAAAATGTGACTGAGTCACAGTACAATGGGCTTGTAACTTGATCAGAATAGTGACCAAAGCCAAGCATGATGGTTGGTCTGGTGTGGGTTGGAGCTCTCTGTCCTTGGCTTGGTTCTATTTTTTGAGGTAATGACTTGAATAAAAAGAGCAATGGCAGCTGATGAAATCCATGGGCGGCATGAAGCTTTAAGGGAATGGCTAATATATTTGGGGGCAAGATCAGGATCCAACAAGATTCCAGTAGGCTAAAAGGATGAGCAGTTCCAACCCAATTTATATTTCATAGTCCTGCTTTTTGGTGGTGGGCCCTCTGTGTCCGTCTTCCAAGAAAGATCAGCAACAAAAACATCACATCAGTACAGAGGACAAAATAGCACCAAGCTCAAGATTATCTGCTCTGGAGTCAGACCCGTTTAGGCAAGTCTCTACTGGTGGGAGCCTCAGCCTAACCCAGTGTGGAGCTAAGGTTACTTACTACCTCATTGGGTTAATGAGAGGATTAAATGAGATGCAAAAGATTCAAAGCATTTAGCACATTGTTTTGCCTATAATAAGCACTCAACAGATAATAACTATATATAGGTACATACACACACGGTAGCTTAGCAGGAGCATGTGTGAAAAAGACTTGTAGTTTTAATTGACTCCAAGTTCAACATAAGCCAGTGATCTGATGTAGCCTCCAAAAATAACTGATCAGACTTCAGCTGTCTTTAAAGAGCCATGGTAGGCTGAATATGTGTAGTGAAAATTCTTGCCAGATTCCACATGGACAGACCACAATGGGAGCCCCATGCTCTGCTCCCAGTAATTCACCATTAACGCGGACCTCAGTAAACAGAAACCCATCCAGCTAGGATGACCTAAGACAACAAGGGCGCTTAAGACCTTGGCCTATGAAGAACTGGACTTGTTTAGCCTGGAAGGACGAATACTTAGGGCATCATGACAGCTGTTTCACATATTTTTAGGACAGTCACATGAAAGAGGAATTAGTGTTCAATGTGGAGCTAAACTGTTATACAAAATCTTTTTACATAGGAAATGCCAGGGGCTTGGAAATGGCACTGATTAAAAGTATAAACCTTAGTAATGAAACAAGAGGTTTCACTATGCCTTGAAAAAGTCTAGTTTAGCCTTAAGCCATTTTTTTACATTGTTAAGATTAGGAAACCTTCTCTCTGAAAAAGCTGTTTCCAGAGATTTTGATCAGCATTATGATTAGGTACACACCGTCACCATTCCATTTTTAGTGGGAAGAAAATTAAATAAGGGAAAGGCACTTCAGTAATTTTCCCAGGTCTGAGGGGATGACTAGAACCCACCACTCCATTTTTCTCACTCTTCACACCTGTCTGCTCAATTGATGGGCTATGATGCCTCTTATCTCAATTAGCAACCTCCTTGGAGTTGTGAATATGGTGATGGTTTGAGATAACATTCCTCCCCACCATCCTGACTGTTTAAGCTGTATTCCCATCAATACTCTTAAAGATCCAGCTCATTAGAGTAGTGTGATGAAAGCATTTTGGTGGAGAGGTATGCAGCTGGCTGCCATGCGTGGAACCCAGAGCAACACTTAGTGACTTCAGCTTGAGCACCATCTCAGATTCTCATTTTTACATTGCCTTAAGACTCTCGCAGTTTTAAAATAAGCTACATTTTTAAAAGAACCAGAATCAAGTAATTTGTATTCTGGTCACAATATAGGGCTTTGATGGAACAGGCTTAGATTCCTCTCACCTGATCACTGCATCTAAATGAGAAAAAACGGAATCCCATTCACAATGCAAATATTACAGAAAACCAGAAACCATTCTGCCTTATAATCAAAACGAGAAAGCTGTTATTGTAGCTCTGCACCATTTCCAGAGGCTATTAATTCACTGCAAAACCCTGTCCTAAAATGAAAGCCTCGGCAGCATGACATTGTCTCTCCTAAAGAACCACTTTGTCTTAGCAGCGTCGCTTCCAAAGTCATGGATGAAGTTGGCTGACAAGAACTGATTTGGGCACTTTGTTCTGGTCACATACTTTTCTAGAAATAAAATATTAATGTGAGCCAGAGTGAGGCAGAAATTAAGTAATTCAGACAATGACTGCCTGGTGACATTTATTAGAGATAGAAACTATTAGAGTGCTTTTCTGACTTAATAGTATATTTTCTAATCATGATGAACTTCTTGAGGTAAGTCTAACACCATTAACTGTTGATTCTGAATATTTAAAGCATTGTTTGAAGAATCTCCCCAAGGGTTTAAATTTTTTTTTCCTTTCTTCCGTAGGATATTATATGGCAGCAAACTTCAAAGGATCCAACAGCGATTTTCAATTATATGTATTATTAGCTCCATAATCAGCCAGCATATTAAAAAGAGCAAAGGCAGTAACTTTGAGCACTTGGGATTGGCATCAGGTTTCAAAGTTACATTTGGCTCTTGTGCAGGGTAACAGACTTGGTGAAGATTTTTATTCCAGTTCTTTATTATTTTGTTTTGTCTCATTTCAATTCTCTACCAATGGTTTTCAAAGTTTCAGACAGCATTGTTGCCTTCACCCCAAGGTAAAAATCAAACCAAAATGTTTTAGGTGTTTCTTTCTTTTTTTTAATGATTTTTGGGTTCTTATACCACCAGTCTGTTTCTCTTTGTTTTTTCTCTTGGATATTTTTTCTTGAATTTTGGCATTCATTTTAATACATTGAATTATTAGATCATTGCTAGATCATTTCTAAAAGTATATAAAATTACACTGTCATGAATTTTAATGATGCTGATTGCCACTGATATAGCAAAACACAAAAGAGTTCTGATCATTGTAGGGCAATGATACCACCCTGAATTGAGAGTCCTGAGGAAATAGGATCAGTGCATCTGGAGGTTTATTTTTCCTTTTGGGCGGGGGGTGGTTTAAATGATGATTTCTAAGCACCATCTCCAATTTAACTGGAGACAGCACTCTCCATCTCCAATCCTCGCACTTCAGTGTCATAGCTCTGCTATGAGTCAGTTTCCCAAAGAGGGGCTGGAAATTTATTCGGAGTAGAAGAGGATGTTGCTTATACAAACAGTCACATCAATCAAATGCTCTGGAATTCAAAACAACTATAATGACTTGATTCATGGAAGAATGTTATGTGCTTTAAAAACCAAGGCAGCATTGTTAGGTTGGGGGGACAGGGACAGGCACACTAAAAAGAAACAGAGAAGAGGATGGGGCCTGAGATTGGACTAGGGAGGAGAGGTCTGATGCCGGGGCTCCATCCAAAGCAGGGCATGTTCAACTATTGGTATCTACTTCTCTGCAGTTTCCAAGAAGAAAAAGAGCTTCAAGCAACCAGCCTTTTACAGACACTCGTTCACAACCTCCCAGTGATTTACAACCACAGCCAGGGTGGTTATGGCTGGACCAGGCCCAGCAACCACTCTCAAATTTGGCCGTGGGGCAGCAGCCAAATTTCACAGGCTGGTTACAAAATTCATGCAGCATGGTGATCATCCTCAGGCTTAGAGTGAGTTGGGCATATTGAAAAATAGAGCAATGCTTCAGCTTTCATTTGCCACAAGGCAAATGCTCGGAGATGGCCCCAAGGTCAAGAGCCCCTTCCTCCCAGATGGCTGTCTTGACCATGGTTTCACAGGCAACTTTTGCCTTCAATTCTGCAGAACTGTGCTGGGGGCATGTACTACAGATGGCTTGTTGGCTCCCATTTTTCCCCTGTCCCCTTTATAATTTAGAAAGAGGCTTAGCTCCTTATCTAATACTTGGAATGTGATACTCAATGTATATTAACTGCTGAACTGAGAACATTTTTAACATTCTCAATTGTAAGATAGTAGGGGCAAGGCCTTAGTCAGCAAATAGAGGCTAACATATTTTCACCTACTAAAATTGCAAGATATTATGAAGTGTGGTAACAGACAATTCATAGCACTTCATGAGACATACAGGTTACATATCCAAAGTGTACCTCTCCTGCTTTATTGTGTCATTACAGACAACAGTTATATTTACTACAGATATCTACAGGTTGAGTGAGGAAAGCACTGCCAAGTTAAAAATAAAGATGCAGAAACTCACCAAACCCCGTCTCTACTAAAAATACAAAAATTAGCCAGGTATGGTGGCGCATGCCTGTAATCCCAGCTACTCGGGAGGCAGAGGTGGGAGAATTGCTTGAACCTGGGAGGCGGAGGTTGCAGTGAGCCGAGATCACACCACTGCACTCCAGCCTGGGCAACAGAGCAAGACTCCGTCAAAAAAAAAAAAAAGATGCAGAAACTCAGGTTAGCCCAGAGCCAGTGATTTTCCAGTTACAAATCAAAGCCTGGCAGAACTACACAGAGAAACCAATCCCTTCTAGTCCTTTGCTTTCTTATTTCACTGATGTTGATGGAGAGGATCAAGAGCTTGGTTTACCATGAGAGCAAAGGAAGAGTAGTGAAAATTTTACTGGTTCAAGTAATTTAAGACAATACAGAAATGCACTTTGCAAAAAGACCATCAAGAGTTTAGATCAACAAAATAGAGGGTGTTGGGTGTGCCAACAGGCCCCTAGCCTCTGTTTCACCAAAAAACCTCACCATAACCTGCAAAAAGAAGAATCCTTTGAATCCAAGTCTGTCTTAACCAATAAACAGGTCCAATGGCCACACAGCCTCACCTCTCACCACTCCCACCTCTACTGAGATTCAAAAGCTGATAGAAAACTACTTGAAGTCTGTGGATAAAATGAATTTAAAGATATGAGGACTAAGAAAGTGGTGAGTGCTGAATATTTGTGGTTCACTGAGTTCTTTGGAGAAAAAGTGAAATATACCAGTATAAATTTACACTGTTATTACTAATTGTCCAAAATTCAGGTATTCTTCCTAGGAATACAGCTAGCAAGGGAGGTGAAAGAGCTCTACAAGGGGAACTACAAACCACTGCTCAAACAAATCAGAGATGACACAAACAAATGGAAAAACATTCCATGCTCATGGATAGGAAGAATCAATATCATTAAAATGGCCATATTGCCCAAAGCAATTTATAAATTCAATGTTATTCCCATTAAAATACCAGTGACTTTCTTCACAGAACTAGAGAAAACTATTTTAAAATTTGTATGGAACCAAAAAATAGCCCAAATGTCCAAGGCAATCCTAAGTAAAAAGAACAAAGCTGGAAACATCATGCTACCTGACTTCAAACTATACTACAGGGATACAGTAACCAAAACAGCTTGGTACTGGCACAAGAAAGACACATAGACCAGTGGAACAGAATAGAGAACTCAGAAATAAGACTGCACACCTACAGCTATCTGATCTTCGACAAATCTGACAAAAACAAGCAACGGGGAAAGGATTCTCTATTTAATAAATTGTGCTGGGATAACTGGCTGGACATATGCAGAAAATTGAAACTGAACCCCTTCCTTACACCATGCACAAAAATTAACTCAAGATGGATTAAAGACTTAAATGTAAAATTCAAAACTATAAAAACCCTGGAAGACAACCTAGGCAATACTGTTCTGGACACAGTCACGGGCAAAGATTTCATGACAAAGACACCAAAAGCAATCGCAACAAAAGCAAAACTTGACAAGTGGGATCTAATTAAACTAAAGAGCTTCTGCACAGCAAAAGAAACTATCATCAGAGTGAACAGACAACCAACAGAATGGGAGAAAATTTTTGAAAACTATATTTCTGACAAAGGTCTAATATCCAGCAAGTATAAGGAATTTAAACAAATTTACAAGAAAAAAACAAACAACCCCATTAAAAACTGGGCAAAGGACATGAACAGATACTTCTCAAAAGAAGACATACATGCAGCCAACAGGCATATGAAAAAAAGCTCAACATCACTGATCATTAGACAAATGCAAATAAAAACCACAATGAGATGCCATCTCACACCAGTCAGAATGGTTATTATTAAGAAAGTAAAAAAAAATAAATAAATAACAGATGCTGGTGATGTTGTGGAGAAAAAAGAATGCTTATACACTGTTGGTGGGAGTGTAAATTAGTTCAACCATTGTGGAAGACAGTGTGGTGATTCCTCACTGTGGCAATTTATATTCCTTTGGATATACACCCAGCAATCCCATTACTTGGTATATGTCCAAATGAATATTGATCATTCTTTTATAAAGACACATGCACTCGTATGTTCATTGCAGTATTATTCACAATAGCAAGGACTTGAAACCAACCTAAATGCCCATCAATGATAGACTGGATTAAGAAAATGTGGTACTTATATACCATGGAATATTATGCAGCCATAAAATACAATGAGATCATGTCCTTTGCAGGGATATGGTTGAAGCTGGAGGCCATTATCCTTAGCAAACTAATGCAGGAACAGAAAACTAAATACTGCATGTTCTCACTCATAAGTGGGAGCTAAATGATGAGAAAACATGGACACATGGAGGGGAACAACACATACTGGAGCCTATCAGAGGGTGGAGAGTGAGGGGAGGGAGGGGATCAGGAAAAATAACTAATGGGTACTAGGCTTAATAACTGGGTGTTGAAATAATCTGTACAACAAACCCCCATGACACAAGTTTACCTGTGTAACAAACCTGCATTTGTATCCCTGAACTTAAAAGTTAAGAAAAATTCTCACTCACTCACTCTCTCCCTCTCTCTCTTAAAAATGTTCTTAGGAAATATTTCTAAGCATTCACTGGTCTTGAACTTGACAAGAAAACCTGAGGATCCTTTTTTCATGGAAACACACACCTTGTCTTTACATTTGGCCTGTTGTTTAATTTCACCTGCTTTGGCTTCTAAGGTTAGCCATGCAATTTTAGGGCAGTGCCAATGGGAGGGTTATTCAGTACTTTGTCTGTTGCATCTGAAAGCCATACTAAGGGAACTTGGCCTAATACAGTGGTGTTGGAATCCAGTTCTTTCCTTGCAGTAGAGGGGAAAACAATCCTTTTTTTAAGTTGCATACAAAAGCATGTGCAACTAGTTCCACAGGTATTGCAGAATGCAGTTATCTTTCCCCATATAGACACTGTTCCTTTAATCCTAGAGGATTTTCCTGTAAAAATATCTATTTTAAAAAGAAAAAAAAAAAGGAAGATTTCTTTCTCCCTAAGAATCTCACCCCAAACCAAATCAAAACAAAACATTAAAGAGTTCTTAAATTAAACATTTTTTCAAGATCAGATAAGGGTCTTCCAGGCCAGAGAGATGCAATGGAAAATATTTTGGACCATAATTGGACTTTCTAGGAATGAAAAAAGCAATGTTGAGTTCCCAATGTTTACCTTTGACATTCTTCTCTTATAGCAGACTTTTGACTTGGAACCTTGTCACAGGTCCACCTGTCACTGCCCGAAGAATAATGTAGCCCCATCCCAGGACAGAGTCTAACCAAGGCATAATTTCTACAGTTGTAAACTTCCTGTCCACAGGCGAGTGCAGATTGGCTAATGCATCCACCCTGCCATGAACATCATAAATATCACAAGCAATCTCTCTTTCTTAACATGGTTCCCTCCAATTTACCCCATTAGCAAACAAAACTGAAAGTTAAAATGGAAAGCTTGAACATCAACAATATGTCAGCCTGGTATTCACTTACACATATTCACATGCATGCACTTGAGCAAGATGTGTCCAATTCTGGAAAAATTGTGCTTTATAGTTTGCAAAAAACTTTCATGCCCATCCTTACAACTGTGAAGTGTATGGGGCCAAGAGAAGGAGTGCTGGTGGAAGAGGCAGCTATAATTACCTGTATTATCTTCTTAGGTGAACCTAAGGCTTGCATAAGTAAAAGTGATTTTTTCCCATGGTGTCTGAGCTAATAAATGATACAGTGAGGAGTATAACTTGGGTTGTCAGATCCTTAGTCCAGTTACCTTAAACCCTACCACTCATTTTGCCTCCGTCTCTAATTTTGACTTTTTCTGCAGCCTATAATCCTGCTGGAGTTTTCCCCTTATAGAAATAATTGAGCAGACAGATTTGAAAAAGCCCAGGGATTATGCTCCTAGAATTTGAGAGAACTCGCACACACACACACACACACACACACACACACACACACACACCCCACCATGAAACAGAAAAGATTTTCTCCTTGTGCCTAACTCCATGGTAAGTCATAGAATTCTCTCTTCTCTCCAAATTTAGGTTAGCTGTGCCTCCTGTGGGTCACAAGCTCCCTTTTCTTCCTCCAAGATAAAAATTGAAGCAACTCTGCTGTATGCTGAAGAGCTTAAGGAAGGAATCTCTTAGCCACCAAATGGAAATGAAAGCTCCAACCCAACTCTAGTATGTTAATATATATCCAGTCCCCAGAAGTTCTTCAACCCATATGCTGAATTTCCTATATATAGGGCAGCATGACTCTTCCATACAAGGAATTTTTAGGATGAAGAGAATATTTAGGTACAAGAACACAACCACCTCTGAAAGAGTTAAGTTTGTTCCAAAAGCAGAGAACACCATGCTGGTCATGCAGTGGTGTGTCTGGCAGCAGCAAGCTCTTGCGTGAATTTCTGAGTGTGAGACTTAGCCGAGAGCTAGTTCTAACTCCTTCTTCAGTTTCAAATGCTACACATAGAAATAAGACTGTGGGAGCTATGCCCCCACTTCCCCTTCACCACCTGTTTCTTGATGCAGTGGCTTATTTTCAGAGCCTTCCCTGCCAGTAGGGCTCTCTGCATGGACTCCCTCTGTGGCAGAAGGCAGGGGCATTTTTCACACTGTGTTTTTCAAGCTGGCACTCCCAAGAGAAGATGAAAAATTGATTAGCTTTCCTAAGTATAGCTGGAAATGAGTGATGCCAAGGGGCCACAGTGTGGCACCTGCCGGCAAGTGACACTTTGCTGTGAGAATCTTTTGACCTGGTTATCATGACAGCCCCAGAAACCCAACTCCAATGTCAGTGCATCCCAAGTCAATGGCTTGAGAGCTTCTATGGGGCTCATTTGTCACATTCACCTCTTAGCTGACTTCCTTCTTAATAAGGAAAAGCAAGCCAGCATTGCTGTGCTGCCATGTGCGTTGGAAGGCAGTGGGAGCTGCAGAAGTCCCCTTAGGAGCTCCGTACTTGCCTATCATATAGAAGAACCACATTGAAAATTGAGTGTATAATTCATATTTAATGTATAAAATAATTTGACATTTATAAAAGCTGTTCACATTTCTAAGCACTTCTACAATCATTGTGCAATAACTAGAATAAGTTTGATAAAGTTACAAAATCAGACTCCCATCCCAGAGTTCTCTCCAAATTATACGTCACAATTTCTACCTAATCTCCTCACAGTCATGTTAGAACTGACCTGATTGTTAGAGGCTAGCGTGGCTTTTATTGTTGTTGTTACGTTTTTTTCATACTTGTTAACCTATAGTTAAAAATGTAGCAACCCGATAGTCAGACAACATCATTCAATTATAACTTCCCGTGCACCATAACAGTCTTTGAATTCAGTTGTGTGTGGCCCTCAGCACAGATGATTTGGTTGTCCAAAAACATTAGAACATTAGAACCTGAGAAATGCTATTGATTATGGTACCAGTTTATGATGTTTTGACCATGATTTAGGATATAGCTAGTTTTATGCAGAGTTATTTAGATTTTATAATTGAATATTTTACTTCTCTGTTAGGGAGAAAAATTCACAGCATATTAAGCTAATTACAAGGCAAATACAAATACCCTGACACTTAGGGTAGAGAATTCATGCAGGAAATGCACCATCAGTGAAGTTACGGGAAGGAAGGTGCACCCGATCGTGCTGCTGTAGACATGGGGTGGCCTGAAGACAGGACCCTCAGGAAGCAGGCAGAGAGGACTTTATTTTTTCCTACCTGAAGTACTTGCATATGTGGTAGAATTTCCTCTAAATTTACTATGCAGCATCATTTTCTCTATATTCCATTTATTCTGCCAAATCACTTATTCTTTGTATGGCTTTGTTTTGAAAGGCAGCTCCCAATTTCCAAAACAGTATGTACACACGAAGCAATATTCACAAACAGCCACAACCAGCTTTCCTCCATATTGGTTCTCACCTCCCAAGTTCATCCAGGAGAATTGCTGATAATAATCAAAGAAAAGGAGTTTTGTAGAATCTTCCATCTCAGGATGGAGAGAAAGGAAGATGCGTATTACAGATCAGGGTCCCAGGAAGCAGACTCTGAGGTGGAGATTGGGGTGCAATACATTTACGTGGGAGTGAGAAAGGCAGGACTGGGCAAAGGGATCAGCTGGGCTGTGATGCAGCCACAACAAAGGCCTCAGCCAAGCCCACAGTTGAGCTCTGGAGCTTGACTGGCCTTGCAGAGTTGTCCTCAGTTGGAGCAAAGGGGCCAGGGTTTTATATTGTGAATACCGCCGTATCAAGCAGTCATGGGATACAGGCTGCCTCAGGAAATTGAAACGTAGCCTTGGCTTAGGCACCCTCTTGAGTTTAGGCAGACCCTGGTACAGGGGCTCAGCTGTGAGCTATGGACAATCAACACTCCCAGCAGCTGCAGGAACAAGTGCTTCAGTCCTGAAGGGGCGGTGAGCAGCAGTGACTACTGGGAGCTGATTCCATTCGCCCTCTTTGGTCAAAGTCTCCCCCTTCTGCCTAGTTGGAAGTCCCCCTTGCTCTGTTGCTTAGCTAGGAATGTGACCAAGTAAAGTTGGGTTAGAAAATATTCTTTCTCTTTTTAAACTATGCAAGAATTTCTTAAGAGGACCACTTTAAAGGGCAGATGAGTTTTGCTTATGCAAAATATAACTTGACTTACCAAATGCAACTGCGTAAAGAGAACATTCCCAGAGACACCTCCATAACACAAGGCTGAATGCACACTTCCACGTACATGGACCGTGCACTTTGCATGATGGTTTTCTACAGAGGACTTTAGCTTCCAGTGAGATCAAAGCTCGCCCTTCTTCAGAGCAACTCATGGCCTGGCTCTTGAGCAGCTCTGGGATGGAAAATTACCATGCTCGACTGAACACAATATTCAGATTGATATACTTGAAAAGTCACCTTTTTAAAAAAGTAGTGTTGAAAAATCACACATTTTCTACCATAAGAAGTGAAAGCACATATACCTTTTAAAAAACTTCACAGGCTGAACATGGCTTTGGGGTCACAAACTCAGTTTCTAAACCTGGCTGTGCTATCTATGAGTTCTGTGTCCTCAAAACCAATCCCTTATCCTCTCTGGGTTCCAGTTTCCTTGCCTTGTTAGATGAATTGTAAAGATTGGGGGAATAGACGTGGAAATGGTATGTAAATTGTAACACACAATTAAAATGTCTCATTACACAATGTTAGCACTGGGAAGAAGCTTAGCAATCATCTTGGCAAGTCCTTCAGTGCCCAAATTATCAACAGAGTCCCATGGAGGTCAGAGGTCTTGCATATCTGGTCAGCGGCAGAGCGGGGCCAGCATCCAGCCCTCCTGACTCCCCAGCTAGTACTTTTCCACAACACAGTAAGTCTGCTTCTTATCCCTCCTCCCCACCTAGTTTCTCCTGCTGCAACATAAGGAGACTGTGTGTGCTGCTCACACCCATAGAACCATTGAGAGGATTACAAAATGGCATCATGTTTGCCAAAACTTGGAGCCTATAATCTGGAAGCAAGACAGTCTTCAGATCTGAAGAACTATTGTGCAAAAATTGTTACCAAAGTCATCATGCTGAAATGCATCTTAGGTCACAGTAAAGAGGAGAAAAGGAGTTCATCTTGTGTCAGTAATAGAATCTCTGAGCACGCACACCTATTTGTGTATGTGTAGGTAGTCACAGAGAGGGAGGCAGGGAAAGGAGTGAAACGGAGAGAGAAAGAGAACCTTTTGAAAAATCAACTTACTGTACCATATATTTTATATTATTTCCTGTCCTACTTATTTAATAAGTCTAAATTGAGACTTTTATAATTCCCTTGCATCGTGGATAAGCTCTCAGCATCTTGAAGTCCTGCAGGGCCTGCAATTTTTCTGCCTCTCTGTAGGTACTCATTTCCAAAATTTCATTACCATCCCACATGTGAGTCATCCACTCCCATGCATTTCATTTAAAACATCCAGCACAATCTGGGGGACAGAAGGAACAAGCTCAGAGAAGGCCAAGTTTATGCCTTTGGTATGTGGCGGAGTTGTCAAAGTAAAATAGGAGAGGAGGCCCAGCAGGGCTCCCTCCCAGGCAGCCAGCAGAAACTGTCAGCCTCTGATTCAGCACCCACCTCCCCTCCTCCTTTTCCCAGTAGCATGCCCTTTTCTTTTGCTGTATGCTTCATATGTGGGCAGTCTGGGGGCAATACAGTTGGTAAGAGAAAACAAAGATGAGAAAAACTCCTCTAGCAGAGAAATAAAAACTTAAGCTGAATAGTACTGAGAAACAATAACACAGGCTACTACTCATGGACGAGCGCCTCTGATCAGGAATCAGGAGACCCAGGTCTAGCCTTGGCTTTGCCATCAACTGCTCATGTGATCTGGCAAGTTATTTAGCCTCCTAGGGACCTCAGTGTCCTCAATTATCAAATGAGGTTGGGCATATTTGTCCACATCGTCTGAGGAATTCAAATAGAACTCAATTTTCAGAGCCAACTCAATTAGTGGTTGTACAAAAAGCATCAACATCCGCAGTTCCCCCTCTCCTTTCTACAGAAAGACTGGTAGCATGCCACCCAAAAATACACACAGTGCTACCATTAAAAGGCATGAGTGGGAAGGGAATGTAATGAATGATTTCTGTAAATCGCACTCACACCAGCCTTATCTTCTCTCTGAATGTGAATTTATGATTCCTGGCTGGCCTAATGTGATATACATCCACAGAGCAACTGCTTGCCTGTTGAATATCCAATTGAATGACTGGACTCTCCCAGAGAGCACTGACCACAGGACAGCAGGTTTGCTTGCCAATAAAAATGATGCAGTATGAGGGGACACAGGAAGAAGCACCAGTTAGGAGAAGCATTACAATTAGTACCAATCAGGAACCCAGCAGGAAGCAGAAGTGTGCTCATACGAGGATGATCTAAGGAGAGACTGTTTACAATAGTGCAGGCAGGGCATAGGGAAACTGTAAGGGAAGGTGCAGAATCCCAGGGATAGGAACAGTGGAGCTACCACCATCCCTAGAGCTGAAGGAAGGAGGGGAAAATATAGTGACTGGAATTCAAAATGAGAGAGTAGTGAAGAGAAGTATAATGGAAAATAAGTTGTGTTTTGTCCAGAGAAACAGCCAGCCTGAGGTTCCTCATAGGGAGGAAAGCAGGGAATCCCTACCCCAATCTTCATCTCCTCATCTCTGTAATCCTCTACTGGGACCCCTCCCTTGGCCATGACCAAATGGAGCCCATTTTTTGTGGTCCAAGCAGTCATCCTTCTGGCCAGAGAGCAGGGTAGAAAGAGAAATTCTGGAAGAACAAGATAAGATATATCCCACTCTATAAAAAGAGAAGCTGCCCAGGATGCAAGGCACCGAGATTTGAGTATTATCATCTTCTCCCTCCCTTTCTTTCCAATCTAAAATAAAATAAAATAAAAATATTATTTAAATAATAATAAAAACATGCTAAAAATAAAAACTTGCTGGATAAAATCAATCAAGAAAACGTTCCTGGAAGTAGATTTTAAACTACATGTTTAGAAAGAAGGGGACATGGCTAGGGGATTGTTGGTAAGGGATTACTGATGTTGCTGTCATCTTCCACATAGGGTTTTTTGTATTCAAAGGCTGGTGTCCAAAAGCAGGTGAGGCCAAAAGGAAAAGACAAGGTAGCCTACATGTCAGGGAGCTGCTATTCCTGTGCCCAGGATCATGGCTATATGGAGGCAATTTGTTGATTTGGGAAACAGAAGATGGGCAAATCCTGTTTCACCACCTGTGAGATCAAACATTTTCTGGAAGTAATGGCTCTGGACTTGCACAGGCCTAGCTGTCTCAGAGTCCTGGCTCTGCCACTTAATAGCTGTGTGACCTCAGGTCAAATTCCATAAGCCTTAGCTTTATTTGACAACTGGGGACACAATATTTTCCCCACCTCCCCCCACAACTCCACCAGTATTGTGGTGAAGATTAAAGAAATAATTTTCCCAACTATTTAATCTTTGACAAACCTGACAAAAACAAGAAATGGGGAAAGGATTCCCTATTTAATAAATGGTGCTGGGAAAACTGGCTAGTCATATGTAGAAAGCTGAAACTGGATCCCTTCCTTACACCTTATACAAAAATTAATTCAAGATGGATTAAAGACTTAAATGTTAGACCTAAAACCATAAAAACCCTAGAGGAAAACCTAGGCAATACCATTCAGGACATAGGCATGGACAAGGACTTCGTGTCTAAAACACCAAAAGCAATGGCAACAAAAGCCAAAATTGACAAATGGGATCTAATTAAAATAAAGAGCTTCTGCACAGCAAAAGAAATTGCCATCAGAGGCAACCTACAGAATGGGAGAAAATTTTTGCAATCTGCTAATCTGACAAAGGGCTAATATCCAGAATCTATAAAGAATACAAACAAATTTACAAGAAATAAACAAACAACCCCATCAAAAAGTGGGCAAAGGATATGAACAGACACTTCTCAAAAGAAGACATTTATGCAGCCAACAGACACATGAAAAAATGCTCTTCATCACTGGCCATCAGAGAAATGAAAATCAAAACCACAATGAGATACCATCTCACACCAGTTAGAATGGTGATCATTAAAAAGTCAGGAAACAACAGGTGCTGGAGAGGATGTAGAGAAATAGGAACGCTTTTACACTGTTGGTGGGACTGTAAATTAGTTCAACCATTGTGGAAGTCAGTGTGGTGATTCCTCAGGGATCTAGAACTAGAAATACCTTTTGACCCAGCCATCCCATTACTGGGTATATACCCATAGGATTATAAATCATGCTGCTATAAAGACACATGCACACATATGTTTATTGCAGCACTGTTCACAACAGCAAAGACTTGGAACCAACCCAAATGTCCAACAATGATAGACTGGATTAAGAAAATGTGGCACATATGCACCATGGAATACTATGCAGCCGTAAAAAAGGATGAGTTCATGTCCTTTGTAGGGACATGGATGAAGCTGGAAACCATAATTCTCAGCAAACTACCACAAGGACAAAAAACCAAACACCGCATGTTCTCACTCATAGGTGGGAATTGAACAATGAGACCACATGGACACAGGAAGGGGAACATCAGACACCAGGGCCTGCTGTGGGGTGGGGGGAGTGGGGAGGGATAGCATTAGGAGATATACCTAATGCTAAATGATGAGTTAATGGGTGCAGCACACCAGCATGGCACATGTATACATATGTAACAAACCTGCACGTTGTGCACATGTACCCTAAAACTTAAAGTATAATAAAAAAAAATTTCCTGTATGAATAAAAGGTATTTCATTGCAAGTAATAACATCTGATTCTGGCTAGCTTGGGGGGCAGGGGAAGAGAAGGAAGGGAAGGAAAGGATAAGGGAGAAAGGAGAGGGGAGGGAAAGGAAAGAGAGGGAGGGAGGGAGAAAGGGAAGAAAGAAGGGAGGAAGGGAGGAAGGAAGAGAGGGAGGGAGAGAAGGAGAGAGGGAGGGGGAAGGGAAATTATTGAAACACTGGGGTATCAATGTTTAAGAAAGATCTTAAGAAAGAGAGTGATGGAAGTGTTCTTATTGCATATAGACCTCAGTGCAGTTCTTAATGATTTTAAGCTTGGCAAATCTGAGAGAGCAGGATTTAGAACAACTCTGGATCCTGGCAGCAGCAGTTGTGCCCCTCTTTCTGGAACACACGGGCATGTGTGGCTTGGCTTCAGTGTTTACAGTCTCTAGCCTCTTCATTCCAAAGGCAAACTCCAGGGAGGGAGAATGTCATTGGCTCAGTTTGCATCAGGTCAATCAACCATGGTCAGGATGGGGAGTGGCCCCAGTGGTCATGTAGTGGACATGGCTGTTGCAAGTCCACCTTTGTGTATCTAGAGAGCAGTTCTGGGGGTGAGGAAATGGGGATGAGCCATGCAGCCCCACTACCCATAGAAAAGTCATAGCTCACAGAGCCCAACACAGAAGTCCTCTTGAGGATTGGCTATTACTATTTCAACAGTTGTGGCAGAGGTAACATTTACAATTTAAGTTTCTTTGCCTTGAAGGTCTTTGACAAACCATCAGCTACAACTGTTAAATTTTTTTTGTTTATTCTATTGCTCTCATTAAAATGATTATAACTCCATAAAGACAGGGACCATTGGATTTCCGTCTCTATTTAATACTTTGTAAATATCCTCATTATTTAATGCTTTGTAAACAGTGGGTGCTCAATAAATGTGGCCTATTCACTAAAACTCACTAATTTGTATTGAAACCAGAGCTACTGTCAGCAAAATGTGCCCCCATTTGCCTTTCCTCAAAACCTAGGACATAAAATCAGCATTTGTTCAACAAGCTGGAAGTTTATAATACACAAAGAGAATTCTTCCAACATGTCAACTTGAAGAAAAATAATTAATTTATCATATTCAGCCCCACCCAACATTTTAAAAATTGTTGAAAGTGGCTTAGAATAAATGTATGTCTGCTGCCAATTCTGATAAAGTTCTGGGAGCTGCCTGGCACTAGGTAGAAAGTTTTATGAGAAAGAGGCTGACATAGAGAAAATGCCACCATCAACTATTAATATCTGGGATGGACACAGGATTGAAGAGAGGTGGCGTATATAATACATAGTTGGTATTCCTGAACCATATTCAGAAATTGAAAGAAATATAAAGAATCAGAATTTACATGGATAAAACTAAGACCAGTTGGAAGTGGGAATGAGATACGTTATCATAGATGCTTTCTCAATTGAGAGATGATTTAGGGATTAATTTAAGATAGATTATGTTAGAGGAAGATGGATTTATATGAATATTGCCTTACTATTACATGTTAGCAACATCATTGTGATTATTTAAACAATAATAGGACAATAGGTGACTGTTAAGATTGCAGCTAAGCAATTTGCAGCTACCCATCCTTTAAAGCAGCAGTCCCCAACCTTTTTGGCACCAGGGACCGGTTTCGTGGAAGACAATTTTTCCACGGATGGAAGGGGAGGGGATGGTTTCGGGATGAAACTGTTCCTCCTCAGATCATCAGGCATTAAATTCTCACAAGGAGGGAACAACCTGGATCCCCCACATGAGCAGTTCACAATAGGGTTCACCCTCCTATGAGAATCTAACGCCGCTGCTGATCTGACAGGAAGCGGAGCTCAGGCGGTAATGCTTGTTCGCCCACTGCTCACTGCCCACCGCCTGCTGTGCGGCCTGGTTCCTAAAAAGCCACAGACCTATTAATAGTCTATGGCCCAGGGGTTCAGGACCCCTGCTTTAAAGTCATGAGTTTCCACATCTAGCACATAGGTGATGATCGTGTATGGTTACATTGTACATAAATTATGCCTAGGTTACACAGAGCAGAAAATTCAAAGGAAAGGAGCTTAAGCAAGATAGAGGTTTACTGTATTTTTTCTCCCACAGAAGTAACAAGATAGACAATGCAAGGCTGGCATGGAACTCCACAGTCCTCAGGAATGCTCTTCGTCTTCTGTCTTTGTGCTCCACCTTCCTTAGCCAAAGGCTTCTATCCTCAAAGCTACCTCATCGTCCAAGACAACTTCTGGAACTCCAACCATCGTGTCTACATTCTAATGAGGAAGAATAAGGAAGGAGAAAATGGCAAATGGATGTGTTTTCCAGCTGAATCAAACCCACTTTAAGTAGTTTTTCCAGAAGTCCCACTCAATGACCTTTTTTTTTTTTTTTTGGAGTTTCGCTCTTGTTGCCCAGGCTGGAGTGCAGTGGCGCAATTTTGGCTCACTGCAACCTCTGCCTCCTGGGTTCAAGTGATTCTCCTGTCTCAGCCTCCTGAGTAGCTGGGATTACAATAGGCATGCGCCACCACACCCAGCTAATTTTGTATTAGTAGAGACAGGGTTTCACCATGTTGGCGAGATTGGTCTTGAACTCATGACCTCAGGTGATCCGCCCACCTCGGCCTCTCAAAGTGCTGGGATTACAGGCGTGAGCCACCACAGCTGGCCGAACATGTCCTTTTTGAAAATTAAACCCAATATAACACTTCTAAAGGAGTCTTTTTAAAACCTAGGGCCTTAGATTTTTCTATTCCTCTTTTCTGGTTATAATTATCAGGGTTTTTTTTCCCCCTGGAGCACCACAAAGCTGCAAAGGACAGGAGTGTTTAGGATAGAACGTACTGGTTGTCTACCCAATCCAGAAGTCATGCAAAGCTGAGTGCAAACAATTCAGAAATATTAGAAGCCTGAATTGTTCTACTTAAGTTTGATGCCCCCATGGCCAAAGCACTGACTCTTGGCACTTTTGATTATCTGAACAACTCAAAATCCACTTGATTTTATTTTGTTAACAATTATTTGGCTAGTATTTCCTTTCCAATGATTGCTTTACAGATGTTTTACAAAGTTTTTGAAGTAGAAACAAATTTGGTTTATGTAGCGGAACATAACATCAGCCAACTGATTTAACTATGGGGCAGAAATTCAGATGGGAATGTTTAAAAGAAATTTCCATTGCCAATTAGTTTTTGAAAACAAATACAATTCAAAATGGTAAATATAAAGAGACACATAGTAAGCTTTGAAAGGATATTTTAGGACCAGCAATATGCAACTTAGTTCTTTTGTTTATTACCACTCCCTCCCCTGCCCCCTACCAAAAATCTTGCTATTAAAATATTTCAAAAATATTTTATTTTCTATTTATTTCCTAAATTAAATTATAACCTAAGGATTCATGTTATTAAAAAGTTACTAATAATTGAAAAAAGATCTAATATTGGAAATAGTAAAATATACTAGCCAAATAAAATAATAAAGGCAAGTAGAAAGCACATAAAATTCCCAGAATAGAATAATCTGTTTGCTTCTTAATGTTCCTAATTCAGTGATTCATAACCCATTTCTAGAATAGTGCTTGTATTTTCCATGAATTCATTACCAATTCATTTTGCATTGCTTTTAGTTTCTTTAGGACTGATGGATCATATGTTCAAATGTAATGTTAAAAGAAAAACCTGGCTAGGCACGGTGGCTCATGCCTGTAATTCCAGCACTTTGGGAGGCCAAGGCGGGCGGATCATGAGGTCAGGAGTTTGAGACCAGCCTGGTCAATATGGTAAAACCCTGTCTCTACTAAAAATACAAAAATTAGCCAGGCATGGTGGCATGCACCTGTAGTCCCAGCTACTTGAGAGGCTGAGGCAGAAGAATAGCTTGAACCCAGGAGGCAAAGGTTGCAGTGAGCTGATATCATGCCACTGCACTGCAGTCTGGGTGACAGAGCAAGATTCTGTCTCATAAAAAAAAAAAAGAAAGAAAAAGAAAAACCTTAAACAAACTAAATTTAACAGACCTTAATTCAGCAAAAAATGATGAATCAGGTAGCCTCCAAATAAGAACAGGTTCAGAGAGGCTCCAATGCTAACACATGGTCAAAGAAGATTTATGGACAGAAAAAAAGTGATGTACAGAAAACAGAGATGAGATACTGAAACAGCCACAGCTGGGTTGGTTACAACTAGGTGTTTGTCATATTTGAACATGGTTCAAACAGTTGGCCACCTTTGATTGGCCTAAACCTGGTAAAAGGTTATGGTCTATTTACACATCCAGGTAGGTTATAGTTCACTATGTACAGAGAAACCTTTACTGAATATAAAATATGTAAGGAGGCAGCTTTAGGCTAAACTGAATTTAACAGTTGCGATTCCTGGCTTCTGCCTTTGCAATTTAAGATGGCCATTATTTAGCCTCGTTTCCTCCAAAGAATCCTTGAAGACTTGAAAATATCATTTTCTCTACCTCATTAATTTTCTATTGAGCAAAGTATCATTCTAAATATACTGAGACTTCTGGGCACTTTTTTTGTCTAAGCATTGCCAGTTAGGCCTTGCCTTCCATTTGCCAATTCAGTTTCCAGGACACAAAAATTCAGGCAGACGTGGTCTGAGATGCCATTTTTAACATTCGTCACATCATGCAATCCATGCATTTTAGAGCTTGAGGGAAACTGAGAGGTTTGAAGATCCATTTGGTATTCTGAGATCTCTGGTCTGACTGTCTTTGAGGTTTCTCTAGGTTTCATTGAATACTTAATCCTTTCCATGGCCTGGACCATATCATCTCATAAACTTTTCAAATGAATAATCCCTGATCTACCTGATGTGACATTTCACTTCACCTTTTGATAGGTGGATTTACAAGAAAGAAATAGACACCATTTGAGAAAATTTTGTCAAAATTTCCCAGCACATTTTTAAGCACTTCAAGGATTTAGTTCAAATGTGACCAAATATCAAATACCTTTTTTTTTTCATAAAATCCTAGAAGCATTCAAAACTATATTGCTATATGAAAGAACTAGCTCCAACATTCATCCAGGGAACCAAACCTATACCATCGTAACTCCTAGGATGATAGAAAATGACATTTAAATCAACATAACTCTAAAGAACTTCTGCTCTCTTACTGCTTATGGACTTATTTTCAAAACATAGTTGTAAGCTATAAACCACTGTGAGCTCCCGCTGAAGGCACAGATACAATTTTCAGCAAATATATCACTTAGACTGAAAGCCAACTTTGTCACAATAGTGCTATTCTAATTCAAACCACAAATCCTTCTCTAAAATAAAATGCTCTCTCTCTTACCTGCAGGAAAAGAAAGTGCATTCTGAGAAGGTTTAAAAGCCATTGGTTTCTAAGCCTCTGCCAGCTCTATCCAAATACCTACCACAAACCCCAGCCCCTCCATGAGGGCCCTACCATCTCTGCTGCTGAGAGGCCCAACCTCATGGACACCAATCCAGAGATACCATACCACACAGCCCTCATAATCCAGTATAAAAGAAGAAAACTATCGTTGTGCATTCTTAGTTACCTACCTAACTTTTGTTCCATGAGATTTTATCTTGATTCTGTATGTAGCACAGAGCACATAGAGATACTGGATTTGTTTTACTTTCTTCATATCAGGTTCTGTGTTCCTTGCCAAGGACAGCAGTTCAAACTATTAAAGGACCTGAAGTGTTACTTTATGAAGTTTCTCACATGGAAGAATATTTAATAAAGTATTTGAATTCTCTCATTCTTTAATATGGGCAAATCAAAGCAAATTGATAAACATCCACAAATAACCACTGACTAGCTTACAACTACTTTGCCCTCCATAATTCTCTCGTTGAACTAAATATAACTGACAGGAGGAACAGGGCTCTTATTTAGTGGAAATGGCTGTTGCTTACAGATTATTTCAATAATCGGAGTGACCCAAGAGCAGAAGAATATTACACGCATGTTTCCCTGGAAGAATTTTGTTTCTTCGTTTTTTTACCAAGGAGTCTAGATGACTGTGTCTAATACCTGGTAAGGAACTCAGGTTCTGGGGTTTAAATACATAAATTCAGATTTCAGCTCCACCACTTCCATGAAGGATATTTCTCTTCTCTGACCTCAATTTTCTGATTGGTGAACTAGGTGCCATCATGATAATAATAGACCTCGTGTGGCTGCGGTTAGGATGAGATGAGAGAAGATGGCCCTGTGGGCAGGGGAGATAGGCAGAGACCTCCCTTCTTTGGCTTCTTCTTTTCAGGTTCTGGCCCCTGAGTGACTTTCTTTTTCCTAATGTTCTCTTAATTGAGGGACTAATTGCAAACATCACAGAGCAGAGAATTGCTTTGTCATAGCAGCATTTCTTCCATGTGTAGCCAGCGGGTCATACAGTGAGCTCATGTGATTTGGCGAGTCTCGCTTATTTCATTCGCAGCTTGAAAGTTCCTTTTCAAATGTGGATTTGCACACGGGCTAAGGTTTGCACTAAGGGAGGCCTTCCAAGGCTCCATTTTGGAGTCTTACCTACGTTCATATTTCTACCTCAAGGCCGTTTATCATATTTATTCCCAGACACCCAATAATTCTGGTTATCATTATTAAGGACCTACCATGTGCCAGACACTCTTCTTGTCCTTGCCTCACAAAATATTATGAGATATGTATTTTTTGTCTTCTTCGTTAAACTATTCTTTTTAACTTATGAGAGAACTAAAACTCAGGAACTTAAGTAATTTGCCCAAGACCACACAGCTAGGAATGGGCAAAGCTGGGCTCAAAGTTGGTTCTAAGTGCAAAGACCATACCTTTTCCATTATGCCAGAGAAGGCAGATAGATTTGAAGTTGCAGCCAATCTGATCAATTAGTGACAGGTGAGTGCTCGGCTAAGCACATTGAGGCTGGGCCTAGGCTCCAGGGAGAGAGTGCCGTTAACAACAATGAGTAACTTCGCCTTGAGCATTGGTTGGGGGAAGGACAAGGGCAATCAAGCTGCCTCCTCCATATCATGCAACCCTTATCCACCGAGTTTCTACTCACCGAGAGGAAGGGGTTAATTTGCCTCCTTGGAACACTTCTTTATACCTTCTAGTGCTTTTCTGTACCTTTTCATCAAAAGAAAGCATCCCCTTTTTTTATTATACTTTAAGTTCTAGGGTACATGTGCACAACGTGCAGGTTTGTTACATATGTATACATGTGCCATGTTGGTGTGCTGCACCCATTAACTCGTCCCCTTTTTAAAGCTTTCTGCTCCCACAGGATAGTCTTTTGTGCAGTTCTCTTTGCTCAGTGCTGATTTTTCTCCTCCTGAGCTGCAGGGAGACCAGAGCAGCTTGATTTCACATATCTCCTCTCAACCAGGGTAACTTCCCTTTCCTTGACCATTTTGTTGTCTAGTTTTTTTTACTTTGGAGCTTAGGTCAGTATTTGGTAACTTCATTTATAGCCTGGACAAATTGCTTAATCTCTCTGACTGTATTTTCCTAACCTATCTTCTTAAGAGAGAGAGAAAGAAGAGAAAGAGAGAGTATGGGTACAGGAGGTAGACAGAGTCTCAGCCATACCTGTACATCAGAGTCATCTGAGCAGCTTTATAACCATGCCCATGCCTAGGCCCCAGTCCAGATCAATTGAGTCAATCAGTCACTGGAGCTGGAGCCTCAGGGATCAGCTTATCAAAAGCTCCCACATGATTCTAACATGCATCCATATAGGGTGGAGAATCACTGGACTACCATTAAATATTAACATGTAAGTCGTTGATTAATATCATCTATTAAATTACCTAGCTGGCTTTGAATTCACTTTTGTGCCTCATATAAGGGTTAACTAGCCCCTTCAAACACTTACCTGCAAGTTTTTAAAAACACAGCTTTGAGACAGCTTTTTAGCTATGTTGGCTTTTTTCATGCAACTATTACATAGTTCTATTTGTGGATTTATTAATTTTCTTGCTTTTACAATGTGTAGTGTTCTGATTTGGCTTATAATTTACTGTATTTGCTATATCAAGTGTCTCTCCAAGTGTGGTCTGTGGACCATCTGCATCAGAACCACCTAATGTGATTCTTTAAGAAAAATGAAAGTTCTCAGACTCACCCATGGCCTACTAGATCTGATTTTCTGGAGGTGGTGCCAGGGAGTCCATGTTTTTAACACGCACCTGCTGCAATTTGTAAGCATGTTAAAGCATAAAGACGACTTGCTGTATTTAGACTGATTTGCATGACATTTGCCATAGCACACACTAGACATGCATTAGAGTTTAGTGAACAATATCTGATCATTGCCTTTGTAAAACATACAAAATACTGACTGTTGCATTTGCAGATAGACCTTACTTTCCTTTTTTACACAGCTTATTTTTACACTTTTATTTAATGGGTAAGAGAAAAACTCTACTTGAGGATAGCTGCTGAGTTTGTGGTTTTGTTTGGTTTTCGGGTACCTCTTTCTTTTTCATCATCTCTGCTGAATCTATAGTCCTTGAGGTCAGGATCAACGGGCTGTTCTCTGCTGAGCTTCTTAGTAAACAGGCTTAACCTAGACGACATTTTCCCTGCTGCATACACCAATTATCTAGGTGTTGGGTGCATAGATAATGTGGCCCTGAAGTCTAGATATAAAAACGGAGGTCTCAATTTGATGTTCCACTCTCTACTGATGTACTCACAGCTTAGCCCTGGTCCCTGGATTCTTTGGTGCTTATTTTTCTTAGAAAAAGCAGCTGGTACCTGGTTAATAAAGCCCAGTCATCTTTAATAGAACAATGGATAAAAAAACTTTTGAATATCTGATATCAAAGCCTCATTTAATATACAAAGCAACCTCTTATTACATTAGTACTTGAGTGACTTGTTTTGGCAAATCTAGAAATCTATTTTGCTGCTTTCTAACAAATAGATTTTGCTACAAAAGCATTCAGGAAATAAATGGGAATTCATCTGTGACTGACTGAAATGATGGCAAGGCTTAACTTTCATAAACCATGTTCCTTGCAAGCAGGAAAGTTTTCCTCCTTGAGCTTTATGACTTTTTTCTAAAATAGGGAGGGTTCGTAACGATGTCAAAGGCTGCCTTTCTCTAGAAGACATCTAGCCATCTCCAAGTACTCCATGAGGTCATATTTTCCTGTACCTAGTGATTCCTAGGATGATTTTGAGTCATTTTTATATTCTTGAACAAAAAAAATGATAATTTTTGAGAGGATTCTCACTTCTCCTTATGTGAAGCAATGAGGCTACATCTTTAACATTGTGATCCATGTATGCTTCCAAACACATTGCTGCTGGCCAGTACATTCCCCAATTCAGAGGCCCCTTGGTTTCAGCTCATGTGCACTCAAGACAAATAGAATCTGGTTTAGGACAAAATGAGCTCATTCTCCTGGACAGAGGGAAAACCCGGCTGGCCAATTCTGGTCCTAATCTCACCCTTATAAGTTTCTGGTTCTTCAGCACAACCATGAAAGCTTGATCTACTGTAGAGTTCAAGTGTCAACTCTGCAATATTATAAATATAATGATGAGTAATGATAATTTCATAAAGTCATCCTTGCTAGAAAAAGCTGACCATCATCTGTCATATAAACAACAGCAAACATTTTATGGTGCTATATATCAGGCATTTTGAAAGTGTATCATTGCATTATTTCATTTTATCTCGACAGCAAGTCCTAGAGGTAGTGCTCTGTATTGTCCCATTTTACAGAAGAAGAAATTGAGGCACACAGGGTATGCCACAGGTAGTCACAGTCAGAAGAGCAGTTTTACCAAGTCTGTCTGACTCCAGAGCCTATCCTCTTACCACTTAGGTTAGGCTGCTTTTATAATAATAAAATAATAACATCGTAACAACTAACACTTATTGAGTACCGGTTATGTGCCAAACAACTTGGACATACTTTACATGTAACAGTTCAACTCATCAGATGACTATTATTGTCACCACTTTGCAGATGAGGAAACTGAGGCTGAGAGAGGTTAAGTACCTTGCCCAAAGTCTCCCAACTAGGGGTGGCAGAACCAAGTCATAGGGTGGGCCTCTTTAATCTTTCAGTGTCCCATCTCCCAGGCTTTGGTGCTGACTTATGGCTGGAGAATGGCTGTCAAGAATAACAGAGTTGCAGAGACTCTGTGGCAGTGGCACAGAGCAAAGCCAGAGGGCCAGTGATGTCCAGACATCTCTCCTGAGCACATAGGAGCAGGGCTGTGACCTGGGTGAGCTCAGTGGACATGGGAGAGGAGCAAGGCTGATTGCCCCAAAGCTACAGGGAAGGGATCTGAGGAATCAGCAAAGGGCCAAATGTAGGGTCAACACAACAAAGATTGTGTAGACAATGGACAGACCCAAAGAGGCTGGGCAGAGAAGAACAACTGGATCCAACTCCAAAGAACTTCAATCAGGGCAAAAAGACAGAATGGACAGGCATGGGAAGACAGCCATAGGTGAGACTCTAGGGCCTGAGAGAATAGAAGCAGAATTCCCGTGTGATTTGGAGACAAGCTGGTCAGAAACCCAGTGAGATGAGGGGGAGGGAGGAACCCTAGCCACTGACCTCATCAGACTCCTGATTAACTGGGTTAACTGATCCCCAACTAAATAAAAATCACAATCATGCTGAACTTTATTTTTAATTATTGCCCCATAGAGACAGATGAAGAAGTCTATGGTCCTCCACCACAGAGCTTGCTAACATTCCCATTTGCCATTTACCCAATTTACTCTGTACCAGCCATCCACTGAATTCACTGAAGGTTTTTGTTGGAGAGCGTCTTGACTCTGGTTATCGTCTTCAATAAAACATGTCTCACTTTGTTCTCTATCAGTCTATCTCCCTGGACACCCACATAATCATCCTTTTGTAAACAAAGCAGGCTTTGAAGCCTCTAGGAGTCCTGCTAGGCTGAGAGAGATGAGAATGAGCTGCAGGCTTCCTGGTGTGAACTGGAGCCTGGAAATATTTTATAACCTGTATTGTTTTTCCTGATTATGAAAGTAGCAAGTGTTCATTGTAGAAAATACACCAAAGCCTCAAGAAAAAATGCTATTACCCAACAGAGATAAGAAACATAACATCTGGTTTAGAGCATTTTGGCATAGATAGATAGGTTGATTGATTGATTTTAAATTTATGGCATTAAATTATGTGCAGTTTTATTTCCTGTTTTTTTACTTGACATAGATCAAAAGTGTTTTTCCCATGTCAAATCAATATTCACTGTAAGATTTTTCATGACTACATATTCACCAATCCTATTGAATATGTTAGACTTGCATTTCAGGGTTTCATATTTGCCTTTATATCAGGCTGCTGCGTTTGTTCTGCAGCTACATACTCAAACCCTGCCTTCTCCATGGCCTCTCTGTGCTTTCTGAAATTTAACTCACAGGTGCCAGAAGACCCTGTTAAATAAGCACTGGAAAATAGTTATTCTGGGTTTTGTCTTGAGTTCTGCCAATTCCCTAAGCAGCTACAGCCAGTTCCCTCCTCTCTGTGTGTCATCTCCCGCATCTGTCAGGTTACACAGTCATGTCTAATTTAAAGCCAAGCAATTTGGTAAAGGAGAAGACTCTCCCTGGCCAGCCTCATCACTGAACTGCAGAGGCTGGCTGGGAGCCCAGAAGAGCTGGTGTTTCTTGCAGAAAAACCATCATGATTACCTGTGCCAGGCATGGAGCTAAGCATAATATACATCTTTTTTTTTTTTTTCAATCCTCCCAACATCCCAGTGAGGTAAGAACTATTATTATTCACATGTGGTGGAACAAGAAACTGAGGCTTGGGGAGATTAAATAACTTCACAGAGGCCTAGAAAAGTAACAGGATGGCTGAGCCAAACCCAGCCTGAGCTCATAGCCACTACTGATGAGTCCTGGAGATCACTGTCACTTTTTCTAGGGTGAAGTGCTTTTCCCAAAAGACTCAGAGCTCCATGGCCCTGTCTTGTGAGGGACCATTTGACCAGATGCTTTTCAAAGATGACACATCTGCACATTTCAGAACCCAGTGGAAGTCTGTTCATGAAGCAAGTTTTTTTAATGTTCAAATCAAGTAGGAAGGACTGAAAACAGGTGTGTGATGCATGAAAGAAAAATGGCTCTTCAGACAAAACTCTGGAAAATTGAGACAACTCTAAGATCTGATTTTAAAAAGAATCCCAGAGCCTGACATTTCCAATGGCTCTGGTCTTCATTCTCTTTCCTGAGTGTTTGAATCATAAAAGCGTGTAGCTCTTTCATCTCTCCCTCGTCCTGCTCCTCCCCTGCACAGACAAATGGTATTTTGAGTTTTGTTCCCACCCCAGAGTACAGATCTATTTTTGTGAATCCAGGCTCCTTCTTCCAAAGCCCCTCACTGTCCCATTCTCCACTGTGTCAGTCCCTCTTTCCTGCCCCCACACACCCGAGGGCCCGTGACGAGCCCTCAGAATAGAGAGAACCTCATCCTTCCCCTCCTCCCAGCCTCCCACAATGACTCACACATTGCACAGGGCAAGCAAGGCAGGAGAGGCCTCGTCACAAAACAAGCCAGTTGTCATGCTTTGTTCTGAGTCTACACAGCCACCACCACCGTTGAAGCTAAGCCTTTGCCAGACCTGGTACTATCTCTGCTCAGCATCCAAACGATACCCACAGTGCTCTGTAAGAGGAAGAAAATGAGGAAGAGATGGTGGGCAGCTTTGGTCTGCCAGGACTAAAGACGTACCATCCAATTCAGCAGCCACTAGCCCCACGTGTTTATTGGGCACCTGAAATGTGGTCAGTCCAAACTGAGATGTGCTGTGTTGTAAAATGCACAGCACATTTCAAAGGTTTTTATATGGGGAACAATGTGAAATGGCTCAGTCACAATGTATGTATGTATTACAGATGACGGACAGCTTTTTCTAGCAAGGATGACTTCATGAAATTATTATGACTTGTCATTGCCTTTATAATATTCCAGAGTTGACATTTGAATTCTAAAGTAAATCATGCTTTCATGTTTATGCTGAAGAATCATAACTGTGTGAGAGTGGGATTCGAAATGGAATATGTATTTATTTATTTATTTAAGTTCCAGGATACATGTGCAGAATGTGCAGATTTGTTACGTAGGTTTACATGTGCCATGGTGGTTTGCTGCACCTATTGACTTGTCCTGTAGGTTCCCTCCCCTCACCCCCTCACCCCCCAGCAGGCCCCAGTGTGTGATGTTCCCCTCCCTGTGTCCATGTGTCCTCATTGTATAACTCCCATTTATGAGTGAGAACATGTGGTGTTTGGTTTTCTGTTCCTGTGTTAGTTTGCTGAGGATGATGTCTTCTAGCTACATCCATGTAGACCTGGAATTTTTAAATTGAGTATGTGCTGAAATGATAATGTGTTGAGCATATTGGGTTAAATAAAATATGTTATTAAAATCAAGTTCACCTCTTTCTTTTTACTTTTATAATCTGGCTACTAGAAAATTTTAAGTTGCATATGTGGCTCACAGTACATCTTTATTATGTTTCTATCATGCTGCACTGAAGTTAGCATTTCTGCTGGCCAAGTAGGTGAGATAGGATGCAAGCTTGCTGCCCCTACTTCTGCAGCTGTAAAAGCAATCAGACCTCCTCTGAACCCAGCTCCTAGCTCAGCAGGTCAGTCCATAGGTACATCTGGATGTGTTTGAAAGGATCCCATCCTAGTATATAGCCATTCCAGGGCATTGGCCTTTTTCAGGCTTCTTAAAAATCCAGTCCCTCCCTACACTATTTCTACTTTCAGAAACTCATTATCCTTCCTGAAAGACAAATCACTTTCATCTGTTCCACACTAGCCCTGGGTCCTTAATTGCATTCTCTATCCCTTCTTCTTCCCAAATCAAAAATTCTCTTAGGGAAAGATATGCAGGGGTAAAGAGTCTTGTGTGGGGTACCCAAGCTGTCATATAACGTTCCTCAAAGAGGAACACCACACAAGCATCCTTTGGCCAAGTCCCATTGTCTTCTGGTAAACAGGAAGAGAGAGAGGAAAATATGGCTGCGTGTTTTTCTCTATGGCCATATTTCGCAGATCTTCAAAGAAGCCTGCCTCCAGGGCACACTGCTTCAAGGGCTTCAGCAGCAGCTTGAGAAATCTAATGATCACTGACGCAGTGTACCATGACGCAGTGTGCTCAGGCACTGGCAACATCAGCATTCTCAGAGATGCAAATTCATGGGCCCCTCCGCAGATTTTCTGAATTACAATCTTTAAGAATGATCCCCAAGAACCTATGTCTAACAAGATCCCGAGGTGACTCATGCACATTCAAGTTTCAGCCACGCTGCTAGAATTGACATCTACTGTTTTCGCCTGCTCAGCCTCCATAGCCACTACTCTTCTTCCAACAATGCTCCCTGATTTGTCTCAGGAACCCAGCCCTCCTCCCAGTCTCAGGGTGTTAGGGCTGGGGTGGGAGTACTAACATGTTCCCTTAATTCCACCATGGACGTGAGACCCAGCCGTGGCCAAGCAGAGCATGACATCACTGCAGCCATACTGATTGATTCATGATTTGTGTCTTGTGACACAAATCAGGCCAATCACAGCAAATAAGACATAATTCCAGGGCTTTGGTCAGTACAGTTGGAAGAAGCAGGCATGATCTTTTATACCGAGGTTGCTGAGAAAATGGGATATAAGCCTGAAACTGCTGTCAGCTGCCTTGTCACCATGAGGGAAGAGCCCACTTGAGAATGAACCCTATAGAAGGCATTTCTAAGAGATGGCAGGAGAGAGACATTAGAGAGAGGACAGAAATCTGGATGCAGCCTAAGCCCAGCTCTTCTCAGGGCTGGAATGTGCCATTCACCTCAAAGTCATTCTGGTTTGTTTATTTACTAAAAAGTTTTCTGGCAGATGGCCAGATAGTGCCTTCATGATGACACATTTAAATTTTCACAAAGGTGCCATTTGGGCTGCTGGTAGTCCAGGCTCAACTCTCCAAACTTTTCACTTCCTGTGTGAATAAATTCTCTTTTTGGCTTAAGCCAGTTTGAGTTACCCATCACTTAAAACTAAGAGAGACTTGATCCTTCTATATGTACTACACAAGCGTCTTGGGGATGGGGAGATAGGAAGATATATGATACTCAAGGAGCGGGTTGACTAGCCATCTCCTAAGGCACTGAACAAGACTAACATTTTCTGAGTTGGGCAAACTAAGGCTACCTCAGAGCTCCCCTAGAACCTAGGATTATCTGTATTTGTTTGGTTCTTCTAAGCACACCCTGAGACGAGAATTGGGTGCAATCCATTTATTTGGGAGATGATCTTAAAAAGCACCATGAAGGAGTGGAGAAGTGGGACAAGGATGGGAGGAAGGTCAACAAAAGAAGCAATACTGCAGGGGCGTGGCTGTGACAACGGAACTCTCTAGTGCTGGGCCTTTGAGAGACGGCAGAGCACACCTTGGGCTTGCTCAGCATGGGGGCAGGGACATGTTTATGCAGACGCTGCTGAAAACTGCTGCAGAAGACCCCTGGGTGAGTGAAGGGGATATGTGCAAGGCACCAACAGCATCTACTATGACTTCCCTGTAAAGTCTTGTATGGATAAAGACACATTTGGAAGTCACTGGTCTGGATGATGTTTAAGGTCTCCTCCAGCCCTGTCTGATGTCCAGTACCTCACAGGCTCCCTCCTGGATATGCCTCTGCAGAAAAGGCACACGCAGCAGGTGCTGCTGCAGAGGAGAGCATCATCATCTGAGCCAGGCAGGCAGCCCCTTCACACTCCTGTCCTTCGATGGAGAAGATCTCTGATGCAGGCAGATCAGAGCTCTGACCTGAGCTCTAAATGCCCTTAGAAACTGCAGGGTGAATCGGCAGCTAGCTTGTTCATAACCCTTTGCGTGATTGTTCATCCTAGTGCCCAGTCCTCAAAATACAGCCTTGAATAACATCAATGGGCTAATTGTGCAGCTTCAGGGTCTCACTTTATAAACAATATGAATCCCAGGGTCTCATGTGTTACTGAGTTGGCTCCCCAGGAGTCTCTCACCAGAGTTGGGATGTTTTGGAAGGAGGTGCTTCATAGTCAGTCCTCTGTGTGTGTGTGTGTCCCTCGTCTTAGAGCTTTGAACGAATAAGAGACTCTCAGCCTCAGTTTCTGTACCTGAAAACATGTAACTGTAGCTGACACTTGGGACTGTCGTGAAGATTAAAGATAATATATGGAACACTTTTGGAACATAGAAGACACTCAGGGATGAGCAATGGCTGAACAATTGCAGGGTCTGGGCTCTGTAACTTGGATAAAAAGGAGACAGGATATTTGCTCAACTCCAGAGACTAACTAAATGGAACCTGAGAATCTAGATTCTCTCTGTGAAGGGGGGCATTTTTTGAGAACTTAATTAATCACAAGGAGATTACAGAAAGAGACATCTCCTACATTGGCCAAAGCTATTTTCTACCTCCTGCATCCACTTGTTATTACCTGCCTGCATGGTATATGTCCTCATGATGTCATATTCCTTGATTAAAACTTGTGTTTATCACACTTGAGACAACTAGTAGGAGACGATATTAGTAACTTGACCCTTCAGGGAGGCCCTGCAGGGCAGAAGGAAGAAACTTTGGAGTCACACTGCTGGATCTGCTCTTTTTCACACTGTGTGGCCTGGAGCAAGTCATTTCACATTCCTGGCTTGATTAAAACTATAAAATGACCAGCTTGAACCAGATGATCTCCAGGGCCCCTTGCAGCTCTAACAGGATGCTAAGTGCAGACCTCTAAGGAGGGGCCGGTCTGCATTCCCAATGCTGCAGCCACAAGAAACTCTCACTGTGATCCAGAGTGCACAGGCTCTGGGAGGCACACATCTGGGACCAGCCATACCCTGTTCCCTTCCAGGCCTGTTTTCCACTTAGTTCATAGTGGAGCTGCCAGCCAGAAAAGTACTTAGTGCAGAGTGGGACAAATGACACCAAGGCCTCTCTTTTGGGCTTTCTGCACATAAATATTGTGCCCTGACTTGATTTCTACTGCCTTCTGCCCTCCCCTTTCTCCCTGGACCCAGCCACAGTCCGGCACTTGTCGCTGAAAGCCTTAGAAGAGATAGTCCCTCCCAGAGACACAAGGCATCCCTCCCTGTGCTGAGGGCCACCCTGCATCCCCCAGGACCAGGCCACTTTACAGGACATGGAGACCTCCCTATAAGGTTCATGGGGACCTTCGAGCAGCACTCCTCCTCTCTCCCCACAGAGGGAGGGGTACATATGGCTTCTGTGTAAAGGACATCTGCCATGCAGCCAGCCCTAAATAGCAAGGCTGCAGCAACTCACGCTTTCATACAGCTTCCCCTGAGAGCCCAGATGGTACAGGATTGGGCCCTGGTGACAGGCTGAGGCTTGCTTTCCACAGCTAAGGAGACAGGCTAGCTGAAGGTTGAGAAAAATCTTTCAAGGCTCTTGCCTCCTGTCTGGGCCTCTGGAGCAGAGCTGGGAGTCACTGGTCATTATGGCTTGGATTTAGGGCTTCCTATCTAGACTCCATCCTTTGTAAAAACAAATTCTGAATAATGCTCCAGCTGAATGCAGAACCTAAAGCAAGGGTGCAACAGGGATGTCAGATTGAAAAGATCAAGAGGGAGTTGGATATGGTGTCTCCAGATTCTTTTCTAGCCCCACTAAGATTGAGAGCTGTTGGACTCTTTGGGCTGAGCAATTGTCTTTGAAACTGCCTGCTAGGGCTGTGAGGTTTCGCTCCTCCTTTGTTGGGTTGTTACACTATCTTTATGGCTTCTTATGGAGTCCTCTGTGAGCATCTTGGAGTTTTCCATTTATTTATTTGTTTGCCATTTTCCTCCTCTTTTCCCTCTACGATGGCCACTGAACATAGAAAACGATGGTCTATTTACTCGAAAGAATGGAAAGCAGGATCTCGGAGAGACATTTGCACATCCATGTTTACAGCAGCATTAGTCATAATAGCTAGAAGGTGGGAGCTGCCCAAGTGTCCATCAGCAAATGAGTGGATAACCAAATGTGGCATATACAGACATACAATATATTACTCAGCCCTTAAAAGGAAGAGAATTCTGACATGTGCTACAACAAGGATGAAACTTGAAGGCATTATGCTAAGTGAAATCAGCCAGTCACACAAAGACAAATACTGAACCATTCCACTTCTGTGAAGTATGTGTCAAATTCATAGAAACAGAAAGTAGAATGGTGGTCACCACGGACTGGCGAATGGAGAACTGTTATTTAATAGGTACAGAGTTCACGTTTTTGCAAGATGAAAAAGTTCTGCAGATCATTTAGACAGCAATGTGAATGTACTTAACACTTCTGAACTTAAGAATGGTTACGATGGTAAATTTTGTTCTGTGTATTTTACCGCAATTAAAAATTAAAATAAGAAACCAGGGTGGCAGGAGATGAGCTACATGAGAAAGCACGGCAAGGCCACGGTGCAGCAGAGGTACTCGACACTCCAGTGTGTCTCTGGCTGAGCCCTTGCAGAGACGGCAGATGCCTCAGCTCCATAGCCTGTGGCCGCATTCAATGACCAGCAGAAGAATTCGGCCTGTTCACCCCTTAGCTTCCTTCTGGGTCACTGAAGACTCCTCTGCATAAGACACCTGAACCCACACCCAAAGGAACCATTGTCAGCACTCAGATAGGAATGCTCAGTGGTGTGTTACGTACTGAATGAAAGGGATTGGAAACAGCCCTGGCTTCCACTCTGACTAGGCCATACCCACAAGGAATGCCACCACCAAGGAAGCAGTGGATAGAAGCTCATCCTGACATTCAAGGTCATGATCATTGGAAAATGGTTTCTTTTTCTTTTTTTCCTTTTCTTTTTTATTTTTTTCATTTTTAAATTCCCTCCCTCCCTCCCCTCCAAGAAATAGCACAGCAGTAGCATTGTTCAAAAGGGTTGCTGAAGGTACAAGCCCTTAAGGAAGTCCACTGACTCTGAACTTTGGCTCTGTCTTTTATTAATTGTTTTGTTATGAATAAATTATTTAACCTTTCTATCATTCGTCTTTGAAACAGAAATAATGATAGAGGTGCTTGTTTAGGTTTTGGGAGAATTAAATGAGATTCTGTTTAGAAGCTCTTATCCCAGAGCCTGCACAGAGTACTTGATAAATAGGGACTGTTACTATTTCCTCCACCTAGCCAAATCCTACTCATGTTCTAAGAACCAGCTCAAGCCCCTTCTGCCTCATAGTCTCTAAGAGCCCACCACGAATCAGCAGCCCACCATGAATCAACAGCTTAGTACGAACTCTCCCATCACACAAGCCATTTGCATGCTTCAGCCCTGTGGCAACTCATCAGGGATCAGGCCTCATCAGACCCCTCCACACTGCAAAGGAGAAAGGTTAAGAGCTGTCACTCTTACAACTCCCAACTGTATAAGAATCACAAATGATGGCTCATGGGTTGCACTTAGTAACTGACAACCTAAGAACTCAAAACATGGCCTTGTTCATTCTTGCAGTTGGGACTAACCTTATTTGTATTCTGTGATTTGAAAGGTGCCAGAAAAGACTGCCACTCCACATCTCTGCACACTGTTGCAGCGGGCCTTCAGCGCCAGTCACTTGGTTTCATCTATCTCCCTGCTGCCTCTTCTTTTAAGTGTAAAACTTTCCTCCAAGGGATCTCGCACTCACCTGACCTAAGTGAGTTTTTTGATTTTCTGAGATCATCTTTTAAATTGTGAATTTACTATAAATTTACAGTTTGGGGCAAGGATTCAGAAAGCAAGGGATTCCAGAGAAAGCTGACCTACTTTACAATGAATCCATCTGTGCACTCTGCCTATTTGAACACTCATTTGGTGAACATTTCTTGAACATCCACCATGTGCCAGGCACTGTTTGCCCCAGCGGGGATGGCTCAGCTTGACAACCCTCTTCAAGCCTTTGAAAAGAAGATTATTCAGAATTTCCAATGCCCCTTTGGTATCTGGTGTATTGAGTATCTCTGCCTGGTGATATGGGGAATATAAAGCAATTCAGTTGAGCAACTTTAGTTCAAAGGCTGTGATTTATTATCCCTTATTCTGAGAACCTCATATGTTGCCTGGCATATGATAGCTTGGTAGGATGGATGAGCAGATAGATGGATGCATAGAGGGAGGCATGAATGGGTGCATGGATGCATGGATGGATGGATGAAAGCATGGATGCATGGATGAATGCATGGATGGATGGATGGATGGATGGATGGATGGATAGATGGATGGATGGAAGGATGAATGGATGGATGTTGTGGATAACATGAGTCTTAGTTTGGGTTACCCAGAAGCTGATCCTGAGACAAGGATTTGAGTGAAAGTCATTTATTTGAGATGTGAGATGGGTATGGGAAGGAAGCAAATAAATTATGTGTCATCAAGCAGGTTACCACTATGGGTGAGCAGGGCTCAATCCCACCAGGGATTTCTGGAGACTTTATAGAACATGGCTTAGAGTCATCCCACCCAAGGTGCAAGGAAGTGGGGTTTTGAACCTCTAAGTTTCATCTAGCATTGGCTAAGGACTACTCCAAGGAGCATTAACTCCCAGCTTGGAAGACTTTTGACTAAGAGGAAACCTTCAGGCAGAGAGGGGCAGTGCTTGCAATAGGACAGCTGAAGAGACATGGATGGAACACTAACAGTGTCTGGTACAACAGTCTCAGAATCAGCGTCAGCGCTCATTTCACTCACTCTACCTTCAGTGTGCAGGTTCCTTTCCTAAAAATAGAGGACAGTCACTCACTCAGTCTCTGAGGGGGCACTCTGAGGAATCTCCATCCCTTCCTCGTGTTCTCTCCCCAATGCCCCAACTGCAGTGAGAAACTTGTAAAGTGCCCTAACTCTGGGAGGATAATTGTGTCCCTCTGTCAGCTCTGTTAGGGTGATAAGCCTGTTTCTCAGCACCCTTGGTGTATTGCCTGGCTTAGCATCAAAACACTGACCTGGACACATCATACAATCTTGACGGGGTGTTAGGGAGGAACACTTACTCCCCAGTCTTCATGGCTTCATGTCTATTGAGGGGTGTCCATCAGAGTAGTGCTCCTGGCCTGACTAACCTGGTTGATGAACATGGAAGAATAATCTGCTGTGAACATTTGAGTCCTTCCCTCCTCTCTCTTGTTCCCTGGAGCCTACTAGCGTGTAGGTAGCACACATTACCTGCTCCTCCAAGGTGGGGAGGCCTGTGGTTTTCCAGCACAGCTGGGAGCTGGGTAAACAGGTCTGCCTACATCTGGGTAGAATATTAGAATTACTGAACCACCTAGGCCACATTCCTTACATAGCATTGGCAATAACAAATGTGATATATCTATCTGCATGCAACTGATCTAGATCTATCTCTCAGTGGATTCCAATCTGAGCGGCATTATTGACCTTCCTAAAACTCCAACAGGGACCTTATCCTAGTATCTGCGGCCATTAGAATGCAATATAGCATTCAGTGTGCTACACCAAAAATGGCTCCAAGATCCAGAAAAAAAGGGAAATGTTACATATTGTTCCCTCTTTTTGAATATTCACAATGCTCATTAGTGTATTAAAGGCTCTCAGAAACCCATCAGTTATAAATAAACAAACAAAAATCTTGCCAACCTTTTTAAATAAGTAATGTATTTGACCTTGAAACTCTTTTTTTTTTCAATAGCCTCTATAACATTTCAGGAGGCAAGCTTCCACAGAAAATACTTTAGAAAAGTTTGCATATGCTGTTCCTTCTCCCGGAACGCCCTCTCCTGCTCTCCTCCATGGATCTCTCATGTTCAGCTTGCTGGATACACCAAGAATGCAAGGCCCTGACAACTCTTTACTTGGGCCATTTCCCAAGATTGCATTTGCAGTGAGCAGCCTTGAGGGATGAGGTCATGTCTCCCTCCAGGACAAGAGGAGGCTCACTATAAAAGAGGTGTGATTCCTACAGCACTACTAGAGTCCAACATCACCTTACCCCAGGTTCCAAGGACCTTGTTCGAAGGTAAGACTCATGCCTAGTACCACACTATTATACCAGTTTTCATTCCAGGTTCACTCTCATTGGGATGATCTGTATCATTCAGAGAGATACTCCACTGCAAAAATATGAGACATGGCTTGGAGAAAGGAACTGCCCCTGCAGGACGCACCCAGAGAGGTAAATGCTCACAGCTGTCTTGTGGTGAAGCCAACAACAAAGTGACAGCAAAGCCACAGACAGACAGAGTTTCTCTCCTATTCTCCTTTTTGTTGTGTAGTGAGTGCTGTGGTGGGCCCTTTTGTTTCCTTCCACTGGGCCCCCCAGTACCTCTTCAAGACTGAAACAATCATTTGGCCAGCTGCTGGGAGTATTAGAAGCTCCCAGCTCCCAGCTGAGTCCTTCTACAGGAATTGCCCTTCTCTGAATCACAGGCTCCTGAGTAGAGGGAGGTGGACCCATATCCAAAGACTGGTCAATGGCCAGCCCTTTTGCTGCCAAGTGGCACAACCCTGAAGAGTCTCTCCGACTCCCAAGCTCCTACGGAATCAGCACCCACAAGGCAGTTCACCTCTTCCCTCTGCCCAGTCCCGCCGCCTTCGCTCCTGTAAGCTGCCTGCACACTGGTCTCCATCGCAGAGTCTGGTTCCTAGGGAACCCAACCTCACACACACTCTGGGAGTTTCGTTCTCTTCTACCAGAGTGAGGCAATGAAAATCAGCACAAAGAATTCTGGCCAGTACTGTGGGTGAGGAATCCATTTCAGGAGGAGCCACCAGAGCGCAAGCACCAGGTCACAGCAACAGAGTCCAAGGGATCCACAGGCCAGAGAGTGTAAACGCTTGTAACTGCTGACCAAAGGCTCAAGTATGTGGTCTAGTGTTATCACTTGTTACCTCTGAGGAGTACAGAGTTGTGGTTCTCAACCTTGGCTGCAAAATAGAATAACCAACGGTGTTGCTAAAATTAGTGATGCCTGGGCCTCATCTCAAACCAACTGAATCTGAGCCTCCTGAGCCTGAGCCTGGCCATCAGTATTTGGTAATCACTTGATTTCTCTGGGCCTTGCTTCTCTCATCTGTTAAAGAGGCAATAGTAGTTAGCTCCCTACAGGGCTGACGGGCAGGTGCTACCTGGTTATCATTCCGTTAAGTACCTGGTGACTTATCAGGCATTCAATACTGAATATCTTCCCCACCTTCCTACTTAACTGCATGGTTAGAAAAATGCAGATGTTCTAAATAAGGATGCCAAAGCACAAATATTGCATGTTATTGGTTGTCTTCAAATCAAGAGGCATCTATTTTACCATCCCTTAAGACAAAGGTCTTCCTAGACATTGGCCAAGATCGTGGACAGATTCAATGTGCCCTTGGGCATATTTACATAAAGTTTCTTGAAATATACCTTCTTTTTGACACATAGTCATATGAAAACTGTACAAGTTTTCTTTTTAAACAGTAAAATAATTTGTTCAAAGCCACTTACCTATTTTGCAACAGGATAGCTTGCTTTTAAGACTGTTTGACTTCATATCCCATCACTGCTTCTTAGCTGTGTGACTTTGGGCAGACCATTTAAACACCCTTTGCCTCAGTTTCCCCACCTACAAAATGGCAATAATAATAACACCTACCTCATAGGAGTGTTGAGCTGATTAAATGATATTTTGCTTGTTAAGTATTTATCAGAGAGGCTGGCAAAGAGTAAGTACTCAGTGAATGCCAGCTATTTTTATAATTTCTTGGAGTGAGTGAAAATATGTGCCAGGTGAATTTTAAAATTTTAATTCCATTAGCATTATTAAAAATACAACCATATTAGGGTTGCAGATTGAATAAAACCACATGGATTTCTCATAAAGGTTTTGAGAATTTGTGAGCACTCTACTAATAAAAAAAGATGAATTGGGCATATCATCTTAAGCCCAGAAAAAGCTGAAATAAAACACTTAATTGTGTGAATTTTATTCCATGGTGTCAAACCTTAGAGAAACCGGGATTTAAAGGTATTTCAAATTTACCTCTTTTACAGTAAGCATATGAGGAAAAGGCTAGTTTCATCAGCTTCCCTTGGTAGGTATTGAGAAAGATTAATGAATGTCTTGAGTTTGAACATTAAGTTCTTATGTGTTAGATTTCTATAGCCTTCACTTCTTGATGTTTAGGGAAAAACAATTAAATATGTCTCCGCATTTTGCTCCATACATATTAGATAAATCAACTGGAAATTGTATTCAGCTACTAGTAACAGAGACTTAAATATTGGCTTAAATAAAGCAAGGATTTTTTCCCCTTATAAAATAAGAGCAGTGCAGGTATGATGACTCCAAAGCACCATCAGGCACCTAGGCTCTTTCCAGCTCCAGGCTTCACCATCCCTAGGCTGTGGCCCTTGTCCTCAGGCTTATAGGATGACTGCTGGAGCTCAAGCTCTCACTTGAGTGTTCTAGGAACAGACAAGGGAGACACAAGGAAAGGCAGTGGGACCTGCTGACTGAGTCATCCTCCTTTAAAAAGCTTTCCCTGTAAGCCCCACTCAGTGACTTCCAGTTACATATTACTCTGCCCACCCACCGCCCTCATCCCATGACACATACACACCTCTGCAAAGAAGGCTGGGAAAAATAATGTTTCAGTGGACAGCTTGCCAAATCCTAGAATACAGGGATTCCGTACTAAAAAGGAAAGGAAGGATTATACTGGTTAGAGACCTAAAATTTTTGCAACCGTAAGTTCTTAATAAATTGTTGTTTACAAAAAAGAAGAAAAAAAGGAGGAGGAGGAAGAAAAGAAACGACCTGCTAATTTATTCATTATTGTGTCCCTAGGACCTAGCTCAGTACCTGGCACACAGTAAGAGCTGAGTAAATATTTATTTAATGATTGAACTAAAGAATGAGGTATGGATATAGAATAAAGGATTGATTTTACAGGCTCACATGAAAACCAGTCTCTTGAATCCAGATACTTAGCCTTTAAAGAATTATTCTAGCAACAATACAGGGTACTGTAATTATCCTCATTTGATACATGAGGCTAAAAGGGCTTAATAACATGCCCAGGGTGAGACATCCTCTTCCCACTGCCCTCCACAGACCCAGGCCAGCATAGCCAATGCCTCTGCCTTGATGAGCATGAGGGAATGGTCCTAGATGGATTATCTAATGTCCTTCCTTTTTTACAGATGAGAAAACTAGATGCCCACAGAAGTTAAGAATCTTGTCCAAAGTCACGTAGCTCAGAGAAGAAAGTGATTATTAGAATCAGGTATATCAACCCCCAGTCTGTGCTGCATGGGCCCCGAGTTCCCATTGGCACCAACCTCTCAAGAAATTGGTGTGATTGCCTGGAAACAGACTTTGATGAAATAACTGTGAGCTGCTCAAGATATTTTCCACCTTCCCTGGCCAACATATTCTACTCCCTTGGAAGCCACCCCAGCATTCATTGTTGAGGGTAGAGTGTCAGGTTGCAGGCTGCAGATTTTAGTAGCATTGGAGAGAGAGGCAGCATTAATTAAAAAGCAGAGGGAAAAGCCATCACCAAAATTGCCACCCACTCCAGGACAGTTGCCTCTAGGAGCAAACGCCTTAGCACCAGCCCTGGGATGGAAGTTGTGAGCAATAGTAGAGTGACTGACCATCCTGGTTTGCCCAAGACTGTCCTGGCTTTAGCACGGAAAAGTCCTGCATCCCAAGAAACCACTCAGAACCTGTCAAACAGGGCCAGTTGGTACCTCCAACATATTTCTGTTGTTGCTCTTGGGTTATACATTCAGAGACTTTCAATGGAACTTTGGAAAAGTGGGGAACAGCAAGGAACCACAAGAGGCAGGTCCAGCATGTTGGGTCCAACCCAGCACAGAGGCATTTGTTGAGTACCAAATTGATGAGAGGCAGAGAGCCAGGTCCTCCCTGGACATGGAGCCATCATTGCTAGTGTTTTCTGGGCACTCACCCAGTGCTGAGTGGAAGGGCTTCATGTGGATGAGTTCGTTGATCCTCACAACACCCCTAGAAGGCAGATCCTATTGTTCTCCCATTCACAGAAAGGAATCTGAAGCACGAGGAGGTGAAGGAATGCGCCCAAAGTTAAAAGCTGTCAGGCAGCAGAGGTCGGGTGCAGACTGGCCGACTCCAGGGTCTGCGTGCTCCCTTCTCATTGCACTGCCCCATACAGGAAGAGAAACATCACCTCTTCACTCAAGAAGTGTACAACATGGGAGACAGGGTGAGGTAAGTGCGCAGATCCCTTATGGAGTAATATCAATGCCACCGTGGCTGACATTCCCTGAGCAGTTGCTGTGGGCCAGGCCTCTGCTCAGCTTCTACGTAAAGTGTCCATTCTCATCCTCATTATGATGAGTGTGGTACTATTAGCATCTCCATTGTATGACAATCGGACTGTGGCTAAAAGAGGTGAAGCATTTTACCCAGCATCTCACAAGTGGTGAAGCTGGGATTCAAATCAAGAAGTCTAATCCCATGGCAGGGCAGAACTGTACCTTGCTTAGGAGCTCTGGGTGTTCTCCCAGGCAGGTTAGGTGAGGGCCAGGTGAGAGCTACTAACAGACTGCCCTAGAGATTTAGCCATTTCTGCCTTTTTGTTCATTTGCACTAAGTGTCATTCTCTAGTCTCAAGCCTTGGGCTGTGTTCTGCTAGCAGCCCCCGAGCTGGTGGTGGCCACCATCATTTTGCAAGCCAGTGAACCAAAAACCACTCCGAGAGCTCCACAACGCAACACAGAAGGCTGAATCCTGGGACAGACGCCACAGCACAGTGCTGTTTTGGAAGGCAGCTTTCTGCTCCCAGCCCCAGCCTACCTTTCCATTGCTGCTGTTTTCTTCCTGCTCCAGAGAAGGGCGAAAGCACATTATCTACCTACATAGAGGAACTATGGAAGCCCTGCCAGGCCCTGTCTCATCCCAGAGCTTGAAGACTTGGGTTATGATCACTGCAGAACCAAAAGGCATTATTAATATGGATGTATTCCAGAAGTGACCAGTTTAAAAATCATTCAAGAGAGCATATGCATGAGACCATGCGCTGCTGTTATGCCTGCAAAGCCCTCTTTGGTAACAACAGCTCTGAGAGCTCTGACCTCCCACCTAAGAACCAGTGGCCACAGAAAACCTTTCTGCAAGAATCCCTGCTCCTTTTCCAGCTTGTCTGGAGTGAGAGAGTAGCTGAGGCTCCTGGACAGCAAGTTGCCTCTAAGAGGGGCCACTGCATCCTGTCATAAAGAATGGATTAGGCTGGGAGGCCGGGTGCGGTGGCTCATGCCTGTAATCCCAGCACTTTGGAGGCTGAGGCGGGTGGATCACAAGGTCAGGAGATCGAGACCATCCTGGCTAACATGGTGAAACCCTGTCTCTACTAAAAATACAAAAAATTAGCCGGGCGTGGTGGCGGGTGCCTATAGTCCCAGCTATCCCAGCTACTCGGGAGACTGAGGCAGGAGAATGGCATGAACCCTGGAGGTGGAGCTTGCAGTGAGCCCAGATCGCGCCACTGCACTCCAGCTTGGGCGACAGAGCAAGACTCCATCTCAAAAAAAAAAAAAAAAAAAAAGAATGGACTAGGCTGGGGGGATAAGCTGGCTCTTTAGTAAACAGAATGAACCCTGCTGCTTCTCCCACAACCAAAGGGAAAAGTGAGCCCCAAAACAGAGCGGAACGTTACTTCTCTAAGCAAAAGACAAAGGCACCCTCCTGGGTGAGTATCAAAATATTTAAATCTGCTAAGACCACGAAGGGCCCTGACCTAGTGTGTATTGCAATGAGTTGGAGAATCTGGTAGAGAGTTAGTAATAACTGCACCAATCAGGCTGAGAACACTGAAGCTATATGATGGTGATTATTAAAAACAATAATTATTGTTTGCCACATACTGGACACTGATGTAATTTATTTATAGGTGCATCTAATATTTGTGACAGCCCTATGAGGTATCCCAGCTAGAAAGTGGCAGAGCTGGGATTTAAATCCAGGAGACAAAAGAAAAACTGTGTGAGTCCCAAATAGGTGAGGTAGCAGAGGGCAGCACCACAGACTTCTCAGAGAAGGCATCCTGTCCCTGAGTCTCTAGGGTCGAGGGGCTTTGGGTGGAACTCGGCCTGTTGCAGAACACGGGTTTGATTTTCTTTTCTTTCGACAAAGCTGCCTTCTGGGCACAGGGTGCCTACAGGCCCAAACAACTGCTCAGGGAAGAGAATTCCCCAGGTTTCTAGCTGGGATCTAAAGAAAAAAAGTGTGCCATGTCTGGCGCAAAAGCACCTGACATCAGGTTACCTCTAAACACATTATGTCGCCCTCCTTCATGAACAGGATCAAAAAATTCTCTTTTATCCCCCAAATCAAAGGTTTTCTCCATCTCTACAAAGGGGCCTGAGTCCCCTGCCTGGGCTGAGTGTGACGAGTCCTCACTCTGTGGGCCTCAAAAGGATTACACTTTTGTTTGTGTCTCCTGTAACCTTGTGCCTTCTCCTCACGGGCCACCTCCCAAGTCAGGCCCAAGAGCAATGCACTCCCGAGTGGACGAGGCACTTCAGACACCAGCTTGCTGTTTCCTGCAGTGGTCAGCCTGATTTACATCCACTGCTGAGTAAGAGGTTCATTTGGCCAGACGCAGTGGCTCACGCCTGTAATCCCAGCACTTTGGAAGGCCGAGGTGGGTGGATCACCTGAGGTCAGGAGTTCAAGACCAGCCTGGACAACACAGCAAAACCCCGCCTCTACTAAAAATACAAAAATTAGCTGGGCATGGTGGTGGGCGCCTGTAATCCCAGCTACTCAAGAGGCTGAGGCAGGAGAATTGCTTGAGCCTGGGAAACAGAGATTGCAGTGAGCCGAGATTGTGCCACTGCACTACAGCCTGGCCAACAGAACAGGACTCTGTCTCAAAATAACAAAGCAAAACAAAAAAGAGATTAATTTTCCTGAAGAAAGAACCCCAAAACCAGAAGCAGTGTTCATGACATAACTCTAAATTTGGAAACCAGGTTACAAAAGAGGATGTAAGCTATGATTGCATTGTGGGAGAAAAGAACAATAATAATAACAAGAGCTAGTGTTTGCTGAGTGCTTACTATGTGCCAGGCACTGGGCTACAGACCTTCATTAATCCTCAGAGAGACACAATGAGGTACGTATGGAATGGGGTAGGTAGGAGCACACAGAGACTTAAAAAGATTACATAAATCACCTACAGTGTTAGTGGAGCCAGGAATTAAACCCAGCCTGCCTCATGGCCAAGATTCTCCTCGATCAAACTCTAGCCAGGCCCTTTGGAGCACTCTTCTTGACTATGTCTTAACCTCGGCCTATGAAGATCTGAACGAAACACTAACATAGTTTCCAACAGTGCAAGGCTGCATCCCTAGGATGACCCTAGTGTCCTTAAAGTACCTGTGAGAAAACTCAAGGTTGCCAATTGAATTGACTGTTTATTCCAGCCAGTTCCTGAAGATGGGGCCCCTGTCTCCTAACCTCTGCGGGAGGGTAGGAGCCTAGCTCGATATGCGACAGTTAGCAATCCCAGATGGGTTTCACATGGACAAACCCTCTCCCCATCATCCTGCTTTTTGTAATTTTACATTTCCTTGACTCTACTGAGCAACCTCCCCACTCCCACCGACACTCCCTCATTCTCTCTTGAAACGCCATGGGTACCTCTGTGCAAATTAAAATTGAGTGCAGTACACTCGGGACCCTTTTCCCCATTGCAATCGTATATTACTGATAAAATCTGTACTTACCACTTTAACTAGGATTGGCTTTGTCTTTGACACTGACCACACCCTGTTCACAATACCATTCTACTATCCAGCCTCCAGATACACCAAGGTATGTATGTTACCGGGAGTGTGGAAGGGAGCTTCAGGTTACCAGATCCCAAATGCTAGGGTCATTTTTTTTTTATGTTTCTGTGTTTCCCAAATTTACATACTAAGCATGCATTATTTTTGCATTTAGGAGGGAAATGTTACCAAAAATAAAAAGTGGAAATAATATTTTTCATAAGAAAAAATACAAGACCCCCAAAGCAATTGATTACTGCAGCTTACAACCAGATAAATAGACCCTGGCTTCCCACCACCTACCAAGATCATTACGCAGCTATATGAAGTCTTTCCTTTCTTCCCGTTCCTGAGTGTCCTCCTTCTCACCACCAGAATGGCTTCCTGCCATTCCCCCACCCCTCACAAGCAGCATCCCCAATCTGACTGGAGAAGCAAGCCCATCTTTGCCTCCTTTCAACAAGATCTCAGCCAAGTCCTCCAGGACATGGATGGCTGAAAAGGCAGTAGCCAGAGCCAGAGTCAACAGATTTTCCAGGTGGCCATTTTTTGCCAAGGGTTCTGCTAGACACTGGACCAAAATACTAGAAAATAACATAGCCAAAAAATGCTAAAACCTCATTATCTTTAGCCCTGAAGAAACCCAAGACAGCTGCCTTCTGAGCTATAAAGAATAAGCAATCCTTAAATTCCTACACTGTTCTTAGCATTATCAATCAACTCTGTGCTCTGTTCTGTAAGAGATAAACAGGGTGAAACAGTGTGTCTATGTGTATGTGTGTGTGTATATATGTGTATATATATTTGTATATGTGTGTGTGTGTGTGTGTGTGTGTGTGTGTGTGTGTGTGTGTGTGTATAGTGTTTGGAATCTAACTGGAAATGCTAGACAAGCATCAGGTAAGTAGAAAGAAGCACACCTCTTTTAGCACTGCCCATGTAGTCCTGATATTAATTCATTATGATGCTAACTTGTTCACTTAATGTATAACTCTCACAGCCAAGGAGTCACTGCAGTGAAAAGCATGTTCTTTCATGTTCTCAGTTTTGGGAAACAATTGTCCATTGGTCTCTCATGTTTCTACATGTCTTATAAGCAAGGCGCTGACTTCCCTTGTTCTAGACTATCTTTGCAAGGATGTTTGTATAACAAAAAGTCTTGGAAGATAGAGTGGTTCCCAGAGCACTTTTCTTTCCTGAGCAAAAAGCAGGCTTGCTCACTGTCTATTATAAAAGATTTGGGTTTCCTGTGCTCACGGTTCCTCTCTGTAATGCAATCCAGTGCCTGCACAGGTGTCATCTGGCCCTATTAGCATCATACTATGAGAATTAGGGGTTAGAGAACCCACTCAAAATTGCTAGTACTCTAGCTGCCGCTATTGCTGTGAGGAATACTATTATTTCTCCAGGAGTCTCATGTCTTCTACCAGCATCCATGAAACTATGGGAGGCTAATTTGTTAGCTTGCAAGGAAGGTCAAATTTCAGATCCCTCACAGTTTGTGACACTTAACCAGTGAGTTCTAATATGATCTAGTCTACTTTTCTCCATTTAAGAAGCACTGTCTATTCCATTTACTCAGCAAAGCTCCCTTCTTGCCAGTATTTTCTTTCTTTTCTGATAATAATTTTGATGAATAATGCCTGAAAAAGGTATACAAGTAACTATGTTTGATCTGCCAAAAATAAGAAAAACATCCTACTGGCTGCAAATCACAAGAATAACGGGGGCTCAAAGTCGCATTCACAAAAATGGCTAGGAAATCAAGAGTACAAATCAACAGGAAATATAGGATTCTTTGGTGCTAAAAAACAAAAAACAAAAAGAAAAAGGAAACATTAAAACACCACCCATTAGAACCCAGCCAGGGAGGCTTAATCAACAGCTGCAGAAAGAGCTGAAGAGAATGGAACCACCATGCCATACCACTGAACATTCATCCTCTCTGGAGATGTGCCAGGAGGACCAAATAGCACCGATTTCACTCAGAGCTTCTATCCCCAGAACTGCATTTTCTAAATAAGATACACCTTATTACATCATATAGCACAGATTATAAGTATACCATAGAAATTTGTAAACAGGAGTCCATTCCTGATTCTAGCTCTTCAATAGGATAAAGGAGCATGTATAAATATGGCCATATTCGGGTGGATCATGAGGTCAGGAGATCGAGACCATCCTGGCTAACAAGGTGAAACCCCGTCTCTACTAAAAATACAAAAAATTAGCCGGGCGCGGTGGCGGGCGCCTGTAGTCCCAGCTACTCGGGAGGCTGAGGCAGGAGAATGGCGTGAACCCGGGAAGCGGAGCTTGCAGTGAGCCGAGATTGCGCCACTGCAGTCCGCAGTCCGGCCTGGGCGACAGAGTGAGACTCCGTCTCAAAAAAAAAAAAAAAAAAAAAAATGGCCATATTGAGAATTTTTCCTAAAATACAGCTGGAGAAAAAAAGTTATTATAAGGTTTAGTTAAAGACATTTTGCACAATTATTTCCCTTAATTTTGTTTTCAGCTATGGGAAGGCATGACCATGCCATAAATAAGCTCTGAAAATAGAGCATTCAAGGAAAGAGTTTAGTAATTAAAATGCATGAGGTGGCTGACAAGATGGCCAAATAGGAACAGCTCTGGTCTGCAGCTCCCAGCGAGATCAACGCAAAAGGCCAGCGATTCCTGCATTTCCAACTGAGGTAGCCGGCTCATGTCATCGGGACTAGTTAGACAGTGGGTGCAGCCCACGGAGGGCAAGCTGAAGCAGGGTGGGCTGTCTCATGACCATCGTGTTACCCAATACTAGAAAGAGTGGGTAAGGGTGCTAGAGGCTTGGGAAGGGAAAGTAGGGTGCCAGCAGAAATAAGATGGGAAAGCTGGGTGCAGCAGCTCATGCCTGTAATCCAAACACTTTGGAAGGTGGAGGTGGGAAGATCACTTGAGCCCAGGAGTTTGAGACCAGCCTGGGCAACAAGGCAAAAACCCCATCTCTACAAAAAATACCAAAAGTAGCCAGGCATGGTGGCATGCACCTGTAGTCCCAGCTACTCAGGAGGCTGAGGTGGGAGGATCACCTGAGCCTGGGAGGTCAAGGCTGTGGTGAGTGATCCTGCCACTGCACTCCAGCCTGGGTGATAGAGTGAGACCCTGTCTCAAAAGGAGGGAGGGAGGGAGGGAGGGAAAGAAAGGAGGGAGGGAGGAAGGGAGGGAGGGAGGGAGGGAGGGAGGAAGGAAGGAACGAAGGAAGGAAGGAAGGAAGGAAGGAAGGAAAGATTTGGTAAGGAACAGACTGGAGGACTCTTGCAGATATTCAGGCAGTTAGAGCAGCTGGTGAAGAAAACTTGCCTTATCTTAGTATCTGCCATATTATTACTAAACTAATATACTTTTCTTTGTATTAACTCACCAGCATTGCCACCTTCTTTAGCCTTGTCCTGAGAAATAATATTGGTTTCGATATCAGTGTTTTCAAATACACATTACAAAAAATGTATCATTACTGACATTTTAAAAGATGTCTATGTATGAATACAATCTTTGCAGAACCACCAGCAGTGAAAGCCCCATCCTTAGGAAATCATCCCTTTACTCTGTGAGCTTCTAGAGGGCAGAGATGATGTTCTCTACCTTGGCAGTTCCTTGTGATGTCCATTCTTCCTAGGATTGAGAAAATGTAAAGAAAAACCTGTTTTCCACATCAAGATGCACCGCTTGTCCACCTTCTAAGCGTGGCATAGCTCATCAGAGATTGAGAATCAGGAACAATTTGATCTCTAGATTATGCACAGACCTGGTTGCCACTGTAAAATGCAAATATGCTGCAAATTAAAAATTAATGCAATCTCCCTCAAGGATAAAATGACAATTAGTGCTCTACCCTTTATTTATTTTCTTTAAAAGCTCAGCCTTTAAGGAAGGGCATTCAAATTAACAGTGTATATAAGATTCCAAAGTGTATAAATTCAAGACATTTAAAGGAAGTTTTCTTGAAATGAAAGATGAGCAAATGTATTCTTTTTTGCAGATTTAAGTTCTGTTGTTGCTACAAAAGAATGTGTTCAGATGAATTTCAAATATGTCTTTATCAGTGATTATTCCTCCCCCAACATTTCTTAATAAGAGTCTCTAACCAAGCTGCCTATAAATGCAATAGTAAATTCATATCCCAGGGTTCCAGGAACATAATGCAATCATAGTTTGCAAACGCAAATTTAAAAAGACACTAGACTCAGTAAATAAAGATTTATGAGATACTTGGAAACCATGTATTGCACAAAAGAGGTGAAATGAAATCCTCTATAGCATTTTAAGCATCTAGCTCATAATGAGATATGTAAATGTTGCAAATCAGAGAATGTATAATGTTTTCATAGCAATAGGAAAGCTCAGTCCTGTTTATTATACATGTGGTTCAATTTGTTGTTTGAGTGCTGCACTCATGCCTGTCTCCATTTTGCAGGACATCAAATGGAAGCATAAATTGATGTTTTGTTTTGTTTTTTTCTGGTTCAATGTTTTCATCATCTCAACTGAGGAAAAATCCACAGGGAAAATGTGTACACTCTAGGCAGAGCAGAAGTCTGGTATTTTCATCAAAGTGCTAGATTCCTTCTGTTTGTATAGCCAAAAGAAAAAGAAAGTATCTCTGTGTACTATGTACTATAGACTCATTGGAGTGCAAAACCCAGAAGATCATGCTTTGTCTTCTTTGAAAGGATTTTGTTATGCTTTGCAATATGTATGTGTGGGTGAGCATGGTTTCAGAAAGCAAAATATCCCACCAGGGCCGATCTAGACCAATTGCTTAGAGAACAATGTAAATGCATGTAACATTCAACTTTTTACATTATTCTCCTTAGAATCATCATTACTACCTCAAGGACATTGGTGATTTCTTTGAAATACGCTTACCCTGAATCCTTCAGTGTATGTATGCCGAAACAAAAAAAAATTCTCATGTCTAGGGTTTCATTTGCCATTTCTCTCATGTCTTTCAGGAAAAGTCCTAACAAGTAGATTCTATCAGACCTTCAAAAATAGCTAACTCAACGTGGATAGACAATTCAGAGAAATTAAAGTTAAAACTAAAATTGTTATTTGTGTAATTATTTGTGTAGCAGAATAACTTGACTGAGAAATTACCCCAGGCTGTCTTTTCTCAGCAGTGGGCCCAAGAAGAAAGTCTGATTGGTGTTAAGCCCTCCCCTCACAAGGTGGTGAGAGGTTTCCTTTTCCCCAGGGCAGAACACAGAGACTTTAGATTTAGTCCACCATGTGTTAAATTCTACATCTCAAAACATGTAGAACTAGATCATCTGAAAAGGGAGCAACTGAAGGAGCAGGTGACAAAGAATAGAGGTGTGGTCAGTCCCAGGCGGGTCGGGGACAGATGCCTCATCCCACACAGCCTTTCCCAGATGGCACCATCTCCATTGGGGAGCCTACATGGCATTATGTCATGGGCATGATGCACTCTGGCCTTGTGGACCTCAATCAAGACATTATTGATGGGAGGAATAAGTTCAAGCGATGTATTGTACATCGTGGTGACTACAGTTAATAACAGTACATTGAATATTTGAAAATTGCTAACAGAGTAGATTTTAAGTATTCTCAGCACAAAAAGTGAAAGTATGCAAGGCAATGCATAAGTTAAATTGCTTGACTTAGGCATTCCACAATGTTTATATATATCAAAGCATCATGTTGTTCACCACAGACATTTACAATTTTTACCTGTCAATTTAAATAAATATATAAAACACTATTGGCCAAGCATATGAGAAAGAGATCTAGGCTAACTTGATCAGACTGTGACGGTCAGGGACCTTTTGGTGACTGTTAGGATTCTTCTAATGTTAGAAACTGTCAACAGGATCCTCTGTGAACTGGAGAAGGAAGGACTACCAGCTCAAATTATCAAGCTTGAGCTTTTAATATTTTATTCCTACCAGGGCTACAGCTCTTGCTACATCACTCCTAACCAAGAGATATCTTAAATACCACTAATATCACCTACCCAAAAATTATTTCTAACATCTCTTTTATTACTTAACCAACTTCAAGGTGTTGGTTCAGATTAACTTGTTTGTACTTACATCACACTCCTCGAACTGAAGTATTTCCAAGTGAATTACCATAAATCAATATAGCATGTGGCTCCAAGAGAGTGGGTGCCTGGAGCAGCAGAGTCTCTGACCTCCCAGTGGACACTGGAGGCTTGGACTGAGATCATTGCACAGCCAGTTGATGGCCTAAAGACCAGAGGCCTTTTCTCAAGTTTCCTGTATTTCTTAATTCCTTGGAGTTCATAAACTCCTGGATTTTGCAAACCCCAGGGAAGGGAAACAGGCTACCCAGAAACATATTTGTATCCCTTAGACTAAATAATTATCTGTGCAAGCTAAACTTAATTTGATTTTTTTAAAAAATGATGTGTCATTTCTTGTGCCAATATGTTATGACACAGATCTGCACATGTTATATTTGTTTAGTATCTGTCTCCCTCACTAGATTGTCAGCTTTTTAAAGACTAGGACCATATTTGTTTTGTTCACCACTGCATTCCACACCATATTGTAAATGGTCAATAAATATTTATTTGTGGAAAGAAGGGAATGAGGGAGAAAGTAGGCAAGCAGAAATCAGGGGAAGGAGAGAGAGTGAAAGGAAGAAAGGGAGAGGATTAAAACAGCAGTCCCCAAACCAAGCCTTCCCTTCTAATGTCACTATCGACTCTGAGGATTCAAACCCCAGGGTTCTACATAGGCTTTCTCCAAGATATCAGTCTCAGTGATATCTCCAAGGTGAGACAAGACTCTACTTGAGTAGAGTAGCTACACAAGAGTCCTATAAAACACTCAAGCTAAAATAAAATCTGTGTTTAAAAGTACTTAGGGCAAATTGTGTTCTAAACCATAAATCAAAAGCTGACAGCTGCAGGTGCCAGTTTCATGAAAGAATCTGTGCTCTTCAGCAAATGTCCAGGCTAGAAGAGGGCTCCAAGATCTCATGGGGGTGATGCAGTTCCTCATAAATGAAAAAACTGAGGTGCAGGCAAGTTAGTAAGTTTCAGCTGGTACAGCCAGGATGACAAGTGACAACTTTTGTTAAGTATAGTCATCCTACTCTACTATCAAGCATTGAATTTATTCCTTTTATTTTACTATATGTTTATACCCTACAACCCAGTTCTCTTCACCCTTCCCTCTCCCCAGCACCCACCCTTCCTAGTCTGATATCTATCTTTCCACTCTCTACCTGCATGTGATCACATTTTTTAGCTCCCACATGTAACCAGGAACGTGTGAGATTTATCTTTTTGTGCCTGGCTTATCTCACTTAACATAATAACCTCAAGTTCCATCCATGTTGCTGCAAAAATTACAGGATTTCATTCTTTTTTGTGGCTGGAAAGTATTCTATTGTGTATTTATACTACTTTTTTTTTTTCACTTTAAGTTCTGGGATACAAGTGCAGAACGTGCAGGTTTGTTACATAGGTATATGTGTGCCATGGTGGTTTGCTGAACCTATCAACCCATCATCTAGGTTTTAAGCCCTGCATGCATTAGCTATTTGGCCTAATGCTCTTCCTTCCCCCACCCAACCCCGCAACTGGCCCCAGTGTGCTGTTCTCCTTCCTGTGTCCATGTTTTCTCATTGTTCAACTCCCACATATGAGTGAGAACATGTGGTGTTTGGTTTTCTGTTCCCGTGTTGGTTTGCTGAGGATGATGGCTTCCAGCTTCATTCATGTCCCTGCAAAGGACATGATCTCATTCCTTTTTATGGCTGCATAGTATTCCATGGTATATATGTACCACATTTTCTTTACCCAGTCCATCATCGATGGGCGTATGGGTTGGTTCCATGTTTTTGCTATTGTAAATAGTGCTGCATTAAACATATGTGTGCATGTGTCTTTATAGTAGAATGATTTATATTTCTTTGGGTATGTACCTAGTAATGGGATTGCTGGGTCAAATGGTATTTCTGGTTCTAGATCCTTGAGGAATCGCCACATTGTCTTCCACAAAGGTTGAACCAATTTACATTCCAATCAACAGTGTAAAAGTGTTCCCATTTTCCCACAGCCTCTCCAGCATCTATTGTTTCTTGACTTTGTATTAATCACCATTCTGACTGGTATGAGATGGTATCTCATTGTGGTTTTGATTTGCATTTCTCTAATGATCAGTGATGTTTAGCTTTTTTTCATATATCTGTTGGCTGCATAAATGTCTTCTTTTGAGAAGTGTCTGTTCATATCCTTTGCCCACTTTTTGATAGTGTTGCTTTTTTCTTGTAAACATGTTTAAGTTCCTCGTAGATTCTGGATAGTAGACCTTTGTCAGATGGGTAGATTGCAAAAATTTTCTCCCATTCTGTAGGTTGCCTGTTCACTCTGATAATAGTTTCTTTTGCTGTGCAGAAGCTCTTGAGTTTAATTAGATATCATTTGTCAATTTTGGCTTTTGTTGCAATTGTTTTTGGCGTTTTCGTTATGAAGTCTTTGCCCATGCTTATGTCCTGAATGGTATTACCCGGTTTTCTTCTAGGGTTTTTGTGGTTTTGTGTTTTACGTCTAAGTCTTTAATCCATCTTGAGTTATTTTTTGTATAAGATGTGAGAAAGGGGTCCAGTTTCGGTTTTCTGCATATGGCTAGCCAGTTTTCCAAGCACCATTTATTAATAGGGAATCCTTTCCTCATTGATCGTTTTTCTCAGGTTTGTCGAAGATCAGATGGTTGTAAATCTGTGGTGTTATTTCTGAGGTCTCTGTTCTGTTCCATTGGTCTTATGTGTGTTTTGGTACCAGTACCATGCTTTTTTGGTTACTGTAGCCTTGTAGTATAGTTTGAAGTCAGGTAGCATAATCCCTCCAGCTTTGTTCTTTTTCTTAGGTTTGTCTTGGCTACATGGGCTCTTTTTTGGTTCCATATGAAATTTAAAGTAGTTTTTTTTAATTCTGTGAAGAATATCAATGGTAGTTTGATGGGAATAGCATTGAATCTATAAATTACTTTGGGCAGTATGGGCATTTTCATGATATTGATTCTTCCTATCCATGAAGGTGGAATTTTTTTTCCATTTGTTTGTGTCTTCTCTTATTTCCTTGAGCAGTGGTTTGTAATTCTCTTTGAAGAGGTCCTTCACATCCCTTGTTAGCTGTATTTCTAGGTATATTATTCTCTTTGTAGCAATTGTGAATGGGAGTTTATTCATGATTTGGCTCTCTGCTTGTCTATTGTTGATGTATAGGAATGCTTGTGATTTTTGCACATTGATTTTGTATCCTGAGACTTTGCTGAAGTTGCTTATCAGCTTAAGGAGTTTTTGGACTGAGATGATGGAGTTTTCTAAATACAGAATCATGTCGTTTGCAAACAGAGACAATTCGACTTCCTCTCTTCCTATTGGAATATGCTTTATTTCTTTCTCTTGCCTGATTGCCCTCGCCAGAACTTCCAGTACTATATTGAATAGGAGTGGTGAGAGAGAGCATCCTTGTCTTGTGCCAGTTTTCAAAGGGGATGCTTCCAGCTTTTGCCCATTCAGTATATGCCACTTTTTCTTTATCTATTGATTCATTGATAAACATTTAGGTTGATCACACATCTTTGCTATTGTGATTAGTGCTGCAATAAACACGTGAGTGCAGGTAGGTCTTCCTTTGATATATTGATTTCTTTTCCTTTGGGTAGCTATCCAATAGTAGGATTGCTAGATTGAATGGCTATTCTATTTTTAGGTGTTTTTTTTTTATCTTCATATTGTTTTCTATAGTGGCTGTACTAGCTTACATTCCCACCAACGGTGTAGAAGAGTTCCCTCATCTTTGCATCCTCACCAACATCTGTTATTTTTTGTCTTTTTTTTTTTTTTTTTTGAGACAGAGTCTCGCTCTGTCACCCAGGCTGGAGTGCAGTGGGGCAATCTTGGCTCACTGCAAGCTCTGCCTCCCGGGTTCACACCATTCTCCTGCTTCAGCCTCCCGAGTAGCTGGGACTACAGGTGCCCATCATCATGCCTGGCTAATTTTTTATATATTTTTTAGTAGAGACATGGTTTCACCATGTTGGCCAGGATGGTCTTTATCTCCTGACCTCGTGATCCACCCGCCTCCCCCTCTCAAAGTGCTGGGATTACAGGCATGAGTCACCATGCCTGGCCTATTTTTTGTATTTTTTGTAATAGCCATTCTGACTGGTAGAAGGTGATATCTCATTGTGGTTTTGATTTGCATTTCTCTTTTTTATTGTATTTTGAGAGGGAATCTCACTCTGTCGCCTGGACTGGAGTGCAGTGGCATGATCTCGGCTCACTGCAGCCTCCGCCTCCTGGGTTCGAGCAATTCTCCTGCCTCTGCCTCCCAAGTAGCTGGGATTACAGGTACCTGCCACCATGCCTGGCTAATTTTTGTATTTTAGTAGAGACAGGGTTTCACCATGTTGGCCAGGCTGGTCTTGAACTCCTGACCTCAAGTGATCTGCCTGTCTCGGCCTCCCAAAGTGCTGGGATTACAGGTGTGAACAACCACACCTAGACTGCATTTCTTTAATTAGAGATGTTGAGCATTTTTTCATAGAACTGTTGGCCATTTGAACATCTCCTTTTGAGAAATGTCTATTCATGTCCTTTGCCCACTTCTTAATGGGATTTTTTTCCCTGTTGAGTTGTTTGAGTTCCTTGCATATTCTGGATATTAGCACCCAGTCAGATGAATAGTTTACAATATTTTATCCCATTCAACAGGTTGTCTGTTCACTCTGTTGATTGTTTCCTTTGCCATTTGTCTATTTTTGTTTTTGTTGACTGTGTTTTTGAGGTCTTAGTTATAAATTCTTGTCTAAACCAATGTCCAGGAGAGTTTTCCCTATGTTTTGTTCTATCATTTTTATAGTTTGAGGTCTTACATTTAAGTCTTTAATCCACTTTGAGTGGATTTTTCGATACAGTGAGAGACAGGGATCTGGTTTCAGTCTTCTCTACATGGCTATCCAGTTTTCCCAGCACTATTTGTTGAAGAGGGTATCCTTTCACCAATTTACCCTCTTGTTGGCTTTGTCAAAGGTCAGTTGGCTGTAAATATATGGGTTTATTCCTGGGTTCTCTATTCTGTTCTATGAACCTATGTGTCTATTTTTATCTCAATACCATGCTGTTTTGGTTAGTATAGACTTGCAATATATTTTGAAATCAGATAATGTGATGCCTCCAGCTTTGTTCTTTTTCCTCAGGATTGCTTTTGTTATTGGAGTTCCTTTTGGCTTCCATATGGATTTTTGGATTGTTTTTTCTAATTATGTGAAAAATGGTGTTGACCTTTTTATAGGGATTGCACTGAATATGTGTATTGCTATAGGCAATATAGTCATTTTAACAATATTAATTCTTCCAATCCATCATCATGGAATGTTTTCTATTTGTTTGTGTCATCTTCTATTTCTTTAATCAATGTTTTGTAGTTTTCCTTGCAGAGATTTTTCATCTCCTTGGTTAAATTTATTCCTAGGTATTTGTTAGTAGCTGCTATAAATGAGATTGGTGTCCTGATTTTCTTTCCAAACTATATCATTATTGGTATACAGAAATGCTACCAATTTTTGTACATTGATTTTGTATCCTGCAACTTTACTGAATTTATTTATCAAATCTAAGAGTTTATTGATGGAGTCTTTGGGTCTTTCTAGATATAAGATCATATCATCAGCAAAGAGGGACAATTGGACTGCCTCTTTTCCAAATTGGATGCCTTTTATTTATTTCTCTTGCCTGGTTGTTCTGGCTAGGAGTGGTGAAAGTGCACATCCCAGTCTTGTTCCAGTCCTTAGAAAAAAAGGCTTTTAAGTTTTTCCCATTCAATATGTTGTTAGCTGTGGGTCTGTCATACATGCCTTTATTATTTTTAGGTATGTTCCTTCTCTGCCTCGTTTGGTGAGAGTTTTTATGAAGAAAGGATGTTGAATTTTATCAAATGTTTTTTCTGCATCTGTTGAGATAACCATAGGGTTTTTGTCCTTCATTCTTTTGATGTGATATGCATGTTTTTTTATTTGTAGGCATTAAACATCCTTGCATTCTGATATAAATCCTACTTGTTTGTGATTTATTATCCTTTTATTGTGCTATTGGATTTGGTTTACTAGTATTTTTATTGGGAATTTTTGTGTCTATGTTCATCAGGGAAATAAGCTTGTTGTTTTGTTTTGTTTGTTTTTGGTTGTGCCCTTGTCTGGTTTTGATATTAGGGTGATGTTTGCCTTGTAGAATGAGTTAGGGAAAATTCCCCCCTTTTATTTTTTGGAATAGTTTCAGGAAGATTAGTATTATTTCTTCTTTGTGTGTTTGGTAGACTTTGGCTGTGAATCCATCTGGTCCTGGGCTTTTCTTTTTTGGGAAACTTTTTATTACTAATTGAATCTCGTACTTACTATCTGTCTGTTCAGGTCATCTATTTCTTCCTCATTCCATCTTGGGAAGTTTCATGTTTCCAGAAATTTATCCACTTATTCCAGATTTTCCAGTTTGTCAGCATATTGTTGTTCATAATAGTCTCTGATAACTTTGGTATTTCTGTTGTATCAGTTATAATGTCTTCTTTTTCATTTTTAATTTTGTTTATTTGGTTCTTTTTTCTTTTCTTGGTCAGTTTAGCTGGAAGTTTATCAGTTTTGTTTATCTTCTTTTTTTTTTTGAGACAGAGTCTTGCTCTGTCACTCAGGCTAGAGGGCAGTGGCACCATCTCGGCTCACTGCAAGCTCCGCCTCCTGGGTTCATACCATTCTCCTGCCTCAGCCTCCCAAGTAGCTGGCACTACAGGCACCCGCCACCACGCCCAGCTAATTTTTTGTATTTTTAGTTGAGACAGGGTTCACTGTATTAGCCAGGTTGGTCTCAATCTCCTGACCTCGTGATCCGCCCACCTCAGCCTCCCAAAGTGCTGGGATTACAGACATGAGCCACTGTGTTTATCTTTTCAAATAACCAACTTTTCATGTCATTGATGCTTTGTAGTGTTTTGTTAGTCTATTTCATTTAGCTCTGCTCTGATCTTTATTATCCCTTTTCTTCTGCTAATTTGGGGTTTGATTTGTTCTTATTTTCCTAATTCCTTGAGGTACATTGTTAGATCGTTCATTTGTAATCTTTCCACTCTTTTAATGTAGGCATTTGTTGCTATAAACTTCCCTCTTAGCATTGCTTTTTTTATATCCCACAGGTTCTGGTAAATTGTATTTCCATTTTCATTTGTTTCAAGAAATGCTTTTATTTCCATCTTGATTGCTGCATTGATCCAATGGTCATTAGGGACATGTTGTTTAATTTCCATGTAATTATATAGTTTCCAAAGTTCCTCCTGGTATTGATTTCTATTTTTACTCCATCGTGGTCTAAAAGGATACATGATATGACTTCAAGTTTTAAAAATATTTTTAGATTTATTTTGCATCTTTACATATAGTCTAGCCTGGAGAATGTTCTATGTGTTGATTAAAAGAATGTATATTCTGCAGTTGTTGGATAGAATGTTCTGTAAATGTTAGGTTCATTTGGTCTAAAGTACAGTTCAAATCCAATGTTTTTTAATCTAGATTTTCTGTCTAGATGATCTGCCTAATGCTGAGAGTGGGGTGGTGAAGTCCCCCACTATTATTGTATTACAGTCTGTCTCTCTCTTTAGATCTAGTAATATTTGCTTTATGAATCTGGGTGCTCTAGTGTTGAGCACATATATATTTAGAATTGTGAAATCCTCTTGGTGGATTGATGCCTTTATTATTATGTAATGACTTTCTTTGCCTTTCTTTTTTTACTGTTGTTGATTTAAAGTGTGTTTTATCTGATATACATATAGCTACTCCTGCTTACTTTTGGTTTTTATTGCATGGTATATATTTTTCCGTCCCTTAACTTTCAGTCTTTATGTATTTACTGGTAAGATGACTTTCTTGTAAGCAGCATGCAGTTGGAAACACGGCTTTTAAAATTTATTCAGCCATTCTATGTTTTAAGTGGATAATTCTTGGGCTTCCAAGTGGCTTACTTACTTAGATGCTGATAGTGGCAGTGGTGAACTAGGAGAGTGGGTGGATTCTTGGTCCCCTGGGCAGCTAGTGTGGGATGGGCAATGACAGTAGCATTGGCAGGACAATTCTCTGTGTTCCAAGCAGTGTGTGTTGATATTGGCAGTGGCTGAAATAAGCTGGGTGGGCCAGTCTCCAGGCCTACAGGTGGCACTTGCGGGTAGGTGCCAACTAAGATGGCAGTGGTTGAGAGTTTAGGCCCAACCTCAGGCCCCCAGGAGGAGTGCCCTGATGCCCTATGTGGTGGGTTAGGTTGGGCAATTCCAGGACCCCAGGCCATGTGCTCTGCTGCAGGGGTGTAGGAGGGAAGTCAGGTTGGGTGGGCTTATATTCAGGCCCTGCAAGGGTAAAAGTTGGCAGCAGCCATGGTAGGCAAGGGTGGGGCATCCCTTGGACTCCTGGCAGAGTGCTTGGCTGAGGGGTGGTAGCAGCAGTGCTGAGGCTCTGCCACTGGAGAGGGTGCAGCCATACTCAGCGTCCAAGCCTGCGCCAGCAAGTAGAAAATGCATAGCCCTCTCATGTCCCAGTCCTGGTGGGGCTTGTCCTCCAGCCCTGGTAGCAGTAGCCTGGACCTAGTAATGTCCCCAACCAGGCTGCAGGACACCCCCACCCAGCTGGTGACCAAATCCCAGTGGCAACTCAAGCACCACTTGCCTTCTGGTCTTCATCTCAGCAGTGCTCACTTCCCAGCATTAGCAGCTGCACCCCACACCTCATTCATTTCTTGATCCCAACTGCAGGAGTGCTCCCAGCTCGCTCCCTAGTCCCAGCAACCACAGCCTGGGTTTCCATAACACCTCAGTCCCAGTGCCACTGTGCTCCAGGACAGTCTACAGTCTGTCAAAGCATGGGTTCGACAGTGGGGCCTTGCTATAGCTTCTTATGTCTTTGAAAAGGTATGGGACCCAGCACGAGCTCCCTCCCTGGTGTCATTTCATCCCATGGTCTCCTGGCAACTCCCCCATGTTGGTTTCAGGGGTTAGGAGGGTTGAGAGGTAATTTTGTGGCCAGCATTGCATGATTCATAGTGAGGACATGGGGCACTAGAAGGCTTTCACTCACTCTTTCCTCACATGAAGAACTTACTCACGGCTCTCAGCAAATCCTGGCCAGGGGTGCTGCCTCTCCACCTTTTCCTTCTCTACTTCTGGTGTTTCCTGTCACTTCTCTGTTGAATTCCAGTGTCTTCTCTTGGATAATATATTTGAAGTGGAACTGTTTATACACTATTTTGGTTCTTTTAAGTGGAAGGGGTGGGCATGAAATGCTTCTAGTCAGTCATCTTGAAGCCCACCCCTCAGGCACAGAGAATATTTAGGCCAATGAAACTATTCCATATAATGCTATAACAGTGGATATGTGTCATTAAACATTTGTCAAAACCTATATAATGTACATAAAAAGTTAATCTTAAACTATGGATTTTGGTTTATAATGAAGTATCAGTTTTGGTTCATTGATTGTAACAACCGGACCACACTGGTGTTGGATGTGCATGGTGGGGAGGCTGGAATGTGTGTAGCAAGAGTTTATGTGGGAACTCTATGTACTTTACATTCAGTTTTGCTGTGGACCTAAAACTGCTCTAAAAAATAAAGTCTATTAACTATATTTAAAGGAACATCATGGAAAAAAAAGCTTAATGGATGAATTAAACAGCAGATTAGAAATAGAAAGAATTAATGAATCAGAAAAAAGTTATACACAATGCAGCATAAAGAGACAAAAACTACACACACATACATACTTATACACACACTTCATATATAGCAATGAAGTTAAGAGGTACAGAGAAAAGAATGAGAAGGACCAACATACGTCTACTCAGAGCTTCAGAAACAGCAGAGATTACAAAAAGAATAAAGGAGGCCTGGAGCAGTGGCTCATGCCTGTTAATCCTAGCACTTTGGGAGGCCAAGGCAGGTGGATCACCTGAGGTAAGGAGTTCAAGACCAAACTGGCCAACATGGGAAAACCTCGTCTCTACTAAAAATACAAAAATTAGCTGGGCATGGTGGCACATGCCTGTAATCCCAGCTACTCCAGGGGCTAAGGCAGGAGAATCGCTTGAACCCAGGAGGTGGAGGTTACAGTGAGCTATGGGCGAAAGAGCAAGACCTCATCTCAAAAAAAAAAAAAAAGAAAGAAAGAATAAAGGAATGACAACACTTGAAGAGATTGTATAAATAATATTCCAGAATATTCCATGCATTTTTTAATCAAGAAGCACAATGAATTCCACACAGAATAAATAAATATAAAGACACACCTACACACATCATAGTAAGATAGAAGAATACTTAGAATACAGAGTCTATCTTAAGAGCAGCTGGAAACTATACAAATTACCTACAAAGAAGAGACAAATAGACTGACAGCTGACTTCAAAATCAACAGTGGAGGCCACATAAATAATTTCTTAAATGTGCTCAGTGAAAATAAATAATCATGAACCTCAAATTTTATACTCCAAAAACCTGCCATTCAAGAATGAATAAAAATATTTCAGAAGAACAAAACCTGAGATTCCCAGTAAAGAATTTCTAAAGGGTGTACACCAAGAGAAAGAAAAATTATTTTAGAAGAAAATCTGCAACACAAGAAATGACAATCATACCCAGTAGTCCCCCATTATCTACAGTTTTAGTTACCAGTGATCAACTGCAATCTGAAAATAGGTTAGTACAGACGATAAGATATTTTGAGAGAGAGAGAAAGAGAGTTTGACACGTATCCACCATTATTACAGTATCATATGGCACAGTTTCATTGCCCTAAAACTTCCCTGTACCTGGGGAGTGGGCTTCAAGATGACTGACCAGAAGCATTTTATGCCCACCCCTTCCACTTAGAAGAACCAAAATAGTGTATAAACAGTCACATTTCAAATACATTATCCAGAGAGGACACTGGAATTCAAAGGAGAAGTGACAGGAAACAGCAAAAGTGGAGAAGAAGGCAGAGAGGCATGGTGCCTGGCTGGGATTTGCCACATTCATAGAACTTTTATCACAGTACATTGTTACAATTGTTCTATTTTATTATCAGTTATTGTTGTTAATCTCTTACTGTGCCTAATTTATAAATTAGAATTTATTATACATATATGCGTATAGGAGAAAAACACAGTACTGTATGTATGTAGGGTTCAGTATACTGCTGTATAAACTCGGATGATCTTTCAGGAAGTCAATTCAGCTTACACATTCTACCACTCTGCCAAGCCCATTCCAAACACACATTATAGATATTACTTTTCAACCATGACTCTCTTTTCAGCTTAGAGCAGAGCTTCAGAATCTTTCTCAACACAACACTCAAGATAGTTAAAGCTAATTGCTCAAAATTAAACAAATCAATTTGCCACAGTGGGATAAAAATACAAAAAGAGTCTTAGCCAAAATTCTCCAGGATATAGAGTATGAGGCAAACATTTTTGCTCCAGTGCTTTTTTGGAGGTGCAATCCTAAGGAAACATGAATGAAGGAAGCAGAAATGTGAGGCAGGGAAGGAGGGAGAGCAAATTCATCATGATGCATTAAGTATCACAATGTTGCACAAACAAAACATCTCTAAAGAGGTGCCCATACCACTGCTTGTCAGAACAGTCCACTGGATGAAGGCAAGATGAATCCTTTTTCTGCTGGTCCCTTCCATCTTTTGTTTCTCACTGTCAAAGTCCCCCCACAGGGCAATAGCCCTCTCTCTCCCTCCTTCTCTGGGTTGTGTTGCCTGGCCTCTCCAAGCAGCCACTGGGAATGCTATGGCCTCTGTGGGTCCCATCCAGAGACACTCACGGTGTGTCTTGTTGGAGGTGGTGCCAATGGCAGGGGCAGGGGTGGTCACCAGGGCTACCTAGGGCAGCTCCATCAGACAAGCAAGGAGAAGCAGGACCAAACAACTTTGGGCTGTTGCATAAACCAGGTTTGGTACAAGTATGATCCCATTTTTACAAAACGTTTAAAAGGCTATGTATAACATAGATATTCACATGTATATATTTGCATGGTTAAGTCTGAAGGGCTATACCCAAAAATGTCTATAGGGGTTACATCTAAGTGATTTTTTTCTTTGTCTTGCTTGTCTATGCCTCTTAGGCTTGCTATAATAAATTCGTATTTCCTGTATAAAATAAAGAAGCAAGGCCAGGCGCGGTGACTCACACCTGTAATCCCAGCACTTTGGGAGGCCGAGGCTGGTGAATCACCTGAGGTCGGGAGTTTGAGACCAGCCTGACCAACATGGAGAAACCCCGTCTCTACTAAAAGAAAAATACAAAAAGTTAGCCGGGCATGGTGGCACATGCCTGTAATCCCAGCTACTCAGGAGGCTGACACAGGAGAATCGCTTGAACCTGGGAGGCGGAGGTTGTGATGAGCCGAGATCACGCCATTGCACACTAGCCTGGGCAACAAGAGCGAAACTCCATCTCAAAAATTAAATAAAAATAAAATAAAATAAAGAAGCAAAGATACACGCTGGTAATTAAAAATCATATTTTAAAGTATAATATTATCTAATAAATCACAATAAAATTTAAAAAGTGATACTCATAAACAAAATTATAAAGTAAAAATGACCTGCAAAAAAATTTAGTAGCATATGACAAAAAGTATATACGCCCAAGTAAGTCTCAAATGATAAATAACAAATAGAAAAATGGATAAACGGAATAAATAGGAAATGCATCCAAAATGTATATGTATGAAAAATTATTGCAATTAGAACCATGAAAGATGATTTTTTAGCCATAAAATTGACAAATATTTTTAAACAATACTGTGTTGACAAGGGTTCAGGGGAAAGCTCTTCATGCACCAATGGTAGACACATCAACTGTACATCCCAACTAAAGGACAGTTTGGAATACTGTCCTTAGAGCTGAATTGTTCCTCCCTCCTCCAGATTCATGTTTTGAAGTCCTAACCATCAAAATGACTATATTTGGAGATAGGGACTTTAAGTAGGTAATTAAGGTTACACGAGGTCATAAGGGTGAGTCCCTAATCCGATGGGACTGGTGTTCTTATAAGAAGAGAAAGAGAGGCCAGAGACCTCTCTCTCTCTGATGCACACACAGGAGAAGGGCCATGGGAGGACATAGTGGTAGCCTGCAAGTCAGGAAGAGAGCTCTTACCAGACACCAAACACTGCTGGAACCTTGCTGCCTCCAGAACAGTGAGAAAATTAATTTCTATTGTTGAAACCACAGTCTGTGGTATTTTGCTATGATGGTCCAAGCAGACTAATACACATAGCAAAATATTTTTAAATGTGTATGCCTAAATTTAGCCCAGCAATTTAATTTCTGGGAATTTAGCCTAAGGAAATAACAGATAATTTTCTGCAAAATTTAGCACTGTTTCCATTAGTGAAATTTGACAGTGAAGCTGCTCATACCAGAGTATAATGTATATAATAAAATTGAAATCATGGGGTAGAAAACATTAGTGAAAAATTTAATGATATATTTTTAAGTGAAAAAAGCAGATTACAAAATAATGTCATATGACCCCATATATACATGGTGCAGTAGTCAAGCACATGGGCTTTGAGGTGCCCCGGGGGTACAGCCCAATTCATACACACTAGATGGATGACTCTGGGCAAGTTCCCGATTGCCTAGTGCCTCAGCCTCTCCATCTATAAAAGGGGAATGCAAAGGTCTACCACCTATTGCTATGAAGATTCAGATAATGAGGCCATTATAATTAAGGGCTACTACAGATAGTGGCAGCCGAGTGGGTACTTTGGACTCAAAGAGTCAGAGGGCTTCAGACCTGGGTCCAGCCTGCCTCCACTAAGTATATGACCTCTGGCAAGTCACTCCACCTCTCCTGGCTTTAGGTTCTTCATCTTTAGAATGAGGACTCTGACTGGCTGATCTCTGAGGATCCTTGTGGCTCTAACCTCAAAGGATGAGACTCTGTGTCCCATTAATAATGGGAGCCATCATAGCTGTAAGCAACATAAAGAAGAGAACATCATCAGCTGCATATCGCAGCCCTACTCCTCTGGAAGTAAGCAGGGGTTCCCAGCCTTGCATGTAAGAGCAGAGTTTCACAGTAAACAATTCCGCCATTCCCCACGTGAGAGTGGCAGTAGTTTTCATAATCACTGGTTACAAAAATACATCATGGCAAAAAGCTATGTAGCATTGCTCTTAAATTAGTTTTTATTTTAATTAAGCCCAATAGCAACCTCATTTACTTGAAAAATCATAACACATATATGAGAGATGCTTCATTTATCTCAGCCACAGGCCACGCTTGGTGCCCTTATCTTCTTGCAGGCCCTTCATGACCACGCGAAGACCCACTGTTTGAGAACCACTCAGATAGGGACAATTTGGAAACAACTAACAAAAAGGAAGTCTCCTCAAGACCTCCCCGGGAAAGTAGGGGAGGAAGATCTTTCTTTCTCTGCCTGTCTCCAGTTTGAAACTGAGCCAAGGTGTGCAGTGTGCTTGTAGTCTCTGGGAATACTTCTGGTTAGAGTGCCAAACAGGGTCTAGACACCTCTGTAGCCCCTGGGTTTCCATGGGAACTGTGTGAGTTGAGCACTGTGCTGGAAGCAAAATGCACTCCCTCAGCAGAGCTGGAAGCATAAGAAGGTGATAGATTGGATTGTCTCCTCTTTAGATAACCTTCATCATCCAAGAAAGATATTAGCACCATCCCTGGAACTGAAATCTTATTGTTCATTATGATTGCTGAGTGTGCAAAGCTACAAATTGCTACAGAAAACACTGGAACCCATGATTGAAGCACATGGTTTCCAGTCACTAAATGTCTCTTAGTCTAAGTTCCCTCATCTAAAACATTGAAAGTGAAAAGAATGCTAAATTCAATGTGTTGTTAATAAGATAATTAGAAGCTCCTGATAAACTACAAAGCATGATGGAAAGGTTAATTATTATTATTACTAGTAGTATCATGGAATCTTTTCAAGTTAAAAAATACTTGTTTCTCTGTCTCTGCAGAAATCTGGCAACCCAGATAGAAAATCTTTTAATAGCATACAAGAATGACCAGTTTAATACCCAGCAAAACCCACGCATGTTTATTCATCTGTCAAAGGTGCCCTCTGTGCATAAGAATGATCTATAGAAGCCCAAAGGTTGATTATAAAATCTCAAGTGTCTGCTTGCCTCGAGTCATTTTAGATGAGCTATTCAAAATGCATCCTAGTAATCAGTTTGCTGTGATAGACTGGAATAACAAGGAGGAGGGCTTGATTTCCTCTGCTGGAGAGGAAGCACATCCATTGTTGCCTCCCTATCCGTGGGTTACATATCTAGCTCTTTGTGCTTAATAATATGACTCAAGACTTGAAATTTGTGTTCAAATGTATATGCTAGGAAAGAACATGTTACTTTATAAGAAACTGAAAAACTCACAGACAGAAATGAAATCAAACAGCTCACTTGGTATCCAGTATTTCCTAGAATTTGAGGGCCTCTTTATATTTTTTGGAAGGTATAATTCTTTCACATTGCATATGTGCCAGTAAGTTCTTAAAAGTGGGATCTTACTAAATACATTATCGAATATTTACTTTGGTCTTATCTGCTCTGTCATGCTGAGGAAACACTTCCAGTCCAAATTATTAATTAATATCCAATTAAAATCCCAATGCATCTTGTTAACTAGAGTTTAGGAGCACTGGGCATATCCTGGTGATCAGAAGACATCAAGATGCAGAGAATTCAGACCTAGACTGACAATGTGTAAGCAGTGTCTCTCCTCTTTTGTCAACTTGAGGATGTCTGTGTCACTTCTCTGATCCTCCATTTCCTTGTCTGTAAAATGAGTAAAAAATGCTTCCTAACAGAATAAAATGAGAAAATTGGGATAAAGTTGTAAATGTTAAATAAATGTTAATGATTGTTGCTGCTATTATTGGAAAGCTATTAGAGTAAGAACTGTTTGTCCAATTATTCTCAGTGGCCCAAATGCAATGATTGATAGCTGTCATTGTTATTTCCCTTACCACCTCAGTACAGTACGAACCCCCCCAAGGAAAAACATGTGTATATGCTGAAATATTTACAGATGAAATGATGTGATGCCTGGGATTTGTTTCAAAAATAAAAAAGCAAGTTGTAAAATAATACAAGCTATATGCTTCCTTGGAGATAGATATAGATATGGAAATGAAAATGGAAACAGATGCGGATACAGACACAGGCTGAGCAGCAGAGACATAGATGTAGATATAATGCCTAATACTACTAAAGTGATTATATCTGAGAGTAATAAAAAGAGAGCTTTCTTTCCCCTAAAATTTAGATGATTGCCTAAATTCATATCCTCAGAAATCTCCCAGCCAGCCTACCAAGTGATGCTCGTTGTGTTCCTTTATAGTGCCTAACACAATTCTATAAGTATATTTTCTTTTGTTGGCTTCCTTGTTTATTGGCCGCCTCATCCATGAGACTCTACATGTCAGGACACAGAGACTATGGCTGTTTTGTTTATCATTGTGTAGCCAGAGCCTAGCTTAGAGTCTGGCACATACATATATATTAAATGAATGAATGAATGAATGAATGAATGAACAAATGAACAAGGATCCATGCAGGAAAGCAAACGTCTCCACCCAGATAAGTGCATCAGGCTGTAAAGCTGAGGGCATGGGTTGAGTCAGTAGGCATCAAAGGACTGGCATAACAATAAATATCTGCCTGCTATATTGGAAATGAAAGGTGAAGCATTATTGAATGATCTCTGCTTAAATTCAAAGAAACTCCTCCAGGCAATACTTACTTAAGAATCCAGATCTTTAAAATCAAACCCCCTCCTGCAGATGGGGAAACTAAAACCAGAGAAATCACACAGTTGGTAGGTGGCAGAGCTGGAAGCCCAGGTCCTTGTCTGTCAGCCTAGCACTCTCTCAACTGGCCCTCACTGACCCCATTGTAACAGCAATATATCCCAGGCACTCACAGACTGATTGCTCCAGAGGTTCTTCTTGGCTTTTGTTGGCACTGGAGCCTGAAAGTAAATGAATAGACTTGCTTTTCCTATGGCCTTTTTATAGGTTGTTTATCACATAAAATACAGATTTATACCTAGTTTGACACCAACATTCCTTTTATTGCAGAACTATCTCAAATCCCAAACCAATATGAAACTCACTTTCTTCCTCTGACTTCCACAAAAACTTGCCCAGTGTCCCTCAGAGCCAGGTTTGCAGTTCATTGTCAACTTCGTTGGTGTTTTATAGTTATATTTAATTACATGTGATACACGTATTAAATGCATGTAATAGTAATTACATGTATTGAATGCTTACTGTATGCCAGGCACTATTCTACATGTGTCACATGTTGTGACCAATGTTCAAAACAACCCTATGGAAAAGTGATATTACGCCCATTTAAAACATGTGAACTGGGACACAGGTTTCAATAACTCACCTAATTAGCAAGCGGAGGAACTGGGATTGGACCCAAGCAGTCCAGAAACCACACTGATAACTAAAAGTGGTTGTGTTGTCATTTTGTTGTTGTTAAATAAGATAGGTGTTTATTTCTGTGTTGAACACTAGCACAGACGTACCTGGTCCAGGGCTGTGGGGGAGACTCCACCTTCCTCAACATGTCCCTCTTATCTCTAATCCAAGACTGTGGCTCTGCTAACCGCCGCTTCCCAGTCAGTGGGAAGGTGGAAAGAGGAATACTGGAGCAAACCGCTTCCCTTTCTCTTTCTTTAGCAACTTTTCATCTTGAAAAATTTCAACTCTATAGAAAAAAAAGGAAAGACAAAAAAATGGAACCAAGAGCTTTTCACCCAGATTGATTAATTGTGGACATTTTGCTACATTTACGCTATCTCTCCCAGCCCATTAGAAACATTATAAATGAAAATAGTTCACTTGATGAGGTAAAATATTGAGGATAACTTTTTTATTCCCTTTATGGTCAGAATGTTTGTCCCGCAAACACACAGCACACAAGAAAAAACTTTTTTAAAAACATAAACACATGAAAGCCACAACACAAATGTGGCCAGCCTAGTTTCTCCATACAACATAGAGATAGAGTAAACAGAGAGGCAACTGGGATAGAAACAGAATGAACTTTGGAGGCTGGATGCAAGCCGCAGCTCCACTACTTTCTGAGCTTTGTGATAATTGGGCAAATTACTTAGCCTCCCTGAGCTTCCATTTCCTCCTGGGTAAAATGTATAGGAATTATTAAAGATCTGTATTTCCAATGATTCTAATTTAGTAGGTCCAAGGAATCTGCCAAAAATCTGCCTTTTTAACAAGTTCAATGTAGGTGGTTCACAGAACACATTCTGAGAAACATTGAGTAGGAAGGAAGTTAGCTAAGGAATTTCTAAAATGGGGGAAAGAGACCTCAAGCCCTTTACAATGTCTCTTCGGCTCTTCCTTCCCCCACTATACCCGCTTCCCCTTCCCCTTCCCTTATCTTCTCCCGCCTTGGAGGCACCACAGTTTTACCTCTCTGGCTCCAGTTTGGTCTTCTCCAAGTGAAGTCCTCCTATATCATCTTCTTTACCCTACATCCCACCCCTAATTCATCCAAGTTTTCCCACCGGTCTCTAACATAAAGCTCATGCTTCAGACAGCCCTGTCTGCACCTACAACACCTCCCACTTGCCCTTACTCTCTGCCTCCTGTTCAGAGCCCATCTCGGGTCCTCCTCTTCCAAGAAACCCTCCCTCATTATTCCCACCACCCTGAGATCCCCACTCCTTAAACGGTTTAGCATTTAACTCTACTTTGCATTATTCTCCTGGCCCCCTTGTTTTATTCTGAGCACCTCTAAATAAGCTCTGAGCCCCTTGAGGAGCAGTGATCTCTCTTTCCTCATATTCTCTGTGACACTTAGCATACTACTAGACACATAGTAGGCACCAACTCAACCTAAACTGACTGGCCGATTACTTAACTGACTTATTGAGGACGTCTAGATGAGATCACAGAAAGCAGCTCTGAAAGGGTGAGAACAAGTGTGGAGCTTATAGGTTGATGAACCCACTTAGGGGCTCTTGAGTAGCGTTGACCAATCTTTGAGGCTGTTTTAAATAATGAGCTGTTAGTTAAGTGGCAAGATAAAAGTAGAGTTCACAATAAAATCTAAAATGAATGAAAAGCAATGGGGAAACAGCTGCTGTCTCATGCTCTGTTGTCTCTTTGATGAGTTTCAATTAAAAATAGCCTTAATACATAAAATTCCCTGGCGAGTTCCCTTTATTGTCCCTTTAATATGTTACTAAGGAGTTATTGGTATCATTTCATGGCTCCAGCACAAATGCCTCTAGGATTTATTGCTAGGTTCACATCTCTGCTCTTTTATAGATTTCTTCCAAGAAGGGCTTGAATACAGGGCTCCCATTATACGTCCCTTGTGGTAGTTTGGCTACAGCAAGCTGCATCAGCAAATGGCAATAAAGCTCACCAAGGCAACAACGATTACTCACCAGCAGAGTTTGATTTAGAGCAGAATGTTTCTAGAAAGATTCTGATGTAACCCTTTTACTTCCATCTCCCAAGAACATAGAAATGGAAAAATCAATTACAGCTCTCGGGTTTCATATGTTGCTGAGTTTTGCCATAGCAGGAGGCAGGATGGTAAAAAATACACACACACACACACACCCGCACACACACTTCTCTTTAGACAAAGCCATTTTGCAAATAACTAAAAAACAGAGTGCTTCCAAAAAAGGTGGTATGTTTAATTAAGACAAATTACAAAGAAGTACTATTAGAAAGACCTTATTTTTATTTTATTTAAGGGCTTAAAAAAGCTTAAATCACAAACTCTTAGTTATGTCAACAGGCTGTCAATAAAAATCAGTAGGCTGGGGTCACTAGAGTCACTAGCGCACTCATCAGTCCTGGGTCTTTAACCAGTGGTCATTGTCAAAGCTCATTAGCTCGCTCTATATCCAGAGTGGAGACACCATCTATCAGTTACTGTTACTTCGTGACAAACCATACGAAAGAGAGCTTTAAATCCACCTGTGCTTTAAGCCTGGGAAAGAGAGGATAAATGTCCTCGGATATCAGCTCCAACAGAGAAAGTGTCTGCAGAAGGCAACAGGATGATTGTGTATGGGTTGGGCTGGGTGGCTGTTTTGTTTAAATTAACCAATGATTGCTGACTTCATTCTACAGACCTGACTTGCCCTTTCTGGATGTTTCCTAATCTCACTCTCCATAGAAGACCGAAAAATGAGTGTTGTGAAATTAGCACACGTTTAGTGACATTATAATTAGATAACTTTCCCCCTCGAAAGTCCAACTCCTGAATCACTAAACAGATGTGATGTCTGTTCAATGTTTATCTGACTGTAAAAGCAGAGAACAGAAACAATACACTCCTAATTATGCAATAGGGCATGACTCCCCTGACACACAGCCATCAGACACTGCCTTTCTTCATTTTAATACCCTCGGGTATTACAATTCAATAACTTCAGGTATTATTGCCCTTTCTTCTTTTTACAAAAATTAACAGATCATTTGAGCAAACATTTTATTCCCACCTTAGCCAACTTGTACTTATCTAAATGACTGCCATTCAGAATTGTATGATGGACCCCCTCCACCTACCAGATGCTCGGCAAAAGTCTTAGTTCATTAGATTGTCTAATGACCAACAGCAGTGCTTCCCAAACTTTATTGCATTTTCAGATCACCCGAGGATCCTGTTAAATTGTAGCTTCTGATTCAGGAAGTCTGCCGTGGAGCCTGAGAGTCTCCAGCTCTAACAAGCTCCCAGGTGATGCTGATGCTGCTGATCTGAGATGCACACATTGAGCACAGATAACCTTGATAATCTTCTCTAAAATTTCCAACAGAAAATAGAAACACAGTTACGTAATTGCATCTGATTTGTTTCCTGAAAGATAACAATGATTATTTTTAAAGAGAGTGGATTTTAAACATGAATTTTAAAACACAGTAGTAATCTCCCTAAATGTTATCTCCATGGATAGACATCTTTTTAGATCTCAGAGAGGTCCTTTGAGGCCAATGAGTATTGACTTCAGGAAGTGATCCAAGGCAGAACACACACAGATTCATTTAAAGCAAAGCTTAAAGCCAATAGTTATCCACAGCTGCACTATTGATGACTGCTTGGCTCTTCCTTTGCAGTAAATGTACATAAACAAATCGAAATATGCTCTCTTTATTTTTGAAAACCTCTTCCTGAGAATAGGATTCAAGTTCATGTTCTCACCTATAGCATCTGCTGTGCAAAGTTTATTTAAGTGTGACGTACTTAAATAAGATTTCTGAAATTACTAAAATTAACTCCCTTAGAAATTTATTAGCCTAATATAGATTCAACTATGGACATAAATGTCAAAGATTCACAATATTCTAGTTCACATTTCATGATTTTATGATCCTGTACTTAATAGCAACTTTCTTCTGAGGAGCTCATAACACCTCATATTCATTCTCCCAATAAACTTTTCTGAGTTTGTTAAGACAATGGGTCACATTATAAATTTCTGGATTTGCAAGGTTAATATCTAAAGGCAATATAATTTTTCTATAATTCGGGTAAGTAGATACTAAATAGAACATCTAGGTTGAATATGATTCTCTTATTGAGTATAATTAAGCTTTCCAAAAGAGTGGTTAACACCATTAGACTCACAGATACTAGCATAATTTCCTATACACACAAGGAACATTGTAATAAAACAGCTGAATATATTCATTCCACAGATAACTAACATCTGGAATAATAATAATAATAACTATTGTTTATAATAAATCATGGACTATTCTAAACATTTTACATATAAGTTGTTATTCTTTAAAACAACTTTATATGATAGATGTTATTATTACACCCATTTCACAGATAAAGTGAAATGCTGAGAGGCTGAATAATCAACCCAAAGTTATAAAACTAGTAAGTACTAAAGCCAGAATCCAACCAAACCCAGGCAGCCTAACTTTTGTGCTCAAGCTCTACCATATGCCAGACACCATCCTAGGCAATGATGATGAAAATTAAAGGTGCTTATGGGAACGGCAATGTGTTGTATTCACAGCATCTCCACTGATGCACAACTCACTTCTCCCTATCATTAGTCATTATGTCCTTCTTTTCAGCTGAGCTCAAATTTGGCCTGACAGCCTTTCTCAACCCAGAGTTCCAAGGCAGCCATTATCAACTACAGATGGTACATGAATCAAAATTTATTTGCCATGCCTGATTGTGTGCACAGAGCACAATCATTTCCTAATCTTTAAATACTTGTATTTCAAATGCTTATTCGCAAGTTGGTATAGGTTGCACCAGGGAATTTTCACATCAAAATTCTTTACAAATGCCCTATACAGGCTTTAATATTTCTTTAGCCTAAGAATTTGGGAAGGACACTTACCTGCCTGAAATCCTATATTATTTTTTAAATCTACTATCTATAGGAAAAATTAAAATTAGAATCCTATATCCTAAAAATGGGAATGATAGACACTGGGGACTACTAGAGAGGAGGAGATAGAAAGTGGGGAAAGGGCTGAAAAACTACCTGTTGAGTACTGTGCTTACCACCTGGGTAATGATTTCAGTTTATCCAAACCTCAGCATTACACAATATACCTTTGTAACAAACCCGCACATGTACTCTGCTCTAAAATAGAAGTAGAAAAAGAAAAAAAAATTGAATCCTATGTCCTACAATATAAATACATTCAGATTTTTAAATTTTTGTTTAAAAAAACATACTGGAAAAAATATGAGATTACATTTTTACAATCTTGAGGGGAACAAACATTTCTCAAGCATGATGAAAGTCCACAAACAACATAGAAAGACAGATTTAACTACACAAAATTGCAAAACTTCTTTACAACCAGGATACTACAAGGAAAGTTAAAAAACAAATGACATCATTTCTGGATAGCTGAGATAATGGTGGCTACCTAAATCTGAATATCTCCACACATCCTCCCAAAAACAACATAGGTCAAAAAGAAGAAAAAAGATACATACACAAATTCCACACCTTCATCAAAACCAGTAACACTACAAACTTTAAATTATCTGTAATTAACAAAAAAAATGTATGTACAGACACACTATACTAAATCTTCCACTACAAACCTTAGCAGAGATTGATCAGGGGAAAGAGGATCTCCAGAAAATCTGGGAGGAAGAGAGAAGAGGGGATTAAGCTAAAATAGCTCCCAGAAAGAGAAAGCCCATCTTCAATGTCAAAATACTGAAAGAGAGTTTTTGTGGATAAGAATACAGACAACAAGGAAGAAACTGAAAAGTAACATGAGATTCAGGGAGGCAGTTCTGGAAAGGCTGGGGAAGAAAAAGATAAAGGAAAAGTTTTGGTGATCTTTGGAGACTGCGTAGAGAATGCAAAAAGAAACAAGAGGGAAAGATTTAGGAACCTGCAAGACAAAAGAATACAAAAATAATCAAAGGACACACAAAATTATTAGGGCTAAATAATTCTTTATTATGGGGGGGGTGTCTATCTTGTGCATTTGTAGGATATTTGGCAATATCCCTGGCCTCTACCTACTAGATGTCATTAGCACCCCACCCCTAGATATGACAACCAAAAATGTCTCCAGACATTGTCAAATTCCCCTGAGGGGCATAGTCACATCCCATTGAGAACCACTGACCTAGAGCAATGATTTGTGAATTTCTGATTGGTTTGTTTGTTGTTTGAAGTCTCTTCTTTAGATGTTTTGCCTTTTTGTAGTAAACTTTTAAGGGGAAAAAAATAATGAAAATTAAGGAAGGAAAAGACATTTCACTCCTTCGTTCATTTATTTCAAATTCAGTAAGAATTTGTTGAATGTATTGAAAGGTAACAGACATTGTGTAAAAGATGAATAAGTAAGGCAAGCACAACCCGAACTTTTATACTTTTCATATGACTTATTTAATTTAATATTATCATGGATTGATTAACATCTACATTTCTAAGAATTGCTACCACAATTATTTTTAATCTAGGATCTTAACACACAAGCAAAACACTATATATGTCGTTTTGCTACAAATGTTTAGAAAACTCACTGTGGATAACTATTTTTGGTGCTATCATTGAAATTCTCTTTGTACAGTATTGTTAGATATTGCTATGATAATGTTGTGTAACATATAACCATAAAATCTCAGTGGCATACCACGATAGGCATTTATTTAATTTGCACATCGCTGTGTGGGCCAGGGCCCAGCTGATCTAGCCTGGGCTCAGTTTGGGTGGCTCTGTTCCTTGTGCCCCTCACCCTCTTCCACCTATGGGCAGTTGAGAGGAGGCATATTCTTTCATGGTAATGGCAGAGGCACAAGAGAAACAGAATCACAAAAGAATTGGACTCAGAACTGTTATGCTGTTGCTTCTGTTCTATTCTCTTCAGCCAGCACAATATCACAGGGCAGAGAAAATATCCTCCACTCACAGGAGTGAAGGGAACTGTAAATTCACATAGCAAAGGACAGAGACACAGCAAGGGTTGAAGGATTAGGGCCAATGTTACCATTTACCACAGCAAGAAAAAAACCTTAATTTTGTTTTCCTATTTCAAAGTTAAGATTTCCAGGCTGGGCACAGTGGCTCACTCCTGTAATCCCAGCATTTTGGAAGGCCAAAGCAGTCAGATCGCTTGAACCCGGGAGTTCGAGACCAGCCTGAGCAACATGGTGAAACCCCATCTCTACAAAAATAGAAAAATTAGCCAGGTGTAGTGGTGCACGCCTGTAGTCCCAGCTACTTGGGAAACTGAGGTAGGAGGATTGCTTAAGCCCAGGAGGTTGAGACTGCAGTGAGCCTTGAGCGTGCCACTGAATTCCAGCCTGGGTGACAAAGCATTACCCTGTATGAAAAAAAGAAAAAAGAAAAAAAAAGATTTCTGAACACAGACTCTTAATTAATCCAATAGCAGAGTAACAGTTTTCAACAATGAAAAAAATGAAGTCATCAACTTCAGAGGGATTATGATTTCAGTATGCTTTTTTTAGAACAGCAGCAATACCAAATTTATTTTTTTACAGCAGTTCATTTCTAAAGACCAACATTTCAATGATAAATGCCAGCAAGTGACTTTTACTATCATCTATACTACACCTTTTAAAGGAATTTTAAGCAAGAAACTTTTTAGATGTCATTATTTGTATTCTTTATTTGTTCTTAAAAAGAATTTTTCTGAAACATAACACTTCTTAAAATCAAATATGAATCCCTCAGATTTAGATTTCCACATTCTTTATACTCCAGGGGAAAAAAATAATTGGATTGTGCTTTCTCATTCGTGACCATTTAAATATTCAGTTTCTTAGGTTACATTTTAGTGTGTTTTTATGTTTTATTCAGGACACAATGTTCCAGCAAATATCACAAACCCAAATCAATGGCTTATACCGACATTAAATATGTCATTAACATGCTTGTTTCCAGGAAAGTTCAATGAGAAGACGTCAACAAACCTGCAGAGAAAGGCTTACTGCATTCAAAATAAATGATAGAAGAGGCACCAGAAATAACTTAAAACATTTAGGATGATCAAGAGGAGAAAAAGAAATGTGAAAATATCTAGCTGTCTTGGCAGACAAAGATTATCCCGATTTCCATATACACAGAGCTAGCAACAAAACAAAGTGTATGTCATTTTCCACAGCAATCACGCTGTTCCTTTCATCTCTGGGACTTAGATGTTCACAATGTAATGTGACTAACACCTTAGGTCCCTGGTCTCTAATGTCCGTGTCACCACAAGCCACAGCAGGATCCCACAGTGCAGCATTTCCAGAAAACAGCACTGAAAGATCAGCAACTCAGATAGAGGCACCAAAAAGAAGATACCATATGTCAGGTTATAGAAGTTTTTCATCTCTTTTTCATTCATTCACTTACTGAACAGAGAACGTTTACTAGTCATGCCTTTGAAAGGTAACACATGTCCCACTGGCTGGGATTGACCTTGAAAATGAAGAGGGAGAGAAGGCTGGGGCTAGCCCAACGATGTTGAGCAAGTGAGAACTTCTTAGTATTCAGAAATAAGGGGGGATGGCATCTGCTGAGGTGGCCTGTAAACTTTAGTCTGTAGAAAGGTTTGGCAATACACCTTTGGCCTACGGTGCTTTAAAGAAAGTTTCAGATTAGAGGAGGATGTGCTGGTGGCAGGGGGTCATGAACACTGACAGCAGAGAGAGGGGCCTGAAGAACTTGAAGAACAGACCAAAATCCCAGGTATAAACTCAATCACTTATACTCATCTGAGTTCATTTTTGAGGCTGTCTCATAATAATTCATATTCACAATGATGACCCAGAGTCACTCAGAAGGTATTGAATTGTGTTCAATTCACTCTTTTTAAAAATGCAAAATAAGTAAAATTCTTTTTTAAAAGATTTTAATGAAAAGTTGTTACATATTTTTAAGAGCTGTATTGAGGCATAATTAATGAACAATATAATCCATATATGTAAAGTGTACATTATTGGAGGTTTTGATATATGAATATATCTGTAAAACCATCCCAAAAATTATGAAAATGAGCATACTTATTACCTCCAAAAGATTATTCACACCCCTTTGTAATGCCTTTTTCCTGCATATCTCCGCCCCATGAACAATCTCTGGGCAACTATTGATCTGCTGTCACTGTAGATTAGTTTTCATTTTCTATAATTTTGCATAAATGGAATCATACACTATCTAATCTTTTTGTTTGGCTTCTTCCAGTCAATGTGATTGTTTTGAAATCCATCCATATTGCTGTGTGTATCAATAGTTCATTTTTTTCAAATTGCTGAATAGAATTCCATTATGTGAGCATACTATAACTTGTTTACCCTTTTACCTGTTGATGGATATATTATAATTGTTTCCAGCTTGGGGCTATTAAAAATAAAGTTCTTGAAAACATTTATGTATAACTCTTGGTATGGAGATATGCTCGTTTCTCTTGGATTAATACCTTAGAAAGGAATGACTGGATTAGACAGTAGGTATATGTTTAACATTTTCAGAAATTATTTTTAGAAATTGTTTTCCAAACTGACTGTAGTATTTTCCATTTCTTCCAGCAGTAGATGAGAGTTCCAGTTACTCCACATCTATACCAACACATGGTAGAGAGTCAGTCATTTTCATTTTAGATATTCTAACAAGTCTGTAGTGGTATCTGAATGTAGTTTTAATTTGTATTTTCCTAGTAACGAATGAGGTTCAGCATATTTTCATGTGCTTATTTCCCATACATATATATTTTTTGGTAAAACTACTATCCAAATGTGTTGTCCATTTTTTAATTGCGTTGTTTGTTTTCTTATTATTAGTCTTTGAAAGTTCTTTATATATTATTTGTACATGTCCTTTATCAGATATATGATCTGCAAATATTTCCTCCCCATCTGTGGCTTGTCTTTTTATTCTCTTTTTTTTCTGTCTTTTTTTAAATTTTTTTTATTATACTTTAAGTTCTAGGGTACATGTGCACAACATGTTTGTCACATATGTATACATGCGCCATGTTGGTGTTCTGCACCCATTAACTCATCATTTAGCATTAGGTATCTCTCTAATGCTATCCCTCCCCCATCCCCCCACCACATGACAGGCCCCGGTGTGTGATGTTCCCCTTCCTGTGTCCAAGTGTTCTCATTTTTCAATTCCCAACTATGAGTGAGAACATGTGGTGTTTGTTTTTTTGTCCTTGTGATAGTTTGCTGAGAATTATGGTTTCCAGCTTCATCCATGTCCCTACAAAGGACATGAACTCATCATTTTTTATGGCTGCATGGTATTCCATGGTGTATATGTGCCACAATTTCTTAATCCAGTCTATCATTGATGGACATTTGGGTTGGTTCCAAGTCTTTGCTATTGTGAATAGTGCTGCAATAAACATACATGTGCATGTGTCTTTATAGCAGCATGATTTATAATCCTTTGGGTATGTACCCAGTGATGGGATGGCTGGGTCAAATGGTATTTCTAGTTCTAGATCCTTGAGGAATCGCCACACTGTCTTCCACAATGGTTGAACTAGTTTACAGTCCCACCAACAGTGTAAAAGCGTTCCTGTTTCTCCACATCCTCTCCAGCACCTGTTGTTTCCTGACTTTTTAATGATCACCATCTAACTGGTGTGAGATGGTATCTCATTGTGGTTTTGATTTGCATTTCTCTGATGGCCAGTGATGATGAATATTTTTTCATGTGTCTGTTGGCTGCATAAATGTCTTCTTTTGAGAAGTGTCTGTTCATATCCTTTGCCCACTTTTTGATGGGGTTGTTTGTTTATTTCTTGTAAATTTGTTTGAGTTCTTTGTAGATTCTGGATATTAGCCCTTTGTCAGATGAGTAGATTGCAAAAATTTTCTCCCCTTCTGTAGGTTGCCTCTGATGGCAGTTTCTTTTGCTGTGCAGAAGCTCTTTAGTTTAATGAGATCCCATTTGTCAATTTTGGCTTCTGTTGCCATTGCTTTTGGTGTTTTAGACATGAAGTCCTTTCCCATGCCTATGTCCTGAATGGTATTGCCTAGGTTTTCTTCTAGGGTTTTTATGGTTTTAGGTCTAAGATTTAAGTATTTAATCCATCTTGAATTAATTTTTGTATAAGGTGTAAGGTAGGGATCCAGTTTCAGCTTTCTATGTATGGCTAGCCAGTTTTCCCAGCACCATTTATTAAATAGGGAATCCTTTCCCCATTTCTTGTTTTTCTCTGGTTTGTCTAAGATCAGATGGTTGTAGATCTGTGGTATTATTCCTGAGGGCTCTGTTCTGTTCCATTGGTCTATATCTCTGTTTTGGTACTAGTATCATGCTGTTTTGGTTACTATAGCCTTGTAGTATAGTTTGAAGTCAGGTAGCGTGATGCCTCCAGCTTTGTTCTTTTGGCTTAGGATTGTCTTGGAAATGCGGGTGCTTTTTTGGTTCCATATGAACTTTAAATTAGTTTTTTCCAATTCTGTGAAGAAAGTCATTGGTAGCTTGATGGGGATGGCATTGAATCTATAAATTACCTTGGGCAGTATGGCCATTTTCACGATATTGATTCTTCCTATCCATGAGCATGGAATGTTCTTCCATTTGTTTGTGTCTTCTTTTATTTCGTTGAGCAGTGGTTTGTAGTTCTCCTTGAAGAGGTCCTTCACGTCCCTTGTAAGTTGGATTCCTAGGTATTTTATTCTCTTTGAAGCAATAGTGAATGGGAGTTCACTCATGATTTGGCTCTCTGTTTGTCTGTTATTGGTGTATAAGAATGCTTGTGATTTTTGCACATTGACTTTGTATCCTGAGACTTTGCTGAAGTTGCTTATCAGCTTAAGGAGATTTTGGGCTGAGACAATGGGGTTTTCTAAATATACAATGATGTCATCTGCAAACAGGGACAATTTGACTTCCTCTTTTCCTAATTGAATACCCTTTATTTCTTTCTCCTGCCTGATTGCCCTGGCCAGAACTTCCAACACTATGTTGAATAGGAGTGGTGAGAGAGGGCTTCCCTGTCTTGTGCCAGTTAAGGATCTTTTGAAAAGAAGAAGTTCTTAGTTTTAGTGAAGTTCAGTTTAATTTGTTTTTTTATATATCATGTTTTTGGTGTTTCATGAAGAAATATTTGCCTAATTTTGCTAGGTGCAGTGGCTCACGCCTGTAATCCTAGCTGTTTGGGAGGCCAAGGCAGGCGGATTGCTTGAGCTCAGGAGTTCAAGACCAACCTGGGCAAAATGAGGAAATCTTGTCTCTACTAAAAATACAAAAAATTAGCTGGACATGATGGTGTGCTCCTGTAATCCCAGCTACTTGGAGGGCTGAGGCAAGAGAATCTCTTGAACCTGGGAGATGGAGGTTGCAGTAAGCCAAGATCACACCACTGCACTCTAGTCTGGGTGACAGACTGAGACCTGTCTCAAAAAAAAGGGAAGGGAAAGGAAGGGAAGGGAGGGGAGGGGACGTGAGGGGAGGGACGGGGAGGGAAGGGGAGGGAAGGGAAGGGCCTAATTTAAGGCCAGAAAGAGTTTTCTCCCCATGTTTTCTTAATCACCAAATCAATCTGGTTCAACTTTTATGTAACAAAGCTGAGTTGTTTTTCAGTTGCCACAGACCGCCCCCAGGCTGAAGGTCATGTAACCTGAGCATACCCAGATGAACCAAGCATGCAGCGATGAGCAGAACATAAGTGCTTGGACCAAGAAACAGGGGCCAAATTAAGATGCAGAAGGCAAATGGCAGGATCAAGGATTCAATCAGATCAAGCCCTGGTGTCACCCCATTGTAGAAGCCAGTCAAATTAGACCTCCCAGCATCACCTCATTGCAAGATCCAATCACATCATGCCTCATTATCCTCTGACTATAAAATCTGCCCTGAACCCCAGCTCCAGATTTGAGTCAGGCACTGATCTCTTTGCTCAACAGCCTTGCCACAAACTTTTCTCTGTACAAAAACCTAGCGCTTCAGTGTTTGGCTTTCAATTGTGTACTGGCAAATGGACCCAGTTCAGTTCAGTGACAGTAAGAGTTTTTAGTTTCAGGTTTTACATTTAGGTCCGTGATCCCTTTTGAGTTAATTTTTGTGTATAATATCAGGGGTTCTTTCATATCCCATTGTAACACCACCATTTTTTGAAATGAGTATCTTTCCTCCTTGAATTGTCTCTGCTATTTAGTCAAAATCAGGTTGACCCCATATGTGTAGTTCTATTTCTGGACTCTATATTCTGTTCTGCTGATCTATTTGTCTATTTTTATGCCAGTACCATACTGACCTTGATTACTATAAGACTAAAATCTTATAAGGTAGTGTTAGCCTTCTACTTTCTCCTTTCTAAAGTTCTTTGGCTGTTTGCATTTTCATATAACTTTTAGAATCAGCTTATCAATTTCTACATAAAATTTTCTGGAATTTAGATTGATAGATTGCATTGAATCTATCAATCAATTTGGAGACAATTGAAATTTCTAAAATACTGAGTCTCTGATCCATGAAGACATTATCTCTCTCTGTTTGTTTAGGTCTTCTTTAATCCCTCTCACCAATATTTTATAGTTTTCAGCGCACAGGTCTTGCACATCTTTTGTCAGATTTATCCCTAAATATTTCATGATTTTCATGATTTTAATTCTATTATAAATAATATTATTTTAAAATTTTAATTCCACATTATTTGTTGCTAGTAAATATAAATGCAATTTTAATTGTATATTGATCTTGTATCCTGCAAACTTGCTAACTTACTTATTCATTCTAGTGACTTTTTTGTAGAGTCCATAAAATTGTCCACATAGATGATCTATGAATAAAAACTAATTTACTACTTCTGTTCTAATCTAGACGCTTTTTATTTTTTTTCTTGCTTTACTGAATGGACTACAACCTCCAGTTCAATAGAAGTATGATAACAGATAACCTTGTTTTGTTTCTATCTCAGGAAGAAAGCATTTTAAGTATGATGTTAGTTTTGTTTTTCATAAATGTCCTTAATCAAAATGAGGATGTTTCTCTTCTATTCCTAGTTTGCTAAGATTATTTTTTTAATCAGGAATGGTTATTAGACTTTGTCAAATGCTCTTTCTGCATCTTTTGAGATGATCATATGATTATTATTTTTAAATTTGTTTTAATATGGTGAATTATTTTCATTAATTTTCAAATGTTAAACCAATCTTGCATTCCTGGGATAAACCTCTCTTGGTAATGATACATATTCTTTTTATATATTGTAGGGTTTGATTTTCTATATTTCATGAAGAATATTGGTTTTGTCAAGAGTTGAACTGAGTTGGAGAGTGCTTAGCTTCTGGATGTCAGAGTAGCCATTAAGACAAACCAAGATGAAAATAACATTGAAGCCTTGAATCCAAGCTTGTCCAATCCATGGCCCACAGGCTGTGTGTGGCCCAGGATGGCTTTGAATATGGCCCAACAAAACTTGTAAACTTTCTTAAAACATGATGACATTTTCTTGCTTTTTTTTTTTTTTAGCTCATCAGCTGTCATTAGTGTCAGTGTATTTTATGTGTGGTCCAAGACAATTCTTCTTCCAATGTGGCCCAGGGAAGCCAAAAGATTAGACACCCCTAACTGAATCACTTACTGCAATAGTATAAGCCAGAGGCCAAACAGGAGAAAGTGCTGGTTCCCTCAATGTCCCCTTTTTGCCCTATAGAATGACATCCAGTTGGGGTCAGATGTCTCAGCATAGACTGAGGGACATTGTCTCACGGTCAAGGGCTCGCCATATAAAAGGCTCCTACCATTCTATGGGACCCAGAGGGTGGGGAGGGAGGGTAAAGGGGAAGGACCAGAGTAGAAAAGTACTGAGTACTGAGTCAGAGTGGAGAAAAGTGTCTTCAAATCCTCCCCAACTCCACTTTCCAATGAGGAGGGAGGTCTTGGCAGCGATGTCCCAACCAAAGGCCTCTCCAAGTGGCTAGCCAAGGGGCCTGAGTCCTGGACTGCAACTCCCTTCAGAAACTTCAGTGCAAGTCTGGTGTTGGCAGGGCAGCTTTCCCCATGAGACCTGCTAGATAAAACCTTTGTAATTACCTTGGTCAGGCCTAAAAGATCATACATAGAATTTTGGCCAGAGCCAGGCTCCAGATTTGTGATTTTTTTTTCCTTGTAATGTTTTTGTCAGGTTTTGGTATCAATGCAATTCTAGTTTCATGAAATGAGCTGGAAAGTACTTTCTCCTTTCCAATTTTCTGGAAGAGTTTGTGAAAATTCGTATTGTTTCTTTCTTAAATGTTTGGTAGGATTTACCATTGAAGTTATCTGGTACTGAATTTTTCTTTGCGGGATGTTTTTCACTACAAACTCAAACTTTGTAGATATAGGGATATTTAGGTTATCTATTTCTTCTTGAATGAGCTTTAGTAATTTGTATCTTTCAAGGAATTTGTCCATTTCATCTATATTGTTGAATTTATTGGCAAGAAGTTGTTCATGGTATTCCCTTATTATCCTTTTAATATCCCTGTAATCTGTAGTGACGCCACCTCTCAATCCTAATCAGTCTGGCTAGAGGTTTATCCATTTTATTGACCTTTCAATAAGCTTTTGGTTTCATTAACTTTTTTCTATTATTTTTGTCTTCTGTGTCATTCAATGGTGCTCTGATAATTATTGTTTCCTTATTCTGCCTATCTGTATTTTATTTGCTCTTCTTTTACAGCTTTCTTAAGGTGGAAGCTAAGGTCATTGATTTGAGAACTTTTTTCTGTTCTAACACAGTTATATAGCACTGTATTTTTTTCTCTAAGTCCTGCTTAAGCTGTATGCCACAAATTTTGATATGTTATATTTTCATTTCCTTCAGTTCAAAATACTTTCTAATTTCTCTATTAATTTCTTCTTGGACTCACAGTGTATTTAGAAATGTTTCTTTATCTTCCAAATGTTTGGGGATTTTACAGATATCTTTCAGTTGCTTTCTAATTTCAGTCACTTGTGGTCAAAGAGCATAATGTGTGTGACTTGAATTATTTTAAACGTATTGAGATTTGTTATGTGGTCTAAAATATGCCCTGCCTTGGTGAATGTTCTGTGTACACTTGAAAGAATGTGTATTTTGCTGTCATGAAGTGGAATGTTCTAGAAATATCAAAAAGGTCAAGTTGGTTGATAGTATTAGTTAAGTCTTCTATATTCTTACTGAATTTTAGTCTACTTATTCTAGCAATTTTTGAGATATGACTGTTGAACCTGTCAATTATAGTTTCTGCTGATATGCCTTCAAGTTTCCTAGTCTTTTCTTCTGTAATGTCTAATCTGCCACTAACACAATTTAGTGTGCTTTTGGTCTTATTGTTGCTTTAATCTCTAGAAGTTCAATTTGGGTCTTTTAAAAATATCTTTCATATCTCTACTTAACATGTTCAACCTTTCCTTTAGCTTCTTGAACAGATATAGTTATTGCTGTTTTAATGTCTTTGTCTAGCATTTCTAACATTTGTGTCAGTTTGGGGTCAGTTTCTACTGACAGATTTTTTTTTTCTTTTTACCTAATTGCAGGTTGTATTTCATATTTATCACAATCTGGGACATGGTTAAGTTACTTGGAAACTTCAAGTCTTGCTTTCAGGCTTTGTCAGGCAGGACCAGAGTAGCATTTAGGATACAGCTAATTTTGCTGTGCTACTGAGAGAAAATACTTCTTAATATTTCACTGGATACCCTGTGAATTATGACATTTTCCACCACCGCTGGTGGGAGCAGGCACTATTCCCTGTGCCATGTGAGCCCGAGAGGTTGCTCCCTCTAATCATTCTGAGTGGTTATTCCCAGAGCCCAGTTGGGTTTTACATATGCATGAGCTGATCAGTACTCAGCTGAATGCTTGAGGGGACCCTATGCATGTCTCTTGAGTTCTCTGTGCATCTCTCTTTCTCTGGTACTCTGTCCTTGAACTCTAACCACTTGGCTTAACTTACCTGGACTTCCAGCTCCAGCCCCTAGACTCAGGGAGGTTGCCAAGCTCTGTTCTGGATTTTCTCCCTGTCCCACAGCCTAGACACTGTCTCAAGACAGTAAGCTGGGGCAACTGTAGGGTTCGCCTTGCTTGTTTACCGTCTCTCAAAGGTCACTGTTGTGCCGATCTGATGTCCAATATCCTGAGAACCATTGTTTCATATACTTTGTCCTATTTTTTACTTATTTCAGGCAAGAGAGCAAATCTAATCATTATTACTTCATCATGACCAGAAGCAAAGGTCCAAAATTTGTCAAATATTTTAATGTCAGCAAAATAGTTTGTTTTTTTAGTATAAATGTATTTTTAAAATCTACACTGCACTCAAGTCTACTTATTTTTCAATTTTGGCAGATAAAACCAGGTTTTCATATAAGCTGTTGTTCATCATGAGACTGTCCAGCTGTAAATACTAGGAAATAATGGACTCTGAACTAAGAGTTGTATAGGTCTAGATACACATTTTCAAGGAGCAATAACAAGAGATCAATAAACAATTAACTTTTTTGAGGAGTCGACATTTTAGATGTTACCAAACTGTTGAACTTTGAATGTCTTCACTAGAGTGGCATCTAACAAAAACTAAGGAAACCTCTGCATGTGGGCACACACCCCTTTAGGGAGCCTTTCTTGGCTTAATTCATTGACTCAGTACAATTTATTGAGCTCCTATTGTCACAGGGTCCTTAGGGTGTCGCTTCACCAACTGGAAATCTCTGTGGCCAGCAGTGCCTCTACTTGGGTTTTGCTTGTGCCCGCTGGCTCATTCTGCCCACTCAGTCCAGCACCTGCACTCAGCTTGCGCTACTGGCCCAGATCCCATACCTGCCAAGGGGGAGCCAGCTGCAGAGCAGTGAGAGGTGTGTGAGTGAGTGAGTGCAGGGTCTGGCCACTGTGTACAGCCAGGTGTACCAGCTATAGCAGGGCAGGCAGCTCTAGCTGCCAGCACAGGTGCTGGCTCCATGTAAAGCTACAGCTGGACCAGACATACTGCAAGCAGCTTCCGCTGTGGGCACCAGCATCTGGACATGGAGAACGCAATGGTGCCAGAAAACTCAAAGACACCAGGAACTGCAGAGCCCCAAAGAGGGTGTTACAGCATGCCACGGCCCTGGCTTGGGGAGCTCCAAGTTCTAGGCTCCCAGAAAGGTGGCAGCTCTTCTCTCCTTCTCATCACCTGCAAGGTGGTGAATAGGGAGCATGTTTCAGCCCTGTTTGTGTTACAGCTCTTTCAATCTCACCTTTCAGTGGGTCCCAAGTTCTTGTCCCTCATCCAAGAAGAATGAGGTATACAGATAACTGGAGGGTGAGCAAGGCAGCGAGAACTTTACTGAGTAACAGAACAGCTTGCGGGAGACCTGAAGTGAGTGGCTCCTTTCTGCAGACAGGTTGTCCAGCTCTCAACGGAGAGGAGACCTGCAGTGGGTAGGTCCTTTCAGCAGGCAGGTAATCCCAATGAGTGTGCAAGTCTGACTGAGTCTGGGATTTTTATGGGCTCAGAAGGGAGGAAGTGCATATTGAATGGACCATAGGTGGCCATGGGCAGGCCTGGAAAATGCACCATAAGTTCTCGTCCTGGGTCACGGACCCCACCTGGAACTGGCAGCCTGGCCCCAAGGCTGCAGGTCATCCCTGGCTCGAAGGTGGATCTTCACCAGGGACCCACCCCTTCCCTCCTAGAAATCTGTCTGCCTCCTGCAACTATCAACATGCTCTCCATGGTGCCCAGACTGCTTGCACCAAGGGGCACCTACAGGCCTGCACCAAACTGCCCTCAGCAGCCCCCAGCCTCCCTCCCTGAGCTCACTGGTGCCCAAAGTTTCAGAGGGGGCTGAGGCAGTGTGAGGGCTGGTTGCAACAATGCCTGGGCTTGGCTTCAACTTTGCTCTGAAATTGGAGCGGGCACCAGGAGCAGGGAGAGGCCAGGGAGCAGGAGTGGGCACTTCTGAGCCTGTGGAGAAGGAGAGCTTCCTGGGCTCCCTAGAGTGCAGGGATGCCTGGATCTGGAGCCATGGCTGGGCAGCTGCAGCCCTGCCCAGGATCACAGGGCTCCCATCCCACCAACTCAGTAGGGGGCAAGGCTGCTGCCTGTTCCCAGGCCCTGCCAGCTCCATGGAGTGTACAGCCCCAACTATGCCTCCCCTGCTGCAGTTGGCATTCCCACAGCAGCTGCTCCAGATGGGCCACTGCCACCATCACTACTTACGTGTCAGTGACTATTCAAGGTCCTAGAGATAGAGCAGGAAATAAGACAAGGATCTCAATCTTCATGGAACTTTATTTTACCCACAATAAGAAAACATTCAACAGCTCTGTTAAGGAAAAATAGATCAGAGTAAAAGAGTAAAGAACGTCTGTAGATAATATTTTAAATGGAGCTATCATGGACAGCCTCTATAAGAAGGTTACATTGGATTTAAGAGAAATGAGAAAGGAAGCCATGCAAAATTCAGCGAAGAGTATTCGGCGAAAGGAAATAGAAAGTACAAATACCCTGTGGCAGAAATGAGTTGGGTTTATTTTAACATTCTTTTTTAATAAAAATGTAAATTCTTTCCAATGAGTACAAGCCAAGGTTTAATTTAATATTCTGATAGAAATATAATCTAAAATCAACAGTAACTACACTACTTAATGTTGTTTACCTACATGCATTCATTCATATTTTCATTCATATCATAAACTACATATTAAGCACCCTGCTGTGTATGGAAATGCAAAGATGTGTTGCCCCAAAAAAATCCTCACATTCGGTGGCAGTGAGCTGAGATCGCAGCTTTGCATTCCAGCCTGGGCAACAAGAGAGAAACTCTATCTCAAAAACAAAAACAAAAACAAAAAAAACCCTCACATCCACAACTTAGTAGGAGAGGTTTTAAGACATGTATAATAAGCAATGATTGTAACAGTGGGGATAATGGGTCTTCCAGTTTAAGACCCCAAAGGAAATATTAATTCTGACAGGTCAGACTGTCTTGCTCACATCTGAATGGCCCCCTGGGCCCTATGTAGGTGAAAGGTAAGAAAGTGTGCTTAGGCATGAAAGAGATGAGGGGGCAACATGATTTGTGTAAAGTTGAGAAGTAGCAGTTGAAAGAGAAGAGCAATTTTTCACAGATCAAAGAGCATGCCCTTCTGCCCTGCCCCTCTGTGTTCATGCCCAAGTTCTTAGGAAGAAGAGATACATAAAAAGGTAAAAAGGTATTTACTGCTGACATCTCTTTAAGAAACCAGAGCATCAGGCTGTGATTCTTGGAGAAGTAGTTTACACTGGGTCCTCCTTCACTGAAGTGACTACTGCCACTTTAACAGGGAATAGAAATGGGGAGAGAGATGAAGCAGCCAGAGCCACCATGAACAGAGACCCAGACCCACATCCACCAAGGCCAAGAGTCAGAGCAGACCCAATGTGCCACACACGGGAAAGGAGGAAAGGCTGTTGTTGCCAGGAGGGCTGTGCTTATTAGCACACAGGAACATCCCTGGGGACTCCCTAAATGAGTACCTGAATATGTCCTAATGCAAATACGTGACTCTGGAACTATATATCCGGTGGTTATGATCTTAGACCAGCTGCTCACTAGCTGTATTATCTCAGGAAATTATTAAACTTCTCTGAACCTTTTTATATATATATATATATTTTAAGTAGGGGTAACAATAACACTGTGAGGTGTTAGGATTTTTGTGAGGTTTAAAGAGCATGTGGTAAATGCTTAAACAATAATAGCTAATTTTAAATGCAATTACCATTATTAATGTTATTATTATGAAGGAATTTTAGGAGATCTGGAATTCCCAAAAGTTGGTGAATAGCAATAAAAGAAATACTGCTTAGAAAATGTTATTAGGATCCAATTCTACCCTGAAGCTGTTATGCCCTGGGAAGCATGGGGTAACATTAAAACTAAGTACGTGGCTTTGGACAATTTATTTAAGCTCCTTCAGCCTCAGTTTCTTCATCTGCACAACAGAGTCTTAGTGACATTTGCCCTTGTCCCTCACAGGGTTGTTACCAGGTTCTTTCCAACAATGGGCATGGAAGGAGCTTTGCAAAGAGCTGTTCCATATCACTGATGCCCAGCTGTCATTACTGTCACCAGCTCTGCCGTATGCAGCTCTGGGGTCTCAGAAATCTCATTTTGGGGCTATTTTTAGGTCTATAAGATGCAGCTGCTCAGAGTCAATTGCTATACTAGTAGAATATTCTATGAACCACCTGTTAAGGCTGCCCCATGCAGAAGCCCTGGGACTAATCATCCCCTAGCTCCTGACTCGTGCAGCTCAAGAGACCAAAGGTAAATGTCTTTTTCCCACTGTTTCACTGTATTTACTTCCTGTTGCCTGACTACCTGCCTCCAGCATCAGTAATAGCCTCTGAGCCCTTGAGTATATTTATTTTCCATCTGCTCCCTCCCTTCTTGCAATAACAGTAATACACCCCTAAAGATCCAGGTCCTGGAAATTATGGCCCAGAAAAGCATTCAAAACAGTGGAAGTATAATTTTTTCCCTCAAATTCTCACACACTGAATAATGTAGTGATAACGCTCAGAACACAGCAAAGCACAATTTAAACCGGTGGGCTCCCTTGTCTTGTATGTACGATGGTACATACATATGAGAGGTGACCATTGTCCATGTTTCTTCTGGTCCAGAGGTAAGAAATAATCTGAGACTCCCTTAAGAAGTATGTACCTCCCAATAACTGCCCCTAATGGGATGCACCAACTGCAGTGGGCACATGAAAGCATTTTCACTTCCTTCTCAGCCCATCTCTACAGATCTCCATGAAGCAGACTCCTCTCATCAAGCTTCAGCCCAAAGATATCTCTAGAGAGAGAGAAATGAAAATGCCTAAATACACTCTGAGGCTTGGAATGAAAGAGGCAATACTGATTCTAAGAAGGAATTTAAATCCAGCTAAGAGATAAAAAGATGTGGACCTTAAATAAAATTAAAATTTAGAGTTTATAAGAGAAGAGAAATTTGAAGAAGAATAAAAAATGCAAAAAGGGAGAATGTGAAACATTAGAGATTTGAAATATGGGAGGAGGCATGACAAGCCAAAAGAAATTTATGTTTATATAGTTTGAAGGAAACACTAAAAGTAATGGTGCAATTATCTGGGGGTAGAAAAAAAATACAAGAAGGAAAAAACAGGATGATAGCATTCATGGCCAGAGGTGCTGAGAACAGTAGAATTTGGAATGGAATATAGATGGACAGGGAGGGCAGATTCATAAGAAGTTCTTTTCAATCATTCATGATATTGAAAGAAACATGAGACAACCATTCCCCAAGAAAGGACAGGCTTAACTTTCAAGAGGAGGGATTTAGGATAGACATTAGAAAATAGCCTGGGTATAAGCATTGTGGGGAAAATGTGGAAATCCCATCTTTGAAGATATTAAGAAATAAGGGTAACTACTATCTTTTAGTAGTGGCTTAAGGGCAAACCTGGATACCTCGGATACCTGAGCTTTCACAAATGCATCCATCCATACGCAGCTATGATTCTGTGTTGAATTTTCTCGAATCCAATTCCCTCTTCACCACAGTATAATACACAGAGATTTTCTTAGAAGTCTTTGTTATTTACTGGGCTTACCTGTCCTGAATCAGCATCTTTAATGTATTGCATCTCCCTGATCAGTATCCCGAGATCCCCTTAAAAATGTTTTACTTAGCTTTTCAGGGGCATGATTCTGTCATTTCTCTAGTCAGCACTGTCTGGCACATAGATAGTACTTGATAAACTGTCCCTGGACTATTTTCCATTCTGAGAAGTGAAGAAAACCACTACAATAAAATAAAGCAAGGGTCAAGGAAGCCTCACCAATGTCAAAGAAAAACAGATTGTTTTCTGTCTCTTCCACAGAAAGCCGGTTGATAAGAGTCCTTGAGTTTCACCCATGTGACGGTTTTTATGTGTCAGTTTGACTGGGCTAAAGGATGCCCAGAAGACTGGTGAGACATTAGTTCTGGGTGTGTCTGTGAGGGTGTTTCCAAAAGAGATTAATGTTTGAATCCATGGGCTGAATAAAGAAGATCCACCCTCACCAATGCATGTAGGCACCATCCAATCTGTTGAGGGCCCAAATTGAACAAAAAGGAGGAGGAAGGGTGAATTCACTCCCTCTGTTTGAGCTGAACATCCATCTTCTCCTGTCCTTGGACATCAAAGCTCCTGATTCTAGGCTCTTCAGAGCTCAGAGCTTACACTAGCAGCTCCCTCCCTACCCACTTTCCCCTCTTCATCCCCTGCCCCCAATTCTCAGACCCTTGGACTCCCACTGGGAGTTATACCATCTGCTCCCCTAGTTCTCAGGCCTTTGGATCTGTACTAAGTTACAACACCAGCTCTCCTGGTTCTCCAGCTTGCAGACACCAGCTTACAGAACTTCCCAGCCTCCAAAATGGCATGAGCCAATTCCTATAACAAATCTCTCTTTTCCTTCCCCCCATCTCTCTCTATAGATAGATATATACAAATTTATAAAATAAATTTGTTCTCTGCCAATATTTAGAAGGGAGAACTGACATATTAGGGTACTGATTGTCTGACTCAGATTCAACTTTATTCCACTCTTGAACACTCCAATCTGGAGTGCCTAAAGTCACCCAGAGAAGATTCTTTGGGTCCTAGAAGGTGAGTGAGTGCTACTCAATAAAGATTGACACAGAGCTCCAGACCTCAGACCAGGCAGCACCCTGGTTTTCCAAATGCCAGTCAATCACATGTCATCTCCAAGATTTTGTCATATCTGCATATCATCCATTCATATCACCATTAATTACTTAATATTCGCCTCTACATTGTCTGTAAGTAAATCATCCTGGGTTTTTGTTTATACTTGTCCTAAGTCATAACATGTGAGAAATTATAACTTGAGGATGTGATGTTCACTTATACCTTAAATTAATAATACAACTTTAAAAATAAAAATATGTATGAATGAGCCACCTACTATTTCCCCAGTGATAGGAAACCCCAGTGATTCTGCCCAGGGTTACATTTCAAGTTACAGTCCAGCCATTCTCAATCTTTTTTTCTTTCCACCGAGACATACATAGATGGCATTGCCATGGCCAGCACAATCCCATGTGAGTGTCTGAACTTCTGGGCAACTTCTTGCGGAAAACCTGGAGCCCTACCCTATTTTTTTCTTATTCGAGGAAGTATATCAGAATACAAGTGAGTGAACATAATTATAGGGATAACCATGAAACCACTAATTTGTGGAAAATAATATCTTTCTCACATTGCTGCTGAGAGGCCAAAATGAAACAATGAAGCATTTAGCAGGGCGCTTAGCACATAGTAGGCACTCAATAATTTGTTCCTCTTTGTTTACATGAATTACTCAACAACTTCAGTGATTTTTGCTCAGTTAAAAAAAAATTGATGTGATCTCATTACCAAAGGTTACTGTGTCTGCAGACCATGGCCATTCCTTACACCAGCAGGAGCTGCTCCAAGAAGAAGGTGGTCATCTCCCCTAAGGAACACTTTCTCCTGGTCTCCAGGAAATTATTTTTCTATTAATTCAGGGCATCATGAGTCCATATTTATTTTTTATTTACTTCACAGCTAAGAAAATTGAGATCCGCATAATATCTTTTCCTTCCAGAACCTTATCTTATTACTCTAAGTAGAAGAATTACCTTGGTTCTAACAGGCTAGTGGATTCTATAGAAATCAACTATTTCGGAAAAATATGAGTTTATGTTGGCTACTTAGGAAAGATAAAAGAGTTATCCCGTTTTCCATAAGAAATAGGAAATAGAAATAAAAGAAATAAGAATAAGAAATAGGAAAAGGTAAATATACTGACAGGGATAACCATGAAACCACTAATTTAAGGGAAAAAATACCTTCCTCACATTGCTGATGAGGGCCAAAATGAAACAATGAAGCATTTAGCAAGGTGTAATATATGAAATAGGAAAATAAATAGGAAAAATACATGTTTATTGAAAAAATATTCTTTAAAAGGCACTGTGATAAGAGCAGTGGAGGAATACAAAAACATTCTTTTTATCAAGTCACTTACAGTCTAGTAGAAAAGACAAAACATGTATAATATGAAGCAAAATTAGGTAAATGTCATAACATTTAGCTTCTAACATTTTGTCATGAAAATACTTCCAGAGCTTTAGGTTGCTCATTCCTGTTCCCGGGTTTCTGAACCCATTTGGAATCTTTATTGACTACTCCAAAGTATGTATGGTTAAGTAATATTGGACCAGTTAAATTTTGTCATGGCACAAGACATCTTCAGACATAAAGCCGACACATCTCACATCTCATTGCTTCCTGTGGCAGATCTAACACCTGAGGATGTCTGAGGGTCTGGATGCACAGCAGACCCAGCTCAGCCATGGAGTCACTTCACCATGGAGGGGACTAACAATTACAAAAGGTGGAGGTTGCTTGCATGCTAGAGAATCAGTAATAACCTCAACTCTTGATTAAGTATTTTAAAAACTTCTGTAGTAAGAGCTATTCCACAAAAATATTTTTACAGTATTATAAACATTGCTAAATATAGCTCTCTTAAGTCATGTGACATCTTTTCTCTAAGTTTGCTCCTGATATTGTTATATTGGGTTTTAACTTCAGGAGCATTTTGTGAAATACTTACATCATAGGTGAGAAAGTAGACAAACAGCCAAGGGGAAAAAAGAAAACTTTGAACCGAGCCCAAGAGAAAACGTTTAAATATTTGAATATAGTGGTATTCAAGGTTCCTTCTGAAGGGGTGGAGGAGAGTGAAATAAAATAAGGTGACTTCTAGAGACAATACCTATGTCCTTTGGGAGTAGCTCAGTGTATCAGAAAACACAGGCTCCAAAGATGGGCAGAATGAACTTCCAATTCCAGTCCTATCACTGACTTATGATCTTGAGCACATTCCTTCACCTCTATCTGTGATCCTTTCTTCCCTCACTGGAGCACAGCGCTCATAAAACCTACTTCATGGAGCTATTACGAGGATTAAATGAGATTACACATATAAAGCACCTGCACAACAGCATTCACAAATACTTGTTCCCTGCAGTTCCCTGCAATGTGAAAGACTGAGATGTGGCCTGCCAACTGCTCTGGGAGGGCCCTATTCATTCATTCAGAATTACTTTTTGAACACCAGTAGGTATAAGTAATTGTGCTAGCACTAGGAATATAATAATGACTAAGACCCTCAGGAGCTCCCATTTCCTATCATTCTAGGAATTTTAGGCCCTGTCTTCCATTAGAGAATTTCCTAAAGATGGAGAAAGCACTGATAGAGAATGGGTATGCACAAAGACATGCAGCTTAAACTTCAGTGGCAGATCCAGAATTTGAGCTCCTCTCCATAATCTGTTTTTACCTCTCAGTGCATTAAAATCCTACTTAAGTGAAGAGAGAAAAGGTAGAGAAATGCAAGTGTTAAGTGAGTGATTTAGGTTGTTAGGAGTACGATCTGTAGTGGAGGTGAGGAGCCAGAGGAAAGGCCCACGCAGAAAAAAGAAGCCAATTTTGACTACTTCCACAGTCCTTTTTATAATAGTTTTTTCTCTTTTTGTTGAAATTGCAGTTGATTTGGATGGCAAGATGGTAGAACAAATCATGAAGTGACAGGTAGGAGAAGAAGAGCATTTTGGAAAAGAAATAGTTCATGAGTCTCTGAGACATGTAAGTCAGTATTTCCCTAAGTACTGGGGTGCACATCAAAGATTCTTACACGAATGAAGGACCTGCAGAACCCCAAAGAGACTCTCTAACAAATACTACTAAGTCCCCTGAAAACCACCAACTGCACTAAGGCTGCAGAGTTAGGTATGTGCTTTGATTCCAGCAGTACAATGCAGTGTAAAGAAACCTAGATCTGCTAATTTTGTATTTTTTGTAGAGACGGGGTTTCTCCATGTCGATCAGGTTGGTCTCGAACTCCTGACCTCAGGTGATCCCCCGCCCCACCTTGGCTTCCCAAAGTGCTAGGATTACAAGCGTGAGCCGAGAGTGGTGGCCCATGCCTGTAATCCCATCTACTCAGGAGGCTGAGGCAGGAGAATCACTTGAACCCAGGAAGCAGAGGTTGCGGTGAGCTGAGATCACACCATTGCACTCCAGCCTGGGCAACAAGAGCGAAACCCCGTCTCAAAAAAACAAAAACAAAAACAAAAAAACCTAGTTCTAGGCTCAGTTTAACATATTTCTGGGGTATGCATCTTTGAAGTAAGTAGCTTAATTTCTCTGAATTTCACCTGTAAAGCAGTAGGGCTAGCCTGCTCATATCAAAGGATTAGTAAGGAAATGGAAGGAAACTGTGTTTTAAAAATTCTTTGTTTTGTATGGCCTTGACTTCTTCAAGGTGATGAGATTCTCAATAGTGAAGATAAAATGCCCAGAAGCCAAGAGATTTCTTGAACCAGCTCTGTTGGAAGCACCATTCAGAGAAGAACCACAGTGTTATTTTAGAGTCCTCAATTATATCATAACTTGCCTTATCTGTATAGCTGGAAAAAAATAAGCACGTCTAAGGTGTTCTATTGGCCCAAGACTCTTGGTTACAATATTCTGTGGATCCTAGACAGATCCATGTAAGCAGATGTCCCCTAAACCCTTTCTTGTGAAAAAATAATACATTTTTATACAAGAGAGAGGAGATGGGGCCTCATCAGGGAAACTGACAAGGCCTACTCCAGGATATAGTATTATTCTTTCAGTTGATCAACTCTTGACATTTTGGAAGGCAGAAAGTACTCTGCAGATGTTAATCATAAATGATGATTTCGGGAAACAATAGACCAGAGAGATTATGTCCCCAGATGGCAGCCTCCAGCACACTCTGAAATGAATTGCCTCACTCAGTCTAGCATTCCTCTAAGAGGTCTCTAGCAGCACAGCCTTGCCCAGAGAGACTAGAGAGACTGGGAAACCAAGAGAAAGACTGTACTACATTGAAATAAAACTTATTTAAAATAAAACTCAGCAACAAGAACATTGGGAACTAGCCTTGGTATGAATGTCTTCAGACTGAGCTCCTTAGAGAATTCTTTTCTTTCATCCGGCCCTGGAGGGACAGTGGATCTAGGTCTTTAGATATCACCAAATTCAATACTGGATTTTGTTATTTGAGTATAACCAAGGCAGGACTTTATTATATCACTTAGACTGGAAAATATTCCTGTGCACTTAAAGAAAACACTTGGCAGCCCCTGGTTTCTAGTTGGCTATTTTGCAATGGACATAATTTTCTTATTATGCTTATTAGCCTCTAATTTTATGATGTGTAATATATTCATCTTTCTGGTTTCTTTATGTGTAAGCCAGCTTAAAAGGGCATTGCAGGACAACTGAAGAAGATACACGCTTTTAAAACCGTATTAGGATATTCTCTTAGTGTAGGCTCCCTTCCTTAAATCCTTTCTTCCCAATTTAGAATCAATCATCCTTTCCCCCTAGATAAAGGTGTCGCTTTCCTTCCGACTCATCTAGAATGTAAACCTACATGACGGCTCTCAGAATCTTCTCTTTTGCTGAGAAAAGAAATGATTCCCCCTTTATACAGACCACAGCCTCAGGAATTCTACTGAACATAAAATGAGAAAAGCATACTCCTGAAGTTGCTTAAAATCAGATTTTTCATCCTAAATCCTGAAATCATATCTTCTCCATTGCCCCCAGTGCACTATTTTGGTTCATGAATCTTTCTTTTTTCTTTTTCCCTTGTAGTCTCGAGCATGAAGTTTTGGCCAGGGCACTGGAGACAGAGTTAGAAGATCTGGGTTCAAGTCATGATTCTGACACTTATTTGTTGGCAACAGCTAATTTACAGCTGTGAGGCGGAAGTACTCCCTGCTTGCCTGGACGCCTGTGGAGATGAACGAGACACAATGGTTACGTGCAGGGTGTCTGAGAGTAAGGAGCATGGGGCCTGCAACCAAGGTGCTTGGCTCTGAATCCTGGCTCTGCTACTAGCTATGTGATCTGAGGCCCGCTTAGTTTCCTCACCTGGGAACAGGAGATGCTAATGATAGTACCTGTATAATAGGGTTGTTGTGAGAACCGACTGATACCTGGAAAGTATGTAGAACAGTGCCTGACACATCATCGGTGCTCAGTACATGTTAGCATTTTATTAGAGGCTTCTTTCTTTTTGGTCTAAGTAGTAAATCAATCATCACACCTCACCAATTCTTTCAGAGATGATTCCTCCTTTTCATTCCCATTACCTCCAGTCCAGGCCTCTATTTTGCCCCTCCCAAGCCACTGAGCAATAGCATTGCTGGACTCTCTAACCTCATTTCTTCTATTCCCTCCTGCACCTGGCTCCAAATCGATCATCTCAAAACATCACTTTAAGCCAATTACATTCATGCTTCCAATTCTTGGTGATTCTCAAATACCTATAGAAGAATTGTAATACCTTAGACTACAATTGAGACATTATAAACTGAGCCCACCATACCTTTTTTTTTTTTTTCTGGGAATGAGTCTCGCTCTGTCGCCCAGGCTGGGGTGCAGTAGCGCAATCTCGACTCACTGCAAGCTCCGCCTCCCGGGTTCACGCCATTCTCCCGCCTCAGACTCCTTAGTAGCTGGGGACTACAGGCGCGCGCCACCACGCCCAACTAATTGTGTGGTTTTTGTTTGTTTGTTTGTTTGTATTTTTAGTAGAGACGGAGTTTCACCCTGTTAGCCAGGATGGTCTCTATCTCCTGACCTCGTGATCCATCCGCCTCGGCCTCCCAAAGTGCTGGGATTACAGGCATGAGCCACCGCGCCCAGCCCGACCATACCTTTTGAACCATCTCTCTCTCACACGTAATCTCTCTACTCTTAGCAAAATAATTTCCCCTTAGTTCTTGAATGTAGCTTGTGATTTCATGCCTCACTGTTTTTATTTATTCTTTTCTTCCTGCTTAGAACATCCTCCCTTTCCGGGCAGTGAATGGGAGGGAGTGTAGTATAGTGATTAAGAGCCCCAGCTTAGATGTCTGACAGGCCTCGTTTACCTTCTGGCTCCATAACTTGGCAGGCATGTGATCTTGGGCAACTTCAATGCCAATTCCGTGTGCTGAACAAGGACACTCTTAGCATAGTAAGAGAAAAATCCACTTACAGTGATAAAAGTATTGATTCAGAGGGCTTTAATTGCTTTTTAGTTCATTATGTTTTACTACAATAAGTGAATGAGAACCCAAAACAAAATTAGAATTTTCTTCTCTCTGTTGTCCTAGTACATTTTCCGTTTTCTACTAAAGATCTTCGGACTTCTCAGGAAACTCATCCAGGATTTGACAACCTTCAACTTAATCTCAAGGCTAATTCCTTTATTATGACATTCTTACTCTGCACAAAGCTACTCTAATCCCTCTCTCTCTCTCTCTCTCTCTCTCTCTCTCTCTCTCTCTCTCTCGTCACCTGAGAACAATGACCCAGCTTTCAGATTAGCAGGACACAAGTGACTTGGGTGTGGGAGATCTCTGCACTGGTGAGGTCAGGAACATTAGCCTTAGGAATGCAGTGAAAGACAGGGAAGTCAAAGAGAAATTACCTAGGCCAGAAAATTGTCAACAAGTCAGGAAAGGGGAGCATGGAACATTGTTTGTTGTTTTATTTCCAAACATAGAAATATAAGACAGGCAAAAGCTAAACTGGTCTCCCCAGCAAAGAGGACACCAGCCTGGCTCCTCCCTCCTCAGCCTTTCTCAGTTCTTCTAGATCTCTTTCTTGTCAAACACTGAAGGAACTTTTCAGATTGTTTCAATCTATAATGCACAGAAACAAGTTTACATCAAAGTCTACTTCTCTTCATGTCTCAGTGCTAGGAGTCTCATGATCAGAGAACATGTGTCGCCCTCTGAGGCCATTTTTCCACTCATCTGCCCTCCCATCTGCTCACCTCCTATCCTTCTTCTTTTCCCTCCCTCTTAACCCTTTCCTCTGTGTTTGAGAAAAAAATTAAAAAGCTCCCCAACACTTTCAAATATTTTGCTCTGTCTTAGCTCATTGGTTCTCCTGGCCCCTGCAGAATCTGATTTAGTTAGCCTGGGTCTAGCCCTGGCGTGGATGTTCTGTTGTTTTGGTTTTGTTTGTTTAACATCCCTAGGTGTTTCCAGGGTGTACCCAGTCTAAAGAACTATTGCCTTAACTGGTACCTAGATTATCTCCTGGCAAACATGCTTCCTGCGCCTCTCTCTGGAGATTCCACATCCTCCCATACCAGAGTACTGCCAGACAAGATGGGACCGTCAATCTCAGGCCCCACATTGCCTCTTCCAGACCGTGGGTCTCCCATCCGCATGCACAAAGGAAAACATTTCCTGAAAGTACTTTATTTGCGTGCCCCACACACCTTCTCCCCACCACCACCAACCTTATCTGCCTGAATAACATCTGTGTCCTTCAAAATGCAACTAAAACAGTAACTCCCCCTCTTAGAAGACTGCCCTGAGAGGCCAAGTGATCTACAAACCACTGTCTCTCGCTCTCTCCTTGCTTACGCCCTATGGATGCCTGGCATAGCCTTTATCTCTCTGTTTATAATAATCAGCTATTTCCATGTCTGCCTACCTCAATAAACTGTGAGTTCTTTAAGAGTGGGAATTATATCTTCTTCATCTCTGTATCTGCACAGTGTAACTCATGCAGTGCCTGGCACATGGTTGGCATCAGATAAATACTTGTGAAAAAGAGCAAGCAGGAGAGAAGAGATGGAGAAGGGAATGTGAGAAGAAGAGAAGTAAGAAAGAAAAGAATAAATATCTTGCTGTAATCCCAGTAGTTTGGGCAGCCAAGGCAGGTGGATCACTTGAGGTCAGGAGTTCAAGACCAGCCTGGCCAACATAGTGAAACCCCAATTCTACTAAAAACACAAAAATTAGCCGGGCGTGGTGGCAGTTGCCTGTAATCCCAGCTACTCGGGAGGCTGAAGCAGGAGAATTGCTTGAACCATGGAGGCAGAGGTTGCAGTGAGCCGAGATTGCACCACTGCACTCCAGCCTGGGTGGCAGAGCAAGACTCCGTCTCAAATAAAAAAAAAAAGAAGAAGAAGAAATACCTCACCTCTACTGTCATCATCCTGCCTTCCAAGGGTAAAATGTTTTACTAAGCATATTTTTGGAACTATAATGTAGAGACACAGCACAGAAAGTAAAAATCCAAGGCAACTCTCTCTATTTTTTAGAAGAAAAATAAGCAAGTGACAAGAAAACCCATATATATAGAAAGTATTTTTTAGAATATATTTCTGGTCACCTACTAAGGACAGTATTTTTCATCTCTCACTACTTTACCATCAGTGACCCAGATCTTCTATGACAATCCCATTCTGTTGATGGTGGCTGTGGTGGGCAAAATAAATCCCCACCCCCACCCCCACTGCCAAAAACATCCATGTCTCAAACCCTGGAACCTATGAATATGTTCCATTGCATGGCAAAAGGGACTTTGCAGATGTGATTAAACTAAAGACCTTAAGATAGGGAGATTATCCTGGAGATTATCAGGGTGGGCCCAATGTGATCACAAGGGTCCTTCTAAGTAAAAGAGGGAGGCAGGAGAGTCAGGGTCAGGATGATGCAATGTGTGAAAGACTCCACCTGCCACTGCTGGCTTGGAAGACGGAGGAAAAGCTCAAGAACGCAAGTGGCCTCTAGAAGCTGGAAAAGGCAAGAAAGCAGAATCTCCGCTGGAGCCTCCAGAAAGGAAAGCAACCCTGACCACATCTTGATTTTAGCCCAGTGAGAGGCCAGAATTGTAAGACAGTAGATCTGTGTTGTTTCAAGCTGCTAGATTTGTGGTGATTTGTTAAAGCAATAGAAAACTAATACTGTGGGTATAAAAATGTTCCTAGAGTACACTCATACCTGTCAGTGCATGCTTCTGCTTTGAGTTAATGTCACCTCTGCCACAGTTATATTATTGTGAGATAATCACGGGTAGTCTTGTTGATGACCTTGAATCATTACAAGATCCTGAGTCATCAATGAAAGAAAAAGCCGCTATAACTCCAATCCTTTACCTACTCAATCATGGAAAGGAGGATACAATATAGTCCATGTCCTATATAGACATAATATGATGGAGCACAAAACAAGAGCCTGGAAAAATGCATGAAACAGTTCTTGACTTTGGACTCCAGCCTGCCTTTTGAATAGGTTGGAGACCGAGGACCTCTGGTATACTAGTCATCAGTCCTTTCAATCTATTGTGTCTCCTGCTGAAGGACACCAGGCTTCATTCTAAAGCTGGGATCTTGGGATGGAGGCAGAGAGGAAGGGGAGAAGAGACAGAGGTTCTTACACTGTCCATTCTCAGGGTGTGAGAGATGCAAAGTAAACAGACTTGCTGCACTGCCTGGATTAATCATATTGTGGGCATCTCCTGCAGGCCATTATGCAAAAAGGTGTTTATCCTTTGTCCCAGTCTGTCTGGAGGAGGAGGAAGTGAGAAGGAAAAAAAAAAAACAGCCTATCAGTGGTGAACTCATACATATTTTAGAATAATTCATTGAATTTTAGAAGGAAATTTGAGTTAACCCTAAGTTAGCCATAACTTTTACAGAACCAGTATTCCTCATTTTCTGGACTTTCTGGTCATTCAGTATCTTAGCGGACAGCTTATTGTTTGGGCTTTAAAAATGCTTTTCTTTTAGCTACTGTAATACTTTGCATCCTTCCTTCTCCTCACTGAAGCACAGAACCAATTGAGAGAGTCAAAGGAGCCAGAAAGGTGGAGAAGAAAACATCAGCTTTATTACTGGTAAGCTATTTGGAGAACAGTCTTTAGGTGTGGAGCAACAATAAGCTTCTAATATAGCACCAAATCATTAAGCAGAAGGACCTACTCAGTCACGAGCAGCTGGCAAATAGTGACCCTTTCCCAGTGACAGAGCTCCCCACAGTCATATCCCAGGGAGAATCCTGAAGGGGCTGAGACCCGCGTGGCTGTCCGGTCTTCACCTCCCCATCAGTAAGTCATTTGTTCCAGGGAAGAGTAAGTGATGCAGGAAGAGAGGCCAGGATCGTTAGGCTTGTGGAAGCTCTTTAACATTGATATATTGAAGAAGAGGGAATCAATGTTCTCCACCTGATAGTTACTTCTAAATGGCAGCAAATAAAACTATGCTATAATTAAGCTAACTAAGTAATTATATATAGAGAAATTTGAAAGCAAAATTAGCAAGAGCTGACTAAAGATCCATCACTCCCAAGCACCCCTGGAAGCAGCAGCCTCCCTCTTAGTGTAATGAACAGTCTGAGGTGTGTTACTTACGATATGGTATGGCTATTTTCAAACGATGTCTGTTGTCTTTAGAATTCAGAGCTTTTTCAAAGTATCCCTATAGTAACATTATTCTTACCTCATTTCAGATTTACTTTCTTGAGTGGGAGAGAAAGGGGAGAAACTACAGATAACATTCCAGAAATTACACATAAGCCAGTCTACCTTGTCTGTGAAGAAGCTCCTAGTGAAGGACATTTAGTGACAGCATTAAGAGTTGTGGCAATTGTGAATAATTGAAATGTTCATACACTGTTTTTTGTTTTTATTTCTGAGACAGGGTCTCACTGTATTGCCCAGGCTGGAGTGCAGTGGCACAATCACAGCTCACCACAGCCTTGACTTCCCGGGCTCGGGTGATGCTCCCTTCTCAGCCTCTCAAGTAGCTGGGACTACAGGTGTACACCACCACTCTCCACTAATTTTCATATATTTTGTAGAGATGTGGTTTTGCTATGGTGCCCAGGCTGGCCTTGAAATCCTGGGCTCAAGCAATCCACCCCACTTAGCCTCTCAAGGTGCTGGGATTACAGGTGTGAACCATGGCACCAAGCCTATTATTTTTATAGTTACTTGTATGTCTTTTTCTTTTACTTAAGGATAAATTTGATTAAGAAAGCAAGTGAAATATGTTTTAAAAGCACATCTTCGAGTGACCTTACAAACATCTTTTGGTTAATAACAGAACTATAATATCAAGTAGATGATCAGTAGCTGCACCACTAGAAAGATGGCGGAGCAAGAGCAAAGAAAAATCCCTTTGGTTCCAGAAAATCTCCTGAAAAAGAGGAAGGCTTATCAAGCCCTCAACGCCACCCAGTCAAAGCAGGCACTTTTGGCAAAGAAGGAGCAGAAGAAAGGAAAAGGGCTCAGGTTTAAGCGACTGGAATCATTCCTACATGATTCCTGGCGGCAGAAACGTGACGTTTCAGAAGACTAGAAGTGAAACCTCAAGCCTTGGAATTGCCAGATAAATATTCCTTGGCCTTTGTTGTACGCATCTAAAGGATTGATGGCGTGAGTTTACTGGTGCAAAGAATCATTGCAAGACTTCGCCTGAAGAAAATTTTTAGTGGTGTCTTTGTAAAAGTCACCCCCCAGAATCTAAAAATGCTGTGTATAGTGGAACCTTATGTGACCTGGGGATTTCCAAATCTGAAGTCTGTCCGAGAACTCATTTTGAAACGTGGACAAGCCAAGGTCAAGAATAAGACCATCCCTCTGACAGACAACACAGTGATTGAGGAGCACCTGGGGAAGTTTGGCATCATTTGCTTGGAAGACCTCATTCATGAAATTGCCTTCCCAGGGAAGCATTTACAGGAGATCTCGTGGTTCTTGCGCCCTTTCCACCTCTCAGTGGCCTGTCATGCTACCAAAAATAGAGTGGGCTTCCTCAAGGAGATGGGCACACCTGGCTATTGGGGTGAACGCATCAATCAGCTCATCCGCCAGCTGAACTAGACCCACGTGCCAAACTGTGGTAAATTTTTATCAATGAAGTGGAAGCATGTGTTTTGCTGTTTTAGGAATTTTTATCAAGTATCTTCAGAGAAGATTATTTCCTGCTTTATCTTCAAAAACTGGAAAGGAAGTGTCAAAGAAAAGACATTAGCTGGCCGGGCGTGGTGGCTCATGCTTGTAATCCCAACACTTTGGGAAGCTGAGGTGGGTGGATCACCTGAGGTTGGGAGTTCGAGACCAGCCTGACCAACATGGAGAAATGCCGTCTCTATTAAAAATACAAAAATTGACCGGGCATGGTGGTGCATGCCTGTAATCCCAGCTACTCGGGAGGCTGGGGCAGGAGAATCACTCAAACCTGGAAGGCGGAAGTTGCAGTGAGCCGAGATCACGCCATTGCAGTCCAGCCTGGGCAAGGAGCAAAACTCCATCTCAAAAAAAGAAAGGAAAAGACAGTAGCTTATGTTCATGGCAAGCACCTCTCATCACAGTCCAGTTCCAAGGAAAAATTCCGGCGTTTTCTACATTGGGTGCTGCATTGTCTGAAATCAGCACATTCCATGGAAGAAGGAGTCCCGCTTTGTTGCATCTATCCTAGGGTTTAATGTTGGTAAATGAGTCACTCTAGCATTTGTACAAGGCTCCCTAAGACTCCTGCAGCAGTAGACCAAGCCCAAGGACATAACTGAATCTGGAGAGTCCTGGGGCCCTGTTTTGAAAAATACTTGAAATACACATAGGAAGAAAGGCATAAAAATAAATGTTCACTTGTCTCTGCAAAAAAAAAAAACAAAAAACAAAAAACAAAAAATCAATATCAAGTAAATGCAGACCATGCAATGAAATCTGTGAAATTTGCAAGAATAATATTAATGTCATTATAAAAGGTTAAAAAATACAGTCCACATGTCACAATTTTAACAATAAAATAGGGGAGTTTTTGTTTTATTCTTCGGTTGTACATACTCATTCCTGCAGAGCATGAGTCTAGACAAAAACTTAAGCATTTTTAAAGTAATGGTCACAATTCTTAAAACCAGATTAGCCATACTTTTTTAAATAAAATAATCATTTTGAGACTTTAGTGGCTTATTTAATTATTCATTTGCTCATAAAATGAAATTATGAATGCTTTTATGAACAAAGTGGCCCTGAGAAAAGGCCTATGGCAACTTTCCTTCCCTTTCACTAACCCTCCCAGTTTGATGGGATTTTGCAAATCTGACGATACTGTATATTATGCTTGCAAATTGCTAAGAAACAAGTTGAAAGAATGAGTACTCCTCTTTTCTGCCCTGAAATCAGCCTCAATCCTCCTTCTTAGGAAAGCTTTAAGTTGGTCAAGAACAAGATTTGCCCTTAACAACAAATCAGTGCTATTGCTGGGTGATTCTGACATAGGTAAAGCAACCTCCAATCAGAGAGAAGCCTCTGAAGTCTGACTGTGACATGTCTCTATAAAGATGAGCACTCCCAGCAGGGAGGTTCCAAGATGGCTGAATAGGAACAGCTCCAGTCTGCAGCTCCCAGCATGAGCGATGCAGAAGACGTGTGTTTTCTGCATTTCCAACTGAGGTACTCGGTTCATCTCACTGGGGCTTGTCAGATAGTGGGTGCAGCACACAGAGCAGAGTGGGGCATCGCCTCACCCAGGAAGCACAAGGGGTCCCGGAATTCCCTTTCCTAGCAAAGGGAAGCCGTGACTGATGGTACCTGGAAAATCAGAACACTCCCACCCTAATACTGCGCTTTTCCAACAGCCTTAGCAAATGGCACACGAGGAGATTATATCCTGTGCCTGGCTCAGAGGATCCTACACCCACGGAGCCTCGCTCACTGCTAGCACAGCAATCTGAGATCAAACTGCAAGGTGGCAGCAAGGCTGGGGGAGGAGCATCCGCCATTGCTGAGGCTTGAGTAGGTAAACAAAGTGGCCTGGAAGCTCGAACTGGGTGGAGCCCACAACAGCTCAAGGAGGCCTGCCTGCCTATGTAGACTCCCCCTCTGGGGGCAGGGCATAGTCGAACAAAAGGCAGCAGAAACTTCTGCAGACTTAAACATCCCTGTCTGACACCTTTGAAGAGAATAGTGGTTCTCCCAGCACAGAGTTTGAGATCTGAGAATGGACAGACTGCCTCCTCAAGTGGGTCCCTGACCCCCGAGTAGCCTAACTGGGAGACACCTCCCAGTAGGGGCTGACTGACACCTCATACAGCTGGTTGCCCCTCTGAGACGAAGCTTCCAGAGGAAGGATCAGGCAGCAACATCTGCCGTTCTGCAATATTTGCTGTTCTGCAGCCTCCGCTGGTGATACCCAGGCAAACAGGGTCTGGAGTGGACCTCCAGCAAACTCTAACAGACCTGCAGCTGAGGGTCCTGACTGTTAGAAGGAAAACTAACAAACAGAAAGGACATCCGCACCAAAACCCCATCTGTCCATCACCATCATCAAAGACCAAAGATAGATAAAACCACAAAGATGGGGAGAAATCAGAGCAGAAAAGCTGAAAATTCTAAAAATCAGAGCACCTCTTCTCCTCCAAAGGAATGCAGCTCCTCACCAGCAATGGAACAAAGCTGGACAGAGAATGACTTTGACAAGCTGAGAGAAGGCTTCAGACGATCGGTAATAACAAACTTCTCCAAGCTAAAGGAGCATGTTCTAACCCATCACAAAGAAGCTAAAAACCTTGAAAAAAGATGAGAAGAATGGCTAACTACAATCAACAGTGTAGAGAAGTCCTTAAATGACCTGATGGAGCTGAAAACCATGGCACGAGAACTATGTGATGCATGCACAATCTTCAGTAGCCGGTTCAATCAACTGGAAGAAAGGATATCAGTGATTGAAAATCAAATGAATGAAATGAAGTGAGAATGGAAGTTTAGAGAAAAAAGAATAAAAAGAAATGGACAAAGCCTCCAAGAATTATGGGACTATGTGAAAAGACCAAATCTACATCTGATTGGTGTACCTGAAAGTGATGGGGAGAATGGAACCAAGTTGGAAAACACTCTGCAGGATATTATCCAGGAGAACTTCCCCAACCTAGCAAGTCAGGCCAACATTCAAATTCAGGAAATACAGAGAATGCCACAAAGATACTCCTTGAGAAGAGCAACTCCAAGACACATAATTGTCAGATTCACCAAAGTTGAAATGAAGGAAAAAAATGTTAAGGGCAGCCAGAGAGAAAGGTTGGGCTACCCACAAAGGGAAGCCCAACAGACTAACAGCAGATCTCTCAGCAGAAACTCTACAAGTCAGAAGAGAGTGGGAGCCAATATTCAACATTGTTAAAGAAAAGAATTTTCAACCCAGAATTTCATATCCAGCCAAACTAAGCTTCCTAAATGAAGGAGAAATAAAATCCTTTACAGACAAACAAATGCTGAGAGGTTTTGTCACCACCAGGCCTGCCTTACAAGAGCTCCTGAAGGAAGCACTAAACATGGAAAGGAACAACCAGTACCAGCCACTGCAAAACATGCCAAATTGTAAAGACCATCAAGGCTAGGAAGAAACTGCATCAACTATCGAGCAAAATAACCAGCTAACATCATAATGACAGGATCAAATTCACACATAACAATATTAACCTTAAATGTAAATGGGCTAAATGCTCCAATTAAAAGACACAGACTGGCAAATTGGATAAAGAGTCAAGACCCATCAGTGTGCTGTATTCAGGAGACCCATCTCACATGCAGAGACACACATAGACTCAAAATAAAGGAATGGAGGAAGATCTACCAAGCAAATGGAAAACAAAAAAAGCAGGGGTTGCAATCTTGTCTCTGATAAAACAGACTTTAAACCAACAAAGATGAAAAGAGACAAGGCCATTACTAATCGTAAAGGGATCAATTCAACAAGAAGAGCTAACTGTCCTAAATATATATGTACCCAATACAGGAGCACTCAGGTTCATAAAGCAAGTCCTTGGACACCTACAAACAGACTTAGACTCCCAAACAATAATAATGGGAGACTTTAACACCCCATTGTCAACATTAGACAGAGAAACGAGACAGAAAGTTAACAAGGATTTCCAGGAATTGAATTCAGCTCTGCACCAAGTGGACCTAATAGACATCTACAGAACTCTCCACCCCAAATCAACAGAATGTACATTTTTCTCAGCACCACATCACACTTATTCCAAAATTGACCACATAGTTGGAAGTAAAGCACTCCTCAGCAAATGTAAAAGAACAGAAATTACAACAAACTGTCTCTCAGACCACAGTGCAATCAAACTAGAACTCACGATTAAGAAACTCACTCAAAACCGCCCAACTACATGGAAACTGAACAACCTGCTCCTGAATGACTACTGGGTACATAAAGAAATGAAGGCAGAAATAAAGATGTTCTTTGAAACCAATGAGAACAAAGACACAACATACCAGAATCTCTGGGACACATTCAAAGCAGTGTGTAGAGGGAAATTTATAGCACTAAATGCCCACAAGAGAAAGCAGGAAAGATCTAAAATTGACACCCTAACATCACAATTAAAAGAACTAGAGAAGTAAGAGCAAACACATTCAAAAGCTAGCAGAAGGCAAGAAATAACTAAGATCAGAGCAGAACTGAAGGAGATAGAGACATAAAAAACCCTTCAAAAAATCCATGAATCCAGGAGCTGGTTTTTTTTAAAGATCAACAAAATTGATAGACTGCTAGCAAGACTAATAAAGAAGAAAAGATAGGAGAATCAAATAGGTGCAATAAAAAATGATAAAGGGGATATCACCACCCATCCCACAGAAATACAAACTACCATCAGAGAATATTATAAACACCTCTATGCAAATAAACTAGAAAATCTAGAAGAAATGGATAAATTCCTTGACACATACATCCTCCCAAGACTAAACAAGGAAGAAGTTGAATGCCTGAATAGACCAATAACAGGCTCTGAAATTGAGGCAATAATTAATGGCCTACCAATCAAAAAAAGTCCAGGACCAGACAGATTCACAGCCAAATTCTACCAGAGGTACAAAGAGGAGCTGGTACCATTCATTCTGAAACTATTCCAATCAATAGAAAAAGAGGGAATCCTCCCTAACTCATTTTATGAGGCCAACATCATCCTGTTACCAAAGCCTGGCAGAGACACAACAAAAAAGAATTTTAGACCAATATCCCTGATGAACATCGATGCAAAAATCCTCAATAAGATACTGGCAAACTGAATCCAGCAACACATCAAAAATCTTATCCACCACGATCGGGTTGGCTTCATCCCTGGGGTGCAAGGCTGGTTCAACATATGCAAATCAATAAATGTAATCCAGCATATAAACAGAACCAAAGACAAAAACCACATGATTATCTCAATAGATGCAGAAAAAGCCTTTGACAAAATTCAACAGCCCTTCATGCTAAAAACTCTCAATAAATTAGGTATTGATGGGACGTACCTCAAAATAATAAGAGCTATTTATGACAAACCCACAGCCAATATCATACTGAATGGGCAAAAACTGGAAGCATTCCCTTTGAAAACTGGCACAAGACAGGGATGCCCTCTCTCACCATTCCTATTCAACATAGTGTTGGAAGTTCCGGCCAGGGCAATCGGGCAGGAGAAAGAAATAAAGGGTATTCAATTAGGAAAAGAGGAAGTCAAATTGTCCCTGTTTGCAGATGACATCATTGTATATTTAGAAAACCCCATCGTCTCAGCCCAAAATCTCCTTAAGCTGATAAGCAACTTCAGCAAAGTCTCAGGATACAAAATCAATGTGCAAAAATCACAAGCATTCTTATACACCAATAACAGACAAACAGAGAGCCAAATCATGAGTGAACTCCCATTCACTATTGCTTCAAAGAGAATAAAATACCTAGGAATCCAACTTACAAGGGATGGGAAGGACCTCTTCAAGGAGAACTACAAACCACTGCTCAACGAAATAGAAGACACAAACAAATGGAAGAACATTCCACGCTCATGGATAGGAAGAATCAATATCGTGAAAATGGCCATACTGCCCAAGGTAATTTATAAATTCAATGCCATTCCCATCAAACTACCAATGACTTTCTTCACAGAATTGGAAAAAAAACTAATTTAAAGTTCATATGGAACCAGAAAAGAGCCCACATTGCCAAGACAATCCTAAGCCAAAAGAACAAAGCTGGAGGCATCACGCTATCTGACTTCAAACGATGCTACAAGGATACAGTAACTAAAACAGCATGGTACTGGTACCAAAACAGATATAGACCAATGGAACAGAATAGAGTCCTCAGAAATAATACCACAGATCTACAACCATCTGATCTTTGACAAACCTGACAAAAACAAGAAATGGGGAAAAGAGTCCCTATGTAATAAATGGTGCTGGGAAAACTGGCTAGCCATATGTAGAAAGCTGAAACTGGATCCCTACCTTACACCTTATACAAAAATTAATTCACGATGGATTAAAGACTTAAATGTTAGACCAAAAGCCATAAAAACCCTAGAAGAAAACCTAGGCAATACCATTCAGGACATAGGCATGGGAAAGGACTTCATGACTAAAACACCGAAAGCCATGGCAACAAAAGACAAAATTGACAAATGGGATCTCATTAAAATAAAGAGCTTCTGCACAGCAACAGAAACTACCATCAGAGTGAACAGGCAACCCACAGAATGGGAGAAAAGTTTTGCAATCTACGAATCTGACAAAGGGCTAATATCCAGAATCTACAAAGAACTTAAACAAATTTACAAGAAAAAAATCAAACAACCCCATCAAAAAGTGGGCAAAGGATATGAACAGATACTTCTCAAAAGAAGACATTTATGCAGCCAACAGACACATGAAAAAATATTCATCATCACTGGCCATCAGAGAAATGCAAATCAAAACCACAATGAGATACCATCTCACACCAGTTAGAATGGTGATCATTAAAAAGTCAGGAAACAACAGGTGCTGGAGAGGATGTGGAGAAATAGGAACGCTTTTACACTGCTGGTGGGACTGTAAACTAGTTCAACCACTGTGGAAGACAGTGTGGCGATTCCTCAAGAATCTAGAACTAGAAATACCTTTTGACCCAGCCATCCCATTACTGGGCATATACCCATAGGATTATAAATCATGCTGCTATAAAGACACATGCACATGTATGTTTATTGTGGCACTATTCACAATAGCAAAGACTTGGAACCAACCCAAATGTCCATCAATGATAGACTGGATTAAGAAATTGTGGCACATATACACCATGGAATACTATGTAGCCATAAAAAATGATGAGTTCATGTCCTTTGTAGGGACATGGATGAAGCTGGAAACCATCATTCTGAGCAAACTATCGCAAGGATAGAAAACCAAACACCACATGTTCTCACTCACAGTTCGGAATTGAACAATGAGAACAGTTGGACACAGGGTGGGGAACATCACACACCGGGGCCTGTCGTGGGGTGGGGGGACGGGGGAGGGATAGCATTAGGAGATATACCTAATGAAAATGATGAATTAATGGGTGCAGCACACCAACATGGCACATGTATACATATGTAACAAACCTGCACGTTGTGCACATGTACCCTAGAACTTAGAGTATAATAATAATAATAATAATAATAAAGATGAGCACTCCCACCTATTCTTGGGCCCTTCTCCTCTCCATTCATAACTGATCAGAGGAACAACATCCACAATGGCTAGGTCCAGCACCAAAAAGTATAAGTACTCCAAAAGACATCAAACCCCAACCTCCAGAAAGAAAGCAAAGAAAGCATATTCCAGCATTGATTTTGGCCATGGAAATTACTCATTCTTTGTAAACAAGGTCCTAAAGGAAGTGGTGCCCTGTAGAGGCATATCATCTCGCACTTTAGACCTCATGAACGCTCTGATTAACTTCTTATTTCAACACATTGCCATAAAAGCTTACAGGCTGATGTATTCTAGAAATCGCTGTACTCTCCCCCTGAAGATATCCTGAAGGCAGTGTATTTGCTGTTGCCTCAGAAAACAGCTAACTATGCAGCGGCTTTTGGAAGTGAAGTGGTCCACAGATATGTCCACTCCTAAACTGCATGTGCCAGCTTCATTGATCAAACTTATCATCCAAATGATCACCTCAACATTGAATTCATTCTTTTTTATTTATTTTTTCTTCCAACTTTTATTTTAGGATCAGGGTGTACATGTGCAGGTTTGTTACATGGATAAGTTGCATGTCACTGGGGTTTGGTGTACGAATGATTTCATCACTCACATAGTGAGCATAATACCCAGTAGGTAGCTTTTTATCCTCACCCTCCTCCCACCCTTCACCCTCAAGCGAGTCTTGGTGTCTATTGTTCCTGCCTTTGTGTCCATGTATACTCAATGTTTAACACCCACTTATGAGAACATGCAGTATTTGGTTTTCTGTTTCTGCATTAATTCACTTAGGATAATGGCCTCTAGCTGCATCATGTTGCTGCAAAGAACATGATTTCACTCTTTTATGGCTGCATAGCATTCCATGGTGTATATGTACCACATTTTCTTTATCCAGTCCACTGTTGATGGACATCTAGGTTGATTACATGTCTTTGCTATTGTGAAACGTGCTGCAATAAGCATGCACATGCATGTGTCTTTATGATAGAATAATTCATATTCCTCTGAGCATATATCCAGTAATGGGATTGCTGGGTCTAGTGGTAATTCTGTTTTAAGTTCTTTGAGAAATCACCAAACTGTTTTCCACAGTGGCTGAACTAATTTGCATTCCCACCAGGAGTGTATGAGTATTCTCTTTTCTTCACAACCTTGCCAACATCTATTATTTTTTGACTTTTTAATAATAGCCATTCTGACTGGCGTGAGATAGTATCTCATTGTAGTTTTGATTTGCATTTCTCTAATGATGAATGATCTTGAGCATTTATTCATATGCCTGTTGGTTACCTGTATGTCTTCTTTTGAGAAGCGTCTGTTTATGTTCTTTGCCCATTTTTTAATGAGGTGGTTTCTTTTTTGCTTGTTTAAGCTCCTTATAGATTCTGGATATTAAACCTTTTGTCAGATGTTTAGTTTGCAAAAATGTTCTCCCCTTCTGTAGACTATCGGTTTACCCTGTTGATAGTTTCTTTTGCTGTGTCCCAGCTCTTTAGTTTAATTAGGTCTCATTTATCAATTTCTTTGTTTTGTTGCATTTGTTTTTACAGCGTTTGTCATGAAATCTTTGCCGAGGTCTATGTCCAGAATAAATAGTATTTCCTAGGTTCTCCCCACTAGGGTCTTTATAGTTTTGGGTTCTATGTTTAAGTCTTTAACCCGTCTCAAGTTGATTTCTGTATATGGTGAAAGGTATGGGTCCAGTTTCAGTCTTTTGCATATGGCTAGCCAGTTATTCCAGCATCATTTATTGATAAGGGAATCCTTTCCCCATTGCTTATTATTGACTTTGTCAAAGATCAGATGATTGTAGGTGTGTGGCTTTATTTCCGGGTTGTTTAACATGCTTCATTGGTCTATGTGTCTGTTTTTATACCAGTAGCATGCTGTTTCAGTTACTGTAGCCTTGTAGTACAGTTGAAGTCAGATTGCCTCCAGCTTTGTTCTTTTTGCTTAGGATTGCTTTGACTATTAGGGTTCATTTTTGGTTCCATATGAATTTTAGAACGGTTTTTTTTTTCTATCAAGAATGTCATTGGTAGTTTGATAGGAATAGCATTGAGTGTATAAATTGCTTTGGGCAGTTATGGCTATTTTAACAATATTGATTCTTCCTATCCATTAGCATGGAATATTTTTCTATTTGCTTGTGTCGTCTCTGATTTCTTTCGGCAGTATTTTACTGTAATTCTTGTTGTAGAGATCTTTCGCCTCCCTGGTTAGCTGTATTTCTATGCATTTTATTCTTTTTGTGGTGATTATGAATAGGATTGCATTCTTGATTCAGCTCTCAGCTTGGACATTATTGGTATATAGAAATGCTACTGATTTTTGTACATTGATTTTGTATCCTGAAACTTTATTAAAGTTATCAGTTCTAGGAGCTTTTGTGCAGAGGCTATGGGGTTTCCTAGGTATAGAATCATATCATCCATGAAGAGAGATAGTTTGACTTCCTGTCCTCCTATTTAGATGCCTTTTATTCCCTTCTCTTGCCTAATTGCTTTGGCTAGGACTTCCAGTACTATGTTGAATAGGAGTAGTGAGAGTGAACATCTGTCTCTTCCATTTCTCAAGGGAAATGCTTCCAGCTTTTGCCCATTCACTATGATGTTGGCTATGGGTTTGTCATATATGGCCCTAATTATTTTGAGGCATGTTCCTTTGATGCCTAGTTTGTTGAAGGTTTTTAACATGAACAGGTGTTGAATTTTATCAAAAGCCTTTTCTGCATCTATTGAGATGATTATGTGGCTTTTGTTTTTAGTTCGTTTATGTGATGAATTGCATTAATTGATTTGCATATATTGAATCTACCTTGCCTCCTAGGGATAAAGCCTACTTGATCAAGGTGGATTAGCTTTTTGAAGTGCTGCTGAATTCGATTTGCTAGTATTTTGTTGAGGATTTTTGCATCTATGTTCATCAGGGATATTGGCCTAAAGTTTTCTTCTTCATTGAGTTTCTGCCAAGTTTTGCTATCAGAATGATGCTGGCCTCACTGAATGAGTTAAGGAAGAGTCCTTCCTCCTCAATTTTTTGAAATACTTTCAGTAGAATTGATACCAGCTCTTTTTTTTTTTTTTTTTTTGTGGTAGGGCCTCACTCTGTTGCCCAGGGTGGAGTGCAGTGGTGTGATCACAGCTCACTGCAGCCTTGATCTCCTGGGCTCAAGCGATCCTCCCACCTCAGCCCCCCAAGTAGCTGGAACTATAGGCATGCACCACCACATCTAGTGAATTTTGTACTTTTTGTAGAGACAGGGTCTCGCCATGTTTTCCAGGTCAGTCTTGAACCCCTGTCCTCAGATAATCCACCCACCTCAGCCTCCCAAAGTGCTAGGATGACAGGCATGAGCCGCTGTGCCTGGCCTACCAGGTCTTCTTTATATATCTGGTAGAATTTGGCTATGAATCCATCTGGTCCAAGGGCATTTTTCTGGTTGGTAGGTTTTTTATTAATGACTTAATTTTGGAACTCATTATTGGTCTATTCAGTTATTAAATTTCTTCTTGGTTCAATCTTGGAAGGCTGTAGACTTCCAGGATGTTACCATTTCTTCTAGGTTTTCTCATTTGTGTACATAGAGGTGCTCATAGTAGTCTCTGAGGGGTTTTCTTTTGTATTTCTGTGGGTTCAGTGGTAATGTCACCTTTGTCACTTCTAATGCTGTTTATTTGGATCTTCCTTTTTATTACTATCTTATTTATTCTTAAAAAAACCCACTTTTGGTTTCATTAATCTTTTGCATGGATTTTTGCATCTGAATTTTGTTCAGTTCAGCTCGAATTTGGGTTATTTCTTTTCTTCTGCTAGGTTTGGAGTTGGTTTGCTCTTAATTTTTCTAGCTCCTCTAGGTGGGATGTTAGGTTGTTAGAGATTTTTCTGATTTTTTGACATAGGTATTTGGCACTATAAACTTTCCTCAACACTGCTTTAGCTATATCCTGGAGATTTTGGTGTGTTGTATTTTTATTTTCATTAGTTTCAAAGAATTTCTTGATTCCTGCCTTTATCCAAAAGTCATTCGGGAGCAGATTGCTTAATTTCCATGTAATTGTATGGTTTTGAGAGATCTTCTTGGTATTGATGTCTATTTTTACTGCTCCATGGTCTGAGTGTGTGGTTGGCATGATTTCAGGTTTTTTTAATTTGTTGAGAATTGCCTTATGGCTGAGTCTGTGGTCAATCTCACAGTATGTGCCATGTGCAGATGAAAAGAATGTATATTCTGTTGTTTGGTGCAGTGTTCTATAGATGTCTGTTAGGTCCATTTGGTCAAGTGTCAAGTTTGGGTCCCAAATATCTGTTAGTTTTCTGCCTTGATGATCTATTTCTTGGTATTTTCCTGTTTCTCTTATCTCCAGAGATGAATACTTTCTTGCTATTTTGCCTTTTAGCTAGTTGGCCATTTAGGTTTACCTGACACCTGATTCCCACCCAGACTTCTGTCAAAACCTTGTTTTTCCTATGAATATGTAAAGCTCATTATATAAATTCGATGTCTATTGTACCATAAGTTTTTGTTAACTATGCACAGGATGATTTTATTCAGCTAAATATGACTATCAGATCATAATGACTTTGAATTTATTGAGACATATTAAGACAAACATCCTAATAAGTATACTAGCAGTGAAAAATTTCCATCAAAAAGTATTTCATAGAGCAAATTTCATTCAACCAATTTAGTTCCTGAATGAATTCTTGAAAGAGCATATTAACTATTAAAACTATTTGTTTTCCTTCTTATTTCCAGATTTTCCACTGCGCAGTTCACGTCTATGTAAATTTTCTTGAAGAAAATTTCTTAAAGATTTGGTTCATTAAGGTTAATTGTTCCACATTTAGAACACTCATGAACCTACCACCAAATTCATGAACTTAAGAACCTCACAAAGGTCTCTGAAGCTCTTTCCCAATCCCATCTGCCTCTTCACTATCTTGAGTTTTGTTTCTTTCCCATTTTTAATTTGTACTGTTGCTACCTATATGTGTGTCTCTAAAGAATAGGTTTAATTTTGCTTATGTTATAACATAGGGATACTACATGTGTTCTTCTGTGCCTGGACTTTTCTTTTAACACTATGTGTCCAAGATTTGTACCTATTAATATATGTGGCTCTAGTTCATTCTTTTTACTCCTATGCTATAAGATTCTATAGTATAAACATACTGCAATTTATTTACCCATGCTCTAGTAATAGAGGTTTAGCTTGTTTTCAGTTTTTTTACTATTATGAACAATGATGCTATAATCATGAGAGTTGTAATAATAGCTAAAAATATAGCATTTGGATTGTGCCCAGCACAATGTATGTATGTTAACTTATTATGTATGTATATTAACTTATTTAACCCCCATGACAACCTTGTAAGGATAAAATAATTGTTCTCACCCCACATGTCAGGAAAACGGGGCACAGAGAACTACGCAATTTATCCGAGGTCACACAGCTGTGTAAGGAGCAGAGCTGGGATTTGATCAGGTTAAAAGAGACTCTGTGGACCCTCTGCTACATGCTGTGAGTGTTATTATAAATGTCTTCTGGTACACATGTCCAATAATTTTTTAGGAAAACTATCTAAGCATGGAATTGCTGGATCACTAATATGCCCATATTCAACTTTATTAAATATTGCCAGGCTGTCTTCTGTTGTATCAATTTACATTTGTAATAGATGAAAGTAATTTAGGTTCTTCTGGTTACAAGGAACACATAAATTCCCTCAACAAAAAGTGGTTTATTATATGTATACTGTGGGATTGGAACTGAGCCTATTCTAGGGAATAACCACCCCCTCGTCTCTCACTTAGGACCCACTCTGTTCCTCCTGGGGTGGCTTACTTCTACATGCTTCCTTATCAGAGTTTCAGGAAATAAACCCAATGTGCTTCACTCATTCTATCTGAGTCAGGCCCAGAGAGGGGTTGCTGGCACTCTAAAGATTGGCTTACCTTTATCTCATGCCCACATCTACCTATTAACTGTGGCTTGGTGACAAAAGGGCTTCATGATCTTCCAGAGGTCAGCAAATTATAGCCTTTTACTTCAGGGCCCCACTAGCTAAGAAGAGTTTTTATATTTTTATAGGGATGTTTAAAAAAATTTTTTAAAGACTATTCAACAGGCCTAATGTGGTCCACAAAGCCTAGGATGTTTAATTACTATCTGGCTTTTTACAGAAAAAGTTAGCCAACTCTTGGTCTGTACAATGCTGCTATTTTTGCAGAATCTATAGTAATTCAGGTTTTCTAAGGCTTTTTTAGTTCAGTTCAGTTCACAGATATGAAAAGTTCATAGCTGGCTTTTCAAATCACTGGAATGAGAGGAATGAATACAAATGGCACTCAACAATTGGGGCAATGGTCTAATCATTCACAGAAAATATTTATTACAAATTGAAGTGTTAACATTAAGTAAAGGGAACTAGGAATTTTTCCATATGTTATTATCTCTGTTTTGTGTATGTTTTATAGCATTTTAAAAAAAATAACATTTCAAAATAAGATCAAGATTCTTGGGAAAAAAATTCTAGAAATGCCTTTAAGACTGATTTTATAAATGCATGTGTATAAAAATATAAAATATTTTTATATAAAATGGTAAAATATAAAATTTACATAAAATTTAGCATTTTAACCAATTTTAAGAGTATAGTTCAGTGGCATTAAATGTATTCATATTGTACAACTATCACCATCATCCATCTCTAGAACCCTTTCATCTTCCCAAAATGAAACCATACCCATTAAACAAAATATCTCCACTCCTCCTCCCCCGAGGCTCCGGCAACCGCCATTCTACTTTTTGTCTCTATGAATCTGACAATTGTAGATACCTCATATAAGTAGAATCAGACAGTACTTGTCCTCTAGTGACCGACTTATTTCACCTAACATAATGTCTATAAGGCTTATCTATATTGTAATATGCATCAGAATTCCCTTTCTTTTTAATGCTGAATAATATTTGATTATATGTAGACACAATATTTGTATTATCCATTCATCCACTGATAGACACTTGGATTGCTCCCACCTTTTGGCTATTGTGAATAATACTGTTATGAACATGAGTGTATAAATGTCCATTTGAGGCCCTGTTTTCAATTCTTTTGGGTATATACTCAAAAGTGAAATTCCTGGATCATAAGGTAATTTTATTTTTAACTTTTTGAGGAACCACTATACAGTTTTTTACCAAGGTCATAACATTTTACATTCTCAGCATCACTACACAAGGGTTCCAGTTTCTCCACATTCTTGCCAACCCTTATTTACTGATTTTTTAAAATAATACCTATTCTAATAGGTGAAAAGGGGTATCTCCTTGTGTTTTTTATTTGCATTTCTCTAGTGATTAGTGATGTTGAGCATCTTTTCATGTGCTTTTTGGCCATTTATATAGTTTCTTTAGAAAATGTCTACTCAAGTCCTTTGCCCATTTTTAAAATTGGATTGTATGGTTTTTTTGTTGTTGAGTTGGAGTTCTTCACATATTCTTGATATTTCTCCCTTCTCAGATATCTCAGGTATATCTTTCTTTTTTTTCTTTTTTTTTTTTTTTTTTTTCTGATACAGGGCCTGGCCATGTTGCCCAGGCTGGTCTCAAACTCCTGGTTTCAAGTGATCCTCCCACCTCAGCCTCCCAAAGTACTGGGATTACAGGCATGAGCCACTGCACCTGGCCACTGATACACAAAGCTTTTGATTTTGATGAAGTACAATTTGTCTACTTTGTCTTTTGTTGCCTGTGCCTTTGGTGTCATATGCCAGTTTATTTTCGTGTTGCTCCTTTATGAGAAACATTTTCTATAACAATATTAACATTTTTAAAAATATTTTGGAGTCAATTCATAAAATTAACATAGCTTCTAAAATTTATGTTAGTCTCATACTAGCTAACACCCTAATTTTGACCCTTTCTGAAGGATCAAATACATATTTTTTACATCAATAGGCCATTTTACCCCACTATTTTTTTAATCTTGGACCCAAGTAAGCTCAGACACTTAAATGGCAAAGACAAAGTAGCACAGACTGGTTGTAGTTATCTAATATACATTTATTCCTTCTCAGAAATAGAACCCACAATTTTCAGCTGAGCACATGGCCACCCAGGACAAAGACTGCATTCCCAAGACTTCCTTTTTGAGCTAGATGTGGCCCTGTGACCAAGTTCTGATAAATGGGAATGCATATGCAACTTACAGGGAGTGTCCTTAAATAGCAGCAGAGTGTTTTCCTTTTCCTGCTGGCTGGACTGATGATGTGAAGGCTGGAAAGGAACAGCTCTCTTAAACTAGGAGTTGAACCTGTGTATTAAGGATGGCAGAGCAGCATGCTGGAGAGAGCCTTGGTCTCTGATGATTGAACTGCCATTCTAGCTCAGGACTGCTTCTGTTTACATAAGATAAATAAGCTTTTAACTTGTTTAAGCCATTGTTATTTTGAGTTTCTATCATTCACAGTCAAACCTAATTCTAATATAGACATCCAGAAGACTATGGACTGCTACACAATGTGGTTAGTTTTATTAAATAAAACATATTAATCTAGAAATGGAGGAAGATGAACGTCTTATATATTTGCCAGACAATGTTGCTAGAAAATGAAATCTTGTGCCACTTAGCAGCCTTTTCTCAGGGAGATGGCAGGAGCTTGCTTGTTTTTAGTCTATTGCACACATGATATGATTATGAAACATTGTGTAAAATGCAAAAATATGTGAGAGATTCAAAGAAGATAGGAAACAGAATTTTCCCCTATGTCAACAACATGAACAATATGTGGATTTTGTCATAATTTGAAGCTAGTGGCACATGGTATCATAGAAGATGCCACACACCAACAAGAAAGAACAATGCTGACTTTTCAAAACAAATCACCCAAACAATAAAGTTCTATCAAATTTACAGATTATTCTTCTCTAACTTAAGAAACCTTGCTTTGGAAATAAATAATATACTATCTTATATAATATATATGCTATAATTTACTATAATTGTTTAAAGACTTGCTATGCACACTGCTAGCTTGTTCTTGTATGAGCTAAATGTGTCAGAAAGTACTGGGGAATAGGAAAGTATCACCAAGTAAAATAACACCTTACATATGGTGCTTATAGTTCATTTATGCATTCACAAAGTATTGAATGCCTTCTTTGCACTAGATGCTGAGAAAACAAAGACTAGTTCCATCCCTTTGAAAGTTTAGGATCTTATGAAACAGCAAACTGAAAAGAAAATAAATTACTGGGAACGGCTGACATGCATTGAGCGTCTGACTCTCATGTAGGCATAATTCTAAGGACTCCATGTTTGTCACCTCAATATAAAACCCAAAGCAACCACATGAGACAGATACTGTTATCACTTCACAGACAGGGAAACTGAGGAATGAAAAAAGCTAAAAAACTTGCAGAGGTCACACAGGTAGTCATTTTAAAAAACTGATTTATGGCCGGGCGCGGTGGCTCACACCTGTAATCCCAACACTTTGGGAGGCCGAGGCAGGCTGATCACCTGAGGTCAGGAGTTTGAGAGCAGCATGTGAACATGGGGAAACCCTGTCTCCACTAAAAATACAAAAATTAGCCGGGCATGGTGGCACAGGCCTGTAATCCCAGCTACTTGGGAGGCTGGGGCAGGAGAATCGCTTGAACCCAGGAGACAGAGGTGGCAGTGAGCCGAGATCACGCCACTGCACTCCAGCCTGGGTGAGAGAGCAACACTCTGTCAAAAAAAAAAAATTAAAAAGGGCGACTTACACTCACATACTGTGGCTTCAGAGCCCGCAACACAATGCAATACTGCATCTCATATGGAAGGAATCATGTAGAAGATGCTGTGGAACATGAGAGAAACATCCAACCCACACCAGAAAGCCATTTTAGAGGGGATGATGCCTGACCTAGGTCTTGAAGGATGAGTAGAAAATTCATGTAAGGCAGAAGCAACAATAACTGCTAATGCATAGGGCAATAAATAGCATAAACTTAAGGTAATTGCAGTTTAAGTGGCTGCAAATAAGCACAGAAGGGAGGTTGGTGAAAATGAGATTAGAGAGGTAGGCAAATATCTGTCAGCTAACTTATCGCTTGAATTTGATCCCAGTACCTATGAGAAGATTTATAGAAGGACTTAAAGGAGGAGAAATGTGATTTCATTTATATTTAGATTATTCTCACAGTAGTAACATGGAGGATGAATTAAAGCAAGGTGAGTCCAGTGTGCATACTATTGGAATTATCCAGGAAAGTCTTGATGAGGGCCTGAACCAAGCCAATGGCAGTGGAGATGAGGAGAAAGAGATAAATTTGAAAGGAATTTTGGAGGCAGAATCCACAGGAGATACATGCAATGTGTGCAATAACAGAGAAACCGCCGATTAGGGATTCCCAGAGCTCTGGCCCAAGAGACTGGATGGATCCAAGACATTAAGCACAGTTTACTTAGCAGTTCCATGTAAAATATCTAGACGGTATGCAAGGAAGTTGTAAATGGTGCCACATAAGAAGTATTACAAGAGCGTTCAAAGTACAGAGAATCTGGCAAAAGTCAAATGACCTTGGGCAGGTGACTAGCACTTGCTTAAAGCTTAGCTAGAAGAGGACAGCTTGAATTTTTAATACTCCAGATCATTTTTTAATCACAGCTCTGTGCTATGCCACACATCATGTGTTAACAGATTTTTCTCACCTCTGACAGCTGATTATTTCAGAAGACATTTGGCAGTATGGGGAATAACTAGCAGACTATGTAAATATACGGGAAGAAAATAGCAACCTATAAATATAAGTCAGGTTGGAAGGTTATTCAGCTGCATCCAAAATAAAGAATCTAGAATATAATTTGGGTTATTTGCAAAAGGAAAGAGTGACCACTGATTGATTCTAGCCTGAGTTTGGAAACAACAGAGATATTCCTAGAAGGAAAGAAAGCACATGTTGCTTTGAAATTGATCTTTAACTGTTTATTATTGAGGATGATGATTCTTCCAAAAAGCCTCTTTTTAAAACTAAAGAGCTTTTGATTGCTCAACAAATGAGAAAACTATTAGATGGAAAATCATCAAGGATATAGAATATTTGAAAAATATAATTAACCAACAGTACCCAATTGACATATAAAACATTCCACCCAAAAAAAACGGAATAGACACTTTTTTCCAGTGCCCATGGAACATTCATTCACCAAGGTAGACCATCTCCTGGGCCATAAAACCTCAACAAATGTTTTAAAATTAAAATCATACAGAGTGTTTTTCTAATCACAACAGAAACAAACCAGGAATCAGTAATAAGATAAAATTTTCTTAAAATACTTAGAAATTAAACAACACACTTTTAAATGACCCATGGGTCAAAGATGGAGTTCAAACAAAAATTTTTAAACACATAAAACTTCAATGCAATTAAAATTACAACATATCAAAATATGTGGGATGCAGTTAAAGCAATGCTGAGAAACTTACAGCACTTACATTTCTAATGCTTACATTAGAAAAGAGGAAAGATCTCAAATTAATAAACTAAGTTCCCACCTCAAGAAATTAGAAAAACAAGATCAAAGCAAACTCAAACCCAGCAGAAAAAAGGAAATAATAAGAGCAGAAATCAATGAAATAAAAAATAGGAAAATGATAGAGAAAGTCAACGAAATAAGAGGGTGGATTTAAAAAAATCAATAAAATTGATAATCCTCTAGCGATACTGGTAAAAAATAAAAAGAGAAGACAAAAGTTATCAATAGCAGGAATGAAATAAGATATCACTACAGATCCTGCAGCCAGTAAAAGGATGATAAGGAAATACTACATGTATTAGTCCATTTTCACAGTGCTATAAAGAACTGCCTGAGACTGGGTAATTTATAAAGGAAAGAGGTTTAATTGACTCACAGTTCAACATGGCTAGGGAGGCCTCATGAACTTACAGTTGTGGTGGAAGGTGAAGGGGAAGCAAGGCACCTTCTTCACAAGGCATCAGGAAGGAGAAATGCCAAGAGAAGGGAGAAGAGCCCCTTATAAAAACCATCAGAACTCATGAGAACTCACTCACTATCACAATAACATCATGGAGGAAACCATCCCCATGATTCAATTACTTCTACCTGGTCTCTCCCTTGACACATGGGGGTTATGAGGATTATGGGGATTACAATTCAAGATGAGGTTTGGGTGGGGACTACAAAGCCTAACCATATCACTACATAACAACCTCACGTTCATGTAGTCAACAACTTTGAAGAAATAGACCAATCAATTCCTTAAAAATAACAAACTACCAATACTCTGCCTAGATTACATTGATAACCAAATTACCCCTATAGCCATTAAATCAAATTTATAATTTAAAAGCTTCTGAATAAGAAATCTTGGACTCCCAATTTCTGGTCCAACATATAAGAAACTTTGACGTGGTCACTCTGCCCTAATCACAAGTAAAAAGCTGAATAACCTGAAAAATCAACAGCTCCTCTTAGGTCCATAAGAGAAGAGAGCTTGTAGGGCAAATTGCTGCCCCCCAAATTGGGAAGCAGGTAAATACAGAGAATCATAATTTACCAAAGCAGGAGCTCTTGAGCAGAAACCTATGTGGAACTGGTGACAGGGTGGGAGAATCTGAACTGTAATTGACAAATTGCTGGAGGCTCAGTGTGGACAAGTCTGGAAGATAAAAACTCCAGGGATACCCAGTCAAGGGGAATGGGGAAGATGGCACATTTTTGTGAGAGTAAATATCAGAGAAACATCCCTTAATGATTCCAGTAAAAGGAAAGAAAATGAGTAATTGTGAATGCTCCAGAGCATTCTGTTCTTCTTAACAAAGCCTGCCCTCAGAAGAAACAAATCACAGCCTAACCTGCTGGGGTTTTATCAGAGCCTAGCTGACCTGGGGGAAAGGAAATATCCAACCAGCTGGTTCAAGCCTTCTTAGTAACACAAGAAAAATACCCAACTCAAGCCTCCTCTAGCCATCCTGTCCCACCTAAAGGGGAAAAACTGAGAACCACTCCCTAAGTTTACAGTCCAGAGGCATGGGCTCACTAAAAGACTGAGACCTAACCACAGGGCTATGGAAGACTTCCCTCACCCCACATCTTACTACCACATTACGAAAGGCTTATTTACAAAGTTCTCTTTACCCAGTACACCATGTCAGGCTATCAAAAAAAAATTACATAGAAAGAAAAAAATGATTGCTATTTACAGATGGCTGATAAAGACCACAAATCTGTGACTAGCATCTTTTTATCATTTTTTTTTTTTTTTTGAGACAGGCTCTCACTCCATCTCACTGTGTCGCCCAGACTGGAGTGCCGTGTCACGATCTCGGCTCACTGCAACCTCCGCCTCCCAGGCTCAAGCAATTCTCTTGTCTCAGCCTCCAGAGTAGCTGGGATTACAGGCCCAGGCTCAAGCAATTCTCTTGTCTCAGCCTCCAGAGTAGCTGGGATTACAGGAGCACGCACTACTACTCAGCTAATTTTTGTATTTTTAATAGAGACAGGGTTTCACCATGTTGGCATGCCTGATCTTGAACTCCTGACCTCAAATGATACATCTGCCTCGGCCTCCCAAAGTGCTGGGATTACAGGCGTGAGCCACGGTGGCCAGCTTCAGCCTCAGTTTTAATGATGAAAGACTGAACACTGAATATTTTCCTCAGAAGATTGAGAACCAGATAAGAATGTTCACTTTTATTATTTCCTCTAAACATTGTTCTGGTGATGCCAGGAAAATTATGCAAGAAAAAAAAGACCTTCAGTTTGAAAAGTGAAAAATAAGTTATCTTTATTTCAGATGACATCAAAAAAGAAAAAACTACAAGGTATACTAAAAGGTGAAAAACATAATGTGAAAAAACAGAGTTAAGTATCAGAACCAGACCCAGATATAGCAGGGATGTTGGAATTACCAAATTGGGAATTTAAAACAACTATGATTAAGATGATAAGGGCTTTAATGTGTAAAGTAAACACTATGCATACAGATGGGCAATGTAAGCAGAGAGGTGAAATTCTAAGTAGAAACCCAAAAGAAATGCTAGAAATCGAAAACACAGAACTACAGAATAATGAGCTTATTGGCACATTGGACATGGCTGAGGAAGGAATCTCTGAACTTGAGGATATCTCAACAGAAACTGCTAAGACTGAAAAACAAAGAGAAAAAAAGACTGAAAACCCCCCAGAATATTCAAGAACTGTGGGACAACTATATAAAAGGTATAACACACATACAATGACAATACAAGAAAGAGACAAAAGGAAGGGAAGAAAAATATCTGAAATGATAATAACTGGGAACCTTACCAAATTAATGTCAGATGCCAAACCACAGATCTAGGAAGCTCAGAGAACACCAAGCAGGATAAATGTCAAAAAACTATGCCTCAGCATATTCAAACTACAGAAAACTAAAGATAAACCAAAAATCAGGAAAAAAGCCACAGGGGAAAAAAACACCTAACTTACAGAGAAGCAAAGATAAGAATTACATCCAGCTTCTCAGAAACCATGCAAGCTGGAAAAGAATGGAGTGAAACATTCAAAGTGTTGAGATAAAAAGAAAAAAAGCCAACCTAAAATTCTGCAAAATTATATTTCAAAACTGAAGGAGAAATAAAGACTTTCTCAGACAAATAAAAATGGATGGAATGGATTGCCAATAGATTTGCCTTGCAAGAAATGTTGTAAGTTCTTTAGAGAGAAGGGAAAATATATAAGTCAGAAACTCATATCTACATAAAGGAAGAACAAGAAAGAATGAATAAGTGAAGGTAAAATTAAAAGTTTTATTTGTTCTTATTTTAATTAATCCCACAGAGAAGAGTTTGTTCAAAAAAATAATAACAACAATGTACAATAGTTCCCATTTATCTGCAGTTCCGGTTTCTTTGGTTTCATTTACCTATGGTCAACCAAGGTCGAAAATATTACAGGGAGGCTAGGCGCGGTGGCTCACACCTGTAATCCCAGCATTTTGGGAGACCAAGACAGGTGGATTGCTTGAGGCCAGGAGTTTGAGGCCAGTCTGGCCAACGTGGCAAAACCTATCTCTACTAAAAACGCAAAAATTAGCTGGGCCTGGTGGCGCATGCCTGTAATCCCAGCTAAACTCGGGAGGCTGAGGCAGGAAAATCACTTGAACCCGGGAGGCGGAGGTTGCAGTGAGCCGAGATGGCGCCACCGCACTCCAGCCTGGGCAACAGAGTGAGAGACACTGTCTCAAAAAATAATTACAATACAATACAATACAATACAATACAATACAATACAATACAATACAATACAATACAATACAATACAATACCAGTACCAAATGGAAAATTCTAGAAATAAACAATTCGTAAGTTTTGAATTGTCCGCCGTTCTGAGCAATGTGATGAACTCATGCCATCCTGCCTGGGGCGTGAATCATCCCTTCATCCAGCGTATCTATGCTGTATACTAGCGGTCCCCAACTTTTTTGGCACCAGAGACCAGATTTGTGGAAGACAATTTTTCCACGGACGGCAGGGTGGTGAGGGGATGCTTTCTGGATGGAACTGTTCCACCTCAGAGCATCAGGCATTAGATTCTCATAAGGAACACTCAATCTAGATCCCTCGCATACCGGTTCACAATAGGATTAGAGCTCCTATGAGAATCTAATGCCGCTGCTGATCTGACAGGAGGTGGAGCTCAGGCGGTAATGCTTGCCGGGTGCTCACCTCCTGCTCTGCGGCCCGTTCCTAACAAGCTACAAACAGGTCCAGGTCCGCGACCGACGGGGGTGGGGGACCTCTGCTGTGTACCCTAACCACATGTCAGTCACTTAGCAGCCATTTTGGTAATCAAATCAGCTGCCTCAGTATCGCAGTCCTTGTGCTGGGCCCCAAAGCACAAGAGTAGTGATGGTGGCAGTTTGAATAGGCCAAAGGGAAGCCTTAAAGTGCTCCCTTTAAATGAAAAGGTGAGTTTTTTTACTTAATAGGGAAAGGGGAAAAAACCAAATGCTGAGGTTGCTAAATTCTACAATAAGAATGAATTTCAATCCATGAACTGTGCAGAAAGAAAAACAAATGCATGCTAGTTTTGCTGTCAGACCTCAGACTGCAAAAGTTACAGTCACAGTGCATGATAAGTGCTTTGTTAAGATGAAAAAGGCATTAAATTTGTGGGTGGAAGATGTGAACAGAAGTGTGTTCCACTTGATGCCAATCAGTGTCAGTACTATCTTTGATTTCAGGCATCAACTAGGGGTCTTGGAAGGTATCCACTGAAGATAAGGGGGGACTACTGTATTTGATTATGTATCCTTCTGTGTTAGTGAAATGAATGCAAGCAGTGATACACAGAGGATGGCAGGGAGGAATTGTGATTATTTTTTAATTATAAGGTACTTGCACTAATTGTGAAGCAGTATAGTGTTATTTGAACGTGGATTAGTTGTGAATATATATTGCAAACTCTAGGGCAGCCACTGAAAAAAAGGTAAAAAAAAAAAATACAACTGATATGTGAAGAAAGGAGAAAAAAGGAATCATAAAATATTCAATCAAAACCACAAAAGATAGAAAAAGAGTGGAAGACAAAAAGGGAATAAGAAAAAGGAGGAACAAATAGCAGTAATAAATATGCTAGATATTAATCCAAATATATTACTAATCACTTTAAATGTCAGTGGTGTAAGTGTACCAATGAAAAGACAGATTATCCAAATTGATCAAAAAACCACCCAACTCTACATTGTCTGCAAGAAACCCACTTTAAATATAAAGACACACATAGATTAAAAGTTAATGAATAAAGAAAGATATACTATGCTAACACTAACCAAAACAAAGCAGGACTAGCTATATTAATGTTAGAGCAAACTTCAGAGCAAGGAAATTTCTCAGGGATAGAGAGGAGCATTATTACATAATGATAAAAGGCCTAATTCTCCAAGAACACATAACAACCTGTCACCTGACAAGCACACATCAAAATAAAGTAGGCAAAAACTAATAGAACTGCAAAGAGAAAGAGATGAATCCACTACTGTAGTTAGAGGCTTCAATATCCCTCTGTCAGAAATGGACAGATCCATTAGGCAGAAAATCAATAAGGACATAGTTGAACTCAGTGACCCATCAATCAACTGGATATAATTGACAAAAACCTGCACACAGATGTTTATAGTAGCTTTATTCACAGTTACCAAAACTTGGAAAAAAACAAGATGTCCTTCAGTAGATGAATAGATAAAGTGTGGTATATCCAAACAATAGAATATTATTCAGCACTAAAAAGAAATGACTGTCAAGCCATAAAAAGACATAGAGGAAACCTAAATGCTTATTATTAAGTGAAAGAAGCCAACCTGAAAAAGCTACGTGCTGTGCGTAGCTATGTGCTGTGCTGTGTGTCACATACTACAGTATATGACATTCTGGAAAAAGCGAAACTACAGAGACAGTGAAAAGATGAGTGGTTGCCAGGGGAGAGAGGAATGAATAGGCTGAGGATTCGCAGGGCAGTGAAACAACTCTGTGCAGTACTATAATGGCGCATACATGTCATTATACATTTGTGTAAATCCATGGAAGGTATAACACCAAGAGTAGAGCCTAATGTAAACCACAGACTTTGGGTGATAATAATGTGTTAATGTGGGTTCATCAGTTGTAACAAATGCACCACTCTGGTGAAGGAAGTAGATAATGGGGAAGGGTACCCATGCGTGGGGACAAGAGAGCATGTGGAAAATATCTGTACCTTCTGCTCGATTTTGCTGTGAACCTAAAACTGCTCTAAAAAATAAAGTCTATTAAAAGAAAGGAAGGAAGAGAAAGACGAAGGAAGGGAGGAGGGAGGGAAGGAAAGAGGGAAGGAGAAGCCGATCAATTGTCAGATGGTTTCACTGTAGAATTCTACCAAAAATTTAACACCAATTTTACACAATCTCTTCCAGAAAACAGAAAACTACAGACTAGCATCTTTCATGAACTCAGCCACAAAATCCTCTAAGATATTAGGAAATCAAACCCCACAATGTGTAAAAAGAATTATACACCATGACCAAGAAGGATTTAGTCCAGCTATGCAAGAGCTTTTGATATGCAAGAAGTAGAGTTTTTGTTTTTGTTTTTTTGAAACAGGATCTCACCCTGTCACCAGGCTGGAGTGCAGTGGTGTGATCATGGCTCACTGAAGCACCGTGTCCGATTAATTTTTAATTTTTTTAGAGATGGGGGGTCTTGCTATGTTGTCAAGGTGGTCTCGAATTCCTGGGCTCAAGTGATCCTCCCTCCTCAGTCTCTCAGAGTGCTGGTATTACAGGCATGAGCCACCCTGCTAGCCTAAGAAGTAGAGATTTTGATAAGGCATTACAGAAGCCTCACTCTTTGTTCTAGGAAAGCCTACCAGAAAGGGTCTTTGGGTATGCAAGTCACAGGCCATAATGAAAAAAGAAATAGTTAAGAGAGTACCTCTCAAGGAAAAAAGAATGCTCAAGCTGAGATAAGAAAATGTTATCTATGTTATAGGACGAGCTGATTTTCTGCAAACACCATTTCCTTTGGAGGCATGTTTCCTTTTGGATTGTGGTTTTAGACTAACTGTGCCTAAACGCTACTATTGGTCCTTGCGCATTTTTGGTGGATAGTTAATCAAAGATATAAAGGACCTGTTTTCATGAAACACCTTGCGATGGTCTGGGCATAAGTGGTGCAGCTTCAGGGCCCTGGCAATGACGTAGGACCCAAAAGTTAGAGAAAGGGCTGATTTCCCTGTGAGAAATCAGCTGCACTGGATCCAGCATCCCTTTGGCTCCTAGGGGATTTGTAGCTTCAGGGAAAAAAGTATATTCCAGAAAAAATAAATGGAGGCTGCAGACATGGACTCAGGGAAGCTGGAACATGAGAGAGAACACAGCAGTCCCATGTGATGATTGCTCCTAACAGGCTGGACTGTGGGCATGCATGAAGCCAGGGGCCCTTTGAAGAATCACAGAACTTTCTGTGGGAATTTTGCCAGAAGTGTGAGCTACAGGAACTTTGAGTTACTAAAGTTAAAACTGCAAAAACTTAAGATTTTACCCCATCCCCGTGAGTCCTTCCAATGGGCATCTCGTTTTTTCCCTTCTCACTACCACTGGTGGCCTCTCCAGCAGAGGAGGAAGAAAAATCACTTACCATTAAATTAATCTCTGCAGAGATGCATGCTGATCTCCCATCAGGTCAGCCTTTGAGAATGTTATTATCAAACAAAATACCTCTCATCCCTGTCTGATAAGATTTGCATTTGGATTACTCCACAGTTAAAAGGCTTTCAAGAAAAATAACAGATATAATTTAATGTGGTAGCCAGCCTCCAGATGGCTCCCTAATGACTCTTGCCTCCTGGTGCTCATTACCTTCCTTGTATAGTTCCCTCCTACAGTGTATCAGGGTTGGTCTGTGCAACCAACAGAATCCAATGGAAGTGACAATGTGCGACTATCAAGGCTATGTCATTTAAAACATTCTACCCCCTCCTTGTTTTCTCTTTGATCATTCATGCTGGGGAAACCAGCTACCATGTCATGAGAATACCAAAACAGCCCCATGGAGATATCCAAGTGGTGAGGAACTGAGGCCTCCTCCAACTGCCAGCATCAACTTGGCTAACCCTATGAGTGAGCCCGTTTGGAAATGGATCTTCCCGCCCCAGTAAAGCCTTTTGAAGACTACAGCCCTGATCAACATCATAACTGCCAAGTGATGGATTAGCAAATCTCATGGCAGACCCTGAGCCAGAACTATGCAGCTAAGCTATTCCTGAGTTAATGACCCTCAGAAACTTTGTGAAAAATAAATTACTGTTCTTGTTGCAAGTTTTAGGATGATTTGCTAAGCAGCAATATTTAACCTATATACCTAATTTATATCTACATGAATAAGACAACAAAGTAATCCTCCCAAATGAAGAAAAAGACTTCCCCCACAACACATTTTATCTTCTACCTTTAGTCAACTAAAGCAAATTTCTGGCACTTTTCAAATTGAGTCACATTTTTGTCTCCACTTAGAGACAACTGTGTTCAAAAATATAAAGTCTGGGTCCAAAACACCCACTATAGTACCATACAGGCAGCTAGCTAGGCTGCAAGGACTGCTAAATTAATTTAACAAAGCAGAACAAAAATTAGTCTAAATAGTATCTATGGGTAAACAACATCATTATACTCAATTATCTGACTCAGAAGAATAGCCAAAAAATCTGACAGTAATTTGATTTTAAAAGAGAACTATGATAAAATGCTATTATTAAAGAAAAACTAAGTGGTATATTTTCTAAAGCAAAATATCCACAGAAACAAACACATTCAAAATATTTTATTGAAACTCCAAGGAAAATGCTGGCCTTCACATAAGGTGAAGAGCTTAAATAAATCTCAGAGGACTAACTGCAATGTTAGAGGCAAATTAGGATGTGATAAGTAGTGCAAAAAGAAATCACCAGAACCCGAGATAACTACCCAAGTTTTGGAGGATCTCAAAGATGAGATCATGTGTTGTCATCATGTGTGGTTTTGTATTGTACGCTTCATGTGTCTGTCTCTTAACCTAAATTGTAGCTTTTAGAAAGTACGGACTCAGTACCTAGCTGAATTTACTGCTCATAGTAAGTGCTCTAGTCTGAGTTCTCTAGAAAAAAAAAAAAATGAGTGTGAGGCCAGGCTTATGGACAAGTGTAATCCCAGGGCAGCAAGAGAAAAGGAAAAGAAAATTGAAGCAGCAGAATATGGGAAGCAAATGTAAGGTAATGCATTGATCACACTGGCTACTATTCCAAAACAAGCATTGCTTGACTCCCACTTGGCCATGCAGGACCTGTCTGGGCAGGCTATATGGAAAAATCATAACTCAGAACAGTCCACTACAGGGAGAAGTAGGGAGAGAATTTTTCTGCTAGCTCCATCCTGATTCCTATTTCCCCCTAATCAAAATTTGCTCTATGAAGAGTGGATTCCTCTGAACACCCAGGCGGTGGCCACTTCGGCAGCCACTAGCAGCTAGTCTTCTATGTAGAACTTCATAGAAATCTAGTAATGGTAAGATAGGCCAGAGATTCTGAGTGTTAGCCTCAGGTAAGAGAAATGCATGGGCCCACGTAGAGCTCTTCACCACAGTAGCTATGGCAAAGCCATAAAAACACAAGGCTTTAGAAGTCAAGTAAGACTGAAAGACTGCATTTGATATAGCCATTGTTGGTAGATATCTGTGGCTAGACCCTTCTTGTAGTCTGAACGACAAACAGGAAAATAACAGGTACCCAGTATAGCTTCAAATTTCAGTTTTATCCAACTTAATACATAAATCTAGCTTATCTAGTCAGCTTCAGCCAGCTTTTACCCCATACCAGCAGGGCATCATTGTCTTCGAGATACAGCTGAGAGACAAAAAAATGTATTGTCATATTGTCAGTCTTCTATCAAAATTGATCTTTCTAGGAACAACCATCAGGTTTTGGTCAAATTGCTCTTCTCAAATCTTCCCAATGTTTCAGGCTGGTTTCAGAATCCAAAAAATCCAGCCATATCCTGAGTAGCAGCCCAGGTTGATTCATTTTATGCAAATTTTTAGTACATGAATTGGAAATACTAGTAAAGGTATATTTTGTGCATAAAATTTGAAATAATTCAAATTCCCTATTTTTTAAAAGAAATTGCATAAGTTTGAAGCTTGTAAATGGTATTTATATTATTGCCATTTATTGGATCTACTTTAAATGGTAAACAAGCAAACCTACTGTCATTTTTCAGAATGAGTCATGAATTATGTGAGATACTTTAAAACATATACTCACAATGCATCTTCCTGGAATTTTGCTAGTGTTAATATCATTTTACAGATGAAGAAACTGAGTCATACGGTTGAATTTTGGGTCTCAAAGCCAAAGTGTTCAAACTCCAAGTCTTTTCCATTATGTTACATCCATGGTTCCATTCCTATCAACTTGGTGTTATGATCACATGTAATAAGCAAACTTGATCTTCACACATCACATTAATAAAAACATTGGCTGAGCCTGCAATATTCTACCCAATTTGTTCCTTTAAGTTGATTTTAAGCTAGTAATAGATATTCTTTTTATAGTATGGGTCAACTACACATCCATTTATCTACTCTAAATGTCAGCAAGACATTTATCTCCAAGTTCACCATTTATCTCCAAGAAAGTAATAATGGCAATAACCATAAGAATACTAATATTTTTCACTTTTTGAGTACCTGGTACTGCCTTGGAGTCTTCACATATATTATTTCATTTAATTCTCATAACAGCCATGTAAGGCTGTACTATCATCATTTTCATTTTATAGATAGGAAAGCTGAGGCTCAGAGACATTAAATAATTTGGCCCAAATCACATAGCTAGCAAGACTATACTTAGTTCTGGACTCAGATTTTTTACCATTGGCCCAAAGTACGTTATGTTTGCATAGTACATTATATTTGCAAAGTACGTTAGAACTAAAAACAAAAATGTTTGTACATGTGCATTAACTCATTTAATATTTATCACAACTCATTTTATCATTATCACAGCTCATTTTACAGATATGGAAACAGAGGGTCAAGGAGTTTAGATGTCTTTTCCAAGTCAAAAGATATATTTTCTTATAGCTAATGAATGTCAGAGATGGGAGTCAAAGCTCTAGACTCCTTGGTCAGGGTTCTTTGTATGCACTGTTTCTCATTAGAGACTATCAAATGCTTGGTTGAAATCAAGACTATCTGTATTCAACTCATTATTTGCTAATCTATCATCCTAGAAACATCATCTAAAAATTAGTATCCACAAATCCTATTAAATAAAATATCACTTACAACAGTTATGTTCACAAGTTCCTGCCCTCTGAATTAATGAGCAACTTCTACCTTCATGGTTGTAACTGTAGATTTATGCTGCGGCCCCAGGCAAATTTCAGAGAAAAGAGCGATATCTGAGAAAATGATAAGATCCTTACAGTAATACTGAAAACAGGAGTATGGCAATAAGGGTCCTCAAAATAGCTGACGTCTTCAAGGGAAACTAACAAGAGTGTTAGAGAAGGGAAGATAGGACCAGGAGGCTAGAGATGAACAAAAACAAAACACCACATAGTGAAGGCACCTTGACACACTGATAGAAATACAAAGAAAGTTCTCTTGAAAAGTTTCTGATACTTTATTAAAATAATGGTTTATTTAGTAGGATTGGGTTTGGCCATATATAACAGAAAGACCCGAAGTAACAGTGGAAATAAGATGAAAGTTTATACCTCTTTCACATAACAGAAGGCCAGAAATTGGTAGTTCAATGCTAGTGTTAAGGCTTCGTGGTGTTAGAGGCCCAGGATCTTTCTACATTATTGTTTGCCATTTATGGCTTCTATTCCTGATGTCACCTCATGTTCCAGAATAGCTGCTGGAGCTCCAGGCATTAGGTATACATTCCAGGCAATGGGAAAAAAGAAGGGGGAAAGAAGGGTCTACTCTCTCCTTTTAAAAGAGATTTTCCCAAAATAACTCACAACACTTGCATTTTTATCTTTTTGAGCAGATAATCCACCCACACCTAGTTGCAAGGAAGGCTTAAGTCCATTATTTGGGTGTATTGCCGCCATATAAATGCAAGATTCTGTTCGTAAGGAGGAGAGAGAATGGATATTTGAATGTCCAACCACCAGGCTCTGCCACAAATGGGTAAAGGGTAAATATAACAATAATGAGATATAATAATTTACTTGAGATACCTCCTCAAAGACATCCACATCAGGATATTCCAATACCATAAGTAGGTATCATAATACATTTTAGATTTATAAAATTTTTAATGTAAAATCAATTTAGGAACTTTTGTAGTAAGAATAATGGGAATAGATTGGCTGTGAAGCAAAAAATGAGAAAGCTAAGTTTTGTATACCAAAATCATAATATTCCTCTAATCTGGTGGTTGGCTTTTGTCCTCAGGCTGTGTAGCTGGACACACATGATAAGAAACCTTTTACATTTACTGTCATCTTCATTCCCAAATTGTTACACTACAGATTTCTTAAATTGAACTTGTAGCAGCCTGCTTTTCTACTTAACTATATTCATATTTCAAGCAAGCACAGCTCAAATTTCAAGGGAAAACTATCAAAAGTGACATTTAACTCCTATACATTCAAAATACTGCATAGAAACTAACCATTCACCTCTTTCTAAAATCATATGGAAATATGTGATTAAAGCGAAGGAAATTTTGAAAAATTAAGACATATGATGCATTCCTATGCAAAAATAATTGTTTTTCTAAATAAATATAACTTTTTTTTTTTTTTTGCAGAGATCCAGGGGTCTCACTATGTTGCCCAGGCTGGTCTTGAAATCCTGGCCTCAAGTGATCCTCCGGGCTTAAATGATAATAAAATAACTAACTTAATGATAACAAACAATTAACACTTATTAAATGATGATTATGTACCAAGAGGAGAGCTGAGTACTTTATTTATTCAATCATAAACTGTAACAGCTTCAGTGTATTGTCTTAAAATTTTATGCCTTAGGCTCTGTCTTTCATTTATCCTTTTCACAAACATTTGTCAAACACTTACTAAGGTGCCTAGCCCTATACTAAAAGATAAGGATGCAGATATAAAGGAAAGAGACTATTCTAAGAAAGCTCATAGTACTTAAAAAAAAAAACTGGAAAAGGGGAAAAATAAAATGAGTATATTCTAAATCCTGCATGTACTGGCTCTGGACTAGACCATCTTGGTTTAAAATCTGGCTCTATGAGTGTCCCTCTGTAGGACTTGAAGCAAATCACATAATTTCTCTAGGTTTCAGTGTCCTCTGCTGAAAAATAGAGATTACCAAATTACTGAATGAGATAATCCATGTAAAGCACTTAACTTAGTGTTTGGCACAATGTAAGTACTCAATAAGAGTCTGTTGTAATTATTATTTGCTTGTGTAAATGATAGCATCCGGGGACTAAAGGAACACTAGAAAAGACACTGAACTCAGACATGAAGCTGAGGAGACGTTAGAAGGAATGATAGCTAAGTGGAGTATTGAAGGATGTGCAAGTCAGCTATTCCCCCCAAGTTCTCCTGCTTTCCAAAGGCAACCTTCTCTTCAATGCCCAAATGACAATAGCCTGACCTACATCCCTGTAAAAGCAGAAAGTCACATCTTTCATTTGGTTACTTTCTCAAGTATAGCAGTGAAAACCTGAGGAATGATGGCAAGTTCTGCAAATTCTTGGGATCCCCCAGACAGATGCTGTTTCTGGATTATTGGGCTACTCCATGCACAGCATCTCCGCTCAGACCTAACCCCTGCCCTAGACTCTTTCTGCCTCCCCAGCATCATGTAGACCCCAAGCATGGACATAGATCCTTTCATTAATGCCCCCAAGGCACATCTAGGAAGGGGCTATCCCTTTAAATAAGGCTTCACTAAAAGATTTGAAAGAATAGAATACCCCTAGAAGGCAACCTATAGCATGACTAAAGGTGGTTACTTTGAAAGCCACAGACCAAACACAAGTTGACTCTCTCTACCCGACTCCCACAGGTATTTTTTCTAATAGGAGTGGGAGTCAGCTGCACCCCCATCCACAGAAATCTTCAGACACTTCCATATACCAGAGGACAATCTCAATTCCCTCTTTGCTCCCAAGAAACAAGGATTGATTGCCTTCACTCCATTGTCCAAGACCCTTTTCTTTTTCACCTCAGGATGGCAGGAATATGAGAACCCAGTTCCTTCAGGTTGAGGCTGCCCTCATCTCAAAGACACACCCGGGACAATCACTAGAGTGAGTCGTTAAACATTTTTCCAAATCAGGGCTGTTCCTTCTTAAATAGCTTCTGTGTAGGACACCAATGGTCCAGTTCATCTAGCTTCAAGCCGCTCTATATCCTTATCACAGAATTCTATTTGCCTTGAGGGGAAAGGAAGTCCAGACCTGCATGATCTTCCTGCCATGGTTCCCAACCTTGAAACGATGCTGCTTGAACAAAAAGACATGTAATTCCACTAACACAATAATTTTCATGTAAAGGATAGTCTAAATCCAGATTTAGGATTTTTTTTCATTAACTTGCTAATACACTACATTTATATTATTAAACAAACACTTAATATCTTACTCTAAAACTTTTGCATTTGAGATTATTACTTTACATCTTGGGCTTCCCCCAGAAAAATGGATAGGTGTTTGCTCTACAAATACATTACTAAAATAATTCACTCAAGTTGTCCACACTAAAACAAAGGGAAGTTTCACCCCAAAGACAAATGCTTACCTGTTAAGTGTCTCATTTTCTGAGTTCTGCTCTCAACTAGATTATGTGTTAGGATTCTTGCTGCTTTTCCACAAGTGTATGCTTCAGTAGTTTAGAATGGAAATAGCCCAGAGCATTTTAAAAGCAGTATGGAACTGTCTTGATAAAAGGCATTTTAGCATTCTACCATTGAACACAACAATATCCCTTGGCCAGGAACTCTTTGAGGAATGTTAGACATATAAAGTAAAGCCCTGTGGTGGTTAATTTTAGGTGCCAACCTGACCGGATTAAGGAATATCTAGAGAACTGGTAATGGATCATTTCTTGGTGTGTCTGTGAGGGTGATTCTGGAGGAGACTGGTGTGTGAGTCAGTAGACTGACCAGTGAAGATCTGCCCTCAATGTGAGCTGGCACCACCCAATTGGCTGGGGATCCAGATAGAACAAAAATAAATTTCCTCTCTTCTAGAGCTGAGATACATTCTTCTCCTGTCCTTGGATATCAGAACTCCAGGCTCTCTGGCTTTTAAACTTCAGGGCTTATACCAGTGGCCCCCCAGGTTCTCAGGCCTTCAGCTTCAGACTGAGAGTTAAACAGCAGCCTCCCTGGTTCTGAGGGCTTCGGACTTAGACTGAGACATGCTACAGGTATCCTGGGGTCTCTAGCTTGCAGATGGCCTGTTGTGGGGCTTCTCAGCCTCCATAATCATGTAAGCCAATTCCCCTACTAAATCCCCTCTCATATGGCTGTATCTAAATCTATCTATTGATTTATCTTGCTTTCTTTCTATCTACTTAAGAACTCTTGACAAATGCAAAGTCCCTGTCTAGAGACCAAGGAAAACCACTTTTTGGATAGTCAATAACTAGTTGGCATTCAAATACATACCCCAAAAGATGTTCATTAACATTACTCAAGTAATGATTTAAAACTCAGTGACTCATTATCTTCCCAGTATTATGCTACAAGTGTTTGAGATCAATATAAAGTACCCACACTAAAAACAGATCACTTTCTTCAAAGACTCAAAAGTGTTACAATTTATCAAGACACAGCTTGACAAAAGAGTCACGGGTAAGAACAGAAGTTTGTACAGCAGAAGTGTGTGAACTTTCAAGGATAAATTATAAATGGCATTGCAGATTCCACATTAGTCTTTTGTAATCCAAAGATCCAGACACCATGTTGAGAGGACACTCAAGCAGCCTCATGGAGTGGCCCATGTGGCCAGAAATTGAGACTCTTAGCCAACAGCCAGAACCAACTTACCAGCCATATGAGTGAGATACCTTGAAATTGAATGTTCCACCCTCAGTCATGTGTCCAGATGATGTAGCCACAGCTGACATCTGACTGCAAACTCATAAGAGACCCTTGAGCCAGAACACCCAATCAAATTACTCCAAAATTCCTCACCAATAGTAACTGTTAGAGAGAATAAATGACTGTCGTAGTTTCAAAAAAAACAAAAAAAAAGAACAGAACAGAGGTTTGAAAAGAGGAAGTTTCTTGTTCAAGTAGGTAAGTAGCTTGTTCTACTTACTAGCTTTGTGATCTTTAGCCAATATATTTAGCTTCACTGTGCCTCTTTTTTCTCATCTGTAAAATAGGGCCAGGGGTACACACATCACTAGGTTAATGAAGATAGTGTTTGTCAAGGATCAGCAACAAAGCCTGGTACACAGTAGGCAGTCAACAATTACTATATCATATTGATTCTAAAATGCACACTTATTTTCACATTTTAACATCTCTGAAATTGAAATGGATCTTATATTGTGTTATGGTTTAATGACAGTTTTTTTCTCTTTCTTAATGTTCATAAAATAACAGTACATCTTATAGTCCATGGCATCTTAAGTTGATGAAATGCAGTAATTTCTTCTCTCTCTTACTACTGTATCCAAGAATGTATTTTACTTCCTCACAAACCTGACAAGTAACACAAAAAATAAAAGGAGCACTATAACAAGGGGTGCCTTACAACCATTTAGAATAATCGAGAACTATTTTTTCCCATTTCACCTGACTATTTCACTTTTAGAGCTGTGATAAGAGCAACTGAGATTTTTGTGAAATAACAGGATTGTTTAAAAGGGCTCTTTTTGCCTTTTTCACAGACGGGCCTTATTTAAATTAAAAAAAAAAAACTAACTAATTTCAACCAGGCGCGGTGGCTTACGCCTGTAATCCCAGCACTTTGGGAGGCTGAGGTGGGTGGATCACCTGAGGTCAGGAGTTCAAGACCAGACTGGTCAACATGGTGAAACTCCGTCTCTACTAAGAATACTGGCATGCACCTGTAGTCCCAGCTATTCAGGAAGCTGAAGCATGAGAACTGGAGTTGCAGTAAGCCAAGATCACGCCATTGCACTCCAACCTGGGCAACAAGAGTGAAACTCCATCTCAAAAAAAGCAAAAAGCAAAAAACCTAATTTCTAACTCTATGTGTCAGGGTTCTCCAGAGAAACGGAACTAGAGAGGAGATAGATATATAGATAGAGAGAGAAAGAGATTTATTATTAGGAATTGGCTTACATTATGATGGAGGCTAAAAAGTACCGTGATCCACCATCTGCAATCTGGAGGCCCAGGAAAGTTGATAGTGTAGCTCCAGTTAGAGCCTGAAGGCCTGAGAACCAGGGTGTAAATCCTCATCCAAAGGCTGGAGAAGGTGAGATGCAATGTCCCAGCCCAAGCAGGTGGGCAGCAAGAAAAAAGGTGAATTCTTCCTTCCTCCTTCTCTTGTTCTCTTCACGCCTTCAACAGATTGGATGATGCCCACCCATATTGGAGAGAGCCATCTACTTTAATGAGTCCACGAATTTGAATGCTAATCTCATCCAGAAACATCTAGAAAGACACAACAGAAATCATATTTAGTCTAGGCACCCTGTGGCCAGTCAAGTGGACACACACAATTAATCATCTTACTCTAGATAACATAATTCTATGAGAGAAAATAAATTATCCTTATTTTAAAATGTTCCATTTATCCTATACTTGTTGGTTCTGCCAAATCATCTAGTATTTTTAGGCATGTTAAGTTATTTTGGCCCAAGTCCTGGTTTTAGAAATGATTCATATGATTCACCTGTAATCCTAGCATTTTGGGAGGCCAAGGTGCAAGGATTGTTTGAGCCCAGGAGTTCAAGACCAGCCTGCAACATAGCAAGGCCCGATCTCTTAAAAATACATATATATATATATATATATATATATATATATATATCCATCACCTTCCATAGTTACCTGGCCAGGGGCAATGGCTCACACCTGTATTCCCAGCGCTTTGGGAAGCCGAGGTGGGCAGATCACTTGAGGTCAGGAGTTCAAGAACAACATGGTGAAAACTTGTTTCTATAAAACTACAAAAATTAGCTGGGTGTAGTGGCACGTGCCTGTAATCACAACTACTCTGGAGGCTGAGACAGGAGAATCGCTTGAATCCAGGAGGCAGAGGTTGCAGTGAGCCAAGATCACGCCACTGCACTCCAGCGTGGGCAACAGAACAAGACTTCATCACACAAAAAAGAAAAATAAATGATTCATATGAGAACAGCCATGAATGAATGCTCACAAACACACCTAGGTCACCTGTCCCCTTCTTCCTGGGATGCCCTTTCTCTTTGTCTCCCTGTCTAGCTTTTGCCTCTCAATCTATTCTCTTTGCCTCTCTATCTATCTCTTTGGCTGTCTATCTACCAAGAGCCAGCTACTGAAACAAGACACTATAGAACCTTAGAAACATTTCCTGATATGCCCAATTCAAAGTCAACTTCTTCTCAACTACTTCATTACTATATGAATAAAATAAGAGAACCCAAGGAATCACAAATGAACATGTATACTGACTAAGAAATTAGACCTTCCCTGAAACTTGATCAGTCTTGCCTTGTCACCATTCCTAGAAAACAATGAGTTCTTGATAAGTGTTGAATGAATCTTTACCTTGCTTCTCACTATCATTCTAGTTTTTCTAATATCTCCCAGGTATTTATAGCATTTTCCTTTGTTTACTTGAGCAAGCAACAGCAGACTCTTCAATCTCCAGGTCATATTTACTCTTGCTGTGCCCATCAGAAGCCCAATGCCTACCTCCATCCTCCTTTTCCCTCCTCACCCCCAGACTCTACAACTTCAGGTTGTGAAAGATACCTAGTTTGCTAATGACCCTGACCAACTTTATATATCTTCTTGACACACTATAATAACTATAAAAAATAGAATACTAAACCAAAAATTTAATTTTAAAAAAACTATGGGAGAGAGAGAGAGAATAGAGTAGGGGCAGAGGCAAAAGTTACACTACTCTGAATATATTTCATTTTGTATATTTGACTTTGAGGACACATAAATATTTTACATAATTATAAAACAAAATTAAATTTAAAAATTAAATTCTATAAAACAAAAACAAAATTTTAAAAATAGATCACACAAATTATTTCCAATGACTTTATAACACAATAATTTGGTTGTTTAATCCTAGTAAGATTAAACCTAAAGACAAAAAGTACTATATAAATAACAATAAATTGGGCCAGTGCAGTGACTCACACCTGTAATCCCAGGGCTCTAGAAGCCTGAGGTAGGAGGGTCATTTACGCCCAGGAGTTCAAGACTAGCCTGGGCAACATAGTGAGGCCCTGCCTGTACAAATAATTTTTAAATTAGCTGGGTGTAAAGGAGTGCTCCTGTAGTCCCAGCTATTCTGGGCTCAAGATTACAGTAATCATGCCATTGCATTCCAGCCTGGGTGTCAAAGTGAGACCTTGTTCTCTAAAAATAAAATAAAATAATTATAAATTGTCTGCAGTAAACACATTGTTGGTATAGTGTTGATACAGTTATTTTTGGGGGTTATGTTCTGTGGGACAAAGCAAATGAATAATTATGTTGGTGTCCTTGAGAAGCAACCAGTTTCTTCATGGAGAAAGAAGATACAGATGACATAAGATTGATAATGTTAAACAAAAACCCTGTGATCCTGAGTTTGAATTAGAAGTATCAGTATGAATTCATCATTTATTTTATTTTTTAAAATTCCTGGCTCTGTCTACTGGAAACACCTATAAACTTGACTGTAGTTTGAAAACATCATTTCCACTAAAAAACACAGGATACATTGGAGAAATAGCTGTTTCCAAACCTGGGACAGAAAATGTGCCAAATGAAGCTGGAATATCAGACTATACCAAAAAGCAAGGAAACTATAAAAGACTAGTGTGAGCCTGTCAAAGGACTCAAGAGCCAAGCAATTCTCTCACTGGCCAAAGATGAGACAATGTGGGCATTAGTAGGGATTAAAACACATCAAATAAATTTAAACTCATGAATTCATAATTATTCTTTTAAAAACTCATTGGTCACATATGGAGGATGCTGGAGAAGCAATTCACTATTTTGAAAACTGATAAATAAAGAGAAAGAATCAAGCATAAGCATAAGTCTTTTTTTTATGCATACTATACTTCAGACCATAATAACCATATTTTATACAGAGAGGTTTATCTTTATAGAAATAGCCCAGCTAATAAATAATGATACAATTTAAATATAATCCTTTTGTAAACCCTCATGAAATAATGGATCTGAAAAAATCCATTATTGTGTGTGGCTGCTAACATCACAAAAAAGTAACATTATTGTGTCTGGATAGAAGTACACAAGACCACCTATGAAGTAGCCACACACCAAATAATCAAAGAGAAATCTCTTAAGCCTACAAAAATACAAGGAACAAGTTACAGAAATACAAAGAACAGCAGAATGTGTTAAGCAATCACCTAGAGGTGTGTCTTTGCCCATTCAGGCTGCTCTAAAAAATATACAATAAACTGAATGGCTTATAAAAAACAGAAATTTATTTCTCAAATTCTGGAGGCTAAGAACTCCAAGATCAAGGCTTTGATGTCTAGCAAGGGCCCACTTATAGTTCATGGACAACCATATTTTTACCATGTCCCCACATGGTGGAAGGCACACAAGGTCTCTCTTGGATCTCTTTGATGAAGGGCACTAATGCCATTCATGAGGGCTCCACCCTCATGACCTAATTACCTCCCAAAAACCTCATCTCCTAATACCATTCCCTTAGAGACTGGAATTTCAGCATATGAGTTTTGCAGGGACACAAACATTCAGACCACAGCAGGATGCAAGAAGCAGAATCCATACCATGATTCATTCTACAGGACAAAATGAGCCAGTTTCTTCAACAAAGAAATTACAAAGGAAAAAAGAGGAGATGGGGCAAATATATATATATATATATATATATATACACACACACACACATACATCTGGGTTTGTTTGTGTTTTTTTTTTTTTTGAGACAGGGTTTTCTTTTTTGTTTTTTGATTTGTTTTTTGTTTTTCAGACAGAGTTTTACTCCTGTCACCCAAGCTGGATTGCAGTGGTGCAATCTCAGCTCACTGCAACCTCCACCTCACAGGCTCAAGCAATCCTCCTGTCTTAGCCTGCCAAGTTGCTGGGACCACAGGCACACGCCACCGTGCCCAACTAATTTTTTTTATGTACTTTTTTGTAGAGACAGGGTTTCTCTATTTTGCCTAGGCTAGTCTCGAACTTCTGAGCTCAAGTGATCTGGCCACCTCAACCTCCCAAAGTGCCAGGATTACAGGCATTAGCCATGGCACCCAGCCAACAATTATATATTAAAAGAGACTTAAGAAGCATACCAACTAATAGCAGTATGCAGTGTGTGTTTAGATCATGGTTCAAACAAACTCTGAAAAAAAATTGAGTTAATTAGAGAAATTTAACTAATAACTATTTTATAGTATTAAGAATCATTCATTTTTTAGGTGAAATAATAGTACTTAATCTTTTAAAGATATTATTAAAATATTTGCTGATAAAATGATAGGATGTTCAGGATTTGTTTCAAAATAACCCAGGACTGAGGGAAGGGAATGGAGACGTAGATAAAATTCAGTCAAGAAATCACTGAAGCTGAATTAACGGGTACCTAAAGCGGGGTTCATTATACTATCTATTCACTCTACTTTTGAATATGTTTGAAATTTTCCATAACAAAAAGTTTTCAAAACTTGTTTTAAAACATGTTTCCATTAAATTTTTTACAGTATCATTGTAAAAAAAAAAAAAAACAGTACAATATATCTCACACCTACAGTGAATGAATCATGTAGAATATTCAAGAAGTGCTAAAGATAACATGCTGGCATGTAAGTAAACTTGTCAAGTTTCCTCAAGGTGGTCAGATACTGTTTGCTCCAACACACCGATCTTCATGTAACACCACTTCTGGAAGATTCTCAGTCACCTATAATACTGAATATGTTGTTGAACATCTCGGAAACAATTGTACTCAATCCCCTGGGTCCCCTGGCAATGCTAAGGCTTTTCCTGAGCATCTGTGGCTCTGTGTCTGGGCCCCTGATTTTAGACTTACTGGTGCCAGTAAGTCTCAATGACTGAGGTCCCTCACATTTGAGGCTACAAAAATTTCTTGTACAAAGAAGATAAACACCCCTGGCTCCTCTTGTGCAGTATTCTGCTCATCTTTCAAGGTCTTAAGTACACAAAAAGATTATATTTAACTGACTAAGGCTGCTGGACCTGGACATGGGACCAGGATGGCAGCAGGGAGAGTGACAGCAGCCGCAAGAGCAGCAGTGGCTGCAGCCAAGGGAGAAAGAAGGGATTCTGCGTGTAGGCATCACTGGGACCCATAGAGGGAGACGGGCTTGGCCATCAGTCCCTGGAGCCTAACCTTGTGGTGTCTGTACAAATATTAATTCTGGCCTGAGGCCAAGATAGGAACTGCCAGGACACAGGCAGTAAACTCTCAGTAGATTATTACAAAATAAAACTGCACACACGGACATTGCGAGAAAGCATATCAGGGAGTCATTAAAATTCTCTAAAGAGTTTAGAATCTTACATTTTGAAAATAGCCTCAACATTACAAAGCTGCTTAGAAAGAGAAATAGGCTTGGGAATGGAAAAGAAATTTAAAGATCGTGGCTTAAAAATATAAAACAAATTTAAAGATGGTGGCATTTGATAGAAAAATACACTAGTTTCATATGAAGCTTCAAATGAGCAAACTATTAATGAGTAAAACAATTTCACATTTATTTATTTATTTTTGAGACAGGCTTTTGCTGTGTTGCCCAGGCTGGAGAGCAGTGGCTAGTCACAGACATGATCATGGCACACTATAGCTTTGAACTCCTGGACTTAAGGGATTCTGCCTTCAACTCCTGGATTCAAGGGATCCTTCTGCCTCAGGCTCCGAAGGAGCTAGGACTGCAGGTAGGTGCCATCATGGCAGCTGAGACCATGTTTAAATTAGTTTTTTCCTTATAATTGAAGATACATTGGTAGACTGCATAAACCATCATTTTGAATTTTATACAAATCAAGAAGCCACATTTAATTTCTTGTACAGCCTCTACAAGTTATAGGAAATGTCAAAGGAAACATTAAGAAACCACTGTATAAATTTACATTTAAAATTAAATTTAGTCTTATACAAAATTAATTTGTATAAAGAATTAAATATTTTTAGAAAAATTGCTCCAAGAGAATCATCAGCTCTACATATGCTAAAATTTTTATTTCAAAACAATTTATCAGGCTGACCTGAGAGTAGTGAGTTATCTCAATTGATTATTCAGTCAGTTACAGATCAAACTCTTTGTTCTACTCTTTCCGCCTTCTCACTACTATACTTAACTAGTCTTAAAATATAGTAGCAATAATAATTTATCAGAAATGTATCCCAAATGTAACAGGCTACAAAATACTCTTAACAGCTCCAATAACAATTGCATCAGCAGTAAGATCCTCGTCAAAATTTAAAATTATCAAAAATTATTTGCAATCTGACATTTTCCAAGAGAAACTAATGTCACTTTCAATTGCATCAATTGAAAATAAAATTTCTAAAAGTTTAAATTTTGATGATCCATTAAATGAGTTTGTGGAAAAGCAAGCCTGAAAAATCTTAACATTAATCAAGATATGACATTAATAAAGTAGTATTATATATTGTATTGTATAATATTATAATGCCAGAAAATTTTTTGTACTTTTTAAGTTAATTGTTGCTCATATATCACTATTACCTCTATAGCATTTTATAAATAATACAAATTTTAAAGGAAAATCTTTATTTATAACACTTTTAATGACACTTTTTTCCTGCTCTTTAAATGAGGGCTCTGCATTTTCATTTTAAAGCAATTTTTGAACTCTTACATGAGAGAATAGAACAGTTATAACTCTTATAAATGTTAAACTAATTCTTGCAATCCCAGCATTATAGAAGTTTCTAATTGGGCAGGGTAGTGGCGGAGGGCCAGGAGGGGAACCTTTAAAGATCAGTAATTCCATTATATAGATAGCAAAACTAAGGCACCAACCTGTAATTGTTTCAAGGTCACACGTGATTCAGAGACAGACTTGGGACTAAATCTCAAGACTCTCAATTCTACCTGGTATAAATTCTACCACCTATTCTTGCTCATTCTGTCAATGTTCTAGGAAATTACAAAGACTGAAGCTGTTTTAAAAATAATTTATTATTGGGTGTTGTAAAAGCTGAGAATCCAAACAGGATTGCCAAACAACCTAGATATCTACAGCATCATGCCTTCATCACCAAAAGAAATAAGGCATGTTCAAAGGAGCTGGAGCAATGGGAAGAAACACAGATATTGGCCAAGCCACCTCCAGAAGCAGAGAGGGAAGAAATATTCTTCCTTTCTCCCTTCCAGCCTTTCATCTTTCACCACATATTCCCATTAGCAGAAATGAGCTGGAAGCCAGCTGACAGAAGAGCCTGGCAAACTCCATCGGCAGGAGTCAGCCTTCCGTGACAGAACAGAGAAAGGGTGAGGAATGAATCGAAGGCAACCAGCAAATGACTGACACATGGAATAAGCCAGGGATAGCCTCAGGTGTGAGTGCTACCTGAAAATCTAAAAAGTGCTGGTAGCCAGATATTAAGATAATGAAAGCCCTTGGCACAGTGCATGGCATATGGTGAGTAGCAGTTACAAAATCACATCATCATTACTATTACTCTTAGTAGTATTAAACAGGAAGAGGTTAAAAAAATGATAAAAGAATCAGGGGAATTGGTCAGAAGATGATGAGACGAGCACTCAACATCAAAAATATTGACAAGACAAAGCTGAATGCGTTGCTTCCTATAATCAGGGAGGGCTATGCCAGTCAGGCACAGCAGACAGCCTTATATCAGATTTTTCTTTAGGGGAAGCATGAAGTGCTAGGAATTGACAGACTTTCAGGGGTATGAGTGGTTGGACATCATCTGCGGCAGCTCAGTTACTCAGGTGAGACTGCTGCTGATTAGCTGGCACTGAGAGGGGTGTTTATTGGAGTGAATCTTTCCCCGTGAGCTGACTCAAGCGAGAGGGGCTCACTGATGCAGGTTATTCTTGACCAACTGAATGGGTTTAAAACTGGTTCTTGTGGCTATTTTGTTTCCATTGCTACAGAAAAAAAAAAAAGTCTTTTTCTATGTTTGTAGGAACCTCTTTATTTTTAGTCCCTCCTACTGGTGCTTGTTCAATCAAAGCTGCAGGAGAAAACTTCAAGTGTTGTGCAGCTCTTTACCACTGTTGGCGATTTTCCTTGAAGGTGAAGTTTCATCTGTGGATATTTGATTTTCAGTTTTACGTGTCTATCAAAATAATTGTATTCTGGTTTTTCTCTTTGAATCATTTGTTGAATCATTTGTCAGGATGGTGGCTGCACACAAGCATTTAAGATTCTGGAACATAGACATTGAACACCAGTGAGATAAGTATAACTGGAAAGGCCCGGGAGATATTTCAGAACCATGACCCCAAATTTCCCAGACCTGATCACAAAAATAAGTCTCAAAGATTTTCCAAGTTTATTTTAGATAGCCAGGTTGCCTTTTCTTTTAGCTTTGAGGTAGATTATTCCAATTCACTGGAAGTGTTTAGGTATAATACACAATGTTAGCAATGGTAAAGAATCTTCCCTGGTTGGCCAAAATAAAATCCAAGACAATTCTATTATTTATAACTACTTGGTTTAAGGAATTTAAACTGGTTTGTTGTGTTTGCTGTGCCTCACAGTTTGGGACGTAGTATTTACTATGTCAACCAAAGTAATTTTTTTATGAAAGCTTCTAGTAGCTTCACTCCTGTGGATAGGATCATTATTCTCAGAATTCTCTCTCCATAAAGGGTTTTATGTACTCTTTGAAATGATACATAATTCATTCGGGATGTTGGGGAATTTAGTTGGGGAGCTAAATTGTATCAATTATCTTTTGCTCTATAACAAATGATTCCAAATTTAGAAGCTTGAAAACAAGAAAATTATGTCATATAGTTCCTGAGGGTTTATAAGTTTTGGAGCATCTTATCTGAGTGGTTCTGGATTAGTGTCTCCTACAAAGTTGCAGCCAGGATGTCAGCTAAGGCTGCAGTTCTCTGAAGGCTGAAATAGAGTATAGGATCCACGTACTTCCGAGAAGGCTCACTCACCTGGCTGTGGACTTGAGGCCTCAGTTTCTCATGGGCTGTTGGCAAGATTTCTCAATTCCTTGCCACATGGGCCTTTCCACAGAGCTGCTGCCAACATGGCAGCTAACTTTCCCTAGAGTGAATTGTATGATAGAGAATAAGGCAGAAAATACACTGTCTTTTATTACCTAACATTGGAAGTGACATACCATCACTGTTGCCATAGAGGTCACATATATCAACCTCAGCACAGTGTGGGAGAGGTACAGTGTACAAGTGCATGGACACCAAGAAGCGAAAATCATTAGGTATTATCTTGGAGACTGACTACCATAGAAATTACACTGTTGGAATGGCCTAACTAATAATTCAACAGAACAATTAATCTTGGTCCTACATTGGCACTAAAGAGTCTCATTGTTTTATAGAAAAAAATTAACAAAAAGATATACAAGAGATAATTCAACATTGATGGAACTCCAGATATACTGTTTCTGAGTACTGTTGACAAATAGTTGTTGTCTGTATTTTGTAATTTCCCTGGTGCAAGGACATTTTATTTCATTTATATATTGCATGCAGAGTATTGTTTGTTTGGCTTTTTCTGTTTGTTGTTGTTGTTGTTGTTTTCCTCCTCATTATGCTTCTTGGACAAAGAGTATTGCTATTGGAAAGTCAGAGTAACATACCTTAACATCATTTATTTAAATGGCTGAGCTAAAAATAGCTTGGAATAGCTGAATTATAGAGTTATGATGATAATTATCTAGATCAAGGATCAGCAAACTTTCTCTGTAAAAAACTGGATATTAAATATTTTTGGCTTTGTGAGCCATATATTGTTTTTTGGTCACAACTCAGCTCTGCTGTTGTAGCACAAGAGCAGCCATAGGCAACATGTTAAAAAAATGGCTGTGGCTGTGTTCCAAAAAAATTTTATTTACAAAAACAGGTGGCAGGCCAGATTAGGTCTGTAAGCCATAGTTTGTCAACTCTGGTCTAGACATAGTAACTCATTGTCACTAGTAAAGTGAATATGATAAGCTAAGTCAGAAGTAGAATACTTTAAGGCAATAAAGGAGAATAGTATTACCACAAACATAATATATAAGAATATGCAATAGAGAGTGTAATATATAGAAGAATCTTCTTCCAATGATCTTGAGCCAAAATTATCTACTCCATGTAATCATTAGCTTATTCTGAGGCTCTTGGGTTAGCAGTCAACTTCTGTGAACCATCTGCTGAAGGCTCTGGAGAACCTCAATTTAACATATCTAGCAGATGTAACTTTTCAGTTTGGTCAAGGACCTTTTCGTTTTTTCAGAGGATTTAGAGTGATAAGGATAATAAAGTTTATGACTAATGGAAAAAGACTTACATAGCTTTTATGTAAGCATTCTATAAATAAGCATTCTAATTAAATATGTCTGTATTAGATAATTGGAATATTCTAAGTTAGTAACACAAAATCTAATTGTGCTTTTATTTTGTTGCTTTGTTTTGTTTTTATTTTGTTTTCTGCTATAGTAAGGGCTGTGGATTTTTGATAGGCAAATACTTCAACTTACCCAGAAAATAACTGTACCTATTAGTACACATTAATAAACACAATTGTATAAATTATATAAATCTATTTGGGGATGCTAAAACTATTACTTAGAGCAGGGGTCCACAACCCCTGGCACCGGTTCATGGCCTGTTAAGAACTGGGCCACACAGAGGTGAGTGGTGGGCAAGCAAGCGAAGCTTCATCTGTGTTTCCAGCTGTCCTCTATCGCTCACATTACCACCTGAGCTCTGCCTCCTGTCAGATCAGCGGTGGCATTAGATTCTCACAGAAGTGTGAATCTTATTGTGAACTGCACATGCAAGAAATCTAGGTGGCTTACTCCTTGTGAGGATTATCTGCCACTGTTTCCCATCACCTCCAGATAAGACCTTCTAGTTGCAGGAAAACAAGCTCAGGGCTCCCGCTAATTCAACATTATGGTGAGTTGTATAATTACTTCATTATATATTACAATGTAATAATAACAGAAATAAAGTGCACAATAAATGTAATGTGCTTGAATCATCCCAAAACCATACTGAGCTTAATTTAGTATAGATAATGCATGAACTGGACATATCCTCTGCTATACTACAGAAGTTTTCTAGTCAGTGTTTAATACTATGGCAAATTTATCCCTACTGTGATGGGGTGTTTAATGGAGAATTTTGGCAATTGTCAATTTGAGGTTTCATCGCATACTTCAAGATCTGGTTTTGCCAGATCTTAGTCTTATGGAGCTTATAATGAGATAACTTCCCATGTTTCTTTTAAGCAGTTTGGCAACCAGGCCAGGCACGATGGCTCATGCCTGTAATCCCAGCACTTTGGGAGGCTGAGGCAGGTGGACCACCTGAGGTCAGGAGTTCGAGACCAGCCTGGCCAACATGGTGAAACCCCGTCTCTACTAAAAGTACAAAAATTAGCCGGGCATGGTGGCACATGCCTGTAATCCCAGCTACTCAGGAGGCTGACACAGGAGAATCACTTGAACATGGGAGGCAGAGGTTGTAATGAGTCGAGATCATGCCACTGCACTCCAGCCTGGATGACAGAATGAGACTCCATCTCAAAAAAAAAAAAAAAAAGAATTTTGGCATCCAAATTTTGTATATATCTCTTATGGAATTGATGGACTTATTATTATTTTGTTGTTATTTACATGAGATCTTTGTATAAGAACTCCAGTCAGTCTGTTTAGTGTGCTATTCTGTTAAAATATTTCAATAGTACTTCTAACGTATTTCAATAGTATCCACAGTATAGTATACTAGCTTCAATAGTACCTCTTTTACTGTGTCCCTACCTCTGTTACAGCAATTATTTTAGATATAGTAAAGACATCAAGTAATTAATATATTTGTTATATTTAAAGAGTACTTGAGTAAGATTTTAAAACCTCTTTTTTGTGTCACAGTTTAAATAAGTGAATTATTTTAAAAGCATTACCAGCTGTTGGTTTATATACTTATTCTTTTATTTTAGTAATTTTAAGTACCCTAGAGAAGACCACAGTTTAGTCACTGGTTCAATTTGAAAAATTTGATAAGGTAGTAAATTTTACAAGAGAGTGAGCTACTTATTTAAAACAGGCATAGTTTTTTTAAATTGTAGTAAAAAACACATAACCTGTAATTTATCATCTTAACCATTAAGCATACAGTTTAATAGTGTTAAGTATGTTCACATGTTGTGAAACAGATCTCCAGACTTTCTATCTTGCAAATCTGAAACCCTATACCCTGCCATGGTTTAAATGTCCCCTCAAAAAATTCATTTTGAAACTTACTCCCCAATGTGGCAACTTTGAGAGGTGAGGCCTTTAAGAGGTAATTGGATCATGAGGGTTTAGCCATAATGAACAGATTAATCCATTCATGAATTAATAGATTAAATGGTTAATGGATTCATGGGTTATCATGGGAGTCGGACTGGTGGATTTATAAGACAAGGACTAGAAATCTGAGCTAACATGTTCAGCCCCCTCATCATGTGATGCCTTGAACTGCCTTGGGACTCTTCAAAGAGGCCCCACCAGCAAGAAGGCTCTCACCAGCTATCGCCCCTCAACTTGAGACTCCTTAGCCTCCATAATTGTATGAAACAAATTCTTTTTCTTTTAAATTATGCATTTTCAAATATTCTGTTACAAGCAACAGAAAACAAGCTAATACAGAAAACTGGTACAGAGAAGTGGGGTGTTGCTGATAACAAATACCTGAAAATGTGGAAGTGGCTTTGGAACTGGGTAATGGAAAAAGTTTGGAAGAATTTGTAGAAACAAGCTAGAAAAAGCCTAGATTTTGAGGGCTTAGCAGACAAGAAGACTAAAGAAAGTTTGCAACTCCTTAGTTATTGCCTAAGTGGTTGTGATTAGGATGCTGATAGAAATATGAACAGTACAGTGACATCAGCAAGATTGTGGAGTAGAAGATTCCCCAGTATCAGTTCCACAACAAAAATACAACTGGAAAATATTCAAAGGCAAGAATATCACCCTGAATTCTCCAGAACTTGGGGGAGAAATGGAGACCTCCCCTGCATCCACAGAATTGAGAGAAGTCACAACTGGTAAAAGAAATGTTCATTTCAGACTGTGCCATTGCCTTTCCCAAGCCAGCAAAATACCACTCATAGAGAATTTCTTTAAACTCATGGTTTCTGTGGTGAGTGGAGGGAATTGGAGGTGCATGTTCTATCTCTCCATTGATCTTCAAATCTTTATGGAAGCCTACTCCTCTCCTGTCCCACAGGAATCATCAGGAGTTCCAGGAGGGCTAAACCACCTGCAGTGAATTGGGGACAAAAAGCAGGGCATTAATCACGATGACTGGAAAGTAGATCTTGAGAGCTTCTCTGCACTCCAATAAGTGGAGATCCCAAGTTGAAGAGACTGATTAGCACCATAGCACTGCAAGGGTCACAACCCACAGGAAAGCCCAAATCCTTGGCTGGATGTTCCACAAAGCCCAGGTGCTTGTGTGGAGCATTCCCTTCCCAGAAACAACTAAAAGGTCAAAATTAAGTTACAGTGCCAACTTAAGTCTTCCTCAGAATGGGAAATATTTGCAGGGCAGCAATATATTTCTGGGGCAACATCTAAGTTCCAGTGATCACTGTAAGTTTTCCACAGACTCAAAAACAATATGAGGGCAACAATTTAGTTATGGAGAAGCATTTAAATTCCAGTGTTCAATATGAGTCTTCCCACAGGCCAGGAAACAACAATAGGGCAACAAGTTAGTTCCACTGCAGTGTGTCAGTTCAGTTCACCATAAGTCCTCCCCAAAATGAGAAGCAACAACAGAACAGCATTTAAGTTCTGAGAGTAAGTAGTAAATGTCTAACACTACCAATGAATATCTGCAAACACTGGAAGAGGTGGCAGTCTCCTCAAATTCTCAGGCATCAATGTAAAGACACAAAGATTGTGAAAACTCAGAGAAATATGACATGACCAAGAGAAACCAACAAAGCTACAGCAATGAACCCAGAAGAATTGAATATCCATGAAATGTCTGAGAGAGAATTCAAAATAATCCTGTTAAACAAGTTCAGAGATCACAAGCAAATATGGATAGAAAACTAAATGAAATTTGGAAAACTATCCAGGAACAAAATAAGAAATTTGACAAAGAAATGAAAACAATTTTTAAAATAATAGAAAACCTACAAATAAAGAATACAATAACTGAACTGAAAAACTCATTAGAAAGCTTCAAGAGCAGACTTGATCAAACAGAGGAAAGAATTAATGAGCCTGAAGACAAAACATATGAAATTACCCAATCAAGGGAGAAAACAAAAGAATTAAAAAGAATGAGGAAGGCCTATGAGAATTGCGGGACACCATTAAATGAACTGACCTCTGCATAATAGGAATTCCTGAAGGAAACAAGAGAGAAAAGAGCTTAGAAAGCATACTTAAGGAAACAATGAAGAAGGATGACAGCATCCAGGTACAAGCAGCTCAGAAGTTATCAACCAAACTCAGTCCAAAGAGGAATTCTTCAAGACACATCATACTCAAATTAGCAAAAATCAAAGACAAAAAAGGATACTCAATACAGCAAAAGGAAAGAAAAAAATATCACATTTGATGGAGCTCCAATATGATATGCAATGGATTTCTCAGCAGAAACCCTGTAGGCCAAGAGAGATAAGGATGCTATATTCAAAGTGCTGAAGGAAAATAAACTTCCAGCCATGCATATTGTACCTAGAAAAGCTATCCTTCAAACACAAAAGAGAGATAAAGACTTTCCCAGGCAAATAAAAGCTGAGGAAATCATCAACACCAGACCTGCCTTACAAGAAATACTGAAGGGAGTTCTTCAATCTGAAAGAAATGGATGCTAATGTGTAACATGAAAACATCTAAATATATTAAACTTACTGGTAAAAGAAAGAAAACAGACAAATTTAGAATAGTTTAATGCTGTAATTGAGATAAAGAAACCACTAATGGCTTAAGTAAGAAGACTAAAAGACAAAACTATTTTATAAAAATAATGACAACAATTGGTTAAGAAATAAGCAATGTAAAAAGATGTAAACTGAAAAATCAAAAATCAAAAAGAAGGGTGCTAAATTGTAGAGTTTGTTTTGTTACTTTCTTTACTTTGCAATCAAAGTCAAGTCAATATCAGTTTGAGATAACCTGTTATAACTATAAGAGGATTCTGTAAGCTTTATAGTAACCAGAAAGTAACAATATATAATTGAGACACTTAAAATAAATAGCATGGAATCAACATGTATCACTAGAGAAAATTGCTTAACCAGAAAGAAGACAGTAAGAGAGGGAAGGTGGAGGGAAGGACCCACAAAGCAATCAGAAAACAAGTAACAAAATGGCAGTAATAAATCCTTACCTATCAATAATACCTTTGAATGTAAATGTATTAAATTCTCCAAATAAAAGACATAGAGTGGCTAAATGGGTTCAGATTTTTTAAAAGACCCAATTATATGCTGTCTTTAAGAAACCCACTTCACCTATAAAGACATGCACAGACTGAAAGTGGCAGAATTAAAACAGATATTCCATGCAACTGGAAACCAAAAAAGAGCAGGAGTAGCTATACTTACAGTAGAGAAAATAGACTTTAAGTCAAGAACGGTTTAAAAAAAAAGGAAAAGAAGGATATTATATAATGATAAAAGGGTCAATACAGCAAGAGGATACAACAAATACATATACACTCAACACCAAAACACCCAAACATTTAAAACAAATATTAATTGACCTAAAGGGAGAGATTATAATACCATGTATTATTACATTGCAGTAATAGTAAGGGACTTCAGCACCCCACTTTCAGCAATGGACAGATTGTGAAGACAGAAAATCAGCAAAGAAACATGAGAGTTCAACTGTACTCTAGACCAAATGAACCTAACAGATATTTGCAGAACATTCCATTTAACAGCTGCAGAATACACATATTTTTCCACAACACATGGAATGTTTCCACAAAACATTCTCCAGGAGAGACAATATATCTTAATAATTTTTTAAAAATCAAAATAATAACAATGTATTTTTTTCTGGAATAAACCTGGAAATCAATAATGGAAAGAATGTTGAAAACTGTACAAATTAATGGAAATAAAACAACATGCTCCTGAAAAATGGTGGGACTGATGAAGAAATTTAAAAGAAAACTTAAAATTCCTCAAGACAAATTAAAATGGAAACACAAAGTACCAAAACCTATGGGATATGGCAAAAGTAGTGCAAAGAGAGAAGGGTATAGCATTAAATATCTACATCAAAAAAGTAGAAAGACTTCAAATAAACAACTTAATGATGCATCTCAAGGAACTAGAAAAGCAAGAACAAACCAAACCCAAAATCAGCAGAAGAAAAGAAATAATAAAGATCAGGGCAGAAATAAATGAAACTGAGACAAAAAAAGAAGATTAACAAAATAAAAAGTAGATTTTTAAAAAAAGATAAGCAAAATTGACAAATCTTTAGCTAGACTAAGAAAAAGAGAGAATACCCAAATAAATGAAATCAGAGTTGAAAAAGGAGACATTATAACTGATACCACAGAAACATAAAGAATCATTAGAGGTTATTCTGAACAAATATGCCAACAAATTGGAAAGTCTAGAAGATATGGATAAAACTCCTGTACACATACAATCTACCAAGACTGAACCACAAAGAAGTAGAAAATCAGAACTGATCAATAACAAGTAACAAGATTGAAGCAGTAAAAAAAGTCTCCCATCAAAGCCCAGAACCTGATGGCTTCACTGCTAAATTCTACCAAGCATTTAAAGAAGAAATAACACCAATTCTACTCAAACTATCCCAAAAAGTTGAAGAGGAGGGAATACTTTTAAACTCATTCTATGAGGTCAACATTACCCTGATACCAAAATCAGACGAGGACACACACACAAAAGAAAACTACAGGCAAATATCCCTGATGAACATAGATGCAAAATTTCTCAGCAAAATACTAGTAAACTGAATTCAGCAACACATTAAAAACCTCATTCATTGTGATCAAGTGGGATTCATCCCAGGAATGCAAGGATGGTTCAACATATGCAAATCAATAAACAGATACATCACATTAGCAGAATTAAGAACAAAAACCATGCGATAGTTGCAATAAATGCTAAAAAATCATTCAACAATATTCAACATGCCTTTATGATAAAATCTCTCAAAAAACTAGATATAGAACTGACATACCTCAAAACAATAAAAGACATATATAACAAATCCACAGCTAACATCATACTAAATGGAGAAAAATTGAAAGTCTTTCCTCTAATATCTGGACTAAGACAAGGATGCCCACTTTCATCATATTTATTCAATATAGTACTGGAAGTCCTAGCCAGGGCAATTAGGCAAGAGAACAAAATAAAGGGCATCCAAATTGGAAAGGAGAAAATCAAATTATCCTTGCTCACAGATAACATGATCCTATATTTAGAAAAAGATGCCACCAAAAAAATTGTTAGAGCTGGTCAATAAATTCAGTAAAGTTGCAGAATACAAAATCAACATACAAAAATCAGCAGCATTTCTATACACTAACAACCAACAATCTGAAAAACTAACCAATAAAGCAATCCCATTTACTATGGTTATGAAAAAAAGAAACTAGGAATAAATGTAACCAAAGAAGTGAAAGATCTCTATGATGAAATCGATTAAACACTTGAACTAAGAAATGGAAGAGGGCTCAAACAAATGGAAAGATATGCTATGCTCATGGACTGGAGGAACTAATGTTTTTAAAATGTCCATACTATCCAAAGTGATCTACAAATTCAATGCAACTCCTCTCAAAGTACCAATGATATCCTTCACAGAAATAGAAAAAAAAATCCTAAAGTTTGCATAGAACCACAGAAGACCATGATTAGCCAAGGCGATCTTGAACAAAAGGAACAATGCTGGAGACATCACACTACCTGATTTCAAATTATACTAAAGAGCTGCTATAGTAACCTAAACAGCATGGTACTGGCATAAAAACAGACATATAGACCAATAAAACAGAATAGAACCCAGAAATAAATTCACACATTTATAGCCAACTATTTTTTGACAAAGGTGCCAAGAATATACATTGGGTAAAGGACAGTTTCTTCAATAAATGGTGCCAGGAAAACTGGATATACTCATGCAGAAGAGTAAAACCAGACCCCTATCTCTCAACATATACAAAAATCAAATGAAAATAGATTAAAGACTTAAATGTAAGACCTAAAAATCCTGAAGCTGCTAGAAGAAAAAAATTGGAGAATGCTTTAGGACATTGGTCTGGGCAAAGATTTTTTGGGTGAGACCTCAAAAGCAACAGAAGCAAAAATGGACAAATGGGATTACAGCAAACTAAAAAGCTTCTGTGCAGCAAAGGAAATGATCAGTAGACTGAAGAGACTGTTGAATGGGATAAAATATTTGCAAACTATCCATCTGACAAGGGATTAATAAAAAGAATATACAAGGACTCAACAGCAAAAAAAAAAAAAATCTGATTTTAAAATGGGCAAATGATATGAGTAGACCTTTCTCAGAAGACACACAAATTGCCAACAGGTATATGAAAAATGTTCAATATCACTAATCATCAGGGCGATGCCAATCAAAAACACAATGTAATATCATCTCACCTCAGTTAAAATGGCTATTATTGAAAAGACAAAAAATAACAAATGCTTGTGGAATGTGGAGAAAGGGGAATGCTTGTACATTGTTGGTGAGAATGTAAATTAGTGTAGGCACTGTGAAAAACAGTATGGAGGTTTCACAAATAACTAAAAATAGATCTGTCATATAATCCAGCAATCACACTGCTGGGTATATAGCTAAAAGAAAGAAAATCAGTATACAGAAGAGATATCTGCACTCCATATTTATTGCAGCACTATTCACAATAGCCAACATATATAATCAATCTAAGTGTCCAAAAATGAATGGATAAGGAAAATGTAGCATATATACACAATGGAATATTGTTCAGCCATGAAAAAAATGAAATTCTGTCATTCTCAGCAACAAGGATGGAACTGGAGGACATTATGTTATGTGACGTAAGCCAGGCACAGAAACACAAATATCACATGTTCTCACTCAAATGTGGTAGGTAAAAAAGTTGGTCTCTTGGTCAGAGTAGAATGATGATTACCAGAGGCTGAGAAGAGTAGGGGAGAATTGGGGGTGAAAAGAGGTTGGTTAATAGGTACAAAAATACAGCTAACAGAAGGAATAATTTCCAGTGTTTGATAACATAGTAGAGTGACTATAGTTAACCATAATTTATCGTATATTTCAAAATAGCTAGAAAAGATTTGAAATGTTCCCAACACAGAAAAATGATAAATGTTTGAAGTGATGGATATCCTACTCTGATTTAATCATTGTATGAATGTATCAAATATTAAATGGACCACACAAATCTTTACAATTATTATGCATCAATAAAAATTTTTTAAGAAAAAAATATGGATAATAAAGGCCGTTCTGATGAGGTTTCAGATGGAACTGAGGACAAAGGTATTGGAAACTGGAGTAAAGGCTATCCTTGTTACTAATTGGCAAAGAACGTGGCTGAACGGTGCCCATGCCTGAGAACTTTGTGGAAGGCCAAAATTGAGAGTAATGAACTAGGGTATATAGCAGAAGAAATTTCTAAGCAAAATATAGAAGGAGCCGATGGTTAATTTTAGCTGCTTATGCTGAGATTTTGGAGAAAAACAATAATTTAAAGACAGAATTTATAACTAAAATGAAAGCATAATGGAAAGATTTGGAAAACCCTCAGCCTAGGAAAGTAAAGAGTGAAAAAGCATGTTCAGGAGAGGAAACCAAGGGTATAATACGCCTACAAACCATTTGCTAAAGAGATTAGCACAGATAGAAGGGAGTCAGGTGCTATTCCTCAAGACAGTGGAAAAAAAGACAATGGAAGGCATTTCAGGGACCTTCAATGCTACCACTCCCATCATAGGCTCAAGGGCACAGGAGGGCAGAATATTTCAGGGGACAGACCCAGAGTGCTATTTGCATCCCAGCACAGCACTTCTAAGCCTCAGGTATGGCTTATGCTGCAGCTCAGGAAAGTACAAGTCATAAACCTTGGTGGCATCCACATGGTGCTAATTCTGCAGGCTTACAGAAAGCAAGAGCTGTGGAGGCTTGGCAGCCCCTAACTGGACTTAAAAAGATATTCCTATTGTTAAAAGCCTGGGGGCCTAGGCAGAGACTAATTACAGGGGCAGAACCACTGCAGAGAAGTCTCACTAGACCAATGCCAAGCAGAAATACAGGATTGTAGCTGCTGCAGAGAGCCCCCATCAAGGCAATTCCTAGTGGAGCTATGGAAGTGAGGCCATCACAGAGAGTCCCACTACAGTAATATCTAGTCAAGGGAGCTCGGCCACTGCAAAGTCCCCACCAGGGCAATGCCTAGTGGCATTGTGGAAGTGAGGTCACTGCAGAGAGTTCCCAAGAGGGCAAGGCCTTCTGAAGCCATGGTAGTGGGACTGCCACTGAGACCCCAGAACTGTAGAGCTGCCAGCATGCAATGCCAGCTTGGGAGAGCTGGGTGTACTGAGCCCAGCCAAGTCAAAAGGACAGAGCTTCCCAGTGCCCTGGGGGCCCAACCCTTCCACCAGTGTGCAGAGGATGCCCAACAGGGAGTCAAAGGAGATTATTTTGAAGTCTCCGGACCCAATATTTGCTCTCTTGAGTTTCATACTTGCTTGGGCCCTGTTACCCCTTTCTTCTTACCTATTCCTCTCTTTTTGAATGAGAATGTGTACCCCATGCTTGTCCCACCATTATATTTTAAAAGCAAATAACATTTTTATTTCACAGGCTCACAGATGAGACTTTAGACTTTGGATTTTTGAGTTAGTGCTGGAATGAGGAAAGACTTTAGGGCTATAAGGATATAATAAATGTATTTGTACGTGAGAAGGACATGAGTTTTGAGGAGCCAGGGACAGAATGCTTTGATTTGAATGCCCCCTCCAAAACCCATGTTGAAATTTAATCCCAAATGTGACAGTATTGAGAGGTGGGACCTTTAAGAAGTGACTGGATAATGAGGGCTCTGCCCTCATTAATGGATTAATTGATCAATGAATAAAATGGACAGACTTCGAATAATTGTCCTTCTGTTTCTTAGCCAGTATGGAACATTGAGTCTTTAAATTACTATTGTACTTGCAACAGCTACAGGTATCCTTATCCATAGGCTTCTAATTTTTAGAGAATAGAGGTTTTTTTGGTTGTTTTTTAACTGAAGAGCCAAACACTATATTGAGTTTTAGCTTATTTACTTTCTAAGGCTCTGGAAATGTCTGACACATATTGAATACTTTCTAAATTGGCAATTTTACATTTCAACTTAATTTTCATTATTAAATTCTCTATTTCGGGATGGATCCAATTTACAATAAGAGAAGATACAGTTCTCTACTTCAGCTATAGTTTTATGGTAGCTTCTTGAGTATTTCGTGAAGTCTATTTTTCATCTTTGCTTTGTTTATAATTTGAACCTTTTAAATTTTTCTATCAAAATGTTTTCTTAAGTTTCCTTATTGTAGTTAATTTTAAATTTTTATTGCTGTTTTAAGACAATGTTTAAAAATTTTACATAATTGGTTGACAAATCTTTCCTATCTTTCTGCTTACTAAGCATTTTCTGTAACTAAGAGGCTAACACTTAGCTGAACTAGTTGGTACAGATCTGTGGTAGAAGAAACCAAGTATGTAATAAAATTTTGACTTCCATAACAATGATCTACCAATATTCTGAAAATTTAGCATAATCCTTTATCATGGCCCTTAACTTGTCTGTAGACCAGAATTTGTAATTCATCCTTATGGCCTAGAAATTTTATGACTTAATTATTATTGCCCTGACAAAAGAGTAGCTCATTTAGAAGGTCAGGTGAAGCTGAGTAGAAAAAGAGAAAAATGCAAAGAGGATAGGTCTCAAAAGTTTACAAAGTCTTTGAGAGAGACTCTCTTGGAGTTAGAATTATTTTTCAAGGCTTTGGAATATCAATTAGAGGAGACTATTGACTATTTGGTATTTTGTCTCCTAACTTTTTAGCATTTCTCTTAAAGGTATTAATTTAAAGATTTGGACATGTCAAAACATGACATTGTTATTCCAAGACAATTTTTCTTTTTGCCGTTTTTCAATAAAAATGAAAAGTTAAAATTATGGTGCTTCTTAAAGGAAATAGAAGTTATTTCAGGAGAAGGATGAGGCATTCACATGGACAAACCCATAACACACAAGAGAAAGAAGCCACTACAGTCAGTTTACATTGTGAGGTTTTGAAGGGTGTTAGGTTTCCCCAACCAAGAAGAAACTGTACAAGAGCCACACAGTCAACAACCTGACAATTCTTGACTCCGTAGAAGGGACAAAAAAAAAGTAAGCTTCTTTTCCAAATTAACAAGAAAAAGGGTACCCTCATAAAGGATTTATAGGAGTCCCTAGACAATGTTTGACTAACCCTTTTTTCACCAAGTGATTGCTGGTCTAATGGACCTCCAGCCATTAGTTCTTAAGGCCACCTTCATTGTTTTGGAAACTTATCTGGCCTATACTCCCACATGTTCTCTATGAAACACTCCTTTATACACTCAATAGAAACAGACAATCCAGGATAAAACAAAACACATGAAACAAGACTTTGTACATACAGACAAACAAAATCAAAATTAAAGCAAGGAGCAAAAGAATAAGCATGTTAATAGTAAAAAATATATATATATCAAATGGCATACCTCCAAAACAAAAGGTCTAGTTGTTGTCTTATACAAAGTCCTAAGTCTAATTGTTTATTGTATGGTTTATATTAATAACCAAAAAAGGCCTAATTGCTTTTTGCAATGACCTAGGCCTAAACAAAGACCTATTTGGCCACAAATTCTGGAATAACAAAATAAATTCAGCACCAAGACTCAATGAAACTAGCTAGAGATCACATTGTTGTTGAGATTAACTAACTTGGCAACATATCTGAAGGGTAAGTAGAATTTTGGTACAAGGTGTCCAATGAGTGCATCTGTTGGCCTAATGGTCCTCTAGAAGGTTGCCAAATGAGGGGCTTTACAACAATCTTGGTAGAACCTCCATAATTGTCAAAAGACCACCATTCAATATCTAACATACAAAGACAAAGTTAACTTATTGCTTGTTACAGTAAGAGATGTGGGTCAGGCACAGCCTTTTCAAGCAGAACAAATGGCTGATCTTATATAGTGTTTCAAGAAAGCATAGCATTCAGGAATTTGTTGACTCTCAGAAACATAAGTAGGTTGACATCATCTGTAGAAGTGTGATTACTCAGGTGAGACTATTACTGATTGGGTAGCACTCAGAGACATGCTTGTTGGAGTGAGTTTGTCCCTGATTGGCTGACCTTCAGAAGTGAGATTGACAGAGTAGTTGGATTGCAAAATTGTGTTTACTGAGGTGAATTGTTTGATAAAACAGATTTAAAACAAGTTATAGTGGCTACTTGTTATCATGACTTCAGAATTATCAATCTTTTCCTATGTTTGTAACAACCTTCTTTATTCTCAAGTTCAACAATATGATCAAGGAAGAAAGAAAAAGCAATAGAAATATTGGAGGCTATTCATGGCTCAGCATGGTGGAGCTCTGTCAAAAATGGTACACCTTACCACTCAGGAACAGGTGTCAGCCTTCCAGTCAGATGGAAAATGTTTGGTATGAGTGAGATTCCTGTGGGTAGGTTGTACTTTGTATGGATGAACCAGTAGAAGAAGGAAGAGATTCTTCTGAAAGAGTTATAGTTGAAATCAATACATATTTAGGCAATTTCAAAACTTCATTCCCTATTAAGACTATCACTTATTGTATACAATATTCCTTTTAGAAAACATATTTGTAAACCATATATGTAACTTTGTTAACAGAATATTCTGTATTCTGCTTTTATGTTCCCTTACTTGTTTTTCTTCTTTATTTGATGATTATGGCAGGGTTCTCCTCAAAGAACTTCGTATTCAATATGGTAAGCCACTTCTAGTGGTAATTTATTAAATCGTCTTCATTTCCAAGGTAACTGGTTAAAATGTTATTTGTGACCACAGACATAGAACTTCATCATAGAACTAAGCATTAGAGACAGTAACTCCAAGTTTATTTTTGGAAAAGAAGAGGAAGAAAAAGATAGTATCAGTATGATTAACAGCTTGATCTCTGGATTCAGACAGTTCCTGGCTCCTCCACTTATGAGCTGTGTGACCTAGGGCAAGCGACTAAACTTCTCTAAGCTTCTGTGTTCTCATCTGTAAAATGATGATAATAAATAATATCTACTTTATATGGCTATTGAGAGGATTAAAAGCAATAAATTACGTAAAGAGCTTAGCATAGTTCCTGGCACATGGTATACAACTAATAAATGTGATATACCACTTTTGTAACTAATTTTTTTAAGTATGAAAAGACTTTATGCTAAAATACATAATATGCCTTTCTTTCCTTGTTTCAATTTGTTTCTGCATAAATAAAAATTATTTTTAATATTTTGAAAACATTTACAACACAAAAAATCTTAGCGCTTCACAGCCCTTTATGATAAAAAAAGGTTGATAATTGTGTTAATATATTTATGATAAGAAACAGCTTTACTTGGATAAGGTAACAAGGATGGACCTGTGAGGTCAAAGAAATGTATGAGTTCATTAAGTGTGGCTTAAGTATCCAGGGAAGGTGGTTATTTATACTCCTAAAGAGTTCATACTCCAGCAACTCTCAGTACATCTAATGACATAATATATGGAGACACGGACCGCTGTGGGAGAAAATGATGAAGTGTCCATTTGGGACAGGGCCTCCTTATTCTCATGAATTGCTCAAATATGTGGGGACATAGGACTGCAAAAGGACAAGTAATACTTTTATGAAGTCTGTGACCCATACCATTCATTGCACCCTGGGAAAAGGAAAGAAAAGTTCTGAACAATTCTGTTGAGCAATTACCTATTGAATGAATATGCCATAATATATTTAACCATTCTCCTACTGTGGAACATGTAGTTTTCCCCCATATTTTTTCCTTTTACCTCATAAATGATGATGCCACAAGCATCATCTTTGTATATAGAGCTCTTTTCCTCCACTGAAGCAGCATGCTGCAATGATAGTGAGGCCACACCCTGGAGCCATACTCTCTAGCCTCAAATCCCAGCTCTGCCATTAACCAACCATGTGATCTTAAGCAATTTGTTTAATCTTTGTTTCCCTCAGTTTCCTCATGTGTAAAATGGAGATAATAAAATTCCCAGTTCATATGGCTGCTATGAAGATTAAATCAGTTAACATATGAAAGGCACTTAGAAAAGTGTCTGGCATTAATTCAGCATGTAGGATTCAGCATCTAGGTGGTACCTAGAGATGCTCCTTGACACTTACTATGGGGTTACATCCTGATAAATCCATCATAAATTAGAAATCTCCATGGTTGAAAGTGTGTAACTGCGAGTTTCCACTTGTTTCTGTTGCCCAGAATGAATTTTTATTTTTATACTTTATGAATTTTCTAATTCATTACCTTATTGTTTTTAAAGTGAATTTATTTAATTGCTACTGAAGGTGTTTCGTAAGTTAAGTGACTATTTCCTCTTATTTGAATGCTGTTAGTGCCCTTTTGTTTTTAGGGGTTTGGTGTTAGGCTTTAGTTTTTGTTTTGTTTTGTTTTGTTTTTTGTTGTTGTTTTCTTATTTGTTTGTTTTGAGACAGAGTCTCGCTCTGCTGCCCAGTCTGGAGTGCATTGGCACAATCTCAGCTCACTGAAACCTCCACCTCCTGGGTTCAAGCGATCCATGCCTCAGCCTCCTGAGTAGCTGGGACTACAGGCACTCACCACCACACCTGGCTAATTTTTTTTGTATTTTTAGTAAATACAGGGTCTTTCCATGTTGGCCAGGCTGGTCTCGAACTCCTGGCCTCAAGTGATCCTCCTGCCTTGGCCTCCCAAAGTGCTGGGATTACAGGCATAAGTAAACATGCCCGGCCAGGCTTTAGTTTTGACTAAAGACTGACATATTCAAAATTTCGTTACTTCATCTGTCATATTTAGTACAAGTAATTCTCTCAGTCTCTTGTTTTCTTTTTAAGCTCCTTTTATTGTTTTTCACATTATAGATATTTTAAATGTTTGTATAGTTATGTGTGTCCATCTTCTATTTTTTCATTTCTGATTGCTCTCCTCTTATCTTCTTATTTTGTTACAATTTGGTTTGTTAATATTTAACTTCCTGTAGTTTTCTCCTAAAGGGCAGAGACTCTGTTAATCATCATTGTATCTATATGCCTAGCCCAGTCCCAGCATGTAATGAACTACCAATAAATATTTGTGGAATGAATGAGTAAGTGAAGGAACAACTGAATTGGCCCCAGCAGTCCACAGACCACACCCACTTGAGATTACATAATAAGGTCACTTTTTCTTTAATAGCCAACTTATAAAAACTATGAACTTGCATTCCATAGGCTACAAAAAAACTATTCTTCCGGAGGATTTCCTTCCCATGGATCTGTTAAATGTTCCACTAAATCAGTACTACATTTGTCACCGCTATTAGAGTCCAGCAAGTCACTTCTGCCATCAGATAACCAGCTTCTCTAGAATACTACTCGCCCTATGAGTTATTCTCCAAGCATAGACTCTGATCCCTCCCTTAATTATCTAAAGCACAGGTAACACATGAATAAAACAATTAACAAAAATGTACTGCAAACTTGGGTATGAAAGAAGTACAATGCAGGCTGGGCACAGTGGCTCATGCCTATAATCCCAGCATTTTGGGAGGCCAAGGCAGGTGGATCACATGAGGCCAGGAGTTGAAGACCAGCCTGGCCAACATGGCAAAACTCTGTCTCTACTAAAAATACAAAAATCAGCTAGACATGTCAGTGCACACCTGTAGTCCCAGCTACTTGGAAGGTTGAGGCACAAGAATCGCTTGAACCTGGGAGGTGGAGACTGCAGTGAGCCGAAATCGCACCACTGCACGCCAGCCTGGGTGACAGAGTGAAACTCTCAATGCAGTATAGATTCCAACAACTACTGGAAGGAGTTACTTTGGGAACACAATGTGGCAATGGCCAGCTCACCCCACCAACAGAAAATCGCCAGGCATCTCCACACACTGAAACACTGGCCCTAAGAACCGCTGTGGTGGGAGTATGTGTGTGTGTGCAGAGAGGAGAAAGAGATGTAGAGACAGACGAAGAGATTCAGAGAGATATCTTTCCTCTTCAAATCCATGCCCTGCTTCTTTTGGCTGTTGCGAAGATTAAATGAGTTAAATTAAATAATTGACAGTGGGAGCACCCACTAATGCAGAGTACGGTCTGGCTCCTATGGCCAGACAGGCAATGATAAAGGTCAGCAGTACATTTTACAAGTCTGAGTTATTCTGTCTTAAATACCACTATGTGAAAGGCACCAGTGCTCCAAATCCAGGTGGTATTATACCAATCCTAGTCCCCTGATTCCCTTTCACAATTTTTATCTCCATAATAAAGAGCTGAGATCTACACAACACTCTTGGCATGGTCCAGTGAGACAATCTCCTGTTACCAATTACTTAGACAAAACTCTCTCTCTCTCTCTCTCTCTGACTCTCTCTTCCAAAATAAATAAACAAACAGTACTTTGCAAGGACAATTCAGCCAAAATCCAATTCTAAGGCTACATATTTTCCCCCTCTGATTTTGAAAGGATATACACAAGCCACTAAACCCAATTTATACTTCTAAACGAAACTTGTCAGCTTACTAGAAACTTCAATCTCCTCAAAAAGCAACAAGTGAGTACTTGCTCTAGATGTGTGTAATTCAAAAGGCCTATTCTGGTAATTCTCCCAAAACAAAGAAAGCCTGCTCCAAAGATGAATCAATGACTCCATCTTTATTAAAAAAAATATCTGGCAACTTTTAAATGATTTAATGCCAGGTTTCCAAAAAAGTAAAGTCCTGATGTGCAGCCTCTTGCAGAATGAATAAAGTAGTGTGAGGTGAAGGTCCAAGTTAAAGTTTTTGCATATTAATATCTGGTTGTCTTAGTCCATTTTCTGTTGCTATAGAAAAATACCACAAACTGGGTAATTTATAAAGAAAAGAAATTTGGCTGGACACAGTGGCTCATGCTGTAATCCCAGCACTTTGGGAGGCGAAGGTTGGGAGGATCACTTGAGCCCAGGAATTTGAGACCAGCCTGGGCAACATAGTGAGACCCCACCTCTACCATAAAGAAAAATTAGCCAGGTAGTCCTAGCTCCTTGGGAGGCTGATGTGGGAGGATCACTTGAGCCCAGGAGTTGAGGCTGCAGTGAGCCATGATCGTGCCACTGCACTTCAGCCTGGGTGACAGAGTGACCCTGTCTCAAAAAAAAAAAAACCAAAAAAAAGTGTATTTCTTACATTTCTGGAAGATATGAAGTCCAAGGTTGAGAGGCCAGCATCTGTCAAGGGCCTTCTTTCTGTGTTATCCCATGGTAGAGGGCAGAAAGATAAGAGAGCATGTTAGCAAGCAAGAGATCAAACTTGAAGCCTCAACTCCTTTTTATTCAGCAGTAATCCATTCATGAGGGTGGAAAATAAACATCTCCCATTAGGTCTTATCTCCCAACATTACTGCATTGAGGATTAAGTTTCCAACCCATGCTGTTTGTTGTTGTTGTTGTTGTTGTTGTTTTTAGAGTCAGCGTCTCACTGTCACCCAGGCTGGAGTGCAGTGGCTCACTGAACCCTTAAGCTCTAGGCTCAAGCAATCCTCCTGCCTCAGCCTCCCAAACAGCTGGGATGACAGGTATGAGCTACCATGCCCTGTTGGTTTTCTTACTAGTTCTTAAATCATGGTTCTTTTCTTAATTACTTCATTACTTGCATAAGCTGACTTCATCATATCTTTAACATCTATGTAAACTAGGCTATCTATCTGTTCAATTACCTCTTCATTTTTTAAACTCATTCCATATCATTTCCACTCATTTCTTTTAAAATCCTAGTATCTAACAAGAATAGTTCTTCCTTATAATTTTTCTTCTCTTAGAGTACTATATGAAAATTCTGCCCATTTATTTTGGAAAACAGTTTTGGAATCATTTTATTGAGTTCTATAAAGTATTCTTTGGTTTTTAATAGGAATATGGTAAATCTATACATTAATTTGGGAAATATTTTCTTTACTATTCATAGTCATACTATGTCTTTGCTTTCATTTGGGTTTTTAAAAATTATTTCATTTAAGTTTTTACATTTTTGTGAACCCCAAAAATCTGAGACAGGTCTCAGTTAACTTAGAAAGTTTATTTTGCCAAGGCTGAGGACACATGCCCGTGACACAGCCTCAGGAGGTCCTGATGACATGTGCCCAAGGTGGTCAGAGTACAGTTTGGTTTTATACATTTTAGGAAGACATGAGACATCAATCAACATAGGTAAGATGAACATTGGTTCCATCTAGAAAAGGCAGGACAACTCGAAGCACGGAGGAAGCTTCCAGGTCATAGGTAGATAAGAGAAAAATGTTTGCATTCTTTTGAGTTTCTGATTAGTCTCTCCAAAGGAGGCAATCAGATATGCATTTATCTCAGTGAGCAGAGGGGGTGACTTTGAATAAAAATGGGAGGCCGGTTTGCCCTAAGCAGTTTCCAGCTTGGCTTTTCCCTTTAGCTTAGTGATTTGAGGGTCCCAAGATTATTTTCCTTTCACAGTTTATAGCTTTCAACATTCCACATTAATTTCCATATATTTTATCATTTGCTGACATTGTGAATAAGATCTCCTTTCAATTAACTTTTCTAGTTGGCTATTCCTGATATTTAGGGAAGATACAGGTGTTTGCAGATTTATCTTGTATTTGCCCGTTTCACTGAATGTTTTTGATTTTGCTAATAGTTTTGTTGCAAGTGGGGATGGCTTAATTTGGGTCTTCTATTTCTTCAAATAACTTTGTTTCCTCTTTTCCCAATATTTAATTCTCATTGCTTTTGGAGGACCTACCATGATTAAAAGAATTTTCAGCATTAAATTGGAAAATAATGATAACAAACAGCCTTTTGCTTTGTTTACTTTTTTTTTTTTTTCCTTTTTTGAGACAGGGTCTTGCTGTGTTGCCCAAGCTGGAATGCAGAGGCACGATCACAGCTCATTGCAGCCTTGACCTCCTGGGCTCAAGTGATCCTCCCACATCAGCCTCCCAAGTAGCTGGGACTATAGGTATGCATCACCACGCCCAGCTAGTTTTTTAATTTTTTGCAGACACAGGGGTCTCACTGTGTTGCCCAGGCTGGTCTCAAACTCCTGGCCTTAAGTGATCCTCCCGCCTTTGCCTCACAACGTGCTGGGATTACAAGCGTGAGTCACTGTACCCAGCTGCTTTGTTCATTTTTTAAAGGAAAATGTTTCTAGATTTGTTCTACCCTTTATAAAACTTTAAACTCTTAGTTTTTCCTTTTTTGATGTAATAAAATAGCAAAACTATATTCTAACTTAACGTATTTTAAAACTGGATTTTTGAATTTTATCAAATGTTGTTAGAGGCTTTTATTGACATATGGCTTTATTATTGAAGTTACTGATCTGTGATTTTTGAGTTTCCTTTTCATTGAATCATTCACTGATTTAGAGAGAGAATTTCCCTGATTCCCCAATCTTGAGTAGCCTCCCCTCTCACTCTTTATCACATCCTTCATTTTGCTCTGTTCATGGCAGTTATTATTGTTATTTTGAATTAACTTGTTTGTTTACATCAGGGGTCCCCCACTCCCTGGCCGAAGACTGGTACTGGTTCGTGGCCTGTTAGGAACTGGGCTGCACAGCAGGAGGCAAGCAAGCATTACTGCCTGAGCTCTGCCTACTGTCAGATCAGCAGCGGCATCAGATTCTCATAGAAGCACGAATCCTATTGTGAATTGCATATGTGAGGGATCTAGGTTGCATACTCTTTGTAAGAATCTAAGGCCTGATGATCTGAGGTGGAACAATTTCATCCCAAAACCATGAGGGATCTAGGTTGCACACTCTTTATAAGAATCAAATGCCTGATAATCTGAGGTGGAACAGTTTCATCCCAAAACCACCCTCCTACCCACCTCACCCATACACTCCCACACCCCCAATACCCCCACACCCCCCTACACAGCCCCCACTCCAGTCCCTGGAAAAACTGTCCTCCACAAAATCGGTCCCTAGTGCCAAAAAGGTTGGGGGCCACTGGTTTACATGTTATTGTCCGTCTTCTATGCATGGCACCCTTACTGGTAATGCTTGCTTTGAAATCTTTATTGGTCAGATCATCTTTGCAATATTAAATTGTGATACACCCTGATCTAGCATTACAGTACTATCCTGGAGCTAATAGAATCCAAAGCTGCTTCCTAAATCCTGGCTTTTCCTGCAGATTTCTTTGCAAGTCATCTCTGTGCAGAAGTGGCCTTTCACTCAGCACAGAGTACTACATAGAATTCACGTTCCTCAGTTTCTGAGCTAACGTTCTGACCTCCTCTAAGTCTTGCTGCTAATGGACACTGGGAGACCTGGGATTTATGTATACTTCGATTCAAAGATTGTACATATAAGAACCCATAATTGTTATATATTTTTGGCAAAAGATAAAGTATTTCTAAACAAATAATGAGATCAAGATAGTAGCACTAGATAAAAAATAACACCTGGATTCCAGCCCAGATGTTTTCACTATTTACCATGTGATCTTGGCCAAGTTAGTTATCCTCTTAGAGTTCTCTTCTGTAAAATGAGGTTACTGCATTAGATTTGTCGATGCCTCCAGCTGCAATTTAAAATGAATAACCTATTAGAGAAATATATAAAATTAATATTAATAAACTACTCATATCTAAATTGTTAAAGTAAACCTTTAGGTACTGCTATCTTATCAAAATATGATGATGGGATAGTGGAATTTTTGTATCCAAACATCAAGTCATTTCTTCCAATTAAATCTCACAAATCATATGATTTGGAGTAGTACCTCTGCAATGGAAAACTCTGGGGTAGTCTCTCTAGCTTCTCTGCTTGTTCTAGGAACTGCTCCTCCCTCTCTTTTTCATCCTCCCATCATAGTGCAGCTATAATGTGACCCTTCCTCCTGGCCACAGCTAATCATCTGTGTGATCCAGGTGTGGATACCTCACCTAATCAGAGCCAGTGAGTCCCATCCTCAGGAATTTGGGTCTTGGATAGGAAAAAATATGGAAAGCAAGTTGGTCTCTCATTCTTGAAGCCATAAAGTGAAAACCTTGGTGTGCTAGGCAGATATGTTCCCATGGAAAAGATGGTCTACAGAAAAAAGAAGCAAGCAGAGAATCTAATATTGCTGGTCCCTAGGCTAGCTGGCTTCTTATCTGTAGAGCAGTTTGTTCAACTCGTCTCAGTATACTTTATATAAGTTCTTCCTTTTGCCTAAGCTGGTCAGAGTCTTGTTTGGTGCCTTCTCCCCCGAAAAAAAAATAAATAAATAAAAATAAATAAATCTAAAAGAATGCAACTTCTAATAAGATGAAATCTCTCATCTTCAGGTAATCTTCCCAGCAGGTATGATTACTTTTCCCATAGCCCTGTTCATCTCTGTGACTTCTATGAGAGTGCCTTGAGTTATCTGCTCACATTACTCCTTCCTTTTAAATTGAAATTTTCCCATTAGCTTAACTAGTATAAGATGTACTTTCTCTAGCAAAAATTGATCTGTGTGGCTTAGAGATATTTTCACCTTGAATCTGTCACTTCTGAGCCCTTCTCCTTCAGATTCCATTGCACAGAGTAGTACAGTTGTCTGTTAAAGAAGATTTTACAGGATCTTAGACACTATGTAAACTATATATAGATTTTTGTTGCACCTGTAAGATGGGCCTTAATTTCAGCTTCTCAGATCTTGAAGTGAGAGAAAAAATAAAAGATGTGTGATAATTTGAGAGAAATAATCTTTTAGATTAAAACAACTTAAGATATACTAGAATCATGGTAAATCCTTGACATAGCAATGTGATGGCCTCCTACTTCCTCAGCAGTCAAATTCCAGTATTATATCCACAAGAATTACAAAGTAATTATGCACTCCATATATCAGAACACACTTCTGAGGAAAGAATACAAATTATTTGAGCAAAAAGTCATAAATATGACTAACCAGCATAGAGAAAAGAGTTAATGAGGAAGTGGGAAAGGTGTTAAGGGACAGAAATTAATAGCTTATCCACAACTATTGTTGAAATTTTCCTTTGTTTTGATTTTTGTAGATGTCTTATCAACTTATATATTCTTCATAATAAAATGCCTAATGATTTTTCTTTGTAATTTATGCAAATATGTATGCCTTCAGAAAAAATCCACTTCCCAGATTAGAAAGCCTTCCTTCTGTTTAGTCCTAAGGGACCGTGAGATATGTTTTTCCCCACGGGCAACACAAGCCCTGTGAAATGGAGGCAGAGCTTTCATGCTTTAAAATTCATTTCTCTAACTGTACAATCATTACCAGTATGGGCAAAGCAAATCCAAATTACCACTTACACTTCAGGCCAACTAGAAAAGAGACAGTTCTCATTTTAGAATTCTTTAAATCTTCCCTGACAGGAGTGCTAGAAAAGCATAACATACGGAATCACAAATTGGTCTTTTGACAAACTGCCAATCTATTGACTCTTAAAGGAAGAAAAACAGTGAATACTAAGGACAAAACAGAGGTAATAGCTGAGAAGTGCAGTTGAAATTGAACTAAAAATGCAGAGGAAGAGAAAAAGAAGCCAGTCCAGCATAGGTATGACTTCAGACCCCAAGGGAAAACTTCATAAGGAAATCTTTCGTTACTTTAAAAGTTTGGAAGTCATCTTCATAGCAGAAAGGCTCCATGGTTTGGTGGAAAGCATTGATGCTTGGATATTATGACTCCAGAATTTCTGGTACAGAAATTAAAAATTATAAACAGACTTTCCTATTGCCCTTATTTGGTTTCTATCTCCAGGGATAATTTAAGAGATATGTATATAGGAATCTTGACTTTTTAATCTGTAAATTTTGCTATAACAATCTAGGTTTGAGAACATACACTTTTCTGGATAGAATGTCTCTTTTTATGAAAGCTGTGAATTCATGTATAAATTAATTTTGTGCAGAATTTTCATGACATACAAAACATGAAAAATGATATGGCAGATTATTTGGACCAATTACATGTTATTCCACATGTAATTATAATAAAATTATAAGTGACTTCTAAATTATTAATGAAATTGAAACTAAATGTTTAAAATATTTAATTCTAGTTGTAAACCTGCTAACTCAAAATTACATATAGTCACACACGGAACTACTTTTTTTCTTACAATCAAAATTAAAAATGAAACCATGTTTAGAATATCATTTAATGGCTCTAAAAAGTAGTATCAGGCTGGGCACTGTGGGTTATACCTGTAATCTCAACATTTTTGGAAGTGAGAGGATCATTTGAGCCCAGGAACTCTAGACCAGTCTGGGCAATAAAGTGGGACACTCTCCACAACCTTCCACCACAGTCCCTACAAAAATGAAAAAAAAAGAATGTTTTTAATTAGCCAGACATGGTGATGTGTGCCTGTAGTCCCAGCTACTTGAGAAGCTGAGGCAGAAGGATCGCTTGAATCCAGAAGTTTGAGGCTACAGTGAGCTATGATTGTGCCACTGCACTCCAGTCTGGGCAACAGAGAAAACCCTGTCTCTCAAAAAAAAAACAAACAAACCAGGAATAGAAACCAGGTCTTGCTCTGTTGCCCAGGCTGGAGTGCAGTAGCACAATCTTGGCTCACTGCAGCCTTGGCCTGCCTGGCTCAGGTGATCCTCCAACTCAGCCTCCTGAGTAGCTGGGACCACAGTCGCACTACCAAGTTGGGCTAATTTTTTGTACGTTTTTTTCTGTAGGGGTAGGGTTCACTATGTTGCCCAGGCTGGTCTCACTCCGGAGCTCACGCCATCCACTGGCCTTGGCTTCCCAAAGTGCTAGGATTACAGGCATGAGCCATGGCGCCCAGCCTATCTGGTCTCTTAAAAAATAAAATGAATTTAGGCTGGGCACGGTGGCTTACACCTGTAATCCCAGCACTTTGGGAGGCTGAGGGGGGTGGATCACCTGAGGTCGGGAGTTCAAGACCAGCCTGACCAACATACAGAAACCCTGTCTCTACTAAAAATACAAAATTAGCCAGGCGTGATGGCACATGCCTATAATCCCAGCTACTCGGGAGGCTGAGGCAGGAGAATCCGGGAGGCAGAGGTTGCAGTGAGCCGAGATTGCGCCATTGCACTCCAGCCTGGGCAACAAGAGCGAAACTCCGTCTCAAAAAAAAAAAAAAAATTAAAAAGTATTTTTAGAGTAGTATCAAATATTTTGGTTTAAGCTACTACATATATTTTTGTCACTTCTCTCTTCTGAAAGCACCTAAAACTGAGAGTAAATGTCTTCCATTTTTTCTAAATTTTGGAAATGGAACTCTTCTATTTTTTCCAAATTCTGCTCTTAGAAGAGCAGAGAAACCTGAAATCAAAGTTCCTAATACCATACTGAAGTACGCTGATTCTCTCCATAAAGCTCGAGAAGGGCTCAGGAATTGGAGGTACAGAAAAGGCAGAGATGCAGGGTGGGACTGACAGAGGGAGAACCAGTTGAAAAGAGCACTGGAGCCCTACCTTATGAAGCCAGCTAACTACTCTTGTCTCACCCTTCGGGAAGGAGGAGGTTTATTTTCTATGGCATTTGAACCAGTGAGGCCCCAGATTTGAGGGCTCCAGGAACACAGAGAGCAGGGATGAGGCACCAGCCAGAAAATAAGGGACTAATTAGTCATAATCAACCTTCCACTTCTAGCCCTATAACTCCTTCCAGGTGCCACGACACAAGGAATCATTCTTATTCCTCCCAATCAAGACATCAGAGGAGCCTTCTATGGAGACCCAGAAAGTCCCTCAACACAAAAGCTGTCTTAATGTCCCACATCCCTCAAGAGATGCCCACCTGTCTACAAGTTCCTCATTACAACACAGCTTCCAAACAGCTTTTCGGTGCCTTACTCTTAAATATTTCTGAATGGAGAACCGAGCCTCACCAGATACTTAAAGAAAGCCTCCAAAATCAAAGGCATAAACAAAAATGATCAGAAGAAAAAGAACTTGGCGGGGGGGTGGGTGAAGAATGCAGGCAATAGAAGAAAACTGATTTTTAACCCGGATTAGTATCATGCAAGATATAAGAGAAGACTAACTCAGTCTTTTACCCCCATGCCTTTCAACAAAAGATCTAAAATTGAGATACCTTTAGATAGCATTCTCATTAAGTTTTGCCATTATTTGCCACTAGTTTTGCTTTGTTGGGATTAAACAATATGCCCAACTCATCTTTATTTAATGTTTTCACTCAAAACATTTATCAATACTGAGACATTTCTAAAGAAAAAAGTTTGCATTCCTCCATTTTGGCTATACTGTTAATAATGTTAGTAGAATTGGCATTATTTTCAATTCACCTAGAACAAATTATTATTCACCCCAAGGAATAAAAATAATCATAGTTGGCATTTAGTTGAGTGCTTACTTTGAGCTAGGCACTGTGACAAGTCCATTACATGCACAGGCTCATTTAATCCTCTCAACAACCTTAGAAGATAGGTACTATTTTTATTCTTATCAGACAGATGAGGAAACCAAGGCTTCCAAAGGCCAATTGATGTCTCCATGATGGCAAAGCCAAGATTTGAGCCTAGATACACCTGGCATTAATGCTTTGCCTTTAACTCTTGTGCTCACTACTTCTTAAAGAAGAAAAAAGAAAATCAGAGTTGCATTGTGAAGATGCAAAAGGAAGGAGATTAAATGGTAAATTGGTAATATGTGTCACTTGAGGTTGAAGAAGTCAGGAGAGAGAAGGCTGGAGGGACATAATGTACAGGGAATGGCCTTTGCTAGGGGAACCATGGATTGGCTCTTTTTCCCTTAAAATTCTCTAGAGACTTATCCGGTTGTTGTTTGTATCAATTGTTTGTCTGTTTTTTATTTCTGAGTAATATTCCTTGGTTATGGAAGTACCACACTTTCTTTCTTCATTCATTGAAAAACATCTGGGTTGTTTCCAGTTTTTAGATATTACAAATAAAACTGCTATAAACACTCATGTACAGGTTTTCTGTGAAAATAAGCTTTCATTTCTTTGATAACTCTTCTAACAATGGCTAGGTCAAAGGGTAATCACATGTTTCGTTTTTTTCCCAACAGCAATGTATAAGTGATTCAGTTTCTCTGAGTTCTTGCCAGATATTGTGCTGTCACTTATTTTTTAAATTCCAGACATTCAGATAGGTGTGTAGTGATGTCTTATTGTGGCTTAATTTGCATTTCTCTAATGGCTAATGATGTTGACTGATTTTTGAATATTGGATTAGACTTGCATCCATTAAAAAAAATCACTTTTTCATGGTATGTAATTTTTTTTATATATTGTTGAATTCTGTTTGCTAACATCTTGTTAAGAATTTTTGAGTTCATGTTCATTAAATATTGGCCTGAAGATTTCCTTTTTATGTTGTCTTTGTATGGTTTTGATAACAGGGTGAGAGTAGCTACATAAAATGAATTGGGAAATGCTCCCTCCTCTCTTTTTTTTCTGGAAAAGATATGTAATTGATGTTAATTCTTTAAATGTTTGGTAGAATTGTCCAGTGAAACCACCTGGGCCTTGATATTTATTTCCAAGAAGTTTTAAAATTATAAATTCAATTCTCTTAATAGTTACATTTATATAATAGTTATATAATTCAAATTATCTATTTCATTTTGGGCAAACTATAGTCATTCGTGCTTTTTAAGGAATTGATCCATTTCATCTAAGTTGTCAGATTTTTGCGTGCAGAATTGTTTTTACTATTCCCTTATCATCTTTTTTATATCTGCAGGGTTTGTAGTGATATCCTCTGTTTCATTCTTGAGTTTGGTAATTCATGTCTCCTCTCTTCTTTCTTGTTCATAAGAAAAAGAGATGGACGTTTGTTGATTTTAATTTTTTTCCAAAGAAGCTTTTTGTTTCATTGATTTTTCTCTATTCTGTTTTTAACTTCATTAATTTCTGTTTCTACCTTTATTAATTCTGTTTCTTCACTTGCTTTTGGTTTTTCTTTCTTTTTCTAGGTTCTTGGGGTGGGAAGGGGGAAATAATGGCATTCTCAGATGAAAGGAAACTAAGAGATTTTGTCACTAGCAGACTTCTTTTAAAAGAATGACTAAAAAAAATCTAAACAGAAAGTACATTACAAAAGAAGCAATTTAGGAACTTTGATAACTAAGAAAAAATACTTTACTCAAAAATATGCCTAAATACAACAAGCTTCCTTCTCTTGAGTTTTCTTTTCTTTTTTTTTTCTTTTTCTTTTTTTTTTTTTTTTTTGAGATGGAGTCTTGCTCTTGTCACCCAGGCTAGAGTGCAATGTCATGATCTTGGCTCACTGCAACCTCCACCTCCCAGGTTCAAGCAATTCTGCTGCCTCAGCCTCCTGACTAGCTGGGATTACAGGCACCCGCCACCACGCCCGACTAATTTTTGTATTTTTAGTAGAGACAGGGTTCGCCATGTTGGCCAGGCTGGTCTTGAACTCCTGACCTCGTGATCCTCCCGCCTCAGCCTCCCAAAGTGCTGGGATTACAGGCATGAGCCACCACGCCTGGCCCTTGAGTTTTCTAAATTACGTTTGATGGCTGAAAAATCACATTATCTGATGTGATTCTAAATGTATTTAGAGGAAACATTTAAGACAATTATAAAAAGGAGACAGTAAAGAGATATAAGAGTAAATTACATTTATTGTCTTAGATTATTGATTTGAGACTTTTCATCATTTCTAATAAATGCACTTAAATTTAACCTAACATATGCTATAACTTTCCCTTATAGCCCTGTTTTAGCTGTGTCATAAAATTTTATATGTTATATTTTCATTTTGATTCAGTTCAATATATTTTTAAATTTCCCTTCAGAATTATCTGGCCCATAGGTTATTTGGAAGTGTGTTGTTTAGTTTACAAATGTTTGGAGAACATTTTGCAGTTACTGATTTCTAGTTTGATTTTGTTATGGTAAAAAAACACTATATAATTTCAATTCTTTGAAATTTATTGAGCTTTGTTTTATAACAAGGATATGGTCTATCTTGACATTTGTTCTATAAACACTTGAAAAGAATGTTAAGTCTGCTGTTGTTGGGTAGAGTATTTTATAAATGTTGATTAAATCCTTTTGGCTGGTGGTATTGTTGAGTTCTTATGTATTCTTGCTGATTTTTCATCTAGTTGTTCTATAAACTATTAAGAGGTGCTGAAGTCTCTAACTATAATTGTGGATTTGCCTATCTCTCCTATTAGTACTATCAGTTCACCTAGTGATACAGAAGTGGGCAAGGAAGTGCTGGGAAGGGAAGGGCAGGTCCCTGGCAAGGGCTTAGTTGCTGGCCCTGTCCCTGTGGACCTAGGTGAGGACAGGCACTCCTGACTCCATACCCAAATGTTGCATTTCCCAAGACCACCCTGGCCCACCACACCCCCATCTTGTGCCTATAAAAACTCTCGAGATTCGAGCAGGGAGGCACACAAGCAGCTGGACGGCAAGAGGAATGCGAGGGAGCACACTGGCAGAAGAGCACATGACAGGCACCAGCATGCCATCGACCAGCAGAACAAGGCAGAGTTTGGCCGTGGCAATCAATGGAGACCCTGGGCTGCCGAGCACCCCAACTTCAAGAGAAAACTATCTCCCTTCTGGCTCCCCCATCTGCTGAGAGCTACTTCCCACTCAATAAAACCTTCCACACATTCTCCAAGCCCGTGTGTGATCTGATTCTTCTGGTACACCAAGGCAAGAACCCTGGGATACAGAAAGCCCTCTGTCTTTGCGATAAGGCAGGAGCCTAATTGAGCTAATACAAGCCACCTATGGATGGCTAAACTAAAAAAGCACCCTGTAACACATGCCCACTGGGGGTTCAGCTATAAACATTCACCCCTAGACACTGCCATGGGGTCGGAGGCCCACAGCTTGCCCATTTGTATGCTCCTCTAGAGGTTTGATCAGCAGGGAATGAAGAAGCAAGCCACACCCACATTGCATGACCTGAGAGGGGGACAACGGAACTTTTCCTGTTTCACTAGTTTGCAGCTGTTATTTGGTGCAGACACATTTACAATTGCTGTGTCTTTTTGGTGGACTGACCCTATATTATTACATAATATCTCTCCTTGACTCTGGTACTTTTCTTTGCTCTGAAGTATGCTTTATGTGATATCAATATAGCCACTCCTACTTTCTTTTGGTTAATTATTACATCATATATCTTTTTTCATTCTTTTATTTTCAACTTGCCTATTATTATACTTGAAGTGAGTTTCTTGTAGAAAGCATATACGCAGTTCATATTTTCTAATCCATTCTGCCAGTCAAAATACAATGTTGTAGATATTTATGTTTTGTTATTTTGTTTGTTTGTTTTTACTATACTTTACGTTCTGGGATACATGTGCAGAATGTGCAGGTTTGTTACATAGGTATACACATGCCATGGTGGTTTGCTGCACCCATCAACCCATCATCTACATTAGGTATTTCTCCTAATGCTATCCCTCCCCCAGCCCCCCACCCCCAGACAGACCCCAGTGTGTGATGTTCCCCTCCCTGTGTCCATGTGTTCTCATTGTTCGACTCCCACTTATGAGTGAGAACATGCAGTGTTTGGTTTTCTGTTCCTGTGTTAGTTTGCTGAGAATGATAGTTTCCAGCTTCATCCATGTCCCTGCAAAGGACATGAACTCATCCTTTTTAATGGCTGCATAGTATTACATGGTGTATAGGTGCCATATTTTCTTTATCCAGTCTATCATTGATGGGCATTTGAATCAGCTCCAAGTCTTTGCTATCATGAATAGTGCTGCAATAAACATACGTGAGCATGTGTCTTTACAGTAGAATGATTTATATCCTTTGGGTATATGCCCAGTAATGGGATTGCTAGGTCAAATGGTATTTCTGGTTCTACATCCTTGAGGAATTGCCACACTGTCTTCCACAATGGTTGAACTAATTTACACTCCCACCAACAGCGTAAAAGTGTTCCTTTTTCTCCACATCCTCTCCAGCATCTGTTGTTTCCTAACTTTTTAATAATCACCATTCTAACTGGCATGAGATGCTATCTCACTGTGGTTTTGATTTGCATTTCTCTAATGATCAGTGATGATGAGCTTTTTTTCATATGCTTGTTAGCTGCATAAATGTCTTCTTTTGAGAAGTGTCTGTTCATATACTTTGCCCACTTTTTGATGGGGTTGTTTGATTTTTTTCTTGTAAATTTGTTTAAGTTCTTTGTAGATTCTGGATATTACCCTTTGTCAGATGGATTGCAAAAATTTTTTCCCATTCTGTAGGCTGCCTGTTCACTCTGATGATAGTTTCTTTTGCTGTGCAGAAGCTCGTTAGTTTAATTAGATCCCATCTGGCAATTTTGGCTTTTGTTGCCATGGCTTTTGGTGTTTTAGTCATGAAGTCTTCTCCCATACCTATGTCCTAAATAGTATTGCCTAGGTTTTCTTCCAGAGTTTTTACGGTTTTTGGTCTTACATTTAAGTCTTTAATCCATCTTCAGTTAATTTTTGTATAAGGTGTAAGGAAGGGGTCCAGTTTCAGTTTTCTACATATGGCTAGCCAGTTTTCCCAACACCATTTATGAAATAGGGAATCCTTTCCCCATTGCTTGTTTTTGTCAGGTTTGTCAAAGATCAGATGGTTGTAGATATGTGGCATTATTTCTGAGGCCTCTGTTCTGTTCCATTGGCCTATATATCTATTTTGGTACCAGTACCATGCAGTTTTGGTTACTGTGGCCTTGTAGTATAGTTTGAAGTCAGGTAGCATGATGCCTCTAGCTTTGCTCTTTTTGCTTGGGATTGTCTTGGCTATACAGGCTCCTTTTTGGTTCCATATGAAATTTAAAGTAGTTTTTTCTAATTCTGTGAATAAAGTCAACGGTAGCTTGATGGGGACAGCATTGAATCTATAAATCACTTTGGGCAGTACGGCCATTTCTACAATATTGATTCTTCCCATCCATGAGCCTGAAACACTCCATTTGTGTCCTCTCCTATCTCCATTGAGCAGTGGCCTGCAGCTCTCCTCGAAAAGGTCCTTCACATCCCCTGTAAATTGTATTCCTAGATATTCTATTCTCCTTGTAGCAATTGTGAATGGGCGTTCACTCACGAATTGGCTCACTGTTTGTCTATTATTGGTGTATAGGAATGCCTGCAATTCTTGCACATTGATTTTGTATCCCAAGACTTTGCCGAAATTGCTCACCAGCCTAAGGAGATCTCGGGTTGAGACAATGGGGTTTTCCAAATACACAATCATGTCATCTGCAAACAGAGACAATTTGACTTCCTCTCTTCCTGTCTGAACACCCCCCATTTCTTTCTCCTACCTGATTGCCCTGGGCAGAACTTCCAATACTATGTTGAGTAGGAGTGGTGAGAGAGAGCACCCCTGTCTTGTGCTGGTTTTCAAAGCCCCTGACCATTCAGCATGACATTGGCTGTGGGTTTGTCATAAACAGCACCCTTTATTTTGAGATACATATGATCAATACCTAGTTTATTGAGAGTTTCCTGCATGAAGGGGTGCCAAACTCCATCAAAGGCCCTCTCCGCATCCACTAAGACGATCATGTGGCCTTTGTCACTGGCTCTGCCCATGTGATGGACCACGTTCATCGATCTGCTTATGTTGAACCAGCCTTGCACCCCAGGGATGAAGCTGACCCAATCATGGTGGATAAGCTTCTTGATGTGCTGCTGAACTCGGCCCACCAGCATTTTACTGAAGATTTTCAAATCAATGTTCACCAGAGACACTGGCCCAAAATTTCCTTTTTCTGTTGTGTCTCTGCTAGGTCTTGGCACCAGGACGATTCTAGCCTCATAAAATGAGCTAGGGAGGAGTCCCTCTTTTTCCATTGTTCGGAACAGTTTCAGAAGGAATGGTACCAGCTCCTCTCTGCATCCCTGGTAGAATTTGGCTGTGAATCTGTCTGGTCCTGGGCTTTCCTTGGTTGGCAGGCTATTAATTACGACCTCAATTTCAGAACTTGTCATTGATCTATTCAGGGATTCAACCTCCTCCCAGTTTAGTCCTCGGAGGGTGCATGCATCCAGGAATGTATCCACCTCTTCCAGACTTTCCAGTTTATTTGCACAGAGGTGTTTATAGTATTCTCTGACGGTAGTTCGTATCTCTGTGAGATCAATGGTGACATCCCCTCCATCATTCTCTATTGTGTCCATTTGATTCTTCTCTCCTGTGTTCCCTATTAATCCAGCTAGCGGTCCATCTATTTTGTTAGTCTTTTCAAAAAACCAGCTCCTGGATTCACTGACTTTTTGAAGGGTTTTTCGTGTTTTTATCTCCCTCACTTCCGCTCTGATCCTAGTTATTTCTTGTCTTCAGCTAGCTTTTGAATCTGCCTGCCCCCGCTTCTCTAACTTTTTTAATTGTGATGTTAGAGTGTTGATTTTAGACCTTTCCCACTTTCTTCTGTGGGCATTTGGTGCTATAAATTTCCCTCTAAACACTGCTTCAGCTGCATTCCAGAGATTCTGGTACATTGTGTCTTTGTTCTCATTGGTCTCCAAGAACTTATTTCTGCCTTAATTTCATTATTTATCCAGTAGTCATTCAGGAGCAGGTTGTTCAGTTTCCGTGTAGTTGTGTGATTTTGAGTGAGTTTCTTAATCCTGAGTTCTAATATGATTGCACTGTGGTCTGAGAGACTGTTTGTCATGATTTCTGTTCTTTTGCATTTGCTGAGGAGTGTTTTACTTCCAATTACGTGGTCGATTTTAGAATAAGTGTGATGTGGTGCTGAGAAGAATGTATATTCTGTTGATTTGGGGTGAAGAGTTCTGTAGATGTCTATTAGCTCTGCTTGGTCCACAGCTGAGTTCAAGTCCTGAATATCCTTGTTAATTTTCTGTCTTGTTGATCTGTGTAACATTGACAGTGGGATGTTAAAGTCTCCCACTATTATTGTGTGGGAGTCTAAGCCTCTTTGGAGGTCTCTAAGAATTTGCTTTATGAATCTGGGTGCTCCTGTATTGGGTGCATATATATTTAGGATAGTTAGCTCTTCTTGTTGCATTGATCCCCAGACTATGTGTGTCTTTGCACGTGAGATGGGTCTCCTCAATACAGCACACCAATGGGTCTTGACTCTTTATCCAATTTGCCAGTCTGCGTCTTTTAATTGGGGCAGTTAGCCCGTTTACATTTAAGGTTAATATTGTTATGTGTGAATTTGATCCTGTCATTATGATGCTAGCTGTTTATTTTGCCTGTAAGTTGATGCAGTTTCTTCATAGTGTTGATAGTCTTTACAATTTGGTATGTTTTTGCAGTGGCTGGTACCAGTTGTTCCTTTCCATATTTAGTGCTTCTTTCAGGAGTTCTTGTAAGGTAGGCCTGGTGGTGACAAAATCTCTCAGCATTTGCTTGTCTGTAAAGGATTTTATTTCTCCTTTGCTTATGAAGCTTAGTTTGGCTGGATATGAAATTCTGGGTTGAAAATTCTTTTCTTTAAGAATGTTGAATATTAGTCTCCAGTCTCTTCTGGCTTGTAGGGTTTCTGCAGAGAGGTCCACTGTTAGTCTGATGGGCTTCCCTTTGGGGGTAACCTGACCTTTCTCTCTGGCTGCCCTTAACATTTTTACCTTCATTTCAACCTTAGTGAATCCGACAATTAAGTGTCTTGGGGTTGCTCTTCTTGAGGAGTATCTTCATGGTGTTCTCTGTTCTCTGTATTTCCTGAATTTGAATGTTGGCCTGTCTTGCTAGGCTGGGGAAGTTCTCCTGGATAATATCCTGAAGAGTGTTTTCCAGCTTGGTTCCATTCTCCCTGTCACTTCCAGGTACACCAATCAAATGTAGGTTTGGTCTTTTCACATAGTCCCACATTTCTTGGAGGCTTTGTTCATTACTTTTCATTTTTTTTTCTCTAATCTTGTCTTCACACTTTATTTCATTAAGTTGATCTTCAATCTTTGATAGCCTTTCTTCTGCTTGATTGATTCGGCTATTGATACTTGTGTACGCTTCACGAAGTTCTCATGCTGTGTTTTTCAGCTCCATCAGGTAATTTATGTTCTTCTCTAAACTGGTTATTCTAGTTAGCAATTCGTCTAACCTTTTTTCAAGGTTCTTAGCTTCCTTGCATTGGATTAGAACATGCTCCTTTAGCTCAGAGGAGTTTGTTATTACCCACCCTCTGAAGCCTACTTCTGTTCAATTTGTCAAATTCATTCTGTGTCCAGTTTTGTTCCCTTGCTGGCAAGGAGGTGTGATCCTTTGGAAGAGAAGAAGCATTCTGATTTTTGGAATTTTCAGGCTTTTGCGCTGGTTTTTCCTCACCTTTGTGGATTTATCTACCTTTGGTCTTTGATGTTGGTGACCTTCAGATGGGGTTTTTGTGTGGACCTCCTTTTTCTTGATGTTGATGCTATTTCTTTCTGTTTGTTACAGTCAGGCCCCTCTGCTGCAGGTTTGCTGGAGTTTGCTGGAAGTCCACTCCAGATTCTGTGTGCCTGGGTATCACCAGCAGAGACTGCAGAACAGCAAAGATTGCTGCCTTTTCCTTCCTCTGGAAGCTTCATCCCAGAGGGGCACCTGCCATATGCCAGCCAGAGCTCTCCTGCATGAGGTGTCTGTTGACCCCTGCTGGGAGATGTCCCCCAGTCAAGAGGCAGGAGGGTCAGGAACCCACTTGAGGAGGCAGTCTGTCCCGTAGCAGAGCTCAAGCACTGTGCTGAAAGATCCACTCCTCTCTTCAGAGCTGGCAGGCAGGAAGGTTTAAGTCTGCTAAAGCTGCACCCACAGCCGCCCCTTCCCCCAGGTGCTCTGTCCCAGGGAGATGGGAGTTTTATCTATAAGCCCCTGACTGGGGCTACTGCCTTTCTTTCATAGATGCCCTGCCCAGAGAGGAGGAATCTAGAGAGACAGTCTGGCTACAGCGGCTTTGCCAAGCTTTGGTAGGCTCCACTGAGTTCGAACCTCCCCGGAGGCTTTGTTTACACTGTGAGGGGAAAACCGTGTACTCAAGCCTCAGTAATGGCAGATACTCCTCCCCCCAGCAAGCTTGAGCATCCCAGGTCAACTTCAGACTGCTGTGCTGGCAGCAAAGTTTCAAGCCAGTGGGTATTAGCTTTCTGGGTTCTGTGGGGGTGGGATCCACTGAGCTGGACCACTTGACTCCCTGGCTTCAGCCCCCTTTCCAGGGGAGTGCACGCTTCTGTCTTGCTGGCGTTCCAGGCGCCACTGAGGTATGAAAAAAAACTCCTGCAGCTAGCTCTGTGTCTGCCCAAATGGCTGCCCAGTTTTATGCATGAAACCCAGGGCCCTGGTGGAGTAGAGACCCAAGGGAATCTCCTGGTCTGCAGGTTGCAAAGACTGTGGGAAAAGCATAGTATCTGGGCCAGAATGCACCATTCCTCATGGCACAGTCCCTCACGGCTTCCCTTGACTAGGGGAGGGAGTTCCCCGACCCGCTGTGCTTCCCGGGTGAGGTAACACCCCACCCTGCTTCGACTCGCCCTCCGTGGGCTGAACCCACTATCTAACCAGTCCCAATGAGATGAGCCAAGTACCTCAGGTGGAAATGCAGAAATCACTCACCCTTCTGCATTGATCTCACTGGGAGCTGCAGACTGGAGCTGTTCCTATTCAGCCATCTTGCCACCCACCTCCAACAATCCTTTATTCCATTTATGTTGAATGTAATTACAGATATGTTAGAGCTTAAGTCAGTTATTTTGTATTTTGTTTTCTGTCTATTCTCTCTGTTGTTCATTTCTCTGTTTTCTTTTCCTTATCTTCTTGTGGGTTACTTCCGGTGGGTTACTTTTTAGAATTCCATATTAATTTTTGTTTTTGAGTGTATCTATTTCTTTTTCACTAGTTGCTTTAGGTATTAAAAGTATACATATTTTTATAACTTAAATTTTTTCATATATTTGCTATGGTTTAAATGTGTCCCTTCCAAAATTCAGGCGTTGCCAATGTGACGGTATTAGGTAGTAAAGTCTTTAAGAGGTAATTAAGTCATGAAAGTTCTTCCTCATTAATGTTATTAAGGCCCTTATGAAAGAGGCTTCATGCAACAAGATGGTCCTCAGCAGATACCAGATGCCAATGCCTTGATCTAGGACTTCCCAGTTTCCAGAACTGTGAGAAAATAAATTTCAGTTTATTCTAAATTACTCAGTCTCAGGTACTGTGATATAACAGCATAAGCAGACTAAGTCAATATCGATATCAAACCTATCCTAGTGTACTTGTGGTGTAATTTTGCCAGTTCAAGTGAAGTGTAGAAACCTTATTTCCCTTTATAGCTCCTTACCTTTTTCCTTTTATAATATGATTGCTCAAGTATTCTCTCTACCAAATCAGATGTTAAAATTTCTGCTTTAACCTTCAAATATAATTTAGAAAACTCAAGAGGAGAAGGGAAGCCTATTATATTTACTCATATTTTTACTTAGTGTTTTCTTGGTTCTTAATGTTCCAATATTCTTTCTTTCATAATTTCCTTTCTGTAGCCATGCTTTTAGAAAAAAAACTGCTAGTGACAAAATCTCTTAGTTTCCCTTCATCTGAGAATGTCATGATTTCCCCTCCATTCCTAAAGGATATTTTTGCTGGATATTGGATTTGGGTTGACAATTTTTTCCTCTCAACACTTGAAAGATGTTGTGTCACTTCCTTATGGAGTCCATGGTTTCTGATGTAAGATCCACTGTCATTCAAATTGCTTTTCCCTTACAAGTAAGGTGTCATTTCTTGCTCTCTGCTTTTAACAATTTTTTCTATGTTCTTAGTTTTCAAAAGTTGAATGATATATCCTGGCATGACTCTCTTTGAGTTTATCCTATTAGGTTTCATTTGTCTTTTTTTTAGTAACAGCTTTATTGAGATATAATTTTTAACCATAAAACTCACCCTTTTAAAGTTTATAATTCAGTGGTTTTTAGATTCACAACATTATGTAACCTCCACTATCTAACTTTAGAACACTTTAATCACCTAGAAAAGAAACCCTATACTTATTAGTAATCACTATTTCCCTCCTTGACCCTTGGAAACCACTAATATGCTTTGTCTCTATATATCTGCTTATTTTAGACTTTCACATAATCATGTAACATGTGGCTTTTGTAACTGGCTTCTTTCACTTAAAGAAAGCATAATGCTTTCAAGGTTGATTCATACTGTAGCATGTATTAGCACTTTATTCCTTTTTAGTATCAATTAATAGTCCATTGTATATATATACTATATTTTGTTTATTCATTAATCAATTGATGGACATTTGAGTTGTTCCACTTTTTGGACATTACAAATAATTACAAATAATCCTGCTTTTTGTACCACTTTTTGTGTAGACATATGTTTTCATTTTTATTTGGAGTAGAATTCCTGAGTCATAGGGTAACTCTATATTTAATTGTTTGAGGAACTGCCACAGTGTTTTCCAGAGCAGCTATAGCATTTTACATTCCCACCAGCAATGTACAGGGGTTCCAATTCCTCCATATCCTCCCCAATACTTGTTATCTGTACTTCATATTATAGATACTCTAATGAGTGTGAAGTGGTATCTCCTTGTTTTGATTTGCATTTCCCTAATAGCTAATGATCTTGAGCTTCTTCTCATAAGCCTATTGGTCATTTGTATATCTTATTTGAAGAAATGTCTATACAGATCCTTTCTCCATTTTTAATTAGGTTGTTTTTTATTATTGAGGTGTAAGAGTTTTTTATCTATACTAAATATAAATCTCTTATTGGATATGTAATTTGCAAATATTTTCTCCCATTCTGTGTGCTGTCTTTTCATTTTCTTTCTTGGTGGTGCCATTTGAAGCATGAAAGTTTGAAATTTTGATGAAATCCAACCTGTTTACTTTTTCTTTTATTGCTTGCGTTTTTGGTGTCATATGTAGGAGGTCTTTTCCTAACTCCAGGTCACAAAAATTTAATTCCATGTTTACTTCTGATAATTTTATAGTTTTAGTGCTTATATTTTGTTCTATGATCCATTTTAAGTTAATTTTTGTATACAGTGTGAAGCAGACGTCCAATTTTGTTCTTTTACATGTGGATACCCTGTTGTTTCAGCACTATTTGTTAAAAAATAACTACCTTCTTCCCATTTAACTGTTTTGGCTCCTTTGTTGAAAATTCACTCAGCTTCTTGAATCTGTAGGTTTATCTCTTTCACCAAATTTCAGAAGTTTTCAGACATTATTTATTTGAGTATTTTTAGCCTCACCCTTTTTCTTTTCTCCCTCTAGGACTCTGATTTCATGAATGTTACATCTTTTGTTGTAGTCACTTAGTTCCATGAGACTCTGTTCTTTTTAGTCTATTTTATCTCTTTTTTAGAGTGGATAATTTCTGTTGTTCTGTCTTCAAGTTCCTTGATTCATTCCTTTGTCTCCTTCGTTCTGTTACTCAATTCATTTAGTTTTTTATTTTGATTATTGTATTTCTCAGTTCTAAAATTTCCATTTGGTTTTTCTTTATGTCTTCTGCTTATTTAATGAGACTTTCTATTTTTTTCATTTGTTTCAAGTGTTTTTGTAGTTGCTCACTGAAGCATTTTTATGATGTCTGCTTTAACATCTTTGTCAGATAATTCTAACATCTTTGTCTTCTTGGTTTTGTCATTTATTAATGGTCTTTTTTCATACAGTTTGAGATCTTCCTAGTTCATGATATAATGAGTGATTTTCATAAAACCTGGACGTATGGGATATTTATGAGGTTTTGAATCTTATGAAAATCTCTTTTAGCTGGCTTTTTCTAACATGGTACTGGCAGGGGAAGTGGGTATGGGGAACAGGCACCACCTCATTGTTGCCAAGTTGGAGGAGACATCCAAGTTCCTCATTTGGCCTCCACTGACACCCAGGATGGGAGACTCCTTGTTACTGGCTTGTGATGATGAAAGTACTGGTTCTTTATTTGACCTTCTCTGACACCACCCTGGGAAGGAGGGCTTAGGGCACCTCTAAATAATTATTTAAATATTTTTCCATAATGCTAACCTGAAGATGTTTCAGTGTAAGGCAATTCTTTAAACTACCTAATAGTCTGGTGAGGGTGGGGATCTAGGCTATCCACTAGGACTTTGCTGACATGAGTAGGATGGGGTCACAATTCTGTCTGTAGTTTTGCCTAGAGTATGCAATTATTGTCAAAAAGTTTTCTGTCTGCCATACTCCTTTTCTGGCCCTTCAGCTGGAGCAGTGTTTTGATGGGGCCTTTTTAGTCTGTGCCATTGGTGTTTCTAGGTTGCTGATGTGTAAAGTTTCAAGTCTCTAAAGACTCTAAAGCAAAAAGAAAACACAGGCAATTAACCATCATGTTGTTCCTTGGGTTCCAAGGTCTCTAGTTGATCTGTCTTCTTTCCACCATTTGGAGACCTTTATGTTTGTTTTATACATAATGTTCAGAAGTTTTAATTATACTTAGTGGGAGGAATAGGGACAAGCATATCTATTCCAACTTCCCAAAAGTGGAAATCTAAGTAGACCTTTTTATAAGCAGAATCATATTATAATCACTAGGACATATTAATACTTAAAGGAGATTTGAAGTTAATTTTTCCCAGTTAATAACTCCCTAATTTATATTTTTAAGAATTCAAACTTTATATATTGGGTTTACTTTAAATGAGAAATGCCTGTAGATTATTTACACATTTCTGAATATTGACTACAATTGTCCTCTTCAATATTTTAATTAAATTCTTCCAAATAATTACTGAAACTTTTTTTCATAATGTCAACCTGAAGATGTTTCAGTGTAAGGCAATTCTTTAAACTACCTAATGTGAAATAATTGTCTTCCAGAAGTATAAATGGTGACAATATTTTAGAAGATCCTATTCTATTTTATTTGTTTATTTTTATTTTTTCATTTATTTTTGAGACGAAGTCTTCCTCTGTCACCCAGGCTGGAGTGCAAATGAATGGCCTGATCTTGGCTCACCGCAACCTCTGCCTCCCAGGTTCAAGCAATTCTCCTGCCTCAGCCTGCTGAGTAGCTAGAATTACAGGTGCCCGCCACCATGCCCAGCTAATTTTTGTATTTTTAGTAGAGACGAGGTTTCACCATGTTGGCCAGGCTGGCCTCAAACTCCTGACCTCAGGTAATCCGCCCATCTCGGCCTCCCAAAGTGCTGGGATTACAGGCGTGAGCCACTGCGCCCAGGCTTATTCTATTTTAGAAGCTTGCCTGTATATAAAAAATTACTTATCTTACTAGGTTTCCATATACTCACCAACAATTGCCTATTAAAGACATTTATTTAACAATTTTTGAATTTCCAGACTTACTTTTTCAATAATATTCCTCCTTCTCAAACATCTTTGATTTATATTAATGTCTAGTAATACTTTCATTCATTGCCCTCTAACAACCTGCCCTGCACTCTGCTAATGAGTTCTTTATGTAACTTATCTTACTTAATCTTGTTTCAGACAAAAGAAAGTGAAGCTCAGAAAGACTGAGCCAAAAGCATTCATAAATGGTAAAGCCAGCATCTGCATATAGGTCCTCTGCCTGCAAGCTCCACACTTGTTTTAACAATGCTACACCTGACAAAATAAGCATCTTGTCATTCCTAGGTGAAAGCTTATAGGTATGTTTTCTCCCTCAGATGCTATTTTGTAACTTCTAACATGTTTTTATTTTTATCTTGGTAAATTTTTCACCTAAGAAAATAAAATTAATACAGAAATTTTAAATATATCTATGTTTTAAAGGTAAAAACAAAGTTTATAAATTTTAACTTCATTTTTGTCATTTAAAAATTATTAATAATTCTTCAAAGTTTTACCACATGAGCATATTTAGGTATAAAGAGAAAATACTACTGGATAGCTGCTATTATATGTGCAAACTGTCAAAGAAAAATAAAATAAGCCATGTTAATAAATCCTTGTTAATAAGATTTACTGTTTAAAACATGTTTTTTTAATTTGACCTAGAAGAGACAAAAAGGCTACATGTGTAAGAATCTCTATTCAACAGAACTATTTTATATTAGTATTTTCATTCACTTTAATTTTTACAAAAGAATACATATTTAATTTGCTTAATCTCAATTTTACAACATCTGATAATCAACATTTTTTTCTTTCAAAATGTTTTGGCCAATAAATCCTCTTATGCTAAATAATATGTTACTTTTTCTTCAATTCATTTCAGCTATTTCCAAACTATTAATCAAGTGAACTCCTACTAATTGCTTAGTCAGTAGTATTTACATCTGTCATTATTTGCTAATCTTTTGGATTTTAGAAATATTTGTGTTTTTTCCTTTAGCAAAGTAGAATGCAAATACTACACATCTTCTGATTTGTATAGATCCTAGTCCACGATGTAACTTTTCAAATGCAGAAATAAGCCATTTGTTATTTGGATAAATATACTTTTTCTGGGTATATTTTCCTGCAGATAAACTACCATTCAGAAAAGTTTATATTACATTTTTTTCTTGGTAATCTACTCCTATTTGGGGGGGGGGGCTCTTTTTGATATACACTACTGTATCCAATTACTATCAAATTAATATTATAACATGTTGAAATCATGAATATTTTAGTTATCTATATTTTCCCTTGCTAAGTTCAATTTCCCAATGATTAAAAAATGGTACTTTTAGTCTCAAATTTTAAGTTAAATAAACTAGTTGTTCCTGCAAAATGACTGTAATTCAAATGAAAATTGTTAACACGTTTAGAAGAACAAATAAATTACCTTAGTAAAAATTTAGACATTTTCTAGTATTATGTACTGTAATTTTACCTAAACTATGACAGGAAGGCAACAACTGTCACACATTTTCAAAATATATACAGCACTTCCAGTAAGATAGTCGGAACTGCTGGTATTTCTACTCACACTGATCATGTGAGGAATATTATCACGGGCATCATCACCTTAGAAAATAAAAATCAGCTAGCTATGCAAATTTTAAGTATTTTTATACAGTAAATTTTACATATAAGAATAATCTGAGGGAAGGAAACTGATATTTATCTCATTACCCTTGTTGCAGTTGGGTATAAAAACGTCCACCACTCCCATTTTGAATCATTTGCCGTACAGAAAATACAGGACATTTTAATTTCTCATGATGGCAGGTTAGGGAGAGAAAGGCTTGTTATTTCTAAGAGCAAGAAACTACAGTTTTATAGGATTGAACACCTGGAGGCGTAAACATTTTATAAATCACTGAATTCTAATTACATAGTAGTTTATACGCCAGATACAACATACGTCAAAAGCCTATCTTGTTCTAAGCGGGCAGCCATCCACCGGCGTCTACCTACCGAAGCCATTTCTGCTTTTTACCAGCGACGCTGGAACAGTGTTATTGTGGGATATGTTCAGTGTTGAACAGGCTCCCAGGGCACGGCTGTTACTTTGGAGGTTATGCTGGGGTACAGAAGTTAGGCTGGGGCAGGGCCATCCACCTAGGAGGGCCCAGCACAGTCTGGGCAACCACACCGGCGGGCCGTTTTGCTCACAGCCCCACCGCGCCGGGCAGCGTCTGCAGCTGCTGCGTGCGAGACCCAGAGGCTCCGGTCAGCGCGCCGGCCGCAGGGAGTGCGAGCACTTGTGAGCCCCGCGCCGGGCCGGTGAAGTCTGGTGCTGCCGAGCCCGCTTAGAAAGCACGGCCGCGCGCTGTCGGACGCAGGCCCACAGGCCCAGCCGACCCAGGCAGCAATTTTCCTAGCCCCGCCGCCGTTGCCAAGGCGACCGCCGCCGAATGTTCCCGCCGCGGGCTCCGCCCCCCGGCCAATCGGACCGGCGCTCGGTGAAGCCCAGATTCTCTTTGTTCCGCAGCCATTTCAGGCCCCGGACAGGAGGCAGTGCCGCTTCGGCCGAAGGCCCGAGCGCCCGAGGCGTCTGGGATGGTGTGGGACCGGGTAGGTGGCGTGAGGGTGCGCGGCCCCGAACTGCAGGGGCGGGAACGGAGGCTGGGAGCGCCGAGCTGCCTGACGCGCCTACGGGAGAGACGCCGGGCTCGCCCGCTCTCTCGGCGCCTGCCCGGCCGTTTGAAGCCGAGAGGCAGCGGCGGCGCGGTTCTAACCCCAACAGCTGCCCGCCCAGGCGCCCTGCGGGACCCGGGTAGGGAGCAGGCGACGGCGGCTCCTCAAGCGTCCGAGGATCCCGTTAGGGGCGGCAGGAGCCCGTTACAAGGGGCGGGAAGGGAAGGGTCTTACATTCAGGGGAGCGTTTGCCTCGCCTGTTAAGCTGTGGCGTTTGAGGGCCCTTGAGTGCTGCAGTCGGCTGCCCCGGGACGGCTGCCTTTCACTGGTTCTGGGCGCTGGCCGGCGCTGCCCGAGATGGGCCAGTCTTTGTCCCGCCCTGGGCCCCTCTGCCCGGGTCTCCTGCGTCCGCACACAGCGCCCATCGTCCTTACATGCAGCTTGCCGTTCTCTTCCTCCCGGCGGTTCTTTCTCCTTGGGGCCTCTTGGCCTCACGACATGTTTACATAATGTTTGTGACTGTACGAGTTTTGCGTGGGCTTGTGGGTTTTGCCCTTCTACCTCCACTCCCATGCGTACAAGCAACAGGGAACAGCTGCTGAGGAGCAGATTGGCCACCACAATCAAGCTATTTTCGGAATGACTTTCTTTAAAAATGATCGCGTGTTGCTTACTGATTTTAAAAATCAACTGGATTTTGCAAGGATTGCTTAGAGTTTAAGTCTGTTATCTTAATCGCTAATCAGGATGGTCTATCAGTAGATGTAAATGTAGAAATTTGAAATTGGAGGCTATCTACAAATTGATTTTGACAGCTGTATTAAGAAGCTTAATAACTGTCCTTTGAAACAGTAATGACTTAAATGATGAATGTGTAAGTGGTACTTTTTTTACCCTAAAGAAAAGATACTTTTAAAATTGCAAGATGTATGGTGTAATAGGTGTTTGGAAATGAAGGTTGTAAAATGGCTGTCCTGACGTACTACTCACTTTTAGAATAACAAAAGTTCCTGCAGCTTTTTAAGTTTCCCTGTTATATCAAAGCTTTCATGTTAGAGTGGTGAAGAAGCTATGTTTAGTGGAAAAGGGGAAAGTTCCGTTTTTTGGGAAAGGATCTGTTTTCCACTTTCACCTTACCTGGCACCGTAGTTGTTCCTAGAGAAGGCTGTGCCAGGATGAAAATTAGCAACCACAAAAGGGAAACAATAGTTTGTAGGTGCAGATATCTTTTTTAGTCTCTAGCTATGCAGTGCATAAATTTATACTAGCTTGGCAGTACGATTTTTACTTCATGCAATTTAACGTGAGCCTAATGAAGTACTAGTGTTCTGTTTTCTTTTTCCTAAAAGGGGCCGCCACCCTTGATGTGGCTGCATCTTTCTCCTAGTCAGGAATTATTAAATTCCTCCCACTGAAATATCTATAAAAATCTTGTTTGCACTTCTACCTCAACTCTCAGTGGCTTTATTACCATTATATAATGTGAGCAGAATAAGATTTTTGTAAAAATACATGATTCTAGTTGTAAGCTTTTCCAATATCAACATTTCTTATTGTATTCATTGTTTTTATGACTGTAGTTTTGCTTATTTATAATTTTAAAGCCATTCCATGAACTCAGTTTTTCTAAATGTTGTAAATGAGCTACTACATTGAAATGTAAACATCTGTATTTAGAAGAATTTCTTGAATTTTAACCATGTTGGATTCTGCAAATGTTTTTTTAAGAAAAGAAACCTGGTTATAAAGTGACGTCAAACCAAGTGACATAGGTAATGAAATAAATGAATTTATCAAATATAAACTGCAGAGAGGAGCACAGCAGTAAGTGGGGGAGTTCTTTTTATTGGCCAGGGTATAAATTGTGATATTTTTTCCTGAGATTGATATTTGAATACATATTGGTGCTAAAAAGATATCTTCCCCCCTCAAAACAGTTTGGTTTACCAGCAAAAGGATGAGAAAGCTGAGAGAATCAAAGAAACTGATGAGGTTTTCAAAAACAATGGCGAACAATGCCATCCTCAAAGAGGAAGGATCAGAAACAGTGAAATTCCCCTGGAGGTTGAGGATTTTTCTTAGTTGACCCTATTCAGCCATTGCCATGGTAAATCTGTTGAGTGTTGGCAGGTGAAGGAGTCTTCTGGGTTGTACAAGGGATGAGCTTCACAATGGAAGACAGATGTTTGCAAGAGTGGTGCCTTAATCCGTATTGTGTTGCTGTAAAAGAATACCTGAGACTGGGTCATTTATAAAGAGAAGAGGTTTATTATTTAGCTCACGGTTCTGCAGGCTGGGAAGTATAAGAAGCAAGGCGCCGCCATCTGGTCAGCTTGTTGTGCTGCATCATAACCTGCTAGAGAAGGTCAAAGGGGAAGCCACCCCAGGCAAAGAGGGGGAAATCTGAGGGAAGGGCCTGGCTTTCTAACAACTCACCCTCAGGGAACTAAATCATGTCCACCAGATCATGATCAGATTTCAACATGAATTTTGATGGAGACAGACACACCATATTCAAACCACAGCAAGTGGTAACTGATTTGTAGTTGTATGCGTGGATGTTAGTTAGGAGAGGTTTTCAAAAGCAAGTTTGATTGGGTTGCTTTGAAGGGTCCTTTGAAGTACTGTAAGTTGCTGTAGTAAGTAGGAATATTAGAGTTCTAGAGTCTGAATGGTCAAATGAGATATTGAAATGGGAAATAGGGAGGTGGATTTGTCCTGGAATTTTCTGGAGTAGATAGAATACATATAGGAATAGTGGCTACATCTTAATCCAAAAAGACACTCCATGCCAGAGCGAATATTACAACTCAGTACTGAAAAAAAGCTGATAACCGTGAGACCATAAAGTTGGGATTGATATATGCCTTTTTAATGGTTAAATTTTTAAAACAAAGCAAAACTTTTCAATGTAGTGTAGAGAACAGGCGCTTTGGAGCCACACTATTTGGATTCAGATTTTGGCACCTTCTGTAATTATCTGTGTGACCTTGGGCAAGTTATTTAATCTCACTTTTTCATCTTATGTTATGAGGATTAAATGAGTTAATACACTAAGCTCTTAAAACTGGGCCTGACATGTATTAACTTTTCTATAAATAATAACTGCTGTTATCATCAATGTCATTATCACTGTTAATTATTTCAGAAAACTATAGAAAACCATAAAATAAAAATTACAAATATCAGTACTACGTAGTAACTACTGTAAGCCCTTTTGCGCATTTCCTTCCAATGTTTTTTTCTGAGTTTATTGGATTTTTTTCACAGTTGAGACTTTACTATGTGAGTAATTTTGTATTCTCACCATAAGCATTTTCTTATGCTACTTAATTATTTTGTCACCATATTTAATGTTTGCATGTTTGTGTGGATTTCTCATTATTAAACAGTTTCTAATTTTTTTGCAGTTATAAGAAACACTGCAATGAACATCCTCATACAAAAATCAATTTCTGCATTCTGGATTATTTAGAGTCCCCAAAGCAAAAATACTGAGTCAAAGTAAACATCCAAAGCTCATGGTCCATACTGCAAATTGCTTTTACTTAAGGGAATTTAATAATGAACTTATTAATATAATAAATTGAGACTACACAGTATTGTTCCTGTTGCTTTGGGATTGGAGGAATAGAGAGTGGATTAACGTTTTCCTTGTAATGTACTAGACATCATTTGTAGGCATTTAACATACATTGTCACTTTCATGTACATTTTTCTCATTTATTATGTTGGCTCTGTGTTATACATGGAAGTTACTTCTATTTTACTGATGAGAAAACAAAGTGTAAATAGGTAAGTACTTTGTCCAAGGGCTCAGAGCGTTCGAGCCTGAATCTGAATCTAGATCTGCTTGACTGCAAAGCTCATCATGCTGTTTTATTTGTATACTTTTATATCATATACATATTCAGAATTTTATACTATAACTAACTATAGATCACAGACCACATTTTTAAGATAGCTAAACTGAGCTGGGAATAATGAATGGGTAAGTTGCAAAGTTAAACAAGACAGGGCTTAACTTTCCACATTTTAGAAAAAGAAAATCTTTACCTGGATGAGATATAATTGGTAACAACTATATAAAACCGGGTTCTAAAGTGAATGCACCAAATATCTGTGGGTGCAATTCTTAATGATCTTAACACAAATAGGTGAGAGAAAACCAAAGAAATCTCAAATTTGATTAAATTTGGGGAATAAGAGAAATGAAAAGGCCCGTAAGTGCTAAAATTGAAATATACGTTTAGTAAAACTCCTGGTAAAGTAAATGAAGGTTTTACTGGGGAAACAAGCAAAAAAATATGTGTTTCACATAAGGAGAATAGAACTGCCTACAAGGTGTAGGAAGTTAAATTTATACTGAAAATTAGAGAAAAATTCATATTTGAGTTGCATTTTATAGATGACTCCGAAGCCATTAGTAAAATAATTTATTAGTGGAGCCCCTTTATCCTAGATGCATATGTTTCTACCACAAATGAAAAAGTTAATGCTAGGAAGGATAAGATTCCACCACTTTTGTTTTTACTAAGAAAGGAATTAAGGAAGAGAAGTATTTCAGCAAATCATGAATATACTAAATAAATGCAAATAAATTATTAGGAATAGGTGGTATCCAACAAGATTTTAAAGATAAGAATATAAAAGTACAGAACTATTGATTATTATGCTACCATTTGAAATTGTGTTTTTGAAAAATATTTAATGAAATTAAATATATATTTTGACTGGAGCATAGCAGAACTAGGAAATGATGAGAGAGCTAGCAAACCATGAAGGACTTTTGTGCCATTTATTAGTGCTGGGATTATCTCTTGTCGAGAGATTTACATACTAGTGGAGAAAGAGATATGTAAATAAACAAGTTCAATAAGTGTATTTACAGCTTTTGTGATATAAATCTGTAAAAACACCAAGAAAGGCCAGTAATAGATTCGTTGAATAGATTAGGGGGAATGTCTGGAGCATTTTGGGAACTAGGAACAGCATTTCAGTGAGTGTGTCAGTAAACATAAAGATCTGCTGTGTTCTTGGAACTCTTAAGCGGTTCAGGGGCCCTGAAAGGTATATAGCAGGGGTCCACAAACTTTCTGTAAAGGGCCAGGTAGCAAATATTTTCTGCTTTGTGGGCCATACCATCTCTACCACTGTAGTGCAAAAACAGTTATGAAACCAATGGTATGGCCAGATTTGACTAAGGTCTTAATTAGACAAACTCTAATATATAGTAGAGAGGGATGTTGAAGAGAGAGAACCTACTGAGCCTTATGTCACCCTATCATGAGCCATTGAAAGATATGAAACGAATCTAGAAGATTGATTTGTATGAATCATTAAGAGCAGAATAAAATAGATTTTTAAAGCACTCTACATCGATTTAAAAGGGAAAACAACTCAGTTTTTTAAGTGGGCAAGTTCCACAGAAGAGGAAATATGGCTAGCAGGTAAACATGGAATAATGATTTACCTCACCAGCAGAAAAATGCAAAGTAAAGCAGTGACTTTTTTTTTTTTCTCATTATACTGGCCAAAGAGAAAAAAGTTTTGTTAGTATGTATTGAGAAGGTTGTAGGGATAACATTGAATATATCGGTACGGCTATTTTAAAGTAAAAATATCTTTGACCCAGCAGTTTCCATTTCTTAGAGAAACACGTGAGTATATCAGGAGTCATGTGTGCTAGGATTAGTCCTTGTTAGTAACCACAGAAACTCCAGACTTCCTGTTCACATTTTGTCTCTGGCATTCCATTCATAAAAAGTTCTACACTTTTTTTTTTTTTTTTTTTGGAGATGGAGTCTCGCTCTGTTGCCCAGGCTGGAGTGCAGTGGCATGATTTCGGCTCACTGCAACCTCTGCCTCCTGGGTTCAAGCAATTCTCCTGCCTCAGCCTCCCGAGTAGCTGGTACTACAGGCACACATCGCCATGCCCAGCTGATTTTTTGTATTTTAGTAGAGATGGGGTTTCACTGTGCTGTGCAGGCGTGTCTCCAACTTCTGACCTCAGGCAATCCGCCCACCTTGGCTTCCCAAAGTGCTGGGATTACAGGTGTGAGCCACTGCGCCCGGCCTGGCCTGGGTCTACACTTTTTTTTTTTTTTTTTTTTTTTTGGAGACACAGTCTAGCTCTCTTGTCCAGGCTGGAGTGGGGTCTATGCTTTTTCTTAAACCTCTTCTCAACTTTTCATACCCTTCTACTGTACTTTGTGAAATTAACTATCCATCATCTGCAAAATCCAGTCTGAACCATTCTTAGATGTTGCTTTCACTTTCTTGCTGTAATGGAAACCGGACTCTCTTCCACTGTGCAGTTGTGGCTGTTTTTGTTTGTTTGCTCCGTAACTTTCCTCCCACTGTTTCTAGAGGTGGGAAAGATATCTGTCATGAGTCTTCTTACTTCTTTCAGACTATGCTTCCTCCTTTCTCCCTATAATCTTCAGTTTTGAATTATGTCATAAAGGCCCACTGTCCCACTCTCCAGTCTTTATATTGAAATTGATAAGAATGTACATAACTGATCCACCCAAACCCTGGCCTCTCACTTCCTAGACCTCTCTTCCAGTGCTCTTCCCATCTATGCTATATCAGCCACTCATTCCACAGTGATACCCTCGTGCACTGTCAATAACTGCAGTCCCTCCATAGTTGCCATTTCATGTGTTCTGCTCTGTTACCGCTTCTTCCTATTTTTGCAGCTCACTCCTAGTGCCTCAGCCCTAACCATCTTCTGACCCCAATGGAATCTCCAACCCATTGATCCTATTACTGCTCCCCTGCCCCTTACCCTCTTGATGTTTTCACTCCCTTTTATGTGGAATTTACTCATCTAAATTTCATGATTAATCAGTTTAATTACTTCTTTGGATCCCTTTCCTTGCTCTTTGCTTGTTTGGCAAAACCAGAGCTCTAGTTAAAACAAACTCTGGGGTTTTTTTTGCACTTGCCCCTATGTAACTGAGCATGGCCAGAAAAAAAACCACACAACCACACATGGCCACAAACCTTAAGTGGGTCTGTAATGCTGCCTGATGGTTGTACTGTATTTTCCTAGTCTGCTTACTCTTCCACTCCTCTAAATGACTATTTCATATCTTATTTTCCCCAAACCTTCTATATCTCTTTTCCCATCCTCACCTTCAGCTCATGACCTTGCTTCCCACTTTGCTGAGAAAATTGAAGTAATCAGAACTTCCATAGATTGCCACCACTCCACATACCTCTGGCACTCTATTTATGAAAGGGTCTGCGCAGCATCTGCTCAGTACATGGCTGTCTTCCTGCCTGTTACCTTAGATTAACTGTTCATATTCTTGTCTGCCTTTGTACTAGGCCCCATTCTCTCTCATCTGCTCAAGGACTTTGCTTCAGGTTCTCTTCTTCCACATCATCAATTTTGTTCTTTTTATTGAATCATTTCTATCAGCAAACAGATATGCTATTATTTCTCCCCTCTTAGGAAAAAATCTTGTCCCACTTCACCACATTACCCCAATTTTTTGTTTCCTTTGGGAGCAGTATTTCTCAAAATAGTTGTCTGTACTTGCTATTGCCAAGTTCTCTCCTCTAGTACTCTGTTAAACCCACTCTAGTGAGGTCTTTGTCTGCACCACTCCCACAGAAACAGCTCCTCTGGTTCTTCAGTAGCCCCCATATTGTTAAATGCCCTGTGTTATTGATTCTCATCCTATGTGACCTGTCAGCAGCATTTGACACAGCTGTTTGCTTCCCTTAGCCTTGAAACCATTTCTTCTTTGCCTTCGAGGACGTCACACGTTCCTGGTTATCTGCTGTCTCAGTGCTGGTCCTTGTAATTCTCCTTTTCCTTTATTTTCACTGACCTCTTAATGTTGGAGAGCCCCAAGTCTTAATTGTTTGTTTATTTGTTTCTATCTATGCTCACTTTATTGGTAATCTCATTTAGTCTCATGGCTTGAAATACCATGTAAATATCAACAATACCCAAATTTAGATCTTTAGCCCCCTCCTCAATTCCAGTCTTACATGTGCAACTACCTATTCAACATCTCCCCTAAATGTTTAATAATAGACATCAAAGTCAGCATATCCAAAACTAAACTCCTAAACTTTCTCCCCAATGCCTGCTTTACCCACAGACTCTCCCATTTCTGTCAGTGGCAACTCCGTCCTCCTGTAGCTCAGACCAAAATCTTGGCCTTATTTTTTTACTTCACTTTTTCTTTTACTCTTCAGATCTGTTCTTTCAGGACAATCTGTTTTCTGTATCGTCAAAATACATCGAAAATCCTATCATGCCTCACTGCTTCCTCCACTGCCACCACCCTTGTCCAAGCCACTACCATCACATCTTGTTGGATTACTGAAATAGGTTACTACCTGGTCTGCCCCTTCTGCCCTATCCCCTTCCAACAGTATTTTCTCAATACAGTAGCCAGAATAAACCTTTCGCAAATTAAGACAGTCCCTGTCACTTCTCCTGCAATGGCTCCTGTTACGATCTGAATGTATGTGTCCTCCCAAACTGTTGAAATCCTAACTCCCAAGGTATTAGGAAATGGGAGTGGAGTCCTCATGAATAGGATTGGTGCCCTTAAAAAGTCCTAGAGGCCAGGTGCGGTGGCTTATGTCCGTAATCCCAGCACTTTGGGAGGCTGAGGTGGGCGGATCATGAGGTCAGGAGATCGAGACCATCCTGGCTAAAACCGTGAAACCCTGTCTCTACTAAAAATACAAAAAATTAGCCGGGCGTGGTGGCACGTGCCTGTAGTCCCAGCTACTCGGGAGGCTGAGGCAGGAGAATCGCTTGAACCCAGGAGGCGGAAGTTGCAGTGAGCTGAGGTCACGCCACTGCACTCCAGCCTGGGTGACAGGGTGAGACTCTGTCTCAAAACAAAACAAAACTCTAGAGAGATCCCTTGCCCTTTGTCTCTTGAGGACACAGCAAGAAGTCTGTGAGCTAGAAAGCAGCCCTCACCAGATACTGAATATGCCTTGCTCTTGGACTTCCCATCCTACAGAATGGTAAGCAATCAATTTCTGTCATTTATAAGCTATCTCATTTATGGTATTTTGTTATAGCAACCCGAATGGACTAAGACATTCCCTTTCATTCACTCAGAGAAAAGCTGGTCCTGTGAGGCTCTACATGATCTGCCCAATCCACTCCACTTTCTCCTTACCTTCCTGACCTCATTTACTGTTACCACTGTTCTCCCCTTACTCACTGGCCTGCTTGCTATGTCTGTCCTGTTCCTACTTTAGGACTCTTGCTGGCTCCACTCTCTGAAATGTACTTCTTCCACATATCTGCTTGGCTCAATGGACTTACCTCCCAGTCTTTGCTCAGATCTTACCATCTATGAATACCCTGTTTAATACTATATTCTATCCTGCCCTTCCCCACCCACTCTTATCCTGGACTCCTTTTTATTTTTTGCATAGCACATACAACCTTCTAACATACTATATTAGGGGTCAGCAAGCCACAGCTCCATGAGCTTCTGCCCTGTTTTTGTACATCCTATAAGCAAAAGAATGGTTTTTACATTTTTAAACGGTTATGAAACAAAGCAAAAAATACGTGACATATATATGTGGCCTGCAAAGCCTAAAATATTTACTCTCTGTCCCTTTTCAAAAAAAGTTTACACTATGTATTTTATTCTGTTTATTGTCCTCCTCCTCCTGCAAGAATACAAGCTCCAAGAGGGCAAGATCTTTGTTTTATTTTTTGCTGTATCTGCAAGATACAGATACAGAGCCTAGAATGTAGTAGACACTTAGTAAGTATTTGTTAAATGAATTGTTCGTGATGGTGCAAAATGGTAATTATGTTAAATGTTCACCAATAGACCTATATATCACAATGAGTAACAAAATCTGTATAATGACTAGGAAAGTTAAGGCGTATTTTGAAGTTTGTTACAGAACAGGCCTAAAACACTTTTTGTTTCTACAGATACCTGTGTATTTAATTCCATAGAGAAGAACGCTACAAGGATACATAACCAAATGCATACTAAAGTACTTCTGGGGAGGGGACCGAGATTAAGAGAGATAGTTGAAAGGAGCTTGAATTTCATATGTATTGTTTGCTTTTCTTTTTTTTAGCAATGAGAAACAGTCACATGTTAATGTTTTACATTAAGTTTTTTTAATGAAGAGATGAGAAAAAACAAATACATATTAAGAAAATAAAGCAGTGAGAGGAAATGGAGAGTAAAGGGTAGGGTAGAGAGAAAAGGAAGAGGACATTGCCTTTCTTAAATGTCGTATTTGGCCAGCAGTCAATCTGAAAGAGGGGAAGGAGTGAGCAATGTGAATATGGGGGAAAGAGCATGCAAAAGTAAAGGCCCTTAGGTGGGAACAAACTTAGCATGATCTGGGCACTGTAAGAAAACCAGTGTGATGAACATAGTGAAAAAGGGGACAGAGACTACTAGGTGATAAGTTCAGAGAGATGGGCAGGCACCCATGTTAGGTACAGCTTTGCAGGCTGTGATGAGGATATAAGATCTGTGTGATAGGAAACCACTGGAAGATTTTGATGGGGGGAATACATGATTTAATTACAGATTTAATAATTACAGATCATTTTTGCTGCTTTGTCTCAGACAATGGGTTATAAGGGAACAAAAGAGGAGGCAAGCAAATCTGCCTAAACCATGGACTAGGGTAGACAGCAGAGGGGGTGAGAAGTGGTCAATTCAGAGTATATTTTGATGGTGTATTTTAAGAGTCTTGGCTGATGGTTAGGATTTGGGATATGAAGGAAATCAAGGGAAATAAGGATCATTGCTTCTGATCTCCATAATTGGCCTGAACAACTGAGTGAAAACTAGTAGTATTTAGTGGTATTAGGCAACTGGAGGAGGAGATTGGAATGGGTTGGAGAAGGGAATCAAGAGTTTTGTTTCAAGCCTGGGCAGCATAGGGAGACCCTGTCTCCACAAAAAAATTTTTTTTTTAAATTAGCTGGGCATGGTGGCATGTGCCTATAGTCCCAGCTACTCAGGATGCTGAGGTGAGAGGATTACTTGAGGCTGGGAGGTCAAGGTTGCAGTGATCTGTGGTCATGCCACTGCACTCCAGGCTGGGCAACAGAGGGAGATCCTGCCAAAAAAAAAAAAAAAGAGTTTTCTTTCAACCAGCAAAGTTTGAGATGCCCATTTGACAAACAAGCAGATATGTCTTGTCAGACGTTGGATACTTGAATCTGGAATTCAGGGTGCTTTTAATGTTGCAGACTGATGAGATTATATAGATAGTGAATAGAAGGGGGTCTAGGATATTGAGGGGAGCCAGCGAAGGAGACAAAGAGCAGCCAGTGAGATACGAGGAGAACCAGTGAGATGTGGTGCCATAAGAGGTGAAACAGTGGTCACCTGCATTGAGCACTGTGAAGAAATTAAGATGAGGCCAAGAAGAAGTTGTTGGGTTTGGCACCATGGAAATCTCTCAGTGGAGTGGAGTACAATGGGAGACAGTGACTATTTACAACTTTCAAGATGTTTCTGTGAATGGTGGGTAGTGGAGAAATTTAGTTGTGGGGGATGAACGGAGTCTAAGCTGGTTTTTAAAGATATTATTTTAAATTAATTTTGAACTATAGAAAAGTAGTACAAATAATTCAGAAAACTCCCATATTTACTTTACATGGATTCACCAATTTTTAACATTTTGCTACATTTGTTTGCTTCTCTCGCTGTCTCTACACACACATACACACACAAATTTTTGGGGGGTCATTTGAGAGTAGGCTGCATACATCTGTGCCTCTTTAGCCCTTAATACTTTAATGTGCATATCCTGAGAGCCAGGATATTATCTTATGAAACTGCATACGTGAGCAAATTCAGGATATTTAGTTTTTTACAGCCCACATTACAATTTTGCCAGTTGTCCCAGTAACATCTTTTGTAGCATTTTTTTTCTACCAGTACCTGATCTGGTGTCTAGGATTTTATGCTATATTTAGTTGTCATGTCTTTTTAGATGGAGAGGTATTTGCAATGATCGTTATATCAGAAGGATAATTTAAAAATTTCTAGATGTGTATTATAACTCTTCATAATGGTAGATCAGTTTAATATGTCATCCTGATAAACATTAGGACAGAAGGAAGAGCAAGAAAAGTAAAGATACTTTATATGTAAATTTATCAGACTTTGGCATAAATAAATGATGTGTTTTCAGAGTTATTGGTACTCATTGTTTAGAAAGGTAAAACAACTTGGATTCTTTTGTGATAGGGTTGAGTTGGCAGTATTATATGGACATGGTTTAAGAGTTTTTCAAAAAGAGTTTGTTTCAGCTCATAAAATCCTGCATGTCAAACCTTTATTAGAAAATATTGTGAGACTTAATTTAGGAAAAGAGCATTAAAGAGTGAAACATTGGAACCACAAGTGCTTCAGAATAGGCATTAGAATGCTCCATTGGATTTTTGGTTCAGTGATGAACACAGTTTTCTGTTACACAGTTTTGAGGGTTAGTGAGTAAAGACTTCCGTTGGATAGAAGCACAAGTTATGATGAAAATTTGTCTCCAACATTTTCAACCAAAGATTGTTCCTGCTATTGAATATGACTTCTGCAAGAAGTCACCTAAGGCTGGCACAGTACTGTGCTCTTTCACAGGAGCCCAAGTATTTGCTGAAAGATTCAAGTGACATGTAGCTTTCAATCAGGTAACTTAGACCCAGAACTACCGTTGAACAATCGAGTTGAATACAAGTTTCCCTCAAGGATAGGAGTGGCTTGGAGAATTTCAGTAGCAAGTATAAGAAGTAATGCCAGCTTTTGTATGTGAAGTATGACTATTCCTTGTTTATAGGTGTCTAAATGTTTTACTTCTAGAAGCTGAAAGGAACATGGTCTTTAGTTACTTTATAGGTGAGGAACTAAACCAAATGAGAGTATGTGATTGGTGTAGGATTTCCCAGCTGGCTGTTCTTATGCAGAGAATTGAGACAAGAGCCCCAGATTCCTGATGCCCCTTCTTTTTTTCTGATGTTATTTTGGCTCTTCTTGGCACTGAAGACTTAAACACCCTTAGAGGAAGGCAGTTAGTCCTAAAGCCCCATGCAGTTACCCTGGGCTGTTAGCTCTAGACAGGTTGTGGCTGTGAGTTTAAGTGTCTGTGTCATCCTTCCCTTGGCCTGATACCCCTGCCCAAGTAGGAAACAATAAAACCATAAAGGGATTGTGAAGGTAGGAGATTTTCCTGGAGTCTGATTTTAGCATAGATAATAAGCTCTGAATCAAGAGAGTGGTATAGTAGTTTAATATTTAATGTAGGAATTTGATGGAGAAGCTTAAGAGTGAGTAGAGAAATAAAAGGATGAGACATAAAAAGGATAAGGTGCTAATAAAAATTCTAGCTTTGTTTTAACCTTACATCCTAATGGGCTAGAGACTTTTGTTAGGTACGTGGCAGGCAATTTTTATTTGTAAAGCAGAATATACACACACTCACTGGAGTGTGATTCCCGTAGAGTTTAAATTGCTCAGCAGCTAGGGCAAAATTGTCATTTTAGATAAAATTATTGTATTCTGATTCTGGGAAATACAAACTCCTGAACATCTCAAATGTTTTTGGGCAAGTTCATCAAATGCCTACCCACATATCGAATTATTGAATTTAATAACAATTTAAATTAATAGGTTAAGAAATCTTAGGAATTTCTGAGTTCATCCTCTCATTTCAGATGTTTTATTATTATATTGGTAGTTTCCAGCTGTGAGATCCTGCACATACAAGCACTTAAGAAATGTTTGCTTTTGATTTAATAGCTGGCATTCCTTCCTTCTGGAAGATGCACAGTATGCTTATAATAATGTATGACCAAGAGTTAACTGAAGATTATGTATTTTATTAACTGTAAATAATATGGATCAGTTACTACATGAAATTATTTTTTAAATTGAGGTATCGTTTCATGTGACTCAAGACAAAGATTTTCTTTTTGTGTCTCTCAACCCTCCTCCAGGATTTAGGACAAGTTTATAATAAATGAATTTATGTTTTTTTCTAAGAATCAGTTTGCCATAATGGAAATAGTATGTGTTTTTGAAATAGTAATTAGACTCTTAGGTCTACCACTTGTAAGTGTATAGTCATGAATGGTATCTACCTTAAAGACTAAACAGGCACGCAGAATTATGCCATTAGCTCGTTAGTCAAGATATTTGTAAGCATTCATGTTCTTTCCATCCCTTCTTACTTACCACATTAGTTTTCTTCGGCAGAAAAATGTATTAAGAAGACTCTTATTGATGATTCTAACATAAGTACTTTAGATTTATTTATTTTTGCAGTAGAGATTTTATTATGAATTAGTTTTTTACTTAACATATTTTAGTTATGATTATTGAGACAGTCTGTAGAACTTATTTCTGCAGAAGTCTCAAGAACCATTGTAGAAGAATATAGGCCCTCTTTTCTAAGCTAAAATTCATTTTCATTTGCTTTTGGCTTTTACATATTTAGTAGGGTTTTTTTCTTAGTTCTTCTAGTTCAACATATTGTTTGAGCTATATATATTGTTTTTTCTTATATTTCCAGAATTTTGTATCAGCATTTGAAAAATTAGGAAATTAGTGAAAGATCCTTGTATTATTATGTCTGATATAAAATAAAATTTGGGGATTTGTTCTTCTAAATTTTGTACTATTACTGTTTCTGTATTTTTTACTTAGTATTTTGTAGCATTTAAATGTCAACATGAATTTCATATTATTAACATATTAAAAATTATTTTGTATACACAAGGTATCAGAACAGTAATCACAAGTATAGAATATGTAATAACTCCTGTTATCTAAGTAAAACTTCTGTTCTCTAATATTCAAGAAAGCCTTTCTCTGAAACTAAGTCTCTTGGATTATTAAACAATTTTTCTGGTATAATGCTTGAGCTTTGCAAAAGTTGAATCCATTTTTTTTATAACTATGAAGATTTTTTGTTTTCAGTGTTTTCTTCATAGTATGCCTACTTATTTTAATAGCTTAATCTGGGAAAAAGTTGCTCTAAGTACATTAATTGTCTAGGTAACTAAAACGTAACCGTTCAAGTACCGTAACTTAAGTATTTTATCTTTTTTTCTCACTTTTTAAGCATAAATACTTTTCACGTCATTACAGAAATTAACCTTCTTTTTTTGATTGTTGCATAATAGCCCCATCAGTTGAAGGTTATATTATTTGCCATATATTTACTATTGATACTAGAAATAACCCTGGGATAAAATCTTTGAGTATAATACTCTCTTTTGTGTATTTAGGATTCTTAGGATATAGGCTCAGAAGTGTAATCATGAGGACAAAGTGTATGAAAATGTATATGGCTCAATATAGATTGTTGAGTTATTTCTTATAGGTCATACTAGTTTTACACTACCATCAGTAATTTGTTAAAAGTTGAATCATCATCTCCTCAGCAGCATAGGATATTATCATTCCAAAATTATCTTTGCTAATTGGACTAAAACCATTACTTTATTATTACATTTATTTGATTACTAGTAAGGTTCAGCATTTTCTCATGTTTGTTTAATGTTGTATTTCCTCCTGTGAATTTTCTTTCATGTGCTACTATTCGTTCTATATTAGCTTCCCAGAAAAGTTACTAATATATTGCTTTCTTGTTGGAATATTTTAGGAGCTCTCTTTTATGCTTGTTCATACAAAGCAGATATTCATCTGCTATATTTGTCAACAGTGGTACCTCCTGGAAATGCCTAAGAGATGTTGTAGGTCCTTTGAGATATGGAGTGTCTGAGTCTTGAGAACCAAGTACTACCTGAAAGCTAGCATCATAGTGAGAGTAAATTGCCACTGTCCCTACATCTTCTCCTGTTGTAAAGTGTTAGTAAAATGAATATTGTGAGGTGTTTTTTCCCTTGATGGCATCAGTGGCAGTGATTGTCAGTGCTCAGAAACAAAATAGTGTAATTTGGAAAAGATAGGGGAAGAGAGGAGAGGAGAGGGATAGAAGTAGATGGGGAATGAATTCTGTTGTCCGTAAAGAGGTGTACACCTGAATTGGCAGATGACTTTATTCTGGGTTTTCTCTACTCTTCCCACTCAGTTTACTCTCCACCCATCTGGGTATATTCATTAGACTTCCTACCTTTCAGAGACTTGCATGTCAGCTCTCAGATTTACATTGGTGTTCAAATCAAAGGAAATTAATTCCCATGGCAGTCATCAGCCTTCATTGTACCAACCCTGCAATTCCTAGAGAACTCCCTGCTGCTGAAAACTGCCTTCTTCCTGATGGCTTTCTATTTCTAATCCATGAATGACTTAAAATAAACCTCCCCTTTTCTCTTAGACAATCCGAATTTGAGTTATTCCCCCTCTTGAAAATAAAAGAGCTTAATCAGGATAGCAATATTAGATAAAAATTCAAATATATACCACATGATTATATATATTACATAATTATATAATGTTATGTATTATGACAAACTAGTCCCAAGATGTTTTTGCTTTAAGTGGAAGAATTTGAATGTTTTAGGGAGTTCGTCCACCTCTACCTCCCTAAGTGCTGGTATTACAGGCATGAGCCACTGCACACAGCCCCTCTTAATCTGTAATGTTGGTTTCTGGGTCTTGATTTCCCCATTTTTAAAATAAGAGGATTGGATAGATGTTGTCTAGTACTCATTACATTCTGAAGCTTAGATGCTATGATTGCCATTCTCTAATTACAGTTAAAGTTAATAAATTTTTATTTTGTGGGCTGAGGGGAATGAATGGACATGATATTCAATTGGCCAACAACTTAATATCTCTATTTGTAAGACTAAAATAAGCTTTTTAACCTAAGATTCAGTTTTAAGGGTCCATGCTTATAAACTGAACACTTTCTTAATGTGTACAGATTAACATTATCTTTTGTGTCCAGTGTCATTTCAGATTTCCTTCCCATCTCACATTTCATTCTGTTTTTTATACTCATGAATTTTTATACGTCTCATTAATCCTGGTTGAGCCTCAGTGTTTCTTTATCACAGTAACAGAAAAATAATGTGAACACTTACAGAATATATGCTGCTGTTTTTTGTACTAAACTTTTAGTTGTACGGTAGTCTATCATATGACATTAGTTCCTACTGATTTTTTCCCACTTTTGGACCATCTCTATAGAATTTTCTTGTCCTATCCCTTTGCATAATATGAGGTGCACCCTCCATTAACTACACTCATGCATTTCAGTCAACGATGGACTACATATACCATGGTGGTCCCATAAGATTATGATAGAGAGCTGAAAAGCTTCTATTGCGTCTTGATGCTGTAATGCAATGCATTACTCACTCATATGTCTGCGGTGGCCCTGGTGTAAATAAACCTGCACTGCCAGTTATATAAAAATATAGCACATATGATTATGCACAATACATAATACTTGATAATGATAGTAAATAACTATTATTGGTTCATGTATTTACTATATTATTGTTATTTTTAGTGTACTTCTACTTATTTTTTAAAAAGTCCACTGTAAAACCACCTCAGCCAGGTCCTTCAGGAGGTATTCTAGAAGAAGGCATTGTTATCATGGGAGATGACAGCTCCATGCTTGTTATTGCTGCTGAAGACCTTCCAGTGGGACAGGATACAGAGGTGGAAGACAGTGGCATTGATGACACTGACCCTGTGCAGGCCTAGGCCAATGTGTGTGTTCGTGTCTTCATTTTTAACAAAAAAGTTTAAAAAGTAAAACAAAAATTAATATAAAAAAGTGTGTAGAATACAGCTATAAGGAGAAAATATTTTTGTATAGCTGTACAGTGTGTTTGTGTTATAAGCTAAGTATTAAAAGAGTCAAAACTTTTAAAATCTAAAGTTCATAAAATAAAAAGTTACAGTAACAGCTGAGGTTAATTTATTATTGAAGAAAGAAATTGTTGTTTAAGTACAGTAGTGTACAGTATTGTCCTAGGCCTTTGCATTCACTCACCGCTTACTCTCTGACTCACCCAGGGCAACTTCTAGTCCTATAAGCTCCATTCATGTTAAGTCCCTTATATTGATAAACCATTTTTTTATTTTTCATGCTTTTTATACTTTATTTTTTATTTTTATGCCTTTTATCTTTTTATGCTTTTTTACCATACCTTTTGTATGTTTACATATGTGTAGATACACAAGTACTTACCATTGTGTTACCATTGCCTGCAGTATTCAGTACAGCAACATGCTATACAGGTTTGTGGCCTAGGAGCCACAAGCTATACCATATAGCCTAGGTGTGTAGTAGGCTATACCATCTAAGTTCATGTAAGCACACTCTATGATGTTACAACAACAAGGAAATTGCCTAACAATGCATTTCTTAGACCGTATCCCTGTCCTTAACTGACACATGACTAAGTTTTTGCCCGTATACAATTTTTGTACTGATTTAATTCATGTCTGCTTTAATGTCCACCACTTGGTTTCCATTTTTTTCTTTGTTCTTATTCTTCCAATATTTCTGTTTTGATTTTTCTACTTTAGAATATCACCTGCCTTTGTCTGTTGCTGTTGCAAAATACCTTAGACTGGGTAATTTACAAAATAATAAAAATGTATTTCTCATAGTAGTACACAGCCTGGGAAGTCCAGCCAATTTGATATCTAGTGAAGGCTTGCCCTCTGCTTCATAAATGGAGCCTTCTTGCTGCATCCCCACATGGACGAAGGGATGTGCCCTCACATGGTGGAAGGGGAGCAGAAAGGCCAAACTGGCTCCCTTAAGCCATTTGATAAGGGTATTAATCCCATTAATGAGGACAGAACTCTCATGACGTAATCACTTCCTAAAGACTCCACCTGTTAATATTGTTGCATTGAGGGTTAAGTTTCAAGATGAATTTTGGTAGGACACATTCAAATCATAGCATTCTGCCCCTGGCCCCCCAAAATTTATGTGCTTCTGTCAAAATACATTTATTCTATCCCAAGAGCCCCAGAAGTCTTAACTCGTTCCAGCATTAATTCAAAAGTCTGAAGCCGAGAATCTCATCTAAATCAGATATGAGTGAGGCCCAAAGTATGATTCATCTTGAGGCAAATTGCTCTCCAGCTATGAGCCTGCAAAACCAAGTAAGCCCAAGACCCACGAAGGCAAACAAGATTAAATCTTAAGGCTCCAGAATAATCTTCTTTGACTTTTATGTATTGCCTTCCAGATACAGTTGGGTAGGGGTTGGGCCCCCAAGTCTCCAGGTCACCCTGTCCCCATGGCTTTGCTGGGCACAGCCTATGCTGCAGCTCTCATGAGTTAGTCTACTGCCTGTGGTTCTCCCAAGCTGGAATTGCACTCCAGTGGCTCTTTCAGTCTAAGGGGATCCACTCCAACAGCTCCATTAGTTATTGCCCTTGTGTAGGCTCTCTGCTGTATCCCCGCTACCACAGCTCCACTAGGCGTGCCCTAGTGGGGCCTCTGCGGTGGCCCCACCCTGTGATGGTGCTCTGCCTGAGCCCCAGGGTTTTTCAGGGTGTTCTTTCAAATCTAGGTGAGGTAACAGTGCTCCCCACAGCTTATGCATTCTGTGCACCTGCAGAGTTAGCACCATGTAGACACCACCAAGGTTTACCACCTGTGCTTTCTGGAGGGGTGGTCTGAGCTGCACCTGGGTGTGGCTGTGCCACAGCTAGGGTAGCCAGGGAATGCTGCACTATAATGTGGGTAGCAGAGCTTTGAAATCATTCTGTTCCCAAGGCACTGACATTCTGGGCTTATAATAGGCAAGATAGTCCCAACCATCTCTGAAATGCCTTTTGGTTCATTTGTTCATTGTCTTGATGAATAGCACCTAGCTTCCTTCTGTCCATACTAATCTCCTTATCAAACAGTCAGGTTCAGAATTTTTCAAATCTTTAAGTTCTGCCTTCCTTTTAGTTACAAATTCCATCTTTAATTTGTTTCTCTCTTCCTGCATCTTACTATAAGCAGTCAAGAGAAGCCATGCCACACCTTGAACACTTTGCCAAATATCCTATTTCATCACTCTTAAGTCCTGCCTTCCACACAATGCTAGGACATGAACACAATTCAGCAAAGTTCTTTGCCCCTTTGCAACAAGAATGGCCTTTCCTCTAGTTTCCAATAACATATTCCTCGTTTCTGTCTCAGAGACCTCATCAGAATGGCCTTTACTGTCTGTATTTCTACCAGTACAGAGAGGACCACTTAAGAAATCTCTTAAGAGGATTGAGGCATGTCATGCAGCTCTCCTCTTCTGAGCCCTTACCAGAATAGCCCTTTACCATCCAACCTTTACCCATTACCCAATTGCAAAGCCACTTCCACATTTTTAGGTATTTCTTATAGTAGCACCCCACTTCTTGGTGCCAATTTCTGTCTTAGTCCATTCCTGTGCTATAACAAAATATTTTAGATTGGGTAATTTGTAAGTAGTATAATATATTTCTCACACTTCTGGAAGCTGGGAAGTTCAAGTTCAAGGCACCAGTGAATTAGGTGTGCTATGAAATCTGGCTTTCTGCTTTGTAAGTGAAACCTTACAGCATCCTCACATGGAGGAAGGAACAAACACTATTTTCTCACATGGCTGAAGGGGAGCAGCAGGGCCAAATAGATGCCCTCAAGCCCTTTTATAAGGGCATTAATTCCATTCACGAGGGCAGAGCCTTCATGACAATGGCAGTCCAAAGTGCCTTCCAAAGTCCCCACCTCTTAATACTATCGCATTTGGAATTAAGTTTCAACATGAATTTTGGAGGGATACAAACATTCAAACCATAGCATCACTTCATTTAAATGACAAGTTAAACAGTCCATTTTGATACATATTCTTTGATTGTACAAAAATAATCTAAGAAATCTTCATCCTATTGTTATCTGATGGTACGAACTGCCATCAGTAAACCTGGGTCTCAATGACAATTTTAGTTGGGAGTGTAGTGTGCAGGGAACAAACATTAAGTACTGACTATTGTGGTACTTTACGTTCTCAGTTAATCTTCTCATCAACGCCATTTCACAGATGACTAAACTGTGGCTTAGAAGATTGGACAATTTTCCTAAAAAAGACAGCGTCAATAATTAACAGAACTGGGATTTGAGCCAATGAGTGTATGACTCCAGAACCCATGCTTCCTCTACTCCATCAGGAACTAAACTTGTAAAAATTGATTCCCTTTCAAAAGTTTTTTCTGCTATGTCTCTTTTCATAACTGAGATCTGACTAATATATGCCCCTGTTGTGTGTGAGATTTCTATGAAGAAATGTATGGTTAGGTAAAACCTAATGCTAATCAGCCTACTAACCACTTAACTTTTTTTTAACCTTTCTATTTTGCTATCTAAACTGCTCTGATCCTTTTCTCATTCAGCCCTTACCAATAAATACAGTGCTGTGTTCCTTTTTCTGCATACACTTGAAAATGTGAAATACTGAATCCATACATTATACTTAATAAAGGATAGCTTTGGACATAAATAAGACATTCCTGGATCCTTCTCACTTCAGAACTTCAGGAGCAATCGAACGGCAATAAAACAGTATACTTGCAGTTATCAAAATGAGCTATAATGGTTATCCCAGTGTGCTAATTTTTTTTTAATTATCAGCTTGGCTTATCAACTGTTTAGGTATGTCTCACTTTATTAATTTGTAAAGTGGATTCTAAAATATTGAATCATACCTTTTATTAACTTAACAATTTCAGATGTGTTTCACAGGAAAATATTTGGCTATTTGCATCATAGCCTTTTTTTACCAGCTCCTTAAATTCAGTAAGTATAGCTATAATTAGTAACTTTCCTGGTGCTCATATTTTGTCATTCAGTGCCATTATTTTACCTAGAGTACTACAGCTTGTCTCCATCTTTTATGCATGTCATCATATAAATCAGCAAATGTATAATCAGCGTAGAGCAGTGTTACTTGAAGACAAGCTACTCTTTTAATTGATGGTACTTACATATTTAATGAACTATGAATTAAAGGAATAGTTTGGAGTAGTAGAAACATTCGACCAGAAATAGACATTCATTCCAACCCAATTCTTAACATTTACTAGCTGAGCAATTTTTGGCAAGTGACTTAATATCACTGAGACAGTTTCCTTAACTCACAGGGTAGTTTTGAAAATTAAATGAGGTAAAATATGAAAGTACTTTGAAACTTTTTAAGCACTGTGTTTACTTAAAACCACTTGGCAGTGATAAGTCAATGTTCTGAAAGGAAATTTATAATCATGTTATAATACGTAAGGCTTTTAAAAAGCTTTTTTTCTTAAATCTGTGTCACAGAAATGAAAACTATTGGACTAGGGTTAACAATAGGCAGTGACAGTAGTCCATTGAACTACTTAAAAACTAACTCTCCAGTTGAATGTAGCAGTGGGACAATCCCTAGTAAAGCACATTAATAAATCCTATGATACTAAGAGAATCGGACCTAATTATTTTGATTAATTGGTTTTTAATGTGTAGGCTTATTAGAAGAGTTTACTTTTATGAATGACTTAATATTGCCATTTGAAGAAAGATCTAGTTACTCATAAGTTGATTTGATATACAAATGTAAATCATATTTTGCCAGTTAAGGATCATAATTTTCTAGTGTGTGTTGTTATTATTTACTGGAGATAAACTTCCCCCAAAACTTACTTTTCCCAAGTTCTCATTTCTGTCTTACAACTTAAGTGGAACTTCTTACCCATTTTCTGTCACTGTTAAATTACAAAGTAAATAAACATTGTACTTACTAGTCCTTACTAAGAAGTACAAATTATTATGTAACTTTAAATAGTATGTTCTTATGTTTTGGTTTTCATTAAAGACTTTTTTAGTGATTAGTAATGTTTCCCATATTAATCGGTGCAGTCTGTATTCTGTTGTCTTTTTCTGTTTTCTGTTATTTCTAATACAGCTAGAACACCGCTGCTTATTAGAGTAAGAAATAATGGAAATTGCCAGGAGCAGATATATTAATTTAATATAATGGTTCTCAACTGGCTATAAGTTCCCAGTAATTATAATGTGTAGTTAGGGTTGAGAACCACTGATTTAAGTTGCTTAAACATACATGGAGAGTGAGACCAACCGTTAAATCTGTTTTAGAACTCAACAAGGAGTTGATGTTTTGAGGGTGACAATGAGATAACTAAAAGTTAAATATCTGGGAGGTGTTACTCCTATCAGCCTTTTGTTTTCATTAAAAATGAAAAATTTGTGCTCTGAAAAGCAAGGTGCAGTTATCATATCTGAAGTGATTGACCTGAAGTAGACATTCATCAAGAGAGCCGTTGAATTATTGGTGATGCATGGAATAGAAAGGGAAAGAGTTGTATAACGCAGACCGCTCATAGTCTGCCCACTGTTAAGTTCTCTAAGGGTTAGTCACATGTTCGTGGGGTGGCAGAATGAGAATAATATGGCAGAGTAGTAGTTCAGTGCATGGGCTCTGGAGTTGGGTGCATCTGGGCTTGAGTCCTCGCTTTGTTCATTACTGTGTGATCTTGGACACATTGCTTAAGTTCTCTTAAGCCTGTTCCTCTTCTGTAAAATGGAGATAATTATAGTACATATTCATGGAATTAAATGAGATCATGTATTTAAAGAATTTAACATAATAACTGGCACATGGAAGGACCCATTAATGATAACAGGGTTGCTGTTATTAGTAGGCATGGTTCAGACTTTGGAATCACACAGGTTTGGTTTTGAATGCCTAATCTGCCACATACTAGCTGGGCAAGCTACTTAACCTCTCTGAACCTCGGTTAATATAAAATGGAGTTAACATCTACCTCATAGTGCTGTTGTGAATATTAAATGGGCTAAAGTATAGGAAGTGTCTGGTTATAGATTGGGTCAAATTTTGAGATCAAGCTTTCCTTCTTATCACTCAATTTGATACCACACTCTTTTTTTTAATGTTGATTTGTAAACTTTAACTAGCATTTAGTAAGCATGTCTAGTCATCTTCAAAGTTCTTCCAGAAAAGACACTCTAAGCATACATTTATTCAAACTTTCCTTAGTACCTATTTTCCATTTTCTGTGTTCTGTTAATCTCTAAACTCCTAGATGACAATAACTTTGTAATGCCAGAAAGTTAAAATTTTAACGTCTTAGCCTATTTTCAAGTGGTGAACTAGATGATTTACCCATCAGTCTCAATCGAGGATGATTTAAACCCCATGTGCCTAGCACTGTGTAACATGAGTTATGGTCCCTGTCCTTCTAATCTAGTTGAGCTCATTTCCGTAACTAATATGAGCTCAACAGTTAGTTTTGCATTTTTTTCTCTTCCTTCTTGATCCATAACCTCTGGTTTTAGACTCTCTCTCTTTTTTTTTTTTTTTTTGGAGACCGAATTTCCCTCTTGTTGCCCAGGCTGGAGTGCAATGGCACAATCTTGGCTCACTGCAAGCTCCACCTCCTTGGTTCAAGAGATTCTCCTGCCTCAGCCTCCCTAGTAGGGATTACAGGCGCCCGCTACCACACCCAGCTAATGTTTTGTATTTTTAGTAGAGATGGGGTTTCACCATGTTGGCCAGGCTGGTCTCGAACTCCTGACCTCAGGCGATCCACCCGCCTCAGCCTCCCAAAGTGCTGGAATACAGGCGTGAGCCACCGCGCCCGGCTCATTATAGACTTTTTTTTCCACCTCCCAGGTTCAAGCAATTCTCATGCCTCAGCCTCCTAAGTAGCTGAGATTACAGGGGCATGCCACCACGCCTGGCTAATTTTTGTATTTTTTTAGTAGAGACGGGGTTTCACCAGGTCTCGAACTCATGACCTTGTGATCCGCCCGCCTCGGCTTCCCAAAGTGCTGGGATTACAGGAATGAGCCACCGCGCCCAGCCTATAGACTTTCTTAAAGGACTTTCTAGTTCCACTGATAGCTATAATTTAACAAGTTTGTCAACGTTTTGATTCATCATTAGGTGCCTGTAAACTTTTCCTTCTTTCCCTTCATACCTGAACTTTGGTTCAATTTCTCATGAAAGTTTTATTAAATAATTGTATTCTTTAAATAGCATGCTCTTTTTAGATCATTGGATAGCTCTGATTTTTTTTCTCCTTGCTCATCATAGCATTTTTCTGTAAAAAAAAAAAACAGTATAAGAGAGATTTTCTGTGGAAGTCTACATATCTGATTCACATTCAGCAAATGATTCAGCAAATTTCTTAAGCTGTTTTGATTTATCTGCTTGTCAAATAAAAATAATACTTGCTACCTACTTACAACAGAGGGGTGTTGTGAAGATTATATTTAGAATGTTTTTAACTCATTTACTCAATGCTATGAGAATACCTCATTTTTATTATATTGTCATACTATATACATACTACTGGTTTTTTAGATCTATTATGACTTTTATGATGGTGAAGTGTGATTTTACTTTTCTCTTTTACCTCACCACAAAGGTATCAAAATATATGTTCTTTCGTATGCACATGGTTGTATTTATGAGTAGTTTCCCAGTTTATGGAGATTGATGTTTCTTTTGGAAAGGCAGTATATCAGGGGCTTCCAGACTGGACACTGGAGCCAGATTAGTTGGGTTTGAATCATGGCTTTGGCATTTACTAGCTGACCAACCTTAGGCAAGTAACTTCTCTGTGCCTCAATGTACTTATTTGTAAAATGTAATTAATAGAGCAGCATCATAGAGTTGTGAAGTGCTTAGAACACTGCTTGGCACTCAAAAATATTAGCTATCACTATTACTAACAAAATAGTGCATGTGTTTAAGTCTTCAATATTTAAGTACCAGAGTTTTTGGTAGCATCTTGGCTCTCTGTGAAACAGGACTGCCCTTCCCCTAACAAACTGGAATTCCATTTTATATGCAGATTGGACAGTTAGGTCTTCCTATGGCTCCTCCTGCCCTCATTGCAAACTGATGGGTTTTAAAAATCATTTTTATTGAAATATGACACATTCTAAAAATTAACCTAATATTAAAGCTATAGAACAAAAGATGAACCTCTCCTTCCCCATGTCTAGGAGGATTAATTCTTTTCCAGACTTTGATCATGTTTTTTATCAATTTAAACCCCTTTCACAAGCTTTGTATTATCCTTAAGATAGTCCAAGCTTCTTAACATCATCTATGAGGTCCTCCTAGCCTCACTTTTGCTTTTTGATAATTCCTGTTAGATTTCTGATAAAGAGTCACTTCCTCAAGGAAGTCCTTTCTTGACCTCCTAACTGGGTTAGCATAATGTTTTCACAGCCCTTAGTCATTTACCATAGTCATTCTCCACTGAGGCAGTGCTGCTCTCTGGAGGTGTCCTAGTGACTGGGAGGTGCTCTTGTCATTTACTGGGCAGGGCTGAGAGTGCTAGATGTTCACCATGAAGAATTGTCCTAGCTTTGTATGACTTGTAAATGTCTTGTTAGATAGTCACAAAGGTGTAAGAAATCTGTTTATAGATATCAGAGCCAAGAGCCTAACTCAATTTTACATATACATGTGGAACTTTTTGCAGAGTTTTAATATATGTTGAATTTTCTAGGAATAAAAACTATGGCCAGGCAGGGTGGCTCACGCCTGTAATCCCAGCACTTTAGGAGGCTGAGGCGGGCAGATCACTTGAGGTCAGGAGTTCCAGACCAGCCTGGACAACATGGTGAAACCCTGTCTCTGCTAAAAATTCAAAAATTAACCGAGCGTGCTAGCACACACCTGTAATCCCAGCTACTCGGGAGGCTGAGGCAGGAGAATTGTTTGAACCTGAGAGGCGGACGTTGCAGTGAGCCGAGATCGCACCACTGCACTCCAGCCTGGGTGACAGAGCAAGATTCCGTCTCAAAAAAAAAAAAAACAAACCCAAAAAACAAAAAACTACTATGTTATTGAAGGACAATTGTACCTTGTTTTGTTTGGATCTCTACCAAGAGTTGTTTACCATTTTGGGAAATGACGTCACTAATAGCAACATTTCTCACATTCATAGTGATTCAGCATATAGATAGAAACATCTAACTTTGAATTTAGTTGAAATTAGATGGAAAAAATTTTAATTGAACCAGATGGGGGGAAAATGCATCTCTGTCTCCTGGTGGAATGTATTTGCTTTTCTCTCTTTTCCTATTGTACTTTACCATATACTTTATTCATTGACAGGTCATCTGCCTCTCTCACCAAATGAGAACTTAGTGAGGATAAAAACAAACTATATTTTACTTATCTTTGAATCTCCAAAATTCACTGAGCACATGGTAGTTCTACTTAATAGTTACTCAGTTGAATTAATAGCAACAACAATAGCGTTTATTCAACAAGTATTTGTTGAATCGGACTCTGCCAGGCAAAGAGAGTGAAAAGACACTGTCCCTGCTCTCAAGGAACTTGTGATCTATTGCCAGGACAGACCTAGAAATAATTATAATACAATATGACAGTTTCTAGAATGGAAATAGCTATAAACCATAGATCTGTAATGAAAAATACACTTAAGTCTTGTGAGGAGATCTTGGAATAATGACACAGAAGAGAAATAGTATCCAGTATCAATCATAGTGCCAAGAAAGACTCTCAATAAATATTTGGAAAATCAGTGAATGAGGGTAGCTCTAAAGAGTGAGAAGGAGTTTGCCAATTGGTCAGGTTTAAGGAGGGCATTCCCAGCAGGAAATCCCTATGCAAAGGCTCAGAGGTAGGAGAGGTGCAGGAAAAGATGATGGAGCATAAAGTTGGAAGTTGAGTCATAGATAAAATTGTCTTTGAAGGTGATGAACCAGATGATGAAGAGACTTCTTCCATGAAAAGAAGTTAGATTTTATCTTGCAGATGCTAGAAAGCCATTCATTTAACTATAAAACTACTATTTTTCAAATTACACATATTGTGTGCCAGGGACCTATGATCTGCATACAGAGTTAGTATATTCCCATTTTAGGGTTGGGAAACTAAGACTTAGATTAATTAACTTGCCCAGGTTTTCACTGCTACTAAGTGGAAGAACTAGAATTCAAACGTGGTCAGTTGAGTCCATATCTCCAGTCTGCTTTTTAAACTATATTTTACAGACTATCCAACAAGGAAGAAGCTATATATTTTTACTTTCTCTTCAGCCAGTCTGGCTTCTTTACTTCACATGATTCTCAACTGTAGCAAATTCAAAATTTTTATGTAAATTTAAGTTAAAAACTTACTCATGAGTAAGCTCTAGTCTTCTGAAAGTCCAAAATGGTATCACAGTAACTCACCACTTGCAGGCTACTTTTTATTCTGGGGCTGTCTTCTATCTTGTTTTTCAAATAACTGTATTTTGGCTTGTTGAAATGCCTTTTTTTTTTTTTGGTCACCATTGAATGTCATGGGCCAATCAGGCATAAGTTGTAAAGTTAATATTAGTGTAGTATGGAGTATCATCTAAGGGAGCGAAATTTGAAGTACTACTTCCTTTTTTTGAGACATTTAGAAAGCTGAGCCTTCAACATGCAAAAAGAATACTCCAGGTAATATTTAAATTTTATAAGAAAATCCAATATTGATCTTGATATTCTATTTAATTAATATAAATGTAGTTTACTATTTAAATAAATGATTTCTACCTCATATAATAATCCTGATGTGCTTGGTTAGCTTGAAGTACTTCAGATGTTATCTAATTAACCCTGCAATGTCTGGCTACCCCAGGGTATAAGATTCTTCCTTATTTTAATGGCTTTTAAAATATGGTAAGTTTTGGAGATGGATGCCACTGAACTGTATACTTAAAATGATAAATGTTATGTATGTAGATTTTATCACACTTTTTAAAAAGATGTGATAGAAAAGTTCAAAGTGGCTTAAGATCTCTTATCAAGCAGTTATCTGAATCAAATATTCTTGAGAGCCCTTTGTTACAGATAATTTGAGTAAGGTGTGGGGAAACACCTATTCTGTCATCATAGGCTGATCAAATTAAATGTCCTTAATACTAAGCTGTTTGAAAAGAAAACCCTAGTTGACGACAGAAATAAAGAAGGAAGCATGCTATTGGCCTGATATTATGGTACAGCCATCCTCAGGATGGATGTGATAATGAAGATGCCTTTCAGACTTGACTGCTATTGGTCCCTTGCTTTAGTTTCTTGTTTAAAAGGGCAGCTAGGGGGTTGAGTGGGCTATCTGAATGTCACCTCAGCAGGTAGGGTATGCCTGGTAGCAGCTCCAACTCTAATATTACTAAGGCTCAGACTTTAAGTTCCCCATCCCCACTGGTATCAGGGGAAATTAAATTGGCATTGTTTAGCTTCATGAAAATTAAAAGAATGTGCTGGTGGAGATAAAGGAAACATTCATATTGTTGGCGTGTGTGAATTGCGTAACTTTTTGGAAAGTAATTTGGTAATAACTGTTTAAAGTTTTTAAATTCACATACTTTTTGGCCTAATAACCCCACCAGGTTGCCACTATTATGTAGGGACATTGGTACAAGAATTTTTTTGCTGTGTTGTTGGTAGTGGCAAAAAAGTAGAAGCAATCTGGAAGCCAATCAGGAGATGGTTGAACAAATTATGCTCTATCCATTCTCAAGACCAATGTGCATCTATTAAAAGGTGAGTTAAATTGGTATGTATTGGCCCGGAATTATGGCCATGTCATATTAATGTGTAAAAAACGTTGTAGAGTTAGTATTAGTGTAGTATGGAGGATGATCTTAAAAAAAGAGGAAAAATATATGTGAGATTAGAATGTAGAAAGATTCACATAAAACTGTTAAAACGGGTTCTCTAGGGAGCCTGGAGATAGGATTGAATTAACTTGTCTTATACAACCATGTTGTTTGATTTATTATAATATTTGTAGTTTTTTAAAAGTTTCTGAAGTTAAGAGAGGGAAGGGGAGAAATCTATAGTGATAGAAATTATACTGGGGATTACTTTAGGAAGGGTTGATGGCTGGGATTGGACACAAAAGAAACCTCTTCATACTCAGCGATCTCTATCTTGAGCTGGGTGTTGGTTACACAGATGGGTTCACTTTGTAAAAATCCATCTATGGATCATATGCTTATCATTTGTACAATGTTGTGTCTATATTGTATCAAATAAAAGTGTATAAAAATGACAGTGGTACAATGGAATACTATTCACTTTTTATTGAAATATTTTCAATAAATATTTAATGATATACGAAGTCAGGCAAGAAACAGGACAATCCCATTATTATAAAATATAATGTGCATAAAAACACATAGAATGAAGACTAGAATAAAAGCACTACAGTATTAATACATTTTATGTCCAGATGGTGGTGATTTTGTTTTGAGTTTTTTTTTGTTTAAGAACAGTTTATTAGATTGGGCCATTTACGAAGTCATTAGAACTTGGTGAGCAAAGTCAGATTACAGGCTATTAAGCAGAAAAATAAGAGTGAAAGAGAGAGGAAAAGGCATTTTTAAAAAGAAAGAAAAAGCTAACTAGAGAGGTGGAAAGGTAGTAGTTTTTTTAAGCCCCTACTAGCAAGGGACTTTTCATGTTAAAAATCCTCTCCTTTATCAAACTGTTTGGTTTTTACAAATAAGTCATGCTTGATACTTACATTTTGTTGTTTTTGTTTAAGCATTTAGTTTTAGTGAAAAATGTCATTAATAGCTTCAGTTGACTGTAGCAGATGCAACTCATAGTAGCTTTAAAAACCTATATTCGTGTCTCAGTCTTCACTGATTAAGTGTGGTTGTTTGCTCAGATCTTTTTTAGCTTTAGTTGCCACATGGAGGCAAATAATACCTCACTAGGTTGTAATGAAAATCAAATGAGAAAATGTAGTATGTGAAAATACTTTAATGGAATTAAACACTACCCAGTTGTAAAATTACATCATTTTTATTGTGTTTCCTTCGACCCAAAGTCCTTACTTTTGGAATGTAGTTATTTCATAATGGAATTTATTTCCCTTAATAGGAGTTCAAAAGTTGAAGTTTATGCAGAAATGCAATTTTTTTTAAGTCAAGTTCTGCAAATGTTGCATATAATGGTTTTCGAGGTCTGGGTTGCGACTGCATCAATATTTTAGACTTTTTAGTGCCTTATATATCAAATTGAAATGTAAACATTTTTATTGCTTCTAATTATTGCTGAACTGTCAGGGAAATTAACAACCTTTTTACCCTATTTCAATCATTTTTCGTTAATTCACCATGTGTATGTAAAATAATATACCCAAAACAGATCTCTTCAGGTGTTTCGCAGGGGTTTTGATAAGGACTTGACTTTTTATTAGCCCTTAAGTCAGTAGTAATCTGGACGGAATTAGAGATGGGTTGGGTTGGAGAAAACTGCGTGGCACTAGGACCCAGGGGGCTCCCGTGAGCGGATCTTGGGGCCAGATTGCAAATTCGCGGTGACTCAGTCTGGTCGGCTCCTTGCGCTCGGCGGCCGCGGCGGCAGCAGCAGCAGACGCTGGCGGCCGGGCTGCCAGGAGCAGTTCCGCCGGGTTTCACTGTCCGTGACTTCCTTCGGGGCACCTCAGGCAGGTCCGCGGCGTTTGGGGAGCGCTGGGGTTGTGGTGGCGGGGAGAACGGGTCAGCTGCGCGCGGGAAGCCTCTGGGCCTGTGCACCGGGAGTAACAGTTGCTCCGTCTCTTCCTGTGTCTGGCTTTATTTGCAGCAAACCAAGATGGAGTATGAGTGGAAACCTGACGAGCAAGGGCTTCAGCAAATCCTGCAGCTGTTGAAGGAGTCCCAGTCCCCAGACACCACCATCCAGAGAACCGTGCAACAAGTATCCTTTCCGAGGCCTGGCCGCCACCCGCGCAGCTCGCCCCGCGCTGCGGCCCAGCCCCCGGCGGCCGGGGGCTCCCGTCGCCTCCGCCTCTGCCCCTCCCCCATCCTCCGAGACCGGCCTCCTCCCTGGGTCCGGGCGCGGGGGAAGCCGCCGCTGCCCCTGCCGGGCGACTCGCGCACGCGGCCCTGGTGCCTGGGCCGGGGGCGCCGCCGCGTGGGGCTCACGCCGCCAAGGCCACCGGCTTCCGGCGCGCAGGAGGCGGGGGCCCCCGGCCGCCGCCCGGGATCGCGACATGTGCGCGGGCCGGGCCGCCACGTCCCCGCCCGCCGCTGACCTGCCGCGGGGGTAGGGAGCGGGCGGGCGGGAGCGGCCCGGGCCCACACAATGCGCCCCGTGGGTGGGGGTGGCAGGCCGAGCGGGAGGCCGGGTGGAGGGCGCTCTGTGCGCGGCGGAGCTCGCCGCCTGACTGGCCAGAAATGGGTGGAGCTGGCGCGGGGTTTGAACTGCAGCTGTGTGGGTCTTGGGGGTTTTTCCACGTCCTTGCCCTAAAAAGGCTGGGGACCTACAGGTGGGGGAAAGGGGTCTCTGTGCCTCACCCTGGGGTTACTGGTGTTAACACCTGTTGCGAACTCCTTGTCACCCAAGTGAGATTTTCTTTTTAAAGCTTTGGCTCAAGGCTGACTGCACAATTATGTAGGTCTTTACCGAGTGTGCTGGTGTAGTGATCCTGTTGCTACGGTTTTAGAGACAGGAAAGGTTAAGAGAACCAAAACTCTACCACGTATGCTTTCTGTAGTGCCCTAAACCGTGCTCAAATGGAGAGCTCTTACTGGATGCAGTAAAGGAAACATTCACTCTATATCATGAATAACCTTTTAACCCCCGTTTTAAGCCTAAAGAAGTTAGTTAAGTCTACTATTTTTTGCAGAAAAGCCTCTTGATTTTTATTGTCAAAAAGCAGCAAAATTACTTAATATGGAGTTTGGTAAGTAAGCTCTTCGTGTTTGAGTTTATTTACATTTAAAACATCTGTAAAGATGAAGTTATTTACCCCGAGGGTTTCGCAGAAATACTGCATTGCCGTAATTTAAAACCTTCAATAGATGACAAAATTAGTACTTACCTTCTTGGTTAATGTAGTACTTCCCATTTAAAAGTGGAAGGGATAATGATTTAGATCTGCTTGGATTTTTTAAAGCCATTTTGTTTGGATACTTCTAGTACTGAGGAAAGAACACTTTTGGAATGTATTGCCGTTTGTATCTTGTAAACAGTGCTATGGCTCAGTCTTAATTTGTGTTGTCATAGTTCTAGGGATGATAGAAGTTGATAGTTGATTAATTGCAGGTATTATATGATACAGTTACTAGTTTCTTAAATTAGCTAAGCCCAATCCTGCATTGTAGTTATTCTGTGGCACCATATATCATAATTTCTTGTTTTAGTCTACATTTATTAGGTACCTCATAAATGCTTAGTACCGTGCTTGGGCAAGTAGTCAATTTACAGTTTATTCTGTGTGCCTGGAACTTAGTATGTCCTCTGAGAAAGAACAACTTTCTGTTGCTGTGAGAGGAAAACTACTTTAGCTAAGAATACATACTGCTGTTTCAGAGTGCCTTATTTTGTTTCTCCTAAGAAGATAATATATTTAATTATTATTTTGTATAGGCTTTTGAGTACTTTTTGAAAGACCGCTATAATAGGATAAAGAGATGTAGCTTAAGTTGTAAAAAGGTAAACTTTATCAGGAAATAGTTTTGAAAAATTCATTGGCATATCAGCTTGTTGTTAATCTGGGCCATTCACTAAAACAAGAATTACTGTCTTGGTTGGAGAAAGTAGTTACACCTTGCAGTTTTACTAGAGACTATGTTGTTGGTTCGTTTACTTTCTGACCCATAAACATTGAGGGTATTCAAATATGTAATAAATAGCTAATAAAGTGTTACTGGAGTTTGATTCATGGATTTAATCAGAAATTTAGATTTGTTGGGTGACAAAACATTTTAATCTTTCTGTGTAGTAAAACACAATTGGGAAGCATGTTAGTTAGGGGTTGGGAGTCAGGGCTTGAAGAAAGATGTAATAGAGCATTTTGTCACAGCTGCCTCCCGACAGCGATGAAATACCTGCAAATTGGTATCACTAAAAATGTTGCATCTTGGGGATGAGGGGAAGAATTGTACAGCTGTAGTGCAATAATCTCATAATGCTGACTTTATAATAAGATATATAGCCTTGTGCATAAATGGCACTTTATCTTTTTGGATTCTAAAGAACAAATGAGTCTGAGAAGTATCTTTTTTTTAAAAGTTATTCTATAAAGTTAATTTCTCTAAATGATCTTCAACTCTGAAAGACTTGTTTTCATTTGGAATGCTTTTATTTTTGTCATTTTATGCTTAAATACCTTTCTATTTAGAATGGTTTAAAGTTGAAATCCAAGAATTTTTTTGAATATTTTTTGCTATATTGAGCATGCTGAAGCTGGAACTTTCTTATGTTGTATTGCATGTAATTGATACATTTCAGCCATAAAGCACCTAAGAGGTTTAGCAAGCACTAGCGTGTTTTTGAAATAGATGTTGATAGATTTAGTAAGATATCCTTATTCTTAGTTTAAAAAAAAAACGCAGGACTGAAAATACCACCAAAGAGATCCTTGATTTTTAGATTTAAAATGCTTAATTTCTTCCTGAGATTACACAGAGAAGTTTCCTTAACTACTGTTTGTTCTAGAAACTGGAACAACTTAATCAGTATCCAGACTTTAACAACTACTTGATTTTTGTTCTTACAAAATTAAAATCTGAAGGTAAGTAGGATTTGTATTGATAACTATTTAAAGTTTCTTTAAGACCTGTTTAAATGTACTGAGAATTATTCATTTCAAAGGATTTCATTTTGTAGTAACCTTGTGCTTTATAGATGTGGGATAAACAGTCTTAGTTAATACCACTCAGTATTTACATGTTTAATAAGAATTCCTTTTTTTTAATGTATATACAGACAGAGTCTCACTCTATCACCCAGGCTGGAGTGCAGTGGTGCGATCTTGGCTCACTACAATATCTGCCTCCCGGGTTCAAGCAATGCTCATGCCAAACCTCCCTAGTAGCCGGGATTACAGGCATGCGCCATCACATCCAGCTAATTTTTTTGTATTTTTAGTAGAGACAGAGTTTTGCCTTGTTGGCCAGGCTAACCTTGAACTCCTGGCCTCTGGGGATTCGCCTGCCGCAGTCTCCCAAAGTGCTCGGATTGCAGGTGTGAGCCACTGTGCCCAGCCAGCATTCATTTTTAATAGGGTGTTTGTATAATAAGTTACTTAATTCTTTGCAGATGAAAAACTTGTTGCAAAGTCTACTTTAATGTTTTGCTTTCATGCATATAGATGGATATAACAAAGGTTGTAATACAAAGATTGAATGTAGGTTTTAATAACTGAATATGTGTGTTTTTTGTAGAAAAAAATTGAAAGGTCATATAATCAAAATGAAAAATTATTTATCCCATCTTCCAGAGATGATTATTGTTGATCTCTTCAATTATATCCTTCTCTGCTCTTATATGGTCACATACTATTTTAAAATTATTTAGCAAAAAGTGGGATCATTCTATTGATAAGTAGACTTTTGTAACTTTTTAAAAAACTTCTAAAAGTCTACATGAAACTTTTTCATGACTCTTAATTTTAAATTTAAATGATTTCTATGACAGTTTAAAGCCTGAGTAGTCTGATTTTTAAATAACATGGTCATTTGATTATTTCTAATAATATGTAACGCATCCCACTAGACATTATTTCATAAATATTTATGGAGCGCCATCTCTGCCATGCAATTTACAGGCTCAGGAGAGAAAGGTGAACAAAACAGACAAAAATCACTGCCCTCAAGGAGCTTACGTTGTAGTGAGAGTTGTTTCTCATAGCATTATTTGGGTATTCCCTCCCTGAAACATTGTGGACACATAGAAGTCAATTAAATATTTATTGCGCAACTGATTGGCCTCTAAATGAAAGCGCTGTACCCTATTCAGTGATTAGTGTTTTAGAAGCCATGGTGCAATTAATAAAATCACTGCACTTGGAATTGGGAAATAACAAGGTTTAGACAACCAGACCATCTGTAAAGTTTCAGCTCCAAATTCTGACAGGTTAATAGTGTTATTGTGTAGTAAAAACTCACTGATTTGTATTCAGATTTTCATAATTCTTGCACGGTGATTTCTTTTGAATTATTTTCAGTTGATTTTGTAGTTAATTTGGGGGATTTTAATTTGTGAATGAAGGACACAATAGAAAATTTAGAACTCTTAAGTCTAGGTTTTAAGAAACTAAGAATTATTTCAACAATTAATATTCCTAGTTTGATATTTGCGATACATTGCTTCTTAATATAGAAATTTTTCTGACAGTTTGTGATCAACCTGTTTGTTTCTTATACTAAGATATTTATAAATGGATTTTTTAAATCTAATTGTTTTATTTGAAATTTTTAAATTTATTTTCACTAAGCTGTCCACTCTCATGTTCTTATCCTACATTCCAAATATTAGGATTGTTACAATATTATACTCTTGAGTACAGCTTTCTTGGGATATAAGGATACTTCCTTCAGGCCAGGCAAGGTGGCTCTTTCTTGGGATATAAGGATACCTCAGGCCAGGCAAGGTGGCTCACGCCTGTAATCCCAGCACTTTGAGAGGCCAAAGCAGGAAGATTGCTTCAGGCAAGGAGTTCAAGATCAGCAACATAGTGAATGGTGAAACTCCATCTCTGTAAAAATTAGCTGGCATAGTGGCACACACCTGTGGTCCCGCTACTCAGGAGGCTGAGGTGGGAGGATCACCTGAGCTCAGGAGGTCAAGGCTACAGTGAGCTGTGATCGTGCCACTGCACTCCAGTGTACTTAAGTGCTTCAGAAGTACTTAAAAAAACACAAACACACAACTTGTTAAGTAGTGGCAAGAGGGTTTGGAAGTCATTGCTTCCACAAAGACATTAATTACAAAACCATAAAATGTTGGAAAGGATTTTATTCAGATTTTCTTGACCCTAAAATGTGTTTCTTATGTTCATTATGCAGTTTCTCTGAGGATGCAGTAGTTTTACGTTGGTGTAACACTTGATATTTCTTCTTGTGTTTATGCATTTTTTTTTTTCCCTGGGAAGATTGGGACACAAGTTTGCTGCATGTAGTTTTCCATTTTAAAAAAATCTTTGCATCATGGCTGTTCATATTAAAGCAGCAATACAAGTAACATCTTAAATGAAAATGCTTATGTAGTAATCTTATCACTGAATTGTAGAGTAAAATTTTTGATCTGTAAGAGATCTCAGATCAGCTGCTCTAATTATCTCACTTTACAAATGAACAAATTGAGGGTACACTGAAGTAGTCTTAATTTTTGTAAAACAAAGGAAATCGTTAGTCGTTGAATTTTTTAAATGGATTTTAAGAGAGTATATACTTTTAATATTGAATTGTTTCACCTCATGTTGTGGTTTATTAAAATTCTTCATCTTGTAACCTTTATGGTAAAAACAATATACTATATTTCTCGTAAACAAAGTCATGCCATTTAAAATAATTATATGGCTGAATTATTAACAGGTAATTTAAGGCAAGTTTATTGCTTAAAGAAGTTAAATATCTGGCTTCATTTATTTCATGGCAGTTTTTAACTTTTAAGAGAATTTAAAGGTATTTTTGTTTGTTTTGTTTTGGTTTGAGACGGAGTCTCGCAATGGGTTGTAATTGAAAATGGAAAGTAGTTTTTAAATGATGACATACAAGGTTTTATAGTGCTGTGATGACCTGAATGAAGTTTGTGTGCAGAGAAACTGCTCTTTTTGCCTCTACATGTTGCTTCACTCTTGAAGATTTCAGTGCCATTCAGAGTTTGGGAACATCATACTAACTAGAACAAGCTTGGGATATATTATTTTTTAATAAGACGGGTAAAACAATGGTTTTACAATAACATTCTGTTCAACATGCCAGCTCTTCATCTTATAGCCCTTTGAGTGGGGGTAATACTGAAGAATGATTCAAAGTCCTTAGTTTCTTCACTTGTGCAATGGGGTGAATAATACCTGCCTCATGAAGTTGTAAGGATTAAGTGCAGTGCCACTTGGAAAGCACTTAGCAATGTTTAATAAATCATAAGCATTTCGAAGATGTTAACTATTGCTAATATTGTTGGTGTTGATGCCAACTGGTAAAGCCGTCAGTTATGTTCTACTAGTATTAAGTAGCTTTTTGAAAATTTGTAAATACTATCTATGGATTAAACTTATTTTAAGAAAACTCTTTTTAAATGTTTTTGGAGGTATTTTTTTGCTTTTAAGTTCAGAGGCAAATGAAAAACATGATATAAATTAACAGCAATTATATTTGTTACATGAAGGTCTTATATATTCTTTGTCCACTTAATTTTTCAATATTATATTTTTTTGACACTGGAGGAAAATGATTTCAAAAAATTTTTTTTTTGTTTTTGAGACAGTCTCACTCTGTCGCCTGGGCTGGAGTGTAGTGGCATGATCTTGGCTTCTCTGCTTGCAGCCTCTGCCTTCTGAGTTCAAGTGATTCTCCTGCCTCCGCCTCCCAAGCAGCTTGGATTAAAGGCACACACCACCATGCCTGGCTAATTTGGGGGTTTTTAGTAGATACGGGGTTTCACCATGTAGGCCGGTCTGGTCTCGAACTCCTGGCCTTCCAAAGTGCTGGGATTACAGGCATGAACCACCACGCCCAGCCTTAAAAAAAAAAACCAGCAACAAAATTTTAATAGGATATGTTTAAGACTAGTACTTCCAGCTCTATAATGATGTGTATATCAGGAAACAATAAAGCTTGAGCACAGTGGCCATATATATAAACGAAATTAACTCTTAAATCAGTGGTTCTCAACCACTGGCAATTTTAACCCCCAGAAAACATTTGACATTATCTGGAAACATTTTTGGTTAACACAACTTGGAGGGGTGCTGCTGGCATCTGTGGCTGATGATGCTACTTAACATCTTAAAATGCACAGGACAGCACCCTCCAACAAATAATTGTCAGTATGTCAAGGTTGAAAAACCCTGAGCTATAAATGATAGAGCTAATCTTTTGTTAATCAGTTATAATTATTTTAACTGGTTATAGCAAGTTTGAATGTCAATCAACTTTTGAATATAAATGTTTTTAAAACTTATCGGCACATTTTGAAATTAAGACTACTTCAAAACTCATTACTATTACTATTTTATTACAGATGAACCCACAAGATCATTGAGTGGTCTTATCTTGAAGAATAATGTGAAAGCACACTTTCAGAACTTCCCAAATGGTGTAACAGACTTTATTAAAAGTGAATGTTTAAATAATATTGGTGACTCCTCTCCTCTGATTAGAGCCACTGTTGGTAAGTTATATTACAACAGTTTTGCTTACTTTGTTTGTAACTGGGTCATTTTTAGAGATGACAGATTATTTCCTTAGGAATTTTTGTCTGTTTCATGTTAAATTGTGTTGGGGAAACTTTCATTGCCTTTAAATGCTTTTGAAATGGTGTAATCATGGTAAAAGCGCTCTCATCCAGTGAAACTAGTGACCCTGGATAAGAGGAGAGCCTGATCAAACTTAGCCTAATCAGAGTTGGTTAAAATGGGGCATCAACAAGTGATATTAATTTGCGGACACTACTTTTTCTTGAGCATGCAGATTAGAGTTCTGTTTGTTTTTTTGTTTTTTTTTGAAGCAGTCTCTGTTGCCCAGGCTGGGGTACAGTGGCACAATCTTGACTCACTGCAACCTCTGCCTCCTGGATTCAAGCGATTCTCCTGCCTCAGCCTCCCGAGTAGCTGTGATTACAGGCACCCGCCACCATGCCTGGCTAATTTTTGTACTTTTTAGTAGAGACAGGGTTTTACCATGTTGGCCAGGCTGGTCTATAACTCCTGACCTCAGGTGATCCGCCTGCCTCAGCCTCCCAAAGTGCTGAGATTACAGGCCTGAGCCATGGCGCCTGGCTTGGAGTTCCTATTTTCTGCCTAGCATGATGCATAATTTCTTGTTTCACTTTTACATGTGAAGAAATACTTTTTAATTGCTTATGAAAAACCTAAGTGTATATAGGATTCTAGATTTTTACTATTTTCTCCCTTGTTTTTAAATATAAGCCTTGTCAGTAATTCAGCAGCAACTTTTTAGTCTTTTCAGAGCGTTCAGCTTATTTTCAGGGGCAGTACAACTTTCTGTTAGCTTATGTAATACTGAATTAACATGCTTAATTATAGTAACTCGTATAAATCTATTTGGAAACACACACAACTGGCTATTGGTTAACACAATTTGCCAACCAATGGAAGCAGTAATAAATAGCCATACTGAAGAGGAGCGTACTAATGGGCAGCCTTTAGTATACCATGGGCTTAAGCAGCTAACTTCTACAAGGACCTGGAAAGCTTCTGTTAATCTACCCAGGCTGGTTAAATGAAAGTCCGTTAAATGAGTCAGATGCTTTCATTAAGAGTTCCTGACTGGGCACGATGGCTCACGCTGTAATCCCAGCACTTTGGGAGGCTGAGGCGGATGGATCACCTGAGGTCAGGAGTTCGAGACCAGCCTGACATGGTAAAACCCTGTCTCTACTAAAAATACAAAAAAATTAGCCAGGTGTGGTGGCGTGTGCTTGTAATCCCAGCTACTTGGGAGCCTGAGGCAGGAAAATTGCTTGAACCCGGGAGGTGCAGGTTGCAGTAAGCTGAGATCACGCCATTGCACTGCAGCCTGGGTGACGAGCGAAAATCTGTCTCAAAAAAAAAAAAAGAGTTCCTGTTTTGTCTTGTGGGTTTGAAAAATATTTATCTCTTACTTACAAAGCATTGGCTCTATGACCTCCCTGCAGATATTCTTGTATTAAACAGTGCCATCATTGACACTGATTTTACATTTGATGGGTAGAGGACATTTGTGGTTTGAGAAAAAGAACTCCCTAGATTACTCTAATGTACTCTTACGTACCTTAAGGCTTTACCTACTCTTGACACTGTTAAAAAGAATGGTGAGCGTGTGCCAGCCTTTTCCATTTCGGATCCAGGAGAGAAATCTCCATACGTAAGTGGAATGGAATTTAGAAGGAAGGTGGGTTTCCTCTGAGTGTTGGCAACTCAGCTGAAAGGAAAGGAGAGGATATAGAAACGAGTTATGAGATTGTTTCTTCCTAAACTGTATTTCATTATAAACCTATCTTTAAGTGCCATTTGGTTCAAACTACAATACTCTGTGTCTTTAAATTTGAAAGGTTAGAAGTAATAATACTAGGGAGAGAAGAATTGGTTTTATCTCCTAATGAGTACTTTCACCTTCCATAAGGTTTTTGAACATGTTTAGGAGCTGACTTTATCTTTGGAATTATTTAAGCACTTAGGTATCATCTGACTTATTTTAAAACAGAGATTGGTGAAATTGACTTATGTAGGCATTTTTATTTCTTGCTGTGTATTAGTAGAATACGAAAGGTCTTTCATTTTAGTTTATGTTAAGTAGATACTTAAGTATTCTAATTGTGAGGGACCACTGCAGTTTTCAGTATAGAAACAGCTTTTATTTAGTTGCTTTACTACAGATGAAGGAGCTTCAAACATAACTGCAGTGTATTTTCAAATGACATGATGTCTAGGATTTGATAAAAAAGCAATTAGGAATGTGAAGGTGGTTGTGGGTAGAAGTATGGATGAAACAAGATTGACCATGTATTAATGACTGCTGAAGCTAGTTAATGGATACATTTAGTTCATTATATTTTTCTATTTTTATATATGTATGTGAAATTTTCTATTTTAAAAAGTCTGTAATATTAACTAGATAAAACAGCTATGAGCTTGAAATAAGTTAGCTAAAAATGAGTTCGTTTTTGTCCCTCCTGCCTTCACACCCACCTCCACCCCACTTTTTGATATGTATTAGTGAAGGTGGTGGAAAGTATGATTGACAGATTCTTCCCAAAGAGGGGAGAAATTATTTTGGGGGCACAGCATTAAGACTAAAGTATTGGCCAGGTGCGGTGGCTCATGCCTGTAATCCCAGCACTTTGGGAGGCCAAGGTGGGCGGATCACGAGGTCAGGAGATCGAAACCATCCTGGCTAACATGGTGAAACCCCGTCTCTACTAAAAATACAAAAAATTATCCGGGTGTGGTGGTGGGCACCTGTAGTCCCAGCTACTCTGGAGGCTGAGGCAGGAGAATGGCATGAACCCGGGAGGCGGAGCTTGCAGTGAGCCAGGATCGCGCCATTGCACTCCAGCCTGGATGACAGAGTGAGACTCCGTCTCAAAAAAAAAAAAGACTCTAAAGTATTTTATAGTTTTGTTGTTGTTTTGTTTGTTTTGCTTCAGGAAAATTGATGAGTTATTTAAACACATTGGTGCTTTCCAACAAATCTGGGAAGGTTTTTTTTTTTTTTTTAATCACCCAAATTGCCTAATCTTAGTTTACATGAGAAAAAGATTTAAAACACTTCTAGGAACATATTTTTAAGTGAAATAATTTTTTGGAGTTTCTGAAAATCATCTCTAAGAATTGGCAACAGACTCTTCATCACTTACTAACCTTCACAGAAAATTCTTGGTATATGTATAGTAGTGCAAGTACTCTGACTCTACATTATCAGTTGATGTAGGACTCTGTTCCTCTAGACCAGAGTTTTCCAACCTCAGCACTTGACATTTTGGACTGGATAATTCTTTGTTGTTGGGCTATTTTGTCTGTGCACTACAGGATGTTAATCAGCACACCTGACCTCTACCCACTGGATACCAGCAGCAGCCACATACCCTGCTGTAGCAACCAAAAATGTCTCTAGACCATGCCACGTGTTGGGGTCAGGGAGTGCCTGACTGAGCTCCTTGAGGGAAAGGACCATGTGTTATTTTTGTATTTCTTAGCATCTACTAATAATATATACAATATTTAAATATTTTAATTAAAAGATTACTGATTATAAAAATAGACTAGCAGCTTTGGCTTTTAAAATTTTTATTAACCTTAACAATACATGTTGGGAATCTTATCAAGGAAGTCTATTTGGAAGGGACCACATCTGAATGACTGTGGGGTAATTCATCAGATGAAGTAAAGATGTTTCTCTTGTTTAGAGAGTATACAGTTTGTTTGTAATTTTATTATTTCAATGAATATTCTCTTGTGTATGTTTGTACAATTACAGGAAGATTTCTATAGGATTAATTTGTGTATTTGGCATTATTGGGTCAAAGTGTGTTTAAACATTTTTAAGATTTTAATAGGTGTTGCCAAGCACACTGATTTCATTCCCGTATTTGTTATAAATACTGAGAAATATTAAGTTATGCTTGGTTTCTTTTAGACAGATCCAGATCTTGCTCATTCCCTTATTTCTTTTATATTTTAACTTTAGGAAAGACTAATTTGCAGGAACGATCAGATCTTGCTGCTTTTGGATCTTAATGGAAGGCTATTTTATTGTAAGGGCTATATCTTGAAAATGCTATCAGTACATTAATTCTTACTATACAATTTAATTTTTTTGTGTGTGGAGAATAAATTTGCCGGGAGCTTTACTTTCTAGATTCTTTTTTAGTTCTTTATCATTGAGAGCAACCTTCTCAGAACTAAAGGTAGAAAATTTATACACATGGTGATATTTGCTGTTCAGTGATAGTCATTGAGTGTTTACTAGATGCCAGGCATTTTCTATATATCCAATTGAATTTTCAAAATAACCCTATGAAGAGTTTTCTTTTTTCATTTTTGTACACTCATATTTTGCAGCTTAGAATGCATATAATTTGCCTATTGTCAGAGCTTATACTCTTCTGGCACTAAAAGATCCATAATCACTAAGCATATTATATCACTAATATGTTTACTAAGGCAGAAAAAAATATTAACACGAAACCTTTCTGTTGTCCTTGTGTTTGTGTTAACACAAAACTTTCCTTACATTTGTGTGTATTTGCATAATTCATTGACTATCACAACTCTACTGCATAACACAGTTGAGATAATCCATTCAGTCAGAACAACATGATCAGTGAGCATGGGCCACCCAGCCTCGAAGATCGCCTTTCTGGCGACTCATTCTTGATCCAGTAAGTGGGAACTGTTGTAGGAGTATGTAGCCTGCCTACATGAGGGAGAGTGTTGTAAGCAGTGAAACATACAGGATTATTCTCAAGTGATACTCATCTGCTTAAGTTTTTCCTACCATGGTCCTTGGCTCTGGTTCCAGATTAAGTCAGGGAGCTATTTTTAGCTTCTTAATGTGTCTTTTATTTGAACCTAACAGACTCATAAGTTTATCACCCAGTGTTAAGTGCTGCTAACGTTTTGGCATATTTTCTTTCTACTCTTTTGTATGGATAAATTAGAATTTTTTTTTTTTTTTGAGACAGAATTTCGTTCTTGTTGCCCAGACTGGAGTGCAGTGGCGTGATCTCGGCTCACTGCAACCTCCGCCTCCCGGGTTCAAGCGATTCTCCTGCCTCAGCCTCCTGAGTAGCTGAGATTACAGGCATGCACCACATGCCCGGCTAGTTATGTATTTTTAGTAGAGATGGGGTTTCTCCATGTTGGTCAGGCTGGTCTTGAACTCCCAACCTCATGTGATCCACCCACCTCGGCCTCCCAAAGTGCTGGGATTACAGGTGTGAGCCACCGTGCCCAGCCATTAGAATTAATTTTAATTGGTGGAGCTATTCTTGGTATTATGGCAGAAAAAGAAGTTGCATTCTTATACTTGGTAAATTTAACTCAAAAAACCTTAGAGGGTGAAATGTTGAAAAACACTATTAGAAACAGATCTGGTTTATGTGAGGTTTTTTTTCCACAAGGTACGGAATGGTGATATGGGTGTTGGTGGTGAGTGTTACTAATTTTTTGAGACAGGGTCTCACTCTGCCCAGGCATGAGTGTGGTCTCATAGTCATGGCTCACTGCAGCCTCGACCTCCTTGACTCAGGTGATCCTCTCACTTCAGCCTCCTGAATAGCTGGGATCACAGGCGCATACCATCACGCCCAGCTGATTTTCTTGTATTTTTAGTAGTGAGAGGGTTTCATCATGTTGCCCAGGCTGGTCTGGAATTCCTGGGCTCAAGAGATCTGCCCGCCTCGGCCTCCCAGAATGCTGGGATTACAGCATGAGCCACCATGCCTGGCCAAATGTTATTATTTACATAAAATGTGTTTGTGCACACAGTTGCTCACATGGCAATGCCTGACATAATGCTGTTGGATTTCCTAAAGAAGTGTGTTTTTGTTCAAGGTATTTTGATCACAACTATAGCCTCCAAGGGAGAATTGCAGAATTGGCCTGACCTCTTACCAAAACTCTGTAGCCTGTTGGATTCTGAAGATTATAATACCTGTGAGGTAAGGATATTTGTTTCATACATAATTGGGTGTTTTCTGTTTTTCTTGTCATGTTGTGTATTAGCAGCTTTTGGGAAAAATAGTTCCTCTGAAACATACAGCTTCTCAAAACTTAGAAACCTAAAGTTACCTTTGTGTTATATTACATTTGTAAATCATTTATTTTTCTATAAAAACTGTTACATTATAAACCTCTTTTACTGTATTTCACACAAGGACGTATCTTGCTTTTCTGTTCTAAAATTATTCTTGGATGTATATGTATGTAATATACAGTTTTTGTCAAGCCTAATCAGTTAAAGATAGAATGAAATTTACCAAATTCCTGGACCATGAGTACTTTTTTAGCTTCTCTAAATTGTTTTTATGCCTCTTATATGAGATATCTAAGGGATGCTGAACTTGTGTTTTTTGTTTTTGTTTTTGTTTTTTGAGACAGGGTCTCACTCTGTTTCCCAGGCTGGAGTGCAGTGGCACCATCATAGCTCACCTCAACCTCCTGGGCTCAAACAATCCTCCTACGTCAGCCTCCCAAAGTAGTGGGGACTACAGGCATGTACTACCATGCTAGACTAATTTTTTCTTTTTTTTTTTGGTAGAGATGGGGTCGCGCTGTTGTTCAGGCTGACCCTGAACTCCTGAGCTCAAGAAATCTTCCAGCCTCAGCCTCCCAAAGTGCTGGGATTACAGGCATGAGCCACTGCACTTCACTAAACTTGTCTTCGTTTTTTTTGTTTGTTTGTTTGTTTCAAACAGGGTCTCGCTCTGTTGCCCAGGCTGAAGTGCAGTGGTGCAATCTCAGCTCACTGCAACCTCTGCCTCCCAGAATCAAGTGATTCTCCCACCTCAGCCTCCCGAGTAGCTGCGATTACAGGCATGAGCCACCACGCCCGCCTAATTTTTTTGTATTTTTAGTAGAGACAGAGTTTCACCATGTTGGACAGGCTGGTCTTGAACTCCTGGACTCAAATGATCCACCTGTCTCAACCTCCCAAAGTGTTAGGATTACAGGTGTGAGCCACTGCGCCGGACCATTGTCTTCGTTGTAATCATACATTAACTCTGACCTGTGGGTTTTTGTGTGTGTGTGTGTGTGTGTGTGTGTGTGTGTGGTTTTTTTTGTTGTTTTTTTGGGGTTTTTTTGCCACTGATTAGATCACTAGCATCCTTTTTGTTTGGGGAGAGAGGATGATTTCTCATGGTTAGTGGATACAGTAAGTATCTCTTTAATTAGCAGGCTTCCAATTTGGGTAGAAATCTATTTTTTGTGGAAACCATATTTGGTGTTTTGACTCTGTAAAGCATCGACTCCTATACCTCTCAAAGAGCGGAGGTTGAAGGCAGGGCAGGCACAGGAATAACCTGTCAACAACAAAAAAACCCCACAGGAATAACCTAACCTAAAAGGGAAAAAAGAAACTATCCGCCATGGTGGCTCACACCTGTAATCCCAAGGCCTAGGTGGGTGGATTGCATGAGTTCAAGACCAGCCTGGGCAATATGGTAAAACCCTATTAGAAGAAATTGGCCAGGTGTGATGTGTGCCTGTGGTCCCAGCTACTCAGGAGGCTGTGGTGGCTCACACCTGTAATCCCAGCACTTTGGGAGACTGAGGCAGGTGGATCATTTGAGGTCAGGAGTTTGAGAGACCAGCCTGGCCAACATGGTAAAACCCCATCTCTACTGAAATACAAAAATTAGCCAGGCATGGTGTCGAATGCCTGTAATCTCAGCTACTCTGGAGGCTGAGGCAGGAGAATTGCTTGAACCCAGGAGGCGAAGATTGCAGTGGACTGAGATTGCACCACTGCACTCCAGCCATCTCAAAAAAAAAAAAAAAAAGGCTTTGGAAATACACTGATAAGATTACAGATTACAGAAAAGCTAAATAATAAGTCATCATGTGACAGTTGATTGCATTTAAATAGTGCTTTGGTGTGATGGTAATAACATAAAAGAAGATCAAAATTTTAAGCAAGTGCTTTCCAAGAATAAAAAATTTAAGCTGCAGTAATTGTGAAATTGTTGAGCTAGTGTACTACATAGAAGTCATACTGTAAATAAACAATATTCCCATCCATCTGAACTAAAGATAGTGGTTTTCCAGATGTTGGTATGGAGTGATAGCTAAATGTTTGTTCTTATTTGAAATTTTTAATTGCCACATGGGTAACAAGTTCACATTTAATTTGATGTAATAGGCTTTCAGAAGTAAAGCTTTTTTAAAAAAAAAACCTTAACAATTGAATATGACTATTTTAGCATGTTAATTAAAATTCCTGATATTTAATGCATATTAAATTGAAGTTTGAAATTTAATATATTGATTAAATTTTAGACTTAAAAATATTTTCAGATTTAATATTTTTAAGATATTATAAAATCTAAAAGGATGTTGGGTAGTTTCCTTAAAGGATTTTACCTTCTGTTGGACACTTTAAAACTGTACTATGGAGAATAAGCATCAAGTTGCCGCTGATGGAATTATATAGTATAAACAGTAAAGTAGGTGGGTGGGTAACTAGTAGGTTACATGTTATGTACAAAGTCTCTGGATTATCCCCTTTAGTATTAAAATGATTATAGGAAAATGGTTGCCAATTTGCACTGCCTGCCCTTGCAACAGATTTTGTCACCAGTTACCCAGTGAATACTTTTATATGTAAGTAACTTTTTTTTTCTATATGTAAGTAACTTTTTTTTCCTTTTTTTGAGACAGAGTTTTGCTTTGTCACCCAGGCTGGAGTGCAGTGGTGCCATCTCGGCCCACTGCACCCTCTGCCTCCCAGGTTCAAGTGATTCTCATGCCTCAGCCTCCAGAGTAGCTGGGATTACAGGCATGCACCACCACGCCCAGCTAATTTTTTTGTTTTTAGTAGAGACAGGGTTTCACCATGTTGGCTAGGCTGGTCTTGAACTCCTGACCTCAGGTAATCCACCCGCGTCGGCCTCCCAAAGTGCTGGGATTACAGGCTTGAGCCACCACACCTGGCCTAAGTAACTTTTTAATGGTATTAATGACCTCTCTGTGCTTCAAAAAGAAAAGTATTACAGTGGTTAACTACTCTTCTATGTAAATGTAGAGTTTTATATTTAATTTAAACAAACTGATATTTAATTCCTGCCAACCAAAATATCCTCCACTTCTAAGTCATTTAATGCTAAAACTAAAATATACCCTTGTATTTTAACTGAGATTTTTACATACTCGATGATATAATAATTTGTTTTAAAATTGAATATTAGAGCGGGCATGGTGGCCCATGCCTGTAATCCCAGCACTTTGGGAGGCTGAGGCAGGCGGACCAGCTGAGGTCAGGAGTTTGAGACCAGCCTGGCCAACACAGTGAAACCCCATCTCTACAAAAAATACAAAACTTAGCCGGGCACAATGGCAGGCACCTGTAATCCCAGCTACTCGGGAGGCTGAGGCAGGAGAGTCACTTGAACCCGGGAGGCAGAAGTTGCAGTGACCCGAGATGGTGCCACTGCCAGCCTGGGCGACACACCAAGACTCCGTCTCAAAAAAAAAAAAATTGAAGGATTAAATTTATGGATTTTAGAAGGCATTTTATGTGGGCTGAGAACATTAGTCCATACAAATTAATCAGCATTCTTCAGTTTGTTTTCAAATGGCTTCATTTTTAACAAATTCTGATAATTTAAATGTGTCTCTTACAGGGAGCATTTGGTGCCCTTCAGAAGATTTGTGAAGATTCTGCTGAGATTTTAGACAGTGATGTTTTAGATCGTCCTCTCAACATCATGATTCCCAAATTTTTACAGTTCTTCAAGCATAGTAGTCCAAAAATAAGGTACTTATATTGCCAGTACTAATTGATTAACTGTGATATAAACCTGACCATTATCTTAGTTTTCATTACCTAATATTTTTGACATTAGCAAAAGATCAAAAGATATTGGATGTTCCAGAGAGGTGAACTTATGTAATTGAAATTGACTACTTCAGTAACAAAACCTGTGAAATGTTGACTCTTTGTGAGGAAATTTTTGTTAAACATGATAAAAGTTTTGTGCCTTTTACAGTGGTTAATTATATTCATGATAGTTAACAGGCATCTTCTAACTTCCTTTATTTAAGGCCAGGATTAGTTGTGGGTTTTTTGTTTTTGTTTTTGTTTTTTTAGCTTTGATTTTAGAATCGGGATACATGTGCAGGTTTGTTACAAAGGCGTATTGCGTGGATGCTGGGGGTTTAGAGTACAAATGAATCCATCACCTAGGTGGTAACCATAGTACCCATTAGCTAGTTTGGCCCTCTCCCTCCCTCTTCTTATATTCCCCAGTGGCTGTTGTTCCCATCTTTATGTCGAGGTGTACCATATGTTTAGCTCCCACTTATAAGTGAGAACATGCAGGTATTTGGTTTTCCATTATTACAACATTATAATAATGTTGTTATTTCTGGCATAGTTAACTGGATAGGAGTTCACGTTTCCAGGAAGTTTCCCCCTTTTAACATTTTAACTAAGATAATGAAAATGTGGCAATATACATACTTCACTTTTTGTGACTGATTCTCAGTAATAAAAAAACAGCTGGGCCTGGTGGCTCATACCTGTAATCCTAACACTTTGGGAGGCCCAGGTGGGTGGATCGCTTGAGCTCAGGAGTTCAAGACTAGCCTGGGCAACGTGATGAGACCCCATCTGTACAAAAAATATAAAAATTAGCTGGGCATGGTGTCACACACCTGTGGTCCGAGCTACTTGAAGGGTCAAGGTGGGAGGATTGCTTAAGCCCAGAAGAAGGAGGTTGCAGTGGACTGAGATTGTACCACTGCACTCCAGCCTGGGCGACAGAATGAGACCTTGTCTCAAAAAAGAAAAACAGAAAAAATTCAAAAATCATATTTCTGGTAATCGATACACCATTGCTGGATATTAAATATTAATAAATATTTTTTCACGATTTTTATTTTGTAGATGGTCATTTGATTAAAATGTTAGGTAAAGTAGAGCAATTCAGAAATATTTCACCTAAAATCACAGCGCTTTGGGAGGCTGAGGCAGGAGGATTGCTTGAGGCCAGGAGTTAGAGACCAGCCTACGCAACATAGCAAGACCCTTTCTCTACAAAAAATAAGTTTAAAAAATTAGCTGAGTGTAGTGGTGTATGTGCCTATAGTCCTAGCTACTCTGGAGGCTCAAGCAGGAGAATCAGTTGAACCCAGGAATTCAAGGCTGCAGTGAGCCACTGTGCTCTAGCCTGAGTGATGGAATAAGACCCTGCCTGAAAAAAAAAAATTCCTTTCCATGAATGTTGATTAATACCCATTTGAGATTCTGTTGTACATACTTTTAGCATTTTTCTCTTTAATGTATATTTGGGTAATAACTATCTACTGTAAATATATACTAAATGTATCATCCATCTTTAATATGATATTCTACATTATTTAATACCTTATTAATGTAGTTTAACTGACATTTACTATGTACTCTTAAGCGTTCTCTCTCAACGTAACTGTTGGACTTCAAGAATATAAAATTAGAGTATAGGAAACTATATTGCCTAGTTCTATAGGCAGTGACTAAGCAATTTAAAAATAAGAACCATTTTATCAGACTTGAGGTACTCAGAATTGAATTATTCTTAGTTGATGACATTCTCATCATGGCCTACTCGTATTTAGCCTTTAGTTATATATTATTTTTAATAACATAAGCAATCAGATCCACCACCTGAAACAAAATGAAGACCTTGACAACAGTCTACATCTAAGTCACAATTTCATACTTCCCTTACATTTCTTGATAGATAATTTTATTGCATGCATATGCAAAGGGTGAGATATATCTTAGTTTTTAGCATTGTAAGAACTGCACAGTACTGAATGTAGACATAGGCAACTTTAATGTTATGTTGCATTCATCTGTACTGAATCACTATAGCTCATTTTGACTCCTCTGTAATATTCCATTGCATGACAATTAGCATATTTTTTAAGTGTTGCCAATCAAATAGATATTTGGTGTTTCATTATGGTCTTGATAATACTTTGCTATCATTAATGATGTTGAAGATCTTGTATGTTTATTGCCTTTATCTTGTTGTTGTCTCTTCCTTTTTTCTACTAGGTTATTTGTACTCCATTGATTTACAGGAATTCTCATCCTTTATCAGTTATGTGTGTAGAGAATATCTTAATCCTTTTTTGTCTTTACTAAGAGTTTAAAATGTTAAGGGCTTTTTGACATTTAAGAGCTTAATATGGCCGGGCGCGGTGGCTCACGCCTGTAATCCCAGCACTTTGGGAGGCCGAGGCAGGCGGATCACGAGGTCAGGAGATCGAGACCATCCTTGCTAACATGGTGAAACCCCGCCTCTGCTAAAAATACAAAAAATTAGCCGGGCATGGTGGCGGGCACCTGTAGTCCCAGCAACTCGGGAGGCTGAGGCAGGAGAATGGCATGAACCTGGGAGACGGAGCTTGCAGTGAGCTGAGATTGTGCCACTGCACTCCAGCCTGGATGACAGAGCAAGACTCCGTCTCAAAAAAAAAAAAAAAAAAAAAAAAAAAACACAAAATAATATATCAGGCATTTGTGGGTGTGTTATGGGGTAGATAAACATTCTGTCTTTTCCATTTATGTAACTTTTTCTTGCTGTCACATTTATTTTATAGTCCCTTCTCCCCATCAGTTTAAAATGTCACCTCTGTTATATGCTTAGTTATATGCGTGCATAGGTGTATTAATGGGCCCTCTATTTTATTCTATTGCTGTTTCATGACTAAAGCTTCAAATTGAATTCTGATATATCTTAGAGCAAAAATTGGAGTGTTTGAGGCTTTTTTCTTTTTTTAACAAGTTGCAGTTACTTAAAGTTTAGGCTGGGCGCGGTGGATCACCTGAAGTCAGGGGTTCAAGACTAGCCTGGCCAACATGGTGAAACCCTGTCTCTACTAAAGATACAAAAAATTAGCTGGACGTGGTGGCGGGTGCTTGTAATCCTAGCTACTCGGGAGGCTGAGGCATGAGAATCACTTGAACCCGGGAGGCGGAGGTTGCAGTGAGCCGAGATCGTGCCATTGCAACTCCAGCATGGGCAACAAGAGCAAAACTCCATCTCAAAATAAAAAAAGTTTATAACATATTGCAATGAATTTCTACACAGCAAGGAAAGAGTTGTACAAACAGCTCAAACTATATTAAGATAATTTTTCCGTATTTTTATTGTGTTCTGGCTTATCTCAACTTGAAAAAAATTTTGGGTAACGTTACTCCTATTTATAAGGTAAATTTATATTATGTCCCAGAATGGAATGAAAATAAGGCCTACAGTTTTACAACATATAAAATTGGCAGAACTTTTAAAATAATAAATGGCAGGGCGTAGTGGCTCACACCTGTAATCCCAGCACTTTGGGAGGCTGAGGCGAGTGGATCACCTGAGGTCAGGAGTTTGAGACCAGCCCGGCCAACATGGCAAAATCCTACCTCCATTAAAAATACAAAAGTTAGCCTGGCATGGTGGCATGCACCTGTAATCCCAGTTACTTGGGAGGCTGAGGCACGAGAATCACTTGAACCCAGGAGGCGGAGGTTGTGGTGAGCTGACATTGCGCCACTGCACTCCCTCCTGGGTGACAGAGTGAGACTCCATCTCAAAAAAATAAATAAAGACAGTTTTACCTTATAAAAATATGAGTTGAAGAAAGGCTAAAAATCAGAATTTGACCTGGAATATGCAGACTTTCAGGATGAGAAATTAGAATTGAAAATATACATGATTTAACAGAATTACTCTGAGCTTACTAAATACCTCAGATGCTTCTGGGGGAATATTTTCTTATAATCTATAAGGAAGAGATCATATTGGAGAAAAATTCATTCTTCACAAACAAATGCCATTTATATAGTATCAGACAGATCTAATTAACAAATTGATATTGATTATGAATATGTGACATGAGTAATTATTCTGCCTTTGTTATTGCCTTTGATCACCAGAAATCAATACAAGGAAGTTTTATTTTTATATACACAGATATCCATAGCATTCCAAGTTTATCATCTGTATTTCTGGCCTAGATCTGATTCCTTTTATTGGGAAATGATATTTAGAGCTTTCAGTAGGACAGTAGGAATGCCTTTTCTCTTCCTTATAAATTCTACAGTTGTCAAGTTTTATGAAAAGCCTTGTTGGAATTTACGTTGGAATAACATTAAATCTGTGGATCAATTTAGAAGAAATAGTCATTTTCACAATACTAATTGCTTTTTTTTTTTTTTTTTTTGAGACGGAGTTTCACTCTTGTCTCCCACACTAGAGTGCAATGGCATTATCCCTGCTCACTGCAACCTCCACCTCCCAGGTTCAAGCGATTCTCCTGCCTCAGCCTCCCAAGTATAGCTGGAATTACAGGCGCATGCCATCACTCCCAGCTAATTTTTTATTTTTGGTGGAGATGGGGTTTCACCATGTTGGCCAGCCTGGTCTCCAACTCCTGACCTCAGGTGATCCGCCCACCGTAGCCTCCCAGAGTGCTGGGATTACAGGCGTGAGCCACCGTGCCCAGCCAATTGCTTGTTTTTAATGAAGTTTTCTACTTTTCTTTTTAGAGGCCTTGAACATATTACATATTAAATGTATTCCCAGGCACTTACTTGGTCTTATGATACTATTGTAAATGGTAGCATTTAAGTTACACTTTCTAGTTTTTTCCTTCATTGCTGATGTATAGAAACTATATTAAACTTCCAAAGAAAGCACGTCACACTGTTTCTTTTAATTTAAAATGTAAGTCCTAACTGTTCCCAAGTTTCTAAAAATGGTTTGGGGAGGCTAGTAGTAGGTGCCTCTGGAGGTTGGGGATAGGAGAGATTTCTGCCTTTAAATTTTGCCTTACATGCACACAAAAAAAATGCAAGTTAAAAGATTTCTGTTCTTGATTTAAAGGCCCTTTAAAAGACTTTATTGTATTTTTTTTCCATTTGTTTACTATGCCAAGTACTTAACATATATATTAGCTCATGTAGTTTAATCCCCCCAACAAATGAATGAATTGTAGGTTGCTGTTGTTTTTGAGACAGAGTTGGTTTTTTTTGAGACTGAGTCTCTCTCCATCGCCCAGGCTAGAGTACAGTGGCGCGATCTCGGCTCACTGCAACCTCCGCTGCCCGGGTTCAAGCGATTCTCCTGCCTCCTGCCTCAGCCTCCCGAATAGCTGGGATTACAGGCATGCACCACCAGGCCCGGCTAATTTTTGTATTTTTAGTAGAGGCAGGGTTTCACCATGTTGGCCAGGCTGGTCTAGAACTCCTGACCTCAAGTGATCCGCCCGCCTCGGCCTCCCAAAGTGCTAGGATTACAGGCGTGAGTCACTGCGCCCAGCCAGTAGTAGTTTTATAGAATGAGAAAAACACACTTTAAAGCATAGGTAGCTTACCCTGTGTTGAACATTTAAGGGGTTGAGCTCCCCATAGTATGCTTTTTTCACTTAATGTTATCTTGGTAAATGTTTATGTGCTTTGCTGTAACTGCAGAACCAAAAATCAACTGTTTTTGGCACAGTGGTTAAGACAAAGAAAGGTTTTCATGGGGTTATATTTCAGAAGAGGAGACAGGACAGATAATGAATAAGTAATATGATTTCATACAGTCATGAGTACAATGGAAAAATAATGAGATCAGGGATAGACAGTGATTCAGAGATACTTTATGTAAATGGCTGTCTGTAAAGGAAACGTTTGTGCAAAGACTGAACAAAGTAAGGAAGTGAGTCTATGAAAGATGGTGAAGGATGTTTAAGACAGAACAGCAAGTGAGAAGTCTCTGGAATTAGGAATCAGCCTTTTAGAGTGACAAAAGAAAGAAACTTTGGGTTGTAGCAGCATAATGGGAATTGAAGTTAGGGGGTAAGGGAGGAGCCACAGTATAAAGGAATGTCTAGGCAAGTAGTCAGCAAACTATGTCCCATGGAGCCAAATTTAGCCCATGACCTGCAAGGTAAGGATGATTTTTAAATTTAAGAGGTTGTAATTAAGAGGGAAAAAAATGACAACAAAGGTCTTCATGTGGCCCATAAAGCTTAAAATATTTACTGTTTGACCTTTTGTAGAAAAAGTAGATTAAGTTTTATTGCAGCAATCTGAATGAGAGTATAGTGTGGTCTGTGTGTGTCAAACAGGCTGTAGTGGGGTTTGGCACAATGGAAGTCAGGAAACCAAGTACAGCCTATTTCATTAACCCTGGTAAGAGATCAGAGATCATGGCTTGGTTGAGAGAAATGAAAGCAGTGAGAAATGATTAGATTAAGAGTAAATTTTTAAAGTTGGTGTCAATAAGAACTGCTGAGCAATTGAATTGCATATGCCAGAACACATGGACTATTCTCCATTTTTAGTTTCAAAAGGAATGTTTACCTATCATTTTTAAATCTGTAGGCATCTAAAAAAAAAAATTTTGCCCCTCCCCAACCTCCACTCTTTATGGGTATGCACTATTAAAAATTTGCACATGTCCTTTCTAACATTTTTCAGTTGCTTAGAAATACATATTGCTCTGCAGCTTGCGTTTTGCACTTAGTATATCATTCAAATTCTTTCCTTGTTGATACAGAAGTTTGACGTATTCTTTTTAGTGGGTATATTGATAGACATATCATAATATTTTTATGGAGGAATGTTTTTACCAATTTTCTATAGATAGAACAAAGTTACAATGAGCATATGTTAAATTTTAAACTTTGTTTCTAGGTCTCACGCTGTTGCATGTGTCAATCAGTTTATCATCAGTAGGACTCAAGCTCTAATGTTGCACATTGATTCTTTTATTGAGGTAAGACTTGTTCTTGTCTCCCTCCCAACCCCCCAGCTTTTTTTTTTTGAGAAGGTTAGGTGATGCTAACTGCATGTAGTTTTGCTTTAAAACAAGAATCATTTATAATTCTAAACTCAATATTTAATTAAATTATTTCTGATAGTATTAAAACTGGATATGGGATAGACTAACTTTTGTTAGCTGAGAAGGCACTTTTACTAATTTTTCTACTTGTATCATTCTACAAACACTGATTTTGGTGGCGGGGTATGTTTAGTATCTTGACTACTTTAAAAATTTTTCCTTCAATATACTGTTCAAATTGCATATGGAAACCAAGTCCCTCAGCTCATGCAGTTTTTGAAATGTGAAAAATTGGTGAGGTTAGATTAAGTTCATTTGGTAGAATCTGAAGGCACAGACTACAAGGACAGTATTTTCCATTGGTTTCCATTGTAAAATTAGAGGCATCAGGAAAAATAGACTCTTTAGGCATTTTGAACTTTCTGATAAAAGTGGAAAGAAAAGAGCATAATTTTCTGGCCAGGAACCATAAGCACCACAATTTCTTCTCAAAATCTCTGCTACTTGATAACAATTAAAAGGATTGTTAAAGTTCCTTAAGCACCTTCACTTTTATTTTCATGAAATGGAATTTTAAAAGTCCCTTAGAAGTCAGACTGCTGATACTACTGTTGGGAAATTATAAGGAAGAGTAGGGGGGGTTACGTTACTTTTTTTCTCGTCACTTAAATTGACCAGCTTCTTTCTGAGCATCTTTTACCAATAAACTAAGAGTAGTAGCCATAAAGATCCTTTAGCCATTTACAAGTTAAAACCAAAATGTGTCTTAAATAGTTTTACTGACTACTACCTACTATGGAACAGATACTGTGTTTGATACTAGGGATACTTAAATTTTATGCCTGCAAGGTGTTTTCTTTCAGTCTAGTCTAGAGGTAGTATAATGTAGTGGATAATACTAGAGGTCTGGAGTAGACTATTGGTGTTCAAATCCAGCGTCTCAGTTTAGTAGCTTTTAACCTTAGATGCTTTATTTAACTGATGTTTTCTTTATATCATCTGTAAAATGAGTCAATAATTGACCTACCTTGTTGGATTGTTATAAACCTAGTTGATATAAGTAAATTGGAACAATGGCTGCCACAGAGTAAGCAGGCACTTCATGTTAGCTATTAAAGTATTAATAGTAGTATTTCTGTTGCAATTATCCTGGTGTTTTCTTTTAGTATTACTCTTTCACAGTTTAATAAAGGGGACAATGATAGACATACCAGCACCTTATAAGGAAATATAATCTAAAATAAATGAAATTGAATTATCTCTGAAAATAAAAATTTCATAGGACGGTACTCAGCAAGTGAGGCAGAAACATTTTCTAACATTTTAAAATATTTTGCTTTACTATTAAATATGTTAATATTTGTTTACTACTTGATAGTCCTACAGGATTTAGCCAATTCTCTACCCTACAAAAACAGTAAACCTCTGGAGGAAGTGCCTCTAACATATAGTAGGCCCTCAATAGCAATTTGCCAAGTGAATAAGTAAACTGATTTTCTTCACTTGCCATTGTTTTCATGGTATCATGTCTGCTAAGTCTAACATATTGATGAAAAGTTTATTGGTTACCAGTACATGGCTATAATGTATAACCTTGGCAAAGCTGGGTATTCATTGACAGTAGTAACAAAAGTGACAAATGCAAGATGATGGCATTGGGTATCCCCACCCCCAACCCAGTTGCTGTTCTCTAGAGTAAATTAATGAAATCTTTTAATAAAATTTAATGGAGGATGTACTGTTAATGGCAATGCCTGCTGGGAAAATAGTGCTCTTTTGTATGTAAAATACAATTAAAACAGGAACTACGTAGTTTTGAGAGTGTCAAATGTGGAAGCAGGACTTGGGGAAATCAACATTTTAAAAATGCTGCAATAGTACTTCACACAGTGTCCCATTTGATCGTTGAATTTCTCCTCTTTCTTATAATGAGATTTTAGGTTCATTTTGTAGAGGATTTCTGTGATTTCCTGGAAAAAGACAGTGGGACACATTGGATGTTACTTAACTTTTTAAATGCTTGTTTTACTGCTTTTAATACATGTATGTGTAAATAAAGTAAGACTTTATGTGTGACATGAGGAAGGCTTCATTGTGTTTTCCTCTCACATCCCCACTCTGAGAGATGTCTTTTTCTTCTAGTGGAAGCTTGTTGGTGTAGGGAAATGAGTGTGTGAACTCTGATTCCATGAAAGCCAGATTCAGATCTTCTGCTGGTTATCAAGTTACTTAACTTCTATTAATTTATTTCCTTATTTGTAAAATTGAATAATAACGTCTTAGAGTTTTGAAGATAAAATAGTCTGTTGTCCATTCAGACATTGCTTTTTACTTGCAGACGTAGGGAACAGCATAATATTTATTACTAATTTTATGGAACAACATCAGTTTAGGGTTAAGTTAGAAAATCAGTGTATACTAATATTTGTCGATTATTGAATCTGTATCACCTTTTTATAAATCTTGAATCTATTACCACCTCTCACCTTAAAAATCAGGGTTGGTAGGGAATAGTCTTTTGTCTCTGCTTCTGGGTGAGCAAACAAATGCTCCTATGTCCTAATGACATGGTTTCTTAAAAACTAAAAATTTCCTCAAAGTACAGCTGATTGTACTCTATCAGAAAAGAATAGCTCTTCATCTTTTATCAAAATCATAATCTTTGTCAGTTATTCCACATTTAATTCTTGTAATCTAATATTGTAGGCCAATTCAGTCAGTTTTTGGTACCTTTGTAGGGTTTCTTTAAATGTCACCAACTTGCAGATTACTTATTACTTGTGTGTAAGCCTTTCTAAAACTAGAAAAAATTATTTCTTGTGCAACAGAATCTCTTTGCATTAGCTGGTGATGAAGAACCAGAGGTACGGAAAAATGTGTGCCGAGCACTTGTGATGTTGCTCGAAGTTCGAATGGATCGCCTGCTTCCTCACATGCATAATATAGTTGAGGTAACACTGGCAATTTAAAGGCTCTTTCATCATCTTTCCCCTAAGAGAAATACTAGATAGAAAATACAACATACCGGATGGGAAGGGGACTATAAAATAGTTATAATTGTCTTAAAATTATAAGTTATCTTTGTGGGGAGTTTTGTATTTCTGGGTATAGTTGTACATACTGTATAACTTTGGAAGTGTTTTAAGTAGTATGTTATCTAGAGCCTCCTTTTCACTTCCAAAGTTCCATATGGTGGAGAGAAGAGAGGATCTTTTTTAAAGGTTGCAGTCTAAGATCTGTTAAAAGGCTAGCATTCGTGGTATGCAGCAACTCCTGTTCTAAAACTTTACACATGGCTGCATGAGGTAGGCCTGTTTTTTCTTTGAAAAGTCAGGCGGGACTGATTGAAAGTTTAGTGTTAACTAAAGTGAAGAAATTTTATCAGTTGCTTGGTCACAGCTGGGGAGCCTAATTTATAATGTTACAGTTCTTTCTTCCACAATACTCAGTAGCAAAAGAGTAGGACATGATGTATCATGTAATAGGGGTTGGCCTATGACACTGTTGTGTGGGCATATTTTGTTAGGTGAGATGTTTCAGTCCGTAAGAGGATGTGTACAGTCTATTAGTTGGCACTTCTACCCTCAGGTACGTTGTGAAAATCACGTGAGTGAATTTGGCTTGGTGTGTTCCAGAGGACATGAGAAATCTATTTTGTTGAGAATTACAAATTATATTCGCACTAAGAGATGTCACTACTACTTCCCAAATGAAAAATTATCTTTATAATTTCAGTATGTATATGTCACTTTAAATACGTGAAAGTCTATATACAAGAGACAGCTTGAGTAGTTGTAGAGTCTTCATTTTAAGAAATATATAATGAGTTCTTAATTTTTATGTTTCTAAGAAGGCTTAATATTTGATTAACATTCACATTTCAAAAATCTCAGTAGTATCATAAAAAAACTACACAGAAACAATACATTCACTGAACACTTTTCATTGAGTAGCAGTTTAAATCAGTGTTTCTTAAATTTAACTGTATTTTATAGTCACCTAGGAAACTTTAAAAATTCAAATTCTGGCCGGGTGCGGTGGCTCACACCTGTAATCCCAACACTTTGGGAGGCCGAGGTGGGCAGATCACGAGGTCAGGAGATCGAGACCATCCTGGCTAACACGGTGAAACCCTGTCTCTACTAAAAATACAAAAAAATTAGCCGGGTGTGGTGGCAGGCGCCTGTAGTCCCATCTATTCGGGAGGCTGAGGCAGGAGAATGGCATGAACCCAGGAGGCAGAGCTTGCAGTGAGCCGAGTTCACGCCACTGCATTCCAGCCTGGGCGACAGAGTGAGACTGCATCTCAAAAAAAAAAAAAAAAAAAAAAATTGCCTAGGTTGAAAACCATAAGGTCAAAAGCTTGCTTGATAATAGGACTGAATTGATACTAATGGTGTGATTTTTAAACTGACTAATATTAAGGATATTGTGTTTCCAGTACATGCTACAGAGGACTCAAGATCAAGATGAAAATGTGGCTTTAGAAGCCTGTGAATTTTGGCTAACTTTAGCTGAACAGCCAATATGCAAAGATGTACTCGTAAGGCATCTTCCTAAGTAAGTGTTCCCTCTTATAAATGCTGCCTTGTTCTTTAATTTCTTAAGTGATTCTTCATTTTCATATTTTTATAAAATTCATTCTTTTGCCATCAGGGAGTGAGATTCTAAAGAAGCCAGACTTAATTTTATTGTTGGTAAAGAGATTTTTCAAAAAGCAATTGCCTATTTTAAAAAAAATTATGTGAGTATGGTTTGTTCTAAATTATAATTGATTTCGGATAATTTACAGCACAGTATTTTTGTGGGGTTTTTTTGTTTTTTGTTTTGTTTTGTTTTTAAAAAACAATCCTTGTTATTTAACCACAGACTCTATTGTGAAGTTTTGTTTTTTTTCCAAAAAATAATTTCCCACTAGTTGTGATGCAACAGAATTTAGTTAACTTAATGTTAAGCCCATTTTTCTAAAAGTAAAGTAATATAAGCTCGTGGGAAAAAACTAAATTGCAGAAAATTTTATATTTTCCGCATTTTCACCACCCTGAGTAATCACTGGTAGTATTTTTTATGTCATCTTTTAATGTTCTTTTCTGTGAAAGTACCGTATACTAAATAGCATGTATTCAGGGGGTTTGAGAAGGAATTTGATTTAATAATATATAATACATTAACATGACATCTTGCCTATAGTTAGTGCTTAAAATTTTAAATATACTATTTAATGGTTTGTTCTTTTCAGTTATTGTATGCTGTGTGCTTTCCTCCATGTCATTAGTCTTTAAAACTTCAGTGGAGGTATGCTATTCCATCATGGTATACATAACCATATTTACATAAATGACGATTATATATGTGTACGCTATAGAGAGAGAGAGAGAGACTGTTCTCTGCCATTGAATATTTAGGTTGTTTTGGCTTTTTTTCCCCTCATAAATAATCCTGGAGTGAATATCTTTCTTTGTCAATAAAAGGTTGTTTCTTTTTGTTATAATTACTAGGAGTGATTTTTTTCCTCAAAGTATATGAGCATTTTAATGTTTTTTCACAATATTCCAAATAGTTCTCTAGGAAATTTATAGAACCGTATACCCCACTGTGTGTCTATTCTGTCACAACTTTGCCAGCCATGAATTTTAATTTCTCAAATCTTAGCCATCTGGATAAGCAAAAAAAAAAAAAGTTTTTAATATGTCTTCATAGTAAAGGGTTTTTTTTTTTCCCCAGATGTTTATGGTACTTGAATGTTCCTATTTTCATATGGTCAACTGAGTTTTTTCTTTCCATCAAGAAAGCAACGATTCCAGTCAGTGTATTTGGACGGTAAGGTTAAGCAAGGTGCGTCGTATCTTGCTTAACCTTGCCCTCGAAATACACTGACTGGATTTTTTTCTCTTTAGGAAATCTATTAATTGTTCTTCCTTTTCTCTTTACTTTGTAATGCCACTTTAATGATACGTTTGAGTTTCTGTGGGGTCATATAATTTTAAATGTCATAGATACTAATTTTTATAAAAACTGCAGAGATTTTCTTTTTTTCTTCAAGAGCAGAAATCCGCTTTTATTTATTGACTTTTCGTTAGTTTAAATCCTTGAGGGGTACAGCATCACTCAGATTTTGTGTCCAATGGTCTCAGCAGGAAGATTGCTTTGAAATTTGGCACGAACCATGCCACTGTTTCCATGGGCCCAGATTACTCTGGCTTTGTTTAGTTTGCCGCCAGGAGTCTCTGTGTTGTTCTTTGTTTTATGTACATAAGCACATCTCTTGCCCAAAGAGAATTCTGTTTCACCTCATGCGTCAACATCTTCAATTTTAACAAGAGCTGTGTGTTTCCTTTGGTTCTGGAGACCCTGCTTTTAGCCAGCAGAAAAGGCCTTGGGCCACAGCCTTCCAGACATACTTCCTTTTAGAAGTCCTATTCCCAGCAGGCTGCAGTTATTTGCCCCCAAATTTCAGCAGCAGCTGCTTCACTCCAGAGATTTTATTAATGAAAACCTAGGCTATAACATAAACCTATGCTATAACAAACCTATGCTAATGAAAACCTAGGCTATAACATTAGAGATGATGTTAAAAATATGGAATTATAACTAGGTACTCTAACTCTATTACTGCACTAATATAATCCAAATATTCGTAAACCAAGCAGGAAATTAAAAGATTAGCACCACCCATTTTGCTGTGCTAATTAGTGCCAACATTAAACAACTCAAGCCAGTCATGACTGAGTTTTACTTATGTCTTCCCTACTACTGTGAGAGGCGGTCTCACTGTATTGCCCAAGCTGGTCTTGATCCTCTTGCCTCAAGCAATTCATACTGCTTGGCCTCCCAAAACTTTGGGATTACAGCCATGGGCCACGGTACCCAGTGGGAGCCACTTTTATATATAAAACGCAGCTGTTTTTATTGTTTTAGATAATGTATTGACAGGATAGCAGAATATCAACATCAATCTGATGCTGAGATTAAAAAGCACAGTGAAATAACTTGTTTTTCCTATTTATTAACCACACTTGCCTAGTATAATACGAGCAAAAAGTGTTTGCATAGGAATTAAAATTGTGTGTGTTACAAGATCACTCATAAATATAAACTCATTTAGAAAGCACCATTGTAGGCTGGGCACAGTGACTCATGCCTGTAACCTCAGCACTTTGGGAGCCTGAGGCAGGCAGATCGCTTGAGCTCAGGAGTTCAAGACCAGCCTGGACAACATGGTGAAACCCGTCTCTACCAAAAATACAAAAATTAGCTGGGCGTGGCAGCACATGCCTGTAATTCCAGCTACTTGTGTGGCTGAGGCAGGAGAGTCACTTGAACCCAGGAGGCAGAGACTGCAGTGAGCTATGAGCCGAAATGGCACCACTGCACTCCAGCCTAGGCAACAGAGTGAGACCCTTTCTCAGAAAAAAAAAGCACCAGTGTAACAAGGAGGATATTAAGTTCTATTATCATTCTGGGCTATATAGTCTCCCTTTTTTTATTTTTTTAACTAGTACTATTTTTATTATTGAACATTAATGTATTTTGTGATCTGGTATAGCAGCTCTTGATTTCTCTCGTTTTTACAAAATTGTTTTGGCTTTTTCCCACCTTTATTCTTGTACATTAATGTCTTATAGGGCTGTTGTGTGGATTTTCCATGTGAAACAACCCAATGCTCAGCCCATATTTAAGTATTCAGTAAACGTTTATTGTCTATGTTATTACTTTATGTGATGTTGCATTAAAAAACTCATTTTTGACTGGGTGCAGTGGCTTATGCCTGTAATCCCAGCACTTTGGGAGTCCAAGGCGGGTGTATCACCTGAGGTCTAGAGTTCAAGACCAGCTTGGCCAACATGGTGAAACCCCATCTCTACTAAAAATATAAAAAATTAGCCAGGCATGGTGGCGTATGCTTGTAGTCCCAGCTACTTGGGTGGCTGAGGCAGGAGAATAGCTTGAACCCGGGAAGTGGAGATTGCAGTGAGCCAAGATCGTGCCATTGCACTCCAGCCTGGGTGACAAGAGCAAGACTCCATCTCAAAAAAAAAAAAAAAAAACCTCATTTTTAATGGCTACATGGGGGCTTCAGGAGAAATCTTCACAATTAGACCTGCTCAAAAATAAGAGTTTGCCTAGCATGATTAGACTTGGGCAGGCACATGCCAAATTGCCACATGGTCACGGTTAATTTCCATGTCTTATTTTCTGACCTCATTTTTTCTTATTTGCCCAGCTTTACCAGCCAGTCCTTTATTTCTTGCAAACCTTACTAGGCCCATCTGCCACCCCATTCCAAGGCCCTTGACCTCTTTGTGTTCTAATCTGATTCTTTTTTTTATTATTATTATTTTGAGATGGAGTCGCACTCTGTTTCCCAGGCTGGAGTGCAGTGGCGCGATCTCAGCTCACTACAAGCTCCACCACCCGGGTTCAAGTGATTCTCCTGCCTCAGCCTCCTGAGTAGCTGGGACTACAGGCGTGTGCCACCACGTCCAGCTAATTTTTGTATTTTTAGTAGAGACTGGATTTCACTATGTTGGCCGGGCTGGTCTCGAACTCCTGACCTCGTGATCCGCTCGCCTCGACCTAATCTGATTCTTTTTATTCTCTGTTTATCTGACAAACATCAGAGCCACGAATAAACCATACTAACCCAAAACTTCTATCTACCCTGCTCTAGACTAATTGAACTCTGAAGTCTTTTCTTTAACCAGGTTGTTGAATGCCTTTGGGGAAATTTACACTCCCCTAGGGGGATTGTTGGCTATAGAAATCTGTGGTCTTCAACCGCAAGTGGTCTCTTCACAATCTGCTAATTCATGTTCCAGATCAGCTTTTATCTTTTATTCACCAAGAGCAACTGTTTGAAACCTTTATTACTCTTTTGATATTCTCTTAATTCACTTTGAGCACTTAGGCTCGTAAAGAAAGCAGGTGACCCTTTATCTTGCCCCAAAACTTACAGATAGTAATTTCATATGAGCTGTTCTCTCCTAACCAATTTTCTCCTTAAGGTCTGTATAGTATAAATTTTTCTTATACCCAGAGACCCTCACCGTACCAGATAAATATTCACTCTTAGCTTCTCCTTGTTGCCTCATTTTCCATAACTTTATAACTTGCTGCAGTTTTTTGTCTTCAAAAAACAAAAAAACTCAAACTTTTTTTGAGTGGGACTTACTGTCTTCACTTCTTTAACCCACATCTTGTTAACTCTTCATTATCTTAACATTCTGATGTCTGTCCTCACCATTTCCTTGAAATTGTTGATAAAGATCATCAGTGATTAACTGTTAGTGATCCAGATACACCTGGTTCTCCTGCAAAATACCTGTATCTTACAAAATATAGCTCTATGTATTGTAAGTCTTACCTAGTTAAATTATGCTAGCTCTAATGTTTAATTACTACTAATCTTTCTATTTTAGAATTTAGAAGGACTTTGAGCATGAAAGTTTGGCTGGCCCACATTTCTTAAACCTATCCAGGGGATTTTATATTTGACTGCTTCCTTTTCTCTATTAGCGTTTCTTCAGTTAATGAGAGCAGACATATATCACTGAATAAGTTCAAAGACAATATTACCATTGATTATCTCATTGGTTTTATTAGTACATGTAAGGTTAAGACTTATTAATTATTCTCTTGAGATCTTAAGGTCTTTGTTTCATGAATTTCTTTCTTTATAGGTTGATTCCTGTGTTAGTGAATGGCATGAAGTACTCAGACATAGATATTATCCTACTTAAGGTAAGGAAGCTTTTTTGATGAATAGGGAACAAGATTTTTATATTGACTTAGTACATCTTTGGATTTGGCCAATAAAACATTCATTGAGAATAGATCTCCTGTAAATAGACTTCCTATTATCCATAATAGGATAGAAGCATAAGTTTAAGTAATGATAAATTCTTGCTTAATTTGGTACTAGATGGTGACATTGGTAGGGTTATTATTAATTTCCCCTTAATTACTTGGAGTTATTTTAAAAACATTCTTATATATGCTGCTCTGAATTTGATTCAGGTAACTTAGATTATACCAGCCAGTGGAGGCCATGTAGTTGGCTGAAAGGGCCGTATAACCTAACAGGTGTGTTAGGTCAGTCTATTCGCCCCTCCATAAGGAATATGTTCTGTACATGGGCGTGGTTCTTAATCACTCTGGAAGTATATTTCAGAATTCTGTGCATGACCCCATCTCTGGATATTCTGTTTCTCTTACTCATGTACATACTATTAGCCTATAATGAATGCCACCAAAAATTTCTCTTAAAAAAACAACAGGGTGATGTTGAAGAAGACGAAACGATTCCTGATAGTGAACAGGATATACGGCCACGTTTTCACCGATCGAGGACGGTGGCTCAGCAGCATGATGAAGATGGAATTGAAGAGGAAGATGATGATGATGATGAAATTGATGATGATGATACAATTTCTGACTGGAATCTAAGTAAGTCAGAAAGGGAAAAGCACAGTTGCCTACTTTGATGATAACTTTATTGGGGTATAATTCATCTACTGTACAGTTTACTACCCATTAAAGTATACATTTCATTGGTTTTTAGTATATTCAGAGAGCTGTTCAACCATTACCACAATCAGTTGTAGACTATGTTTTCATCACCCATACCCTTTAGCAGTAACTCCCTATTGTTCACTGGCTCTGGGCAACTACTAGTCAATATTCTGTCTCTGGGTTTGCCTATTCTAGACATTTCATGTAAATGGAGTCATACAATGCATTGTCCTTTGTGACCATCTTCTTTAACTTAGCATAAAGTTTTCACGGTTCATTTTGTAGCATTCACTTGTATTGTGAAATAATATTTCATTGTAATATGCCACATATTCTCCATTCATTGGTTGGTGGACATTTGTGTTTCTCTTTTTGTAGCTGTTGAGTTGTGATGCTATAAATACTCATGTATAATTTTTGTGTGTAGACTTTTTTTGTTTGTTTGTTTGTTTTTTTGTTTTGAGGCAGGGTCTCTGTCACCCAGGCTAGCATGATTATGCAGTGGCGCAGTCATGGCCCACCGCAGCCTTGACCTCCCTGGGCTCTGGTGATCCTCCCACCTCAGCTCCCCAAGTAGCTGGGACTACAGGTGCTCACCAATACACCTGGATGAATTTTTGTTTTTTTTTTTTTGGTAGAGACAGTTTTGCCATGTTGCCCAGGCTGGTCTTGAACTGTTGGGCTCAAGCGATCCACCCGCCTTGCCCTCCCAAAGTGCTAGGATTACAGGCGTAAGCCACTGTGTCTGGCCCAATGTGTATTCAGTTCTCTTGGGTAAACACTCAGGAGAAGGATTGTTGGGGTCATATGGTAACTGTATGTTTAACCTTTTGAGAAATAACCAGGATGTTTTCCAAAGTGACTGCACCATTCTGCTTTCCTAGCAGCATTGTCTGGAGGGTTCCAGTTTCTTCACATGCTCACTTGCTTTATTATCTCTTTATTATTATAGTCATTCTAGTGGACGTGAAGTGGTATTTTGTGGTTTTGGTTTGCATTTTCCTGGTGGACCTGCTCTTATTTTATCATTATTATATTCTTAAACTACCATTTCTCAAAAGGCTGTTTGTTTTAATACTGTAAGAACATTGCCACAAGCTTTTTTGGTTTTTCTAACATGAGTGTTTTCTGTCTGGTAATTTGCATGAAAATTGGCTATCATAGGTAATTCTAAAATAATATAAGTTGCTTTATTATATTCAAATTTATTATAAGTTGCTTTGTTATAGTCAAAATTTATGAAATATGCTTCTTAAAATATGTTAATTTCCAACCTTAGCTGCAAATCATATCACCTGTGGAGCTAGCATTCTGGCCCACGCTTCCTAATTGGGGATGAACCTAAACACCTGTGTTCTGATTTTGCTTGCTTGTTTGCTGGATTTTAAACCTCTACTGCTCTAGTTCAGGGTTTCTCAGCCTTGGCACTATTGGCATTTTGGGCCACATAATTCTTTTTTTTTTTCTACATGTGAATGCCACATCATGCATGTAATTCTTTGTTGCGGAGGCTGTCCTGCACGTTGTGGGATGTTAAGCAGCATCCCTGGCCTCTACCCAAAGATGCCAGCAGCACAAACACAGTTGTGACAACCGTTATCTCCTGGGGGAACAAAATCAACCCCAGTTTAGAGCCACTACTCTAGTTCAAAGTGTTGGGATTTCTAATAACTATGATTAAAGCAGTTAAGAACAGACATTATCAGTCTGGGCTGTGTTCTTCATTTGGTTAGATAATGCTAATTTCTCTGTTGCCTCTTCAGTTTCCTGTAACTAACATTCTATTTAGAGTGCCTAATGTGCCAGGCACTAGGCCAAGGACTTTGCATGCATATCAAAGTCTGTTTAATCATAAGTAAGAATAAAGTCATATTTAACATTTCCAACAACCTTGAATAGGCAAGAAAACTGCAGAAAGAGAGATATACCCAAGGTTAGCATAGCTAGTACTGATAGCACATCTAGTACTGGGACCCAAGTCTCACTTGTTAAGACAACACATGGTGTTTACTACTATTACAAATTACTTCCCAGTGTATCCCTACTTTCAGATTAGGGGAGCAGGATGGCTCAAGATCATTACACAGAAAACTCTACAAAATAATATACATACATGGATGGGGGAACACTTCCTCTTCACATCCCATTCTTTGTATCCTTCCAAAAGCTTTTCTGTGCGTGCTTGGGAAAACATACAGGCATCTTTTTTAGAGGAGAAGCCAGTTTTCTAAAAGTGAAATCAGATTATATGTACTCTGCTGCTTTCTTTCTGTGTATCGTATGCCTCATTCTTCCTCAGTACATACAGATTTAGATTTCCTTTTGTTGCATGTCAGTGTACTGTTTAGTTGTATGGCTCTACCATGTGGTATAACTAAGATCCTTATTGATGGGTAAGGTGTTAATTTCTGGCCAATGTAATGGTTTTGTTTTGGTTTGGTTTGGTTTTTTTTTTTTTTTTTGAGGATTTTATTATTGTCTAGTAGTTTGTGATTAGCCATTTACTATGCCTAGTTCACGTTGGAAATTTCTGATATTTTCTTAGTCCATTTTGTACTACTATAACAGGATACCTGAAGTTCAGAATGGAGGGGCTGCATCTGGTGAGAACCTCCTTGCAACATCATCTGATGACAGAAGGACACACTTAAGAGCTCAATTCACGCTTATAATAAGCCAACTCTCTTGATAACTAACCCACTCCTACAGTAACGACATTAACCCATTTATGAGGGCAGAACCCTTAAGACCTAATCATCTCTTGATAGGCCCCACCTCCCATCTTCGTTGCTTTAGGGATTAGGTTTCTAATACATGAACTTCAGGAACACGTTCCTACCCATAACAGTTAAATGATATTTTTGTTGTTCTTTTTGATTTTGTTGCTCTTGTCTAAATTATTATTATAATAAAATCTGGGTTGATTTATAGTCCCATAGTTAATTCTTTGTAAAGAGTATTTTCTAGCATGCGTTATGTTTCATGTGCCAGTGACTTTTCTTCCAGTTTTTGTGTCTAAAGTCCAGCTAAGTAATTGTCTGTTTAATTCTAGATGATATACTGCTGGAAATGTTAAGTAGAGTTAATAATGTATGTTTTTTGCGTGATTGTAACAGTGATTGTAATCATGATTGTAATATGAGTGTATCATATTGAATGGTTATGTTAGAAGCACTGAATTGAGTGGCACAGTATTTGTTTTACTGTATAGACAGAATTCTAGTATGACAGTTATGTACAGAATACAATGTGTTCACAATTAATTTGCCAAGTAAGTTCTTGTCATAAAAAATATTCATCTTAATAGAAAATGTTTTTGGCTGGGCATGGTGGCTCACACCTGTAATCCCAGCACTTTGGGAGGCTGAGGAGGGTGGATCACGAGGTCAGGAGTTTGAGACCATCCTGGCCAACATGGTGAAACCCCGTCTCTCCTAAAAATCAGCTGTGCGTACTGGCACACACCTGTAATCCCAGCTACTCAGGGGGCTAAAGCGGGAGAATCACTTGAACCTGGGAGGCAGAGGTTGCAGTGAGCCAAGATCGCACCACTGCACTCCAGCCTGAGCGACAGAACAAGACTCCATCTCAAAAAAAAAAAAAAAAAAAAAAACCACAAAATGTTTTCACGTGACAAACTACCTCCTATTCAATTGAATTCTTATTTTAAAACTCCGTATTAGAGATACGAATAAAATGTTACATATACAATAAATAATATATAAGTAATAAGAGGTTAATGTAATATTTTTGAATTAAATATTTCCTTAGGAAAATGTTCTGCTGCTGCCCTGGATGTTCTTGCAAATGTGTATCGTGATGAACTGCTGCCACATATTTTGCCCCTTTTGAAAGAATTACTTTTTCATCATGAATGGGTTGTTAAAGAATCAGGCATTTTGGTTTTAGGAGCAATTGCTGAAGGTAAGCCTAAGTCCAGTTTGAATTATGTAAGTTGGCTTCTTACTACTATTAGGTACTAATAAGGCTAGGCTACTTTAAGGAATTTCTATTTTGAACCAGATAACTAGTATTAAACAGCCATAGGCCGTCTTCTAACCCCAGCTAGATATTTTGCAAAATGTTTTTGTTATAATAAAGGTAACAGAGGCCAGGCATGGTGGCTCACGCCTATAATCTCAGCACTTTGGGAGGCTTAGGCGGGTGGATTACCTGAGATGGTTTCAAGACCAGCCTGGTTAACATGGCGAAACCACGTCTGCTAAAAATACAAAAATTAGCTGGGCGTGGTGGCATGTGCCTGTAGTCCCAGCTACTTGGAAGGCTGAGGCAGGAGAATTGCTTGGACCTGGGAAGTGGTAGTTGCAGTGAGCTGAATTCGTGCGATTGCACTCCAGCCTGGGTGACAGAGCAAGACTCCATCTCAATAAAAAATAAAAACAAAAAAATTAAGGGAACAGAATGAAAGGCTCTGATGTCTGAAGCATCCCCATTGCTTTAAAAAAAAATCCTTGATTCTTTAGGTAAGTATAGGAAACACAATAAGGCAAGACTCTCTTCATTCTCTATGAAGGGTTATTATTGATTTTGTCCTGGCAGTAAACATCTATTAGAAGAAATTGAAACACTGTAAGATGCTTGGGAGCAGGTAGCTCTAACTTCAGGGTTTTAAAAATAATTTTGGTATAGGTTATTGTAGTATGTGTATAGCAGTAGAAATATTCTGAATTTTTTCATAGATACGTGTTTTATTTTCATAATCAACCAAAATAATGTTAACTAAATTTTAGCATTTTGAAAGATTTATTTTTTTTCTAGGTTGCATGCAGGGCATGATTCCATACTTGCCTGAGCTTATTCCTCACCTTATTCAGTGCCTCTCTGATAAAAAGGCTCTTGTGCGTTCCATAACATGCTGGACTCTTAGCCGCTATGCACACTGGGTGGTCAGCCAGCCGCCAGACACGTACCTGAAGCCATTAATGACAGAATTGCTAAAGCGCATCCTGGACAGCAACAAGAGAGTACAAGAAGCTGCCTGCAGGTGGGACAGATTCATAACACAGTGTTCTTTGTGGCAGTGAAAAACTTAATTTTCAACCTTCTGATGGAGTGTTGGTGTTAAACCTATAATGAAGTGTTTCGTAATTGAAAATTTTCCAGTTATATCAGAAAGCTTAGTTTTCTTTTTTCTTCTTGGTGAAGTGTTTTGCAGGATCTGTAGCTTTTGGGTTTGCATATTAGCGTATTTTATACATTTTGTTTGGCCAGGAGAATTTTGTCATGTGGGTTTTACCTGATGATTTTGTAGATCTAAATGTGACAACATCGATCTTAGCTGTTTCTTCTTTGGCTCATTTTTCCCACTCAGTGGTTATTATAACAGAACTATCTTACACCCTAATTCCCTCAGACATCTGAACTAGTGATGGCAGGACTCCTACTCTTGAAGGAATAACAACGTTTGAGCAGATTGACATCCTTAGACTACAGGTCAACCACCATAACTCAGAAAGTCCCACAGGGACCTGTGGTCTGTCACTTACCAGTTAAAGGTCTTTGAGTGCTTAGTAGTTCTGCTCTAGTAGCCATTCTATTGGTTGGTTTGGTGGCTGTCTCTTTATATCAAGCCAGCAGTTGCTTTTATTACTACAAATATTCCAGTTTCCTGCAATATACCTTTATATTTTAAAAGGGCCTTCTGCTTATGTTTATAGTTCTTAATTTTTCGAGTAGGTTTGCTTTTACCATTGACCTTGATAGTAGGAAAAAATAACTGTTGAACAAAAAAAAGGAAAATTTTATTTTATTTTTTTTAGATGGAGTCTTGCTCTGTCGCCCAGGCTGGAGTGCAGTGGTGTGATCTTGGCTTACTGTAACCTCCGCCTCTCGGGTTCAAGCAATTCTCCTGCCTCTGCCTCCTGAGTAGCTGGGACTACAGGTGTGCGACACCATGCCCAGCTAATTTTTGTATTTTTAGTAGAGATGGGGTTTTGTCATGTTGGCCAGGCTGGTCTTGAACTCCTGACCTCAAGTGATCCACCCATCTTGGCCTCCCAAAGTGCTGGGATTGCAGGCGTGAGCCACCGCGCCTGGCAGGGATAGTAAATTTGAGTTTGACCTTAATCCATCTGAAGCAGTCATATCTGGAAGATATTAAGGGAGGGAGGATATAGATTATGTTTGAGATCCTATAATTTATTCATTCAGTACCTCGGTTTTTTTTTTTAGCTATTAATTGTTAAGCATATACTAAATGCTGAGTTTACATAAAGTCCCTGCCATCTTGAGACTTACAGGTTAGTAGGAAATACAAAGCAGCAACATAATTATCATTTATGGCAAGTGCTATGGAAGAAATCGGTAAATAATTCACAGTGCTGATGACCAGGGCTTTCATTAACAGATGGCTTAGACCATTTTAGGAAATTCCTGATTGGGTAAAACAGAACATAAACATTTTAGCAATTAAGAGTTAGATATATCTTACAGTCAATAAGTATTCTTTTTTTTTTTTTTTAAACAGTGCCTTTGCTACCCTAGAAGAGGAGGCTTGTACAGAACTTGTTCCTTACCTTGCTTATATACTTGATACCCTGGTCTTTGCATTTAGTAAATACCAGCATAAGAACCTGCTCATTCTTTACGATGCCATAGGAACATTAGCAGATTCAGTAGGACATCATTTAAACAAACCAGTAAGTATCTGTTAAGAACTATTAGGGAAAATAATGTGTAGCATAGTTACAATTAATAGATTAGCATATATTTGGAAATTAAGATGTTTTGGGAGATGTGAATAGTTAGCGTTAGCTACTTTAAGAGTATAGATCTTACAAAGGCAGCAAGTATATCCCCTTTCATGTGGTATTCTTAAAGTAAATACATACTTGGTGTGGAAACTACAGCAGCATTTCACATGAATGCTCTGATACTTTTTAGAATGACTAAAGCAAAGGGATAAAAAAGTTTTTATAATCTGGATATCTGCTTTTACTTAATTCCTAATGTTTTTGAATCTACCACTTCATAAACACTGTAGCTTTAGAGTACCATATCTAGACATCTTTGTTTTTTCAGCAGGTACGGGGAGTATACTGTATAAAACAAATAGAAATTGGGGTAGTAGGTTTAAAAATGCTAAATAGTAATGCAAAAGTGCCTTGTTTCCAGTAGTGTTAGTAGAAGAGGAGGATGGATTTGTCTAATGAGGATTTAAGTGATAGTAGAATTTTAATATAGCTCCACATACCCTGCTGAATAGACTTCTATATGATTGCTATATCCAAAGTCTTAAGAAATTGTTTTATTTTTAAGTTACACTTAAGATTTGGTACAGGGCAGTTTATAGGTTTGCTTTGCTGTTGGTTGTTTGGTTTGGCTTTTGTGGGGGTTTGTTTTCTGAATGTCTTTAGAGTCTGTGCCCCTGTTTACATGATCACTATGTTTAGTCGTTTTATGGATCATTCTTTAGTTTGACACTTAAATGATTTTAAGTTTGTTTTTCTACAAAAGCATCTGTGTAAGTTTACCTGTTGATTTAAAAATGTACTATATAGTAACAGCCATATTACACGTTACAGTTCCATGACTAAAAGGAATTTTTTTGTGTGTGACAAGGTCTCACTCTGTCACCTAGGCTAGAGTGCAGTGGTGTGATCACAGCTCATTGCAACCTCCACCTCCCGGGCTCAAGCGATCCTCCCATTTCAGCCTCCCCTGTAGCTGAGACCACAGGCGTGTACCACCATTCCTGGCCAACTTTTTGTAGAGATAGTTTTGCCATGTTGCCCAGGCTGGCCCAAACTCCTGGGTTCAAGTGATCTGCCTGCCTCAGCCTCTCAAAGTGCTGGAATTACAGGTGTGAGCCACCATGCCCAGCCCCAGAACTAAAAATATTCTGTAACTTAAAGAGAAAAACTTAGGTCTGGGCACAGTGGCTCACACCTGTAATCCCAGCACTTTGGGAGGCTGAGGTGGGCAGATCAAAAGGTCAGGAGATCGACACCATCCTGGCTAACACGGTGAAACCCTGTCTCTTTAAAACTACAAAAAATTAGCCGGGTGTGGTGGGGGGTGCCTGTAGTCCCAGCTACTCGGGAGGCTGAGGCAGGAGAATGGCGTGGACCTGGGAGGCGGAGCTTGCAGTGAGCTGAGATCACGCCGCTGCACTCTAGCCTGGACGACAGAGCAAGACTCCGTCTCAAAAAAAAGAGAAAAACTTAGATCTTCCTTGATTGTGACTTTTTTAAGTAATAGATTTTGATTAGCTGTGTGTTTATTGATAGACTCTTTTTTTCAACAAGGATAAAAGATCAGTAGATCACTAGTTCTAGATCTAAAACTAGAACACGGTCATGTAAGTATAAAGGTAGGCAACAGAAAGGAAAACTTTAAAAGGGACTGTGCAGAGTGAAGAATGACTCTTAAAATGCCTTTTGTAATGATTTTACACAATTGCTCAAAATGGATTTTAATTTTCAAAGACTCAAAATGGTCTTGTTGACATGTGATAGTGGAATTTTATATGTTTTTCATCATTGTAAATAGGAATATATTCAGATGCTAATGCCTCCACTGATCCAGAAATGGAACATGTTAAAGGATGAAGATAAAGATCTCTTCCCTTTACTTGAGGTATGCAGGGCTAGTAATATTTAATCTGTTGCCAAGAACACATGTTCAAATCCAAAATGGGTATATATGATAAGAAAAGTGTTAATAAATTTATATTCTGAAGTAGACGGAGGAAATTATATGATACATACTGTTCTCTAACCTGCTTTACTTAATTGATAATAAATTAGAGTTTTAAGTTCTCTTATGTTATCTACTCTCTATATAGAGTAGATAGCATACTACTCTATATAGTATAGAGTAGATAACATACTGGGAGGATATATATACCGGGATATATATATATATCTTTTCACTCATACATATATGTTGAGTAGTGGGATTTGGTGCCAGTAAGGAGGTACTTATTTTCAAATTTGAAAATGTTTCCATGTGTACTTAACTACTTTTTTTTTTAACACCCCTTTCATTGCAAACTTTTATATGATGTTCTCGTAACTGAACACACTGTGAAATGTAGTCACTTAAACTTAGTTGAATTGACATTGATAGAACCAGTTCAGGCCTTTTCATTCTTGCTCCCTGTTATTTCAAGGTTCACCATCTTCTACCGTGGATTGTTCTTAGCCAAAGAAGTTAAATTTTCTATGACCAAGAGCAATTCTGGGCCCAGCAAAACAAGAAGAATCATTATGGTTCATTTTTTGTATGCAGTCGTCCCTCAGTATCTGCAGGGGATTGTTTCCAGGACTCCCCTTGGATACAGAAATCCAGCGATGCTCAAGTCCCTTATATAAAATGATGTGGTATTTGCATATGGCCTATGCACCTCCTCCCAATATACTTTAAATCATTTTAATTGTTTTTCTAAATACTTTTGATTCAAGATTGGTTGAATCCATAGATACAGAGGGCCAACTGTATATATATTACTTTCCGGCAGGATCTCAGAATGTGCCCAGTAAAGTCCATTCACAACATTGACCAGGATGGGAGCATGAAATGAATCTCTTCAATTTGAGGGAAAAATATGAACACATAATACTCAATCTGTCCTTTAAAGATAATGTTTCTTGTAGAAACGCTTCCTCTGAGTAAACCTGACCTGATTGGCTGGCAAACTAACAACAATGAATGGCTTCCAAAAGAGAGGGTTGGGGTGGGGGGAGGGGAACCTGCTACTGTAGAAACTAGTAGAGCAAGCTCATAAATGATCAGGATCCTGTTGAGCGCAGTTTCAAGCATTCATCATAATCTTCAGTATACCCAGAAAGTTTAGCATGTGTACTTTATTCTTCCTAGTGCCTATCTTCAGTTGCCACAGCACTGCAGTCTGGATTCCTTCCGTACTGTGAACCTGTGTATCAGCGTTGTGTAAACCTAGTACAGAAGACTCTTGCACAAGCCATGGTAATTTTTTTAAAATGTCTTCCTCTTCTTGACATGGTGGACATTTTTCTAAAGATAGGTATAATGTATACAGACTTTTTAAGTAGTTAATTAAAACCAAACTTACAAAAAACATTGTGTCTAATTTCAGCTAAACAATGCTCAACCAGATCAATATGAAGCTCCAGATAAAGATTTTATGATAGTGGCTCTTGATTTACTGAGTGGCCTGGCTGAAGGACTTGGAGGCAACATTGAACAGCTGGTAGCCCGAAGTAACATCCTGACACTAATGTATCAGTGCATGCAGGTGAGACTTGAAAGGTGAAAATGAATTGAAGCCTGTTTCTCTGTGTCACATTGGGGTTAATTTCTTCTTATTTCTTGTAGGATAAAATGCCAGAAGTTCGACAGAGTTCTTTTGCCCTGTTAGGTGACCTCACAAAAGCTTGCTTTCAGCATGTTAAGCCTTGTATAGGTATGAATATTTTCTACTGCTATGAATATGGTTTTTTAAAGTTAACATTTACATCAGCTTTGTTTTTTTATTATTAAACTGAAATTGCATGGAATCCCAACATTTATAAATGTACACTTTATTGGTTAAAGTAAACTTGCTGTGATTGAAACAGGCAAGATGGCAGGAACCCCTAATATTTCCTTGAGCTTGCCATCATCTCAGCTTTTTAGGTACTCCTGTGACTGGAGGAAAGCTTAGTAATATACTTTAGAGTAAAGGACATGCCCACCAGGGAAGCCTTGGTACCATGGACTAGTTAATAGATTCTTTTTTGAGTAGCCACCTTTTTGGTAGAGGTACACAGAAATAGTAATAATCAGGTTTTCTTCTCTAGCAAACCAGCATACTTTTTCAGATATTGCAGAAAACTTCCAACAAATGTCACTTTAACTGAGACTGGGCCTGGGGGCTCACACCTGTAATGCCAGCACTTTGGGAAGCCAAGGCAGGCAGATCACTTGAGGTCAGGAGTGCGAGATTCGAGACTAGCATAGCATTTGTCTTGGCCTTCTGTGACAATGATAAGAAATTCCTTGAATGTTGTACCCGGAATTGTTCTTAAACCTATGGGTTATAAATGAGTTATGGGATTTTTTTCCCCCTTTTCTGCATCTCAGCATGTTGGGTAACAATTATTTTAATACAGCCGGGCACGGCGGCTCAGACCTGTAATGCCAGCACTTTGGAAGGCCAAGGCGGGCAGGTCACGAAGTCAGGAGATCAAGACCATCCTGGCTAACACGGTGAAACCCCGCTTCTACTAAAAATACAAAAACTTAGCCAGGCGTGGTGGCTTGTGCCTGTAGTTCTAGCTACTTGGGAAACTGAGGCAGGAAAATCGCTTGAACCCGGGAGGCAGAGTCTGCAGTGAGCTGATACTGTACCACTACACTCCAGCCTGGGCAACAGAGCAAGACTCCGTCTCAAAAAAAATTATTTTAATACTTCATTTAAACCTTAATTTAAAATATTAATTGAATGTTTTGTCATCTGATATAATTGTGCTTTTGGATAACCATTTCTCAAAAAACTAACATAATTAACATTAATTATGATATATTAAGAACCATCAAGTTTAAACCTAACAGTGTAATGAATTCTTATGGGAAGCTTATCATTCTCATATTTACCACCTAATTTAGTTTTTTAGTTGAAACTTATATGAAAGGATTTAATTTTTTTATTATAAAGTGTTTAAGACGTACAAAAGTAGAAAAAATGTAACAAACCTCCTATCACCCAGCTTCAACTGTCCAGTCCTGTTTCCTATATACTGTTGTCAGTGGTGAGACACATAGATCTCAGATATTTTGGAGCAAATCTCAAACACAGCATTTGAAGTCTTAATATTTTAGTACATACTATACTATCTCTTCTTACAATTGTTTTTTGTTAAAGAAACCATGTTTTTTATTCTAAAGAGTTTCCTTTACTGTGGATTTTACTGATTGCATCTTTGTTGTCTTTAACATGTTCCTCTGTCCGTTGTATTTACTGTAAATTGTTTGGATACAGAGACTGAGGTTTAATGAGATTTACGTTGTTTTGTTTTTAAGACTTTATAGATGGTATTGTGTACTTAGTGTACATAGTGTCTAGTTGTCCCTCCTTTTTTTTTTTTTAATGTTACCAATCTTGATGATTGTCTCAATTAGTGGTTCTCAACTAGGGGCAATTTTGCCATTCGGGGAACATTTGCCAGTGTCTGGAGACATTTTGTTTGATGCTGGAGAGGTGCCATTGATGTCTAGTGGGTAGAAGCAAAGGATGTTGCTAAACATCTTATAATACAGGAGACAGCTCCCCTTCCCCCCAACAAAAAAATGATCTGGCCCAAACTGTCAATATTGCTGAGATCAAGAAACCCTGGCTTACATCTCCTGATTTATTAGGAGTTTAAAAAATTATGATATTCTAATTCTTCATTTAATAATGAAGATACTTATATAGGGAGACATTTCCCATATCAATAAATTACTATCCTGAGGTAAAATCATATAGCAGAGGCAAGATAAATACTTGATTCTTTTTTTTATTTACCAATTTTCAAAATAATGAATTGATTCCTATCATCCTCCAAAGGTATCTTTGATGTTTCAGAGTTTTGTTTTTGTTTGATTGTTTTTAGTGCTAGTGTGACTTCATGATGTTCAAGCTGTTGTACTGCTTGCAGTGAGAACTTAAGTTGGCTCCCGAGTCCTTTCATTATGACAAGATAGTCCACTTATTTTGCACATTTCCTGCCTTTGCCTGTAATGTGACGTTTTCTGAGAGTCCATTTTTTTTTAGTGGAAAATGTTATTCAGAGACCACAATCAGAGCACAAGAGTGAAAATTGCTTTAAAAGCCAAAATCATTGATTTTTTTTTTTTAGTCTAATTACAAGAGATTACTCTGACCAACTCTTTTTAGTGGTATGTAAAATATACCCAAACTTGTATTTCCTGTTCCACATTATTTGAAAGTTCATTGGCCAGATACTGTTTTCTTCAGTTTCTTAAGATAAACATTACCAACTCCTTTAAAAAATATTTTTAAATACAGTTGCCTAGTTTATTTCCACCAATTTTAAAATTGATGTTGCAGTAATTTTTTTAATGGTGAAACTTGTTATTTCTTGCTTAGATTTCTGTTTCCACCTAGTAGATTTCCTTTAAAGTACAATATACTGCTATTGAAAAGTTTACTACATAGTTTAAATTTTTTTTCTAGCTGATTTCATGCCAATATTGGGAACCAACCTAAATCCAGAATTCATTTCAGTCTGCAACAATGCCACATGGGCAATTGGAGAAATCTCCATTCAAATGGGTAAGATGTTTTTCCCTATTTAAAAGCATAAGGCCTGGCGCGGTGGCTCACGCCTGTAATCCCAGCACTTCGGGAGGCTGAGGCGGGCAGATCACCTGAGGTCAGGAGTTTGAGACCAGCCTGGTTGACATGGTGAAACCCCGTCTCTACTAAAAATACAAAAATTAGCTGGCGTGGTAGCGGGTGCCTATAATCCCAACTATTTGGGAGGCTGAGTCAGGAGAATCACTTGAACCTGGGAGGCAGAGGTTTCAGTGAGCTGAGATTGCACCACTGCACTCCAGCCTGGTGACGGAGCGAAACTTTGTCTCAAAATAAATAAATAAAATATAAATTTTTAGGTGCCTTGATATTTTTGTAATTGCTTTAATTTTAATTATTTGTATTTCTATATTTATATGACATGTCAGAGTTAATACGGGAAGCAAAATATTTCACATTGATATTTTAACGTTCAATTTTTTCTTTTTTGTTTTTTTCTTTTTGGGATGATCTCTAGGTATAGAGATGCAGCCTTATATTCCTATGGTGTTGCACCAGCTTGTAGAAATCATTAACAGACCCAACACACCAAAGACGTTGTTAGAGAATACAGGTACCATATGACTGAACTGTTTCAGTGAAGAGAAAATTTGTTGCCTTTTAATTTTAATATGCGTAGAGAAACCAAAGCAAAACTAGCTTTTAAAATCGAGCTTATTTTGTATTTAATTGCTATTTCGGATTTTCAGTAATGAAATAGACTGTTGCAGCTACATTCTATAACCAGTTTTCAGTGGTTATATATTCAGTGGTATAACCAGAAAAACACTTTTTTCCCCTATTCCAGTGTTTTAATACTTCCTGCAATGGATCCCAGCAAAGATAACTATTGAACCACCTGAATTTTGCTTTTAAATTAATTCGGAGAGTAACTGGGAGCTGGGAAGTAATTTTTTTTTTTAATCTGTCCAAATGTAGTCAAAAAGATTCAGTGGCAAATTGGTTAACAGTGGCATTTGTAGTTTGTATTTCATCATATAATTTTCTTCGAATTGGGAATTTAGGCAGTATGTTATGGGATTTTTTTTTTAATTTATTTTTTTTTTTTTAGGAAGCTTGTTTCTCTTTTGCATTTATAGAGAGCATGTTTATATTAAAGAGTACCTTCCATACTATAGAACACATTTGTGGGTGGATTCGGTCCTTTTCTTTCTACCCTCCCTGATTGCTGCTAACAATCCAGAAAGACAGAAATTTTGTTTTCATTCAGGCACATTCCTTTCTTTACATACTAAGATGATTCCCATAATTTATTTATAATTCAATGAGTATTCTACCAAAATACTAGACAAAGATTAAAATAAGGTTTTCCAAATAAGAAAGTTACTTTTCAAAGGCATTTTTATTTGGTATTTTTAAATTATAGAAAGTTCATTTTATTCTAATGCTATTAAAATTGATAATGTTTATTGGTATGGAAGGAAATCTTTTAATTATGAAGCAGTTATCTGGCTGTTTGGCTGTATGGGTACTGTTTATTTCACAAAGTGAATTAGATTTTCTTGCTGAAAAGTACAAAAATCTATGTATAGGATGGGTTATGAAATCTTGTTAGGATTTTATCTTTTCAGAATGCAGTACCTATACATGACATTCAGATTTGAAAGACTTGCCATTATAAAATTATTGTGGAACCTAAAGAAACTTCTATTTATTTTTAAATGTGAATGCTTAACTGCAAATAAATGTTGAGTGTAATGTATATGAAAGTTTCTTGTGGGATATCAGCTGGTGAATTTGTTACATAGTTTGTTTAACAAATTGGCTTTATTTATAAGATTATATTTTAAGTATGATTATATCCTACATAAATAAGTCATAATGCCCTAAAGTTGATGGATTAAATTGATATTATTGAGAAACACACTTGGGATTCATTAGATTACCTCTTATCACAAGTGGCTGCATAAAGTATTGTTTTCTTTATTTCTTACCCAAAAAAGTGGGGTTTTTTAATTATTAAAATCATTGTCAATGGCTAATATCTAGATTTTAGCAGCTTTTAATTACCATTATCTCAATATTTCATAAAGCCAATTCCTTAGTCTGCCGTTAATTTGCTTTTTTCCGATTAGTATATCCTGCACTGAACTTTTTCAATGGACCATCATCTGCTTTATCGCATGTTTCATTGGATTGTTCATACTTGCCTGTTTAATGAGAATGTTGCATAGTTTGTGTCTTTTGAACATAGGTTTTCTTTCTCTTGCTTCATATGAATCTGCTGGATTTTAGTATTATCTGTGTAGTTTGCTTCAAGTAATCCTTAAACATTTTTCTTTACCCCCCACCCTTTTTTTATGAAAGGTTAACCTGTAAGTTTTTGAGAGAACACCATTAAAGCACTTCATGGTTTGTTTTCTGTTTGTATTTTTTCCTGTTGTGTATGAATGTATTTACATGTACGTACCTTTGAATTGCAGAATGCAGTTCCGAGTTGCACTTATTTTAGCTCTTTGTAAGTTTAAAGACTTCCTCAATTTTTATGGTGAATATATGTTTGCCCACTTCAAAATTGTAAAAAAAAATAGTGTGTAATTAGTATAATGTATTATCTATTTTGTGCTATACCTTTAATAGCAGAAACAGAATATTTATTTTTTCCTGTGGTCCACATATCATATGTCATTGCAGTGGACTGTAAATTTCCTTTATTAGAATTTTATTTCAAACATGGCTTAAAGTTAGTGGACTGTTACCTGAGTTATCAGAGGTTTGACAACATGAGATTTGACATTGTAGCATAGCAATATTCTAATCCATTCATTCAGTGAGTACCATGAGACTTAAAATCTGACAGTTGATTTTGATGTAAGGTAACAAATTTCCACTGGTTGGTTTGGCAAATGTTAATCAAAGAAAAAATTTTTGAAACTACCAAAAATTTGGTTTAAATTCCCTAGATAATTTCCAAGGAATGGAAATCACTTTCACCTGTATTAGTTTGAGATGCTTGAGAAATATAATCACATTTACTGATATTTTCTCATGAAAAAAACTATAGATTTTATTATTAAATTCTGAAATTTTGGCTGGCTTTTGAATGAAGGTTCTCTAAATTTGTCCATTTAACTGCTCATCTTATTAACAGAATGATACCTTGACACTCGATTGAGCGAGAAAAGCAATTTCATCATGGTTTTTGGTGTTCTCTCAATCTTTAGATTTTTTTAATTCCTTTTGTTTTTCTTTTTCCAAGAGTATGCCATATATGTTGCTGCCCCTTATTTTAGGGGGTGGTAATAAACAGCACTGGTGAAATCTTATGTTTATTATCATACACAAATTCTGTTGGTTTCTGTTTCTGAGTTATTTGTTGTTTTTTCTTTATTTTTTCTCCTTCCCCCTCATTTGCTCATGTCTTGGTTGGCGTTTGGTGGTGTATAACCGTGATTGCGTTACCTTAGCAATAACAATTGGTCGTCTTGGTTACGTTTGTCCTCAAGAGGTGGCCCCCATGCTACAGCAGTTTATAAGACCCTGGTGTGTATTATTCAATCTTTTTTTTTAATTCATTTTTCTTCACTCTTTCTTTCTCTATCTCACTTTTAGATATATTTTCAGTTGGTTACAAAAATCACAATCCTTTATCATTGCCAACCATGTGACTAATCTTGTCCTATCAGGTTTGTGAGGTTTTTCAATAGCATCGTCATGTATATTTATTTTATGTTGTGGCTAACGACTAATTGATGCATGGGATAAGATTGTCACATGCTTGCTGTGTTAAAAAAGCTTGATTATACATAAAAAGCATTTAAATATCCACCAGAAAAATAAAGATGCATGCAAATTCTATAAATTTAGGTTTTTGCATTACGTTTCTTTTTTAGAATTAATTTGGAAACTTGGATTGCATTAAGAAATACATGTTTAAATTTGTTATGTATAAAAATATTATTTGCTTGTTAATGTAAAAGTTAAACATCTACACCATAAGCTATATAGTAATAGTTTATATTGTGGCACTATATCCTATGTTTTGCTTCTTTCAATTGATAATCTTTCAATTCAAATCATTTTAGTAGTGTTTAATGGAATACAAGTCATGAGTACAATTTTAAAAGTTAATTTGGTAATTTGTTCTTCTTGGCTCAGGCTCATTAATAGTTTAAATGGGAGATTCAAATTAGTTATCTACTTTATAAATGCAATTTATTAAGAAAATGTGGATTTCACTGTTTCTACTGTATTGAGATAAGATGGGCCCAACAAACAGGAAGTATGAGTAAACGAAACTAAAGCTTTCCGAAAAACTCTTTTAATATAATCATTATCTATACTGTGGTGCTTATTCCATTAAATACTGTCCATTAGTATTGTCATTGAATCTGCTTGTTACTTAAATGCTAAACTCAATTCTGTAATTCAATAGGTGCACCTCTCTGAGAAACATAAGAGACAATGAGGAAAAGGATTCAGCATTCCGTGGAATTTGTACCATGATCAGTGTGAATCCCAGTGGCGTAATCCAAGTAAGATGTTCACAAAGATTTGTTTTTAATGTCTAATTAATAAAATTTTAAAGGAAGAAACATTCTAATACTTTAATTATAAAAAGTTAACTATTTTCAAAGGTATCAAAATACAGTTAAACCTTTAAAATGTATATTTCTTAATATCTTGAAATTGTAATGCCTTTTTTTTTTCCTAAATTTTTTTTGTCATGAAATGAGATAGTAACAGCAGATTGGGACAACAAGGTTATATTCTTGTCTTGAATCAGGCCATGGCTTCTTTCATCCAAATTTCAGACCTCATTTATTTACTTTGTCCCTGCCTCCCATCCCTGGATATCAGTTTGTGGATATCTACAGTTAATAGAGTGACCAAATAGTAGGAATACTGTCTCTCTATTCTGAATAAAATACTTTGAATCAGATTTAGAAATAATGAATAAAATACAAATCAGCCATTGAAATTGCTCTAATTTTGAGAGCTTATGATTTATTCATCTTTGTTTTCCAAGTTCAAGTTATATGTAGACATTTTAATTATTCGGCAGTAGTATTGAACATGAGTCCAGTTAAGCATCTGGATCCAACTGCCAATTTTCTAGACACACAAAACAAAAACATGTTGAATTACACCATGTATATTCAGTGAACAAAATGCTAACTGTGGGACTCTAGGTTAAATACCTGGATTCTTCAGCAGACACGTTTAAGGAAAAGAAAGCGTGGAAGGAATCCTGTAGACAAGAGACCCAAGATACATCAAATCAATTGAAAAACGTAGTTGAGGCCGAGGCAGGCAGATCACGAGGTCAGGAGTTCGAGACCAGCCTGGTCAACATGGTGAAACCCCATCTCTACTTCAGATAAAAAATTAGCCAGGCTTGGTGGCAGGTGCCTGTAATCCCAGCTCTCGGGAGGTTGAGGCAGGAGAATTGCTTGAACCCGGGAGGCAGAGGTTGCAATGAGCCGAGATCGCGCTATGGCACTCCAGTCTGGGGGACAAGAGCGAGACTTCATCTGGAAAAAAAAAAAATGTAGTTGAGGGAGGGAAGCAAAGAACTAAATTTTGGTTTCCAGGAATGCACACAAGAGTTATAAAACTGCCCCAAAAAAATGCTTTTATAGCAATAACTTTCTCACATTTCTTAATTTTCAAGAAAATTGAAACTTTCCACTCCGAGAGGGGTGTTTTGAACATTTTTAAATTGTGACCTTTTGATGTTTCCTAGCTCGTATTGTGGTTTTTCTTAACTCGGTTTTAGAAACGTTAATTCTGTTTTATAAAATTCAAATTGATACAGGTGATAGACGTTGAAAACCTACAAGTTAGAATTAGAAAATAACTTCTGACTGATTTCACACTCATAAAATATTCATAACTTACTGTTAGAACAAGCCAGTGCCATCTTGAGAGGTTTCTAGTTACAAAATAAGCTTTTGACATTTTCTGGGTTTTTGTTTTTTTTTTTAATACTTAAGAACTTTGTGTGATCTCAAATGTGTGCTAGAGGTATCTGATATGACATGTACCATCTTTTTCAAAAGTATCTTCCGACCAAGATTTTATTGTTTCTTTGTTTTTGAATTAATGTTTTAAGATGATAAAAGTAGCACATGTATGATCATAAAATTGTTACCAACTTAAGAGTTGGTAGAAATTTCTGTTTTATAACTTTTATTCACATACCTTATTTTGGATATGGTTAAAATAAAATGTCATAGGTTTATTTACATTTAAATTTTTTAATCACAAATTCTGGGTATCTGTGCATTTAAATTTTTAACATCAGATTTGGTATTTGGAAGACATAATTTGAATAAATTGTGTTAAGCAAATCTTTTTTGCTTAAATAAACATACACACACTGTAGTATTACCAAATTTTTTGAAATTAGTGAAGTTTTCTGAATATAATAGTAAAATTTATAGTTGACATGTCAGAAAATCAGCAATATGTTGAATGCTGTTTGTTGAACTGTTAGTGTTTCAGTATGATAGGCAAGATTGAGAATATTTTAATGAAATGCTTAAAGCATATTATTATCTTGTTCTTATAGTCAGAATAGCCTGATTATCTTTTAAGTAATTGTCCAAAAGTTGGGTTTTTTGTTCTTGTTTGGATTGGGTATTTGTAATTACATAATTAGTTTTTCTTCAATTTTTTGGTTGTTTCAACTAAGTTATGTCTGAAAATGGACCTTGAAATTACTAATTTCTCTATTTCAAATCAAGGTCATTTAATATATATTTAGCTAGCTTTAATTTCTTTCTAGGCCAGTCAAAACTGTAAGATCATTGGTTTTATGTTTTTCTTTAATCCGGTAAATGAAAGAGTATTTTTATGGGTGTCGATTTGGTGCTTTCAGTTCATTTCTGATGCTGAACATTTATTGCACAGGGGGTTATTTTGTTGTGTGATGCAGGACATTAAAGTCCAGTATAAACTGAATGAGTTGAGGTTCCTTGACTGTGGGCTAATAGGGACAGCCATTAAGGTAATCTCTTCTAATTCCTTATGATCATAGTTAATTTTTAAATGTTTCCTTTTTTAAGCTAGATTCTATTGTGACATAAACTCTGAGGTTTACATATATCTTTTGCTGAGTTTGACAAATACAATATCAACCTAAGATGTATTTCTTGCTTGTTACAGGATTTTATATTTTTTTGTGATGCCGTTGCATCATGGATTAACCCAAAAGATGATCTCAGAGACATGTTCTGTAAGGTAACTAATAAGTCTTTATAATGCATCATCTTGAGACTGTTAATATCCTAGTGGAAAACTTTAAATTATGTTTACATTTTTTGTGAAAGTTAGGCTCTTCAAGTCAGTATTGATAGTTTACATATATAACCTTTATTCTTGGTAACAAAGTTGGCTTGATCTTTTCTTAAAATACAGCAGTGACTCTTATCTGTAGAGGATGCACTTTGAAAGTATTTTCCCAAGTGTACCACTAGTTTAGGTGGTCCCATTATTCCATTTAAGGAAAATAGTATATGTTTTTCAAGATGGAAATGGAGACTTGGAGTATAATCTGAAAAAGAGTAAATCTAAATGGCTGCCACAGGAGTAAGCCCATGTCATTATTTGCTTTGTTAATACCCTCTTTTGATTAACTCGTCAGTACTCAACCACAGTAAAAAATAAAATGCAGTTACACATTTGAATCACCCAAGATTAAAGTTAGTGAACTATAGTTTGTCGTGAACTCAAAGCTTGTGTATTTGCAGTTTGAAAAAATACGACATAAAAATTGTATTGCTTGGATGACTTCTCTACTTTATCTTTTCGTTAGTATGGTATCAGAGATTGCTTAGAGTATATCTGTTACTGGAACACTTGCCAAAGTCTAAACTTCTCAAAGCAGAGTTTAAGCATATGCTATGAGGTACTTTTAGGCAAGGCACGTGTATTAGTCCATATTCACGCTGCTGATAAAGATATGCCCAAGGGCCGGGCTCAGTGGCTCACACTTGTAATCCCAGCACTTTGGGAGGCCGAGGCAGGTGGATCACCTGAGGTCAGGAGTTCAAGACCAGCCTGGCCAACATGGTGAAACGCCATCTCTACTAAAAATACAAAAAATTAGCTAGGGGTGGTGGCGGATGCCTGTAATCCCAGCTACTCAGGAGGCTGAGGCAGGAGAATCGCTTGAACCCAGGAAGTGGAGGTTGCAGTGAGCCAAGATCATGCCGTTGCACTCCAGCATGAGCAATAAGAGTGAAACTCTGTCCCCGCCACACACACAAAAAGATATGCCCAAGACTGGGTAATTTACAAAAGAAAGAGGTTTAATTCGACTCACAGTTCCATGTGGTTGGGGAGGCCTCACTGTCATGGTGGAAGGTGAAAGACAAGTCTTAAATCGCAGCAGGCAAGAAAGAGAATGAGAATCAAGTGAAACGGGTTTCCCCTTATCAAACCGTCAGATCTCATGAGACTTATTCACTACCACCAGAAGAGTATAGGAAAAACTACCCCTATGATTCAGTTATCTCCCACTGGGTCCCTCCCACAACACGTGGGAATTATGGGAGTACAATTCAAGATGAGATTTGGGTGGGGACACAGAGCCAGACCATATTAGCAGGGAATGGTGTAGAATCCTACGAAGTTTGAGAATTGCTACTTTAAAATGGATAAAATTTATAAAAAAATCAGCTGTGTTGGATTTCAGAAGCTATGCTGATCTGAATTTTTCTCTTGTTATTGATAAATTAATGGTTTTTCACTCTTACAGATCCTTCATGGATTTAAAAATCAAGTTGGCGATGAAAATTGGAGGCGTTTCTCTGACCAGTTTCCTCTTCCCTTAAAAGAGCGTCTTGCAGCTTTTTATGGTGTTTAATCTAATACACTTAAGCTGCAGTCCCAAAATTAGGGGTAAGTTATAAGAAGTTTGGAAATTTTCAGGATGAAGAAAATTTTGTTAGGGCTGTCATTTCAAACTACTAAATAGAATAAAAAGCTATTTGTTTTCTATAGAGGTTGAATAAAACATAGCCTCATATCATTCTATCTTGGGCTTTAAATTTAAAATTACTTAAGTGGGCCAGGTGTGGTGGCTCATGTCTGTAATCCCAGCACTTGGGGAGGCCAAGGTGGGCAGGTCATTTGAGGTCAGGAGTTTGAAACCAGCCTGGCCAACATGGTGAAAACCCATCTCTACTAAAAATACAAAAATTAGCCACGTGTGGTGGGACGTGCTTTTGTAGTCCCTGCTACTCAGGAGGCTGAGGTGGGAATATTGTTTGAACCTGGGAGATGGGGGTTGCAGTGAGCCAAGATCTTGCCAGTGCACTCCAGCCTAGGGGACAGAGCAAGACTCCATCTCAAATAAATAGAAAATAAAATTACTCAAGTGAAGGCTAAAGAAATTTTCTTAATAGAACCAACAAGCCCAGAAAAACGATTAGCTCCAGTTTGAATCGTAGGTATAAAGAAATCCACGTTGGTACACTGGTTGGATTTCTCAACATTGCTTCAACTATTCCTTTTTTCTTTCTTTTTTCCTGCAAGAAGACATCGGCACTCATAGTGATGGGGTAAAATTGATTTCATTTTGGAGCATGAATTTATAGTCTCTGCTGTAACAAGGACTTTTCATTTCACGTGCTTTGAAAGAAAACTCAGTTGGGTTTTGGCCCACTGTTTTTGTTTTTCACTGTATGTTTCACTGAGTACCTACCATGTGCCCATCACTTTTTTTTTTCTTTTTTTTTTTTTTTTTTTTTTTTTTTTTTTTTTTTTTGAGACAGAGACTCTTTCGCCCAGGCTGGAGTGCAGTGGCGCAATCTGAGTTCACTGTAATCTCCGCCTCTTGGGTTCAAGCAATTCTCCTGCCCGAGCCTCCCAAGTAGCTGGCATTACAGGCACATGCCACCATGCCTGGCTAATTTTTGTATTTTTAGTAGAGATGGGGTTTCACCATGTTGGCCGGGCTGGTCTCGAACTCCTGACCTTGTGATGCACCCACCTCGGCCTCCCAAAGTGCTGGGATTTACAGGCGTAAGCCACTGAGCCCAGTGCCTAGGACTATATTTTAAAATAAGCAATGAAAGATTCTGTTTTAATTTGGGATGGACTATATTCATTTGGACTCTTGCTCCTTGAGCTCTTCTGTACTTAAATGGGACTAGCAGTTCTCATCTCTGAGCTTCGGTTTTGTCATTGAGTTATGTTGAGGATTAAATACTATACTGTATGTGATGCCAGAACTTAGTATGTTGCCTGGCACACTAAGTTGACTCAGTAAAGGTTAGGAACTGGGCCAGTACAATAAATATCAGGGTTTTGACATTCATCTTTAGATTTTCAACATGAATTAAGACATATCTGACTGGAAGCCAGAAGATGTGCTGAATGAGCATGTACAGAAGATGTACACCAAGTTGAATTACACTTTAGATTGAATTGGAGGAGTTTTTTTGGCTTGCTTGCTTGCTTGTTTACTCCAAGCTAAAATTTAAATCTGGAAAGATTTCACCATCCAAGCTGTCTAACCTAGAAGGTAGTAGAAATGGACTCAAAGCTTCCAGAATGTGTCAGAGCCCTTCATATGTGTTGTCCTACTTCAGTCTTGAGTCCTCAAGAGCTGTTTTCCAAAATGGCTTTGGCATTTTGGAAAAGTGCTGGATTCACCTTATGTTAAATTATGAGAATGCAAAAGATGAGAATGACTTGTAGCTTCAAAGCTTCAATGAGCTACTAACAAGTCTTGAGCACTTTCAGATTTATTACCTCTGTGGTCTCATCACCAATCATGAATTAACTGTTCTAAGACAAGGTATGAAATAGTTCTCGGTTTTGTAATTAGAGCTAAAAGTAGATCAGTATCTTTTATTCCTGCCTTTTTGTACTCCTCTTCCTTTTCTTCAGAGGCAGGAGAAAAGGGATTGCTTATATTTCTACACAGATGGATTAACTGCCCTCTGTGAATTCACATGAACGTTCATAAATGGCCAAAACTTGGCATGATTGGGTAGTAGAGTTCTGTTTGTAAAAGGACCACTATCAGGTAACAGTTTAAATCTCCCAGTAATCTTACCTTATTTCTTAATATCCTTTTTATCATTAAAACTGTTTAGCATAGAAAAAAGTTCCTACCAGAAAAACCAAGTGACTGGAAGATAGTGGAAATGACCAAGTGAAATAGGATCAGAATGGGAACTAATTAGGAACATCAAGAAGGCAAGTGTAGGCAGGGTGTGATGGCCCACATCTATAATCCTAGCATTTTGGGAGGCTGAGGTGGGAGCATTGCTTGAGCCCAGGAGTTTGAGACCTGCCTGGGCAACATGATGAGATCTCCATCTCTATGAAAAAAATTAAAAAGAAAAAAATGAGCTGGGCATGGTGGTATGTACCTATGGTCCCAGCTACTCAGGAGACTGGGCAGGAGGATTGCTTGAGCCCAGGAGGTTGGGGCTTCAGTGAGCCATATTCACACCACTGCGTTCCAGCCTGGGTGACAGAGCAAGGTGCTATCTCCAAAATAAATAAATAAATGTTAAATTTGCTTTTTTCTCTCTCTCTTTTTTTATGTAGAATTTGTTTGTTGATACTTACTGAATGTAGTGACCCTGCTGTGGTAATGAACACTTCTAGTGCCTTCTAGGCTTAAAATACCAGACAACCCCAAATAACAAATGCTCTTTTGTGTTTTGATAGGTTGGATTTCTGTTTGCTTAATATTGGGAATACTGGGGGAAAAAAAGATGGTGTTTTCATTCTAAGGATTGTCCTAAAGAAAGTGCTACTTTATTTTTAAGAAAGTAAGGCCACTTGTTATATAAGAAATAACAAGTTCCCATTGGGTCCCATTTTGCAAAAGGGGATAAAGAATTAGACTGATAGCATCATACGAGGCATATTTCACTATACAAAGTGTTGTACACCTGTCTATACAACTCTCCTACCCAGCTTGACCTCACTTTTCATACCTGATGCAGCAAACAATTCAGTGCCATAGGAGAAGGAAGCAGCATGGTTATAAGTGACTAACACGATATTAGGCAATTTGTCCAAATTTCTCATTTTCTTTATAGGTAAAGATAGCATTCTTATTTGATTAATTTTTTGTTCCACTGGCTTTGAAAGACAAACGATTGTTAAAGATAAAATTGTTTTTGTTCTTTTTCTTATAGGTCCTTCAGTCTTGGAGACTATAAGGGAGCCTCTGCACCCAGGGAAAATGTTACCCTTTACAGGGGGGAAGGGTAAACCAGTAGGGAATACAGTACAATCCCAACCCTACTGGGAGGGGCGGGAGGGAGGTGTTGCCGTCACTGTATTAAGTCGATGTTGGGAAACGTTTTAACATCTGGAGCCTTTGTGGGTGGAAATATGTCTCCAGTTACAACTCCGCAGTGGATGTGAAGAAGCAAAAAAAAAAAAATCTATTCAGTCTACTCACAAAACAGTACATTGTGGAATATTATGGGGAATTGTACCAAAACAAGAACCATATAAATGATGCCTAGGGACAAGAAAGAGGAACAATTCTATAGCGCACAATAAAGGAAACCTAAGAATGGGAGTTACAAATAGTAAAGAAGCTTTTTTTTTTTTTTTAATTTAAAGTTTTTTTATGTAAGTTTTCCCACATGATGGGGCCTTGTTTTGCATGTTGATGAAGAACTACACAAAGAAAACTAATATAGTTAAAAGTCAGCTTGCCTTCCCGTAGTAGAAGCAGGTTCTTGGAAGTTACAATTTAAGGTACCCCAAAAAAGTTGGAAATAAAACAAAACAAACATAAACAATGAAGCACCCTGTGAAATGCCAAATGAGTCACTCCTTTTACCTTTTTTGGGGTGGGCAGGGAGGGAGGAATAAATGGGGTTGGGCATATCAAACTAAAGATGACATCTTAATTTTGCATTGAACATTAATGTAGCGGATATAATTTGATGATTATACTTCATTAGATTTAATTTCTAGGCCAAGATGTTACTTTTTAAAGTGCAGTTTAAGGTTCAGGCATGCATTCTGGCTCATAGTGGTTGAAAGTAATTTAAATTAGTGGGAAAGTAGCATGCTTGCATCACATAGAGTGAGATTGGTATTCATTTACCTATGTTGCGCCAGTTTGTGTTGCAGTTTACCAATTCAATATAGCCCTGCATTTAAAGTTCCTTTTTAAGATTTGTGGATTTTATTTTTATTAAGAACATAGATATATAAAGTACTGTAGTTTACAGGTAGGCCTTGAAATATCTTTTTTAGGATCTGTTAGGAATAAGATTGATATTGTATTGTGTGTAACCTGCACAATGTGGAAAGCTGATATACCTGTGCAAAATCTTTGCCTCTGTGCTGTCAGTGTGATGTGCTTTCTGCATGGTTATATACTACTAGTGATTTTATCAAAACTTCTAAAATTTAAATTACGTGGTAAAAGATCTGTAAAAGGCTGCATAAATGTTAGTTGGCACATAAAGACAATTGTAGAAGTTGAAAAATGATTGCTATATTTCAATGTTTATTCCCACTCAACATACTGCCTTCTAAGCTTCCCTTTTTTTGTTCAAAGCATGATCTTAAAGATATGTTTAAGTTAATGGATGTAATGCAGGGTTCCTACACTGTATTTTGGCGCATGTTGGTGGCCCTCTGTGCCCTAGATATATGCACACAGGGTGCAAGTTAAAAGCTACAGAGTGAAAGTTGGTTTGGATCCTCTTCATTTCATTTGTTTAGCTTTTCTGTTATTTTTCTCTACTTACATGTATTCCTGTGAATAAATCCTTGTTAAGTTAACCCTTTACTTTTCCTTCCATGTGTATTTTCTTATATACTGTGAATGTGAAAACCTAACTGGTACACTTGATCTTGTGTTCATATGAAAGTGCAAGTCTTTATTAATTTGGATTGCCTGAACAGTGTATCCCATGATGATGAAGGAAAATGGAGAGATTTTTCTTTTTAACTCTGCTGGTCAGAGATGAAGCCACGCCTTTCCATTTTTCAATGCTGCATATTTAATCTGCAACAAAAATGTTAAGCCATAACAGCCTTTTTATATTTTAGTTTGTCACCTTTGCATTGCAGAATAAATACTGAATAACCATTTTTATAAGCAGTTGCTCCTCTTTGCATGGTTCTATTCTCTAAAAGTGTTGAATGATACAGCCATTGCACTGAAGTTTGAGCTGTGTGCGTGTGAATTTATACTGTTTCAAAAATTTCAAATGCATGGTAGCATGTAGAAAGGTTTTTGTTACTATGTGTGTGTGTGTGTTTTGTTTTGTTTTGTTCTGTTTTTTAACGTTCTTTCACCTTTCCTCTACTTTGGCTTTGCAAATTTCAGTCTGTAGAGCCTGAAATTAAATTATTTTATAGTGCCTGATATTTTTAATATTATAAGTTGGATTCAAAGGGTATACAGCATTTTGTTTTCTAGTACCATTGCTTCACTGGGAGCTCAAAATTTGCCTCCCTGTTAGTCTTTAATAACTGAGTAGAGTAGCTTTTTTATTCTTAGATTATAGTGATATTCTGTAGTGCTTCAAATACTTAGAATTCTAATATGAGAGATAGTTTAATATTCTGGAATAGAGAGTATTTTAAATTGAAATGACCAAATTCGATTTAAAACAAACACATAACAATCTTCAGTAAAGTTATTTGAACCTGTGGTTGACAATTCTGTATTGACTAAAGGCAATATTGTCACCTGTCTCATTAAAAATTAGTTTCCAGTTAGGCAGATGAATAACACTATTAAAAATGCACCCAGTTTTGTAGTCACTTGACTTTTTTTTTTTATTTAAATGAAATTTAATTTGAAAATAGAAAATAAAATTAGGTAAATATGACTGGCAACCTGAATTTGAGTTGGGATTCTTTGTGTATTTTTCCCCCTTGAGGTTATTGTTTCTTCCTAATTTATATTTCAGATACATAGTGTAGAACAGGAATTTGCAGAAGCCATTTAAGTTATCTTTTGAGGTAAGCTCTGATTTAGCATTTATTCTGATAAAATCTAATACATCATGGGATATATATAAAGCAACTTAATTCTTGTGGTGTAGTCTTAATAGTTTTGAATGTTGACTGAATGTCTATAAAATTGTGAGTTTGTCTTTGTTACATTCCAGTGTTTCTGCCTCTTGGCATGCTTAAAGCACGGCTTACTTCATCTGCTCCTTACACACTAAAATGCTGTTAGTGTGCTCAACTACAGAAATAGCCGCTGCTAAGTGATGTAGATTTTCTACTTGAATATTTTTATGTTGTAGGAACCTCAGGAGGTCAGTGTTTACTGTTTTATATATGCCTTCTTTTTCCTGTTTGAGCTTCTCTCTTTGAAGGATTCTAACAGAACAAAGCTGCTGATCAACCTAAGTTGGAAACAGAAAGTGTAATTAATATAACTTAAATGCATGTTTGGCAGTTCCATGTTACAGTCCATTAGCGAGTGAACTTAGTGCCACAGGTATTCATTTATTCAGGAAAGAATTTTGCTTTTTGTATTGTCTAATCTCTTCAATGACTTCATACTGTGTAAAAAAAAATCACTTTTTAATATTTTTTGGTTGGTTATTTCCCAAATAATCAACATGTAAATAATCTTTTAAGAGCCAGTTCTGATGCTTTACATTATTGCTACTTGATTTTGTTATGCAAGTTAGATTTCAGAAGAATAGATTTTAAAACACTTAACCAAGCCATTACATCTTAAAAACAAAACAAGTAGCATACATTTTGTAATTAACATTGATAAACACTGTGATTTTTTTGGTTAAGACTTTTTCATTGATCTGAATTGCTTAAATTGCATATATTGTAAAATAGGATCAGATGTATATTTTAAACTAATTTCAATGGATTTTCCTCTTGAAATGCTTTGTCTACTCAGTTATAAAATATTCAGATACAAGTTTTATCTCAGGTGAATACTCTTGTATTGTTTTTGCTTTGGTGACATGCTTATAAAGGGTCATCCTAGTTACATTCTTTGTTTTTTAAGTGTATTTCATTGAGAATCTTTCCATTTAGTCTGATTTTTTTCCTAATATTCTAGCAGGCTGGGGTGGTATAAAGCCCTCCTGACAAGCCTTTTGCCTACAGGTTTACCTGAAAATGAGCTACATATGGTCGTCATTTTCTTCAAACTCTCAAAATAGGAAAGTGGAAATTTTTCTCCCCTATATAAAATTATTCTGCCTAGCAGAAATGCCAGAAATAAATTAATTGCATCTTAGTCTAAATTTAAGTCCTTTGCCATGAGGAAAAAGTGGTTTTTTGCTTCATATGGTAAATCTATATTATTCATATTGAATGTATTAACAGATAATGGTGCAAAAGCATTCTTCCCAGGGGAAGAGTGTATCATGCATAACTGCAATTTAAGTCCTTCCTTTGATAATACTTCAAAACATACACAGCTTTGCTTACTGAATTATTTTTGCAAATAATACAAGGAGGGGAAACTAACTTGCTACTAGTGTTGTTAATGAAGTATAGGCCTTGGAACATTTAAGAAAACTGGTCTTCAGATAGTTAAGGGCTTGGGATAATTTAAGTGAAAAGTGAGATCAGTAATGAGCTGTGTTGTTAACAATATTATCTGGTAATAATACCATGCAATATAGCGTTGTATACCAACTTAGTGCATTTTATACTGTATTAAATATGGAGATACTTCTAATGCCTCTCTAAAATTAAATTTTACATAAAAGTTAGTTTTATTCACCTTTAGGCTTTCCAAGTGAATTGTGACTAATTTTTTCAATCTTACATAGATCTTTCACCCATTAGCATTACTTACGTAGATAATTCTTTATGCCTAGTTATTATACATATTAATTTTTAAGGTATACATTTAAATTACACAATTGTTCATTGTGGTTTGTATCCCAGAATGTGTTGTGTTTTTTAAAAGATGCATAATAGCTGAATGTATGCATGACTTTGAAAGAAGTTAAAATGGTGATTTTTTTTCACCTCTTGTACATTTTAAAACCAGGCCAAATCTATTTGCCAAGCAGTGTATCACTAATAAGAAAAGCAGTTTTTCCTTTTATTGCAGTTTTTGTTTATCTGCCATAGAATTTCCTTATACTGTGGCTTGGTATTATTCAAGATTAGCTATTTCGCTGGTATTACATCTTTTTAAAAGCCTATTATAACATGGTTAGCCTATAAGGCAGTGTTGGTCCCCTTCTAATATTGGCCTCATAAAGGGGTTCCACTGTACTTTCCGCATATTACTGTGTTGTTGTTTTCCTTTGTGGATATATAAGCAAATTGAGCTTGGGTGATTTTTATGGAGACAATAATTAGACAATACTGTATAATTAGTTTTACTTAATAGATTATCATCTTGTGAGAAGAGATGTTTAAACGTGGTAAATCACTTCATATTACAAAACAGTTTTACACTTAATATGTTAACATTGGGTGCAATAATTTAGTAGCATTAGCTTTAGTTACAAATATAACTGGATCTTTCTGCTGACAACTTAGGTTGTATGAGTTATGCTTAAAAGCTTTAAATCTGATGTTTCCTGTACCTGCCACACTATGTTAGAATGTGTCCTTCAAACATATCCTCCTGCAACTTCTCAAACTGTACTAAATTGATATTTCTTGAAGTCTAACTCTGTGCTAACAGATCTCCATTTTAAATAGAATACGGTTTTAATTTTTGATAAGCTGCTGAATTTTAAAGAGAGTTTTTTGGGGCCACCAAATATTTTGGATCATGCAGAGAATATATATTGTACTGTAGTAATTTTGTATTTACATTTGTATGATGTGACATAATAGATGTGAATGTTAATCACTGCTTGACTATGTTAATAAAGTTGTTTAACTATAGATGTTGCACTCTGATTTTTAATGAAAGGAAATGAGTTTTCTTTTTCCCTCTTACCCCATTTTGGATCTAGATAAGCCTTATGTTTTTTGGGATTTTTTTCCTTGTTTTTAGTTTGAGGTTTTGTTTTGTTTTTTCCTTAGCTTACACATTAGTACACTTTTGTTGTTGAACATCATTTATTTCTTAAAACAAGTGTTTTCTTATTTGTATAGTATAGTAAAAACCTGTTTTTCCACATTTTAACTTAACTCCTTGATGTGTTTTAAACAGTTGATTATAGGTTCTGCTGTTTGAGGATAGGGGACATACTATTCTGTAAAAGGAATTAAAGGCGAAATTGTGAATATAAAAAGTTGATGTAAGGAGAGATTGCATGAGTGTGTATGAATGTATGTCCTATTAAGGCTTCCTCTTTATCCTTCAAACAGTTAAGATTTGTAATTTGGGGAATTAACATTTATAAGAGTAATTTTTTCTTCAGGTTGTAAGGCATTAATATAGTTGCATGTTACTAATTAAATGTATTAACACATTTCAGGGAGTATGTGTGCATAACTGTCATGGTTTTTTTTGTTTTTTGTCTTGTTTTTGAGATGGAGTCTTGCTCTGTTGCCCAGGCTGGAGTGCAGTGGCACAGTCTTGTCTCACTGCAACCTCTGCCTCCCGGGTTCAAACGACTCTCCTGCCTCAGCTTCCCAAGTAGTTGGGATTAAGGCATGTGCCGTCACACCCGGCTAACTTTTATATTTTCAGTAAAGATGGGGGTTCACCATGTTGGCCAGGCTAGTCTCGAACTCCTGGCCTCAGGTGATCCACCTGTCTCGGCCTCTCAAAGTGTTGGGATTACAGCTGTGAGCCACCATGCCTGGCCTTGTCATACAGCCTTTTGAGATTTAGAACAGGAAAGAGCCTAAAATTAAATCAGTACAATTCCAAAACTTTTAAGAGAGGTGAGGCTTGGGTTTCTTTTTCTTTGTTACCTGGCCAAGAAAATATTTGAGAAGAGAGAGTTCTCTTGTGTTAACAAGAAAATAAAATTGAAACTTGGACATCATGTTCTAAAACACAGCCTCAAGAGTTTAATATTCCAGAATTTTAGGACTTAGGTTGTGGGGAAAAGATAATTAAAGTCATCCTAATTCTTGTTCAAGATTAGGAACCAAAAGTCTTTTCTAAGTCGTCAATATTTTAGTGATACTAAAGCCCTATCCATTTTATGCAAATGATCTTTTTCTTCTCAGTTCAGGTGATGAAACCATCGTAATGATAAATGAGTAAGGCTGGCTTAACAATTCTTGGACTGGCGGGCATTCTTGTAATGAGTTCATAATCAGTATGACTCCACAATTTCACGTGATTCTTTAAGAATGATTGGAAAAGTGGCAGCAGGAACTACAGAGCTAACTTGAATTTCCTTTGTGTTCTATACAGTTGAATATGGAATTACCAAAGCTCTGTCATTTTAAAAATTCTTTATTTCTGAGTTGTTAATTTGATGTAAAAGTGTAAGAACCCCCGAAACATCTCCATTATTCAGATAGACACAAATAATGTACACATCACAATTAGTATATATTTTTTTTAATTGAGAGGACTCTGGCTCTGTCTCCCAGTCTTCAGTGGCACGATATCTGCTCCCTGCAACTTCCGCCTCCTAGGTTCAAGCAATTCTCCCATCTCAGCCTCCCAAGTAGCTGGGATTACAGGCGCACGCCACCAGGCCTGGCTAATTTTTTTTTTTTTTTTTTTTTTTTTTTTTTTTTAGGAGAGAGTTTGGCCGTGTTGGCCAGGCTGGTCTCGAACTCCTGACCTCGAGTGAACACCTCGAGTGGTACGCCCACCTTTGCCTCCCAAATTGCTGGGATTACAGTTGTGAGCCACCGCCCCTGGCGACAATTTGTAAATTTAACGCAATTTCTAAACCATTGGCAAGAACAATACAGAGAAGAGTTGTTATACTGAGACCCTTTAGGTTTTTGTACCAGTCAATTCTTACATGCATGTTATGGCAGTCTCACTCTGATGATTTAAATCTTAAGTATTCTTTTCAAGCTTTGTGTTACTTCTTGAAGAACTTGAAACAATTTTAAGAAAGACAAGTGAACAGTTAAATGAATTGTAATACAACTACCTAGTGATAACTGCTGTTAATATCCTGTGCACATATATAAATATATGGTGAATTTGTGTTTTTAGTTATATCCAGAATTGTTTGTTAATATACATGGACATACCTACATATTATTCTATAAGCAATTTATGCAACTGTCTTACTGTTGTTGGACATTCAGAAGTTTTTTCTAATTTTTCACTCTTAGAAATAAAGTTTTAGTGAGAGTCGCAATGCTTAAATGTTTGCAAACATCTGTAGCGATTTCTTAGTGAAACTAGCAGGTCAAAGGTAGTTGGTCTAGTCAGATTACCTTTCAGTTAAATTGTACTCATTTTCATATCCAGCACCAACTCCAGTGGATTCTGTCATGTGTGCTGTAAGTTGTGATTTAATAGCATGATTTTCTAACTTTAGGAAATTTTATATACAAAATCTAGGTTTTTATATTACATATTTAACAGTTATTTGAGTCTTATATTGCAGGCAGTGTTCCGTGATCTCATGGAGCTTAACATTCTCTTTTAGGAAGACAGTAGTGTGTTAATGGTGGCAAGTGCCCATAAGGAAAGAAGGAGATGGAAGGTGATGATAGAGTGGGGGAGGTTGCTTTTTCAAATGGAGTAAGCAGGTAGGTCTGAGAGGGTGTTGTCATATGAGCAAAAAGCTGAAGAAATGATGGATGTCTGAGGAAGAATACTTCAGGTAAAGGGAACAATAAGGACAGATGTCCCAAGAACCATAATGCGTTTGTGTAAAACAAATGAGAGGGTTCTAATTTGAGCACCCAGAGTAAGGGAGAAGAGTAGATTAGATCTAAGAGATAACTGGAAGGCCAGATGGTATAGTTGTTATATCTGAATGAAGTAAAGGGTCATTGTAGGGTTTTGGGTTAGAAAAGTGATGTAATTGAGAATAGACTATAGCACAAGAGTCGAAGCAAGTAGACCCTTTTGGGGATGCTACTATGAACAGGGAAGAGTTATCAGTGGCTTGAATCAGGGTGGTAGTGGGGAAGGTGAAAAGTGGCTGGATATCTGGATATGTTTTAAGGAGGAATCAACATTTGTCAACATACTGAATTTGGGTTGTGGAGAGAAGAATCACAGATGGCTCTTAAGACTTTTGGTCTGACTTGAGCAGCTGGAAGGGTGCAGTTTACCTTAACCAGAGTAGGGAAGATCTGGCATTTGGTTGGAGACATCCATGAGAAGTAGAGTAGGCAGTTGGAGTTCAGGGAGATAACCTGGCTGAAGATGGAAAGCTGGAAGTTGGTGTATAAATACTGTTTCAAATCATTGGACAAGAACATCATCTGAGGACTGGAACAATTAAAGATGGTAGGGACTAACCCTGTAGCACTCAACATTAAAGTCTGAGAGCTGACTAAAAATCAAAGGAGCGTAGTATTGTGATGTATATTGTCTGCAGTGAGAATTACATTTATAGCATGAAGGTCATTATTTTGGCAGATTTCTGTATGGCTATGGGAGACGTAGAATGAGGGCCATCTCCTTCCTCTCTTCTAGGGTTCTACAAAGCTTGGGCTTCTGTTTTCCTCAAGGCCAAGTTCAGTGGCTTTGTTTCTTTAAAACTGAGTTGTTCAAAAAATTTGGAAGCTTATGAAGAGTGAATAAACAGGCCAAAGTGGCCAGATTACAACCCTGAATATTACCAGCTTGTAGTGTCTACATTCAAAATAAAACACCATCCCCAAAAAAAGATGAGCAACAAGTTTTTGTAATTAGATGAGATTATTTTAGAGTTCATATGAAAAAGTAAGATAAGGCAGAAAAATTGTTAAAACAATAATTAGTGTGGGACAATGCCAGTTTGACATTCTTTTAAATTGTGGCTTCAGGAATTAAAACTGATGCATGAATAGGCAGCTTAGAAGAACTAAGTTTAGATCTAAACATCTAAATACACTAGTATATTTGGAAACTATTTTATGGCACTTCAAAGTATAATTTTTAAAAGGCCAGGTGTGGTGGCTCATGCCTATAATCTCAGCACCTTGGGAGGCCAAGGCAGGTGGATCTTGAGCTCAGGAGTTCGAGACTAGCCTGAGCAACATGGTGAAACCCAATCTCTACAAAAAGTACAAAAATTACCTGGGCGTTGTGGCACTTTGGTTGGACAAGTTGGGAGGACTGCTTAAGCCCAGGAGTTCAAGACCAGCCTGGGCAACTTAGGGAGATGCCCATCTCTACAAAAAATAAAATTAGCCGAGCATAGTATCGCACACTTGGGGTCCTAGCTACTTTTGGGAGGCTGGTTCGCGAGGATCACTTGAGCCTAGGAGTTGAAGATTGCACTGAGCTATGATCATGCCACTGCACTCCAGACTGGGCAGCAGAATGATACCCTGTCTCAAAAACAACAGCAACAAAAGTCTGCATGACAGTAAAGCTTGGGAAAAACTTGACAGACTCCTTTCACAGAAAATGGTAATGTTCTAATCTATAAAGCACTACAAGTCAGGATGGCCCAATAGAAAAGTAGGCAATGGGTATGTATAGTTCATTAGTTTGAATTTAAGATTTAAAGATAGTCACTCCAATCAACTGAAATTTAAAAGGTCACACACACATTAAAGGTGAAAGAGGTTTGAGGACATACTCTTATCTAGGGAATACAAAAACAGACATTCACACATCGCTAGTGGGAGTAAATTAGTACAACATGAAGGGAACTTACAAATTACTAATATATTTAAAATACATTTATGTGTGTGTGTGTGTGTGTATAGTTTGACCTATAAATCATCCCCTAAGTAACCTGCATGATAGCCCATAAACAAATGGAAAGGTGCTAAATATCTTCACATTCACTGAATTGGCAAAAATTGAAAACTCAGTCTCTATCAATTGTTAGGATGAATGATGGAGGAATAGGAATTTACAGTGATGATTTAGTCCAACTACTTTGGAAACCAATTTGCCATTACCCAGTAAAGTTGAACACTTGCGTAGGCTAAAACCTATGCCTACCCCTAGACCTATGTTCTACCCCCAAGGTGTATGTACAGTGTATATATGCCTTAGAATAACTTGACATATGTGCCAGGAAACAATGTATATCAGCATTGTAATAGCAAAAAAAAAGGAATAACCCAAATGCCCGAAAGAATGGGCAAATTTTTAAAATAGAGCTTGGCCAAAAAAGCCAGTCTCAATTCTGTAACTAAAGAGAAGCCATTTATATCGAAGTTTAAAAACAAAAAATACATAGTGATGCATGTATACATGTATAATACAAAATTAAGATGGTTACATCTTTGAAGCAGAGCTGAGAATACAATCATGAACATCTGTGTACCTGGGTGGTGGGCACATGGATATTCTTTAAATGGTACATACTCATTTCACACATAACTTCGTTGCACCAGAGAAGACCTATTTGCTTACTATGCAATGGCAGCATATCTTTATTTTTATTTTATTTTATTTTTTTTTAGCAAGTTTGCCTTTTACAATAGAACTAGGACTGGGAAAAAAGGCAGTTTTTTGTTTTTTGTGTGTGTTTTTGTTTTTTGAGATGGAGTTTTGCTCTTGTCGCCCAGGCTGGAGTGCAGTGGCACAATCTTGGCTCACTGCAACCTCCGCCTCCTCGGTTCAAGCGATTCTCCTGCCTCAGCCTCCTGAGTAGCTGGAATTACAGGTGCCCGCCACCATGCCCAGCTAATTTTTTTTTTTTAATAGTAGAGACAGTGTTTCACCACGTTGGCCAGGCTAGTCTCGAACTCCTGACCTCAGGTGATTGACCCGCCTCGGTCTCCCAAAGTGCTGGGATTACAGGCATGAGCCACCATGCCCATCCTAAAAAGGCAAATTTATAACAACACTTATTATATGATGTGTTAACTCAAGATCATTTCTAATCCAGTATTCTTGGGAACTAAAGAGTATAAGAGCTTTTGTTGTTAAACTCAAGTATTCAATATTTTCTACAAGGACAGATAATACATTAGATTGATGCAAAAGTAATTGACGTTCTTACCATTGAAATTTTGTCATCTTTACTGACAAAATTCCTTAAGTACTTTCACTTTTTCACTTTGAAGGCACATATTCCCAACTAGGAAAGTATATCTGAGATGCTCTCTTCTTAACACTTCCTTACAGTTTAAAAGTTAGCACTTGTTGGAAGGCCCACTCTTTATATGTGAAAAGAAAGGAATTGAAGGTTACTAAATCTTTCCCATGTATGCTAGGATTTTACAAGCATTTCTGTTTTTGTTAAACCTCATCGTTTATTTGTCCTTTGTAGGCATGCACATTTTCCTTAAGATTCTTAGAATGAGTTTTATTTTTCTTGAGATTCTCTTAGGACTCTAAGCTGAAGCTATACCCAGTGATGTATAAATCAAAATATTTCCATTAGAGGGAGCCGTTTACCTAGATTAACCCTGGAATGTTAGTATCAGAACAGTATTTTGTAGGAATGTAAGGCATATACATATAATAAGCATATTTCCACCCCTTAAGGTCACTTACTTCAACATGCATTTTTACATGAAAATAATCTTGAAAACATTTTTTAGAGCAGTTTTAAAATTTCAATGCCATTCTCACCTTGGAATGCAGGAAACCTTCAAGATATTTCCTTAAGTCCAAGTACAGTGTTTATGATATAGACAGGACATTTCAAACGTTAATGTACATGTGTGTCTCCTGAGAATCTTGTTAAAATGCATCTCTTGATTCATTAAGTCTGGATTGGTCCTGAGATTGTGCGTTTCTCACAGGCTCCCAGGTGATGCCTCATTGTTTGTTTATGGACCTCACTCACTTTGAGTTAGCAAGGACCCAGAGAGTTCTTGGGAAATTGAAGTTCCCTTTTAACAACAATAACAAAATAGCATGTACACTTCACAAGATGTCAGAGGCTTTGTGTATTTTGTTTGCTTAAGTATCTCCAGTGCCCTGAACAATTCCTGAAACAGAGTAAATGCTCAGTAAATATTTGTTGAATGAATGAGGACATGTCTAATTGTTTTATGTATATTAACTCATTTAATCTTGACAGCCTCTGAGGTAAGTTCTATTATTCCTGGCTCACAGAGAAGCAAATAAGTCATATGTAGTGAAACCAGGATTTGAACCCAAATAATTGATCAGTGTGACTCAAGAGCCCATGCTTTAACAAAAATACTCTACTGTCACTGCCACCCGTTTTTAGGTAAGTTGTTACCAACACAGAGCTCAAGTATCAGACTGATACAGGTCATTATTGTCCAAAGGCCTGATATATCTGTTTATGGTTGCTTGTTTCTGTCTGATTGTGAGGTTTGCTATGCCACAACATAGAGTCCTGATGATGGTAGTCAAGACTGCACACTGTTGGTGTGCGGAGCATTTCCCCACTCTGATTGGGCTCACACATCGGGAGTGGGAAAGAAACAAGAGAGACATTCAGTCACTCAGGGTTAATGAAGGAACAAGGGGCCCACTAGTCCTTAACCCATTATCTAATGTGGTTAAGTCTTATAGTTTCATCAGCCAAAGGAATGAATTGTCATAATCCCAAATTAAAGATGATTAATAAAGACAGGAGCTCCTCAAGTGTTTGTTGGCAACCAGCCAAATGGAGTTATTTAATATCTATTTTTCAGGGTTTCTGCTGCACCAGAGATCAGTACTAAGCTATCTTCTGTGACTTTCTGATAGGAATTGCCATTCCAGTTAATCTTCATATTATCAGAAGAAAGTTTTATTTGGCGTTGTTACTTTTTCTAATCTTCCAAAGCCACCAATTTAATCTTACTTGCAAATCTGGCCAAAAAAAAATAGACGACTATTTCAAATTTTTCTATCTACCAGAAGTTTGCACATAAATGGTGGGATGTGTGGTATTAATAAATACATTTACTGTTCAATTAATCCGTTTTCTGTCCACAGCAAATTTGTTTTGCGGCTGAAAGTTAAATTCCTGTAGTTTTGTATTTAATATTGAATAATAATGTCCCAATTAAAAAAAATTTTTTTGTTGATTTTGCAATTTGGAAGGAGAAGTGCCAAGCAAAAGGGGGAAAAGAACCTTATAAAACCATCAGATCTCATGACAACTATCACAAGAACAGCATAAGAATAACCACCCCCATGATTAAATTACCTCACACTGGGTCCCTCCCACGACACATGAGGATTATGGAAACTACAGTTCAAGATGAGATTTCAGTGGGGACACAGCCTAATCATATTACCATTTGTAGTAAATTCTATTTTTGCTTGCCTAATTTTTTTTTTAATTCTGCTTTCTTTCTTGAAAGATCTTTTCACTGGGCAGATAATTCTAGGTTGATATTTTTTTTCTTTTAGCACATTGAAGATATCATTCCACTGTCTTGAGCCTTAAATTGTTGTTGTTGACAAGTAAGTCCTCAGTCTAATTACCTTATTTTATTTTATTTTATTTTATTTTATTTTATTTTATTTTATTTTTGAGACTGAGTTTCACTCTTGTTGCCCAGGCTAGAGTGCAATGGCACGATCTTGGCTTACCGCAACCTCCGCCTCCCGGGTTCAAGCGATTCTCTTGCCTCAGCCTCCTGAGTAGCTGGGATTACAGGCATGTGCCACCACGCCCGGCTAAGTTTTTTGTATTTTTAGTAGAGACGGGATTTCTCCATGTTGGTCAGGCTGGTCTCGAACTCCTGACCTCAGGTGATCTGCCTGCCTCGGCCTCCCAAAGTGCTGGGATTATAGGTGTGAGCCACCATGCCCAGAGAATTACCATTTTTTTTTTCATTTTTTTGATAGGTCATCTGCTTTTCTCTTTGTTTCTAAGATCTTAAAATAGTGTGGAAATCCTTCTAATTTATCCTGTTTGTGGAAATATTTCTAATTTATCCTGCTTGGGAGACATTGGTCTTGCTAGGTATGCAGATTAATACCTATTAATAACTTTTACCAGTTCACTTCTAAAACATTGAATATTTTCTTGTCTACTTGTGGAATATCATAAAATGTTTGTTAGACCTCACTCTGTTGTCTTTTAATAACTTTTAGATACATAGATAGATAGATAGATAGATAGATAGATAGATAGATAGATAGATAGATAGAGTCTTGCTCTGTCACCCAGGCTGGAGTGCAGTGGTGCGATCTTGGCTCAGTGCAACCTTCACCTCCTGGGTTCAAGCGATTCTCCTGTCTCAGCCTCCCGAGTGGCTGGGATTACAGGCGCCTACCACCACACCCTGCTAATTTTTTTGTATTTTTAGTAGAGATAGGGTTTCGCCACGTTGGCCAGGCTAGTCTTGAACTCCTGACCTCCAGTGATCCACCCACCTCGGCCTCCCAAAGTGCTGGGATTAGAGGCATGAGCCACCGGGCCTGGCCACTTTTTAATATTTTTATCTCTTTCTCACTGTCTTCAGATATCTAATCTTCCAGTTCACTAATTCTGTCTTCGGTTCTATTTAATCCTCCACTTAATTTTTCCATTGAATTTTTAATTTTATTTATTGTATTGAACTAAAAGTTCTAGTTAATGCTTTTTCAAATCTGGTTACTTTATATAGTCTCTTATTTTCTTGCTTATTATTTTCAATGTCTTTTTTGTGTGTAAACATATTAAACATAATTTTTTTTTCTTTTTAGAGACAGGGTCTCACCCTGTTGCCTGAGCTGGAGTGTGGTGGTATGATTATAGCTCACTGCAGCCTCAAACTCCTGGGCTCAAGAGAGCCTCCTGAGTAGCTAGGACTGCAGGCACATGCCATCATGCCTGGGTAAGTTTTTTATTTTAGTTTGAGACAGGATCGCACCATGTTGCCCAAGCTGGTCTTGAACTCCTGGCCTCAAGTGATCCTCCCACCTTGGCCTCCCAAAGTGCTGGGATTACAGGCATGAGCCACTGCCCCCAGCCAACATAGTTGTTTATACTCTGTGTCTGATAATTTCAATATCTGAATTCTTTGTATGTGTGATTCTCTCTTATTTATGGCACCTGATTTCCTTGTGTTTTGTGATTTTTAAATTTGCTTATTTCATGTTTCTTAGAACTTTATTTGTGGAAGTTCTTGAGGCATGAGTTGAAATTATTGTTGTCCAGAGAAAATTTATGTTTGCCTCTGCTACTTACTTGGCATACAAGTAATGCAGGGCCACTCTGAAATACATTTTCTGCTTGAGAGTTGGTTGATTTTTTTTAAGTACCATGAACTCAGGCTACACATTCATGTAAGTCCTGCTTTGTGGTTATGATTTTTTAGCAGAGATTATCTCCATCTAGTGTGAAGGTCAAATTAGCAAATTTCCTTTCTATCCCCTTCTGTGTGTAGGTTTATTTTGTGCTCAACTTTACCTTGATAATATTGCCTTTAGGGGCCCAATTTATGATAAAGGTGATATTTTAAATCAATAGCAAAATGATGAAAAATTTAATTAACTGTTGTGTTATAACTAGAAACAAAGTTAGATTCCTATGTTATGACTCCATCTAAACTATATTCTAAATAGGTTAAAGATTTAAAGGTAAGCTGGGTGCAGTGGCTCACACCTGTAATCCCAGCACTTTGGGAGGCTGAGGTGGGCGGATCACTTGAGGTTAGGAGTTCGAGACCAGCCTGGCAAACATGGTGAAATCCCATCTCTACTAAAATACAAAAAAAAATTAGCCAGGTGTGGTGGCGCATGCTTGTAAATTCCAGCTACTTGGGAGGCTGATACAGGAGAATCGCTTGAATCCAAGGTGGAGGTTGCAGTGAGCCAAGATTGTGCCACTGCACTCCAGCCTGGGCAACAGAGTGAGACTTCATCTCAAAAAAAAAAAAAAAAAGATTTAAAAATAAATGAAATAAAGGAAGATTGTGAGAGGTGACAACGTGCTAGCAGCCCTCCCTCACTCTCGGCGCCTCCTCGGCCTCTGCCTCCACTCTGGCCGTGCTTGAGGAGCCCTTCAGCCCGCCACTGCACTGTGGGAGCCCCTCTCTGGGCTGCCTGAGGCCGGAGCCGGCTCCCTCTGCTTGTGGGGAGGTGTGGAGGGAGAGGCATGGGCGGGAACTAGGGCTGTGTGTGGCACTCGCGGGCCAGTGCGAGTTCTGGGTGGGCACAGGGTCCACGGGCCTCACACTCAGAGTGGCCAGCCAGCACTGCTGGCCCTGGGCAGTGAGGGGCTTAGTACCCGGGCCAGCAGATGTGGAGGGTGCGCTGGGTCCCCCAGCACTGCTGGCCGGCCTGCGCTGTGCTCGAATTCTCACCGGGCCTCAGCCACCTCCCCGTGGGGCAGGGCTCAGGACCTGCAGCCCACCATGCCGGAGCCTCCCCACCCCCAGTGGGCTCCCACGTGGCCTGAGCCTCCTCGACGGGTGCCGCCCCCTGCTCCGCGGCGCCCAGTCCCATTGACTGCCCAAGGGCTGAGTGTGGGTGCGCCGTGTGGGATTGATGGGCAGCTCTGCCCACGGCCCCGGCGTGGGATCCACTAGGCCAAGCCAGCTGGGCTCCTGAGTCCTGTGGGGACTTGGAGAACTTTTATGTCTAACTGGAGGATTGTATACGCACCCATCAGTACTCTGTGTGTAGCTCAGGGTTTGTGGATGCACCAATCAGCACTCTGTATCTAGCTAATCTGGTGGGGACTTGGTGAACTTTTATGTCTAGCTAGAGGATTGTAAATGCATCAATCAGCACTCTGTGTCTAGCTCAGGGATTGTATATGCACCAATCAGCACTCTGTCAAAATGGAGCAATCAGCTCTCTGTAAAACGGACCAATCAGCTCTCTCTGTAAAATGGACCAATCAGCAGGATGTGGGTGGGGCCAGATAAAGGAATAAAAGCAGACTGCCCAAGCCAGCAGTGGCAACCTGCTCAGGTCCCCTTCCACGCTGTGGAAACTTTGTTCTTTCGCTCTTCGCAATAAATCTTGCTGCTGCTCATTCTTTGAGTCCGCACTGCCTTTAAGGGCTGTAACACCGTGAGGGTCTGCAGCTTCACTCCTGAAGGCAGCAAGACCATGAACCCACCAGAAGGAACGAACAACTCCAGATGCACTGTCTTTAAGAGCTGTAACACTCACCGCAAAGGTCTGCAGCTTCACTCCTGAATCAGCGAGACCACGAACCCACCAGAAGGAAGAAACTCTGGACACATCTGAACATCTGAAGGAACAAACTCCGGACACACCATCTTTAAGAACTATAACACTCACCACAAGCGTCTGCAGCTTCATTCTTGAAGTCAGCGAGACCAATTTCAGACACATTTTGGTGACCCAGATGGGACTATCACCTATCGCCAAGTGGTGAGACTATTGCCTATCGCTGAGCAGTGAGACTGTTGCCTATTGCCAAGCAGTGAGACTATTGCCTATCACCAAGCAGTGAGAACCATTGGACCCCTTTTGCTTGCTATTCTGTCCTATTTTTCCTTAGAATTCGGGGGCTAAATACTGGGCACCTGTCGGCCAGTTAAAAGTGACTAGTGCGGCCGCCAGACTAAAGACACAGGTGTCAGGCTTTCTGGGAGAGGGCTAACAACCCCCAACTCTTCAGAGTTGGGAGCATTGGTTTGCCTGGAACCAGCTTCTCCTTTTCCTGTACTTCTGGGCTGAGCCAAGGGTTGACAGAGAGGAAAGCCATTCAGCTCCAGGGTCCCGAAAACAAGTTGATTGACCCTGCAGCCATGAGCAGAACTCTCAAAGTCATGTCGCCCAAGCGAGACTCGCCCATCTATTCTATCTACCCTGACCCTTGCCCCCTGGGTCCTAATGCCTGCCAAACAAACCTCCTCTCGCCTCTCTTCTCCGAGGCTAGTCCCACTTCTAAACATCACTCCCTGTCTCTGGTGCTTTTCTAGTTTCTCCTATAAGAATGACTGCTAGTATAAACTCTAGGACTCTGTTCCCTTCTTTAGGCACCTAGGCTCACCAATCAGAAAGACATAATTTTTGCCCAAAGCCCCATCATAGTGGGGACTACCTGGAATTGTAGGATCCCTCCTCAGACTAGCAGGCCTAACAAAAGCTATTCCTGAAGCTAGGATATGGGGAGCCTCAGAAATTGTGTCCTTTCTATTCATATAAGTGAGGACAAAAGGTGTCACTCTTCCAACCCTGGAGAATCTCTTCCCTCCCTCAGGGTATGGCCCTCCATTTCATTTTTGGGGCATAACATCTTTATAGGACATGGGTAAGGTCCCAATACTAATAGGAGAATGCTTAGGACTCTAACAGGTTTTTGAGAATGTGTCGGTAAGGGGCCACTAAATCCGATTTTTCTGGGTCCTCCTTGTGGACTAGGAGGACAGGCAAGGGTGCAGGTTTTCGAGAATGCATCAATAAGGGCCACTAAATCCGACCTTCCTCAGTCCTCCTTGTGGCCTGGGAGGAAAACTAGCATTTCTGCTGCTACATTGGTGAGTGCAACTATTCCGATCAGCAGAGTCCAGGGACTTTTGCGGGTTCTTGGGCAGGGGTTGTTTCTGCTGCTGCGTTGGTGAGTGCAACTGTTCTGATCAGCAGGGTCCAGGGACTGTTGTGGGTTCTTGGGCAGGGGGAGAAACAAAACAAACCAAAACCGTGGGTGGTTTTGTCTTTCAGATAGGAAACAGGCATCAACAGGCTCACCCTTGAAATGCATCCTAAGCCATTGGGACCAATTTGACCCACAAACCCTGAAAAAGAGGTGGCTCATTTTTTTCTGCACTATGGCTTGGCCCCAATATTCTCTCTCTGATGGGGAAAAATGGCCACCTGAGGGAAGTATAAATTATAATACTATTCTGCAGCTTGACCTTTTCTGTAAGAGAGAAGGCAAATCGAGTGAAATACCTTATGTCCAAGCTTTCTTTTCATTGAAAGAGAATACACAACTATGCAAAGCTTGCAATTTACATCCCACAGGAGGACCTCTCAGCTTACCCCCATATCCTAGCATCCCTATAGCTACCCTTCCTATTAATGATAATCTTCTTCTAATCTTCCCTGCCCAGAAGGAAATAAGCAAAGAAATCTCCAAAGGACCACAAAAACCCCCAGGCTATCGGTTATGTCCCCTTCAAGCTGTAGGGGGAGGGGAATTTGGCCCAACCCGGGTACATGTCCCCTTCTCCCTGTCTGATTTAAAGCAGATCAAAGCAGACTGGGGAAGTTTTCAGATGATCCTGATAGGTACATAGATGTCCTACAGGGTCTAGGGCAAACCTTTGATCTCACTTGGAGAGATGTCATGCTACTGTTAGATCAAACCCTGGCCTTTAATGAAAAGAATGCAGCTTTAGCTGCAGCCCGAGAGTTTAAAGATACTTGGTATCTTAGTCAAGTGAATGATAGAATGACAGCCGAAGAAAGGGATAAATTCCCTTCTGGTCAGCAAGCTGTCCCCAGTATGGATCCCCACTGGGACCTTGACTCAGATTATGGGGACTGGAGTCATAAATATCTGTTGACCTGTGTTCTTGAAGGACTAAGGAGAATTAGGAAAAAGCCCATGAATTATTCAATGATGTCCACCATAACTCAAGGAAAGGAAGAAAATCCTGCCTTCCTTGAGCAGCTATGGGAGGCCTTAAGGAAATATATTCCCCTGTCACCCAAATCACTCGAGGGTCAATTGATTCTAAAAGATAAGTTTATTACCCAGTCAGCTGCAGATATCAGGGGAAAGCTCCAAAAGCAATCCCTGGTCCCTGAACAAAATTTGGAGGCATTACTAAACCTGGCAACCTCAGTGTTCTATAATAGGGACCAAGAGGAACAAGCCCAAAAGGAAAAGCAAGATCAGAAAAAGGCTGCAGCCTTAGTCTTGGCCCCCACACAAGCAAGCCTTGGTGGTTCAGAGAGGACAGAGGGTGGAGCAGGCCAATCACCCAGTAGGACTTGTTACCAGTGTGGTTTGCAAGGACACTTTTAAAAAGATTGTCCAGTGAGAAACAAGCCGCCCCCTCGTCCATGTCTGCTATGCCAAGGCAATCACTGGAAGGTGCACTGCCCCAGAGGACAAAGGTTCTCTGGGTCAGAAGCCCCCAACCAGATGATCCAGCAACAGGATTGAGGGTGCCTGGGGCAAGTGCCAGCTCATGTCATCACCCTCACTGAGCCCCGGGTACATTTAACCATTGACGGCCAGGAAATTGACTTCCTCCTGGACACTGGCGCGGCCTTCTCAGTGCTAATCTCCTGTCCTGGACGACTGTCCTCAAGGTCCATTACCATCCGAGGAATCCTGGGACAGCCTGTAACCAGGTATTTCTCCCATCTCCTCAGTTGTAATCGGGACACTTTGCTCTTTTCACATGCCTTTCTTGTTATGCCTGAAAGTCCCACACCCTTATTAGGGAGGGATATATTAGCCAAAGCTGGAGCTATTATCTACATGAATATGGGGAACAAGTTACCCATTTGTTGTCCCCTACTTGAGGAGGGAATCAACCCTGAAGTCTGGGTATTGGAAGGACAATTTGGAAGGGCAAAAAATGCCTGCCCAGTCCAAATCAGGCTAGAAGACCCCACCACTTTTCCTTATTAAAGGCAATATCCCTTAAGGCCTGAAGCTCATAAAGGATTACAGGATATTGTTAAACATTTAAAAGCTCAAGGTTTAGCAAGGAAATGCAGCAGTCCCTGCAACACCCTAATTCTAGGAGTACAAAAACCGAATGTTCAGTGGAGACTAGTGCAAGATCTTAGACTCATCAATGAGGTAGTAATTCCTTTATATCCAGTTGTACCCAACTCCTATACCCTCCTCTCTCAAATACCAGAGGAAGCAGAATGGTTCACAGTGCTGGACCTCAAGGTTGCCTTCTTCTGTATTCCCCTGCACTTTGACTCCCAGTTTCTCTTTGCCTTTGAGGATCCCACAGACCACACATCCCAACTTACGTGGACAGTCTTGCCCCAAGGGTTCAGGGATAGCCCTCTCCTGTTTGGTCAGGCACTGGCCAAAGATCTAGGCCACTTCTCAAGTCCAGGCCCTCTGTTCCTTCAGTATGTGGATGATTTGCTTTTGGCTACCAGTTCAGAAGCCTCATGCCAGCAGGCTACTCTAGATCTCTTGAACTTTCTAGCTAATCAAGGGTACAAGGTATCTAGGTCGAAGGCCCAGCTTTGCCTACAGCAGGTCAAATATCTAGGCCCAGAGGGACCAAGGCCCTCAGCAAGGAATGAATACAGCCTATACTGGCTTATCCTTGCCCGAAGACATTAAAACAGTTGTGGGGCTTCCTTGGAATCACCGGCTTTTGCTGACTATGGATCCCCTGATACAGTGAGAAAGCCAGGCCCCTCTATACTCTAATCAAGGAAACCCAGAGGACAAATACACATCTAGTAGAATGGGAACCAGAGGCAGAAACAGCCTTCAAAACCTAACAGCAGGCCCTAGTACAAGCTCCAGCCTTAAGCCTTCCCACAGGACAAAACTTATCTTTATACGTCACAGAGAGAGCAGAGATAGCTCTTGGAGTCCTTACCCAGACTCGTGGGAAAACCCCACACCAGTGGCATACCTAAGTAAGGAAACTGATGTAGTAGCGAAAGGCTGGCCTCACTGTTTACGGGTAGTTGCGGCGGTGGCTGTCTTAGTGTCAGAGGCTATCAAAATAATAAAAGGAAAGGATCTCACTGTCTGGACTACTCATGATGTAAATGGCATACTAGGTGCCAAAGGAAGTTTACGGCTATCAGACAACTGCCTACTTAGATACCAGGTGCTACTCCTTGAGGGACTGGTGCTTCAAAAATGTACATGCATGGCCCTCAACCCTGCCACTTTTCTCCCAAAAGATGGGGATCCAATCGAGCATGGCTGCCAACAAATTATAGTCCAGACTTATGCTGCCCGAGATGATCTCTTAGAAGTCTCCTTAGCTAATCCTGACTTTAACCTATATACCAATGGAAGTTCATTTGTGGAGAATGGGATACGAAGGGCCGGTTATGCCATAGTTAGTGATGTAACCATACTTGAAAGTAAGCCTCTTCCCCCAGGGACCAGTGCCCAGTTACCAGAACTAGTGGCATTTACCCGAGCTTTAGAACTGGGAAAGGGAAAAAGAATAAATGTGTATACAGATAGCAAGTATGCTTATCTAATCCTACATGCCCATGCTGCAATATGGAAAGAAAGGGAATTCCTAACCTCTGGGGGAACCCCTATTAAATACCACAAGGAAATTATAGAGTTATTGCACACAGTGCAAAAACCCAAGGAGGTGACAGTCTTACATTGCCAAAGCCACCAGAAAGGTGAAGGAGAAAAGGCAGGAGGAAACTGTCAGGCAGAAGCTGAGGCCAAAATTGCTGCCAGGCAGAACCTCCCACTAGAAATACCTACGGAAGGACCCTCGGTATGGAACAACCCCCTCCAAGAGATTAAGCCCCAGTATTCCCCAACTGAAGCAGAGTGGTGACTTTCATGGGGGCATAGTTTTCTCCCCTCAGGGTGGTTGGCGACAGAAGAAGGAAAGGTACTTATACCCGAAGCCAGCCAGTGGAAAATACTTAAAACCCTCCACCAAACTTTTCATATGGGTATTGAAAACACTCATCAAATGGCCAAATCCCTATTAACAGGGCCAAATCTCCTCCAAACCATCCAACAAGTAGTCAAAGCCTGTGAGATGTGCCAAAGGAATAATCCCTTGGTCCATCATAAGGCCCCTTTGGGGGAGCAAAGAATAGGTCACTATCCTGGAGAGGACTGGCAGTTAGACTTCACCCATATGCCTAAGTCAAAGGGATTTCAATACTTGTTGGTCTGTGTTGATACCTTTACAAATTGGATAGAAGCTTTCCCCTGCAAGACAGAGAAGGCTCAGGAAGTGACTAAAGTCCTAATTCATGAAATAATTCCTAGATTTGGGCTTCCCCAAAGCTTACAGAGTGACAATGGTCCAGCTTTTAAAGCCACGATAACTCAGGGAATTTCCAGGGTGCTAGGGATACAATATCACCTTCACTGCTCCTGGAGGCCACAATCCTCAGGAAAGGTCGAGAAGGCAAATGAAACACTCAAGAGGCACTTAAGGAAACTAACACAAGAAACTCATCGCCCATGGCCTACTCTTTTGCCCATGGCCCTGTTGGGAATCTGAAATTCTCCCCACAAAATAGGGCTCAGTCCATATGAAATGCGGTATGGACGACCTTTTCTCACAAATGACCTCCTACTTGATCAGGAAATGGCCAACTTGATCAAAGATATAGCTTCTTTGGCAAAATATCAACAAAACCTTAAAAACCTACCTGCAGGATGTCACAGAGAAAAGGGAACAGAGTTGTTTCAACTAGGAGATCTAGTGTTGGTCAAATCTCTCCCCTCTACCTCCCCATCTATGGACTCTTTGTGGGAAGGACCACACTTGCTAATCCTCTCTACTCACTGCACTTAAGGTGGCAGGAGTGGAATCTTGGATTCACCACACCCAAGTTAAACTTTGAACACCCCCTGAGGAACCTGCAGGACTATCAGCTTAGGAGTCCCAAGATCAGCCAGACCAGCCTCGATACACCTGCGAACCATTGGAGGATTTGCATCTCCTATTTTAGAAGGAAACATCCCAGACTAAAAAGGCTCCTACCACTGATCCTGAGGAAAAACCCCTTCCTCCTTAAAAAAGATAAGTGAAAACAGCTTTAACCATACTCTTTGCGATAGGACTATATACTGTAGCTCCTGCCTGGACAAAAATCCTAATCACATCAACCTTCTTTCTATCTTCCTTCCTTTTGACAGCAGTTTACTCCTACTTTTAACTCAGACTTGATAAAATGATCTCTTCTTCCAGAGCACCCCCTTTATCTTCCTATTTGCTCATTGCCTATGTATCCCTCCTGCTTCCTTGGATACCTCATACAATCACCCCTCCCCTTCCACTAGCTCCTAATTACCTCTAAAAGACTATCAATTTAACCCACTGTCTGTTAAACCAGTCCAATCCTTCCCTGGCAAATGACTGTTGGCTTTGTATCTCTCTATCAACCTCTGCTTATGTTGCCACTCCCATTCCCGCAAAAAACTGGGTCTTTCTTTACCAATTTAACCTACCACCCTTGTTATGAAGGAAAAGACTCTTTCTGACTTCTAAAAATACAATCATTAGCCAACTTCTCCATCCCTGATAGGACCAAGAATACCCTAACAGGACGTGCAATCCAACTTTTACGTTCTTACATTTCCAACCTCACCTATTACACAAGCAATGAAAAGCCCATACATGGCCTGGTAACTATGAATACCATCTTAACTTTCCAAGCCCCTTTATGCATCCAACGCAACCTGTTATCAGGCCTGCCCCTGGGGCACCTACTAACGCATCAGTGTAATTACACCCTACAACTTCAAGCCCCAGCTGATCATAGTAACTTCCGAGTCACCCAGACAGCTCCATTCAGATGGCTTGTCCACTTCTCAGGGCCCCCAAAAATCATCACCTCCTCCCTGCTTAATGAACAGTCCAAGTTTGGTAATGGCAAACATACTCCCTGCATGACCATTCACCCCTGGACCCCCCATAGCAGCTCCCCCACCACTAGTGAATGCCTTCTAATCCCCTATTTCAATCACTGTCTCGAATGGTTCCTAGTGGATACAAAACGTTTTTTTCTCCAATGGGAAAATAGAACACAGGGAGCCACTCAGTTTGCTCCCAACACCCCTTTCCAGCCACTCACTGGAGCTACCTTGGCAAGTACTCTAGGAGTATGGGAAAATGAAAACAACAAATACACACACCTTTTTAACATACACAACCAGTTCTGTCTACCCAGCAAGGTATATTCTTCTTATGTGGAACATCAACCTATATTTGCCTCCCCACTAACTGGACAGGACCTGCACCTTAGTCTTTCTAAGTCCCAACATTAACATTGCCCCAGGAAACCAGACCTTATCAGTATCCCTCAAAGCTCAAGTCCATCAGCACAGAGCCATACAACTAATACCCCTACTTATAGGGTTAGGAATGGCTACTGCTACAGGAACCGAAATAGCCAGTTTATCTATTTCATTACCCTACTACCTACCACACACTCTCAAAGGCTTTCTCAGATAGTTTGCAAGAAATAACGAAATCTATGCTTACTCTACAATCCCAAATAGACTCTTTGGCAGCAGTGACTCTCCAAAACCACTGAGGCATAGACCTCCTCACTGCTGAGAAAGGAGGACTCTGTACCTTCTTAGGGGAAGAGTGTTGTTTTTACACTAACCAGTCAGGGATAGTACAAGATGCCACCTGGCGTTTACAGGAAAAGGCTCCTGAAATCAGGCAACGCCTGTCAAATTCTTATACCAACCTCTGGAGTTGGGCAACATGGCTTCTCCCCTTTCTAGATCCCGTGGCAGCCATCTTGCTGTTACTTGCCTATGGACCCTGTATTTTTAACATCCTTGTTAAATTTGTTTCCTCTAGAATCGAGGCCATCAAGCTACAGATGGTCTTACAAATGGAACCCCAAATGAGTTCAACTAACAACTTCTACCGAGGATCCCTGAACCAACCTGCTGGCACTTTCACTGGCCTAGAGAGTTCCCCTCTGGAGGACACTACAACTGCAGGACCCCTTCATCATCCCTATCCAGCAGGAAGTAGCTAGAGCGGTCATTGGCCAAATTCCCAACAGCAGTTGGGGTGTCCTGTTTAGAGGGGGGATTGAGAGGCCTCCTCGGCCTCGGTGTCCACTCTGGCTGCACTTGAGGAGCCCTTCAACCCACTGCTGCACTGTGGGAGCCCCTCTCTGGGCTGGCCGAGGCTGGAGCTGGCTCCCTCTGCTTGCGGGGAGGTGTGGAGGGAGAGGCGGGGGCGGGAACCGGGGCTGCACACGGTGCTCGCGGGCCAGCGTGAGTTCCGGGTGGGCGTGGGCTCAGCGGGCCCTGCACTCAGAGTGGCTGGCTGGCGCTGCCGGCCCCGGGCAGTGAGGGGCTTAGCACCCGGGCCAGCAGCTGTGGAGGGTGCACTGGGTCCCCCAGCACTGCTGGCCTGCCCGCGCTGCACTCAAATTCTCACAGGGCCTCAGCCGCCTCCCTGCGGGGCAGTGCTCAGGACCTGCAGCCCACCATGCCTGAGCTCCCTCAACACCAGTGGGCTCCCGTGCAGCCAGAGCCTCCCCGACGGGCACCACCCCCTGCCCCTGCTCCACGGTGCCCAGTCCCATCGACCGCCCAAGGGCTGAGGAGTGCAGGCACGTGGTGTGGGACTGATGAGCAGCTCCACCCATGGCCCCAGCGTGGGATCCACTAGGCGAAGCCAGCTGGGCTCCTGAGTTGGGTGGGGACTTAGAGAACTTTCATGTCTAGCTGGAGGATTGTATATGCACCAATCAGTACTCTGTGTCTAGCTCAGGGATTGTAAATGCACCAATCAGCACTCTGTCAAAATGGACCGATCAGCTCTCTGTAAAATGGACCAATCATCAGGATGTGGGTGGGGCCAGATTAGGGAATAGAAGCAGGCTGTCTGAGCCAACAGTGTCAACATGCTTGGGTCCCCTTCCATGCTGTGGAAACTTTGTTCTTTCGCTCTTCACAATAAATTTTGCTGCTGCTCACTCTTTGGGTCCGCACCACCTTTAAGAGCTATAACATTCACCGTGAAGGTCTGCAGCTTCACTCCTGAGGCCAGCAAGACCACGAACCCATGGGAAAGAATGAACAACTCCAGATGCGCCGCCTTTAAGAGCTGTGACACTCACCGCGAAGGTCTGCAGCTTCACTCCTGAAGTCAGCGAGACCATGAATCCACGAGAAGGAAGAAACTCCAGACACATCTGAACATCTGAAGGAATAAACTGCAGACACACCATCTTTAAGAACTGTAACACTCACCACAAGGGTTTGTGGCTTCATTCTTGAAGTCAGCGAGACCAAGAACCCACCAATTCCAGACAAAATTGTAAATATACTCTTTATATTCTTCCTCTCCTGGAGCAGCTCAATAATTTGGTGAAAGTTATGGGGAAAGTTTGATAATTGCCAGAGCCCTCAGGGGAAGTCCCACCTATTAGACTGAGTTTTGAATTTTTTGGAGACAAGCAGGTAATATGCAGGAATGTATCTATGGCACATAACAAACCACTCCAAAACCTAGTGGCTTAAAACAACAACAGTCCTTTATTTTTGCTTAGGAATCTGTTATTTGGGGAGGTCTTAAAAAGGAATCACATCTCTGTTCCACATTTTATTGTCAGGAATGGCTTGCCTGGGCCTGGGGGATCCACTTTCAAAATGTCTCATTCACATGACGGCACCTTGGGGCTGGCTGTAGGCCAGGAGCTCAGCTGGGGATGTGAGCCTTGGGCCTCAGTTTCTGGCTGTGTGGACTTCTCCATGGGCTGCAGTCTTCTTTACAGCGTGGTGGTCGGATTTCAATATTAAATATTCCAAGAGAACTGTACGTATATTGCATTACCTTTTAGGACCTAGCCTCAAAAGCCATATAGCATTATTTTCATTGTAGTCACAATTCTGCCCAGCATCAAAGGGAGGAAACATGGGCTTCCATTTCTAAATAAGAATGTAGTATCAAAGTTATATTATAAGAACAGCATGTGAGATGGGACACAGTGTGTTGCCCATTTTTGGAAAATACATTCTGTCTCTAGGAGATAGGCTTGCAATAAATCTGCCTCTTTAATGTGACTTGGAACACAGTCTGCTGAGCTCACCGATGCCCCTACACACCTCGGCAACTACAGCTACCAGACTGTTTCAGTGCTTTGGGAGTTTTCCATCGGAGGAGAGGCCACTACATATCTATCCACACACCTACCTGGTAGCCACCATCACGACTAACTCATTACAACTGTCACAAGACTTCTTGAGTGTCAGTCCTGCCTCAACCACTGAGTGGCTGAATGGCCTTTCTGTGTCTCAGTTTCTGTGTCTGTAAACTGAGGATGATAAAAATACCTACTTCAGAGGATTGTCTTGAAGACTAAATGAGTTAACTCACCTGAAGACTTAGAACAGTGTCCGTCACAAAGTTAGCCTGAAGGAGTTTCTGCCTCAGATTCACTCTATTCTGTGCCCACCTGCCCACGTTTCCAGAGTAAAGTGAAAGTTGCTCCTGTCCAGAACGGGCCTTCCAAGTGTTGAGGTACAAGTAGCATCAACCAAAGAGTCACATAGGGGAGATCTGGGGCTGACCACTTTCAACTACCTTCTGAATAAATGTGGGAAGTCCTCTTATTTGACCTGTGAGAATGGAAAATGCTTACTTGGATCCTTTTGCACATGGGCTGCTCTTCTCTGGCCAGTGTGCATGGCCTCCATGAACAGAGTGGTGTACTCCACAACTACAGTGCAGGTGGAGAGGCAGATGGCCTCAATCAGGCTACCAAAGTTTCCTCAGAAACCCCTCAGCAGCCAGTAGCCTTGGTTAGTCAAGCCATCATCCAGGATAATGAGCTTACAGGAAAATCACTGGTTATGGGAGGCGAATCAGCCTCTGAGACAAAAGAGGAAGTGACTTCCAGTAAAAACAAGTTAAGACATCAAATAGGAGAAGGACTTCCGCTTTGCCATTCCTTCTCCAAATTCCACTGAAATCACAAAGAAATAGAAAAATAAATTCAAAGCAGCACAGGAAAACCAGAAAAGGTGCTTCCAGCAAACAATATAGAAAGGAATTTTTGAAAAAAATAAGAAACGTGGGAATCAGTAGAGAAATCTAGCAGGGCATAAGAACCTAAAACCATTCAAAGGAACAAAGTACTTTGTTAACTGAAGAAATAACGGAGCCATACCCCTAAGTCCCCATCAATTCCTGGAGTTGCTCTTGGAGCAGCTGGCTCCATTGTTTGGGCTTAGATGAGAGTCATGGGTATAGTTTTCTGACATAGTACAGCAGCCCCACAGCAATGGTATGCTAAATGAAGTCAGTCTCTTAAGAATCTAGTTTGCACATCTCTTCTCAACTCCCCATTCAGTGACTGTTATGTTGCTAGCTTGAAAATTGGCTAGGGTGGGAGATTTTACATTGCATGGAAATCAGGAAATGCTGCAAACTAGGACTTCCCCCACTCCACCCAGAGCTGGCTGTCAAACATTTACCAACATATTACTGTTCCAGAGTAAGCTAAGGTCAGAGGAAAAGGACAATACCCTGGAGGGTCAGGAAACTATTCTAAGAAGAGACGTTACCTACAGAGTCTGCCTATCCCTACCAAATCCCATGAGGCAGATTCTTGTAATCAAAACTTGCATTCACTGCCAGGTAAACATGAGTTCTCATTTGAAGTGAGGAAATGCGTCCAGCTATGAATTTCAGTCTAGACTGAAATTCTGTTCCTACAAATGGAACAACAACAACAAAAGAACCAACAAACATTTGGAGAAACCAAGAGCACTAAAGAGAGCACCAAATTTAACAAATAGAACTAGCCCACTTAAAAAGAATAGTCAATAGAAACAGATAAAAACTTGAAATTAAACATAGTTCAGATCCTCAGAGTTGCTTTAAAGTAAATCACATTGAAACAAGAGACAGCTGCTATGAAACACAACCAGAATTCATGGAAATTTTAAAATATTATTGCGGCCAGGCATGGTGGCTCATGCCTGTAATCCCAGCACTTTTGGAGGCTGAGGCGGGTGGATCATCTGAGGTCAGGAGTTCAAGACTAGCCTGGCCAACATGGTGAAACCCCGTCTCTACTAAAAATACAAAACTTAGGCGTGGTGGCAGGTGCCTGTAATCCCAGCTACTCAGGAGGCTGAGGCAAGAGAATTGCTTGAACCCAGGAGGCAGAGATTGCAGTGAGCCGATATTGCGCCACTGCACTCCAGTCTGGGTGATGGAGTGAGAATCCTTCTCAAAGAAAAAAAAAAATGACTAAATCCAATAATTGGGCTAAATATACAATAACCCTTACCCTAACCTGAATATACAATTAATGAGTTGGAAAATTGAGCTGAGAGACTTTTCCAAAATTTATGCAAAAAAGAAAAAAAAAGAACAAAAGAAAAAGTACAGCAATAGGCCAGGCGTGGTGGCTCATGCCTGTAATCCCAGCACTTTGGGAGGCAGAGACGGGCGGATCATGAGGTCAGGAGATCGAGACCATCCTGGCTAACATGGTGAAACCCCGTCTCTACTAAAAATATAAAAAAATTATCTGGGCATGGTGGCGGGCGTCTGCAGTCCCAGATACTCAGAGGCTGAGGGGGAAGAATGGTGTGAACCCGGGAGGCAGAGCTGGGCAGTGAGCCGAGATTGTGCCACTGCACTCCAGCCTGGGCAACAGAGCAAGACTCTGTCTCAAAGAAAAAAAGAAAAAGAAAAAGTACAGCAATATTAAGAGATACAGAAGATAAATATAACTAAAATTATACAGCTATAGGACTGTAAGAATAAAAGGGAGACAATTATCAAAGAAATAAAAAAAGAACATTTCCCAGACTTGGATTGGAAGAGTCTACTAAATGCCAGGCAGAATTAATGCAAAATCATCTTCTGATCTTATCTAGGTATTAATATGGCAAAGAACATAGGTCTTTACTGCCTAGCCACCCAAAAGTAATAAGAAGAATAAGAAACGGTAATGTCAACTCTATATCTGATGCAACTAGAAGATATTTGAAACTAAAACAGAAAAAAAGTCTGCCAAAAGCAGTGAAGATCAAACAGAAATGTACAGAGCCAGCAGAATCCATGACTCTAACGTGAAGTGCATAGCCTAAGATGAAAAATCAATAATCTCTTTGTTTGCAACAATGGAATGAGGTTCCGGTGGTGGGAACTTTTCTGGACAGTTTGGTACTGAGAAAAAGCTGAGGAAGCGGATTTGAGCAAGAAATATCATAAACTAATCATATTTTTCAGGAAGTAGTCTGTAGTTGAGGAAAGAGTGGGGGAGAGAGTCTGCATTGTGACATCCCATTGGTGCTGATCTCAAGGAGGCTGCAGAGAAGCAAAACATAAAGTTTATTCACACACGTAGCACATAACCCTGTCTCATGAGGAGAGTTTCTGCTGACCATGAATACCATCTTGGCCTCTCTCATACAAAACTCCAGTAAATAGATAAGAACTCACCTTATTTAAAGTTGACCTAAAATAAAATAAAAACTAGCATAGGAACTGTAAAAAAAAGAAAAGATGGGAATACCCAGCCCCCGCCCCCGCAAAACAAATAGTAGATAAAGCATTCTCACCATAGAGCAAATAAAAGTTGAGACTAAACAAATTGTCATGAATTAAAAGAACACAAATCAGAAATATAGGCGTCAGGGAAGATAAGATAAAACATGAAGACAGCCGAGTGCGGTGGCTCATGCCTGTAATCCCAGCACTTTGGAAGACCAAGGCAGGCGGATCATGAGGTCAGGAGATCCAGACCATCCTGGCTAACACAGTGAAACCCCGTCTCTACTAAAAATACAAAAAAATTAGCCGGGCATGGTGGCGGGCGTCTGTAGTCCCAGCTACTCGGGAGGCTGAGGCAGGAGAATCGCTTGAATCCAGGAGGCGGAGGTTGCAGTGAGCCGAGATCGCGCCACTGCACCTCCAGCCTGGGCGACATAGCGAGATTCCATCTCAAACAAACAAAACAAACTTGAAGACGTATTTTTCTTCCTGTTGACGAAACATGAGACAGCAGGGCCTAGAGAGAAGTGAAAAGAATGTTAAAATTAGCGAAAGTGAACATGATGTACAAGCAGCACAAAGGAAAACAGACATTGTTGAAAACACAGTGATGTACACAGAGGGCAGGATTTTTCTTTTTTAAAAAGAAAAACATTTTTTAAGTGACAGAAACTTTTTTTTTGTTTTTGAGATGGAGTCTTGCTCTGTCGTCCAGGTGCAGTGGCGCGTTCCTGGCTTACTGCAAGCTCCGCCTCCCGAGTTCACGACATTCTCCTGCCTCAGCCTCCCGAGTAGCTGGGACTACCGGCGCCCGCCACACACCCGGCTAATTTTTTTTTTTTTTTTTGAGACGGAGTCTTGCTCTGTTGTCCAGGCTGGAGTGCAGTGGCACAATCTCGGCTCACTGCAAGCTCTGCCTCCTGGGTTCACGCCATTCTCCTGCCTCAGCCTCCCGAGTAGCTGGGACTACAGGCGCCTGCTACCATGCCAGGCTAATTTTTTTTTTGTATTTTTGTAGTAGAGACGGGGTTTCATCGTGTTAGCCAGGATGGTCTCGATCTCCTGACCTCGTGATCCGCCCGCCTTGGCCTCCCAAAGTGCTGGGATTACAGGCGGGAGCCACCGCGTCCGGCCGACAGAAACAATTTTTTTGAAACAGGGTCTCACCCTGTCTCCCAGGCTGGAGTGCAGTGGCACCATCATAGCTCACTGTAACCTTAATCCCCCCAGGCTCAGGTGATCCTCCTGCCTCATCCTCCCAAGTAGCTGGGACCACAGGTAGTCCACACCACCACCTCTGGCTAATTTTTTTTTTTTTAATAGAGATGGGGTCTCCCTATGTTGCCCAGGCTTGTCTCCAACTCCTGGGGTCAAACGAACCTCCTGCCTCAATCTCTTAAAGTGTTGAGAATACAGGAATGAGTCATCACACATGACCAAAATTTTTTAAAGTTAGAAAGAATTGAAAGCTGGGCATGGTGCCTCATGCCTGTAATCCCAACACTTTGGAAGGCTGAAGCGGGCAGATCACTTGAGGTCCAGAGTTCGAGACTGGCCTGGCCAGCATGGCAAAACCCCGTCTCTACTAAAACTACAAAAATTAGCTGGGCGCGGTTGCACGCACCTGTAATTCCAGCTACACAGGTGGCTGAGGCATGAGAATTGCTTGAACCCAGCAGGTGGAGGTTGCATTGAAACGAGATTGCACAGCTGTACTCCAGCCTGGGAGACAGAGCGAGACTCTGTCTCAAAAAAAAAAAAAAAAAATCAAGGAAATAAAGTATGACACAATAATTGTACACCCAATTGACACTAGTCAAATTATCATTGAAATAAAAAGGCATCAGGAAACCATGCCATGTTTTACTTTATTTTACACATACTAGGACCTTTGGGGGTGATGTTCATGTTTTTTCCTATCGAGCATATCCAATCCATCATGGTACCTTTAGTTATAGCCCTGTCCCTCAACCTTGATTTCACTACCACCTTTTAACATTTGGGTAAAATGATTCTGATTTTTTTTTCCTTTTAATGTATATTTATTTGTTTTTTTTATTTTTCTGTTTTTCATGTTTCCAACAATATTTATCTTTTTTTAAATAGGTAATACATTCACATAGAACAAAATCCAAGGCCAGCCGCGGTGGCTCATGCCTGTAATCCCAGCACTTTGGGAGGCTGAAGCAGGCAGATCACGAGGACAAGAGGTCAAGACCATCCTGGCCAACATGGTGAAACTCCGTCTCTACTAAAAATTACAAAAATTAGCTGGGCATGGTGGTGCACACCTGTAGACCCGCTACTCGGGAGGCTGAGGCATCAGAATCCTTGAACCCGGGAGGCAGAGGTTGCAGTGAGCCGAGATCGCGCCACTGCACTCCAGCCTGGCGACAGGCGAGACTCTGTCTCAAATAACAAAATTCAAAAATTGCAAAAGATAATCTTTTAAATCCTGTAATCTAGTTCCCTTCTCCAAAGTATCACTGTTACCAGTCTCTTACATATCCTTCCTTCCAGAGATAGGATATGTATATGAAGAAAATACATATCTAATATACATTGTGTATATGTATATATGTAATGTTTACGTATAGGTGTAAAATGTATATATGTGTATGCATACACATATATGTTACAAATACACATATATAGAGATTTTTAAAATGCCAATGGCAGTATATCACGCATTTTGTCCCACACCTTGCCTTTTTCTATTTATTAGTATATCTTGAATCCAGTAGTGTGGTACATGTTTTTAACAACCAGCTGTCTTGCCCCTTTTAGCCTATTCTCCACATAGCAGCCAGGATAATCCTAAACATTAGGTTATGACACTGCTCAGCTAAAAGCCCTCTGATGACTTCCCATCACTCTTAGAATACCACCTGAGGTTTTTCTATGACCTATAAGGCCCTAGCTGATTTGGCCCAACTCCAACTCCATTCTTTTACCACATTCCCTACAACTATTACCCACTCATTCTGCTCAAGCCATACCAACCTCATCTGTTTTTCTGTGTGCTTTTTCTTCTGCCTGGTAGGTTTTGTCTGGTAGACATCACAAGATTTGTTTCCTTCATTTCATTCACCTCCTCAGATTGATTTTCATTAAACTTTAATAGGACCCCCATCACTTCCAGTTCTTCTTAATATTAATAGTTTATAATAATAATTGTTATTATTATTTTTTGAGATGGAGTTTCACTATTTTTGCCCAGGTTGGAATGAAGTGATGCAATGTTGGCTCACTGGAACCTCCCCCCCTAGGTTCAAGGGATTCTCCTGCCTCAGCCTCCTGAGTAGCTGGGATTATAGGCGCCCGCCACCACACCTGGCTAATTTTTGTATTTTTAGTAGAGACAGGGTTTCGGCATGTCAGCCAGGCTGGTCTTGAACTCCTGACCTCAGGTGATCCACCCACCTCGGCCTCCCAAAGTGCTAGGATTACAGACATGAGCCACCGCGCCCGGCCTTATTATAATTATTTTTTGAGACAGGGTTTCACTCTGTCGCCCAGGCTCTGGAGTGCAGTGGTGCAATGACAGCTCACTGCAGCCACTACCTCCTGGGCTCAGGTGATCCTCCCACCTCAGCCTCCTGAGTAGCTGGGACTACAGGGGTGCACCACCATGCCCAGCTAATTTTCTTTGTATTTTTAGTAGAGATGGGGTTTTGCCATGTTGCCCAGGCTGGTCTGGAACTCCTGAGCTCAAGTGATCTGCCCGCCTCAGCCTCCCAAAGTGCTGGGATTACAGGTGTAAGCAATGGTGCCCTGCCATTGTTTTACATATTTTAACTCATTTAGTCTTTACAGCAACTCTTTGAGGTAGATACTATATTATCCCCACTTTACAGACGTGCAAACTGAGTCATACAAATGATTAAATAACCTCCCTAAGGTTACAAAGCTCATAAGTATCAGAGCCAGGATTAAAATCCAGGCAGTTTAATTCCAGAGCCATATTCTATATGGTCATCTCATCTGCTATATATTTTTTAAAAAGTAGTTGTTAAATTGGCAAATAAAAATCTTATATATTTATCATGTGCAACATGTTATTTCGAAATAAGTATACATTGTGAAATAGCTAAATCGAGCTAATTAATACATTACCTCACATACTTATAATTTTTTTGTGGTAAGAAAACTTAAAATCTACTCTCAACAAATTTTAAGAATACAATACCTTGGTTTTAACTATAGTCACCATATTGTGTCATAGATTTTCTGATCTCATCTGCTATTTTTAAACAAGACATTATACTGCTCTTGCCCTGCTTTATTTTTGTAACATAGCACTTACCACTATGCTATGTATCTACTGACATTTCAGATATTATACTATGTGTCTACTTGTTTGTGTTATTTTTGCCTATCATCCCTACTGGGATTTAAGATCTCTGAGAGCAGAATTCAACTTTTCTTCACTGCTGTCTATCACACACCTAAAACAGTGCCAAAACACTATAGGTGCTTGTTGAATGGATGAATGAATGGACATCTATATCTGTAAAGCTATACATACTCCCCCCACCAATATGGAAGCCCCTGTATAAACTGAAAAGTAAGAGATGATGTATTTTTAAGAGTAAAGAAAGAATGATGAATTCTTCCTCCGACTATGATCACCAACACAAACACATGCACCTGCAAAAAAGAGAAAAAAAGAAAAAAACAAGAAAGCATCTACAAAGAACAGTACAAAGCTCTTTGGACAAGATATAAATTACTCAATTTGAAGGATGTATCACTCAGGAAATATGTCGGAAAAAAGAAATATGAGATTATACAGAAGGTAATGGTTTTGCAACTTTCTTTTTTTGGAGGAGATATATTTGAAGACAGCTTTGAATAAATGGAAATAAGTGGTTTTAGCTGGCATGTGGGAAGTAGGAAGGAAAAAATAACATACATTTTCTGGACCTAAATGAAAAAAATAACTAGTTGGTGACAGTTTGTTCTTGAAACACTATAAAGAAAAGTGTATAAAGGCAGATAACATCCAGTGGGATTTTAAGGCTGGAAACAATTTTTTTTTTTTTTTGAGATGGAGTTTCGCTCTGTCGCCCAGACTGGAGTGCAGTGGCATGATCTCGGCTCACTGAAACCTCCGCCTCCCGGGTTCAAGCGATTTTCTTGCCTCAGCCTCCTGAGTAGCTGGGACTACAGGCATGTGCCACCATGTCCGGCTAATTTTTTTGTATTTTTAATAGAGACGGGGTTTCACCATTTTGGTCAGGCTGGTCTTGAACTCCTGACCTCAAATGATCTGCCCGCCTTGGCCTCCCAAAGTGCTGGGATTATAGGCCTGAGACACTGTGCCTGGCCTGGAAACAAAAATTTGATTTTATTACCTTTGGATCTAGCCTGTTTGACCCAGCCCAGTTGCCTCCTCCCTGCAAATAGTTAATGAGAACTCTGTGGCCTTAAGGATTTTTATAAAGAACATTACAACCATTTCTACAGGCTGATATGGTTTTCTGTTTCCTTCTGTCTACAAAAGGGAGTGGTTTTTAATACAATTACCAAATGTCCTGTTTAAGGTAGGTCAGCCTTAGATTTTGATTAGAATCTGAAATTTTGAACAGTTATATTTCTTGCGTGTTTCAGGATTAACAATGAAGAGAGAAGAGACTTTTTAAACAGTAAGATGTAAATATATTTCCTTAATTTTTTTTTTTTTTTTTGGAAACGGAGTCTCTCTTTGTCACCAGGCTGGAGTGCAGTGGCACAATCTCGGCTCACTGCAACCTCTGCCTCCCGGGTTCAAGTGATTCTCCTGCCTCAGCCTACTGAGTAGCTGGGATTCCAGGTGCCCGCCACTATGCCTGGCTAATTTTTTGTATTTTTAGTAGAGATGGGGTTTCACCATGTTAGTCAGGCTGGTCTCAAACTCCTGACCTCAGGTAATCTGCCCGCCTCAGCCTGCTGGGATTACAGGCGTGAGCCAACGTGCCCGGCCTCCTTGACATTTTTATAGGATTCTTACTAGTTAGCATTTATATTTACCTAAAGCACCTAGTTAGGGAGAAGGTAACCAAGAAAGGGACCTCTTTATGGAAAGAATGTGGAAACTGAGGAAGACCAGATCCACCAGTTAAAAACAAAAACCTGTAAATAAAATCCCTGGGTGGCCGGGTGCGGTGGCTCATGCCTGTAATCCCAGCACTTTGGGAGGCTGAGGTGGGTGGATCACGAGGTCAGGAGTTCAAGACCAGCCTGACCAACATGGTGAAACCCTGTCTCTACTAAAGATACAAAAAATTAGCTGGACGTGGTGGCGGGTGCCTGTAATCCTAGCTACTCGGGAGGCTGAGGCAGGAGAATTGCTTGAACCTGGGAGGTGGAGGTTGCAGTGAGCCAAGATCATGCCATTGCACTCCAGCCGGGGCACCAGGGCCAGACTCCGTCTCAAAAATAAAATAAAATAAAATAAAATAAAAAATAAATCCCTGGGTGGATGAGTTTAACTTTCACCCTTCACCATTCCTCGTCTTTTGACCTGTTTTGTTGCTTGAGGCATCGCTTCCTCCATAACACTTTATTCATACCTCTCTTGTACTCCTAAATTAACAGTAGTTTCCCATTTACTTGTTGTATGACCTTGAGCAACTCATCTAATCTCCTAGATCATATTTTCTCATTTGTAAAATTGGGGTAATCGTTGTGACCTCACAGGGTTAGTATGATGATTCAATGAGATAATACATGAAGGATGCTTTTAATATGCAGAACTACAATAACCTATAGTTCTTATTTTTTCCAACCAATTGACCAATAACCTATTAGACTTACTAGAAATCCAGAAACACCCTCTTAGAACTCCACTTTTATTCTGGATCTCATATTCTTTCCTCTACTCAAGGACTTCATCTCTATAATTCTCTCTCTTTTCCCCCCTCTTTGGTTCATCCTCTCTGGAACTCAAATTGCTTTATTACATCTCATCTTAATGCTTACTCCCTCCCTTTTATCACTTGTTCTCTTCAATACCTGCCTATTTTGCTGCTTCATTTCATAGCAAAACTTCTTGAAGGAATTGTTTATACTTTTTGTCCTTACTTCCTCTTCTCTCTTCAACCCACTTCATTCAGATTTATGTCTCCACCCCTTCAAAGAATCAACACTTGCCAAGGCCACTTCCAACTGGCTAAATCCAATGGTCATTTCTCAGTATTTGTCATGCATCAATCACTTCTTAAAACACTCTCTACTCTTGGCTTGAATGTCATCTCTTTTTCTTGGTGTTCTACTTTACATTAATCTCTTTTCCTGGCTTATCCACTTCTCCTAACCTCTAAATGTAGGAGTGCCCCAGGGCTTTTTCCTCAGTTCCACAGGCTCTCTATCTCCCTCCCTTCCTCTCTCCCCTTTCTTTCTATGTGATCTCATCAAATCTCCTCTATTCATGCCAATGACCCTCCAGTTTACGTCTTGAATCCAACCTCTGTCCTGGGCTCCAGAATCATATATCCAATTGCCTGATAGACATTTCTACTTGTATTTCCATTAGGCCCTTCAAATTTAACAAGTCCAAAGTAGAACCACTGAGTTCTGGCCAGACGTGGTGGCCCACACCTGTAACCCCAGCACTTTAGGAGCCCGAGGCAGGTGGATCACTTGATGTCAGGAGTTTGAGACCAGCCTGGCCAACATGGCGAAACCCGTCTCTACTAAAAATACAAAAAAAATTAGCTGGGCATCGTGGCGCATGACTGTAATCCCAGCTACCTGGGAGGCTGAGGCAGGAGAATCACTTGAATCTAGGAAGCAGAGGTTGCAGTGAGCTGAGATCACACCACTGCACTCCAGCCTGGGCGACAGAGTGAGACTCTGTCTCAAAAATAAATAAATAAATAAAACCACTGAGTTCTCTCTTTCTCCAAACCAGCTCTTCTCTACATTTTTCTATCGTTGTGGCACCATTCACTATACACCTAGTTGTTCAGGCACAACTTCTAGGATCATCTTTGATTTCTTTCCTTCCCGCCCTAAATCCAATCCATTAGCAAGCTCTGTCAGCTTTACCTTCCAAGTAGAGCTTGAGCCTGATAACTTCTTACATTTCCACAGTTGTCACCCAGTCCCTGCCATCACCTTCCCTTGCCAGGTCTATTATATCCATCTTTGGAGTGGCCTCTCAAATATTTTTTCCACTACCCTTCCTTTCAGAGAGCAGTCAATGTGATTTTTTTTTTTTTTGAGATGGAGTCTTGCTCTGTTGCCCAGGCTGGAGTGCAGTGGCACGATCTCGGCTCACCACAACCTCTGCCTCCTGGATTCAAGCAATTCTCCTGCCTCAGCCTCCTGAGTAGCTGGGATTACAGGTGTGTGCCACCACGCCTTGCTAAGTTTTGTATTTTCAGTAGAGACGGGGTTTCATCATGTTGCCCAGGCTGGTCTCAAGCTCCTGGTCTCAAGTGATCCGCCAGCCTCGGCCTCCCAATGTGCTGGGATTACAGGTGTGAGCCACCGTGCCCGGCCTGAATGTGATCTTCCTTAAAACATAAATCAGATATCATTCTGCTGCTTTCAAATCCTCCATTGGCTTCCTATGGTGCTTAGATTACAAACTAGCCTCTCTCTGACTTGACTCTGCTTTCCTGTCTGATTTCATTTCTGTTCTTCTTCCGTTTGATCACTGCACTCCAGCCAAACTGGCCCCCTTTTCATTTACTTGAACAAATCAAGCTCACTGCTACTTCTGGACCTTATTGTTGTTGCTTTAATGTGGACTACTCTGCAGATCTTTGCATGGCTACTTCCTTTAGCTCATTCAGGTCTCTGCTCAAATGTCATGTCCTCAGGGAGGCCTTTTTGACCATTCTAGGTAAAGAAGAAGCCCCCTCTCCCTACTACAACCTATGTCAATTATACTGCAAGGCATGTATCACTATCCCAAAAGATATCATTTATTTAAATCCTTTTGGTCTGTCTCTGTACACTTAAGTGCCATGAAAGCAGCACAATTATTTGTCTCATTCACCATTGTATCACCAGTGTCTAGAAGAGGGCCTAGCTCAATACAGGTGTTCAATAAATGTTTGTTAGATAAACAGTGAATAGGACCACTGGTACACTGTGTTCTGTTGAAATCTGGTGCTACAAGGTGTACAGAAAGTGCTGGTCCATTGGTGACTCATATTCAGTGGCTCTTCAGGGGAGTAGCTCTTCAAGTCCACTTCCTCCATTCTTAGCTAAGCCAAGGGTGCTTCTTGCTTGGGCTCCTATTATTACAATTTCTAGTGCCCTGTTCTTCATAAGCATCCATCTCCTAGGGAGCTAGCTGGCTCCAGGACTGAGTTTCAGAAGTTGCTCTGGACTCTACTATTCCATGGACCCCCAAATCAGTGTGCTAATGGAGGATACCCTGGGTGAATCCAAGGCAGTTTCCTGTCACTTTCCTTGCAGAAAGAAAGGAGGGAGTTGAAGGGAAAAGGAGAGAAGGAAAGAAAGAAGGAAAATACAATAAAAATACAAATTACATTTCTTTGTGGTTACGTTTTGGAACAGTGATTCATTAATTAATGCATTTAACAAATGTGTATTGCTTGCCAACTATGCGTCAGGCACTCTTCTATGCACATTATTGCTATAATTGCCATGATCTCTATCATCTTCATCATACGTCTATATTAGACTGTGAATTTCTCAAAGGCAGAGATGGCCAGGCATGGTGGCTCACACCTGTAATTCCAGCATTTTAGGAGGCCAAGACGAGAGGATTACTTGAGCCCAGGAGTTCAAGACCAGCCTGACAACATAGGGGGATGCCATCTCTACAAAAAATAAAAAATTAGGTGGGCATGGTGGTGTGCGCCTGTGGTCCCAGCTATTAGGGAAGCATAAGTAGGAAGGCTTGCTTGAGACCAGGAGGTTGAAGTTGCAGTGACTTACGATTGCGCCACTGTACTCCAGCCTGGACAACACAGCAAGACCCTGTCTCAAAAAAAAAAAGCAAGCAGAGACAATCTTTTCATTGTAACAAGTGCATAGTAAATGTCTACTGCCTGAATGAATGAAACAGAGGAGAGAGTTAATGAAAGACATTAAAGAAGATTAGGCCCAGTTACATTTATATTCAGACAAAAACATAGAACGATTGTTCTTTAAATTGTACAATGTTATTATATTAAATTTTAAATGTCTTCCATGTTTTACATTTGTCTATTTAACATACTTTTTTTTTTTTTTTTTACATATTTGTAATTTTTCTTTCTTTTTTTTTTTTTTGAGATGAAGTCTTGCTCCATTGCCCAGGCTGGAGTGCAGTGGCATGATGTCGGCTCATTGCAATCTCCTCCTCCCAGGTTCAAGCAATTCTCTTGCCTCAGCCTCCTGAGTAGCTGGGATTACACGCAGGCACCACCACGCCCAGCTAATTTTTGTATTTTTAGTAGAGATGGGGTTACACCATGTTGGTCAGGCTGGTCTCAAACTCCTGACCCTGTGATCCGCCCACCTCGGTCTCCCAAAGTGCTGGGATTACAGACGTGAGCCACCACACCTGGCCCATATTTGTAATTTTACAAATAAAATGTATGACTCAACATATTTGTAATTTGACACCTTCTGTCTTTCTACTTAACATTAATGACAAACATTTTTTAGTGTTTGTTTTGATTTTGGTTTTTGTTTGTTTGTTTGTTTTGAGACAGTGTCTCGCTCTCTTGCCCAGGCTGGAGTGCAATGGCACGATCTCATCTCACTGCAACCTCCACCTCCCGGGTTCAAGCAATTCTCCTGCCTCAGCCTCCCAAGTAGCTGGGATTACAGGCGCCTGCCACCACGCCTGGCTAATCTTTTGTATTTGTAGTAGAGATGGGGTTTTGCCATGTTAGCCAGGCTGGTCTCAAACTCCTGACCTCAGGTGATCCACCTGCCCTGACCTCCCAAAGTGCTGGAATCACAGGCGTGAGCCACTGTGCCCAGCCCTGAGTGTTTCTACATTATCATTATCTTCATGGCTTTCTGTAATTTAGTAATTTCTCTTATTTTTGAAGCATTGTTGGGTTCCCTGTGGTCACTAGCAATGCAGACCCTGGAACAACTGGTCAGGTGTTTGTGCTTCTTCCACAAATGACAAAATGAAGGAGCACCCGGGAAAGTACATCTCATTCTGGAGGAAGAGATGGCACCACATGAGGAGCAGGCAGGGAGTCAATCCCAGGTGCACTTAGGAGAGAAGAAAGGCACATCCACCTGGTAAGCCGCTCTGAAATGAGTAGCGTGCAGGGTGATGTTGAGCTCTATTCTGCAGTTCGATCAACATGCTTCTACCTCTCGGCCCTCACATAGCAGCCTGCCTGGCTGCCATCTGCCAAGCTTTTGCTTTCCTTTCTGTTTTGCATAAGGCTTTTGCTTTTAATATGCTGCTACTGAGTACAGAAAAACAAGAGCGTACCAGACTTCAGGGATCTGCCTGTTTCTTTTCTGCCTTTTAATAGAGCTTAGCTCTTTTGCCACTTGTTATTGTCAAGTACAACATGAGTTCAGAGAAAGAATACTGCACCTGACCGGGGATGGATGCCACGCCTTGAAGAAATTGGCAGGAAACAGAAGAGGTTTATAGGATCTTCTCTTCTGCCACTCCCATCTTGGAAACAAGTGGAAGTACATTTGCAAAATTATATTGAAAAAAATGAGAAAATGCATTTTTCTTTATAGTCAACCCTTCTGACATGGACCTAGTTTCAAATGAAGTTATGAGGAAATGGCCCTTATGACTAAATGTTGATTCATGTGCTGTGAGCTGTGAACCCAGGATGAGAAATGGGAGGAAATCAAACTAAGGAATGGAAAGGGGGAAGTGCTCTGGGTGCCTTGCCTAAGAGACTGAACCCTCAAATCTTGGAAATAAACCATATTTTGTAAACCAGATAATTTAGACTTAGGTTATTTTGTGTGTCTCTTATTTGGTATCATTTATCAAGTTATGTTTTAAAAGTCTATAGCTTTGGGCTATAACATATATGCTTAGGCCAGAGTTTAATGGGGATCAACAGCATCCCTGGAAGCCTATATCTCTTCAGCAGGTATCGAGAGAGATCCTAAGAGAAAGATGATTCTGGTAGCGGTGACACCCAAAAATCAAAGTCCAAATTGAGTAGGGGCTCCTTTCCAACAGGCAATCTCTTGCTACAGTAAATCTTGGATGTTATTTAAATTTTATTTTATTTTTATTTCACAAAGTACACTAAGGCCAGGTGTGGTGGCTCATGCCTGTAATCCCAGCACTTTGGGAGACCGAGGTGGGTGGATCACCTGAGGTCAGGAGTTCAAGACCAGCCTAGCCAACATGGTGAAATCCCGTCTCTACTGAAAATACAAAACTTAGCCAGGTGTGGTGGCGCATGCCTGTAGTTCCAGTTACTCTGGAGGCTGACGCAGGAGAATCACTTGAACCTGGGAGGCGGAGGTTGCAGTGAGTCAAGATTGCACCACTGCACTCCAGCCTGGGTGACAGAGCAAGACTCTGTCTCAAAAAAAAAAAAAAAAAAAAGTACTCTATCCTTTAAGAAGTACACTCAAGCCCACAAGAATTCTTTTGAATATATTTAAAGTAACATGAGAAAATTAAATAAAAAACTTAAATAATGATATTTTCTACAAACTCTAGGATCAAGCACCAATTAAAGAGGATGAGTAGGCTGGGCGCGGTGGCTTATGCCTGTAACCCCAGCACTTTGGGAGGCCCACACAGGCGGATCACTTGAGGTCAGGAGTTCGAGACCAGCCTGGCCAACGTGGTGAAACCCCGTGTCTACTAAAAATACACAAATTAGTCAGGCGTGGTGGTGGGCATGTGTAGTCCCAGCTGCTTGAGAGGCTGAGGCATGAGAATCGCTTGAACCTGGGAGGTGGAGGTTGCAGTGAGCTGAGATCGCACCACTGCACTCCAGTCTGGGCAACCAAGCGAGACTCTGTCTCAAAAAAAAAAAAAAAAAAGAGAATGTGTAAAAGATAATGGAATTATTACATATTCAAGGTCTCATCTACCTTGACATTTCTATGATAGATGTCATCATTCATTCATTCACTGAACATTTACTGACTCTTAAGTGACAGGTATTATAGGCAGTGACTTGTACACTGTTGTTATCTATGTTGGTTTTTAATAATTTCAAAATGAAATACATTTTGATAAGCAAAGTCTAAGAGAGTGTGGCACAAACACTTTAACGCATATAAGCTCGGTGGCTCATGCCTGTAACCCCACCCAGCACTACCCACTCAGGAGCTTATCTATGCTCTGCCAGAATGTATGTTCATCCCTGGAAACCTCACTTGAGAGTGCAGAAGGAGGCTGATACCATCCACGCTCTTCCTATACTACACAGTCTTGTCTGAAATTTAGTCACCTTAATCACTGTTTACTATAAAGTTCCACAACTTAAACATCAGGCAATTACAGGATATGGTGTTTCGGCCCTAATGAACCTTGCAAATACCTGAAATACTCAGAATACTTATTTTCATTCCAGATCTACTCCTAAATTTAAGGGGAGCAGAAGAATGCGAATGAAGGCCAGTAACTATTGTGAATACTATACTAAATTGTCTGTAGGTAATAGCCACACATTGGAACACTAACAAAAGGAAAATGTATGCTTGATACTACTGAGAAACAATACTTTGTCATGCAGGAATCTATAGCATTCAAGCTGAGATGAAGGATTTGACAAGTTAATTTGTCTTCTCTCTTACCTAAGCATTTCTGCTGCTCAAATTCTGACTCCAAAGCAGTCTCTGAAATGGGCAGCCATGCTATGTACAAATTTTCACTGCTTTTGGAGTTCACCGTTTGTTTTGAGGACAGAAGACAAAAGATAGGAAGAAGAGTTTTCCTGGGGCCTGAATAGTGTTCTTCACTGGGAGAGGGAATTTATGGTTATGAGCCAGTGTTCAGTATCAGATCACAAGCGGCAGGGGCACCTATTTTTTTTTAAATTAATGTGTGTGTGTGATATGTAAGTTCCTTTAAAGCATGGAGTCCAGGATAGAAGTCTCTCTTGCCCAGGTCTAAGGGTGCGGGGGGAAGGGGGGGGGCGCGGCGGTGGGAGGGAGTACTTTAGTGATACTAGGAATTTAATGCCAAATGTATTTGCTGTGTGACCTAGATGGCTGAATTTTTTAAAAAGTTCTTCAGCATCGAGAAAAATCCAGTTAGACCGATAGCTTAGAGAGCTGTAGCTTATTTCTAAATTTGACTTTCCCTAAAACTAAGTGTAAATGTCAGTGATATGAGGACTTTTTAAAGAAACAAAATAAAGAAACAAGATACACAAAAATAGAGCAACTATGGCCAATCTTGTTTCATCCCTTTTCATCTATGACCTTACTCATACCCCTATCCATAATAAATGACTTTCAGCAAATCCTAGATGTTCTGCATCCTATATCTTTCTAACAGATATTCTTAAAAAGTATGACCACAATACCATTATCCAATTATTCCTTGTTCAACAAGCACTTACAATTTCATCCATGTGAAAGGCACCTCATGATTTTTACTTGAGGATGAAGATAATTTCTCATGAATTCTCATTGTTTTAAGTCACCTGAAGAGGTGTGATATGCTACAATAAATCTATTTGTAGGGCTTGGCTTCAAGAACTGAAGATTCTGGACCTAGCTGATCTGGTGACAGTGAACTTGAGACCTCTAATAGCGTTTAACTATTTTTTTTTAACTTTTGGAAAGCAAGGTGTAGGAAGGGGATTTAGTTTTTCCATTAGGTCGTGGCATGTTAAGACTTGTTTCTTTTTCCAAAATGTTCAAGTTGCTGAAGAGAACTATGGACTATGGGTCAGGAAGTCCGTCGGTTTCGGGTCACATTCCGCTCCCGCAGGCCTGCGGGCCGCCCCAGCTGGTTTGTTCCCGGCGTGTTAGAGGTCAGAGGCCGAGGCCGCACTCAGTGCCTGGGTCTCGCGCAGCTCCAGGGCTCTCAGGCGACACTGGGCGTTTCCTTTCCGGCTTCGGAAAGTTTTGTTTTGGTTCAAGGAAAGGCGCCCTGTTGACCAAAGGCTTCTCAGTCTCCTCCGGGTGGCCAGCGGCCAAGTTTCCTCCAGCCCAGCGAGTCCAGACTATAGTCCGTTCGAGATCCTCGAAGGCCGGGGAAGCGAGTCTTGTGAGGAGAGAAAGCGAGTGGGCAGCCAGCCTGCCGACTCCACTGCCGCTGGCTGGCCCTTCTCTTCCCTCTGTCCCTGGGCCAGTGCCCGTCGCACCACAAACAGTGCGAGCAGTCTCCCCGGTGACTCCTCAAGGACCCAGTTCTCCACCATTCCTAAGAGAACACTCAACCCAGCCGCGCCCGGGATGCAGAGAGATCTACCAACACCCGAGAATGGGGACAGGGCGCATGCGCACACCGTGGCCGTGGCGTCTAAGTGCTCGCCCAGCTGCGGCAGCCGCTAGGTGGCGCATGCGCCCTGGAAGGTGCGGGCCGGTCTCTGGGAAGAAGGCGGCGGCGGCGAAAGGCGGGGGTGCTGTGGGGGCCGGGCCGTGTTTACACAGCGGCGGGCGGGCGCGGACGCGGAACCCGGCGCGGCGGCGGCACGATGGTCATGGCGTATTTCGTCGAGAATTTTTGGGTAAGCTTAGGATGTTGGAAGTCGTGTGTTTCGAAGTCCAAGGCTTTTGGCGCCTGAGCTTGGCCTGCGTGCGCTTCGGGCGGCGGCGGCGGCCCCTCCGGCAGGGCGAGCGTCCTCCTGCCGCGTCCCGCCTGGGTGAGGTCCGGCGGGCGACCGGTCGCCAGCCTATAGGGACTCCCGGGCTCGCAGCCCTATGGGGACGGGGGCTGTCACCGCGGCCCGGGGGCCCGCAGCGGGGCCGCCGGCCACCGGGGCTGGGACAAAGCGCCGGATGGGGCGGGAGACGGGACCCAGCCCCACCGGAGGCTCCCGGTGCCGCGCTCCGCGCGGGGCGTGCGCGGCAGCTCGGACGCGAAGGACGGGCCCGCGGCACAGCCGCCTCCCGCTGCGCGCTGGCTGGGAGCGCCGGGCGGTGGGGTTTTGCCTCCTGCCCTCACCGCGGGCCCCCCATCTGAGCGATCCCTTTTACCTCTGACGGTTTCCACACCAAATCCAGTGCGGGGTTGGGCTGGACTAGCACTTCCTCTCAGCCTCGCAGCTCGGCTCGTGGGTTTGCGCCCAGGACTTTGCCTCTGGGCCTGTTCACAAAGCGTTTAAAAGTTGGATTTAATGTAACTGGACTCCTTGGGCTTAAATGCATGGAGACCTCCCCCTACTCTGTGCTCCTTCCCCTTCCTCATTCTTTCCACCCCTTGTCTTAGCTCAGTATTAGATTCTTCTTTGAGAATTTCTCCGGCTCCCGGTGGAGTATTTTTCTGCAGTTATTGTTTTTTTTTTTGTAATGGGAAGTACAGTTCAGCCATGTACAGGAAAGGAACGTGTTTACTCAGGTATCTTTCGTGAATCCCATTTTATGCCCTGACAGTTGCAAGTACTGCAGGTCCATTTTCGTTGAGATTTAGACATATTTAAAGGGGTAATCTTTTAGCTAGTAAGGAATGTATGTTAAATTCTTAATTCTAAGTGCCTCAAGCATGGTCTTGGTTAGTAATCAGATCAGTTCATAGTTATTTATTTGTCTTGAATGTACCTTGTTTTCCACAAAGAACGTATATACTAGACCTTAGGTGTTTTGTTTTTTAAACAGCTTTATTGAGTTCACATTTCCGTACCAATACACTCATTTAAAGTGTAGTACAATTCAGAGGTTTTTTCATATGTTCATAGAGTTGTGTAAACATCACCATATCAGTTTTACAACAATTTCGTTATCCCAGAAAGAATCCCTAGACCCATTAGCAGTCACTCCCCATTTTCCCCCTGCCCCAGGCCTAGGCAACTAATGTATTTTCTGCCTCTCTGCATTTGTCTAGTCTGGACATATCCTATAAATGGGGCCATGGTGACCAGTTTCTTTCACTTAGCATAATGTTCTCAAAGTTTATCCATGATGTAGCATGTATCACTACTAATTCCTTTTTATGGTCAAATAATATTCCATTCCACATTTTATTAATATTTATCCAATCAGTGATGGACATCTGGTTGTTCCCACTTTTGGGTTATGAATAATGCTGCATGAACATTTTTGTACAAGTTTTTGTGTGAACATATGTTTTCATTTCTTTTGGGAATGGGATTCCTGGGTCAAATCGTAGCTCTATGTTTAACATTTTGAGGAACTGCCATACTATTCTGAAGTGGTTGTAGCATTTTACAATCCCACCAGCAATATCTGAGGGTTCCTCTCCACATGCTCACGAACACTTATTTGTCCTTTTTATTATAATATAGTGAGTGAACGTGAAGTAGTATTAATATTTTATTGTGGTTCGATTTGCGTTTCTTTGATGCTTAACATCACAGTTAATGTGCTTATTGCCTATTTTTATATTTTCTTTGGAGAAATGTCTATTTAGATTAATTGCCCATTTAAAAATTGGGTTGTCTTTTTTTATAATTGAGTTGTAAGAGTTTTTTTTTTTTTAATATTCTGGATACACACCTTATCTGATACATAATGTGCAAACATTTTCTCCCATTCTGTGGCCTGCCTTTTCATTTTCTTGATGCTGCTCTTTGAAGTAACTCATAAGTTTTTATTTCTCGTGAAGTCTTGGTGAAGTCCATCTTATCTATTTTTTTCTATTACTTGTGCTTTTATTGCATCTAACCCAAAAATTATTTGCCTAACCCAAAAATTACGCCTTTTTTCTTGTTTTCTTGTAAGGGTTTTATAGTTTTACTTCTTCTGTTTAGTTCTATGATCCATTTGAAGTTAATTTTTGTGTATGGTGCAAGGGAAAGGTATAACTTCATTCTTTTGCAATTGTGTATCCAGTTGTCCCAGTACCATTTGTTGAAAAGGTTCATCTTTCCCCGTTGAATTGTGGTACCATTGTCAAATATCAATCGACCAGAAATGTATGGATTCATTTCTGTATTTTCAATTCTATTCCATTGTCTTCCCTTACGACAGCCAGTAACACACAGTTTGGATTGCTGTTGTTTGGATTACAAATTTGTTTTGTATAGCAAATTTGGAATCAGGAAGTATGAGTCCTCTAGCTTTTTCCTTCTTTTTCAGGATTATTTTGACTGCCCTGGGTTCCTTGCATTTCCAGATGAATTTTAGGATTAGCCTGTCAATTTTAGGCATTAGGTTTTACAATGGCAATTTATAAAATGTTTTAAAGAGCATTTAAAAATTGATGCTCTTGTAAATGTTATGCATATTTTTGATGCATGAATGTTTTTTAAGTTGCTAACTTAATTCCAAATTGCATCTTCACATTAAAAGTTATGTTTCGTTTTCTGTTAATTGAGCTTTGAGCATAGCTTTGTTTGATGTTTTTGGCTAATATGAATAATACTTCTCTGAATATCTTTCTACACATTTTTATGTGCTTCTTGGGTATTCTTGTTACAAGAGGGATGGGAATAAACTTCAATATTTGAATTCTGGAGAGACCTCCAAATCTAATTTATGTTTTAGTTTTTGCCTTCACTTTCACTATTGAAAACAAATAGTTAATAGACTGCATTTTATTTTATTTCCTGGCTTGGAATTGGGGCTGTGAGGAGGCTCAGTGAGCTAGGAAGGTCTAGGAATTAACTAAATAATTAACTTCCGAGAATTTATAGTTGTCATTTTAGGCTGGGCATGGTGGTTCACTCCTGTAATCCCAGCACTTTGGGAGGCTGAGGCAGGGGAATGGATTGAGCCCAAGAATTGGAGACCAGCCTGGGCAACACAGTAGACCTTGTCTCTACAAAAAATTTTAAAAAATTAGCCAAGTGTGGTGGCATATGCCTGTAGTCCCAGCTACTTGGAAGGCTAAGGTAGGAGGATTGCTTGAGCCCAGGAGTTCAAGGTTGCAGTAGGTTATGATTGGTCACTGTACTCCAGCCTGGGCAACAGAGTGAGACCCTGTCTCAAAAACAGAAAACTAAAAATTCACATATTTCAGGATCATTTATAAAATAATCCCTTAAAATAGATATTAATTTAACTCTTCCCTCTAGCATTTAAAGTGGAACTATTAAAAGGAAATAAAATTGTCAAAATTCAAAACATCGTGCTCTATATGATAAATATATATGTTTTTCATCAATTAAAAGATAAAAACTTGTCAAAGTGAGGTAGTGAGAACCTTTGATGTTTTAGGTCTGTCTTGTCTTGTCTTCTCTTCTCTCTCTTCTCTTCTTTCTTTTTTTTTTTTTTTTCTGAATTGCAGTCTCACCGTGTTGCCTGGGCTGGCACGCAGTGGCACGAGCATGGCTCGCTGCAGCTTCAACCACCCAAGCTCAAATGATCCTCCCACCTCAGCCTTCCAAGTAGGTGCGACCACAGGTACAGGCCACCATGACCAGCTGGTTTTTAAATTATTTGTGGAGATGAGATCTCGCTATGTTGCCCAGGCTGGTCTCGAACTCCTGGGCTCAAGCCATGTTTCCGCCTCAGCTTCCCAAAGTGCTGGGATTAAAAGGCTGAGCCACTGTGCCCAGCCAAAGTTTTAGGTTTCTAATCAAACAACCTATTAATTGTTTTCTCCCCTACATGTATAAAGACAAACCTTTTTTGTTGTGACATTTCATTAGAAGAAAGTTTGAATCGTTGAAACTCTCTTCAAGCTCTTTTGAAAGCAGCACATTCTTCCTTTTTCTTTAAAGTATAGGTTTTCTCAATTGAAACTATATGCTAAATTGAAAATTCCTTTACTTAATACTGTACTTTGAAGGAAAAATTATTCAAAACCTTTTACAGAACAGGTGTTTTGTTATTGATAAGTCAGTTTTTGCCACGAAGTATAGCACCATTGATAATCAAGCTGAAATTGGACAGCAAAATTAAAATTGGACGCAAAAATAATTTTACTAGTAGAAATTCACACCATTGCTTTTAATATGTAAAAACAATTGTTTTTTATCTTTATTTTTACATATTAAACATTATGTAACTTTAAAAAGATATTATAAAAGATTATGTAACTTTAAAAAGATATTGATCAGTATTACAGTGAGGAAGTGTCTAAGCCGCTGCTTTCTCAAAGGAATAATTGAGTACAAGTTTATAATAGTCTTGAGATTATAACAACATTGCTATGTAATAATTAAAATGGCATTATATTTTTATGTAAACCCAGATTATTCAGCAAAAAAACCTTAATGCATTTCATAGGTAATTATTAATGGGGGACAAATAAGTATGTAAAACATACCTGAGTTGAATAGCTTATAATCTTCATTTTACAGAGTAATCCCAATCTATATACGATATGAAGCATTCACCCAAAGACACTAAGTAGTATTCTTTAGTATATATCACATTGTAATGAGCTGAGATTTTTAGTTAGGTGACTTTTTCCAGAGGTTATCTATAGTCAGCACATAAAAAATGAACAAACAACAATTAGGTATTTTTATCCTGAAGTTTTTCCTTATTTCTTTTACTGATTAACTGTACAGAAGTCTCATTTCACTTGATTTTATTGGTTTTGTTACATTTTGATTTAAAATTAAATTGAAACATTGGTTATATACCCAAAATTTGATTTATCATTACTTGGATAAGCTAAGAGAATTAAAATGTATTTTAAAATTCTGGAATTGCTATTAATAGGTCTTTGGGATAAAAAACATTATTATATTTTTGCTTGATTAATCTAAACTTAGTATCCTAGATGAGAGACTAACACACATTCTTTGGGGTTATGTATCCATATGAAATTTTAAAATATATATCTTTAGCAAATTAGTTTAGGTGACCATATTTGAAACCCAGAATAAAGGCTTTTCATTACTTGAAATTTCCAAATATTGTAGTTTGGGATACCTGTTTTTAGGATATGATCCCATCAGATGACATACCAAAACAAAATCTATATATCTGTATATATTTACTTTATACATTAAGAGATTTGCAAATTTTACATGGTTTAATATTTAAAAGGTATAAGAGGGAGTAAATCTTCTTTTTCTCTGGTAATCAAGATGTCCCTAAAGGCAATCACCATTACCAATTTCTTTCTTTTTTTTTTTTGAGACGGAGTTTCGCTCTTGTTGCCCAGGCTGGAGTGCAATGGCGCGATCTCAGCTCGCTGCAACCTCTGCCTCCCAGGTTCAAGCAATTCTCCTGCCTTAGCCTCCCTGGTAGCTGGGATTACCGGCATGCACCACCATGCCTGGCTAATTTTGTATTTTTAGTAGAGATGGGGATTCTCCATGTTGAGGCTGGTCTCGAACTCCTGACCTCAGGTGATCCGCCTGCCTCGGCCTCCCAAAGTGCTGGGATTACAGGCATGAGCCACCATGCCCGGCTTCACCATTACCAATTTCTTATATGGTTTTCCACAGATGAGACCAAATAACATACACTCCACTAGGTTAAAATTATTATTGTATAACTTTTAGCAAGTTAGCCAGGCCCAACTTGTTCCCATTGCAACAAGCTGTGAAAATGAAGACTACAGATTCATTTAACTTGATGCAGAAGACTTGACAGTAGACATTATAAAATTATAGTGTTTTAGATTGCACTAAAATTTGAGAGGCCCTTAGAATTTTTTAAGGGGTGTGATTTGTTTTATTTTTTAACCTTAATTATAGGAGAAATTTGGAAGTGAAAATTGGTACTGATTTAGTGTGTATATATGTTCAGTTCAGGGGGAGGATTTTAGAACTTTGACATTTGAAAGGATATAAATTTGATGTCTGCGTTCTTTTTTAGCTCTACACACTAAATCCTAAATGCTGTAGTCCTTTCAGAACTACTTAAATTATTTAAGCAAAGGATGAGGGAACAGTTATGCTTTAAATCATCCTGCACATGTGGCTAATATAAGCCCTTTGAAAGTAGTTTTTTGAGTCACTGAGGTATCTCCTGAGATTATCCATCCTGATGTCATAATTCTAGAATAGTTAACGGAAGCACCCTTAGAAATTCAAATGGAAATAGGATCCCATGGAAACTTAAAAAGGAAGGGAATAAGGACTTGGGTTTCAGTTTTCTTAGTGTGGAAAAATTAAAGAATATTAGAGTTGGGGCAGGTGCAGTGGCTCACGCCTGTAATCCCAGCACTTTGGGAAGCTGAGGTGGGCGGACCATGAGGTCAAGAGATCAAGACCATCCTAGCCAACATGGTGAAACCCCGTCTCTACTAAAAATACAAAAATTAGCTGGGCGTGATGGTGCGAACCTGTAGTCCCAGCTACTCAGGAGGCTGAGGCAGGAGGATTGCTTGAACCCGGGTGGCAGAGGTTGTAGTGAGCCGAGATCACGCCACTGTACTCCAGTTGGGCGACAGAGCAAGACTCTGTCTCAAAAAAAAAAAAGTATTAGAATTGGAAGAATTTTAGTAGCAATCTGGTCCAAAAAGATAAGTATAAATTGTTGTGATGTGGGGAGAAACAAAAACAACAGCATGACAGCAACTGAGACCTGTAATGATATCTACTATATTGATAAATGTGCAAGAGGATGTTGCTGGAATGGCCAGAGTCAGAGATAATTAAACTGGAAAGTGTTACAGTGTGTGATAAAGTTGAGGAGATAGTCATGCTCCCTGATGTATTTGAAGGAGTGAAGATTATGGAAGATATATCAAGCACGTTTGCTTGACTTTAGGGAAAAGATTGGAAAGTATAATATAAGTAAAGCAAATTAGTGGTGGTGGTGGAGCCTTAAAACCAAGGGGAGTGAGTTTTCAGTTGGTTGAAGCAACAGCCACAAGTCTGCATGGTTTTCCTTTTTAATTAAAACCATTATTATGGGATAGGTAAAACACAGAAGAATACAGAACACAAATTGCCTATAGCCTCTCCCTCTACCCTTATAATTTTCTTTAGAAATACAAAATTCAAGATAGATTCTACTATATGGTTGTGTGTCTTGGTATTTTCAGTTGATATTACCATCAAGCATTTTTCTCATGTGAATAAGTATTCTTTAATAGGTTTCCATGGAATGGATAGGCTGTAAATTTTTTTTTTTAGACAGGGTCTTCCTCTGTCGCCCAGGCTGGAGTGCAGTGGCCCCATCACCATCATAGCTCACTGCAGCCTTGAACTCCTGGGCTCCAGGGATCCTCTTGCCTTAGCCTTTGGAGTGGCTAGAACTACAGGCGCATGCCACCACACCCAGCTAATTTTTAAAAAAAATTTGTAGGGACGAGGTCTTGCTATGTTATTTAGGCTGGTCTCAAACTCTTAGCCTCAAGGGATCCTCCTGCCTCAGCCTCCCAAAGTGCTGGGATTCCAAGTGTGAGCCACCACACCTGGCCAGATAGGCTGTAATTTTCTTTAATCATTCCCATTTTGTATGGGAACTTTCAGTTTTTTTTTTTTTTTTTTTTTTTTTTTGTTTATGAATTACAAGGACTGGAGATTTAAGTACTGATGTGAACAAGATGCCAGTTTAAGAAAGTAGCCTTCTGTCTCTTTGTAGGCATAGATTGAAGAGCTGAGAAAACTGAAATTGTTGGTTTAGTTTTTTTATTTTGAAAGTAATGAAAAATACTTTCATTTATAGAACATTACAGAAAACGCAAAATATATAAAAATTAAAAAATTAACTACTGTTTGCTTCTGTAGTTTTTTCTCAACCCATATAATATTTATTTAGATAGCTTTAAGGATTCAACTAACTGGCAGAGGTGAACTATAATATAAAAGATTAGGGAAGAATATCTGAGAGGTGAGAAAAACAATTTTTTGAAAGGTAGTAAGATTTCTTTCCTTCAATCAACCAACAAATATGTTTGAGTCACTTTTGTACCTGCATCAAATCGTTCTGACTGCCTATTCTACATACTTTATTTCATTTTTATTTATTTAGAGACTGAGTTTCGCTGTATTGCTCAGGCTGGAGTGCAGTGGCATGATCTCAGCTCTGCAACCTCTGCCTCCCGGGTTCAAGTGATTCTCCTGGCTCAGCCTCCCAATATAGCTGGGATTACAGGGGCACGCCACCACACCTGGCAAATTTGTAAAATATTTTTAGTAGGGACGGGGTTTCACCATGTTGGCCAGGCTGGTCTCAAACTCCTGACCTCAGGTGATCCACCCACCTTGGCCTCCCAAAGTGCTGGGATTACAGGTGTGAGCTACCGCGCCTGAGCATTCTATATATTTTAGTCACTATTTTCTCCATTAGCAGTATCTCTTGCCAGTAGCTCTGCAGAGTACTTTTAATGATCATGACTAAAAATGTCAATGTACGGTTGTCTCCCCATCCATAATTTCACTTTCCACAGTTTCAGATCTGAGGTCAACTGCAGTCTGAAAATATTAAATGGAAAATTCCAGAAATAATTCATAAGCATTGAAATCTCACTGTGTCCTGTTTGGTATGCGAATCATCCCTTTGTCCAGTGCATCCATAGTATATACCCTTCCTGCCCATTAATCACTTAGCAGCCATCTTGGTTATCAGATTAAAAAAAAAAAACAGTGTATAAAGGGTTCATGACCAGTATATAAAGGGTTCGTGACTATCCATGGTTTCAGGCATCCACTGGGGGTTTTGAAACATATCCCCTGTGGAGAAGAGGGGACTACTGTACAAATAAGAGTATTGATGAGAAGAGGTTGTAACTTGTGGTTGAACGTCCCGTATACCTGTAGAAAAATTGCTTGCATACAAAGGCATACCTTAGAGATATTGTGTATTGAATTCAAACAACCACAGTGAAGCAAGTCACAAACTCCTGGTTTTTCAGTGCATATAAAAGTTATGTTTACACTATATTATTTACACTATACTGGTGTATTAAATGTGCAATAGCATTTTATCTAAAAATGTATATACCTTAATTAAAAAATACTTTATTGCTAATGCTAACAGGGAAGAAGTGAGCACATGCAGTTGGAAAAAAGATACTGATAGACTTGCTTGACACGATTGCCACAAACCTTCAATTTGTAAAAATGCAGTATTTTCAAAGTGCAGTAAAGCAATGCTCAATAAAAGAAAGTACAGTAAAATGAAGTGTGCCTGTATTTTACCTCCAGCTCCCTAGCAGTTTTCAAGGCCAGAGTGGCACTGGAGAGCTGTCATTGCATGTCTATTGAGTTCTCATCAAAGCGTATCTGTAGGTTCTTCACTAAAGGGGCTGTTCTTCAAAGAAAAAAATCTTTAGGATTAGTAAAATGTTTTTTGGTGTGTTTCAGAGAAGTCAAGATAAAGTGAGACTGTATCAAAAATATGAATGTTATATTGTGCATTGACTTGTCCAGGGTTGTCTATTAAATGTCCATAAGAGCTAAATTAAAAGGAAAATGTAGACAGGGTGGGAAGTTATAGTATTTATTTATTTTTGAGGTGGTTTAGAGTTGAGAGGGAGGTTAGGCATGTTATTGGTGTTTGCAGGATAGTACCTCCTGACCCTTCTCTTACCCCTCCAAAGAACTTTTTGAAAAAAAGGAAACTTGGTAAAACCAATTTTTTAATCAGTAATGTGATTATACAATATACAATCTATCTTCTGCCTATTTTTCAAATCTTGGACTCACCAAAAGTGAATGCTCGCCACATGCAGTGGCTCACACCTGTAATCCCAGCACTTTGGGAGGCCAAGGTGGGAGGATTGCTTGAGGCTAGGAGTTGGGAGACTGGCTTGAGCAACATAGCGAGACCCTGTTTCTACATAAACTTTTTTTAAAAAACTGAATGCTATCCAGGTTTTTTATTTTTAGTGTCTAATTTACTGTTACTCTTAAAAAGTTCACCGAAGGAGAAGTTTCAAACCCTTATCTTTTTGTTTTTTTAGAGACAGGTTCTCACTTTGGCCAGGCTGGTCTTGAACACCTGGCATCAAGCAAGCCTCCTTGCTCAGCCTCTGGAGTAGCTGGGATTACAGGCACAAGCCTCTGACAATAAATTTTTAAAAAAATCTTAAACATGTAAAGTTGCAGAAGCCAAATGGAAATGTTTGGATTCACAAGAGGCTGTGGTTTTATGTTATATTCTTCTTAATAAATGGAAATGGTTATTCAAAATGCTAAGGATATTGTTCATATTATCTTGTTACAGATGTGACATTTTAATTTGTGATATGTAGGCAAAGTAATTACTAGCTACATTAGCTGATGAGTTTATCAGGAATCACTTCAACATAGCTGGAAGTTTTTATGCTTTCTGTTTTCAGTGGACTGTGGAAAAATCAAGTTTTGTATTATGTAACACTTGCTTATGGTATAACACTTTCCAACAAATATATTCCATTTTTCCATTTTCACTAAAGAAGAATAAAAACTGCTGCCTGTAAAGAGAGTTGTTAAACCTAGTGTATCAGCTGTCTTTTATTTCATCGAATAAATTGACATTTCTAATGTTATCTTTATGATTTACTAATTAAGGATTCATAGGATTAAACAACAGTAGAGGTTTTCCAGGATTGTGTAGTGATCTAGTTCTATTAATATCTCATTAATTAGGCTGGGCATAGTAGCTCACACCTGTAATCCCAGCACATTGGGAAGCCAAGGCAGGTGTATCGTTTGAGGCCAGGAGTTCGAGACCTGCCTGGCCAACATGGCAAAACCCTGTCTCTTCTAAAAATACAAAAATTAGCCAGATGTGGTGGTGCACACCTGTAATCCCAGCTACTCAGGGGGCTGAAGCACAAGAATCGCTTGAACCCGGATGGGGAGGTAGCAGTGAGCCATAATTGCACGTCTGCACTCCAGCCTGGATGATAGAGTGAGACTGTCTCAAAAACAAAAACAAACAAACGAAAATCCCATTAATTAAAGACTAGCACATAGCCTCTTCTCTTTTGTTAAATTTTGTCTATTTTCTCCCTTCTCAGGTTAAGTTTACTGAAAGATCTAAGTATTTTGTGATACTCAATGCTGATGTGACTTAAGTACTTTACTGTCTTAACTCAGAAATCAAGATTTAGTTATTTTAAAGCACAAACTCCAAATTAAATAATCAGGAATTTCTTACTGTGTGTTAAAGAGATTGAAATGGGATTTGGTAATATGTTTTGAAAGGTCCATGTTTATCTTTTCTTAATTATGCTGCATATTCCTTAAAATTTCATACTTAATTTTTTGTTGTTGTTTTTGCCAGAGTCTCACCCTGTCTCCCAGGCTGGAGTGCAGTGGTGTGATTTCAGCTCACTGCAACCTCCACCTCCCGGGTTCAAGCGATTCTCCTGTTTCACCCTCCCAAGTAGCTGGGATTATGGGTGCATGCCACCATGCCCGGCTAATTTTTGTATTTTTAGCTGAGATGGGGTTTCACCATGTTGGCCAGGCTGATCTAGAACTCCTGACCTCAAGTGATCCGCCTGCCTCCGCCTCCCAAAATGCTGGGATTACAGGCGTGAGCCACCACGCCTGGCCTCATACTTAATTTTTTTTTTTTTGAGATGGAGTCTTGCTCTGTCACCCAGGCTGGGGCGCAGTGGCACAATCCCGGCTCACTGCAAGCTCTGCCTCCCGGGTTCACGCCGTTCTCCTGCCTCGGCCTCCCAAGTAGCTGGGACTACAGGTGCCCACCACCACGCCCGGCTAATTTTTTGTATTTTAAGTAGAGACGGGGTTTCACCATGTTAGCCAGGATAGTCTCGACCTCCTGACCTCGTGATCCGCCCACCTCGGCCTCCCAAAGTGCTGGGATTACAGGTGTGAGCCACCACACCCGGTCACAACTTAATTTTATTAATTGTACCTTTATGGGTGATTACAAAGTGTATGCATATATGTTTGTATGTAGGTATATGTATATATAGTTAATTGTAAACTTTATTAAAGCATATAATATTGCTTTATACTGTTTAAAATCATACAATAAATGAGAAAAATTTATGAAAACACCTCACCTGAGCACAGGATTGCATATTAGTTAATGTTGGCTTTTTATATTCTCAAGTCATTTTTATCTGTTTTTTTATGAAACTAAAAATCTTTTTAAATTTTAGGGGGAAAAAAATAGTGGCTTTGATGTCCTCTACCATAATATGAAACATGGACAGATATCAACAAAAGAACTAGCAGATTTTGTAAGGGAACGGTATGTATTTTTTAAATAAGTAATTTGTTTAACAACTTAATAGCAATTTAAATTTTAGAATATAAATAATGGAGAAAACTTTATTTGGATTTGGAATAAAGTAATTGTTTTAAAATATGTACTGTAATTATATCTATCTATTTGTATCTATCATCTACACAGCTGAGGGCTGTATAGTGGCTCAAAGTGGCTCAAAGTTTAATACCCCTGGTTTGTGGATTCCTTCTTGAAAATATTATCTACATATTTTTCACTGGATATGCTAGCAAGGTGATATAATACAGTTGAGAAGTTTGTAGGATAAAACATTAACATTTGTTAACCATGCTAAAATAATTAGAAAAGACTAACTTTTCTGAACTTCAGTTTAATTTTGTGTTTTTGTAACTTTTATTTTTAAAAGTCCTAAGTATATATTTTAAAATCTTGCAAATTTATAAAATGTGATTGTTGTTAAGACTCTTAGAATATAGCGAATTTAAAAGCTATTAAGAATAAATATAATTTGATTATGATTCAAAATCAAACAACTCAAAAGCTGCTATCCTACTAACTTAAAGCTATTTTGTGGCTACCCCAACTTTGTAATTATTTATATGAACACATTTAAAATCTTTACCTTGATAATATAGGGATACTTTGGCTTTAAATTTAATACTCCATTTATTCATGTATTCTTTCAACAATGTATATCCCATCAGTGCTGTGTACCAGCTACTTGTCTGGATTATGGGAATATAGTGGTTAAGATAACAGCTTCTCCCTTCATGGAGTTTACAGACTGATAGGAATTGGGGAATAAACTATTCTATAAGTTCGGTTCTTTTCTTACTCCCTCCTCTCTACTGGAATCAACAAGGAATGCAAAAGCTCAAGTGCTCTGGGTAAGGCTCTCCTTCCTCCGGGCTTCTACATTATCATTGGCAGGAGCAAAGGAAAGGCCGCAGAACTCTGCATCTCTTGGCATGTTCCTTAGCCTTCCCTCTTCCCCTACACTTCACTACTATCACTGTCTACTTTGCAACCATCAGGGCAGATATTATGCCTTTGAGCCCTGTTTATGTTAGTCACCTTAAGAAGTCCAGGACTCCTGGGTTATCCTTCCTTTGCCCAGAATCTATCCCTTTCTGATTCTTTGGGTAGTGAGACAATCCGTCATACTTCCCCTTTACTACTTTATTTTTCTCCATAGTATGTATAACTGTCTGATAAAAGTGATATTTCATTTATTTATTTTTCTGTCTCTTCCCACTAGAATATAAACCCAACAAGGGCAGGGATTTTTGTCTTTTTTTGCTTATTTTGTCTTTTTGCTCTATTTATGCACTTGTGATAGTGCTTGTCACTTGGTAGGCCCTCAGTAAAGGTTTTTCCATAGAATGAATCTGTAACTTCATTATGCTGATCCCAGCTATCATTATTTTTGCCTGAACTTCAGCAGTAGCTCGTAACTGCTCTATCTACAGTTGTTCTTGTTTTCCTGCAACTTACTCTGTCTACTGTAGTTGGAGTGGTTTTTTTGAAATATAGTACAGATCAGTTGTTACCTCTTCTCTTTCAGCCATCTCAAGGGCTTCCCATTGCTCTTAAGATAGGCCTGCATATTCTGACCCTAAAACTACCTTTCAGGTCTTATTGTTCTAGGCTCTATGCTAGGCATGGGATACAACAGAATATTGTCTCACAGGAGAACATAGAAACAATTAACAAAAATGAGTAATAACAAAACTGCATACATAGTACAAAGAGATACATGAATTACAGGCTGCTCCTTATTCTTTCCACTCCAGAGATACTGGGTATCTTATAGACAGGCTTCCTCTGTCTAGTCCAGGCTTTGTAAATACTTATTCTTCTCTTCACCTAGTTAATGCCTACTTATTCTTTTTTTTTTTTATTTAGAACTTTAATTTCCATTCAAAAGAAGTAAAATATAAATTCAATAAGTTGGTTAAAATATTCCTAAAATGACTCCACATTTATATTTTATCCCTCTGAATTACATGTCAAAATCCTATCTTTTTCACAGGGTATCAGTCTCTGGACCATCAAGATCATCAATAATGCAGCATTTCTTTTTATTTTTCTTTCTTTTTCTTTTTTTTTATTTTTTATTTTTTATTATTATACTTTAAGTTTTAGGGTACACGTGCACAATGTGCAGGTTAGTTACATATGTATACATGTGCCGTGCTGGTGCGCTGCACCCACTAACTCGTCATCTAGCATTAGGTATATCTCCCAATGCTATCCCTCTCCCCTCCCCGCAACCCACAACAGTCCCCAGAGTGTGATGTTCCCCTTCCTGTGTCCATGTGTTCTCATTGTTCAATTCCCACCTATGAGTGAGAATATGCGGTGTTTGGTTTTTTGTTCTTGTGATAGTTTACTGAGAATGATGATTTCCAGTTTCATCCATGTCCCTACAAAGGACATGAACTCATCATTTTTTATGGCTGCATAGTATTCCATGGTGTATATGTGCCACATTTTCTTAATCCAGTCTATGATTGTTGGACATTTGGGTTGGTTCCAAGTCTTTGCTATTGTGAATAATGCCGCAATAAACATACATATGCATGTGTCTTTATAGCAGCATGATTTATAGTCCTTTGGGTATATACCCAGTAATGGGATGGCTGGGTCAAATGGTATTTCTAGTTCTAGATCCCTGAGGAATCGCCACACTGACTTCCACAGTGGTTGAACTAGTTTACAGTCCCACCAACAGTGTAAAAGTGTTCCTATTTCTCCACATCCTCTCCAGCACCTGTTGTTTCCTGACTTTTTAATGATTGCCATTCTAACTGGTGTGAGATGGTATCTCATTGTGGTTTTGATTTGCATTTATCTGATGGCCAGCGATGGTGAGCATTTTTTCATGTGTTTTTTGGCTGCATAAATGTCTTCTTTTGAGAAGTATCTGTTCATGTCCTTCGCCCACTTTTGGATGGGGTTGTTTGTTTTTTTCTTGTAAATTTGTTTGAGTTCATTGTAGATTCTGGATATTAGCCCTTTGTCAGATGAGTAGGTTGTGAAAATTTTCTCCCATTTTGTAGGTTGCCTGTTCACTCTAATGGTAGTTTCTTTTGCTGTGCAGAAGCTCTTGAGTTTAATTAGTCCCATTTGTCAATTTTGGCTTTTGTTGCCATTGCTTTTGGTGTTTTAGACATGAAGTCCTTGCCCATGCCTATGTCCTGAATAGTAATGCCTAGGTTTTCTTCTAGGGTTTTTATGGTTTTAGGTCGAACATTTAAGTCTTTAATCCATCGTGAATTGATTTTTGTATAAGGTGTAAGGAAGGGATCCAGTTTCAGCTTTCTACATATGGCTAGCCAGTTTTCCCAGCACCATTTATTAAATAGGGAATCCTTTCCCCATTGCTTGTTTTTCTCAGGTTTGTCAAAGATCAGATAGTTGTAGATATGTGGCATTATTTCTGAGGGCTCTGTTCTGTTCCATTGATCTATATCTCTGTTTTGGTAGCAGTACCATGCTGTTTTGGTTACTGTAGCCTTGTAGTATAGTTTGAAGTCAGGTAGTGTGATGCCTCCACCTTTGTTCTTTTGGCTTAGGATTGACTTGGCGATGCGGGCTCTTTTTTGGTTCCATATGAACTTTAAAGTAGTTTTTTCCAATTCTGTGAAGAAAGTCATTAGTAGCTTGATGGGGATGGCATTGAATCTGTAAATTACCTTGGGCAGTATGGCCATTTTCACGATATTGATTCTTCCTACCCATGAGCATGGAATGTTCTTCCATTTGTTTGTATCCTCTTTTATTTCCTTGAGCAGTGGTTTGTAGTTCTCCTTGAAGAGGTCCTTCCCATCCCTTGTAAGTTGGATTCCTAGGTATCTTATTCTCTTTGAAGCAATTGTGAGTGGGAGTTCACTCATGATTTGGCTCTCTGTTTGTCTGTTGTTGGTGTATAAGAATGCTTGTGATTTTTGTACATTGATTTTGTATCCTGAGACTTTGCTGAAGTTGCTTATCAGCTTGAGGAGATTTTGGGCTGAGACAATGGGGTTTTCTAGATATACAATCATGCCATCTGCAAACAAGGACAATTTGACTTCCTCTTTTCCTAGTTGAATGCCCTTTATTTCCTTCTCCTGCCTAATTGCCCTGGCTAGAACTTCCAACACTATGTTGACTAGGAGTGGTGAGAGAGGGCATCCCTGTCTTGTGCCAGTTTTCAAAGGGAATGCTTCCAGTTTTTGCCCATTCAGTATGATATTGGCTGTGGGTTTGTCATAGATAGCTCTTATTATTTTGAAATACGTCCCATCAATGCCTAATTTATTGAGAGTTTTTAGCATGAAGGGCTGTTGAATTTTGTCAAAGGCCTTTTCTGCATGTATTGAGATAATCATGTGGTTTTTGTCTTTTGTTCTGTTTATATGCTGGATTACATTTATTGATTTGCGTATATTGAACCAGCCTTGCATCCCAGGGATGAAGCCCACTTGATCATGGTGGATAAGCTTTTTGATGTGTTGCTGGATTCGGTTTGCCAGTATTTTATTGAGGATTTTTGCATCAATGTTCATCAAGGCTATTGGTCTAAAATTCTCTTTTTTGGTTGTGTCTCTGCCCAGCTTTGGTATCAGGATGATGCTGGCCTCATAAAATGAGTTAGGGAGGATTCCCTCTTTTTCTATTGATTGGAATAGTTTCAGAAGGAATGGTACCAGTTCCTCCTTGTACCTCTGGTAGAATTTGGCTGTGAATCCATCTGGTCCTGTACTCTTTTTGGTTGGTAAGCTATTGAATATTGCCACAATTTCAGATCCTGTTATTGGTCTATTCAGAGATTCAACTTCTTCCTGGTTTAGTCTTGGGAGAGTGTATGTGTTGAGGAATTTATCCATTTCTTCTAGATTTTCTAGTTTATTTGCGTAGAGGTGTTGGTAGTATTCTCTGATGGTAGTTTGTATTTCTGTGGGATCGGTGGTGATATCCCCTTTATCATTTTTTATTGCGTCTATTTGATTCTTCTCTCTTTTTTTCTTTATTAGTCTTGCTAGTGGTCTATCAATTTTGTTGATCCTTTCAAAAAACCAGCTCCTGGATTCATTAATTTTTTGAAGGGTTTTTTGTGTCTCTATTTCCTTCAGTTCTGCTCTGATTTTAGTTATTTCTTGCCTTCTGCTAGCTTTCGAATGTGTTTGCTCTTGCTTTTCTAGTTCTTTTAATTGTGATGTTAGGGTGTCAATTTTGGATCTTTCCTGCTTTCTCTTGTGGGCATGTAGTGCTATAAATTTCCCTCTACACACTGCTTTGAATGCGTCCCAGAGATTCTGGTATGTTGTGTCTTTGTTCTCGTTGGTTTCAAAGAACATCTTTATTTCTGCCTTCATTTCGTTATGTACCCAGTAGTCATTCAGGAGCAGGTTGTTCAGTTTCTATGTAGTTGAGCGGTTTTGAGTGAGATTCTTAATCCTGAGTTCTAGTTTGATTGCACTGTGGTCTGAGAGATAGTTTGTTATAATTTCTGTTCTTTTACATTTGCTGAGGAGAGCTTTACTTCCAAGTATGTGGTCAGTTTTGGAATAGGTGTGGTGTGGTGCTGAAAAAAATGTATATTCTGTTGATTTGGGGTGGAGAGTTCTGTAGATGTCTATTAGGTCCACTTGGTGCAGAGCTGAGTTCAATTCCTGGGTATCCTTGTTGACTTTCTGTCTCGTTGATCTTTCTAATGTTGACAGTGGGGTGTTAAAGTCTCCCATTATTAATGTGTGGGAGTCTAAGTCTCTTTGTAGGTCACTCAGGACTTGCTTTATGAATCTGGGTGCTCCTGTATTGGGTGCATATATATTTAGGATAGTTAACTCTTCTTGTTGAATTGATCCCTTTACTATTATGTAATGGCCTTCTTTGTCTCTTTTGATCTTTGTTGGTTTAAAGTCTGTTTTATCAGAGACTAAGATTGCAACCCCTGCCTTTTTTTGTTTTCCATTTGCTTGGTAGATCTTCCTCCATCCCTTTATTTTGAGCCTATGTGTGTCTCTGCATGTGAGATGGGTTTCCTGAATACAGCACACTGATGGGTCTTGACTCTTTATCGAGTTTGCCAGTCTGTGTCTTTTAATTGGAGCATTTAGTCCATTTACATTTAAAGTTAATGTTGTTATGTGTGAATTTGATCCTGTCATTATGATGTTAGCTGGTGATTTTGCTCGTTAGTTGATGCAGTTTCTTCCTAGTCTTGATGGTCTTTACATTTTGGCATGATTTTGCAGCGGCTGGTACTGGTTGTTCCTTTCCATGTTTAGCGCTTCCTTCGGGAGCTCTTGTAGGGCAGGCCTGCTGGTGACAAAATCTCTCAGCATTTGCTTGTCTGTAAAGTATTTTATTTCTCCTTCACTTATGAAGCTTAGTTTGACTGGATATGAAATTCGGGGTTGAAAATTCTTTTCTTTAAGAATGTTGAATATTGAATGCCTACTTATTCTTTAGAGCTCAGCAAAGTGGTCACTGCTCTAAGGATGCCTTTCCTAATCTCTCTGACTAGGTCAAAAACACCTAATATAATCTTTTGTTACATCACCTATCTCTTTGTAGTATTTATAAAATTTGGTAATTATTTATTTTTATTTGTTTTTATGTTCCTCTGTGAAACAGTATTTGTTTGTATCCCAGTGGCTAGCACAAAGCCTGGAACAATAGGATAATCATATTTCTTGAAGGACCCAATGAGAAAGGAAAAAACGTAAACTTTGTATACATTATCTGATTGATTGATTGATTGATTTGAGACAGGGTCTAGCTCTGTCACCCAGGCTGGAGTGCAGTGGCTCAGTCAATGCTCACTGTAACTTCTGCCCCCTGGATTCAAGCGATTCTTGTGCCTCAGCCTCCCAAGTAGCTGGGATTATAGCCCTGCGCCATCATGTTCGGCTGATTTTTGTATTATTCTTTTTTTTTTGAGACAGAGTCTCGCTCTGTTACCCAGCCCAGGCTGGAGTGCAGAGGTGCGATCATGGCTAACTGCAACCTCCCTGTCCTAAGTTCAAGCAATTCTTGTGCCTCAGCCTCTTGAGTAGCTGGGACCACAGGCATGCACCACCATGCCTGGCTAATTTTTGTATTTTTTATAGAGACGGGGTTTTGCCATGTCAGCCAGGCTGGTCTGGAACTCCTGACCTCAGGTGATCCACCCATCTCGGCCTCCCAGTGTGTTGGGATTACAGGCATGAGCCACTGTGCCTGGCCAGGCTCATTTCATTTTAGTGCTGAATAATATTTTGTTGTCTGGATGTACTACATTTTATCCACTGACTTACTCAGGGACATCTTGGTTGCTTCCAAGTTTTGGCAATTATGAATACAGCTGCAGTAAACATCTGTGTGCAGGTTTTCGTGTGAACATAAGTTTTAATTTAATTAATTAAAATTTAAATACCAAGGAACGCAGTTACTTGATTATATGGAAAGAATATGTTTAATTTTGTAAGAAACCCATCTTCCAAAGTGACAATACCATTTTGCATTTTAACTAGCAATGAATTAGAGTTCTTATTGCCCCACATCCTTGCCAGCATTTGGAGTGGTCAGTATTCTAGATTTTGGCTGTTCCAATAAGTATATAGTGGTATCTTATCATTGTTTTAATTAGCATTTTCCTGATGACATATGATGTGGAGCATCTTTGCTTTTAATTTTTTTTTGTAGAGGCAAGGTCTTGCTATGTTTCCCAGGCTAGTCTCGAACTCCTGGCCTCAAGTGATCCTCCTTGCCCAGCCTTGCAAAGTGCTGAGATTATAGGTGTGAGCCACTGCACCTGGCTTTTTTGTTGTTGTCAAGATGTGGTCTCAGCATGTTGCCCAGGCTGGTCTTGAACTCCTGGTCTCAAGCAGTCCTCCCGCCACAGTCTCCCAAAGCTCTGCGATTACAGGAGGGAACCAGCACACCTTTCCTCCATCTTTTCATATGCTTATTTGCCAGCTGTGTATCTTCTTTAGTGAGGTATCTGTTAAGGTCTTTGGCTCATTTTTGTTTTTAATATGGTTGTTTGTGTTCTTACTATTTTTTTTAAAATTTTTTTATTATACTTTAAGCCCTGGGATATAGGTGCGAACGTGCAGGGTTGTTACATAGGTATACATGTGCCATGGTGGTTTGCTGCACCCATGAACCTGTCATCCACATTAGGTCTTTCTCCTAATGCTATCCCTCCCCCAGCCCCCCAGCCCCCAACCCCCAAACAGGCCCTGGTGTGTGATGTTCCCCTCCCTGTGTCCATGTGTTCTCATTGTTTAACTCCCACTAATGAGTGAGGACATGTGGTGTTTGGTTTTCTGTTCTTGTGTTTGCTGAGAATGATACTTTCCAGCTTCAACCATATCCCTGCAAAGGACATGAACTCATGCTTTTTTATGGCTGCGTAGATTCCATGGTGTATATGTGCCACATTTTCTTTATCCAGTCTGTGATTGATGTGCATTTGGGTTGGTTCCAAGTCTTTGCTATTGTGAACAGTGCTGCAATAAACATATGTGTGCATGTGTCTTTATAGTAGAATGATTTATAATCCTTTGGGTATATAGCCAGTAATGGGATTGCTGGGTCAAATGATATTTCTGGTTCTAGATCCTTGAGGAATTGCCACACTGTCTTCCACAATGGTTGAACTAATTTACACTCCCACCAGCAGTGTAAAAGCATTCCTGTTTCTCCACATTCTCTCCAGCATCTGTTGTTTCCTGACTTTTTAATGATGGGCATTCTGACTGTCATGAGATGGTATCTCATTGTGGTTTTGATTTGCATTTCTCTAATGACCAGTGATGATGAGCATTTTCTCTTATGTTCGTTGGCTGCATAAATGTCTTCTTTTGAGAAGTGTCTGTTCATATACTTTGCCCACTTTTTGATGGGGTTGTTTTTTTCTTGTAAATTTAAGTTCTTTGTGGATTCTGGATATTAGCCCTTTGTCAGATGGATAGGTTGTAAAAATTTTCTCCCATTCTGTAGGTTGCCTGTTCACTCTGATGATAGTTTCTTTTGCTGTGCAGAAGCTCTTTAGTTTAATTAGATCCCATTTGTTAATTCTGGCTTTTGTTGCCATTGCTTGTGGTGTTTTAGTCATGAAGTCTTTGCCTATGCCTATGTTCTGAATGGAATTGCTTAGGTTTTCTTCTAGGGTTTTTATGGTTTTAGGTCTTACGTTGAAGTGTTTAGCCCATCTTGAGTTAATTTTTTGTATAAGGTGTAAGGAAGGGGTCCAGTTTCAGTTTTCTGCATATGGTTAGCCAGTTTTCCCAACACCATTTATTAAATAGGGAATCTTTTCCCATTGCTTGTTTTTGTCAGGTTTGTCGAAGATCAGATGGTTGTAGATTTGTGGTGTTATTTTTGAGGACTCTCTTCTGTTCCATTGGTCTATATCTCTGTTTTGGTACCAGTACCATGCTGTTTTGGTTACTGAAGCATTGTAGTGTAGTTTGAAGTGATGCCTCCAGCTTTGTTCTTTTTGCCTAGGATTGTCTTGGCTATACAGGCTGTTTTTTGGTTCCATATGAAATTCAAAGTAGTTTTTTCTAATTCTGTGAAGAAAGTCAATGATTGCTTGATGAGGATAGCATTGAATCTATAAATTACTTTGGGCAGTATGGCCATTTTCACAATATGATTCTTCCTATGCATGAGCATGGAATGTTTTTCCATTTGTTTGTGTCCTCTATTATTTCCTTTAGCAGTGGTTCATAGTTCTCCTTGAAGAGGTTCTTCACATCTCTTGTAAGTTGTATTTCTAGGTATTTTATTCTTTTTGTGGCAATTGTGAATGGGAGTTCACTCATGATTTAGCTCTCTGTTTGTCTATTATTGGTGTATAGGAATGCTTGTGATTTTTGCACATTGATTTTGTATCCTGAGAATTTACTGAAGTTGCTTACCAGCTTAAGGAGATTTTGGGCTGAGACGATGGGGTTTTCTAAATATACAATCATGTCATCTTCAAACAGAGACAATTTGACATCCCCTTTTCCTATTTGAATACCCTTTATTTTTTTCTCTTTCCTGATTGCCCTGGCTAGAACTTCCAATACTATGTTGAATAAGAGTGGTGAGAGAGGGCATCCTTGTTTTGTGATGGATTTCAAAGGGAATGCTTCCAGTTATTGCCCATTCAGTATGATATTGGCTGTGGGTTTGTCATAAATAGCTCTTATTGTTTTGAGATACATTCCACCAATACCTAGTTTATTGAGCGTTTTTTGCGTGAAGTGGTGCTGAATTTTGTTGAAGGCCTTTTCTGCATGTATTGAGATAATCATGTGGTTTTTGTCATTGATTCTGTTTATGTGATGGATTACATTTATTGATTTGCGTATGTTGAACCAGCCTTGCATCCCAGGGATGAAGCTGAGTTGATAGTGGTGGATAAGCTTTTTGATGTGTTGCTGGATTCGGTTTGCCTGTATTTTATTGAGGATTTTCGCACTGATGTTCATCAGAGATATTGGCCTGAAATTTTCTTTTGTGTGTGTGTGTCTTTGCCAGGTTTTGATATTAGGATGATGCTGGCCTCATAAAATGAGTTAGGGAGGAGTCCCTCTTTTTCTATTGTTTGGAATAGTTTCAGAATGAATGGTACCAGCTCCTCTTTGTACCTCTGGTAGATTTTGGCTGTGAATCCGTCTTGTCCTGAGCTGTTTTTGGTTGGTAGGCTATTAATTACTGCCTCAATTTCAGAGCTTGTTATCGATCTGTCCAGGGATTCTACCTCTTCCTGGTTTAGACCTGGGAGGGTGTATGTGTATGTGTCCAGGAATTTATCAATTTCTTTTTTTTTTTTTTTTTTTTTTTTTTTTTTTGAGACGGAGTCTCGCTCTGTCGCCCAGGCTGGAGTGCAGTGGCGCGATCTCGGCTCACTGCAAGCTCCGCCTCCCGGGTTCACGCCATTCTCCTGCCTCAGCCTCCCGAGTAGCTGGGACTACAGGCGCCCGCTACCACGCCCGGCTAATTTTTTGTATTTTTAGTAGAGACGGGGTTTCACCGTGTTAGCCAGGATGGTCTCGATCTCCTGACCTCGTGATCCGCCCGCCTCGGCCTCCCAAAGTGCTGGGATTACAGGCGTGAGCCACCGCGCCCGGCCGAATTTATCAATTTCTAATAGATTTTCTAGTTTATTTGCATAGTGGTGTTTCTAGTATTCTCTGATGGTAGTTTGTAATTCTATTGGATCAGTGGTGATATCCCCTTTATCATTTTTTATTGTGTCTATTTGATTCTTCTCTCTTTTCTTGTTTGTTATTCTGGCTAGCGGTCTATCTATTTTGTTGATCTTTTCAAAAAACCAGCTCCTGGATTCATTGATTTTTTTGAACGCTGTTTCATGTCTCTATCTCCTTCAGTTCTGCTCTGATCTTAGTTATTTCTTGTCTTCTGCTAGCTTTTGAATTTGTTTGCTCTTGCTTCTCTAGTTCTTTTAATTGTGATGTTAGGGTGTCAATTTTAGATCTTTCCTGCTTTCTCTTGTGGGCATTTAGTGCTATAAATTTCCCTCTAAACACTGTTTCAGCTGTGTCCCAGAGATCCTGGTATGTTGTGTCTTTGTTCTCATTGGTTTCAAAGAACTTACTTATTTCTGCCTTCATTTCGTTATGTACCCAGTAGTCATTCAGGAGCAGGTTGTTCAGTTTCCGTGTAGTTGTGCAGTTTTCAGTGAGTTTCTTATTCCTGAGTTCTAATTTGGTTGCACTGTGGTCTGAGAGACTGTTTGTTATGATTTCCGTTCTTTTGCATTTGCTGAGGAGTGTTTTACTTCCAATTATGTGGTCAGTTTTAGAATAAGTGTGATGTGGTGCTGAGAAGAATGTATATTCTGTTGATTTTGCGGGGAGGGTTCTGTAGATGTCTATTAGGTCTGCTTGGTCCAGAGCTGAGTTCAATTCCTGAATATCTTTGTTAATTTTCTCTCTTGTTTACCTGTCTAATATTGACAGCGGGGTGTTAAAGTCTCCCACTATTATTGTGTGGGAGTCTAATTCTTTTTGTAGGTCTCAAAGAACTTGCTTTATGAATCTGGGTGCTCCTGTATTAGGTGCATATATATTTAGGATAGTTAGCTCATCTTGATGCATTGATACCTTTACTGTTATGTAATGGCCTTTGTCTCTTTTGATCTTTCTTGATTTAAAGTCTGTTTTATCGAAGACTAGGATTGCAACCCCTGCTTTTTTTTGCTTTCCATTTGCTTGGTAAATATTCCTCCATCCCTTTATTTTGTGCTTATGTGTGTCTTTGCATGTGAGATGGGTGTCCTGAATACAGCACACCAGTGAGTCTTGACTCTTCATCCAATTTGCGAGTCTTTGTCTTTTAATTGGGGCATTTAGCCTGTTTACATTTAAGGTTAATATTGTTATGTGTGAATTTGCTCCTGTCATTATGATGCTAGCTGGTTATTTTGCCCATTAGTTGGTACAGTTTCTTCATAATGTCGGTGGTCTTTACAATTTGGTATGTTTTTGCAGTTGCTGGTGTTGGTTGTTTCTTTCCATGTTTAGTGTTTCCTTCAGGAGCTCTTGTAAGACTGGCCTGGTGGTGATGAAATCTCTCAGCATTTGCTTGTCTGTAAAGGATTTTATTTCTCCTTTGTTTATGAAGCTTTGTTTGGCTAGACATGAAATTCTGGGTTGAAAAGTCTTCTCTTTAAGAATGTTGAAAATTGGCCCCCACTGTCTTCTGGCTTGTAGGGTTTCTGCAGAGATATCCACTGTTAGTCTGATAGGCTTCCCTTTGTGGGTAACCCGACCTTTCTCTCTGGCTGCCCTTAACATTTTTTCCTTCATTTCAACCTTGGTGAATCTGACAATTACGTGTCTTGGGGTTGCTCTTCTCGAGGAGTATCTTTGTGGTGTTCTCTATATTTCCTGAATTTGAATGTTGGCCTGTCTTGCTAGGTTGGGGAAGTTCTCCTGGATGATATCCTGAAGAGTGTTTTCCAACTTGGTTCCATTCTCCCCATCACTTTCAGGTACACCAATCAAATGTAGGTTTCGTGGTTTCACATAGTCCCATATTTCTTGGAGGCTTTGTTTGTTCCTTTTCATTCTTTTTTCTCTAATTCTTGTCTTCATGCTTTATTTCATTAAGTTGATCTTCAGTCTATGATATCCTTTCTTCCACTTGATCGATTTGGCTATTGATACTTGTGTATGCTTCACAAAGTTCTCATGCTGTGTTTTTCATCTCCATCAGGTCATCTATGTTCTTCTCTAAACTGGTTATTCTAGTTAGCAATTCGTCTAACCTTTTTTCAAGGTACTTAGCTTCCTTGCATTTGGTTAGAACATGCTCCTTTAGCTTAGGGGAGTTTGTTATTACCCACCTTCTGAAGCCTACTTCTGTCAGTTTGTCAAACTCATTCTCCATCCAGTTTTGTTCTCTTGCTGGTGAGGAGTTGTGGTCCTTTGTGCTTGAAACCCAGGGCCCTGGTGGTGTAGGCACCCGAGGGAATCTCCTGGTCTGCGGGTTGCAAAGACTGTGGGAAAAGCGTAGTATCTGGGCTGGAATGCACCATTCCTCACAGCACAGTCCCTCATGCCTTCCCTTGGCTAGGGGAGAGAGTTCCTGACCCCTTGTGCTTCCTGGATAGGGTGATGCCCCGTCCTGCTTCTGCTCGCTCTCTGTGGGCTGCACCCACTGTCTAACTAGCCCCAGTGAGATGAGCCGGGTACCTCAGTTAGAAATGCTGAAATCACCTGCCTTCTGCATTGATCTCACTGGGAGCTGCAGACTGGAGCTGTTCCTATTCAGCCATCTTGCCAGCTGCCCCCTTATTGGGTTTTAAGAGTTCTTTATATATTTTGGATAATGGTCTTTTATCAGATGTGTCATTTGCAAATATTTTCTCACAGTCTGATTTGTTTTCTCATTCTTTTGAATTTGTCTTTCAAAGAACAAAAGTATTTAATTTTAAGAAAGTCCAACATATCCATTATTTATTTTATGGATTTTGGGTTTGGAATACCTTTAGGTATTGGAATGCCTTTAGATATTGTGTCTAAAAAGTCATCACCATAGCCAAGGTCTGGTGTATTGGAGTGCCTTTAGATATTGGAATGCGTTTAGATACTGTTCTAAAAAGTCGTCACCATACCCAATGTTGTCTAGGTTTTCTCCTATGTTATCTTCTAGGGGTTTTGTAGTTTTATGTTTTACATTTAGGTCTGTAATACATTTTGAGTTAATTTTTGTGAAGGGTGTAAGGTCTGTGTCTGGATTCATTTTTTTTTTTTTTTTTTTTGCATATAGGTGTCCAGTTGTTCCAGTACCATTTATTGAAAATACTATCTTTGTTCCATCGTATTGCATTTGTTCCTTTTTTTTTTCAGACAGAGTATCTCTCTGTCGCCGAGGCTGGAGTGCAGTGGCGCGATCTCTGCTCACCGCAAGCTCCGCTTCCCGGGTTCATGCCATTTTCCTGCCTCAGCCTCCCGAGTAGCTGGGACTACAGGCACCCGCCACCACACCCGGCTAATTTTTGTATTTTTAGTAGAGACGGGGTTTCATCATGTTATCCAGGATGGTCTCGATCTCTTGACCTCAGGTGATCGGCCAGCCTCAGCCTCCCAAAGTGCTGGGATTACAGGTGTGAGCCACCATGCCCGGCCTTTTTAAAATACTTTTAAGTTCCGGGATACATGTGCAGAATGTGCAGGTTTGTTCCATAGGTATACATGTGCCGTGGTGGTTTGCTACACCCATCAACCTGTCATCTACATATCTACATTAGGTATTTCTCCTAATGCTATCCCTCCCCTAGCTTTATTTTTTTATTTTTATTTATTTATTTTTTTTGAGACAGTGTCTTGTTCTGTCACTCAGGCTGGAGTGCAGTGCAGCCTCCACGTCTTGGGCTCAATCAATTCTTCTGCCTCAGCCTACTGAATAGTTGGGACTATACATATGTGGCACCATGCCCAGTGTCTTTCAAAGTGACAATACTTTTTTTTTTTTTTTTTTTTTTGGAGAGACAAGGTTTCACCATGTTGCCTAGACTGGTCTCAAACTCCTGTGCTCAAATGATCTGCCCACCTCTGCATCCCAAAGTGCCGGGATTTTACAAGCATGAGCCACTGTGCCCCACCTGATTTATTGTAGCTTCATAATAAGTCTTGAAGTTGGGTAGTATCAGTCTTCCAACTTTGTTCTGCTCCTTCAGTATTTTTTTGGCTCTTCTAGATCTTTTGCTGTTTTCGGTTTTTTTTCTATTACCAAGTAATGTTGCCTTGAATAGTTTTGCACATATGTCCTGGTATGCATATATATATATATACATTTATATTGGGTATATACTCTGGAGTAGAATTGTGAGGCCATAAGGTATACGTGTGTTCAACTCGAGTGACTAATAGCAAAGAATTTTCCAAGGTGGTTGTATCAGTTTACACCACCTTCCATCCTTATTTGAGAGTTCCAGTTGCTTTATGTTCTCATCAATTCTTGGTATCGTCAGTTTTTTAATTTTAGCTTGCTAATAGTAGTATCTATCTTATTGTGACCTTAATTTGCATTTCTCTGGTGAATAATGGGATGATATATTTTTCTTTTTCTCTCCTCACAACTTGTCATTTATGTGAATTATTGAAATTTGTGTGTTAAATCAACTTCCCATTCTTGGTCTAAACACAATTTGGTGGGAATGTAGTTGATCATTTTATGTGTTAGTGGATCAATTTGCTGCTATTTTATATGCAATTTTTACATCTATACTTGTGAGTGAGATTGGCCTGAACATTTTCTTTCTCTAAGTGTACTTGTTAGGTTTTGGTATCAAAGTTTGTTGGCTTCATAAAATGAATTGGGGAGTATATCCTATTGTTGTATTTTCTGGAAAAATTTTTGAAAGATTATTGTTTTTTCCTTATGTGCTTAATAGAATTTTCTGGTAAAGCCCTCTGGGCTTGAAACTGTCTTTATAGGAAAGTTTTAAATTACATATTTAATTTCTTTAATCATTATAGGACCATTCACATTTTTTAGTTCTGTGAGTTTGAAAAGTTATGTTTTTCTATGAATGTCTTAATTTTATCCACACTTTAAGGTTTGTTGCAAAAATTTATTATTATTATTATTTTTGAGACAGGGTCTCACTGTCATCCAGGCTGCAGCCTTGACCTCCTGGTCTCAAATGATCCTCCCACTCCAGCCTCCCAAGTAGCTGGGGCTATAGGGATGCACCACCATGCCCAGCTAATTTTTGTATTTTTTTTTGTAGAGATGAGGGTTCACCAGGTTGCCCAGGCTGGTCTCAAACACCAGAGCTCAAGCGATCCTTCTGCCTCGGCCTCCCAAAGAGTCGGGATTACAGGCATGAGCTGTTGCACCTGTCCTAATTTCTATATGTTACACTTGGTTGATATGCCTTTTGAGTCTCTTAATCTATAGCCACCCACCTCCTTACCTTTTGTTGTTGAAGAAACCAGAGTATTTGTTCTAATAGGGCCCCATATCCTGGAATATGCTAATTGCATATGCATAGTTTATTAAATATCTTCCTTTATCCCTGAATTTCTTAAAAATTGTCATTTAAATCTAGCAGCATGATCAAATTCTATTCAGTACTTTTTTTTTTTTGGACTGAGTCTCACTCTGTCACCCAGGCTGGAGTACAGTGGCATGATCTTGACTCACTGCAACCTCCACCTCCCAGGTTCAAGTGATTCTCCTTCCTCTGCCTCCCCGAGTAGCTGGGATTGCAGATGCATGCCCCCACGCCCATCTAATTTTTGTATTTTTAGTAGAGGCAGGGTTTCACCATGTTGGCCAGGCTGATCTCGGACTCCTGACCTCAGGTGATCCACCCACCTCGGCCTCCCAAAGTGCTGGGATTACAGACATGAGCCACCACGCCCGCCTCTATTCAGTATTTTGGAAAGAATACTTCTTAGGTGGTGGTGTGTACTTCCACCAGAGGCATATATTATCCAAATATAACTGTTTCATGATGTTAGTGGCCATTGGTGATAATCACCTAGATCTGTTATTTTATTAAGGATTTGCTTTCATTTATATTTTTGCTGGGTATGGAATTCCAGTTGGTAGATTTTTTTAATTAATTTTTTTTGAAGATCGTTCCATTATCTATAGTTGAGATGTTAGCTATCAGTCTAGTTATTGGTTCTTTGAAGGTAACATTTGGTGGTGGGAAGAGTTTGGTTGCTTTCAAGATTTATTTTGTTCTTTCTCTTTTTAATTTTCAGCGGTTTTTACTCTAATGTGACTAGAACCAGATGTAATTGTTTTTAAACAATTTATCCTCTTAAAGTTTGTTGGGCTGCTTGGATCTGTGGTTAATATCTTTTATCAGTTTTGGAAAATTCCCCATTATTATTTCTTCAAATATTTTCTCTAACTCATTCTTTCTCTTTACTCATTTATCTGACTTTTCTTGCTTTGTCCTTTACATCTCTTCTCTGTTTTTCATTCTTTTTTGTCTTTCTGAACTTCAATGTTGGATAAATTATTCTCATCTATCTTTTAATTAACTAGATCTCTTTATTTTTTAAATTTTCCTTTTTTTTCTCCATCTCCTTTTTATGGTATAAATCTCAATATAGTATATCTAATCAGCTGCTAAACCCCATCCAAGGAGATATTAATTTTGGTTGTTGTATTTTCTAGATCTGTAATTTGCATTTTTTTTTTCTTTTTTGCAAATTTGGTGTGCTTTCCTCCACTTCTTAAAATGACCAGATCTCTAATGAAATTCTTCTTTTGGAGTCTTTACTTGAAGGGCGTGGGATTTTTCTCTGCTTTCTACCTTTAGTGGACCTGAACTCTTTTTCTTTTGGCTCCCTTAACCTGTGAGGCTGAGAAAAGCTCTGTTTCACTTCTCAACTGATCAGCTACCTCTTCTGGATACCCCCAAGGAAGAAGCTGCCCGACATACCTGACTGACTTGTCTGGATGCCCTTCTCTTGGATCTTGATTCTTAACTGCCCCTTAAGTTTTCTAATGCTTTTCAGTTACCTTGCCCCCACCCTCAACTTACCATGTTTTCTAAATTTTCCTCAGTGAGAAAAGTTTTTGTGTCAATAATCTTATTCACTATTACAGGTTAAGTATCCCTTATTTGAAATGCTTGGGAGCAGAAGTCTTTTAGAATTAGGATTTTTTTCAGATTTTGGAGTATTTGCATATACATAGCAAGAAATCTTGAAGGTGAGACCCAAGTCTAAACTTGAAATTTGTTTATGTTTTATACACACCATATACTCATAGCCTGAAGGTAATTTTATACAATATTTTAACTATTTTTCTTTTTCTTTCTTTTTTTTTTCTTTTTTTTTTTTGAGACGGAGTCTCACTCTGTCGCCCAGCTGGAGTGCAGTGGCACCATCTCGGCTCACTGCAACCTCTGCCTCCCGGGTTCACACCATTCTGCCTCAGCCTCCCGAGTAGCTGGGATTACAGGCGTGTGTCACCAAGCCCAGCTAATTTTTTTGTATTTTTAGTAGAGATGGGGTTTCACCGTGTTAGCCAGGATGGTCTCGATCTCCTGACCTCGTGATCCACCTGCCTCAGCCTCCCAAAGTGCTGGGATTACCGGCGTGAGCCACCGTGCCCGGCCTATTTTAACTATTTTTCTACATGAAACAAAGTTTTGACTGAATTTTGACCATGACCTGTCATGAGGTCAGGTGTGGAATTTTCTGCTTTTGGCATCATGTTGGTCCTCAAAAAATATATAGATTTTGGAGCATTTCTGATATTTTGATTAGGGATGTTTGTTTGTTTATTTATTTATTTGAGACAGAGTTTCGCTCTTGTTGCCCAGGCTGGAGTGCGGTGGCATGATCTTGGCTCACTGCAGCCTCCGCCTCCCGGATTCAAGCGATTCTCCTGCCTCAGCCTTCCAAGTAGCTGGGATTACAGGCACCCACCACCATGCTCAGCTAATTTTTGTATTTTTAGTACAGACGGGGTTTCACCATGTTAGCCAGGCTGGTCTTGAACTCCTGACCTCAGGTGATCTGCCAGCCTCGGCCTCCCAAAGTACTGGGATTACAGGCGTGAGCCACCGTGCCTGGCTGATTAGGGATGTTTAATCTGTACTGGAAATTGAACTTCTTTACCTTGCTGTTAAACTCACACATTGATATACTAATATTAACTTTTTTGGGTGAACAAAGTATTACTCTTGTAGTAATAGTATTTTAAAATGACAGAAGAACTTAAAGGAGCAGGAAAGAGTCACAGTACTATCAGCGAGAGGCAGTTACTGTTAATATTTCCTTTTTGTTAGAGAGCTGGTTTTTGTGCAAATTTGGTTGGGAAAGAGTTTGGAGATTAGTTTAGATATTCTGAGTTTGAGGTGGTTCACATATCTTAATTATGTTTGGGGCAGTTAGATATTGAACAGGTGGGTCAGTGCAAGAGTAGTGTGAAGATCTGGATTTAGACATTAGAAGCAGAAAGTTGGTTGGACCAATCAAAGTAAATGGAGGGATGATGGTGGTTGTAGAATGTTCCCCTATTAAGGGTAGCACACATTGAGAAGAGCCAGGCAAAAGGTAAAACTATAAGTTTTGTAGTGTTAAGAAGGCCAAACAGGCCGGGCGCAGTGGCTCATGCCTGTAATCCCAGCACTTTGGGAGGCTGAGTGGGGCGGATCACAAGGTCAGGAGTTTGAGACCAGCCTGACCAATATGGTGAAATCCTGTCTCTACTAAAAATACAAAAATTAGCTGGGTGTGGTGGCGGGTGCCTGTAGTCCCAGCTACTCGGGAGGCTGAGGCAGGAGAATCGCTTGAATCCGGGAGGCGGAGGTTGCAGTGAGCCAAGATTGCACCACTGTACTCCAGCCTGGGTGACAGAGCCATATTCCGTCTCAAAAAAAGAAGGCCATACAAAATGTGTATTCTGTATTTATAGGTTACATGTCTGTAGGATAATTTGTGTCTTTTAGAATTCTATATTTAATGGCTGTGGATGTTTTTTACGGAATAAAATCTCATATGCTAAACAGTAGTTATATAAAACACAGTTTTCTAGTGTGAAATATTTGCTAATATTTTAGATCTGATCACAAAATAAATTAAGCCATGAATGAAGTTCAGGATTTCAGACTTGATGATATATTTAGTTTTGTGCAAATGACTGTCATTAATCTCTTGTTCTATTAAATGTGCATCACAGTGTTGAAGAATAATAAAACTAAGTACAACAAAGAATTATTAAATACAAATGACACACTTATCACAGTGAACCAGCTTACAGAGACAGAGAGAATACAAGAAGTAGCACTCATGTATTTCCTGTTCAGATAAGCATTGGTACTAAAGATAAAAAGAGTTGTGATTCCATTAAAATTTTTTCTGTGGCTGAGCGTGGTGGCTCATGCCTATGATCTCAGCACTTTGGGAGGCCTAGGTGGGAGGATTGCTTGAGCCCTGGAATTCCAGATTAGCCTGGGCAACATAGCAAGGCCCCATCTCTACAAAAAAATACAAAACTTAGCTGGGTGTTGTGGGGCATGCTTGTAGTGTGAGCTACTCAGGAGGCTGAGGTGGGAGGATTGCTTAAGCCTAGGAGGTCAAAGCTGCAGTGAGCTATGATCATACCACTGTACTCCAGCCTGGGTGACAGAGCAAGACTGTTTTAAAAAAAAATTTGTGTGTGTGATATAAATTATTTTAGTTCTATACCAGAAAGGACATTTGAAGATAGGCCGGAAATTCATGACTACATATATGTACTTATTTTTAACATGTAATTTTTGAGGTATCTTTTTGTTTTGCACTTTTAATTGTATTTTGATAACTTTGCTGTTTTTGGTCACTAAATAAGAAGTATTATGATGTGGATATTTGATTTAACAGAGCTACCATAGAGGAGGCATACTCCAGGTCAATGACAAAACTAGCAAAATCTGCAAGCAATTATTCACAACTTGGGTGAGTTAATTTCTTCCTCTTTTTCAGTGTTTATTTAGGCAAAGTTCTTAAGGATTCTAGGTTCCTTTTGAGGACATAACAGTTCAAAAGCATAGTAAAATATATGCTTATTTAAAAGTATCTGTAAATATTAATATATTCTTCACTTGATAGAAAATATAATTGAACTTGCTGAATCAGTCAATGCAGTCAAAACTAAATGAAATTTATTTTTTCCCTTTTTAAAAACTAGTCATTCAATAGTGTTTGAGATTATAAATGTTATCTTATGCACATGCAATGTATTTATTCTAGTTGTCTGTAAGTTCCTATTTAAATTCTGTTGTAGTTTAACAGTGATCTTTAAAAACTCACTTAAGATAAACTTTATTGAAATGATTAAGATGCATTAAAAATGTCTCCTGTGATTTTATAGACTGTCATTAAATCTTCCTTTTAAAAATTTGTATTAAAAATGTGTTCCTTGAAAAATGAAAATAATGAAAAGAATACATTTAAAATGAGATGTGCTCATTGCCATAACAATTATGGAAAGAATAATTATCTAAAAATTGGGCTTTTGCATGTTTAAATTCACAGAAACTTTATTTTTGATGAAGTATTTTAAATGGAATACTTGTTTTAAATTGAAGTTTGATAATAGTTAATTTTTAACAATAGACAGTGATAGAAAGGCTTCTGATACAAGTATAAATACTAAATCAATTCAGAAATTAATATAATTAAGAGGGTTAAGACTTGTGATAATGTAATTAACCCATTTCTATATTCCTGAGGTCCAAAAATATTTTAAATAACCAATGACAAAAAAAATTCAAGGTCAGTCTGTCAATCATTTTATTCATTATTTTAATTTCATCTTTTGCCTAAATAAAGTTGCCATATATACCACTATTATTTCCACTGGTTCCTTGTTAGAACCTTAATTTTCTTTTTTACTTTTAATAAGTTATTCCCATATTTTTTATTTTCTTAGAACATTTGCACCAGTATGGGATGTATTCAAAACATCTACAGAGAAATTAGCAAATTGTCACTTGGATCTTGTTAGAAAATTACAAGAATTAATAAAGGAAGTTCAGAAGTATGGAGAAGAACAAGTAAAGTCTCATAAAAAGGTATCAGTTTTTTTCTTGTTAAATAATTGATTGGTCAGATATTGAATACTTTATAGTTCAGTCATTTTGATGGATCATTTCATACTAAACAGACTAAAGAAGAAGTTGCAGGAACTCTGGAAGCTGTCCAAACCATTCAGAGCATAACTCAGGCCCTCCAGAAATCCAAGGAAAATTACAATGCCAAGTGTGTAGAACAGGAGCGTTTGAAAAAGGAAGGAGCTACACAAAGAGAAATAGAAAAGGTAATCATAATAAAAATTACATATCTGTGGTTTCAAAGCACCTTGACATACAAAATTGCATTTAACATTTAGATCAAACTGAAAATTATCTCATTTTAAAGATGAAGACACTGTGCCTTACAGTCCTAGTGATTACCCAAGTAAAACACAGGAGATTTGTAAAGTATGTTATCTGTGGTAAATAGGTTAGCGAGCACTAAAAAACAATGATTGATTTGAGACGGAGTTTTGCTCTTGTTGCCTAGGCTGGAGTGCAGTGGCGCGATCTTGGCTCACTGCAGCCTCTGCCTCCTGGGTTGAAGTGATTCTCCTGCCTCAGCCTCCCAAATAGCTGGGATTACAGGCGCATGACACCACATCCGGCTAATTTTGTATTTTTAGTAGAGATGGGGTTTCGCCATGTTAGTCAGGTTGGTCTCGAACTCCTGACCTCAGGTGATCCGCCCACCTTGGCCTCCCCAAGTGCTGGGATTACAGGCATGAGCCACTACACCCAACCAAAAAACAATGATTTTTTAAATGTCAGTGACACATTTTCAGGATATTTTTGTAGTAACATAATTGAGGTAATTACTTTGTGTAAAATTTAACCATGAGGTAAAATTGTTTTGAAACAAGATTTTGGTATATTTAGAAAGATACAGGTAGGTACTTGCACATAAGCTTTAAATGTGTGTTGTGGTGATTTATTGCTGACTTTGAGCACATTTATGTAGCATTGTGGTAAACCACAACCTTTTCTTCCATTTATGTTTTAATGGAAAGTAGCTTTTTTTTTCTCCTTTCAAAACAGTTTAACCATTTACTTATTTGATGTGGTATATCTCACTTAAGAATGAGCCATGTGGAGTGATAATTTTGAAAGCTTTGTAAAATGTTTGAAATATCCAGTAAAAAAGGAAACCAAATTGTACCAATTGTATGATTATGACTATAAAACAGCTGTGTATTTATATACTTTTACATGTTTAAATGCACAGATACTTTATTTTTGATGAAGCATATTAAACGGAATACTAGTTTTACATTGAAGTTTGATAAGAGTTAATTTTTAACAACAGATGATGATAGAAAGTCTTCTGTTACAAGTCTGAATAACCAAATCAACTCAGAAATTAATATCATATAATTAAATAAGAGGGGCTGTTACAAGACTTGTGATAATGTAATTAATCCATTTCTATATACCTGAGGTCCAAAATATTTTAAACAACTAACCAATGAAATATGATATATGACTATACATGGGCAAAAAACTAGAAGAGAATGTGGAAAAATGAAAATAGGTGATTTAGAATTTGGAGCAATAAGGCACATAATCTCAGGACCTTCTGGGGACTGTGTCACAGATGAAAAAAATGAATTTGGAGCAATATATTGTGTTTGTATAATAAATAAAAATTGGATTTGTATAATAAAAATTGGGAGGGGCCAAAATGAGACACAGTAAATTCATGGTTTGAAAACACCCTCTGCTTCAGACATAGCAATTATGAATAAAATATAAAAAGGGAAAACGAAATAACAGGGTCCAAAAAGAATAATATTTTATCTCTGTGGGCCAGAATAGAACAGAAATCCAAAATGGCACGTAGAGATTGATTATGCAAGCTGTTGAACTCAAAAGTCCTAAAGTAGGCAGTGGGATTTGGCTCTTACGTGGCAAAAGGGACTAAAAGCTCCCCTCTTAGGATGAGGTACAAAGAGCCTGGCTCATTGCCTGAAACTATAGATAGGGAGAAAAGAAGGCTCTTGGGTTGCTGACAAGAACTAAAGCCTTATTGAAAGTTGGGGATTTAGGGACACAGATACAGAGACACAATCCTGACTTGAAATCAAGCCAAGGAATCATTTCATGACTATTTTGGCCATATCTACAATATTCTTGCAGGGAAGTAATTAAAAATTACTTTCATAAGACTGAAATGAAATTGGGGCCTTGGAGGGGTGGCAGGAGATAACCTGAAAACTGCTTGGGGATGGGTGAGCATAAAGTATAAAGCATAACACAATTCTAGGAGGTACCATTTATGTTTTATTCTATGAATGTCCAGCAGTACTGATGAAGGGCGAGAGAGAAGAAGAGAAAAGAGGGCAAAATAAAAAAAAAAAACTCCTATTCTGAATGAGCAAACAACCAAAATTGTAGCACACACCTAAGAAATCTAATACTAGAACAACCAATAAATTCAATAATTGGAATAAGAATTTACTCCAGATGAAATTTAAATTTATAAAAAATGAACAAAAACGATGTGTCTTGAGGATGTTCAAATAAATAAACATAAACTTACATTAAAGAAGATTAAGAAATTAAACGTAATGAAACAAGATCTACTAGATAGAAAAAAACAGCTAATTAGAAAACTTGGAAATGAAAAATAGAGTTATTGAACTTTTTAAAAAGCAATAGAGAAAAGAAACTTTAGACTTGATATAGTCAAAGAATGAGTTTTGAAGATAGTATGGAGGGACCTTATCCAGAACATAGTAGGAGAAGCAAACGTTACCAACATTCATCTAATACTAATTTCAGAAGGAAAAAATGGAGGAAATGGAAGGACAAGTAATATTTGAAGAGTTAACAGCTCAAAATGTTTCAGAATTGAAGAAATTCAAGAGCCCTCATATTGAAAGTACATTATAGGTATTAAGCAGGTTAAATAAATTCAGACCTAGACCCCAGAGAAAAAGAAAATGGGTATTTTTTTTTCCTCATATGAAATCAGAATGCATTTTCAATTGATGGTATTGTATAGTCATGGTTGGTAAGATAGCTTTTATGGTGTAGTTGAATTGCCTGTACAAACTTCGTTGCATGATTGGACAGCTACAATGCTTTGATATTTCAGTTAACAGACCTTTTAAGGACCATTTGAGGAAGTAATGGCTTTGATTATTTTCTGAAAATCTTTTAGTGATACCTTTTGGTAAGATCAAGTGCTTGGAAGAAAACCTGAAGATAATAATGGAGCACTTGAAAGAAATGGTCTGTCAACTGACAAAAACAAGCAATGGGGAAAGGATTCCCTATTCAATAAATGGTTCTGGGATAACTGGCTAGCCATATGCAGAAAATTGAAACTGGACCCCTTTTTTACACCATATACAAAAATCATCTCCAGATGGATTAAAGACTTAAATGTAAAACCCAAAACTATAAAAACTCTGGAAGACACCTGAGGCAATACCATTCTGGACATAGGAATGGGCAAAGATTTCATGGCAAAGACACCAAAAGCAATTGCAACAAAAACAAAAATTGACAAATAGGATCTAATTAAACGTAATGGTTTCTGCACAGCAAAAGAAACTATCAAAAGAGTAAATAGACAACCTGTAGAATGGGAGAAAATGTTTGCAAACTATGCATCTGACAAAGGTCTGACATCCAGCATCTATAAGGCACTTAAACAAATTTACAAGAGAAAAACAACCCTATTAAAAAGTGGGCAAAGGACATGAACAGACACTTCTCAAAAGAAGACATACATGCAGCCAACAAGCATATGAAAAAAAGCTCAACATCACTGATGATCAGAGAAATGCAAATCAAAACCACAATGAGATACCATCTCACACTAGTCAGAATGACTATTATTAAAAAGTCAAATAACAGATGCTGGCAAGGTTGTGGAGAAAAGGGAATGCTTATACACTGTTGGTGGGAGTGTAAATTAATTCAGCCATTGTGGAAAGCAGTGTGTGGCGATTCTTCAAAGAGCTAAAAACAGAACTACCATTCACCCCAGCAGTCCCATTACTGGATATATCCCCAAAGGAATATAAATCGTTGTACCATAAAGACACATGCATGTGAATATTAATTGCAGCACTATTCACAATATCTAAATGCCCATCAGTGACATTTGATAAAGAAAATGTGGTACATATTCATTGTGGAATACTATGCAGCCATAAAAAAGAATGAGATTATATCTTTTGTGGGAACATGGGTGGAGCTGGAGCCCATTATTCTTAGCAAACTAATGCAGGAACAGAAAACCAAATATTGCATGTTCTCACTTATAAGTGGGAACTAAACAATGAGAACACATAGAGAGGAACAACAGACACTGGGGCCTACTGGAGGAGAGAGGGTGGGGAGAAGGGAAGAAGGAGAGGATCAGAAAAAATACCTGTCAGTTACTGTGCTTATTACCTGGATGACGCATAAGCTGTGCACCACACCCCCGTGACACACAGTTTACCTATATAAGAAACCTTCACATGTTCCCCTGAACCTAAAATAAAAGTTAAAAAAGGAAATGCTTTGTCAGTAAACAGAAAACTGAAAATAATTTGAAAGAAATAATCATAATACATATAAATGTCTTGGACTCCTGGTGTGGTTTGTTTTCTGTTGCTTATGACAGAATACCTGAAACTGGGTAATTTTTTTTTTTTTTGAGACAGAGTCTCACTCTGTTACCCAGGCTAGGGTGCAGTAGCCGCATCTCAGCTCACTGCAACCTCCGCCTCCCGAGTTCAAGCAATTCTGGTGACTCAGCCTCCCGAGTAGTTGGGATTACAGTCATGTGCCACCTCGCCTGGCTAATTTTTGTGTTTTTAGTAGAGATGGGGTTTCACCATGTTGGCCAGGCTGGTCTTGAACTCCTGACCTCAAGCGATCTGCCTGCCTTGGCCTCCCAAAGTGCTGGGTGTGAGCCACCATGCCTGGCTTGAAACTGGATAATTTATAAAGAAAGGAATTTATTTTTTACAATTATGGAGGATGAGAAGGACGTCCGAGGTTGAGGGGCCACATCTAGTGAGAGCCTTCTTGCTTGTGGGGAGTCTGCCGAATTCTCAGAAGGTGCAGGACCTCATATGAGGGGGCTGAGTGTGTTTAGGTCTCTCTTTGCTCCTTATAAAGCTGTCAGTCCTATTTCCATGATAATCCATTGATTCATGAACCGATTAATACATTAATAGATTAATCTATTTATGAGGGCAGAGCCTTCATGACCGACTCATCTATTAAAGGTCCCACCTCTCAATACCGTCACATTGGGGATTAAGTTTCACAAGCATTCAAACCATAGCAGCTCCTCTAATCATAGATCAATTGTCAAATTGAAAAAAAAAATCCTGTTGGCAAGGCATGGTGGCTCACACTTGTAATCCCAGCACTTTGGGAGGCCACGGTGGGTGGATCACCTGAGGTCAGGAATTCAAGACTAGCCTGGCCAACATGGCAAAACCCCTTCTCTGCTAAAAAGACAAAAATTAGCCGGGCGTGGTAGCGGGCGCTTGTAATCCCAGCTACTCGGGAGGCTAAGGCAGGAGAATCACTTGAACCCGGGAGTTAGAGGTTGCAGTGAGCCAAGATCGCACCACTGCAGTCCAGCCTGGGCAACAAGAACGAAACTCTGTCTCAAAAAAAAAAAAAAAAATCCTGTTATGTATTTCATATAATGGGATACAATACAGTAGTTTAAATAAATATTACTCTTGCAAAGAAAAGGGGAAAGAATAGATTGAGTCTTGAAGCTAGGTGATGGATTCATGTTAAAAAAGAATGACATGTATTAACGTGAGTAAATGTAAAAAGCATAATATTGAGCAAGAAAAAGTTTCAAAAGGATGTGTAGAATTTGATGCCTTTTATATAACCTTTAATTCTCTGTAAAAACAGAAAAAAGCTATTGACTCTCTGCTTACCCCCCTCCCTTACCCCTTCATCCTTGCTCCCTCCCCCACTGTCCCCTTCCCCAATTAATCCTTCCCCTTCCCTCCTGGTCTCGGAGGACCCAATCCTAGCCCGACCTGTCTCGGCCCGCAACTTCCCCGAAGCTGTTGGTGCCACTCCCAGCCCATGTGGGCCCCCGCAGGCTGCCAACGCCTGTCCGCCAGCTCCCCGTTCCGCTGGGCTTTCCAAAACCTCGCCAGGGGTGACTTTCTGAGCCGCTTGCTCCATACCCCTCTCTGCAGCCTCTCCTGCCACTTAGGGCTGCCGTTCCCCCTCCCGGCAACGGGGGGCTGGCGGAGCTGTGCCACGGGGGCCCCCGGGGCCGGCGGGGCCGGCAGAGCAGGCAGTGCCAGGGTCATCAGGATGATGCGGACGCAGTGTCTGCTGGGGCTGCGCACGTTCGTGGCCTTCGCCGCCAAGCTCTGGAGCTTCTCCGCCCTTTTGCGGTGGCAGATCTGCATGGTAATTCAGCACCAAACTGTTCGATATGATATCATCCCCTTATCTTCTTGTCCTGGAATCAGCTAGGTGAAGAGGAAGATCATGGTGCTGGATCCGGATGAGATACTTATTCACTCCCACCATGATGGGGTCCTGAGGCTCACAGTCTGGCCTGGAACGCCTCCTGACTTCATCCTCAAGGTGGTAATAGACAAACATCCTGTCCGTTTCTTTGTACATTAGAGGCCCCATGTGGATTTCTTTTTGGAAGTCGTGAGCGAGTGGTGGGAGCTGGTAGTGTTTATAGCAAGCATGGAGATCTATGGCTCTGCTGTGGCAGATAAACTGGACAATAGCAGAAGCATTCTTAAGACGAGATACTACGGACAGCACTGCACTTTGGAGTTGGGCAGCTACATCAAGGACCTCTCTTTGGTCCACAGTGACCTCTCCAGCATTGTGATCCTGGCTAACTCTCCAGGGGTTTACAGGAGCCATCCAGACAAGGCCATCACCATCAAATCCTGGTTCAGTGACCCCAGTGACACAACCCTTCTCAACCTGCTCCCGATGCTGGATGCCCTCAGGTTCACCGCTGATGTTCGTTCCGTGCTGAGCCGCAACCTTCACCAGTATAGGTTCTGGTGACAGCTGCTCCCCCTTCACCTGAGTTGGGGTTGGGGGAAAGGGAGGGCGAGCCCTTGGGATACCGTTTGATGCCCTGTCCAATGTGAGGACTGCCTGGGCAGGGTCTGCCCCTCCAACCCCTCTCTGCCCTGGAAGCCCTACACTCCACTTGGAGTCTGGATGGACGCATGGGCCTGGGACCCTGAAGCAGCCTCACTCTAACTTCGTGTTCACACTCCATGTGTGAATGGAGTTCAGGCTGGGAGACAGGCAGAGGCCTAGGAGAACTAAAACAGTGTTTGTGGTGGAGCGGCAGGACCCGCCAGAGCCACAGATATATGGTGATCCAGGAGGCTCAAAGAGAAGCCAAGTCAGCTTTGTTGTGATTTGATTTTTTTTTTTCTAAACTCTTGTACAAAACTGAAAAAAAAAATGCTATTTATATACAGGTAAAGTATTAGGGACATGTATGGGGACAGTAAACAATAAGCACATGATGGAAATTACTTGTGATGAGAATGTAAGGGGAATGGGACAGGAGCTGACTTTATTCAAAATAAAATAATTACTTTAAAAAATGTGGTCAGGCGCGGTGGCTCACACCTGTAATCCCAGCACTTTGGGAGGCTGAGGTGGGTGGATCACGAGGTCAGGAGATCGAGACCATCCTGGCTAACACGGTGAAACCCCATCTCTACTAAAAATACAACAAATTAGCCAGGCGTGGTGGCGGGCGCCTGTAGTCCCAGCTACTCTGGAGGCTGAGGCAGGAGAATGGCGTGAACCTGGGAGGCAGAGCTTGCAGTGAGCCGAGATCGAGCCACTGCACTCCAGTCTGGGCAACAGAGCGAAACTCCGTCTCAAAAAAGAAAAAAAAAATGTAAGTCACAGGAGCAGTTTACTCTTGGTAGATACTATAACATTCATGCCCAACAGTGAATTGGTATGGGTTTCATATCATTAATGCAAATGTCTATGATCTAAATTAGTTAAAACTATCCAGAGGATTAAAGTACTGCTGGGTTAAATACCGTTGTCTTCTTTTTTGTGAACCCCAGTGGGCTCACCATAGTACCTAGTATGCCGTGACCACTCAAAAAATATATGATGACTAGCGATTACACATAAATAAATGATTCTGAGTCTTTTCATGTAAACCAAAACAAGTTTAATGTAATGATTTAGATGCAATTAAAGGATTTTTTTTTTTTTTGTCTAGAGATGAGGTCTCACTGTGTCACCCAGGCTGGAGTGCAGTGGTGGTATGATCATAGCTCACTGCAGCCTGGAACTGCTGGGTGCAAGCGATCACCTCACTGCCTCAGCCTCTCGAATAGCTGGGATCACAGGTGTGAATCATCAGGCCCGGCTCATGATTTCTTTTTTATTAAAATATTGAGCAGGAGTGGAGCATGTAGTTGTGTCCAAGGGTTGTGAGTTGGCTAAAATTCACCCTGTGCTTCACAGGGATGGACTTCAGTGGGATGGACTACTCAGAGGAAGGGGTGCTTTTTTCTAATTGGTCTCCTCAGAGGTGGCATCTCTGCTTGTGATATTAGATAGTGGGTTCTCTGATTTGTAATATATTTTAATCCAAGTCAGTTATTTTGGCCTATCGTAAGGTTTTTATTAACAAGAATGTAGATTTTTTTTAAAAGTCATAGATCTTTGAATAATTTTTTTGTGACTTAAAAACATAAATACTATAGGTGTTATAACATAATTTGGTTATCTCATTCACTCATTCACAGGCCTTTTTTTTTTTTTTTTTTTTTTAAGATGGAGTCTCGCTCTGTTACCCAGGCTGGAGTGCAGTGGCACGATCTTGGCTCACTGCAATCTCTGCCTCCTGGATTCAAGCCATTCTCTTGCCTCAGCCTCCCAAGTACCTGGGATTACAGGCATGCGTCACCACGCCCAGCTAATTTTTGTATTTTTAGTAGAGATGGGATTTCACCTTGTTGGCCAGCCTGATCTTGAACTTCTGACCTCAGGTGATATGCCCGTCTCAGCCTTCCAAAGTCTGAGATCACAGGTGTGAGCCACCACACCCAACCACAAGCCTTCATTTTTATAAAACACCACTTAGTAGGTACTCATGTTTGTGGACTATTGACTAAGTACTCATTTTATATGTATATGCTGGCTTCATGGATTGTACTATAAAAGTCATAGGCACTTAAAATGTTTTTGGTAGTATATTAATTTATAATGCTAAGGAAATGAATAAAACTTAGATTTGTTTTATTATCATAGGTAATGTATTAAAGCCACTCTTGCTTATGAGAAGAAATGTAGCTATTACTTGTAAAGCACAGTTTCCTCTTAAGAACAAATGCTCCAGCTTCCCTTTTATTTTAATTAATTAGTGAATTAATTAACTAGTGAATTAATTTTTCAAGACAGGTTCTCCCTCTGTTTTCCAGGCTGGAGTGCATTGGCACAATCACGGCTCACTGTAACCTTGAACTCCCAGACTTAAGCAATCCTTCACCTCAGCTTCCAGAGTAGCTGGGACTACAGGCATGTGCCACCATGCACAGCCAATAAAAAAAAAAATTTTGCAGGCCAGGCACGGTGGCTCATTCCTGTAATCCCAGCACTTAGAGAGGCCGAGGCAGGTGGATTACCTGATGTCAGCAGTTTGAGACCAGCCTGGCCAACGTAGTGAAACCCTGTCTCTACTAAAATACAAAATTAGCCGAGTATGGTGGTGTGTGCCTATAATCCCAGCTACTCAGGAGGCTGAGGCAGGAGAATCTCTTGAACCGGGGAGGTGGAGGTTTCAGTGAACAAAGATCACGCCACTGCATTCCAGCCTGGGCAACAAGAGTGAAACTCAGTCTTAAAAAAAAAAAAAAAAAAAAAAAGCTGGGGGCAGTGGCTCACGCCTGTAATCCCAGCACTTTAGGAGGCCAAAGCGGGCGGATCACTTGAGATTGGGAGTTTGAGACCAGCCTGACCAACATGGAGAAACCCCATTTCTGCTAAAAATACAAAATTAGCCAGGCGTGGTGGTACATGCCTGTAATCCCAGCTACTCGGGAGGCTGAGGCAGGAGAATCTCTTGAACCCAGGAGGCAGAGGTTGTGGTGAGCCGAGATTGTGGCATTGCACTCCAGTCTGGGCAACAAGAGTGAAACGCTGTCTCAATTAAAAAAAAAATTGTAGACACAAGGTCTCATGTTGCACAGGCTGGTCTCAAATTCCTAGTCTCAAGCCATCTTCCTGCTTCGGCTTCCCAAAGTGGTGGGATTACAGGCATGAGCCACCACACCTGGCCCAACTTCCCTTTTAATAATGACTATAAAGATTGTCACTTTTTTATGATGAGGCCATTCAGTTTCTATAATTCTACCTTAAGAATTTATAGCATTCCTAACTAAGCATAATATGTTATTTAGAAAGTTGTTTTGACTTAATAATTTAGTATTGTGTAGCTGTTTCTTATGAAAGATGTTTCTTGCTTTCAGAAAATATACATGTTTCTGGTGGGGCATGGTGGCTCATGCCTGTAATCCCAGTGCTTTGGGAGGCCAGGGTGGAGGGATAACTTGAGGCTGGGAGTTTGGGACCAGCCTGGGCAACGTAGGGAGACCCCATCTCTACAAAAAGTTTTTAAAAAAATTAGTCAGTGTGAGATCGCACCATTGCATTCCGGCCCAGGCCTACAACAGCAAGACTGGTGGCACATACCTGTAGTCCTAACTACTCAGGAGGCTGAGGCAGGAGGAGGATTGCTTGAGGCCAGGAGGTTGAGGCTGCAGTGAGCCATGATTGCACCACTGCACTACAGCCCAGATGACAGAGCGAGATCCTGTCTCAAAAAAAAAAAAAAAAAAAAAAAGAAATGAAAAGAAATTTCTTTATTAGTTAGTGCTTCTCTTGTCAGTTTTCTAGATGCTTCTCTATTTCTTTTTTCTTTCATTTTTTTTCTCCCTATCATCTTGTATTAAAGATGCTTCTTAAAGTTGATTTGTAATTTCCTTAGGATTCTGACTGTGGCATATCAATTTTACCTTTCAAGAGTGAGAGCTAGGCTGGGCATGGTGGTGGCTTATGCTGGTAATCCCAGCACTTTGGGAGGCCAAGGCAGGAGCCCAGGAGTTCAAAACCAGCCTGGGCAACACAGTGAGAGCCCATCTCTACAAAAAAAGAAAAAAAATTAGCCAGGCGTAGTGGCATGTGCCTATGGTCCTAGGTACTTGGGAGGCTAAAGTACTTGAGCCCAGTAGTTTGAGGCTACACTCTAGCCTGGGTGACAGAGTGATACCCTGTCTCAAAAAAAAAAAAAAAGAGCTGATTGAAAAAATATAAGTCAGAACTTAAAAAGAGTACCTTCTTTCTTCATGCTTTCAAATAAGATAAATAAAATTTTATAATTTCCTGATATCAGAGGGTACGCTTCATAAAACTTCTTTGTTTAAAATTTTGATTTAGATCCAGCCGTTAACCTTTGAGATAAAGATAATAGTTTTATAGCCAGAAGTAGTGAACAAATAAGTGCTGAATGTATAGACCAGGATTTATAGTGAGAATATCATGAGAGGAAAAAAAGAAATTTATGAAAATATGCTGGTGTAAAAGCCTTAATGGTTTTATCCCTCTTGACTCAGTAGAGATTTGAGTAGCAAAATTAGTTAGAATTCTAGAGACTACGTGAGTATAGGAAGATGAAATGATTCAGGATCTTCCCTCCATGTCTTAAAGGCCTATAATGTTTGATGCATAGTGTTATAAAATAATTTCTTTGTTTATACTTTAGAAATACATGTCTTTTATAAGTAGTAATGTTCCTCCATGTAGTCATCCTTTATTTCTATTAGGTTATAAATTTCTTGTTAGTGAGAAGCTATCATTGCATTGTCCATAACACAGCATATATATTTACTTGGAAAATAATCATAGCAAAATATTATTTGAATTCTTCCACTTCATTAATATAATAAAATTAGTTTGAGTTTATTTTAGCTATAGGCTTTAGAATAGATGCTTACTTTTTAAAATGATTTATTCAAATATTTTTCTGATTTGCCATTATATCATGAAGTGATAATTTGCATGCAACAGTAAATAAATGTTTAGTTCCTAGCCTATCACCACGCTGGGAACTATGAATGTTTTTAAGGCTAAATACATGTTATTGTTTCTGTCTTCAAGAAGCTTTCTTTTTCTTGGAGAGCCAAGACATATTAAATAGTACAGAACAAGAAGTTAGAGAGAGGGTTGAATGGTAAGTTGAGAAGGTGTGGTATCTTATTTTGTACACAGTCTATAAAAAGAAAACCTGCTAGGTGTTTGTCTCAAAAGAAATTGCTATTAAAAGAAATTTATTTTTAAAAAAGTAATTTATTTCACACAATCTTTCCCGTTTTATTTTTATGATATTTGTTTTTTTGTTTTTTGAGTCAGGGTCTCTGTTGTCTGGGCTGGAGTGTGGTGGTATTATCATAGCTCACTGCAGCCTTGAACTCTGGGGCTCAAGTGATTCCACCTCAGCTTCTTGAGTAGCTGGGACCACAGGTGTGTGTCACTGTGCCTGGATAATTTATTTTATTTTATTTTATTTTTGGAGAATGGGGTCTTGCTATGTTGCCCAGGCAGGTCTCGAACTCCTGGGCTCAAACTATTCTCTGCCTCTGCCTCCCTAAGAGCTGGGGTTACAGGCATGAGCCACTGCACCTGGCTTATTTTTTAAAAATTTTTATTGTATTTTATTTTTTTAAAATTTTTGTAGAGACAGGGTCTCACTTTGTTGCCCAGTCTGGTCTTGAACTCCTAGCCTCAAGTGATTCCTCCTGCCTTGGCCTCCCAAAGTGCTGGGATTATAGGCATGTGCCACCATGCCCGCCCAGTAAATTACTTGTAAAAGTGTATGCACAGTCATTATAATTAGGTATTTTTGGAATTTTCCAGTTTTATGGGTCTCCTTTTGACTTGTAAATATCTGTATTAGGAATGATCACAACTTGTCTTTATCAATAGCTGGCATATAAATTATTAAGCAATAATTTAGTGAGCAGCAGAGAAAAAGAAAAAAGTAGGTATCAGGATGAGGTATTAGGAACAAGCAAAGAAGGGGCTTTCAGTAGGGTTACATCATTATGCTAGGCTGTGTCATTAAAAATCACTCTGAAGGCCCAGTGTGGTGGCTCATGCCTGTAATCCCAGCACTTTGGGAGGCCTAGGCGTGTGGATCATTTGAGTTCAGGAGTTCGAGATCAGCTTGGCCAACATGGTGAGTGAGACCCCATCTCTACTAAAAATACAAAAATTAGCTGGGCGTGGTGGCTTGCACCTGTAATTCCAGCTACTTGGGAGACCGAGGCAGGAGAAGCGCTTGAATCCGGGAGGCGGAGGTTGCAGTGAGCCAAGATTGCACCATTGCACTCCAGCCTGGGCCACAGAGTGAGACTCCATCTCAAAAAAAAAAAAAAAAAAAAAAAAAATTCACTCTGAAGGACTGTAGGTCGTTTGATTGCTCTTATACTCACTGAAAATACAGGTATTAGAAGAACAAACTAAAATTTATTTGCATTAAAAAAATCCAAAAGGAAACCCGGATTAAGCATGCCATTATAATTGTTTTTAAAATAAATTCTAGCAAACTTGGTTATCTGGGTTTCTTGCGAAGGTACTTGGTAAACTATCCATTTCATTTAGCTGTTACGTATTTGAACAGGGGCAGGATATTAGAGGATTCCAGTAACTGGTATAAAATAATGTCAGCTGTGTGGAACTGGGAGAAGAGTAAAACAAAAAAAATCTATAGGAGCAAACTAGAAAATTGTTACGGGTTTTAGTCACTTTCGCTAGGGATAGGCAGCTCAATACAACTCAGTAACTCGGATATATCTTTATATTACAGCAAAATATCATGATGTGTTTTCTTGATGATATTTCTTGTTAGAAACCATAATAAAAGCAGGCACTATTTATTTTTAAATTTAACTGTATGCCAGACCCTATTCCAAGCATTTTGTATAACTACATTACTACTACAGCTTTTTTTAAAAAAAAGGTGATATTGTTCCCTTTTTAGTAATGAGAGAACTGTATAAATTTCTAAGACAAGGTCAGATGGGTAGTGCAGTGCTGAGATTTCACTTTCCTTGGTTTCAGTTACCTACTGTCCAGTACAGTAGAATATTTAGAGAGAGAGAGACCGTATTCACATATGATGTTATTACAGTATGTTGTTATAATTGTTATATTTTATTAGTTGTTAATCTCTTACTGTGCCTAATTTATAAATTAAACTTTATCATAGTTATGTATGTATAGGAAAAAACATAGTATATAATACAGAGTCTGTACCATCCATGGCTTCAGACATCTACTGGGATCTTAGAATGTATTCCCCATGGATAAAGGGGCAGTAGTGTAAACGGTAGAGCCAGAATTTCAGTTGAATTTCTTCTGGCTCCAAAATCAGCTTTGTTTATGTTTCATGGTAAAGTGGCATCCTATATTCTTTAAGAAGGCAGGAAAGTACATAACATATATACTTAATATAGTATAAACAATTACATTTTAGAGAGAGTACAAAGTTGCTTGTTTAGGGAGTAGGACTATATGTACCTCTTACCAAACCCAAACCTCAGGGTAAACCCAGTTTTCTCTTTGTAGTTTTTTGTTTTTAGATTCCTGATCATGGCTAAAGATAATTACATATTGGTACTGATCGGCTTTAAACAAATTAAGTATTTTACAGCTTTCCTTGGACTTCAGTGGCACTTAGCAACACTTTTATTCATCTAGTCATGAGCTCTTGCATCCTCCACAATTATGGTTTGAAACTTTTTTTGTTCTCCTTAAGCTCCCAACCTACCCTACTGTTTCTCACTCATACCAGACCCATCTGTTACCTCGTCAAGAAAATGGGGATTTTTATATCTTGAAATCCTATAGCTTGTCTTTCTTTGATCTCCTTTAAACTCTTTTTTAGTCCAACCACATCACTCCATCTTCCTGTATCCAAGTTGATCAGGCCTTTGAGAATATCAAGCTTCTTGATAGCTGTGTATCTGCTTCAACCTACAAACTACACATAATCTTTTCCTTTCTCAAATGCCTATCTTCTTATAATTTACCTTAACTTCTGTGGCTGTGTTACTTTATTGCAATTTCTGTTTATGTATAGGTTGTACAGTACTGCTTAATATGTTTTTTTAATTAAATAAGTAACTTATAAAACCAGAACTATACTATTATGGTAACAGTTTCGTTTTTTAAGTCTTGAAAAAATAGGCAAAGATTGAAAACAAGTTTCTGTATTTGCTGGAGCATAATGGAAGCTGAGAAACATCAAGGAAACCAGCCTTCACAACTTTCGAGATAGGTTTATAGTTTATAGATAGGTTTAATCAGACATTGAATGAAATATATGTATGCTGTGGTGGAGGAAAATTCACAGCTGCGAAAAGGAGTGTCAAGCACGTTCTGGTGGTATTGTGACATTTTTGTATATTGTCTGGAAGTTTCTCTCCAACAGTGTGTTAACATATCTTAGTAACACTGTAGCATTATAATGTAATTATGCAATCTTAGTCTGGGATTTAAAATGAGAGTATTTTAACTTTTCAAAGCACATTCCATCAAACAGAAAAGAGAATCAGTGTTTACTTCCTGACTTCTTGGCTGACTGTAACAACAACAATAAAAAAAGACTAAAGAGGGCCTCACAACAAGTATCAAAGTTAGTTATATGTCATATTGAACTCTTAAAATGTATTTTAATTTGTTATTCATATTAACTTACATTAGGAAAGAAAAAAGGTCAATGCACAGTTAAAAGTTTTTTATTTTATTTTATTACAGGCAGCTGTTAAATCTAAGAAAGCTACAGATACCTATAAACTCTATGTGGAAAAATATGCATTAGCAAAAGCTGATTTCGAACAGAAAATGACAGAAACAGCTCAGGTTGGTATTTTAAGGCTTCAGATTGAAAACAGGGCATTTATATTTGTGTATATTGATTAATTTTTCTCTCATATAATTTTTTAGTGTTGGAAGTTTTAAAATGCACAATCTCAATTTGTTAATGATGCTGTTTTAAAAATACATGTCGCGTTTTGGAGATTGAGGACCAAGATGCAATAATTATAATGTCATAAGGAATTATACAGGTAGATCAGAAGAGCCTGTTTAAAGGTAATTGGGGAAACTGAGGGCATTGGTACATGATGAAGACAGTGCTTAAGAAGCATTAATAAGAAAACTGGAAGTGACTTAGTAGTGAGGCTACGGCAGTCAATACAACCCAAAAAATCCCTGGTCTCAAAGAACTTACATATTAGTGAGGGAAGACAGACACAAATGTCTGCCATCCATTAGCTTGGGATAAATTATATTTGGTGTAGTGTTCTTAGAACCTTAATTAAAGGCCTCGTTTAAGGTGGCTGCCTTTTAGGAATCATACCTAACATTTCCACTCTCCGCTGCCCCTGCTTCTTGTCCTTTTCCTTGTTTTATTTTCCTGCTTAGCACCTATCGTGATCTTACATACCAAGAATTTTATTCCTGTATCATTCAGGTCAGAGTAAGTATGCTGTGGTGACACAAGGCCCCAGAAATCTCAGTGGCTTACAATATCAAGGGTTTATTACTTTCTCATGCTGCGTGTTCATTATGGGTTGGCTGCAGCTGTTTTACATCGTCTTCACTGTAGTCCTGAGGCTGGTGGATGAACTCCTTTTTGGAATGTTCTTAGTTATGTCTAAGGGGCCAGAAACAGTGAAGCACATGAGTTCTTTTACCTATATTTTTTGTCTGTTTTTCTCCACTAAAATTTAAGTTTATGAGAGCAAGGATGGATTTGTTTTGTTTACTGCTATATCCTCAGCTTTTAGAATAGTTCCCAGATCATAGTAGGCACTCAGTTAATATGAAAGAAGGACTTTGTGAATCTGAATTTTTGGACTCTATGTCTTCATTATGTCTTCCCATTTGAAGTAGTGAACAGCTCATATCTTAGAAAGCGAAGTCTTGCATACTTGTGTGCATGTATGTGCATATCCATCTTTACCTACAATGGCATAGACTCTGTTAGGTGCTGGTGTGTATACAGTACATCTGTAAATAAGACAAATATCTCCGTGCTTGAGATGGTGTTTACAGTATAGAGGAGGGAGGCAGACATTAAATACATGCTTAAATATAAAGTTATAAATTATTATAAGTATTGCAAAGGAAAATAATAGGCTTCCATGAGATAGAATAATAGCAGTGACTTAATTTGGATTAGGGAGTCAGGAAAGGCCTTTTAAGATAAGTGATGTTTAAAACTGGAACTTGAAGAGTGAGTAAGAAATTAATAGGGCAAGAGCGTTACAGGCTTTGGGGATCATGAGTATGAAGGCCCAGAGGGTATAAAAGAACTTACATTCTGGAAAGTAAAAAATGCTTACTAAACCTGAGTAAGGGAAAATGGTAGTGAGAAATGAAGTTGAATTGATACACAAGGACTAGGTTACATTAGGTTGGTGCAAAAGTAATTGTAGTTTTTACCGTTACTTTTAATGGCAAAAGAATTTAGGTTTTCTTCTAAGAGCAACTAGAAGCCGCCTAAGGGTTTTAGGCAGGGATGTGACATGATCTGATCTACATTTAAAGATAATTCTGGCAGTTTTGGGAAGAATTGATTAGAGTATGTCTAAAGGAGAATCAAGAGTCCAGTTTGGAAGTCAGTATAGTAGTCAGGTGAGAAGGATGAGGGCCAGCGTAGTGGTCTTGGAGAAGGAGACAAGTGAATGCATTGGAGATGGCAGGGATAGGATGGGTTGAGGAATTCTTCGGAAGATTAGGATCCCTTCCAGGTTTTAGCTTGTTAAATCTATGTGGAGAGAGATGAATGGGGAAGATTAGATGAAGAACTGTTAGTTTGATGGAAGGAAGGGATCAATGTTCAATTTTGAACATGTTAATTTTAAGACGCCTATGAGATACATAATTGGTGACATCAGGAGGGCAGTTTTGGAGGAGCCAAGTAATCTGGGCTGGACATAATGTCCACAGTTCCTTATCCACAATTCCGAATCCGAAGAGCTCTGAAAACCAAGTATTTTTTTTTCTGTGATTTATTTGACAACAAAACTTGACTTGAACTGATACGAGGCTGTCTATAGTCTTTATCCTACGTATATTTTCCTTTAGAAATATTAATGTGTTTGATAAACAGATGCCACTACAGATCCTGCTGGTAGTATTATGAATGAGGTATATGGCATTCTAAATAATACTATATATCTTTATTTAAAAAACAAGGGAAGAAAAGGAATTCCAAAACTCGCCTGGTCCCAAAAGTTTTGAATAAGGATTATCAGACCATATAAAATAGGGTTTTGTCAGTACACAAAGCCATGATGACAGCACTTTTAGAGTGTGGGGAAGAAAGGGCCTCAGGGCCAAGCTCTGAGAGACTCATTATTGAGATTTTAATAGAGGAAGCCAAAGAAGAAAGAAGAAAACTGGAAGTGTAATGTCATGGTAGCTGGAAAAAGAAGCTTCAAGAAGGAAGGGTTTAGGTAGTTGTCTTAAATAAGGCTTCAAGTCTAGTGAGATAGAAAGTTGCAATTTCTGTAGCAACTGAGGTCATTGCAGGCTTCAGCAAGTGCTGTTTTGTCTTTTAAATCATTAGGAGCACACATTTATAAGGGAGTTATTGTTGATATGTTAATTTCACATTAAATGGTTAGTCTTTATCAGCTAAGCATTTGCCGTTTCATTAATTTTTAAAATTGGAATAAACAGAGTTTGCTATAGTCAGAGTTTTTTGTTTGTTGATGTTACTTTATAAAAAAGAGCGTTCAGCACATCTTTCCATTTCCTTTTCATGTTCTGCTTCCTCATTACATTTTTTTCCAAAATGGCATTTTAATTGTTCATCCTGCCTTTCTGGTTTTTTTGTTTGTTTTTTGTTGTTTTTTGAGACAGGGTCTCACTCTGTCAACCAGGCTCGAGTGCAATGGCACGATCTTGGCTTACTGCAGCCTTTTTGCCTCCCAGGCTAGTGACCTTCCCACCTCAGCCTCCTGAGTAACTGGGACTGCAGGTGTGCACCATCATGTCCAGCTAATTTTTGTATTTTTAGTAGAGACAGGGTTTCACCATGTTGCCCAGGGTGGTCTTGAACTCTTGGGCTCAAGTGATCTGTCCAACTCGGCCTCCCAAAATGCTGGCTGGGATCACAGGCACCGTGCCAGCCCATTCTGCCCTTTTTAAGATGGGAACATTAATTTATTTGAGCAAATGTGTGACCATGCTGCTTTTAAATAAAGATGATGGCATACTTTACTAATGTGTGTGTATTTGTTCTTTCTCAAGATCTTAGAGATCTCTGTTTCTGTCTCACCCTCTCTTTCTGTCATACTCTACAGCTGCAGAATAGGTTAATTATTGTTTCTTCATAGAGAATAGACTTTAATTTGGGTTAGTTTAGAAGGGAAAGTAATCCTTTTACTTCTCCACTTAACTGTTTTTCCAGGCCAGCTGGGTTGACCAGTCTCAGTGGGAAAGAAAGAACCTGACAGTATAGTGAGAATCAAATTTGGGTGGTAGGACCTATATTTACTAGTGGGAGAAGATCATTGAGTCTCTAGGGTGAAAGAGGTTAGAATTTAGAGTATTTGTGATTTAAGTTTTTAAAATTTAGGTTTAGGATAAAAATGATTGAAATTGTGACTTTTTATGCTCATGCTTTTACCACTATTAATTAATGAGACACTTGAAACAGAATATGGAGATTTTGTTTACTTTAAAGCAGTGAGATGGCTAGTTTATGGAAACTTTGAGATTTGTTAAGCAGTACCCTCAGATTAAAGATTATTAGGATTAGCGTACTTTTATATATCTTTAGTGGCTGAGAAGATAGTGTAGCCCTGTGTCGCTTAACAACAGGGATACACTTTAAGAAATGTCGTTAGGCAATTTTGTCATTGTGTGAACATCATAGAATGTACTTATGCCTGGCCAGGCATGGTGGCTCACGCCTGTAATCCCAGCACTTTTGGAGGCTGAGGTGGACAGATCACCTGAAGTCAGGAGTTCAAGACTAGACTTGCTAATATGTTGAAATCCTGTCTCTACTAAAAATACAAAACTTAGCCAGGTGTGGTGGTGCACGCCTATAATCCCAGTTATTTGGGAGGCTAAGGCACCAGAATTGCTTGAAATGGGAAGCAGAGGTTGTGGTGAGCCGAGATTGTGCCACTGCACTCCAGCCTGGGTGACAGAGTGAGACTCTGTCTCAAAAAAAAAAAAAAAAAAAAAAAAAAAGAGAGAATGTACTTACTTACACATACCTAGATGGTGTAGACTGCTACAGACCTGGCTATATGGTTTAGTCTGTTGCTTGTAAGCTACAAACCTGTACAGCCTGTTACTGTACTGAATACTGTAGGCAGTTATAACAAAATGGTATTTGTGTCTTTAAACATAGAAAAGATATAGTAAAAATCAGTATAAAAGATTAAAAATGCTGCATCTGAGTAGAACACTTATGTTGAATGGAGATTGCAGGACTGGAAGTTGCTCTGGTTGAGTTAGTGAATGAGTAGTGAGTAAATGTGAAGGCCTAGGACATTACTGTACACTACTGTAGATTTTATAAGCACTGTAGATTTAGGTTACATTAAATTTTATTAAAAATTGTTTTCTTCCTTCAATAATAAATTAACCTTAGCTTATTGTAACTTCTTTAGAAACTTAAAAAAATTTTAAACATTTTGACTCTTTTGGGATGACATCTTAAAGTAGAAACACATTGTACAGTTGTACAATAGTATTTTCTTTATATCCTTACTCGATCAGCTTTTTTTCTGTTTTAAAATTTTTATTTTTTTTTAACTTTTTAAATCTTTTTCCTAAAAACTAAGACACAAACGCACACAGTAAACATGTGCCTACATAGGCTTAGTATCATTAGGATTGCTCTTTTATCTCCACATCTTGTACTACTGGAAGGTCTTCAGGGGCAGTAGCATGCATAGAACTATCATCTCTGGCTGGACTTGGTGGCTCACACTTGTAATCCCAGCACTTTGGGAGGGCGAGGTGGGCAGATCACTTGAGGTCACGAGTTTGAGACCAGCCTGGCCAACATGATGAAACCTCATCTTTAATAAAAATACAGAAATTAGCTGGGCGTGGTGGTACGCGCCTGTAATCCTAGCTGCGTGGGAGGCTCAGGCATGAAATCACTTGAAGCTGAGAGGTGGTGGTTGCAGTGAGCTGAGATTGCGCCACTGCCCTCCAGCCTGGGCAACAGAGCGAGACTCCATCTCAGGAAAAAAAAAAAAAGTATCGCCTATGGTAACAAAGCCTTCTAGAATACCTCCTGAAGGACCTGCTGGAGGCTGTTTTACAGTTATTGTTTTTTCTAATAAGTAGAAGGATTACACTCTAATAATAAAAAGTGTAGTTTAGTAAATACATTTACCAGTAACATCATTTATTATCAAGTATTATGTGCTGTATATTATGTGCTATGCGGTACTTTTATGTGACAGGCAGCACAGTAGGTTTGTTTGTATCAGCATCACCACAAACGTGAGTAATGCGTTGCACTACGTTATGGCAGCTATGATGTCACTAGGCAATAGAAAGTTTTCATATCTATTATAATCTTCTGGTACCACTGTCATATATGGCATTAGTTGTTGACAGAAATGTCATTATGTGGCTCATGACTATACTTTTAAAAATTAATGTAACAGGCTGGGTTTGGTGGCTCACGCCTGTAATCCCAGCGCTTTGGGAGGCCGCGGCAGGTGGATCACGAGGTCAAGAGATTGAGACTATACTGGCCAACGTGGTGAAACTCTGTCTACTAAAAATACAAAAATTAGCTGGGTGTGGTGGCACATGCCTGTAGTCCCAGCTACTCGGGAGCCTGAGGCAGGAGAGTTGCTTGAACCCATGAGGCAGAGGTTGCAGTGAGCCGAGATCACGCCACTGCACTCCAGCCTGGCGACAGAGCGAGACTCCGTCTCAAAAAAAAAAAAAAAAAAAAATTAATGTAACAATACATGTGAACACAGTGAATTTGAAGTTGCAGGGAGTAAAGTGCCTATCTAATTTGTTCAGGAAAGTTCATTTATGTATACTCAAGCATTTGAGACTATATCCATTTCCCATTGCTGAATTACTCTGAGCTTAGTAGTCACTAATTTTGAGGAATTGTGATAGTTAGCAGTGTGCCCCTACCCCCAAAACCCCACAGTTTCAAAATTGCATCTGATTCATGCCTTGAGTTTCTCTGTGGATTCATATTTTAAGATATTTCTAAATAAATAAAGATCTGCCTTGTTGAGTGTAGCTTTTTCAAAAGGGAATGAAGACAGTTTCCTCGGAATTAAGGGTCATTCAAATGAAATTAATGGCTACCTGTCTGAGAAAATATCTTGTTTATTAAATTGCTGAAATTTAAGTTAAGGGCCATCCTTCTAGTAAATGCTCCTCAGTTCTTGAGAGTAATTCAGGATCTTGAAATACTGGTACTGTATTCTCGTTGACTTGGTCAAAATTAATCAATGACAAGTATTCCACTTTAACTCTGCCATTCCTCATAAATCAAATTGATTCAAGTTTTTGGGCTGTTGCAATACTGCCGAAACTGTAATTTCACCATTCTGGATTTTTTTTTTTTTAGAGGTTCTTACCATTTACACATTAGATATCATTTGGTGATTTCTGGTCACCAAAGTGACTGAAGAAATTTAGACATTAAATATAGGGTCAGGGAATTAAATTTCATAAACTAACAAGATAAAAATAGTAAGGCTTAGGCCCATTCCTTAGAACTGATTTAATTTGGAAAAAAATAGATAACCAGGTTTGTACAATAGAAATGACAAATGTATTTTGTTTGAAAATGGGTAGCTCAGCATTTCCCAAAGCCTGTTTTGAGGACTATTATTGCTCTGTGAGATATTAATAGATGTTCAGGGAAGAAGAAAAACAAAAGTGTTGTAAGGTCAAAGAAATTTAGAAAATGCCGGGTTAAGCAAAGTGAAACGTGTCATTATTTCAGTATTTCTCAGACCTTCTTTTTTTTCTCCAAGATGGAGTCTCACTCTGTCGCCCAGGCTGGAGTGCAGAGGCGCGATCTTGGCTCACTGCAATCTCCACCTCTCAAGTTTAAGGAATTCTCCTGGGTTCAAGCTATTCTCTGCCTGAACCTCCTTAGTAGCTGGGATTACAGGCATGCGCCACCATGCCTGGCTAATTTTTGTATTTTTAGTAGAGACGGGGTTTCACCATGTTGGCCAGGCTGGTCTTGAACTCCTCATCTCATGATCAGCTGGCCTCGGCCTCCCAAAGTGCTGGAATTACAGGTGTGAGCCACCGTGCCTGGCCTCTCAGAGCTTTTGATATATTTATTGTGAAGGCAAGGCAAGCAGTGGTTTCCTCTCTGGGGATATCAGAGTAACTTGGAAATTTTTTCCAAACAACTTTCTCATCTCTTTCAACCCCCATTACCCAGGCAGTACTGGAGGATCTATTTGTTTTGAAGTTTGAAAAGGTTCTCCAGGTGATCTAACACATCCTCACTTTTGGTTGAGAACTGCTGAAATAGAGTATATAGGCTTTCCCAGATTTCTTTGATGACAGCCATCTCTTTTGGGGATTGTATATTATTATTTCTTTTTTCTTTTTTTTCTTTTTCTTTTTTTTTTTTTGAGATGGAGTCTCACTCTGTCGCCCAAGCTGGAGTGCAATGGCGTGATCTCGGCTCACTGCAACCCCTGCCTCCCGGGTTCAAGCGATTCTCCTGCCTCAGCCTGCCAAGTAGCTGGGATTACAGGCACGCGCCACCACGCCTGGCTAATTTTTTGTATTTTGAGTAGAGACGAGGTTTCACCACGTTTGTCAGGCTGATCTCAAACTCCTGACCTTGTGATCTGCCCACCTCTGCCTCCCATAGTGCTGGGATTATAGGTGTGAGCCACCGTGCCCGGTGTATATTATTATTTCAAGGATTAGAAAGACATTTTGAAAATCTATGGGCTAGATTATAAAGCATTTGAAAGTAAACTGTAGTTTTTGCTTTGCCAACTGATTGTTTTTCAGTTTTTAAAACTCTTTGTTTTTTTTGTAACATTATTCTCTTCTGGGTCTCCTAATTTTCTGATCACGATTATAGATTTTAATGTGTAATGGCTCCAAATTCGGCTGGGTGCGGTGGCTCACGCCTGTATCCCAGCACTTTTGGAGGCTGAGGCAGGTGGATCATGAGGTCAGGAGATCGAGACTTTCCTGGCTAACACGGTGAAACCCGTCTCTACTAAAAATACAAAAAATTAGCCAGCATGGTGGTGGGCACCTGTAGTCCAAGCTACTCGGGTGGCTGAAGCAGGAGAATGATGTGAACCTGGGAGGCGGAGCTTCCAGTGAGCCAAGATGGTGCCACTGCACTCCAGCCTGGGTGACAGAGCAAGACTCCGTCTCAAAAAAAAAAAAAAAAAAAAAAGCTCCAAATTCTAGAAAAGTTTGTATTTACCTAAGAAATGACATAACAAAAAGTTAACTTTTTGCAGTGCCATATTTCAGTTTACCTGCTAGATCTGTCTGTCTTGAGGCTTGGTTAAACATTGTGTAAAAGTGGTAACTTGGAAAATTTGGTTATATTGAGTTGATTTCTTTTTTTTTTTTGGAGACGGAGTCTCGCTCTGTCGCCCAGGCTCCAGTGCAGTGGCGTGATCTGGGCTCACTGGAACCTCTGCCTCCCAGGTTCAAATGATTCTCCTGCCTCAGCCTCCTGAATTGCTGGGATTACAGGCATCTGCCACCATGCCTGGCTAATTTTTGTATTTTTAGTAGAGACAGGGTTTCACCATGTTGGCCAGGCTGGTCTTGAACTTCTGACCTCAAGTGATCCACCTGCCTCAGCCTCCCAAAGTGCTGGGAGAGATGATTTCTGAAAGCTCTTTTGATTCCAGAATATATATGTATGTACCTGTATATGTTATAAATCTATAACTTTGTATATGTTACCCAGAAATTTCAAGATATTGAAGAAACTCATCTCATTCACATAAAGGAAATTATAGGATCCTTGTCAAATGCTATAAAGGAAATTCATTTGCAGATAGGCCAGGTAAGTTTTTTTACTTTATGTTGAACTATTCATGAAAAATTTGTTTATTTATAGCTCTTTAAAAATATTTTCTCACTCTGTTCAAAGTTCATAAGTATAATACCGAATTTTTCCAAATAAAGAATATGTAAAGATAATATATTTACATGTAGTAAATAGAAAATAAACTGGATATTTTATCATTTGGCCACCGAGGATGATAATTCAAATTAATTTTTTAAATTAACTATATTCAGTTTTCTTTATATTGAATTTCTAAAGCTATCAACTTTTGAATATTTCTTTTTTCAAGCTTTACTATTTTTAAATTTAAAGCAGCAACTTTATTAAACTATAGAACTTTTACTTAGAAGTGTTCCACAAATATAAAAGGTTTAATGATGACAATTTGGGGTATACTGAAATATAGTAGAGAAAGATGAAGTCTGTTATTCTTCAAACTAGCCAGGCACGGTGGCTCATACCTGTAATCTCAGCAGTTTGGGAGGCCAAGGCAGGAAGATTACTTGAGCCCAGAAGTTTGAGACCAGCCTGGGCAACATAGGGAGACCTCATCTCTACACAAAATTTAAAAAATATTTTAAATTGTTTAAATATTAAAAAATATTTTAAATTGTTTAAATATTAAAAAAGATTTTAAATTGTTTAAATATTAAAAAAGATTTTAAATTGTTTAAATATTAAAAAAGATTTTAAATTGTTTAAATATTAAAAAAGATTTTAAATTGTTTAAATATTAAAAAAGATTTTAAATTGTTTAAATATTAAAAAAGATTTTAAATAGTTTAAATATTAAAAAAGATTTTAAATTGTTTAAATATTAAAAAAGATTTTAAATTGTTTAAATATTAAAAAAGATTTTAAATTGTTTAAATATTAAAAAAGATTTTAAATTGTTTAAATATTAAAAAAGATTTTAAATTGTTTAAATATTAAAAAAGATTTTAAATTGTTTAAATATTAAAAAAGATTTTAAATTGTTTAAATATTAAAAAAGATTTTAAATTGTTTAAATATTAAAAAATTTTTGGGTGTGGTGGTGCATGCCTATAGTCCCAGCTACTTGGGAGGCTGAGGTGGGAGGATCACTTGAGTCCAGGAGGTTGAGGCTGCAGTGAGCCGTGACACCCAGCCATCTGGGTGACAGAGTCAGACTGTGTGTGTGTTTTTTTTAAGCCAAAAGTATTTTTGTTGTCTGTATAAGTCTTATCATAAGAATGATGTCTCTAGAACGCTCAAAGATGGGAACAGAAAACTGCTTTGACTTCTAGGGGCGTGAGGCTATGTGTTAAGGGGTTAATGTAAGTCATGGTTGGTCCCTACAGATCCAGTAATGCTGGAAGTTAGGTAAATTAAAGTCCTCAAAGGGCCTTGGGTCAAAAATACATATTTTGATATAATTAATTTTAATTGTCTTGTGTAAGTTTTATCTGAAATACACTAAGAATGTGGAAAAAGAAAAAGTTATCTTTATTTCATTTTAATAGGTCCATGAAGAATTTATAAATAACATGGCTAATACTACAGTTGAAAGTTTGATACAAAAATTTGCTGAGTCAAAAGGCACTGGGAAGGAAAGACCTGGTAAGATGATAAACTCTGCAAGGAAACATTTTAAATTTTCCCATATAGTAACTAACATATTTGCCTTGAAGATCATGTGGGTAAGGGGTAATTTTAACTTTATATCACATATCTGAAGTTAAAAATATTTCCAAACTGTGAAATGGAGCCAACCCAAAAAATGGAGTATACCTAAAAATTTGTATAAAATCTCAGATATTACTATTTTTATGTCTGATGATACATTAAGATTTTTGTTTTGGCTTTTAGTGGTTAATACAATAATTTAGTATTATTTAAAGTGGTTATTATAACATTTTACTAAATCTGTCACAGTTTTAGATTTTTCAAAATAGAGTCACCTACAGAAGGCTATTTTAATAAAAGAAAGATTGGGAGAGAATATTGAACGCTCAGAACATTGAGACCAACGTAGAACCTTTCTTAAAATTTAATAACTTCTTTCTTTTCTCATTTATATATACATTTAACAAATATATTTATTGAGTTCTAACAATATACCAGACCCCATTCTAGAAATTTGGGGATACACCAGTGAACAAATGGATATAGGAATCCTGGCTCCTATTTTTATGAAAAAATGATTACAGAAGTTCAAATTCTACTTTTAATTGGCATGTTATGATGTATCAAATGTAATAAGTACCCCATTCCCTTCCCTGCTCAGCATACTTACAGTCCTCCAGATTTCTTTAATCTATTTATTAGTTACTATATCATGTTCTTGCAAGATACATGTTTCACTCCATAAGTAAAAATAATTTAGTGCATTAAAGAAGTTAAAATATGATATGGCATTCCAGAAAATGGGTAAGAGATCTGTGAAGTTTGGGAACCATATTTCCTCAGTGCAGTTCATAGACCTAAGGCTTGAAACCTAAATCATCTTTAATTTCTTCTTCCCAAATTTCATTAAATTTTTAATCTTACTGATTCAATTGTATTAGTATTTTTCCCTTCAGACTTTCTTTTCATGTTTTCTCTAGCTGCCTAATTAATTTGCAGATTTCATACTGGTACAGCAGACGTTTCTTCTCCAATCTATTTTACATGTTATAGCACACTCATCTTTTGCCTATACAGTTATGAACTTATAATTGTACCACTTACAAATCTTTAAATTTTCACGTTGACAGAATGAAAGTGGGATTCTGGACTTGGTTTCAGAGCCTTTAAGGATCTCGAGCTGACCAGATTTTAGTCTTAACTTTCTTCTTTTTTTTTTTTTTTGTTTCAACCACAAGTGTTTATTGATATATTTTAATGGAACAATAAGGCACAACCGTGGATTAAAACAGTTTGCTATACAGCCAAAAGAGGGGAAAGCTATAACCTTAGGAACTTTAGATATGCAAATCAAGGAGCCTCTGAAGTACCTCTCTATAGATCAGTGTCAGACATTCTTCCGTTTTCACTTGATCACAAAGTCTGACTGATACTTCATGAAGAATTTCTCATTCATTTATATTTGAGCCATCCAGCCCAGCTACTTCCCTGTTCTCTACCCTTTTCCATCACTTTGCAGTGGTATTTTTTTTAGCAATCCCCTTCCTAAATAATTATGTACACATCTTCAATAGTTTTCCAAAGCAAGGAAACAAGCACGCAAGCAGTGAATCAGAGAAAGTCAGCCAAGGGCAGATGTTTGGATAAATAGACTCATAGGGACATACATTAGGATGGCAATAGCTTGATTCACTGAAGTCTAAACTAAGCTGACTTTGGCAGAAAAGTTGCTGTGGCTTGTTCGAAGACCTGTAATGCCACCTTAGGTTGTGCTACTAGTGCCAGACCTCATTTTTAAGGGATTAGCAGTGGTCTATACAAGGAAGTAGGAAGCTAGTGTAACCAGGCAGCTAATGATACAATAGTCAATGCTTTGGACATGTATTAGGAGCTGACTATGGCTTCCATCATTAACATTTGCCAAGTGTAAAATTCATAAAGAATTTTGTGACTGAGCATGGTGGTTCACACCTGTAATCCCAGCACTTTGGGACGCTGAGGCAGGAGGATCACCTGAGGTCAGGAGTTCAAGACCAACCTGGCCAACATGGTGAAACCCTCTACTGAAAATACAAAAATTAGCCAGGTTTGGTGGTGCACATCTGTAATCCCAGCTACTTGGGAGGCTGAGGCGGGAGAATTGCTTGAACCCAGAGGCGGAGGTTGCAGTGAGCCAAGATTGCGCCATTGCACTCCAGCCTGGGTGACAGAGTAAGACTCCGTCTTAAAAAAATAAAAAAGAATTTTGTGCAAAACTTCAAGATACGGAGGAAACAATCTTTAAATGTTTTGGACTGGGATAAGTTAACGCTAATCTTTCTACTTGGAAATGTGAAGTGAAAAACATTCCAGTGCACGTAACACTAAGTCATAAACCATGCTGCAAAGGTGTGAATGCGTGAGGCTTTATAGGGTGTCCAGCTGCCTTGATAAAAAGCCATGAAAAAGTCCCCAGGCATATTGCCAGAGCAGTCATTCTGGTGGTAACGGTGTCCCCAAACTAAACAAACCCATAGGCATATTGCTATTTTTTGAACAGTCAACACTGCACTAACGAGGAGCCATGTAGGTAAAAGTTGAGAATCAGAGGCCAGAGGTAGAGTGATGTGGGCAAGCAACCCAGAAGACTTGTCTCCACACCTCTCACCAAGGCCACCTTTCAAGATGAGTATCTCCACCCAGCAGCCCTTTGATGACAGAGTAGAATGCAGAGGATAGTGTCATACTTCTCAGAGAAGTGTTGGTTACCAAAAAGCTCCTGGAGAGGCAACATCCCAGAGGCCCATTTAATAATGAAGGTAAATAAAAACTGCCAGACCCCTGAACTATCCTGTCAAGTCAGGAATACATAGGGCATAGCAGTGCCAAGTAGAACAGATTAGATTTTGAGGCTTACTGAAAAGCAGAAAGACTGCCAGACTAAGCAAACAGTATGTTGGATGACACAGAAGTAGGAAGCAAAGGACATATGAAAAGGATGAAGAAGCATGGTGGCATACTTGCTAGAGGGAAGGCAGTAGGGCTACAGTCTACATCTGGTGAAAGAGCTTTGCTGGCTTGTTCTTGGCATGATTCCGTCTCTCACTTTCTCAGACTGTATGGATATGCATTCAGCAGCAGAATGGGGAAAAAGATACTTATAAATGAAGAACTAGTGACTGGATACTGAACAGAAATAGACTGGGTGTACCATTCTGTAATGCCCTGTTTATGCATCAAAGGCAGGTTTGTGTTGACAGAACATATTTGGGGTTGTCGTGCAACAGCAGTAGTACTTTGGGAGAAGGGGAATGATGGGTTGGAGGTGGGGTTGGTAGAAGGAGGACTTTCAAGTTCCAGTTATTAAATACTAGACCGCAAGGAACAGTTTGGTCTCTGTCCTTTAGTGAAGAAATTGGATGCTCATTTTCTGTTCTACATCCACCTTCTCCAAAACCTTAACAAATTCTGTGAGAGATATGGCACTGTCCCCATCCTGATCAGCCTCTTGAATGGTCCTGTCTGCGATGCTGCCGAGCTGCTCATCTGAGATATTTACTCTGACCATTAAGTGTAGCACCTGTATCAGCTCACCACGGGAGAGCTTATCATCTTTATCGAAATCATATAGTCGAAAAGCAAACTGCAGTTTGTTGCTTCGGCTGTTGAGTGGTTCGGGTCCATTCACATCTTTGCTCTTTTCATTATCCTCAATGGGGTGGAAATGAGCCAAAGTTCACATGAATCCATGGAAGTTTACCTGGTCCTCTCCCTCTGGAAAGAAGACATTGATGATTCGGTCCCCCAGTGGGTTGATGACAAGTTCTGGAATCCTCAGGAAATCTTCATGGCTGAGAATGCCATCTCTCCTTTGTCCAGGCTGGTGAACCGGCTGTAGAGCAAGTGATTTGACTGTGGGAAAAACTGATCTTCTTTATCTCCTCAAGCTCTTCATCCCACAGTAACATGGAGGGCTGAGAACCCATCACCACTGGGGAGCTCCTATGGGTGCAGCGGTGCCAGAAGTGATGGCGACAGGAGGGAAGGAGGGAGGGTGAGAAAGGATAGGGGTCAAGAAGGGAGAGGGCAGTCTTAACTTTCTTTTACTCCTATTCAAGTACCTTCACTGAGGCCAACCTGAACTGCTTGCTGTTTCACATACATGCTTCCTTTTTTCCTTTAGTACTTTAGTTGTCCTTAATCCTTACTCTAGAAAATGCTGTATTCCACTACTTTCCTACACCACATCTTTACCACATTCATTCATCATGTGTTGAATGAATGAACTCTTTAAAGAGCCCGGTTATTATCTTTAATGATATCTTTCTCCATCAAAAGTGCCAGAGAACTTATATATTTCTTTCTTGCCTTGTTGCTGTCTACCATTAAATCTTAATAGTTTGTACTTGTGAAAAAGTTCTGTATTTGATTCATCTATTTTCTCTATTTGTAAGCAGTATATATTTTTGTTAAATGAATGAACAAATGGGCATTTAATGGCAAGATTAGGGTGTTAAGAAGGTTGGAATGGAGTGGCTATTAGAAAATTTTTTAAGTGAATGCTAAATAATTATGGTTAATGTTTAGTGAGCTCTTACTGTGTGCCATGTACCATGCCAACCACTTTGTAGGCACACTTTGATTTTCAGCAACTTTTTGAAGTATGTACTATTATTCTCATTTTACAGATGAGGGAAATGTTCAGAGGTAATGTTGAGAGATTTGTCTAAGCTAGTACATGGCAGAAATGGGATTCAGTTCTGGGATTTTTGATCCTGGATCACAAATCAAGTCACATGCTTTGGAAAAATTAGACTAGAACTAAGTGTAGATATGTTGACATAAATTTTAATTTTGAGAATGCCTTTAAACCAGGGGGACTTGACCTTAAATGTGAACCTAAACTGATGAACGATAACCTTTTTTCCCTGGGTCACAAATGATCCAGAGTATATTTAAGCAAAAAGAAAGAATACAGAGAATGAGCTTGAAGTGGATCAGTGTTTTTCTTAAAGTATTACACTAGAGAGTAATTGGAACATTAAAATGTGTTCTGAATCAAGCCAATTTTATTTTGATTTGCCATTTTTTTGTGACTTTTTTTCTTTTCCCTGATGCAATTTTTCCCACTCTGCTTTGGCTTCCTGGGCTCTTTTTACTGCTTTTTGCTTTTATATGCCAGTGTCATTTCCTAAGACACTGCTCAGCCAAAGGCTGACAAGTATGTGGCATGTGCTGCCTTATTCATGGCAGATACCGTTGCTAGATCATTGCATTCGTCCCCGGAGGAGATCTCAGTCTCTCTCATCTCAGTGCTGTAGGCAGTCACTGCCAATATTGAGTGTTGGTACTCATGTTGAAACCTGTCATCTCCAGCTTAGTTCAATAGAGACTTTTTGTTTGCGAATGTCAGAAAGCCATATAAACAAGCTTAAGCAAAAATTCCATGCATTGGCTATTTTAACCTGGAAGGCTGGAATAGATTCAAGGTCCACATGGATTTCATCAGGACTTTGGTTCACTCTTTTCTTTCATTTTTGCTTGTCTTTACTTGGCTTCAGTTTATTAAGTTCCTACTGTAGACTTTTTCCTCATAGCTGGCAAGGAAGACATCAACAGTCCAAGCCTATATCCATTCTGTTTAGAACCCTAGTAGAACTTATTTTTTTTTTGTAGTGTCAGCATATTAATTTCAGGAAAGGTTCTGCTTTTGTCACATGCTTATCTTTGAATAAATCTCTGTGTTTAGGGTAGTAGGATATTATAATTGGTCAGCATAGGTCACATGCCCAGATCATGGAGGAGCAGGATTTGTATTCTGAAAGGGATAATGGAAATATCTTTTGAACAGACAAAAATTACTACTGTAGTACATTGTAGAATCACAGTACAAAGATACCAAACCCCAAAATATAACGTTTTAGAACTACAATAGGTTGTATATGTATTTCAGGTGTAGGATTTAATCATGTTATTAATGTTTAAATAATTAGAAATAACAGTTTAAGAGGCAGGAATTTACTTTATAATTAGATAAAACTAGAAGATAAAAGTTACATAATTCGGTTTGTCTAATAATCATGGAGTTTTATTGCATAAGGGGGCCTTAAAATTAATGTAGTCCAAGGCTGGGCATAGTGGCTCACGCCTGTAATCCCAGCACTTTGGGAGGCTGAGGCAGGTGTATTACCTGAGGTCAGGAGTTCAAGACCAGCCTGACCAACATAGTGAAACTCCATCTCTACTAAATATAAAAATTAGCTGGGAGTGGTGATGTGTACCTGTAATCCCAGCTACTTGGTAGGCTGAGGCAGGAGAATTGCTTGAACCCGGGAGGCAGAGGTTGCAGCGAGCTCAGATTGCGCCATTGCACTCCAGCCTAGGCAACAAGAGCGAAACTCCATCTCAAAAAAAAAAAAAAGTAATGTAGTCCAAACACATTTATTTAACACACAGAAATATGTTGGAACTTATCAAATATATGCCACTAATTTCGTTTAATATAGACTTGCAGGTGAATGAAAGTTTTGTCAGTTCTTAGAAATTTTGCTAACTCAACATATGGGGATTGCTGAACCCTTATTCATCATAATGTCCTACTTGTCAACCTACTCATTTATTCTCTATGAAGAACTCAACAAATATACAGTTATTATAAATTCCTTTCTGTTGGTTAGGTAATAACTGTATATTAGGAATTACCTTTAAGCTCACTGCTTGATTCCTTTTGAATTCTGGACATTTAGATCATGTTTCTTTTTTCTTTTCTTTTCCTTTTTTTTTTGAGACATGGTCTTGCTCTGTCACCTAGGCTAGAATGCAGTGATGCAATCATAGCTCACTGTAGCTTCAACCTCCCAGGCTCAAGCGATCTTGCCACCTGAGCTTCCCAAGTAGCTGGGACCACAGGCATATGCCAGTACACCCCACTGATTTTTAAAAATTTTTAGTGGAGACAGAATCTTACTATGTTGTTCAGGCTGGTCTTGAACTCCTGGACTGAAGCAATCCTTCTGTCTCAGCCTCCTGAAGTGCTGGGATTACAGGTGTGAGCCACTGTGCCTGGCTCATGTTTATTTTCTTGTCTGTGGTGTAGTGCAGTGGTTTGTGACCTGCTCTTTACTAGCAGTGAGACTTTTTTTTTTTTATGTTTTATTTTTTTTGGAGTCGGAGTCTCGCTCCGTCGCCCAGGCTGGAGTGCAGTGGCATGGTCTTGGCTCACTGAACCTCTGCCTCCTCGGTTCAAGCTATTCTCCTGCCTCAGCCTCCCGAGTAGCTGGGATTACAGGTGCCCACCACCACACCTGGCTAATTTTTGTATTTTTAGTAGAGACGGGGTTTCACCATATTAGCCAGGTTGGTCTCGAAATCCTGACCTCATGATCCGCCCACCTCGGCCTCCCAAAGTGCTGGGATTACAGGTGTGAGCCACCGCCCGCGGCCTAGCAGTGAGACTTTTAAACCTCAGTGCCCTCATCTGTAAAGTGGGGATAATAATAGTAACTGCCTCATGGGGCTGTTGTGAGATTTACATGAGATAGTCTACATTTATTAATAAATATTGTTTTCAAAAATGATACATTTCTCATGAATAAGTAGCCACTAATGTAGTTTCATTATAAATTTAATTTTACTGGCCTTAAGATATACGAAGTCATGTAGAAAATACTTACAGCTAGATGGTAGGAGGTAATAGGGAAGCCAAGAACGGTGATGACATGGGCTTTCGTAGAGTCACTAAACCCAGAATTAGGTGGCTGTTTCAGGACCCCAAAAAGAGTCATAGAACTAGGACTTTTAAACAGTCCTAGAACAAACTAACTAGTGTGGGGTGGAGTGGAAGGGATAAATATTATTTCCCTGGTTGAGTTGCTATGGGTGACTAATTGCAGCTTTTTCATATGTTTTTGTTTGTTTGTTTTTTTCTTTTTTGAGACAGAGTTTCACACTTGTTGCCCAGGCTGGAGTGCAATGGCACAATCTCAGCTCACTGCAGTCTCTGCCTCCCGAGTTCAAGCGATTCTACTGCCTCAGCCTCCCGAGTAGCTGGGATTGATGGGGCCCACCACCACACCCAGCTAATTTTTTTTTTTTTTTTTTTTGAGATGGAGTTTCGCTCTTGTTGCCCAGGCTGGAGTGCAGTGGCATGATCTCGGCTCACTGCAACCTCCGCCTGCCGGGTTCAAGCAATTCTCTTGCCTCATCCTCCCTAATAGCTGGGATTACAGGCACCCACCACCCTGCCTGGCTAATTTTTGTATTTTTAGTAGAGATGGGATTTCACCATGTTGGCCAGGTTAATCTCAAACTCCTGACCTCAGGTAATCCTCCCACCTTGGCCTCCCAAAGTGCTGTGATTATAGGTGTGAGCCACTGTGCCTGGCCTCTTTTGTATGTTTTTGATCAGTTTATGGGCACCTGAGCAAATGAGTCTAGTGACTCACTGCAATAACAAAACTTGTGCTTCCTAGAAAAATAACATAGACAAAATTTTGCTTGTGATTGTGTGGAATTTATGGACTTAAAGGATTTTGTTTTGTAAAGTCTATTCTAACCTTCAATTGTTTTATACTATTGATTTCTGTTAACATTTTATTTCTCCTCTTTTGTAAGGAGCCCCTCTGGCGGATGAGTTCCACCCTAAACTAGCTTTAGTTCTGTGGGATAGAGATCTTTAAAAGAAAACAAAAGATCCAATTCTTTTAAAAATTTGTATACATAGCTGGATGTGGTGGCTCACGCCTGTAATCCCAGCACTTTCGGAGGCCGAGGCGACTGAACTCTAACTACTCCATTGAGAACGCCTGCAGAAAAAGGCAAGGATCGAGGTAGAGAGACCACTGCATGACTGTTGGAATAATCCAGGGTAATTTAAGAAGAAAAGAGGCCAAGTGCAGTGGCTCACACCTGTAATCCCAGGACTTTGGGAGGCCAAGGTGGGTGGATCACCTGGAACACCTGAGGTCAGGGGTTCGAGACCAGCCTGGACAATGTGGTGAAACCCTGTCTCTACTAAAAATACAAAACTTAGCTGGGTGTGGTGGTGGGCGCCTGTAATCCCAGCTACTTGGGAGGCTGAGGCAGGAGAATTGCTTGAACCTGGGAGGCGGAGGTTGCCATGAGCCGAGATTGCATCATTGCACTCCAGCCTGGACGACAAGAGCAAGATTCCGTCTCAAAAAAAAAAAATTGTATACATAAGTTAACCTATTTCTCTGATGCTGCAAAATGACACCAATTTTATTTTTAGTCAGTTATCTATTGAAAGATACAACCTGTCAGTTTGTGTTTTCAGTTCTTAAGTCAAACTGAGAGCATTACAAATTTTTTTCTAACTCGTTATGATAATGTTATATTACTTATTGTATGTACTGACACTTTTTGTCATTGCCTTTTTGTTTGTTTTGCTTTTTTTGAGACAGAGTCTCATTCTGTTGCCCAGTCTGGAGTGCAGTGGCATGATCTCAGGCTCAGTGCAACCTCCACCTCCCGGGTTCAAGCAATTCTCATGCCTCAGCCTCCCAAGCAGCTGGGCTTACAGGCGTGCATCACCATACCTGGCTAATTTTTGTATTTTTAGTAGAGACATAGTTTCACCATGTTGGCTAGGCTGGTCTCGAACTCTTGGCCTGAAGCAGTCCACCTGCCTCAGCCTCCCAAAGTGCTGGGATTACAGGTGTGAACCACGGCACCTGGCCTGTCATTGTTTTTTTTTTGTTTGTTTGTTTTTTTTTTTTTTTTTTTAGTGTAGTAATGGCTGGTTCCTCTGGAATTTGAGTCACTGTAAGAGGATGCTTTGAATATTAAGGCACCTGTGGTCTGAAGGGATCATGAATAAACTGGTGTTTTCTAATTTTGTATATCTTTTTATATTCCATTGACATTGCCCTTGTAACCCTAACCACTCTCAGGTAATTCAGTTGCTAAAAGAGAGTAAAATCCATATTTTCAATGTTTTCTATTTTACAGTCATTTTGGTAATTTTACTTTATGCTATTTATAATTCATAAAAGTTCAGCAGGTTTCCATTTATATATATACATATAGTGACTATTTTCTCCCAGTCTGGCTTGTTCTTTTTTTTTTTTTCCGGTGTTTTTGAAGAGCAAAAGTTAATTTTGATGAAGTGCAGTTTACCAAATTTTGGTTTTTTATGTGTTATGCTTTTGTGTCAAATACAAGAAACGTTTGTCTAATCCAAGGTCACAAAGATTTTTAAAAATTTTTCTATTTCCTTTAGTTGAAGTTTTGTAGTTTAGAAGGACACAGGTGATAACCTGAAAAGAGTTCCCAGTGGCCAAAGCTGGAATTACTTGAGCAAGTAATAAGTAATGAATATATTAGATCATAACACAAAGAATAAAATAAATAGCCATTAATCCATACAGATAAAAATAAATGAGTAAAGAATTTAAAATTTATTTCAAAATTTTGTATACATGTTAATACAAAAGGTGACCAAAAGATTTGGACACTTCCTAAAAATATATATATTTATGAATGTCAAGTAAGCACATGAAAAGATACCCCATTCGTAATTAGGGAAATACAGATTAAAACCACAAGAAAAATAGCAGTAGACACTTAATAGAGTGATAAAAATTTAAAAGGCTGACTATACCAGCCAGGCATGCTGGCTCACACCTGTAATCCCAGCACTTTAGGAGGCCAAGATGTGTGGATTCCTTGAGCCCAGGAAGTCGAGACCAGCCTGGGCAACATGATGAAACTCTGTATCTACAAAAAAATACAAAAATTAGGCGTGGTGTTGTGCACCTGTAGTCTTAGCTACTTGGGAGGCTGAGAGGGGAGTATGGCTTGAGCCCAGGAGGCAGAGAGGTTGCTGTGAGCTGAGATTGTACCACAGCACTCCAGCCTGGGTGACAGGGCGAGACTCCATCTGGGAAAAAGAAAAAAAGACTGAGTATACCAAATGCTATCAAGGTTGTGGAAGAACTGAAACTCACAAAGACTGCTGGTGAAAATATAAAATGGTGCAACCACTCTGGAAAATACCTTGGCAGCTTCTTAGAAATTTAAGCGTACACTTACCATATGATCCAGTTGTTCTACCCCTAGGCATTTACCCAAGAGAAAAGGAAATATATGTGCAAAGACTTGCATATGAATGTTCATGGCAGTTTTATTTGTAGTAGCTCCAAACTGTAAACAACCCAAATGTCCATTAACAGATGAACGGATAAACAAATTGTAGTATTTCCATGCAGTGAAGTACTACTCAACAATAAAAATTAATAAACTACTGATACATGCAATTACATGGATGAATCTCAAAGTAATTTTGCTGAGTAAAAGAAGCCAGACCAAAATAAGAATACATATTATATGATTCTTTTTTTTTTTTTTTTTTTTTGTGACAAGAGTCTCGCTCTGTCACCCAGGCTGGAGTGCAGTGGCGCGATCTTGGCTCACTGCAACCTCCACCTCCCAGGTTCAAGTGATTCTCCTGCTTCAGCCTCCCAAGCAGCTAGAACTACAGGCACGCACCACTATGCCCAGTTAGTTTTTGTATTTTTAGTGGAGACAGGGTTTCACCATAGGCCAGGGTGGTCTTGAACTCCTGACCTCGTGATCCACCCGCCTCGGCCTCCCAAAGTGCTGGGATTACAGGTGGAGCCACCGTGCCCAGCCCATACTATATGATTCTATTTATATAACTTTCTAGAAAATGTACACTAATTTATAGTGACAGAAAGCAGATCAGTGATTGCCTTGGGAAGGGTGGAATGGGTTACAAAGGAGCATGAGGTGATAATTATATATGTTATCTTGTGGTAGTAGACTCACAAATGTCAAAATTCATTAAACTGTACAATTTAAGTAGATGTAGTTTATCATATGTTAATTATACCTCAGAAAATCTGTTTAAAAAGGAGTTGGGAAGAATCATTTTAAGGGTTTTGGCATGAGTAACTGAAAGGATATGGTTGCAACTAACATGGAGAATGCTTATAGACATAAGTACTATAATTGAAAGTAGAAACAAGGGCTTTATCAGGATCATGGAAGATGAAAACATGACTCAACCTTATGAGTATGGGGACACTGTCAAAATGTGTATGTAAGAGGAGATTATATTTCAGTACTAAGATTCTGTGGAGAACTAGATAAAATTTTGGAATGTTTCACAGTGACTGAAATCTGTGGTTAAAAACCTATTTCTTTGATTTAAGACTATAGTTTCTAAATTTTTCTCATAGTTTTCAAGCCTTGGGTACTGTATTCGTCCATTCTAGTGTTGCTAAAAAGAAATAATCTGAGGCTAGGTCATTTATAAAGAAAAGATATTTAACTTGGCGCATGGTTCTACAGGCTTTATAGGAAGCATGGTGCTGGCATGTGCTTCTGGTGAGACCTTAGGAAACTTAAAATCATAGTGGAAGGCAACAGAGAGCCACCATGTCACATGGCAATAGTGGGAACATGAGACAGATGGGGGAGGTCCCAGACACTCTTAAACAACCAGATCTTGTGTGAAATAACTTAGCGAGAACACACTTATTACCAAGGGGATGATGCTAAGCCATTCATGAAAGATCCTCCTGCATGATCCAGTCATCTCCCATTAGGCCCCACCTCCCACGTGGGAATCGCATTTCCACATGCGATTTGGAGGGTACAGACATCCAAACCGTATCAGGTACATACAAGAATTATTTTTGGACATTTTTTTCTTTGCATTTTTCTTTTTTTATGTACAGAAATTGATTTCTTTTCTTTCTTTCTTTTTGTTTTTTTTTTTTTTGAGACAGAGTCTTGCCCTGTCACCCAAGCTGGAGTGTAGTGACATGATCTTGGCTCACTGCAACCTCCGCCTCCTGGGTTCAAGTGATTGTCCTGCCTCAGCCTCCCAAGTAGCTGGGATTACAGGGGTCCTCCACCATGCCCAGCTAATTTTTGTATTTTTAGTAGAGATGGGTTTTCACCATGTTGGCCAGGCTGGCGTTGGACTCCTGACCTCAGGTGATCTGCCTGCCTCGGCCTTTCACAGTGCTGGGATTACAGGCATGAGCCACCATGCCCAGCCAAGAAATTGATTTCATTGGTCCAGGGTGGATACCACTATATTTTAAAACTCCTCAGCTGATTGTAACTAGCAGCCATTGTTGAGAACCTATAGCATCACACTACATGAATGCTTGTTATAAATGGAGAATCTCAAATCCTATCCCAGTCCTACTGAATCAGAATCCGTATTTTAATAAGATCCCAAGATGCTCTGGGCTTTGTATGCACAGTATAATTGGAGAAGCACTGTCTAGACTAATTAAATATCTACCAGTGGCCACAGAGTCTACTAGGGCTGTATTTCTCAAAATGTGATTCCAGGACCAGTGGCATCACCTGGGAATTTGTTAAAAATGCAAATATTTGAGCTCCACCCTAGACCTTCTGAATAGAACACTGTGGGAGTGGAGCCCAGTAGTCTGTGGTTTAACAAGTTCTCCAGGTGATTCTCATACATAATATAGTTTAGAAGCATTGCGCCAGGAGTCTCTCATGAGGTTTGAAACTGCTGAATTGAGGAAATTGATTCAGCAAGTCCTTTTTTAAAACACATACTCCTGAAGTGAAGTGTCATTGATGTCTGCAACTTTCAAATGGTTTAGCAAAAGAAAAAAATTGTATAAGGCTATGTGGAGAGAGAGAGAAAGCAAATGCTATATTTGTTATCATTTACCTTTTATAAATGATACAACCTAGGTTCAAAAAGAGCATCTAGTTCAAAAAGAGTATCCAAATTAGAATTTGAGCCTCTATACCCTGTGCATATCACCACAAACTGGAGTGTGATTCTCTTTTTTGTGTTAGCTTGCCTGGCCTATCATCCCAGGCATCTGGGAATGTGACTGTGTTGCATTCCACAGGCCCAGGAGCAAGCTTGAAAATGTAGTAATTGATTTCCATTGTTATGAGTCACAACTCTTTCCTTGCTCATGCACACATGCACACACCCCTTCATTATCATCATTCCTTTTATTAAACTTTTAGTGTATGTCTGAGAGTGTTTGTGTTTAGCTCTGATTAGAAGCAGAAATATGCTTGATTTGAATAGCCCAGACTTTCTATTTGAGTTTTGAGGGCAGTTTTTAACTAATGTTAAAAACTTGTCCTGTTGATGGCCTGAGATTTAGGATTGATTCCGAAGCAACAGGGATTATTAATTAAATATTTCACATATTTTGTACTTTTCCTCAGTCCACAAAACATTTGTGGTGATCAAAGATTACCGTTCAGTAAGTTGCTTTTCTTCTTGTAACATCTTTTCAAAGTTTTAATCCAAATTAGGTTTGAATGGATTCTTTAGGTTGATGGCTTTTCTTATAGCATTTATTTATTCCTACCTGATGATTAAAGCATCATATTTAAGAATTGTTTTGCTTTGAATCATTGACCTCTTAGAGCTGTTCTTCTGTTCTATGAGTTTAATTGAACTCATAGTGGTGTTTTAAAATAATGTGTAAAAGAGCATCAGGAGACAGAGCCAAAATGGTTTTATTTGCTTTTATACAAACTAAATTGCCCTTGTGACCCAACATAAAATTTAAGTGCTAAGAGCAGTTATTTATTTTGACAAAAGAATTAATTGAGTCTAAAACAGTTAAAATTCCAGTTGTAGCAAACTATTCATTAAGACTCTCACTCTGGCTTTAGTACTGTCAAAAAAAATAACTTGTCTTATGATTAAATAGCAGAATGATGGGCAGTGGACTGCATTTGAAGGAGATGCTGAATAAACTTTCCACTTGTGAAACAGTTCAGAAGTGACATGCTACAGGGGGGGTCAGAATGTGCATTGATATCCAGCTGAGTTGTCAACTGGCACTGAGCCAGGCACGCAAAGCCTTGCCATGTGAAGCGGCATGTGGAGCATATGCCATTTGTAAAAGAAAATCTTGTTCATGCATGATTTAATGGTTTTTTTAAAAAGGTAGTATTTAGTTTTATTATGCCAGAAATCATTATTTCTATCTTTAATAGAAAAGTTTGTGTGGATGGTACTCAATTTAAAATTTTTAATATATATTTTTTGATTTGAAGTGATTTGGCATCTTTCAAAATGTGTTTTTTTTGGACATTTTTCTATTTCAAATGGATTTTAAGAGGATGTTTAGAAAACATAAGAGAAATCAAGATATGTTTACTATAGGAAAAGAGTTTTGTGAGAACAAAAAGGAGAATTTTGTTTAAAGGGACTGATTTTATGGAGTTAAGAGATGTCTTTACTGTTTTCACATGTATGAAGTCATCCAAAGATTTTACAAATCTTTTTTTCTGTATGTACCATATTTGCTAAGATGATGATGTAAAAGTCCTTCTAGATAATATATATTTAGTATTTGTAAACAAGGCAATTTGGCATTGGTGTTTTGTTTTTATGGTACTTACTTTTTTCTACTCTCTAGAGTAAGCGTGTGGCCTGAGCATTAGAGATTCTGTAAATAGTTAATGGGTAGAAATTATGTGGATGTGTAGCTGTAGGAGAATTTTTGACTAACCACATGCCTGATTGCCTTTTTTTGGTAAACCCTTTCTTGTCTCAACAGACGATTATATTTTCTCAAGCTTTATTAGTACTTGGAAAAGCCAATAATATATAATAAGCTGTTGGTAATTTAGGTAGAGATTTGTTATTCATAATTTTTATACTAAGTGAAAAGTTGCTAATTTGCACATCTCAATTTCTTTACCCTTATTGATTTTTCAGCCTGCCTTCATCTCATTGTAAATTGTTACGATAGGCCTCTAAGGGATTCTAAGAACAAGCTCAGTACCCTTTTATTAAATGATTTCTCAGCTTCCAGATTTGCAGAATGGGTTTGAATAAAGTCCTTAAATTTTTAATTGGGTCATTTTCTGACTCTTTAAGGCTTTTTTGGATAGAAGTGATAAACATTTTTTTTAGTCCTTGTTCATATTTAGAAGAATGTATTAGTAAGGAACATACTAATAATTGATTAGGACCTTGTTTATCAACTCACTTCTATGACTGTTTTATTCTGCTTATTAGTAAATGTTAATTTATTTTATTTGAATGGAAACTAGAACCACACAGAAATAAATCTTAGGTTTAGGGGGAGGGAGAGGGACATTAAGACAATATTTTTAGATCCCCCTATTTGTAGAGAAATCTTTCTTGTTAATCAATCAGTGGCTTTCTTTTTTAATGGAATGATCAATAATAATGCTGATCATGAATTTGTACATAGTTAAGCTTCACATCTCAGAAGAACCAGTAACAAAATCCTCTATCATCTACTCTCTGTTTCAAGCTCTATTTTAAAATTTCTTCATATAGCAAGTTATACCAGTTACCATTAATAAATTAAAAATTATTTCACAAAAAAAGCTAGACTTTCATGAATTTATATATAAAAAGTACTAAATGACAGCTTAGTGGGAGATAATTTTTTAGTCTCATATTTAGCTTCTGGGATATTTCATTAGGAGAGTAATTCATGTTTTGCTACTTTCTCACACTGCCAAATAATTTGATATTTCACATATATGAAGTATGCCATATTTTATGGCAATTAAGGCTAGTCTGAGCAGTCAGTCATTTCAGGGCTATTTTAATTGTTTTCTAATGATTTCCACTTTATCATCATCCTCTTCTACAATCTATCTCTCATAGCAATGCTAAATTAATTGTCCTTGAAGATCTCTTTGTGGGTGGATGTGTATGATCTTACATGAAAACTCTTCCTATTTCCTGTAAGCTGTAGTTCACATTCCTTGACCTGCTATACAGTTAGAGAGATCTGGATTATAATCCCAAGGTCACCACTTAACTAGTCTGTAATTAGTTCATTTATTCATTCAATAAATATTTACTTATTTACCCAACTTATTATTTACCTGGCATTTTTTAAGTATTGAAGATACAGTGATGAACAGGACAGATGAGGTCCCAAGCTTATGTTCTAGTAGTATTTACTATCTTGGTAGCCCTGTTCTTCCCATGAACACCACCGAGGATTCAGCAACCACCTTTACCATGCTTGTTTCCTCTCATTAACAGTACTGCCAGCTTCTTGAAAGCAGAAACTGCATATTCTTGTGTCTCTAGTTTTGTGGCATCATATGTAATTGGTTTTCAGTAAATTATTGTGATCATAATGGGCTAGTCTTGTTATTTTTCACTGTTAGAATTATTTGATTTTTAAAATTTATTGCTGATATTTTAATTATTAGGTAACAACTAGAACCATTTCAGAACAATTAAAAAGATGCGTTGTCAATTAAAAGTAGAATAAAAAATTTAAAATGTAAAAAAAAAGTTTTAAAATTTACCTAATAGTTTTTTTCTACTAGAAGTTTTTCAATTTCTTTTTTTCCAGGCCTCATTGAATTTGAAGAATGTGACACTGCTAGTGCAGTTGAAGGTAAGTTGATTAGTTATAATATGTTAATGCACATGGCAGCTAGCTAGTATCTTCTGTTCATTGAACAAATAAGGAGGGACTGCTATCCCTAGGTGTCAGCATACCTATGGAATGGAATGCTGTAAAAATCTGAAATTAGTTTGAAGGCCTGCAGATGCTACTTGCTGCTTAATAAATAACAGATTTTCCCAAAATAATATTAGTGTGTTAGATTATATATTTTTAAAGATTGAGTATAACATGCATTTGTTTTTAAATATACATTGAAATAGTTTTCTTCATTGACATCCATGTTTAAGCCTTGTTCCATGTTTAAGCCTTGTTAATCCATGTTTAAGCCATATTCAGGAATATGAAACTCATCTCTGTAATGTGTAGTGCTAATTGTACAGTGGGTAACATTTCATTAATTTATGTTAATATTACCATCATTTGGCTGGGCACAGTGGCTCATGCTTGTAATCTCAGCACTTTGGGAGGCTGAGGCAGGAGGATTACTTGAGTCCAGGAGTTCGAGACCAGCCTGGGAAACATGTTGAGACCCCATCTCTACAAAAAAACTTTTAAAATTAGCAGGTGTGGTGGTGTGCACCTGTAGTCCCAGCTACTGGGAAGGCTGAGGTAGAAGGATTGCTGGAGCCTGGGAGGAGGAGTCTGTGGTGAGCTGTGATTGTACCACTGCACTCCAGCCTGGGCGACAGAGTGAGACCCTGTCTCAAAAACAACAACAAAAACCCTTCTTGAATTTCTTCATCTGTAAGATGAGGGGCTAGCTTAAACCTAAGGTCTCTACTGCTCTCTTCTGTTTTTATTTTTTGGGAGACAGGGTCTCACTTTGTTTCCCAGGCTGGAATACAGTGGTACGATCTCTGCTCACTGCAGCCTCGACCTCCCAGATCCAAGCGATCCTTGCACCTCAGCCCCAAAATTAGCTGGGACTACAGGTATATGCCATCATGCCCAGCTAACTTTTGTATTTTTTTTAGAGAAAGGGTTTCACCATGTTGGCTAGGCTGGTCTTGAACTCCTGAGCTCAAGTGATCCATCCACCTTAGCCTCCAAAGTGCTAGGATTACAGGCGTGAGCCACCACACCCAGTCTCTACTGCTCAATTCTCAAAGAGTAAACACCTAAGTTTTAAGTGCTGAATTCTTTTTTTTGAGACGGGGTCTTGCTCTGTCACCCAGGCTGGAGTGCACTGGCGTGATCTTGGCTCACTGCATCCTCCGCCTTCTGGTTCGGATGATTCTCCTCCCTTAGCCTCCCAAGTAGCCGGGATTACAGGTGTGCGCCACTACGCCCGGCTAATTTTTTGTGTGTTTTTAGTAGAAACGGGGTTTCACCATGTTGGCCAGGCTGGTCTCAAACTCCTGACCTTAGGTGATCCGCCCACGTCGGCCTTCCAAAGTGCTGGGATTATAGGCGAGATCCACCACACCAGGCCTTAAGTGCTGAATTCTATCAAAAGTTAATAGCATGACTGGCCTTTAAAAATAATTTGTCATGAAAGAAGAGGATGCCTTATTAGGAAAATCAAAGATAATTTTTACTCCTCGGTTATGGTAGAATCCATTTATAGCATTGTTTGTATTAGGGACAACATTATGGACACAAGAATGCCATATTGTAAACTTACTTCTTTTTTGTTTTTTTGTTTTTTTCTGTTTCTGTTTTTTTCTTTTTAATTTTTGAGGTAGGGTCTCACTCTGTCACTCAGGGTGGAGTGCAGTGGTGTGATCACAGCTCACTGCAGCCTCCATCTCCTGGACTCAAGCAATCCTCTCACCCCAGCCTCCCGAGTAGCTAGGACCACAGGCGCGCACCACCACACCCAGCTAATCTTTTGTATTTTTTTGTAGAGACAGGGTTTCACCATGTTGCCTAGGCTGGTCTTGAACTTCTGAGTTCAAGTGATCTGTCCGCTTTGGCCTTCCAAAGTGCTGGGATTATAGGCATGCATCACTGCACCTGGCCCCATATTATACTTCTAATGGGTCTGCTGTATCATCTTTTTATCTAAAACAATAAAATTATATTTTGTGGCCCTCTAAAAAGCAAACATGATTTGACCTTTATAACATTATTTGACGTTTATAACAAAATTTAGTATAATGAATAATGTACTTTCTTTGAAGTTTTAAGATATCTCCATATGCTTATTATGTGTAAGGTGACTTAAGGGAGGCTTAGGAAAAGAAAAGAAAATTTTATCTATAAAGTAAATGTTCTATGATCTTTTGATAAACAATAGACTATGTTTTATTAACATAAGAAAAGTCTAACCAATAGGGTTGAGTGGTTGCTAACTTTATTTCTGTCATCCACATTTAGCATCAGCAGTTATGAGCAAATTATGTGTGAGGATGCAAGATGTATCCATAAGTTTAATATGTTTATCAGGAATGTTTATGTTTCTGTAACAATATATATTTATTTTAAAGGTATAAAACCAAGGAAAAGAAAGACCTTTGCTTTGCCAGGAATCATTAAAAAGGAAAAAGATGCAGAATCTGTGTAAGTATTTTAAATATCGTCAAAATCCTTTTTGTTTTTATAAGTGATTAAGAATAAGACTTTTGAATTTGGAAAGAAAAAAGTATTTTGGAAATAACTCAAAAGTATATGTGTAAGGTGTGAAAAACAAGCCTTTCTAAATATTAATAAATACATTTGCCAATTCCTCTGGTTTTAGATCAAAGTATTATTAATTATTTGAAAATGTTAAGACATTATAGACAAAAGCTTTAATGTCTAGAAATGGAAAGTTTTGAAATATCCTTATTTTTGTAAAATGATAAATGCATATTTTAAAAAATTAAAAGTGCAAAGAAAACTAAAAATTCATCAAAGTCTTAATGCCTAAGAGAAAATCTCTGGTCAACTATTTGATGAAAATCCTTCTAGACAATTCTGAGTGTACAGGCACATGGTGATACCTATACATACATTGATGGAAAATGTTAAATAGGGGAGAGAAAAGCCCTAACATTTTACCATTTATACTAGGTCATCATTTTTAGATGGAATATTTGGTCCACTTATAAGTCTGATTTACCTTCTTTTTTTTTTTTTGAGATGGAGTTTCACTGTTGTTGCCCAGGTTGGAATGCAATGGCGCGATCTTGGCTTACTGCATTCTCCACCTCCCAGGTTCAAGCGATTCTCCTCCTACCTCAGCCTCCCAAGTAGCTGGAATTACGGCGCCCACCACCACATCTGGCTAATTTTTTGTATTTTTAGTAGAGACAGGGTTTCACCATATTGGCCAGGCTGGTCGCGAACTCCTGACCTCAGGTGAACCACCCGCCTCAGCTTCCCAAAGTGCTGGGATTACAGGCCTGAGCCACGCGCCCGGCCTGATTTACCTTCTTTTAAAAATAAAAAATTAATATACAAAGAATATGTAATAAACATGTAAGAAATTGAGTTTAGATTAGCTAACTAAAGTTTTTGTTTGTTTGTTTGTTTTTTACTTTGGCTACACATTAGAACTACCTGGGAAATTAAAATAAATACACCTATGCCAGGTCCCACCTCAGATCAATTAAATCAGATTCTCTAAGCATGAAACCTCAACATAGGTTTTGCTCTTTTTTGTTTTAAGCAGCCCCTTTGATTCCTAATGTATACCTGGGGTTAAGAATCTTTGAGCCGTGATTATTCAGAGACAAACTAGAATTAAAAGAATCTTTCTTTCAATGATTACTCAGTCCATTTAGATTGAAGAGACACCGATCAAAAGTCTTGAGTCAAAACAACAAAAAAATTTGTTGACCCACCAACATTGACTGAAAATTAGTTTAAAAACCCAGCTTCCCTAGCATAATCAAAGGAATTCTCATGAGATTTAATATTTGATGGGCACTCATATTTTTAACATAAGAGAACAGTTTGTGCTTTGGGTATTCTTGCTTTCTACCTAGTTATATTTCTATTTGAGTTTCCTAGAATTTCTTTCATTTTAAATGACTCTCTTCCCCTCTCCCAAGTAGTATTTGGTTAACAAATCAAGACCAATTGCAAAGTCATCTATATCTATAGTTATCAAATCTTCTGCAAATGTCTTTCTTGAGCATTTATGAAGGGTATATTTTTAAGGGGGTGAAACCTAATCTATTTTATAATATTAGCAATACATATTGAAATCTGATCAATTGATTAGTAAGTAAATGTTTAAAATATATCTAGTTCATCTGTTAGTGGCTATATTGTAAAGAATCATGGCCTTAAATTATTTTTATAATGTATAGGTTTCATTACTGTTCATGTAGGGAGCTTATAGTATTTTTTAACCAGGTTTTTAAAACAGTTTTCCTTATCAATAATTTCCCAATATGATATTAAGCCACTTAGGGTGGTTTTTTGTTTTTGTTTTTTAACCAATGGCAATAGTAGAGCAGAAAGCCACTGCTTAAACCACTGTACCATCATCACCTTCTTTCAAACTTCTTGGCAGGAAAAAATGTTAGAATTCACTTTGCCTGAAATGCCAGAGGCTCTTGGCATGCCTCTTCATAGCCTGAAGGCTTTTGAGATGCTAGTAATTGTGGGAGACAGGCCCTTTTCAGAGCTTCCTCTTCCTGGAGCTTCATCTGCAGGTGTCATACAGCCCACTGTGAGGGCAAACAGATAAGTACTTTACCCCAATGACTGGAGTGTTTTGGCCTAAAGCCAGAGAATAAACTCTTTGGAACTTTAACACTTCCTTTTATGTTCAAACTGCATCTTTTTTAAAAAAAGAAGAAAGTAGAAATGTTCTAACATCTTGATTAATTTGATTCTCTAGAAGGATTGGGTTATTATTATTATGCCTTTTCTGGAACATTTCTTCAGATTATGCATAAGTTTAGAAAAATATAATGTTTCTCATCTACCAGTAAGGAAGCTGTATTTCAAAATGTGCAATTTTAAATGACTTTTAAGTGGATAGAAAGTCACCTGGGGGGCCAGGCCCGGTGGCTCATGCCTGTAAACCCAGCATTTTGGGAGGCCGAGGAGGGTGGATTACTTGAGGTCAGGAGTTCAAGACCAGCCTGGCCAACATTGTGAAACCCTATCTCTACTAAAAATACAAAAATTAGCCAGGTGTGGTGGTACACACCTGTAATCCCGGCTACTTGAGAGGCTGAGGCTGGAGAATTGCTTGAACCTGGAAGGCCGAAGTTGCAGTGAGCCGAGACGATGCCACTGAACTCCATCTAGCCTGGGTGACAGAGTAAGACTCTGTGTCAGAGAAAAAAAGAAAAAAAAAAAAAGAAGAAGAAAGAAAGTCACCTGGGGTTTGCATTTACCCTGTCTCTTTGGTACTTCGTTTTGGATTAAGAGCAATGTAGTCATCTTCCTCCTTTTTAATTTTTTCAGTCTGTTTTATCCTATTTTCCTTTAAGAAAATTCTTCAATTTTGTAGATTCTTCTGGTGTTTGCTTAGTATTTGGATAAATGGCGTTTATCTGTTTGTATAAGATTTTGACACACATTGCGTATCCTTTGAAATGCTTGAGACCAGAAGTGTTTTGGATTTCAGATTTTTTTGGATTTTGAAATATTTGCAGAATACATCCAGTTGAGTATTCCTAAACCGAAAATCCCAAAGCCAGAATGTTCCAATGAACATTTTGTTTGAGCATCCTGTTAGTGTTCAAAAACTCTCAGATTTTGGAGCACTTTGGATTTCAGATTTTTGGATTAGGGATGCTCAGCCTGCTTTGTGTGCATTAACTGTCACAAGTCAGAGGTCCAAAAACCTTTTAAGTCTGCGCTCTTAATTTTTGTTTGTGAATTTATTTTAGAGTGCATACATGGAAATTCTTCTAACCTCATTTTTAATGACCTCACTGTCCTTAGTTGTACATATTTAGGTCTTCTTTATAAACATAAACATAGTTTTACATTTTAAATAATACTTTTCACTAGTGTATATGCAAATTCAATACTTGTTTATCAGTTAAATGATAGAATTTCAGTTCTCAACTACATATTACATTACATAAGAAAGTTATCCAACTGGAAGTCTACTCAGTATATTTGGAAAAAACTAGCTTTAACTTTTGTATCTACTAAGTTATGGAAAGTACTTCAGATGAAACTGAAGTGTTTAAAAATTGTATTTTTTCCAGTAGTTTTGGGTTTTCAGACTACTTGCTACTTAATACTGACTTTTTTTTAAAGTCAAGCTTTCTTCTTTAAGGACATTTTTTTAACTTGCTTTACTTGAATGAAAAGCCATTAGAAAGCCTTGTAGGACTGACAGCTTTCTTGATGTGTGAGTATATTCATGGAAAAGAATTATTTTTCAAAATAGGTTTTTGAATATTTATAAGCTCTCAAAGCATAATGTAAGCTGTTAGAAAAAAAGGAATACTTGTAAGCTGTTTGTTTTTTATTTTGTCAGGTGGTATGGGTATAAGAATGCCTTTTTTGAATTTTAAAATAATTTGGTATGTTTTAATCTTCATGGTTTGATTTCTCTGAATATTTTTTGTAGAGTTTAAATAAAAGCTATATTTAAGTACCAAAGTAAATACTTTAAACAAGCATAATTAGCAGACAATTCTAATTATTGAGTATTTCTGATATTTTGTTTTAATAGGGAATGTCCTGATGCAGATTCATTGGTAAGTAGATTTAACTTTGATATAAACAATTTAAATTAGTTATTTTCATTAGGACAAACCTAACACATTTGAGTTGAGTTGTTACCAGTCTTTCAAAGAAAAATACCATCATATTGTAAATTCACTATTAAAATTATTTTACAGATGCATTTTTGGATTTACATTGCCAGATGCTTTCCTATTAAATAGAAAGTATTTCTAACCACCTTTGAAGAGTGGACATTTTACTTTTAAAATTGGAGTGGTGCCATATCATTCTGTTTTTTTCTTGGGAAACATGCCAGAAATCAAATCTGTATACTTTATTTTAAAATGTGGTGTTCTTACTAATTTATTCTTAGCTCTATTAAAATACAACATTGTGCGTGCATTTGAGTTCATTTAAGAGCTTGTCATTTTAGAAATAACAGCAACAAGAACCATGGTCAGTACTTTTCTGTGCTTTTTGTTTTATTTTAAAGAAGGGTTGCTTATATTTCTTGATTAAATGTATTTCTTTATGTGTAATTAAAGAAGACATCAAATGGAGCTCCCTTTGGTTACAGTGAGAGAGTAGATTTACCAAATGCTGTTAAGTAATGTGTAGACAGACATATTTTTCAAAACTGTTCATTAGATACCGTTCATGTTGATAAGTATAGGGGTTTCAAACAATCTCTGTCCTTTGCTTATTGTTCTTACCTGCGTAACTATTGTTTCCTTTGATCCCAAAACATTTTGATCTTTTACAGCATCATAGTGTAACAAAATAACTAAAAATATTTTGTGAAACACTGTGTTTTATGTTACTTAACTAAGATAAAATTAGTATTTTGTTTTATATTTTGGCCTTAAAATACAATTATGATTTGTTAACAAATTTATATGAAAAATAAGAAATAGACTTATAATGAGTTACGGGGTTAAAACCATCAGTGTATTTTTGGAGTTACAATGTTTACCTTACCACTTGGTTACTCTGTTTGATACCCTTGGTTAACTAATTAATGAAAAGCAGCAGATGTGTTTGGCATTAACTTTAGTACTCATTTTATTTCTGCATTATTTTTATGCATTTTATTTCTGAATTATTTGTAGCATTAAATTGATGATGTAAAATTAAATACAACTTTAATACTTCATGTTTTAGTTTACATATATTCCTTTTAAATAAAACATTTTTAATTCAGTAACTGATACTATTTTATAATGATCAATATTATCCAATTTTGAACTTTACTTAGTACTTATCCAGAATACAAAAGAATACAGAATTCTAATACTGAATAAGAAGTGATTGATGAATTTGACTGTGTAGAAATGAAAAATATATAAAACTAGAAAAAATACGTTATAAAAGGATTTGAATTATCAGAGACTGGCAGAGCATCTTTGCAAGACGTGACAGGGGTTAATTGCTTTCATTTATAAAGTTTATATGCAAATCAATACAGAAAATAAGTGGGTGCCTAGTAGGAAAAGGGCATAGGATAAAAATGGTCAATTTTCATAAAAAGAAATAAAAGTGATAACCATAATAAATATTGCTCAAAATAGTGGTGTTCTTCTGGTGGAAATTAGAATGAATTTAGTCTAGTGTCTAATCATATTGGCAAATTTCTTTTCAATTTAATTTTTTGTTTTTTAATTTGGAAACAAGGTCTCACTCTGTTGCTCAGGCTTGAGTGCCGTTGTGTGATCATAGCTCACTGTAACCATGAACTCCTGGGCTCAAGCAATCATCTTGCCTCAGCCTCCCATGTAGCTGGGACTACAGGCACATGTCACCATGCCCAGCTGATTTCTTAAACCTTTTTTTTTTGGTAGAGTTGGGGTTGTGTTGCCCAGGCTGGTCTTGACCTCCTGGCTTCAAGCCATTTTCCTGCTTCAGTCTCCCAGAGTGCTGGGATTACAGGTGTGAACCACTGTTCCTGGCCAACAAAGGTTTTGATATGCTCATACTGTTGGTAGGAATGTAAATTGATACTGTCTGTCTTGTGGATAGTTTGGCAGTATTGCCCCAAAAAAGAAATGTGAGTTCATTTTTGACCATGCCATCTCCCTGCTAGGAATTTACTGTTACAGTTATAGTAACAAAACTTTACACACACACATACACACACACACACACATTGTATTAGTGTGTATATGTGTGTGTATACATATACACACATATATAAAGTATATATGTTTGTACACATGCAGACACACTTGATCAAGATTCATGCATATATAGAAAGTGATAAATAGATATTTATTTCAACATTGTTTATATTAGCAAAAAACTGGAAACATCAAAGCATCCATCAAAATGGGAACTGGTTAAATAAATTGGTGGGGTAATAGATGTTATAAAGGATTAAGTTGATCTGTGTCTGCTGATATGGAAAGAACTTAATAAAAGCAAGTATGATATTTTAAGTGATTGCTGTTTTAAAAATAAGATAAATATGTGGATATATGTATTATATTTATTTTAGAAGAATGAGTTACAAGGTACTTTACTTGTGGATACCTTTGGGGCCAAGAATTACAGTGATCAGTAGAGAAAGGAGACTTGTTTTTACTTATTTTATTTTGAGATGGGGTCTTGCTCTGTGGCTGATGTGACTTGGATTTGTGTCTCTGCCCAAATCTGTTGTCAAATTGTAATCCCCAGTGTTGGAGGAAGGGATTGGTGGGAGGCAATTGGGTCAGGGGATAGATCTCCCCCTCGCTGTTCTCGTGATAGTAAGTGAGTTCTCACTTGTTGTTTGAAAGTGTGTAGCATCTCCCCCTTCACTCTCTTCCTCTTACTCTGGCCATGTAAGATATGCTTCCTTCCTCTTTGCCTTCCGCCATGATTGTAAGTTTCCTGAGGCCTCCCTAGCCATGCTTCCTGTACAGCCTGTAGAACTGTGAACCGATTAAACTTCTTTTCTTTATAAATTACCCAGTCTCAGATAGTTCTTGATAGCGATGTGAGAACAGACGAATACAGTCACCCAGGCTGGAGTGCAGTGGCAACGATCATAGCTCACTTCAGCCTCGACCTCCCAGGCTCAGCCATTCCTCCCATTCCAGCCTCCTGAGTAGCTGGGAACACAGGCATATGCCACCATGCCTGGCTATGTTTTTTCATTTTTAGTAGAGGCAATGTCTCACTATGTTATCCAGGCTTGTTATTTTCTTTTATTTGTAGCCTATAAATAATAACTTACGGCCTATTCATGGCTTCCTCTTACTAATTATTTTTTAAAACATCAATAGGCTATCATGGTAGGGAAATTATTGTTCATTTCTTATTCCTTTCTTTAAAGGTCTATGTAATTTAAAAAATTATTTTTAGCAACTGCATCTTTTGAAAGTTGGCCAAGGAAGTGTAATTGCTCTTTTTTTCTTTTTTCTTTTTCTTTTTCTTTCTTTTTTTTTGGTTTTGGCCTATGTCCACATTCCAAACAGAAATTAAGAAACATTTCATTGACTCTTGAGCTCCATTCTGGTATATATTTTTTAAATTGCCACCACTACTTTAGCCAGAGTAAACAACTGCCTTTAAGATTGATGGGTGAAGTTGCCTGTTCTATTCTTGTTCATACTGCTTTTGACCTAGGGCTTCACTCCAGCTGTATGGGCCCTAATATAGAAATCATGGATTGAATGGGTAAAGATGAACACAGGTAATGGGTACGTTTTTATTAATATCAGGTTTCTGTGCATAGTTCTAGCAGTAAAAAGATAGTACACTGAGAATCACTGCTTTTAAGAAAAACTTTTTATTTTGAAATAAAGATGCATAGAAGGTTGCAAAGATGGTGTATGTAACAGTACTGTGTACTTGTTACCCCTTCTTCCTGACACTAACATTTTACAAAACTGTCATGTAATATCACAACTGAAATATTGACACTAATTCAATCAAAATAGGACATTTTCATTAGCACAACAATCTCTCATGTTGGTTGCCCTTTTACAGCCACTTTTCCTTACGCCTTCCTTAACTTCTGGCAACCACTAACCTTTTCTTCATTCCTATAATTTTGTCAATTCAAGGTTGTTCTGTAAGTGAAATCATACAATATGTATGCTTTTGAGATTGGCTTTTTTCCACTCAGCACAGTTCTTTGGAGATGTATCCAGGTTGTGGTACATATGAATAGTTTATTTTTTATTGCTGAGTAGTAGTCCCTGTTTTGGATGTACTAAAGTTTGTTTAACCACTCACCCATTGTAGGACATTTTGGTTGTTTTTCAATTTTTGGCTATTAGAAATAAAGTTACTATGAACAATTGTGTACAGGTTTTTGTGTGGACATAATGTTCCTCTCTGACCCTGATAATGTTCTTTATGAAATCTACTTTATCTAACATAAAGACAGCCTCTTTTCCCCTTTGTTATTATTCATGTTTGCCTAGTATAATTGTTTCCATCCTTTTTCTTTCAACCTAACTATATTGTTATATTTGAAGTGAGTTTCTTATAGACAGCAGATAGTTTGATTATGTTTTTAAAAATCCATTCTGCCAATCTCTGCCTTTTAATTGATATATTTGGACCATTTATATGTAATGATATTGTCAGATTTTAAGATTGCCATTTCTTGTTTTGTTTGTTCCTCTGTTTTTGTTTCATTTTGCTTTTTTCTTGCCTTTCTGTAGGTTATTTGAATCCTTTTTTAGAATTACATTGTGACTTTATAGAGTTTTTCAGTGAATCACTTCGTAGAGTGATTTTAGTTGGTGCTCTAGGTCATTTTCCATTACCTCCAGCTGGTTGTTTATGGTGGTTTTTTTGTTTTGTTTTTAATAGAGCTAGGTTCTTGATCTGTGGCCCAGGCTGGAGTGCGGTAGCACAATCCTAGCTTACCACAGCCTTGAACTCCTTGGCTCAAGTGATCCTTCCTGCCTGAGCCTTCCAAGTAGCTAGGACTACAGGCATGTGCCACCATACCCAGCTAATTTTTTTATTTTTGAGTAGAGACAAGGTCTTGCTATATTGAGCAGGTTGGTCTTGAACTCTCGGCCTCAAGTGATCCTCCTGTTTGACCCCCCCAAAATGCTGGGATTATAGGCCTGAGCCACCGTGCCTGGCCTGTTGATGTTTTGATCAGAATTTATCGTTGTAGTCTACAGGAGGTTGGTCCAAAAGCTGCTTACTCAGCCATATAGAAAACAGCTTGGTATTATTAAATTATTACATTGTGCATTTAGTGTATTCTCTAAACAAATGGTGTATTCTAAACAAATTTAAAGTAGTCCATTGTTAAATTTGAGATAGAACCTCTGGGAGACTAAATACCTGGTGTGTTTTTAGGGTACTTGGAATGGGGACAAAGTATTTTGAAAAAAACCTTTCATTCTGATTTCTAAAAGATTCACAATTAGCAAAGTTTCCTTATTTTTAAAGTATTTTAAAGTGATATTTGCATATTAGCAAGCAGTAGAAAGAAAGGGCTCTACCTTCAGTGTTAAAAATATGGCCTTTGTCATCTTTTTATCCGTGGAATCTGCTCTTCACCCTACATTAGGTTTTTTATTTCTAGTTTTTAATTCCATCTGTTAACTCACTGCTAGCTACATTAGACTGTTTATTTAGTCTGGAAGTGATAGTCACATAAATGCTGCCCTCAGTTCTCCCTAACCTTGTGTTGTGCCTGCCTTCACAGTTCTTCATATCTTTCTTGCTGAGCTTTAGAAAGTGATTAGAAGAACAGAATACCTTACCAGTAAAAGGATTTTTGCTGCAATTCCTTGGCAGCCTTTTCTTTCCATTAAAATTTTTTTGAAATTTGGAAATCATTTCTAACTTACAAAATTGCAAGAATGAAATAATACGAAGAACACTTGTATGCCCTTTATTTTTGTCACATTTGCATTCTCTCTCTGTTTGTGCATGTGTTTATATGTGTATAATATTTTTTCTGATCCATTTGAGCACAAATTAAATATATTCTGGCCCTTTGTCTCTAAATACTTAAGTATATGTTGTCCCAAAATTTCAAATATTCCATTATCTAACCACAAAAACACATTCAGAGAAGTGTTCGTCTTTCCTGTGTCCTTCTACCCCATTGCCCTTCCTTGTAGGTAACCAACTTTATTGTGTTCTAATTATCCTTTCTGTAGTTTTTTTTTTTAAACAAAGATAAGCAGATGTATGTTTGTGTTCTTATTTGCCCTTCTTACTTAAAAGTTATAATACTATATATGTTCTTTACTACTTGGCTTTTTAAAAATTAGCAGTATTTCCTGGCAATCACTCCATATTAGTTCATAGAAACTTTTTTCCTTTTTTTTTTTTTTAACAGCTACATAGTATAATCGTTCCTCAGTGTCCTTGCAGGATTGGTTCTAGAACCCCCTGAGGATACCAGAATCACTGAATGCTCAAGTCCCTTACATAAACTGTCATAGTGTTTATATATAACCCACACATATCCTTTAAGTCATACTTTAAGTCATCTCTAGACTACTTATAATACCTAATACAATGTAAATGGATATTGTAAATAGTTGTTTTACTGTGTTTTTTAAAGATTCATGTTTTGTGTATTTTTATTTTTTATTTATTTATTTATTTCGAGACAGAGTCTTGCTCTGTTGCCTAGGCTGGAGTGCACTGGCACCATCTGGGCTCACTGCAACCTCTACCTCCCAGGCTTAAGCGATCCTCCCACCTCAGCTCCCTAGTAGCTGGGCTGCAGGTGCATGCCTCCATGCTCAGCTGATGTTTTAATTTTTTGTAGAGATGAGATATGACTATATTGCCAGCTCTACTGCTGGTCTCGAACTCCTGGGCTCAAGCAATCTTCCTGCCCTCAGCCTCCTGAAGAACTGGGGTTACAGTCATGAGCTACCACAATCAGCTTATTTTTTATTTTTTTTAAATATTTTTGCCGGGCACAGTGGGTCATGCCTGTAATCCCAACACTTTGGGGGGCCGAGGTGAGCAGATCAACTGAGGCCAGGAGTTCGAGACCAGCCTGGCCAATATAGGGACACCCTGTGTCTATTAAAAATACAAAAATTTTCTGGGTGTGGTGGTAGGCGCCTGTAATCCCAGCTGTTAGGGAGGCTGAGGAAGGAGAATCACTGCAGGAGGTGGAGGTTGCAGTAAATTGAGATTGGGCCACTGCACTCCAGCCTGGGTGACAGAGTGAGTCTCCATCTCAAAAAACTAAATAAATAAAATAAAAATATTTTCAATCTGCGGTTGGTTGAATACATGCAAATACTGAAACCGAACCTGCAGATATGGAGGAATGGCTTTACCCATTTTGTGTATGTACCATAGTTTATTCAGCTGTGCTTGGACATTTAGGTAATTTCTAATAATTACAGGTTATAAATAATCTTCGATGAATAACCTTGTGCATATATATTTTTAAATAGTTGGAGCTGTGTCTTCACGGTAAATTTCTAGAAATGGGATTCCTGGGTAAAAGAGTGAATATATATGTAGTTTTGTTACACATTGCTGAGTTTTTCTCTGTAGGGGTTGTGCCAATTATTGTATTAATACCCACAAAGTATGAATATGCCTTTCCCCTGCAGCTTCACTAACAGAGTATATTTTCAAGCTTATGAATTTGCTATCTTTTTTTTTTTTTTTTTTTTTTTTGAGACGGAGTCTCGCTCTGTCGCCCAGGCTGGAGTGCAGTGGCGCGATCTCGGCTCACTGCAAGCTCCGCCTCCCGGGTTCACGCCATTCTCCTGCCTCAGCCTCCCGAGTAGCTGGGACTACAGGCGCCCGCTACCACGCCCGGCTAATTTTTTGTATTTTTAGTAGAGACGGGGTTTCACCGTGTTAGCCAGGATGGTCTCGATCTCCTGACCTCGTGATCCGCCCGCCTCGGCCTCCCAAAGTGCTGGGATTACAGGCGTGAGCCACCGCGCCCGGCCTGAATTTGCTATCTTAATGTAGTTTTAATTTTCTTGGTAGTCTTTTATTTCTCATTTTGTTTGTTTTTTGCTTATGGTTTATATTTACACTCTCAGTCCTTTTGCTTCACCACACCACACCCCAAGATACACGTAGCCTTAACCTTTTATTTCTTTACTTTGAGGATTTGAATGAAAAATTTATGGTCCACAAAGCTGCTGGCATTCCTACCCAAATACCTGTTTTCTTCCTTTTATTTTTTCCTAGTCCTTGAGGAACAGGGAGGGGCCTTTTTGTCTTATCCTGTTTTTTCTTGACTCTTAGAGTACCTTGTTCTCATTTTATCTCACATATTTGTGATATCTGTAGTATTTATTGGCTCCTCTTCTGCTTTTAGGCATGCCCAGTTTTCTTTAACTTGAAAAAAACCTTTTTCTGAACACCTGAACTGAATGTTTGTTTATCTTTCTTTGACTTTGTGTATGTTATTTCTCCTTGTTTGCAGTGTTCTTTCAACTTATGGGAATTTTATGATGTGACCAGAAAACCCCTTCTTGAAGCTGTTAAAATGCATTAAAACTAATTTCTGAGTTATAATATTTAGGCAACTTCTGCTGTTTTTAATACTCCCAGCTAGATTATTTTTATCTTTTTATTTTGAAGAATTCTAAACAAATTGTGTGTGTGTGTGTCTGTGTGTATACACACATATACATATATATACACATAGATATATACATACATATACATATACATATAAATACCATCATGGTCTCTCATTTTGGGGTCTCATCAGTCAGCCCCAGCAGCTTGCCCCAGCCAATCCTGCCCATCCATTTCCTCTGCCCAAATTCTAGAATATTATAATTTCATCTGAATTTACATTATATATATCTTTACACTTGATCTTAGCCAAAAGGCCAAGAAGCGATACATCATATATATCTTTAAAACATAATCACAATATCATCACATCTAGAAATAATTTATTACTCCTTAGTATTTTGAAATAACCATTCAGTATTTATCATCTTTGATGTCCATTTTATTATGCTTTGTTTGAATTTGTTGATATGTCTTAAGTCTCTCTTGATCTACAGGTTCCCCTTCCCTCCCTCCCTCTCTGTTTAGCTTTCTGCTATTTATTTATTTATTTATTTATTTATTTATTTATTTATTTATTTTGACAGAGCTCGCTCTTTTGCCAGGCTGGAGTGCAGTGGCGTGATCTCGGCTGACTGCAACCTCTGCCTCCTGGGTTCAAGCAATTCTCCAGCCTCAGCCTCCAGAGTAACTGGGATTACAAGCATGCACCACCATGCCCAGCTAATTTTTGTATTTTTAGTAGAGATGGAGTTTCACCATTTTGGCCAGGATGATCTTGATCTCTTGACCTCATGATCCACCCGCTTCAGCCTCCAAAAGTGCTGGAACTACAGGCGTGAGCCACTGCACCGGGCCCGCTTTCTGTGTTTTTATTGGCAAGACTAAGTGGTTTGTTTTATAGTTTCCTTTAGTCTGGATTTTGCCGATTATATTGCCATACTGTATTATGTTTTACTTCTTTATATTATTTAAATTGGCATTTGGATCTAGAGGCTTGATCAGATCCAGGTTCAAGTTTTTTTTGGTCTTGTTTTATTTTGTCAGGGCTGCCTCTCTCATGACACACATGGTGTCTGGTTGTCACTCTTTATGGCATGTTGGCAGACATTGATGGTTTGTCTTAGATAGTTTTACTAGTTCACCCAGACTTAAACTGCATAAGGAGGTGCTAGATCTTATATTTCCATACAGCTTATAGCAATAAGAATATTTAGCTTGATAATAGCTTTCAAATCACATGTACTTTTTAAACTAACTTATTCTTCCTCATTTATAACAGAAACTGTAGATTTTGAGCAATCTGAATTGGTCCCCACCTCAGTGATTTCTTGCCCTGAAATTATGAGTTGTGTTTCTCCTGTTTCATTTTGCAGGTCTTTCCTCTTTCAGGTAGCCAGAGCATGGAGTGTGATTTGAAGCTAATTAACTAAAAAGGTGTAATTTTTCTTCGGTGTTCATCATTTCATTAACCTGTTGATATCTGAGAAGCGGTTTGGTTCCTAAGTAATACCTGAGGCTACTTTGATAATCTCTAATAATTTTGTACATTGGAGTTGTCATTATAATTTTTTTTTCTTTTTCCCTTAGAACATTCCTGATGTAGATGAAGAAGGCTACAGTATTAAACCAGAAACAAATCAGAATGATATCCTTTCATCATCTAGTATTCTTAAGGATTATGTTGGCATATAAGTAGGCAGTTATAAGAAAATCATGTATTAAAGCCTCTTCCAATTTTTTATTAATTATAAAATATGGTTCCTTGTTTGTCATTTGACATGTTTTTTGTTGTTGTTGTTTTTTGTTTTTTTTGGGTTTTTTTTGAGACAGAGTCTCGCTCTCTTGCCCGGGCAGGAGTGCAGTGGCACAATCTCAGCTCACTGCAGCCTCTGCCTCCCGGGTTTCAGCGATTCTTCTGCCTCAGTCCCCCAAGTAGCTTGGATTACAGGCATGCGCACCATGCCTGGCTAATTTTTGTATTTTTAGTAGAGACAGGGTTTCATTATGTTGGCCAGCCAGGCTGGTGAAGAACTCCTGACCTCAAGTGAACCACCTGCGTTGGCCTCCCAAAGTGCTGGGATTACAGGTGTGAGCTAACCCGACTGGCCTTGACATATTTTTATTAATAAAAGTTAGTAGTCTTATTTCTGTTAAGGTCTGTTTTTCTCTTTGGTTTTTTTGAGATGAAGTCTCACTCTGTCACGCAGGCTGGAGTGCAGTGGTGCGATCTCGGCTCACTGCAGCCTCCTACTCCTGGGTGAAAGTGATTCTCATGCCTCAGCCTCCCGATTGTCTGGGACCACAGGTGCATGCCACCATGCCGAGCTAATTTTTTGTATTTTTAGTAGAGACAAAGTTTCACCGTGTTAGCCAGGATGGTCTTGATCTCCTGACCTCGTGATCCACCTGCCTTAGCCTCCCAAAGTCCTGGGATTACAGGCGTGAGCCGTCGCACCCGGCCCAAAGTCTGTGTAACTCTTAAAGGTTTCATTCCTTTTTTAAAATAAATGTGTGAAAAACTGGTTATACGTCTAAGGTAATTTAAAAACAATTCTTTAACTGAAACTCACATACCAAAGAGAACCATTTCTACTCATCTAGTGATTCTGACTCCGAAGATGAAGAACCAAAGAAGTATCGGATAGAAATTAAGCCTATGCATCCAAATAACTCACATCACACAATGGCTTCTTTGGATGAATTAAAAGTATCTATAGGGAATATAACACTCTCCCCAGCAATATCTGTAAGTACAAACACGTTTGTACTCTTTATATAAAAGTCTTTATTTTTCTTACCTACCTGTGTCTGGTCAAACATTACTTAGCAATTGTTAAGCATGTTGACTGAGGAAATACTTAGTTTATAATTTTTATACAGGGAAATAAACTTGTGAATTTGGCTTAATTTTGCTTTTGAAAGTAGAAAGTGAAAATGTCAAAAATTTACTATTTCTGCCATTTGTTGCATTTCATAAACAGTGCTGTGTGTCTCTGGCAGAATTCTTTGAATTGGCAGTATTAATTTTTGCCTCATCTAATTTTGAAGTGTTTCTTCTATGTTTTGTGAGCCTTATGTAGGAGGGAATTTTATAAAAATGAATTTAAAGATTAAATTATATATTTGCATTTTTTTTAGTCTGTCACTGTAACATTTATTTTCCCATACTTTTCATACAAGGAAAGGCACAGATAAGAGTTCTTAGTGGTAATAGTTAATTCCTCAATTCTAAAATACCGTATTTAATAGGATTTGAGGGAGAAATAAAACATTATCCCAGTAAATTTTTTCCTCATTGATGTCAATTTTAAACTTAAAAATGTTACACTATGTGAAAAAAGCAATTCTTAGGATAAGTTAAGTATATCTATATGTGATCATCATGATTGACATTAAGTCTGTTCTTCTTGATAATGAAGAATAAAGGTTCTCACCGTTTCATATTGTTGTCTAATTACATATTTTATGTAGTTACATGTATTTGTTTGGAAAAAAAGGTGGTTTTCTCCCAGTCATGTACTTCAGAATTTAGTTTCAGAACTATTTTCTTCCTACCAAAAATATTTCTGAAATGAGGTTTTATTGTACCATTACTATTTAACGTTAAGATTAATGTTGAAGTACAGAGTTGCTTAAAAGTTGGTGAATATAGGGCCGGGCATGGTGGCTCACGCCTGTAATCCCAGCACTTTGGGAGGCCGAGGCGGGTGGATCACAAGGTCAGGAGATGGAGACCATCCTGGCTAACACAGTGAAACCCCGTCTCTTGAAAAAATACAAAAAATTAGCCGGTCGTGGTGGCATGCGCCTTTGGTCCTAGCTACTCAGGAGGCTGAGGCAGGAGAATTGCTTGAAAACCATGAGGCGGAGGTTGAAGTGAGCCGAGATTGCACCACTGCACTCCAGCCTGGGTGACAGAGCGAGACTTCGTCTCAAAAAAAAAAAAAAAAGGTGGTGAATATATACGAAGTATGAGGTTGTAAACCATTAAAAATGTGTGTTATGTAAGAGCATAACTAATATAAAATATGTATGTTAAATATATAAAACAAAAGCCTAGAGGAATATATGGGTAGTGAGATTGTGAATAGTTTTAAATTTTCTCTTTTGTACTCTTCTCTTTTCAGTTTGTTTTTAAAAAACAATGAACATGTATTAATTTCATACTATGAAAATAATAATCAGAACAATTTTATAGTTAATATTGGATAAGAAAAGATTATATCTGAATATATTTTGCTGCCTCATTTGCTTAACTTTTTCCCACCTGACAGTGTATGTGTTTTAAGGTGTATATAGTTTAGATATGATTGAATAGGGAATGATAAATTATTACAGCACAAAAATACAGTATTCAGAATTCTAACCTAATTTTCTTTTTCTTCCATGTACTACTAGAGACACAGTCCAGTAAGTACAAGATTTTATATTTTTGCCCATTGACTTTTAAAATCATTGTAATTTTGGAAGATTGACTTTCAAAATATTTGTATTAAATTTTTAGATTAGCAAGTTTTAGTGTTTTGTTGTAGATGTTGCTTTAATATTTTAAAAACATTAGGTGTTAAAACTACATGTATTATTTTTTGCTGTAAAACAAAAACTACTGTTTTTTCTCTATATCTTTTATGTAAATACACTTTACAATTGAGCAGATATACTAAAAACAACATAAAATTAGGTTCCCAGTATTAACATTTTACCAAATATTTAATTATCAAATTCATTTGTTTTATGGTACCTATTTTGCATCTCTGTTTTAGGTACAGATGAATCGGAATTTGTCTAGTAAGTTTGACATTTGAATTGTTTATTTTATGTCTATTAAAATTTATAAGGCAATTTGTTAGTCTTTTACCTTTAGCTGTAGAAATAAATGATCTTTTCTCATCATGAGCCCTACTGCGTGGCTAGAAGGATAATTATTTTAAATAGAAAACAGCGTATCTATATTATTTCCTGTAGAGCTGAGAGACATGCTTTAAACTTCAATACATGGCTACAACATTTTTCAGAAATCACCAAAGCCAAAAAGTAACTTCTGATTCAGAATGTTAAACGGTTTCACTGGCATTCTCTGTCTTATTAACCAGAAAGCGTTTATAAGATGAGTAATATTGAATTTTACCTATTTTTAAGTTGTGTCACAATTACAAATTCTATTATAATTTAATTATACTAAAAATTATACTAAAAACTTTTCTAAGGTGCTAATACCTTTTGCAGAATCATGCATTAAAAATAACAAGGGTTGTGGGAAAAACAGTTGAAGCAGCCCACTCAAAAGCTATGTAATTTTGTTAACAGAAGACTTAACAGAAACTTTAACATCAGTTTTATTAAAAATTCTAACAGAGTTTAAGAGACCTAGTAAATGAATAATAAATACCAAAATAAAAGTAAGGATTTTATCTTTAAAGAAATGTTGATTGTAGCTTAATGATAGGGGGTGTGAGGAAAATGAGGATAAATGCAGGGTGCTGAGTTGTGGAGATGAGAGCAAAATGCAGAAATATTGAAGAATAGCACAATAAACACTGAGGCAAAACAACCAACCAAACTGAGCCAAGTGAAGAATGTAGAGTGAATGGTTATCATGTACTGTGATACTCCTCCATAGTTTGTGGAAGTTACTCATATTGATGTACTTTGCATTCATCAGGTATTGCTTGGTGATGCAAAGAAAACATGAAGGTGCAGCAAAAATTGCTTATGCACCAACATGAGTTTTTCATTAATGATGCTATTCCCCTGTTTACCACTTGCTTGTGAAATGAGGCACATTACAAATCCAAAAGGTAGCAAAACAAACTATCTTATAAAGAGACTTGCTCCAGGTTGCTGTAAGATTCTTAATTTTTCAAAATATGACATCCTCAAGAGTTAATAACTACTTTTTGTCAATACAATAATCACTAATAATATTCTTAGAACTTGAAAAATGCATTCATGATTCATCAGTTAAAATTCTTAACTAGAATTTATGTATTTAAACATTTTTCTAATTTTTAAAGTTGCAACCCATAGTTTCTCTTTTCTAAACAGCAATTTTAATGAATATCATAGTTTAATTGACTTAAGTCATTTCTTACTAAAGATATTAGAAGGAACCAGGGTTTTGTAATTTCAGTTATTTTAATGTACACAATAGAAAACTTGTTAAAATATTGTTTGTATTTACATTATCAATTCCAAAATTTTTAATTGTTATAGTGTTGAGATATGTGTATAGAGTTTCTGTTTTTCATTAAAATATTTTATTTCTCAGATTATGAAGTTTTCATATTTTAATTTTTTAATTAGATGAGGAGTTAACAAAATCAAAGCCATCTGCTCCACCCAATGAGTAAGTTTCCATGTTTAATTTTGTTAAAAAATAGACTTTATTTTTTAGAGCAGTGTTTGATTTATGGCAAAATTGAATGGAAAGCACAGAGATTTCCCTTTATGCTCCCTGCCCCTTCATATGCCCAGTCTCTCTCACAGTCAAATTCTCTCACCAGAGTGGTACATTTGTTAGAATCAGTGAACCTGCATTGACACATCATAATCACCTAAAGTCCACAGTTTACATTAGGGTTCATTCTTGGTGTTGGACAAATGTGTAAGGACATGTATTCGTCATTATAGTATCATACAGAGTATTTTTGCTGCCCTGAAAATCTTCTGTGCTCCACCTTCTCATCCCTTCTTCCACACACTTACATTTTAAGTATCCTTTTGTCTTTTTTTCTAGAGTTTTATTAGCTCTATAGTTTTAATTCCAGTAAAGTTCTGTTAATCATCCTGTTTTCTGAGCTGTCAAATGCAATGTTGGAGTTTTTAGAAGTTTAAAATTATTTCTCGCTTGGTAATATGTCCTTTTACAATAAAAAAAATCTATTTAACCACAGTTGGCCTTGGTAGCCTCACTACTTCTAAATAAATGATGAAACCCTAAATTCATACATATCTGTATTTCAGCTGGTTATTCTCATGGGAATTTTCTCATTTCTTCCTTCAGTTTTGACTGTGACGTTATAAAATAATATACTTCGTAAGCTTCAAAAAAAGAAGTGTGTCAAGTTGGAAAGGGAGAGAGAGGCTAGAAGGCATGTTGCCAGCTCTTCTTAAAAAAAAAAATGTTAAGCCAATGTTTCATGGGTCTCTTTTTACTTCTGTGTCTATCAGTTAAGAATACTCTCTTTGAGTTAATGGTTTTTTGCTTGTCTGTTTTGAGACAGGGTCTTACTCTGTCTCTCAGGCTGGAGTGCAGTGGCGTGATCATGGCTCTCTGCAGCCTCAACGTCCCAGGCTCAAATGATCCTCCCGCCCCTGTCTCCCAGCTAATTTTTTTCAAAATTTTTTTTTTTTGGTAGATACTGGGTCTTGCTATATTTCCCAGGCTGGTCTCGAACTCCTGGACTCAGACTCCTGAGCCTCTCAAAGTACTGTGATTACAGGCATGAGCCATCAAGCCTGGCCAGAGTTAATGTAAAATACAAGTAAAAGTAGGCTTAGTTAAATAGGTAGTTTACAATTATTTGATACTTTTGAGGTACTAATTGAGCATAGTGGTGGTATTTATTGGATGTATCATTTTTTTAAAGATAAGTTGTTGAGTGTTTTAAAACTGTTTTTAGGAGTCATACAGTTGCAATGCTAGGCTTTATCATACGAGGTATAGTGTGCTTTCATGTAGGTGCATGTTGAGATGCTGGATATGTACTCTTATGTAATTACAGCACTTTCATTATAGAGGGCCTGTTTTTTTGTGTGTGTAAGATTTCCTAAAATTTTTTAAAATAATGGCAGTTTGATGCATTAAAATATGTAAGCCACCTTTCTGTACTTAAGGGCTTAAAAAAATCACTTTACCCTTTTTCTTCATCTTTGAAAATAAGTATGGCCTTATAAAATTTTAACCCAATTTTATACCACTTAAATTTTCTTTTCAGGATTGGGTGCTATGTGTGAACCAGCAGATGTGAGCCTGTTTTAGAATCAAGTAGCTGTATGTCTTTGGGCAGTTCATTTAGACGTGTGCTGCTCTTTTTTATTTGTAAAGCTGAAATTATTATTCCCATTATGATAGCCCCCAAGGTGGTTGAATCTAACAAGGCATGATGAATGGGAATTAATCTTCCCCATTCTCCTCTGCTAACTTCACATGTTATCTTAGGTTACGCTTCTAACAAATATTGGCTGTTAAATCTGTTAATTAATTTCTACACATATACTACTGATAGAGTATCCAACTTTTAAATTAAAAAAAATTATTTTTTTTACGGACGGGGTCTTGCTCTGTTACCCAGGCTGGAGTACAGTGGTGCAATCATAGCTCACTGCAGCACAGAACTCCTGGGCTCAAGTGATCTTCCTTAGCCTCCTGGATAGCTAGGACTACAGGCATGCACCACCAAGCCAGGCTAATTTAAAAAAATTTTTTTGTGTATATTGGGTCTTGCTATGTTGCCTAGGCTTGATCTTGAACTCCTAGTCTCAAGTGATCCTCCTGCCTGAGCCTCCAGAAGTGTTGGGATTACAGGTGTGAGCCATGGTGCCTGGCCCTAACTTTTTAATTATGTATATTGAGCTGTTAGAATTCTATGAAATAAAAATAAGTGACTAGAAATTTTATACTAATAAAATATTCTCGTTAAAATTTTTGCTTTTAAAAATATTATGGTAGAAAAGGAACCAGTGATTTACTTGCTTGGGACCCCCTATTTGGACCATCTCTTGATTCATCTTCTTCATCTTCACTAACTTCATCATCATCAGGTAAATATATATATGTATATATGTATTTTTTTAAATAAAGAATACTTTAGTTGCTTTTTCTCATTCACTTTTTGTGCATTGTACTTAATGATCAAAATTTCTAAAAATTTGTCCTCTGTATTGCCAAATAAAAGTGATTTTATTCTGGTTTTGTTCTCTTAGATACTCTATGACTTAAACAATAAAAATTGGTAAAATACTAAGTGGTTTTTTAAATTGGCATGTTATTTCTAGGCATTTCATATCATTATCCAAATAATAATTCTTAGTGTTTATAGATAATTCAAATACAAAATATATATCAATGTAACCAGTTCTTTCTTGTTGGAAGTTTAAGTTGCATCTAATTTTCTAGTATTATGAACATCCATAGAAATAACAAATTTTGTGCATATGTCTCATAATATGCTTGTAGTAATTTATCAATTTAAAATTTATGGCTTACAAGATGATGTCCATGATACTTATTGCCAAACTGCTTTCTAGAAAGGCTTTAACACTTCCCAAGCAGTTTACAAAAGAAGTTGATAAATGTTTTTTAGTTGTTTTGGCAATAATATATGAAGTTTCTCTTTTCATTAGTCAAAAAGCAGGCACCAAAAATGTATGTTTAATAAAACCACTGCTTGTTCAAAACAAGAAAATAAAATCAATTTTAGTTGATCTTCTACCCTCTTCTCTGGGACTTCAGAATTGCCATCCAGTATTTGGGGTTAAGGAAGCGCTGGAATCATGCGGGAAGAACTTAAATCTGTCTAGTTCATGCTAGGTAACTTTGTTAGGAGTGCCACACATTCTATTTAATTTCACCACATTAACAGCAGCATGAAGTTGTTTTTATTGTCCCTGTTTTATAGATGAAAAAAGTAAAGCTCAGAGATAATAAGTAACTTCTCCAAGATTATATAGCTAGTAAATGATGAAGACAGGTTTCAAACCTGGCTCTTACTTATTCTAAAGCCATTGTTCTATCTGTCACACTTTGGCAGATTAACAGCAACAACAAAAAAGCCATGTTGAAATATCTTACTATTAAAAATTAAATATTGGTTTTTAAAATTAGACCGTTTAGCAACAAAATATTTTTAAAAGATACTATAAGTGGATTATAAGAAACCTTAACCCTAAACACTAAACGCTATTTGACCTTTTGAAGGGAAGGTAATCTGTACTTAATACTTGTAAAACAGCAAGAAACAGTCAATAGATAGTTGAACATAATCTGAAGTGGCTTTATAGCCTTTCTCATTGAGCATTTGTTACTATTTAGTATTATAAAATTAACCATATATATATTATATGAAGAAAGTAATTGTACAGGAAAATCTGATGTTGTTGCCAGATCTCTCTTTTGTTTAGTAAAAATGTCAGAATGGCATTTTGTATTTAGAATGAGGAGTTCTCAGCAGTATTTTCGAATTTTGTTAATATCCCCTTATGAATTATTAAAGTCTTTAATAAAAGTTTTCAAATTGGTATCACAGAGGTTTTATTTATATAGAAATTTCTTTATAATTCTGCTCATTGTTTCTTGATATTTTCTCTAGTACAGTCTCTTTCATTTTATAAAAGTACTCTTTCTTCCTTTTGCTCCCTGTCTAAAGAGTGTTTGGCTCATATCACCATCACTTCAGGTAAAAAATGGTTCGTTTTCATTTAGTGGTCATTGATGTTTGGCCATTAGGAAATGATACAATATTTATTAACTTCTTGCTGGTTTTAAAATTCACTTCAGTATGCATTTTTAAATCTTCCTATATAGTATGAAAAGTAATGTTATAAATTTTGCCTTTCAAAAAAAAAGTTAATGATGCTCAAAAGAGATAGTTATCTTGTTATATAGTAGTTACTATTAAGTCTTCACTTGAACAGAATATAATTGATCAAACTAATTAATTCATAATTGCGATTCTCCTGTTTTACAGAACTGGCCCTAAGTGAAGTTACGAAATAGGCATTTTATCTTAAATTTTTATTTCACTTATTTTTATTGTTTTCTTGGTACTCGCTAGTTACAACCAGTCTTAAACTTTGTCCCCCATTCTTTGCAATGCACTTCTCTCCCATCTTAACATCCTCTACCCAGGTACCCATTTTAACATTTTAGCAAGGTCCAGGTTGTGAGATCATTCAGTGCTCTCCTGTGTGTCTTTCATAATCTTAATTCATCACTGACCTCATCTTAAAGCAGGCTAAAAAATAATTTCAATCAATCAGTTAATAACTGATAGTTAAGAATCCCAGTGTTGTTACATGTTTTAAAATGTTGATTAGGGCTTGGCTGAAAAGTAGTTTCAGTTGCATCTTATACCATGTAGACTATAAATAAGCATTCATGTTTATGTCAGATATGAATATATATAAACATCGATATGTGTATTTTTAAAAATTTAACATAAATATCTTACGCCTACCTCCCCTTTGTTAAGTGCCAATGTAGATTACTTTCTCTGCCTATGAATTAATTGAACTCTTGTGCTCACAAAAAAAAAAAAAACCGCTTAAAATGATTTTTTGAAAAATATTGGGCTGTTTTTAAATATTAACTCGAACCCTGATGTAGTCCGATGTACTTCCTGGGGGCAGTTTTATCACTGGACAATGATGAACTTTGTTGAGTACCACACATACACAGCATTGTTGCTTTGCCACCTTGTCGAATCTTTTTAGATCTTGTACTGACTATAAATAGTTACCTTTGCTCCTCTGGGAAAACAGGAATAACTCTGACTTTGTATAATTTTGGACCTTCAGTTTTTCATATGCATTTTAAGTTTCTAATGTACATACTTCTTCAGTTAATATAGTTTGAACTTATGCTCTTCTTCCGTGTATTGTTATTAAATTTTCTAGTTTCAAATAATTAAAACAAGGTAACTATTTGGTTATATGGATTTATGTTTAATTCTAGAATTTTCCTTTTGCTTGTAGTTTTTTATTTTCTTCTTCTTCATCTGAACTTGTAGAGCAGAGTAGGAACTTCAGTTCCTTTCTCACTGATTTGCCTGGGTGTGTGATAATTGAAAATTTACTTGAAACCCAGTCAGATTCTGAGTCTAGAAAGTCCATCACCAGACTTGTCCCCCAAATCTCTACTTTATTCTGCTGTAACAGCACCACTCGAGAGCACAGATAAAGTTCCTTTTGCTTCATGGCTACAAAGTCAGTGGATTTTCTTTACTGATGAACTTGTTACAATTAATAGCTCCAGTGTTGCTCAGAAGGCATTCCAGAGATTGCATTGTAAAGCTGAAAATACTTTTAGGTTTCCTAATGCTTTGGATGGGATTTCTTCCGACAGCTGCATCTCTGAGGATCACAGTGACCTTTGCCTAATATTAGATGTTTTGAAAATGTACCTGCAGAAGCAGCTAACAGTGCTGCTGCTATTTCTTCTACATCATCATTATTGCTTCTAGATTCTAGATTAGTTTCCACTTTTGTTCAGATAAAGAATGGTATGACAAGCATGCTTTGTCTATTTGCTTTAGTTAATGTCTGAGGGCAGATATAGAGTAGCCCTTATCGCCTATGTTTTTTTATACTTCACAGGTCAATTTATATTTCTTGAAACACTGCTTCTAATAGAAATTTGTAGCACTGATCTCCACCCCACCACCAGCAAAAAATAAAACACAGGACACTGAAGAAAGTAAACAATTGCAGTTATCTCCTTCAGAAGCTTCTAGAAGCAGTGCCTAATTGACCTATGCAGATATAATATAGATTCATTTATAAACAGTGGTGTTAATAAGTATTGTTACTAGCTTTTCTCGAAAAGCAAATTTTGAACTGAACTTAATACTTCTACCAGGCTTGGTTTGAGTCAATCTAAATGCCATTTGGACAGACCACTTGATCAGTAATAAATGCCTCTGCTGTGTAAACTCTCTCACAAGTTTGAAATAACATAGGCTAGTGCTAGTTTCATTGATGATGAACATATCTTTAAAGTAGATATGTAATACACAGGGAAGTGTTATGGGCTTCAGATTTTGGTGCACATTTCTTCCAGGGTACAGCTTCAAGTGTGAGTGCAGCATGAAAGAACTGGTACTGACTGGAAAAAGACAGTGGCCTCAGAATCTAAGCTTGATTTACTAGCTTTTTTGTTTTCCTTAAGCAACCTGAACAGCGTTTGCATCTTTTATCTCTTATTATGGTATGCTTTCTAAGTGATTCCCTACGTCCCATGCATGTACAACTTTCAATCCGTGTGACTACCTTTTTCTTTAGGTCTCTTCCTACTACCTCTATGCACCTTCCTTTCATGCCTCCTTGATTCCTCCATTGATGATTAAAGGCCTTTAGCTTTGCAGTTTATTTCCCCGTGTGTATACTTAGGCCCACTTATATATTTTTAATTTTGTACATCTCTAAACTTTGAAAACATGCTGAATATGTTTCTTCCCACCCATTATATTTTTCAGTCTCTGAATTATAGCCTGTATTTTAGTGTGAGCCAAAGGGCTTTGAAAATCATTTAAGTTAATTTATTAATGATTATTAAACATGATTTTAAAGAGGGTTTAAACCTATTTACTTCCATTTTTTTTACTCCTTCTTTGATTATGCTAATACATTTGTGACTTTTGATGATGTATACATGACATTTATCCAGTAATTTACATTGTGATGAGATTAAGAATACTGATATTTCTGATTTGTAAAATTAGCAAATGGCATTGAAAAACTCAACACTAAATTTATATAGGACTTAGGAACAAGTTAAGATATTATTTTGAACACTTACCAAAGTTAATTGTAATGATTTGGGGAATTTTTTTTAGTAAACTAATAGAATATCTGATTATCTCAAATAATGTACCCCCCAAAATGTTACAATGTGGTTCAACTTAAAAGGCAAATTTAACAATTTTAATTAAGGTAAGTATTTTATTTAGAGTTTACAATATTATTCTGGAGGTACAGCTTCAAAGGCTTGGTCTCGAATTACTATCTGTAAAATAGATGTATTGGCAATAAACAAATGACCTTTGGCCTTAAATTGATTTGTTCTCATCAGCTAATGTATCAGATTTAATTTTTATATGTATAGATAATGAAACAGGAATAAAATTTATATGTGTCAGTTATTGAAAGGTTAACTTTTTTTCAGGAATATTACTGGTCACTTCAAAATAAAGCATATTTGATAGATTCCCAATATTTCAACATCTATAATTACATCTAAAAAAAGAGCCTCCTGAAAAATGAGCTTTGATTACCAAAAGTTTCTTTATAATAGAATGTCTTTATGTAAGGATTGCTACATACTAATGATTTTCTTCAAATTCTCTTTTCCCCCTCAACCAGCCAGGCCCACAACTCCTCTTTCTGTAGGCACCATTGTCCCACCTCCGAGGCCTGCTTCCAGACCAAAGCTTACTTCAGGCAAACTCAGTGGGATTAATGAAATAGTATGTACTCAGGTTTTTTAAAAATTATTTAACTGTTTTGATTTAAGATGCAAATGCTATTTTTCTATATGCCCTTTTACAGTTAATTGCTTGAAGTTTTCTACCCATGTCCTCACAGTATAGAAAAATTTTCCCAGCTAGTGCTTCCTTTACTCTTCCTTGTTACCACAGTGATCATACCTGTGAGACACGACATTGTCCAGGAGGAAAGAGATTTCCTGAGAAAGTTGGCACATTATAAAAATACCATTCAGTATCCATTGTCTCACAATAAAGAAGCGGTTTTCATATAATTCTACTTAAAGTCAAATGTTAAGGAAATAAATGGTGGCTTGTTCTTAGACCTTAAAAGTATACTGCAAGGAGGATTATGGAAGGCATCTAGCTCAGCATTTAAAATTTTACACATAAGGAAACTGGAGTCCACATCATCCAGTTGACTTATAAAAGTACATGCATGGGTGGGAAAAGCATTGGTTTTTAAAAGTCATCAGATAGAGAAAATCTATAGACTCTATGCAGTGAGGCTCTCCCAGTCTATTTGCCTTTGATCTGGTTTGTTTTGCTTCATCTTCTACACTAATTGCCAGTTTAATTACCAGAATTAAATTTCTAAGTCCAGTTTAATCTTTTTTCCCTTGATACACATTTCCAGTGGTTTCTCAGTCTGTGTGGTTGACTGTTTTAGCTGAATGTACAAGAGTCTTTATAAAGCTGCCTCAACAACCTACATTACCAGACTAACTGTCCATCTTTCTCCCCTTTTCAACCTAGGTTCCAGCCACTTGAAACTTTTCAGGGTTCCTTAAACACATCATGGTCTTTTACATGTCCATGTCTTCTTCCTGTGCTGTATCTCAAATGCCCCTCAGTTTTCTATGTCACAAATTGACTTCTTTCTTTAAGACCTAGCTAAACATCACCACCTAGGCAAAACCCTCTTTGATCATTCCTTCACTTATCTTCCTTATACCCAGATACTTTGCTTATATTTTTGTTAGTTCATATATCACCTTGTATGTACTTTTTTTGTGTGTGTTACCTTTACTGGGCTATTCCTTCGTCAGTCTCATATCCTCAGTACTTTGCATGATGCCTGTTGGGTGGTACACAGTTATGAAATCTTCAGTGAATATATTGAAAAGCTTCGGCACCAAGTATTGAAATGGTGATATCTTTCTTTTCCGAATGAACAGACTTAGTGGAAGTAAAATAAAAGACTAGGTACAAGCTGCCAAGGAGAAGGTTATTATTTAAGTAATATAGAAATTACTACATTTTAAAATACTTCATTCTCTTTTTTAAATCGTTATGACTAGAACTTTGAGTACATTCTAATAAATTGATTTTTTTTTCCTGATTGTAAAAACAGTAAATGATCGTGTTATAAAATTTGGAAAACAGAGAAAGCAGAGAAGGAAAATTATAAATTTCCTCTGTATTTCACCACCCAAAGATAACCACTGTTAACATTTTTTGGAATGCATAAGTGTTTATCCAGAGGCAGTAAAATATAGTTAAAAGTACAAGCTTATTAGCCACGTATTAGCTGAGCAACATTAAACAGTTATTTAATCAGAGTTTAGTTGCCTCATGGATAAAATATGTGTAATGATATTAGGTTGTGAGACTTAAATGAGTTAATACATGTAAAACAGAATATTGTTGAATGCAAATAGTTGCTCAAAAATTATTAATTGTATAGGCATATTTTTAAATAAAAAGTCATACTTTACATATTTCTAATTTGTTTTCTACTTGCAAATATCTTTCTATATCATGAATTATTCTTTGATTATAATTTTATTTATAGAATTAGGGGATACAAGTGCAGATTTCTTACATGTATATATTGCATACCGGCAGAATCTGGGCTTTTGGTGTACCCATTAACTGAGTAGTGAATATTGTACCCAACAGGTAATTTTTCTACCCTTACCCTTTTCCCATCCTCCCACCTTTTGTAGTCTTCACTCTCTGTTATTCCACTGTATATGTCCATGTGTAACCTTTGTTTAGCTCCCACTTATAAGTGAGAACATGAGGTATTTGACTTTCTGTTTCTGAGTTATTTCACTCAGGATAATGGCCTCCAGTTCTATCCATGTTGCTGAATGAATTATTCTTATTTCATAGTCTTCAAGCTTCTTTAAAGTGATAGAATCTTTTGCCAAATAACTTTAAATTGTAAGTATTAATATATTAAAATAAAGTGGGACTCATAGTTGAATCCTTCACATCATCCCCATATCACCATACACTACCCTCTCCCCATCCTTGAGAGCCTTCTAGAAACCACCCTCTGAGCTTCAGGGAGCACTATTTTAAGTGGCTACAGAGTATTTCAATATGAGTGCTCTGTCTTCTACACCGTTGTCAGAATTAAATTTCTAAATGTTTTCAGAAATTTATTTGACATTTAGTTCCATGTTTTTGTTATTATAAACAATGTCTTAATGACTGTCCTTATGGTTTCTTAGCATTCTTTTTTAATAAAAAATTTTAAAAGTGCAATTTATGAACTAAACTGTATGTACATTTTTAAGACTCTTGATGATTATTTCTGTATCACCCACCAGAGAGAGTATGTTGATTTAAATTTTCTCCAGCTGTACATTGGAGTGCCTTTTCTTTTTTTTTTTTTTTTTTTGCATGCTCATATGTGCATTTTTCTGGAGAGAGCTCATAGCTTTCACCAGATGCTCAAAGGAGTCTATAACCACATCCTCCCTACCCACTGAAAGAACCACTCATTGTTCTAGAGCAGGGGCACCCAACGTGCAGTACCAGATCAGTAGCATTAGCATCACCAGGGAATTTGGTAGAAATAGTTTCTCTGGCTTCACCCCAGGCAAATTGGAAATTCAGGGGAGGGGCCAAGCAACTGTGTATTATTAACAAGCCCTCCATGCGATTCTGATGCCTGCTAATGTTTCAGAAACATTGTTTTAAAGCAATGCCGTCCAATAGAAATATAATATAAGCAACATATAATTTAAAGTTTTCTAGTAGCCACATAGAAAAACAATGGAATTCATTGTAATATATTTTATCTGCTATATAAAAATATTATTTTAACACATTCAATATGAAAATTAATGAGATTTTACATTCCTTTTGTGTGTATGCTGTGTCTTCAAAATTTGCTCTGTATGTTGTAGCACATCTCAATTTGGACTAGTCACATTTCACGTGCTATTGGCCACTGTAGTAGATAGCATAATTCTAAAATTAGAGAAAACCACTTGAGAAAAGAGCTGTTTTTGCCTTTTCCTAAAAAAAATTAAAAAGGCAGTCACATTATGTTGGCCTAGAGGTTATGTTGCCATAGGAGAAATGTCCCACAGTAGTTGATCTCAAGACTTTTTCCAAGCTTGTAAGTTTCAGACTAGCTGTTGATCAGTATCTGTTCACCCCAATGTCCTGCACCACCTTGGTCTGCGTATATACACAGCTGCATTTTTAGCATCCTGCTGAGTTTTTTCAACCTATTGTCCATCATAATGAGTCATCAAAAAGCTGTACTCTGGAAAAAATAGTTAAATGGGTAGGGGGTTACAAATTGTAAAACACTTTTTGCAGTAAAATGACAGTTTTATTAAAATGTGTATCTCTAAGTTTATATTCATGCAATGAAGAATTGACTAGTGTATGAATGCAAGTAGGGTTTTGTTTTTGCCTTTTTTTCATGTTCCTCAAATAACTGAGGACAGTTATCTTTCTTGTTCACAGCTTTGTATCTAGTACCTAATCCAGGGTCAGACACATAGTAGACACTAAATAAATATATATTTGCCTAATACTTTTATAAGCAGGAAAAGGTTTTTGTTTTTTTTTAAATGAAGACAAATACGCCTATTTTTTAAGAAAGCAAAACACCTCAGGAAGTGTTGCTACTGAATTATTGGTACAGTTAGGAATTTGGAAGGAAAAGAATCTGTTCACCAAAGTAAAAGATAAATGAATTGGAGTTATATTTTTTATATTTGTTTTATGTTTAATTAGAAAATTGGGAAGACAACAGAATTGAGTCGCTCAAACCTTTGTATGGAGTGAGTTTTCTGAGTGAGGAAGCATTACAAGGAATTACTGAGGAAAATGTGAACAGATTTGTAAACACCAAAAGTGTAAAGGACAAGCAATATTTAAGGAGGAAAATATTTGCAAGAAAATAAGGCAAAGGCTTAGTGAAAGCTCAGATAATACTAAAACCTCCCCAAATTACATCAACCCATTCATAAAAGTGAAGGTTTTATTATTTTCTAAATTAGCTAGAAAAAATTTTTAATCCCTTTTTCTTCTTCTGTGACTCATCCATTTGTTTCTGGCAAGGGTGTAGAGAAATAATTTTCTTATATTTATAGTCAGGTAAAGTGAATAACCCTTTTGGGAAGCAGTTTGGGAAGAACGTTTATACTGTTTAAACTAATTTAACTTCTGAGAATCTGTCTTAAACATACTTTTTTAAATACAGAAAAATTTTTATGCACAAAGACCTTTTTTACAGCATTATTTCAAAATAATCTTTTCAGGCTTTAGTATGTTCTTAAAAATGATATGATATATGGCATCTCTGATACTAAGTTACAAGAAACTCACACAGTAAATTTGGTTTGGTATGTTAAATTTACCTCATACTTAAAAATCTTCTCTAACAAGAGAGGTATTGTTTTAGCATTTTGATAAATAACTTTTTGTTTTTAAGCCCAGGCCATTCAGCCCACCTGTAACTTCCAACACCAGCCCACCTCCTGCTGCACCATTAGCCCGGGCAGAAAGTTCTTCTTCTATCTCATCATCTGCTTCATTGAGTGCTGCCAATACTCCAACAGTAGGTAAGTGATTATCATCAATTACATGTGAAATGTAGTGTACAAAGTATATGTATGCTAAATATGTATATATTTTTAAATGGGCTAATGAAGAATTTAACATTATAAATTTTGTTTTTCTGGAAACACACCTGGAATTTATTAAACTGTCCATGCTTTGCTTTTCTGTTTCACAGTCTATGTTATCTGGATAGAAGAATTTTAACTGTGGTTAGCACCGTTAAGAATGAGTTAAATTTATAAATTGCTGATCAATATAAATAGTTGAAGGCAAAACAAAATGCAGTTCTTCCTTCTGTGAACTGATAGTTGCGTTTCTAAGAAAGTTTATGTTTTAAAAACAATAGTGTTTTGAAAATGATTGAATGAAAGAAAACAATTTGTGCTTGCAGTGAATTATATTTTTCCACAAGAATTTCAAGACTTAAAAATAGCTCTTAGGGAAGTGGTCCCCAACCTTTGGCACCAGGGACTGGTTTTGTGGAAGACAATTTTTCCATGGACTGGGGTCAAGAGGATGGTTTCAGGATGATTCAAGTGCATTACATTTATTGTGCACTTTATTTCTATTATTATTACATTGTAATATATAATGAAATAATTATATAACTCACCATAGTGTAGAATCAGTGTGAGCCCTGAGCTTTTTGTCTTGCAACTAGTCAGTCCCATCTGGGGGTGATGGGAGACAATGGCAGATCATCAGGCATTAGATTCTCATAAGAGTGCGCAACCTAGATCCCTCACATGCACAGTTCACAATAGGGTTCTCGCTCCTATGAGAGTCTAATGCCGCTGCTGATCTGACTGGAGGCAGAGCTCAGGCTGTAATTTGAGTGATGGGGTGGGGGGCGGTTTACTTTAAATACAGATGACATTCACATTCACATTCTCCTCCTTCTGTGCAGCTGGGTACTAGACTGTGGCCTGGGGGTTGAGGATCCATGAAGCATAGCTATATGAACCTAAACCTCACCAAACAAATTCAGTATTTTACTACATCTAGACTTTGCTCAAGAGTTTTTTTGTCATCATTTCTACTCAGTTTTTTCTACAAATTCTTACTACCTTTTTCACCCATTGTTAGGATAATAAAGCACAAAGCCACTTAGACAAAGCAGCTGTGTTGCAGGACATACAACTTCTCATAAAAATTATAACTGTACGTATTGCTGCTGGTTTAAGTAGTGATGGGTTTATTCTTGATAATGCAAATCACTGATTTTCACTAACCGAGCACTAATTCAGTAGTAGTCAAAGTGTGGTCCTTGGACCTGCAGCATCTGCATAACCTGGGTACTTCTTAGAAATGCAGACTTTTAAAATCAGAAACCCTGGGAGTGGAACTAGCAGTCGTTTAATAGGCATTCCAGGTGATTCTGATGCATGCTAAGTTTGATAACCACAGCCCTAATTAAGCTGATTTAATTCCAGTTGATTTGTCAAGGCTCACATAGGAGAAATGCAACTAGTGTGTGGCCATTGTAAAAAGACGATAAGTAATATAGGCTAGAATGAAATATAAAATGGCTTGATTTCTAAATGTCTAAACATGATGTCACCATCTTATTACCTTTGTGAACACAGCATTTTTCCCATCTTTTAATTTTATATAAACTGAATATGTCTAATAAGTTTGCCCTTTGGTTTAATGAATACTTCATTTTTATTTTTTGTTTGTGTGGTTTTAATTTTTTCCCACAGAATCTATATTTTAGTCCTAAAAAACCTAACTGGGACCTACTAGAAAGCAGGCAGGTGGTCTGGGTAACCTTATTTTCGCTTTAGGTTTTTTTTTTTTTTTTCCAGTTATCTTTAGATTATTCAGGAGGTTTTGTGTTTGTGATGGAAACTTTAATTTCTATTGAATTGGTACATATTAGTTTATGGTTTGAGACATTGCTGGCAATAGGACAACCAAAAGCAGGTGACAGTGATAATACAGGCAAGGCAGGTTGTATGTGAATTTTATACAACAAAGATTTTTAAAATCTACCTAAAAAGTTCTCTTTCTTTGCCATGATTTTTCAACGCTGTGTGGATTTAAGTTTCTGATTCTCCTTGTTTCTTGAAAATATTTTCTTTTTCTGCATTATTTTATTTAAATACAATAGAAGATGATAATTTGATTGGGACACACACTGAAATTGAAAAGCACTGTGAGACGTCACCAGGTATTGTATCAGAAGCAAATGTATGTGTTGACTAATGGTCCTTAAGTGTATCTAAAATATTTCGTTATCCAACTTTTCCTTTTCCAGAATTGTATGATGTCTCAGAAATCAAGAATTATGCTAAGATTAACTATTTCAGTTTTGTGCTAATTCCATCAAATTGCTGTACAGGATCCATTATATCAAATCCCCAACTTGCTGAATAGGATCCATTATATCAAATCCCCAACTATAAAAACACGATATTTTTGCATTTTCTTCTCTGCTTTCCTCAACTCAGCTTTAAGAAATGTCAATAAATCTTAATTCTAAAGCTATCCAAATCAGGTAAGAAGTCATCCAAAAAGAATTAAAAGGAATATGTCAGTTAAAAAAAAAACCTCTAATACCTAAATTAGTAGGGCAAAGGCTGTCATATACGAAAACCATACAGATGAAGTTAGAAGCATGGAGATGATAGGAGATAGTAGGGAGTGGGTGTCTGTGTTTTATTTCTGAGCGGAAAGGAATTCTACATAAATATCCATTGATTGTTATAAGAAGGTACCCTATACCTGTTACATACCTCAAGTTTATAAGCTCTCTACATTTTCAAAACAAAATTATCTAAATATGTAACAAACCAAAATTAGAAACCACAATCTACCCTTATTAAGAGAATAAATTTTTATTTCTAAGAAATTATTTATTTGGAATAATACAGTATAGTTTTAGACTTTTTAAAAGACTATTTAAGTACATATTTCCTATTCATTTTTTGAAGTATCCATGTGCAATACGATCTTGAAAGAAAAACAAAAATAGAAAATACGAAAGGGAATATGCCAACTGTTAAGTGGGTTTTGAGTTTTTCTTCAACTTTCCAATACTTTTCTCTGCTTGCCAATGTTTCAGTAATGGCATAATTTACAGGGAAGCTAGGCATAATAATTTACAGAGTCGTGTTATGTGCCCAGATTAGATTGTTGAAAAGAATATTTATGCAGGTTTCTTTTAATTTTTAGTGTCAAAGCAGTAGTAGACATTAATGTTACCATTGACTTTATATAAATATTCATTTGTGTGAGTTACTCAAGAGACATTTTTTTTTTTTAATGAGACAGGGTCTCACTCCATTGTCCAGACTGAAATTCAGGGATATGATCATAGCTCACTATAAGCTCAAATTCCTGGGTTCAAGCAGTCCTCCCACCTCAGCCTCCCAAAGTACTGGAATTACAGGCATGAGCCAGTACACCTGGTCAGGGAATATATTAATTTCATATTTAAGAGAGTATAATTTTAATAAAATAGTATTACAATAACAAATGTTGGTGAGGATGTGGAGAAACTGGAAGGCTTGTGCACTGTTGGTGAGAATGTAAAATGGTACAGCTGCTGTGGAAAACAGTATGATTGTTCCTCGGAAAATGAAAAATGGAATTTACATATGATCCAGCAATTTTACTTCTGGGTATATACCCAAAAGAATTGAAAGCAGGACCTCAAAGAGATAGTTGTTTACTCCTGTTCGTAGCAGCACTATTCACAGCAGCCAAAAGGTAGAAGCAAGCCATGTCCATTGTTGGATGAATGGATGAGCAAAATGTGGTATATGCATACAATAGAATATTATTCAGCCTTAAAAGGGAAAGAAATTCTAACATGCTATGATAACATGGATGAACCTTGAAGACATTGTGCTAAGTTAAATACTGTATGCTTCCACTTATATGAGGTACTTAAAGAGTAGTCAAACTCATAGAGACAGCAAGTAGAATGGTGGTTGCCAGGGGCTGGGGAAACTGGTGGGAGTTGTTGTTTCATGGGTATAGGGTTTCCGTTTTATAAGACGAACAGAGTTATGGAGATGGATGATAGTGATTGTTGCACAGCGTTATGAATATAATTCATACCGGTGAACTGTATGCTTAAGAATGATTAAGATGGTAAATTTTATGTTAAGTTTATTTTACTACAGTTACAAAATTGGAGAGAAAAGATTATTACAGCCTTTGTCTTTTTCAGAAAATATGTTTTCCTGAATTTCTGATGACCCTCTTGTTTAGAACAATATATTAGGGAAAAAAGTGGATTGAACTAAGTTAGATTTACAGTGAAGTTTTCCAGTGTACAAACATATATTTTTATATTTATAATCAGTAAATGTATACTTAATCAGCTTTTTTTCACTTGATATTTTCTTGCATCCCAAAACTAATGACACTTGATCAGGCCACTAGCTTTCACCTAACTGCTCTCACCTGATCCAAACTTGATTCCCTGCCAACAGTCATTTTTCCCTTCAATCTAGGATTTACTCTGTGTTCAGAGAGATCTTACTACATAAAAGCCTAATAATGTTTCTCTCAAACATTATCAGTGGTTTCTAGTGACAAAAGGATAAAATTAAAGGTCTTTCATACCCTAATCTGGATCATGAGCACTTTTCCAGCCTCATCTTTGTGTCTTTTTGTCACTCCAGCCTCTCCCTCACATTTTTTGTTTTGCTTCTGCTTTGCAAAACTAGTACTTGTGCTTCAAAAAGGCACCATTTTTTTTAAATGTCCCCCTAGCAAAGTGCCTGGCACATGGTGGTTAATACATAGTAGCTGTTGTGATTTCATGAATAACTTTTTAACTGTGAAGAAGCTTCTAAATACAAATTCCTTCAAAATCTAGAATACCAAGCTAACAGAGTATCTTTTTTCACTATTTATAGCATCTCAGATTTAGTTGTGAGGCAGAAAAAGCCAGTACTGATTTTTATCAGAATTAATATTTACGGTATCTCAGAGGTAATTCATTGTTTCACTACAGGAGTCGCATCTGAAATAAAAATGTCTGATGGCTGTTAATGTTGTGTAACATATAAGGAAAGCATATATTCAAATTTCAGAGATAAGTGTTGACCTAGATTATTTATTTTTTTCACTAAGGATGAATAATTATAACAAACTCTCATATATTTTTATAAAATTGCATTTTATTTATTAAATGAAATGCTCCCACTTTGGAAAATCAGTAGCAGTAGCAGTAAGGCACGCAGTGGTAAGAAGAGTGCGTTTGTGAAGAAAAACAAAGGCAATGCACTATTTTGAGGGGATACTTCACTTAGGTTACATTTAAAACAATAAACAGAAACCTGAACACTTGCATAAATTTGTTTACATTTTAATTTTGCTCTGTAGACACTGATCTTTCTCTGATTTGACTCTAAAAGGTGTCTTATCTGAGTGAACTTTGGCCAGGGTTTTTTTTTTTTAAATAATGTTATTAGTCAAGTATTTATTAGTCAAATATTGAGGCAAAGTAATGTGGGAATACAATACAAGCATCAGACAAAGAGGAGGTTAAAGAGAATTATAATAATAATGAGTAGTGTATGAAACATTACTACTTGGATAGAAAAACTTAAATACAAAAATCCTAAATTGGCCTTAAATAATGCCCTGAAGTATATGATTGATAGAACCTGGAGGAATTTGGTATTTGAATGTTTTTGAAGCCAATATTTTTGAAATTTTAGCTGTTTAGTCAAGGGCTTTTTTATTCTGACATTCCTTAACCATTCTGTCTTTCCATTTAAAAGAAATGTCTGTGTGACATGTCTTCCTGGTTTTTTTTTGTCCTTTGTATTAATGCTCCAGTTTGTTTTATACTATATTTCTTAGCCCCCAGATTTATCATGGGACATCACTGAAACCAGTGGTAGGGTCGTTTGTGACAGCCTAACAATGTGAATCTAACTATCTTGATATTTAATTTATGTCTTTCTGAAGGATTTAACAAGTTAATTGTGTATATTCTAGGTGTGTCACGGGGTCCCAGCCCTGTCAGCCTTGGAAATCAGGATACCTTACCTGTGGCAGTTGCCCTTACAGAATCTGTTAATGCCTACTTTAAAGGAGCAGATCCCACCAAGTTAGTTTTTAAAATATATGCATGTATGTGTATGTATGTGTGTTGGGTGGAGGAGGTGGTGGGGCTTGGTGGTAAATTTTAAGAATTACATTTTGATTCTGTGTAGATTACAGTTTTCTGTTGTTTATTTACCTGCTTTTTTGCTATCTAAGGTAGTCATTTGATGATTGCATTCAATGTACATTCATTCATCAAATACTTGAGCACCTATTATTTCTAAGACTCTGTTACATGTGCACTGAGGATACTTTAGTAAACAAAAGAGTTCTCTCCTGAGCTTGCATTATAGTGAGGGAAAACTAAATATCAAAGAAACAGCTGTATGTATTGGATATTGATACACGCTATGAAGAAAAATAAACCAGGGTTAGAGGCTAGAGAATAACATTAGATAGAGGGCTACTATTTTAGATAGAATGATCAGGGTAAACTTTTTTGAGGTTAATTTAAGCAGGTAGTTGAAAGACATGGAGGAGCAAGCCATGCAGATATCTGAGGAAAGTATTCCAGGAAGAGGGAACCAGTGAGTGTAAGATACCAAGGTAAAAGCATATTTGGTATATTCAAGAAACAGCAAGCAAAACCATGTCACTGAGTAGGAGTAAACAGGAGAGTACTTGAAGATGAGTCCGGAGAGGTATGAGACCAGGTTAGGCATTGTAGGCCATGATAAAGAATTTGGAATTTATTTTGAGTAACATGGAAAGCCAGTGGAGGCTTTGAGCAGAGGAATGATGAAATTACATGTGTTTTCAGAGGAGCGCTGGTTGCTGTATGGAGAATAAACTGGGGGCAGAGGGTGCGGTGGGCAGTCAGAATTGATGCAGAGAGAAAGTTAGAAAATTAATTACAGAAGTCCAGGTGAGAGATAATGGTGGCTTGTATAAGGGTATTAGCAGAGCAGGTGATGAGTAGTAATGAGATTCTGAATATATTTTGAGAACAGAATTGTCAAGATTTGTTGGAGGCAAAATGCTAAGTTTGAAGTTTAAGACATCTTAGTGGAAATGTTGAATTGATACTTGGATACATGATTCTGGAGTTCAAGGGGTAAGTCTAGGCTAGAGATAAAATACTTGGTAGTGTAATTAGTTTGTAGATAATACTCAAAATTAGTGGCCTTAAGGAATAGATGGAAAAGAGATCTGAAAACTAAGTCTTGATTCCCTCCAGTGTTTAGAAAACAGGAAGATGAGAATGATTTAACAAAGGAATTTGAGAGAGCAAGCAGCAAGAGAGGTGAGGAGAGAACCAATAGACCCGTGTCTAGAAACTAAGTGAATAAATCATTTCTTGAAGGCAGGTGTGAACCTGTATCTGATGCTGCTTGACAGGTCAAGAAAAATTGACCATTGACAATAATTGGTGACATTCACAAGAAGGATTTTAGTGGCATAGTGGAGATGAAAGTATGCTTTGAGAGTGTTCAGGAGCCGAAGGTGATGCAGTCTAGACAACTATATTTGGAAAGAACAAATGCAGTTATTTCAGGATGTTTTGGTCTAAGTGGGAGCAGAGAAATGGAATGGTAGCAGGAGTGAGGTGGTGGAATCAAAGGAGGGTTTTATTTATTTTCATTTTTGTGTTTTTTAAAAGATGATATATATTTCAGCATGTCTGCCTGCTGATGGGAAAGATCCATTATTTATGGAAAAACAGGACTTGCAGAAAAAAGAGGGAACAATCACATGAATGAAGTCCTTCAGTATATAAGAGCAGATGAGTTCCAGTGCAGAATTGCTGGGATTGGCCTGAGGTGCAGAAATTGATTATCTGTTGAAACAGTATGGACTGCAGAATATATGGATAAAAAGTTAGGTAGATTTACTAGTGAGAGTATGAGGAAGTTATTTTTTTATTTCCTCAGTGAAATGAAGAGCACAGTCATCAGCTAAGAGTTGGGGGAAGGACTATTGCAGGTTAGAGATAAAAGGGGAAGCTAGGAAAAGACCAAAAGAAGAATAAATAGACTTGGGAAATGTGATAGGATTACCAAAGGGGTCCAGTTGAGAGTTTTGGCTATGTAGTTATATGTTTCAAAGGAAGAAAGAATAGAGGGTTGGAAGAAGCAATGAGGAGCAAGGGCCTCCTTGCTACCATCACCATCACCAGGCCCAGTGCTTTTTGGGGTTTGGGAGGGAAAAATAGCCACAACTAGGTATAGCGTTATGAGGAAAGCAATATCCTTCCAGGGAGGGAATGGTTATCACAAAAAAGTGAAGGAATATTATCAGTGTGCTTGCATTTGTGTTTAGAGTTTAATTCCAGGAAAAGATGATGCTAGATGAGTATACTATTTCATGTATATAATTTTTAAAAATTAAATTGAAAAAATAATCTATAGTTATGATAAAGGATATAGATATACACACATATAGGTGCGTGTGTGTGTGCGCACGTGCACGCGTGTGCCTTTTTAAACCAAATACTTTAAATAGAGATTAGAGCATTTTATTTAAACACTTTTCAAAATCCCTGTTTTAGGTGTATTGTGAAGATCACTGGTGATATGACAATGTCATTTCCAAGTGGAATTATTAAAGTCTTCACCAGCAATCCAACTCCAGCTGTGTTGTGCTTCAGGGTGAAAAATATCAGCAGACTAGAGCAGATTCTTCCAAATGCACAGCTTGTGTTCAGGTTTGTGTACTTTTTGTTTTGAAGGTTGAAATTTCGTTTTAAGATTTTCTTTCCTGCTGTGCACAGTGGCTCACGCCTGTAATCCCAGCAGTTTGGGAGGCTGAGGCAGGTGGATTGCTTGAGCCCAGTTGTTCAAAACCAGCCTGAGCAATGTGGCAAAACCCCATCTCTACCAAAAAAACAAAAAACAAAAAACAAGAACAAAAATTAGCTGGGCATGATGGTGCGTTCCTGTAGTCCCAGCTACTCAGGAGGCTGAGGTGGGAGAATCGCTTGAGCCTAGGAGGCAGAGGTTGCAGTGAGCCAAGATCGTGTCACTGCACTCCAGCCTTGGTGACAGAGCTAGACCCTGTCTCAAAAAAAAATGTTTTCCCCCTTCTTCTTTGAAATAATAATATTCAATTTGAAAACCATACCAAAATTATTCTTACTAAACACCTTTCTGCTGTCTTTTTATTTTGTTTTCAGTGGTGCTAATAGTTATTTTAAGATTCTTTTCTCTCTCTCCATCTTATCTTTCAAGCAAGCTTCTCCTGTGTTCCATTCTTCATCCCCTGATCTAATTTTCCTTCATCCCACCTCTTGGTTTATTTCTACTAGTTTTTCCTGTGTCACCAAATTACTACACAGAGGCAAAACATAAAGATAAGTCAATAAAATAACAAATATATTTTTTATATATGTAGTGATCCATCACAATGTGATTCCAACACAAAAGATTTTTGGATGAACATGCAAGCTGTTACAGTCTACCTCAAGAAGCTGTCAGAGCAAAATCCAGCTGCTTCTTATTATAATGTAGATGTATTAAAGTATCAGGTGAGTGTCACGACATTGCAAAAATTCTAAATTAAAATATTAAAAAATGGAATCTAGCATATAAATGAATAAGTATGTCATAGCCAAGTGAGTTTTTTCCCAGAAATTCAAGGATGTTTTGAAATTAGAAAATCTGTTTATAAGCCAGTGGAGATTTTGACCAGTTTGGTAAAATTCACCATTTATTCATGATTAAAATACTGAGTAAATTTAAATGCATAAATTTGTCCTTAAGCTGAAAAGACTAGCAGTATCAGTCTTAACAATGAAACTCCCAAAGTAATCAATTAAAGTTAGGAATGGCAAAGATGCCCATTAGTAGATCCTGTTAGTATATAAGAGTTTTCTGGATGTGTTAGCCAGTACAGTCAGGTAAGAGAACAAAATAAGCATTAATAAATACTGGGAAAGAGGAATCAAAATTATTATTGCTTACAGGTGATATATTCCTCTCACGAGAACCAATTGAAGAACTATTTGACATAAGGACATTTAATATAGGTGGTCAGTTTAGTAATTAATACCAAAATTAATAACTTTCAAAACCAATTACAAAAACTAGTGGAGAAAAATATTCACAAAGAACAATTAGGAAGAAACACAACACAATCTCTAGTGACTTGAATATGGAAAGATTCATGCTGTAGAAGTTTAGCTGTTTCTCAGTTAACTTATACATCTAATATAATACTGATCAGAAACCCAGTAGAGTTACGTCTTTGTGTTTGGAGGCTTGACAATCATTTTCACGTTTCTCTAGAAGAATAAAGCTTACAAGAATAAGTCAAGAATTTTTTATTTTAAAGAGATGGAGTCCCATTCTCTTGCTCAGAATGGAGTAGAGTAGCATGATCACATTTCACTGCAGCCTCAAACTCCTGGGCTCAAGCAGTCTTCCAGCCTTAGCCTCCCGAGTGACTGGGACTAAAGGCACAAACCACCGCTCCTGGCAAGAAATGTTTTAAACAGTAAAGTGGAGTAATGTTTTAGCTTTAATGGGAAAGCTTAGTATAGACAGTATTTAAAATAGTTTGGAACTAACGCAGCAGTAGATGGCCAGATGAAGGAATAGATTAGAGTATCCAGAAATAGATCTAAGAATAAATGGAAAATTGTTTATACGACATAGTAGCATTTCAAGGCAATGTGGACGTGATGAATTTTTCAAAAAATGATGTTGAGGATAGCAAGCTAGACACTTGAGAAAAAAATTAAGGTGAATCCCTGTTAGACTTTTAGCCAAAGTAAAATCCATGTGTATCAAAGGTTTAATAATAATAATAAAAGATACCATACCATAAAGGTACTAAAATAAAGGCATGGGTGAAGATACAGTTGACCCTTAAACAAAAAGGATCTATAAACTATGCAGGTCCACTTATACGAGGATTCTTTTTAACCAAACACCAATTGAAAATGCAATGATTGTGGATGCAAAACTCATGTATAAACAGAGGGCCAACTTTTTCTATATGTGGGTCCCACAGGGCCAACTATGTTTCTTGAGTATGCACAGATTAGTATATACACAGGGGTCCTGGAACCCACCCTCCCAAGTATGCTGAGGAACAACTGTATATGTATTTCTCTGTGTGTGTATATATGTAATACATATTTATTACATATTTTAATCTTGAAGTACAGAAGACCTAAGTATGATATGAAACCCAGAAGCCATGTAAGAAGAGAATGAGATATTTGATAAATAAATGTGTGTGTTTATAAAATATTTTGTTAAACCTTTAAACACAATCAGTATTTAATCTGTGGGAAAAGTATTTACGACACATAAGATGAACCACAGGGCTTACCCCAAAGAGCCCTTGTAAATTTGTAAGCAACATGTGAATAACTCAATAGACAAATAACCTATGGAAAGATGCTTCATGTCAGTAGTAATGAGAGCAGTCAATACTAAGATAACAATGAGGTGTCAGTTTTAGCCCATCAGATTTACAAAAATGAAAGTTCGCTTTATCCAGTATTAAGAAGGTTATGATCACTTGTTAATAGGATGCAAGTAAAACCTCTTAGAAGGCAATTCTGTTAGATTGTTGAAAGATGTAACCTTTAATTCAACAATTCCACTTCCAGAAATCATCAGAAATACACAGTTGGATGAAGATAAGGCATAAAGGATATTCGCTGTAGCATTGTTTAGAAAGCACCTAAGTACATACACATCAGCAGAGGAGGAAATTAATTACTATAGCCATTAAAAAGAATGACATGGATCTATGTTTGCATATGCCTGAAGAGTCTGGAAGGATATATGCCAGGATTCCAAGGGATAAATTTCCTACTTTATATTTCTCTATTTTTTTAGTTTTTAATAGGGTAATTTTATTAAAATGGCTTGTTTCTAGAAAAATACTTAAAGAACAAAAAAGTGCTGCCACTTAAATTGACTTAAAGTTTCTTACAGGTGTTCATTTATTCAACAGATGTGTATTATTCAGTGCATGTAATTGCTGGGAGTAGGACAGGGAGACAGTAAAGATCAGTAATATTCTATGGGCTGGACTTTGTTGCTCTGGTCTATAATCCCAGTACTTTGAGAGGCTGAGGCGAGAAGATTGCTTGAGCCCAGGAGTTCAAGACCAGTCTGGGCAATAAAAAGAAACCCCATCTCTACAAAAAATGTAAAATTCTCTGGGTGTGATGGCACAAGCCTGTAGTCCTAGCTAGTACAGAGGCTGAGGAGGGAGGATTGCTCGAGCCCAGGAGGTTGAGGCTGCAGTGAGCCATGAGCATGCCACTACACTCCAGCCTGGGCAACAGAGTGAGACCCTGCCTCAAAATAATAATCATAATATTCTATGTTAGAAAATGAGTGGTATGGAAAAAAGAAAAAGTATAGACTAAGGTAAGGAAGATTGAAAATACAGTTTTCAGTGTAAATTTAAACAGAGCAGTCAGAGTAGGTCTCCTTAAAAAGGAGCCATTGGACAAGGAGCTTAAGAATTTGAAGGAATTATAACATTTACTGTGAGTCATGTGATTAAACATTTGAAGTTGGAAGCATTCTAATTCCAACTTGTGGTACTACGTGGTGACCTTTTTTCTCGTGTTCTAAATCTGAATTCTTATAATGTATGAAGAATCTTTGAATTCTGTGTTGAATGTTGGAAGATTCGCAAACTTTACACGCATAATTAAGAATTCCTTCATAAAATGCTGATTTCTGGGCCCTGTCCCTAAGCTGTTGAATCAGATTTTCTGCAGTTGGAGCTAAGGGAATGTGTGTTATAAACAAGCACCACAGCAATTTTGATGTAAGTAGTAGTAGGTCCCCACATTGAGAATGATCCTTACTCCTTTGAGATAGGTCTGCTTCACTCTGCCAACAGATAGTCCCCTCATTAGATATTTTTGATTTTGTGGACTTACATGTTCAAGTGTCCATGTCATTAACATGACTTCTTAACTTTTCAGGCCAAAAACAATTGTTTGTTCTTTTCTCTTTAAAGGTATCATCAAATGGTATTCAGTCCACTCCTCTGAATCTTGCAACATACTGGAAATGTAGTGCTAGCACCACAGATCTTAGAGTGGATTATAAATACAATCCAGAAGCTATGGTGGCACCTAGTGTGCTTTCCAACATACAGGTGGTGGTACCAGTGGATGGAGGAGTAACGAACATGCAGTCCCTTCCCCCTGCAATATGGTAAATTAAACATACGTTTCTGAATTCCCACTAAATTTTTGTTGCAATCCCCAACTTCTAGAACCCAAGTTCTGTAAGTTTTCTTAGAAGTTTGAAAAATTTTTGTGCCTTTTTCCATAGAAACCACGCTGTAAAAGATGCAGTTCATTTTACTAGTCAAACCATAGTAACCTTAATCAAAAATAAACAAAACTAGTTTTGCTCTAAGTACCACCCAGACTTCAATGATTCCATACTAACTTTACCATTAGGCAGAGTGCTTGACCTCTCTAAACTTCTTTTTTTTTTTTTTTCATTTAAAAAATACAAATATTTTATGGATTAAATATAGCATCTGGCAAGTCTATAGGAACAGGAACACCTATCTAATTAGTGTTTAATAGTATTAGTTACTGCCATCTCTTAGCAACTTCTCCTGTCCCCTCTGTTAGTATTAGTATAGACTCTAACCGCTCTTTATAGTTACTTCATCATTTAATAACATGTGTCTTCCTTGACTAATGAAGGTACTGATCCCTATACACATTCCATTTTACTTTCTCTGACCAATAGGAATGAGAAGAATTACATAATTTGGTAAACTTCCATTAATTGAAAAAGATACAGCATTATGTTTATACTATATCATAAACACATTTTCACCAGTTAATACTACTTAAACTTAGCAATATATTTGTTGTAGTGAAAATATTTAAAATACACTTATTTATTGAGGTCCCATTCATGTATCAGGTACTATACTAGACACAAAACCTGAAGATATCTGTTCTTATTGCAGGAATGCAGAACAAATGAAAGCCTTTTGGAAATTGTCTAGTATTTCAGAAAAATCAGAAAATGGAGGTAAGTGTGTGTGTCCTTTTTTATTTATAAAATGATGTCACTGAAAATTGATTTTTTTTTTTTTTTTAAAACAGAGTCTAGCTTTGTTGCCAGGCTGGAGTGCAGTAACACAATCTCAGCTCACTGCAACCTCCGCCTGCTGGGTTCAAGCGATTCTCCTGCCTCAGACTCCTGAGTAGCTGGGATTACAGGCACGTGCCACCACACCCAACTAATTTTTGTTTGTTTGTTTTTTTTTTTAGTAGAAACAGGGTTTCACTATGTTACCCAGGATGGTCTCGATCTCCTGACCTCGTGATCTGCCCACCTCGGCCTCCCAAAGTGCTGGGATTACAGGCGTGAGCCACTGCGCCTGGCCATGGGTGCACCGTTCCTGGAAGCACTGCAATACCTTTTTTAAGGGAAAGTTTATGTAAAGTTTCCTCCTGGAATTTCATGCCCTCAGTTCTAGAAATGACCACTAGGTGGAAGTTAATACCTTTAGAATGGACCAGCTGAGATTCAGAACACATTTGTTCATCTAGATTGAGTATGTGTTCTCTATAAGAAAAAATTTATTTTGCCATAACTTTATAAATATTATGTAAATACTTCTTATATTTACATGCTAACATTAAGAAACTATACCTAGTAAATTTAAAGAAATAGAACTCTATGTTCCATGTAGGTAACCTGATAACTAATTGAAACTGATTTAACACAGTTTAGTTCATTCTGTTAACGGGATTCTCCTGACCTCCCAGAAATCATGTAGACGCTTCCAGGCTTTAAAAAGCCCCTTGCCGTCCCGGCACAGTGGCTCACGCTTGTAATCCCAGCACTTTGGTAGGCCGAGGTGGGTGGATCACTTGAAGTCAGGAGTTCAAGACCAGCCTGGCCAACATGGTGAAACCCCATCTGTTTTAAAAATACAAAAATTAGCTGGGCGTCATGGTGCACGCCTGTAATTCCAGCTATTCAGGGGACTTAAGCATGAGAATCACTTGAACCCAAGGAGGCGGAGGTTGCAGTGAGCTGAGATGGTGCCCCTGCTCTCCAGCCTGGGTGACAGAGTGAGACTCTGTCTCAAAAAAAAAAAAAAAAAAAAGCCCCCTTGCCTTCTGCAGTTCTCTAAAAGAACCTTTTTCCTGTCCATTTCCCCCTATTAAAGCTAACTATCAGCAGCATTCAATTTTCTGATGATTATTTTAAGGAGAAGCAAGTTATGCTTCTCTCACTAAGTACATCTGTTTGTGTTCATAATGCCAAGGAAAAGGCTGTCCTAGCTGATCACTTCTATAACTCAACTTACAATAAGGATGTAATTCTTGGGACAGCCAAGTCTTTAACATAGTCTTATTTTCTCTTAATCAAAAGAGAATTCTTCTGCCTTCTTTTGAATGCATAATTTTAGTCTACAATAACTTTTCTGCTTGTTTTTTTAGGGTTTGGTTTTGTTTTGTTTTGTTTTGTTTTTTTGAGACAGAGCCTTGCTCTGTTGCCCACTCTGGAGTGCAGCGGCATGATCTTGGCTCACTGCAACCTCTGCCTCCCAGGTTCAAGCAATTCTCCTGCCTCAGCCTCCCGAGTAGCTGGGATTACAGGCACCTACCACCACATCCAGCTAATTTTTGTATTTTTAGTAGAGACAGGGTTTCGCCATGTTGGCCAGGCTGGTCTTGAACTCCTGACCTCAGTTGATCTGCCAGCCTCAGCCTCCCAAAGTGCTGGGATTACAGGCATGAGCCACCATGCTCAGCCTAGTCTCCAATAACTCCTCTATTTGATAGGTTTTTTGGCTTTTCAAATGTTGCTGAGCTTTTTCTTTTTGAATATTTTGAGCATAATATAAAACATATCAGTAGCTTTTCTCATAGATATTTCTGTAGAAAGGACCGTAAATATGTCTGTGTTGTTTATTCATTTACACCTGCCATGCAGAATAAGACTTTTACTGGAGAGCCATACATTGGGTGAAATAACCAAGCAAATCTTCAGTTTCTTTTTTGCTGTTTGGTACTTATAGGTTGCCCACTTTCAGCTGGCCAACTGCATTGACTTTAACCCTAGCTATTAATATATAGCTTTTTGTGAGCCAAGCTGAAATTCCTAGTTTAAATTGAAGTAAACCAGCAATCCTGTTTGCATTAAGGGCTTATAACCAGTTTAGAAGGACAAAAGGATCTTTTTCCCCAATATAATGAAACTATACTATTGTAAATAATTAACAAGAAAGAAATTTGTTCTCTCAAAAATAAGACACAGGCTGGGTGCAGTGGCTCATGCCTGTAATCCCAGCACTTTGGGAGGCCAAGGCAGGTAGATCGTGAGGTCAAGAGATCGAGACCATCCTGGCCAACATGGTGAAACCCTGTCTCTACTAAAAATACAAAAATTAGCTGGATGTAGTGGCACGTGCCTGTAGTGTCAGCTACTCGGGAGGCTGAGGCAGGAGAATTGTTTGAACACGGGAGGTGGAGGTTGCAGTGAGCCAACATCGCACCACTGCCCTCCAGCCTGGCGCAGAGACTCCGTCTCAAAAAATAAAAAAATGAGATACAAATTTTCTAACCAGATTTTAAGTTTCCCTCTGCTATTCAGGTATCAGGTGTTTCTGTGAGGAAATGGAAAAATCTTATAAATGTGGTTTTTGATGTGGTTAGTCAAGCCTTTGAAAAGAATATCCAAGGCCAGGCATGGTGGCTCATTCCTGCAATCCCAGCACTTTGGGAGGCTGAGGCAGGTGGATCACTTGAGGCCAGGAGTTGGAGACCAGCCTAGACAATGTGGCAAAACCCTGCCTCTACTAAAAATACAAAAATTAACCAAGTGTGGTGGCACGTGCCTGTAGTCCCAGTTACTCAGGAGGCTGAGGCACGAGTCTAGCTTGAACCTGGGAGGCAGAGGTTTCAGTGAGCCAAGATTGCACCACTGTATTCCAGCTTGGGCCTTAGAGGGAGACTCTGTCTCAAAAAATAAATAAATAAATAAATAAATAAATAAATAAATAAATAAATAAATAAGAATGCTGTAAAATAGGCTGGGCACGGTGGCTCACACCTGAAATCCCAGCACTTTGGGAGGCTGAGGCGGGTGGATCATGAGGTCAGGAATTCAAGACCAGCCTGGCCAATATGGTGAAACCCTGTCTCTACTAAAAATACAGAATTAGCCAGGCATGGTGGTGTGCGCCTGTAATCCCAGATACTCAGGAGGCTGAGGCAGGAGAATCGCTTGAACCCAGGAGGCGGAGGTTGCAGTGAGCCAAGATCGTGCCACTGCACTCCAGCCTAGGCAACAGAGTGAGAGACTCTGTCTCAAAAAAAAAAAACACAAAAAATTCTGTAAAATAGAAATCTGTTTTCTGTTGCTGACTGTGTACTCAGAAGAGGGACAGGAAATATTTCTAAGGTGATTGTCAAGGTTGTTGCTCTTGGTCTATGGTAGAACTTTTGCACAACCAAATTGGTTATCAAGAATTGTAAAAGTTTGAGGGCCTGGATAGTAATTAAGAATAAGGCAGCAGTTCATCTCCACTACTGATCTATGCCTCCAGGCATAATAATACAAGTTGGATCAATGTTGTGACATCCTATTCTCCATTTCTCTGTGTAGTGTTAAGCTTCTGTGCAGGGGATCACAGGATCTTACTGCTAGTACCTAGCATTTCTGTCCATTTGCTCTATCCAGAAACCTGGGAACCCTCCTAGACTCCTCCTTTCTCATTTCTTGATTCCAACTCCTAAATATCTTTCAAATAACTTTCTTAATATCTTTCCTTTTTATTAGCCCTAGTTCAGATCCCCCTTTCCTATCATCTAGAGTCCTAAACTGTTTTGACTTGCAGTTGGTCTCCCAACCTTGCATCTTGTGCTTCTCTTCCCTTTTGAGACACTAATCTGAAATGTTCTTGTCTTCCTTATCTTTGGTGACTTCCCATGGTTACATCATGAATTTCTTACCATGGCCTGGCCCATGCTACCACTCTAGTCTCATCTGCCACTCCCCTCTACCTGTATCCTGTTCTCCTGCTAATCTGATATAGATGCTATTTCGTTAAATGCATCATGCTCTGTCTCTGTATCTTTGGTAACTTCTGCCTAAAATACACACCATCATCCCCACCACCATTTATAATTTTCAGCTGAGATAGGTGCTTTTGTGCCTGTAGCTCCTCAGAGCTCCTTTACAGCATTTATAATATTCATTATAATTATTGGTTTACTGTTCCTGCCATTCCATTAGACTGAAGTATACTGAATAAATGGTGATGATACTAGAAACAAAACACCTCAGAAATACCTACTTGGCATTATGTTAGACCAGTAAAACTTTAAAAAGAAAAGTGAATAGAAAATAGCAATGTTATACAACTCTTCCCAACCGTAGTTACCTTTCCATCTTTACTTCTTCTACTACTCAGTAGTCATTTCTTTTTTAACTTTATGCCACCTATATCCCTCCTAGGGTTTTTCTCTGGGCTGTCCTCAGTTACTTCCTTCTTCTCTTTTGACTCGCCTCAACATGCATATAGCATAGGAGTCCAGTAGTTAACATCTCTGAAGATTAGTATTGAGTCAAAGAAAAGCATGGGTTATTTACTTAATGAAAATTGATATTCACTAAAAAATATGAGATTTGGAAACAGGATAATAGTTTGTTTACTGTGCACATCTAATGAATGTAGCACAGGACTGATGTAGTTTAGCTTACTTGCTCATTTGATTCTATTTTGTTTGAAATGTATTTTACCCTGTGTAAGTGCTTTATTCTTTTCTTTGTAGGTTCTGGGTCCCTCCGAGCAAAATTTGATCTTTCAGAAGGACCTAGTAAACCCACGACACTTGCAGTACAATTCCTCAGCGAGGGAAGTACCCTTTCAGGAGTAGATTTCGAACTTGTGGGCACTGGCTATAGGCTTTCCTTAATAAAGAAGCGGTTTGCTACTGGTAAGTTAGGAGATTTCAAACTTTTTAATGTACATGGGAAACATTTGTATTCTAACAGTTATTAAAAAACTGTCAAGCAATTTATAATCTAAAGACATGGAAATTTTTTCTTTAACCCTTGGTACAAGGTGCCAGGTAGAGACACACCTGGGAGAGAGTTCTTACGGTCAGTATAGCTGAACACCTGTTATCTGATTCTAATGTACTGTAAATAGCAGATGGGAACTAGAGTTTTGTATTGGTAACCACAGTGGAAAATGTCCTTAGAGTGCATTTGAAATTGTAATTGCAAAGGTCTGCTTGGCGTTTTTCAGGACGATACCTGGCGGATTGTTGATGGACCTGGGAAAGTGATGTGGCTTCAGGGATTACAAACCTGCCATTCTGCATTATCTGTTCTTTCCAAACACTATTTTAACTTGTATGATGTCTTTCAAACTTAGACATATTTGAGAGCTGACTACAAACATTAAATCGCACTTTTAAAGTGAGTCATTGAAATAAATAGTACTGAAATGATTCTCTATGTTGTAAATGATCAACTACAATATTCAGGAAGCACATTTATTCAGATTCTCAGTAAAAATGAAGTTTTTGTAGGATTAATTTTTAAATTATTTCCAGTGTCTATGTTGAAAAAAAGGGTTATAGTGTAATATCAGGCCTAAAGTTTCAGAAGAGCAAGCACAAAGTAATTTAGCTTTCCATACATTTTTAGAGTCAGAGATAACTTTGAAATTTCATAAGTTTGATATTCAGTGGATACAAATAGAACATGAATTCTAAGTTTTGGGTAATGTTAACTCAGAACACTTAATCAAATTGAGCTATGTGCCATAAGGTAATCAGACCAGAGTCCAAGTTGTATGCAAAAAATCTATAATTTGATTCTCATAAACATATTAATAAAGTATAAGTGATGTTTTATATGATTTTTAAAAAAAATTCTCAAGTGCAATGTGTTTTAAAATAAGCTTGCAAATGACAGCAGAGACATTTACTTCTGCAGTTAGTTAACTTTATAGGAGTTGTGATTTTTTTGATGAATTAATGCTGTAGATTTAATTTATTTTTATATGGAATTGCATAATGTGTGCCTTTTAAAACAATAACAAAAACCAGAGATGTGCCTATACAATTTGTGTTCATTAATGTGCCTCACTTTTTTTCTCAGTCTGAATCTTCTGTTCAGAATCTTACAGTGATCAAGCATTTTTATAAGATATTTGCAATTTTTGTAAATATTTTTGGCCTGCAACTGGGAAGGGGATTCAGAGTCATAAAGCCTAACTTAAGAATCCTGGCTCACTTCTTTGGTGATACACTGTAGCCACTAGAAAGAGAAATAAACCCAATGGCATGTGTTTACAGGAAGAAAGATTACCTTCAGATACTTGACATTAACCTCATCAAAAGTGTGTGAATTTTAAAACAAATTCTAAAAAAACTATAGTGCTAAATTGGTAACTGGTATTTTAACTCTCAATTTAGCATTTTCCTTGATACTTTATCATTGAAAATTTATGCATTTATTTACTGATTGTGTTGTGAACATGAGTTTTATGGTATTTTGTGAGGGATGCATTTTTTAAAAGATTAATTTTGGAAACAGAAGGAGAAGCACTGCCATTTGTTTTTATTTCAACAATTGGAAAAATTACCAATTTGTACATTTTAATTATTCAATTTCTACTTTGTAAAAATAGGGAAATTATTTGAAGTGATATATTTGGTTAAACATTTCTAAAAATAAACTACCAATACTAAATAGTAAGAAACCTAACTTTAGTAGCAAATCTTGATTAATTGAAGAAATAAAATATTTCGGATAAGGTTTCATAATTTACAAATGGGAATTTCATTTATAATAATAAATATGAGTGTCCTTTATTTGCCTAGTAGAAGTGATAAATTGTGTTATATATGATAATTTATATAAAACCACTAATTGTTCCGTTAAGCTTCACAGAAAATAAAACCTCTATTACTAGACATTTATGTAACATCTTGCTGTACTAAATACAGCAGAAAATCTACTCTTTAGCAATATATAACACAGTATATGCTTTTTTATATATTCAATGTTAGCCCAAGTCTGAATTTACATTTGACTAAAGCAGCACATAAGATAATTTGCTAAAATGCTAATCTTTACTAAATAGTGAGCTAAATTAGAATTTCTAACTCTTATATTGTGCTCTTTTAAATGCCAATTACAGTCCCTTACTGGAATTCTAACTGTAATTTGCTTTGCAATCAAACTGCTTTTAGGGCAGCCAATATTTTATTATTGGAATTCAGACACTGTTCTTACCGTGTTTGTTTTTAATCAAATATTACCTAAAAATGTACAAATTAGTGAAATGGTTAAACTTCTGCACTTTCTTAGTTACCACAGTCTTCATACCAAGTATTGGGTACAGGTTACAATTTTGAAGCCATATGAGTTTATATTGATTTTTTTTTTCCATTTAAAAATCCACTAATGGTGTAAAAGAGACCAGTAGATTTTCAATGGGAAATGTACCTAGCAAGCTGGTTCTTGCTTATATATAGTGATAAACTTTGTAGCTGCCTCTTTAACCAAGAATTTGTAAACACAACTCTAATAAATGTGAGTTTTAAAGGATTGTTATTTACTACTTTGGATTGTAATTAGAACAATGCACATCTGTCTTCCAAGATTTTGTAAATATTTTTGATTTTTTTCATTAAATGTAAATTTTACATAAAAGTTGTGCTCTTAATAAACATGTAATATATAATTTATCAATTGGTTTATGTGTCTTTGTACTTGATAGTAATAGCTATATCATAATGTTAGGACAAGGCAAGCTGGCCAAGTAATTGGTTTTTAACTTTGTACTACTGTTTGAACAGGCGTACAGATCGAACTGTTATTTATTGGTTATATAGAAAGCTTCATTTGGAGTATATCCCAAAGTGTCAAAATTGTTTAACAAGGGATTATTTTTAATATATTTTAAGATATATTTAAATTGATGTTAAATTTTTGCAGACTTTCTTCCTAACCAGTTGCTCAGGAACACAGTCTCAGACAGTTCAAAAATCATAATGTTCCAAAGAATTAGTTAAGACAATCAAGCCTCCCAAAATGGTAAATTTAGGAAGGAGCAAAAGAAGGAAATTAGAAAAGAAAGAATTTATCCTAACTATTGAAAATTTTGGGCTGGGTGCAGTGGCGCATTACTGTAATCCCAGCACTTTGGAAGGTCGAGGTGGGCAGACCACATGAGGTCAGGAGTTCGAGATCAGCCTGGCCAACATGGTGAAACCCCAACTCTACCAAAAAATATAAAAATTAGCTGGGCATGGTGACGTATGCCTGTAGTCCCAGCTACTCGGGATGCTGAGGTAGGAGAAGTGCTTGAACACGGGAGGTGGAGGTTGCCGTGAGCCAAGATTGTGCCAGAGCACTCCAGCCTGGGTGACCAAGTGAGACCCTGTCTGAAAAAAAGAAAAAATGTTGCCAATCTGTGTTAAAAAAGGAACAGCTTAATTTATCTAGGTAGGCCAGGGCAGAGGAACCTGTGGAAAGATCTGATAGCACTCACCATTCATACCATATGCCCATCGTTTTCTTCCTTTTTCCTCTTCATCCCATTCCCACCTCTGTTAGACTAAATGATGCTAGCTGCTGCAATAGCTAAGCACAATACTTACTACATTGCTCTTATCACAGTCATAAGTAGGTTTGAGGAGGAGTTCTGCTCCATATAGTAATTCAGGGGCCCAGGCTCTTCCCATTCTGTGATTCTGCTTAAAATCTTCATTTGGCCGGCAGATGAAGAAAAAGCAAAGATTAGATGGGAGTTTTTATGGGCCAGGCCCAGAAGAATTGGCATCATCACTTCTGACCATATTCCATGAGCCAGGATTTGATCTTGTGGCTCCAACCAACTGCAAAAAAAGATGGGAAATGTAGTTTGGTTATGTGCCCAGGAAGAAAACGGGGTTTTGATAAACACAGAGTAAACCTCTGCCATGTACCCCACCCCTGCTCCATTTTGTTATTTTCTTTGTTCCTTTTTCCTAATGTGCATTTAATGGTTTCAGTGGCTCTCAGTATTAAAGGTTTTTTCCATGATTTCTTACTGTATGTAGCTATTTTATCCATATTTTTAAATATATATAATTATTTCCATACGCCTCCTAATGATCGTTTCTGAATGAACATTTGTGATAACTCAGAAACCACTGCTTATCTTTTTAGCATGAGTGTTTTATCTGTCAGTAATGTTTTTAGCCTCAAGTAACAGAAACAGAACTAAGAATGGTTTAAACCAGCAGTACCAACCTTTTTGGCACCAGGGACCAGTTTTGTGGAAGACAATTTTTCCATGGATGAAGCGGTGTGGGGAGATAGTTTCAGGATGAAACTGTTCCACTCAGATCATCAGTCATTAGTTAGATTCTCATAAGGAGCGTACAACTTAGATCCCTCACATGCGCAATTCACCATAGGACTTCCGTTCCTGTGAGAATCTAATGCTGCCGCCGATCTGACAGGAGGCAGAGCTCAGGCAGTAATGCTTGCTCACCTGCTGCTCACCTCCTGCTGTGCAACGTGGTTCCTAACAGGCCACAGATCACTACCAGTCTGTGGTCTGGGGTTGGGGTCCCCTGGTTTAAACATTTTTTTCATATCACAGCTCAAGTTACCTCTTGTTGGCATTGGTCAGAACAAGTCATTCGCCCTTTCTTTACGGTTGGAGTATGGCAGCCATAGCTCCAGACTGTATGTGTTTACATCCACAGCTAGGAGGGACAGTTCCAGTATGTCTGTCTTTTTTTTGTACGAAGAGTAAAAGTTTTTCCAGAAGCTCCCAGCTCGTATCTGTTTACGTTCTGTTGGCCTGAATTATGTAAGACAGGCAGAGAAAACAAGTAGCCTTCATAATGAAGGTGGGTAAAGGAGAAGGGCCTAGGAATGGCTGGAAGTAAGCTGGCCAGCAATCAGACACAGAATTTCTGCTGGTACAGGCATGTTTCCATATAGCATATTGCCAAGCAAGTCTGCACCTATCCCAATCAACTTTTTAACCCATTTTTTAAATAGTGTGAACTCAGCAATGAGCAGGATGAACTTAATTAAGTATTCAACTTTTTAGGAACAGTAAACTGGTATAATCTTTCTGACGATTTGAATCCAAAGGCTTTAAAATTTTTTTTTAATCTATGTATCATGTAAACTAGTCATTCACTTGGGAATTTGTCCTAAGAAAATAATGAGACATAAGCAAAATTATGTATGCAAAGATGTTTATTGCAACATTGTTTATAGTATGCAAAATTGAGAGGGTTGGCTGAGTTGATAACTCCCATATAGTGATACACTATGCGGCTTTTAAAAATAATTGTGAAGATCCACAGTCACTGATATTGAGATATTACCACAATATTATTAAATGGTAAAAGGTAATATGCCATTTTTGTTTTTAAAAGTGCATACATCAGGCCAGACGCAGTGGCTCACGCCTGTAATCCCAGCACTTTGGGAGGCCGAGGCGGGCAGGTCATTTGAGGTCACAAGTTCAAGACCAGCCTGGCCAACATGGTGAAACCCCATCTCTACCAAAAATACAAAAATTAGCCAGGCATGGTGGCGCATGCCTATAATCCCAGTTACTTGGGAGGCTGAGGTGAGGCAGGAGAATCACTTGAACCCACGAGATGGAGGCTGCAGTGAGCCGAGATCGCACCACTGCATTCCAGCCTGGGTGACAGAGTGAGGAAAAAAAAAAAAAAAGCATACATCTAGAGCAAAACTTTTTGCAAAAGCATTCACCAAGCCGTTATAATCTATAGGTGGTGGGATTTTTATTTTTAACAATATGTTAGGTGTTATCTAAATTTTTTTATAATTAGTACATATTACATCTACAATTATAAACTAACTATGTTTTGGAAAATAGTTGCATAGAGTGCAAGTTGAACTTTCTGTTGATGCACAAAGATCTCTTCACATAAGGATCTTCCTATTTTGATTATTGCCTTGCCTTACGTGGTCCTACCAATATAGCCAGGTTTTTTGTTTGTTTTGTTTTGTTTTGTTTGTTAACGTATGAAGTAGATTGCTGATCTAATTTTTATTCTTTTTGGTCTCAAAGCCAAATGTCATATTTTGTTTTCCCTAAGTGGATACAGGATCAGTTTGTTTTTTTTTTCTGGGAATATATTTTGCCCAAATTACTCTCTTAAGAAAAGTGTCGGCCGGGTGCGGTAGCTCACGCCTGTAATTCTAGCACTCTGGGAAGCTGAGGTGGGCGGATTGCCGGAGCTCAGGAGTTCAAAACCAGCCTCGCCAACATGGAGAAACCCTTTCTCTACTAAAAATACAAAAAACTAGCTGGGTGTGGTGACACATGCCTGTAGTCCCAGCTACTCCCAAGGCTGAGGCATGAGTCACTTTCACTCAGGAGGTGGAGGTTGCAGTGAGCCAAGATCATGCCACTTCACTACAGACTGGGTGACAGAACAAGGCTCTGTCTCAAAGAAAAAAAAATGTGATCCAGAGAAGTGACAGAGGTTAGCCTTTGGCAAAATTAAGAGCCTTTTAAGTTCAGAACCTTAATGTCATCACATACTCAATGAATAGTGACTGTTTACACCATTGAAATTCCCAAAAAGAGTAACCTAAAGAGTGATGAGCTTGCAACAAAGATTAGGTTATTTGGTTTTTCCACCTTCTGTCAATAAAATATTTCCATTAGTTGGGGAACTTATGGAGTGAATTTCAAATTGTTCAGGAAGTGTAAAGGCATACTTTGAAACCATCTTCATGCTATTTGCATGAAGCATGTTTCAGTATGACAGGCAACCAGGGTACCTGCTTGAGGTAAGGTGACCTTTAAGGTTGGTGATTGACTGTATACATCAGAATCATAATCCTGTCAGTGCAAAATTGCAGTTGCTTGCTTTACTTCTTTTTGATCTGAGTTGATGGCACCCACAATATTTAGAAGTTCTGGGGTCTCTGACCCCAGGCACCTCCCCACTCAGATTAGGGAAAGTCCCCTCGAAGTACCAGCTCATTAGGAGGAAATCAGTGAGTAATTCACAATTTAAACATTTCACACATCTGCAAAGTAACTATGATCAGTAATGACCTCTTTCCTACCCAGTTTTTCAGGATGTAGGGGGCTTCAAAGTCAAACAGAAGCGCAAGTTGTTTTCTTTAAGAGGGCTTACAATGATGGACTGCATGTACGACGGCGGTCCCAGACTGTATATCTCTAATACAAAGGTTAAAAGCTAAAACTATAGCCAAAATAATTTGTTAAAGGATACACAATAAAAAATGTAATTTTTTAATTGAACAAAATGTGGGGTTGGGAGTAAAATGGATTTCCTTTTTTTTTTTTGTATGTAATAAGATCAAGTTGTTATCAGCTTAAAAAGCAGGGAGGTCATTACAAATTAGATTCATATATATGAGCAGATTTTTGTTTCTCCTGAAAGAAAACAAGTCATATGAAATAATGTGAAACATAGAAGATTGCTAATAACTACTAAAAATAGAAATTTGGTTTGTAGGCAGACTATGAGAAAGATAAGACATACCTATGTGCTTCCTGAAATCTTTGGGCAGCACATATTATGTGGGAATTTTTAAATATAAATATTTTCAAGTTCAGTAATTACTGTAGCCTTCAAACGTCCCAAAGCATGCATATTTTATGACTTAAATAAATTTTTCAGATATTTTCTACTTTGCTATAAAAGTCTTGTGAATGTCAACCTCTGTTTATTTTTTTCATGTGAATGACTGCAAAACCTCTGCATCACCTAGAATTGGCTTAGAGCAGTCAAGGAAAAATACCTAGATATCTGCTATATTATTAGTGTCTTTGAGGTTAGCTTCTGAAAAGAAACTCTGGAGAATATGTTTCCTCTAATGAGGCGTTAAAGTGCTGGTCAGCCAGTAGGACTGACTCCCACAGATAAGCTTCTGCCTCTTAAGCACCAAAGTTTGTTTTGTTTTGGAGGCAGAGTCTCACTTCGTTGCCCCGCCTAGAGTGGATCACAGCTCACTGTAACCTCAAACTCCTAGGCTCAAGCAATTCTCCCCTGCCTTAGCCTCCTGAGTAGCTGAGAATACAGGCGTGTGCCACCACACCCAGCTGTTTTTTTTAATATTTTGTAGAGATGAGGTCTCACTATATTGTCAAGGCTGGTCTTGAACTTCAGCCTCAAGAAATCCTCCACTCCGCCTCCCAAAATGCTGGGATTATAGGTGTGAGCCACTGCACCCAGCCAAGCACCAAGATATTGTGGGTGATAGGTACCATGCAGTGCCCTGTGGAGATTTTTAACTGAAAATATTTATGTCAAATTATTACGCAAGTATACTCTGCCTTCACAGCTAAGTAAGCTTTTTATAATCCTCTGTTATTTTGCAACTTTAAACCCACCACTCATTGTTATTCCTTTCAACTGCAAAAAAAAAAAAAAAAAAAAAAGCCACTTCCTTGTTTAAGAGCAAAGGTGTCATGAACACCGCTGTTTGGCTATGCCCTTGTGGCTCCAGAAATGTTAACAGTCATCTGAAAGCACAGGTCTCTCTCTAAGTCATGAGGTTTAAACACATAGCTCACTGTTACTGGGTACAGTTGAAGGGCATCTTTTAAATGTGAAATGACTACTTAGCAAAGTGGCTATTTCATGAGAAATGTGGCAGTCCTCACCCTTAGTCATCCTAGCTGTGGCTGGTAAGAGTTAGAAAATGGTCAGCTCTGAGGGGCAGGCCTGTTGTTGGGTCATTCCCAATTTGGATATGTGAACACCTTAGCTTGCCTTCTGTGGTTAGTGCTAAATGTAAAATTGGCTCTAACATGCTAAATTGTACAGACATAACTTTTGTGAATCTCCTAGGGAAGTGTTTGTAGAGGCAATGCCAGGAAGCCGCCTTGAAGATTAGCAGAGGCATAACTAGCCTTGGGCTGACCTAATGTCCACTGACTGTCTCTAAGAATTTACCTGATGAGGAACCTACCTCATATATATATGTAGAGAGAGGTAGGTAGGTTCCCCATCAGGTAAATTCCTAAGAGATATAGTCGCTGAACACTAGGTCATATATAGTAGGTCATTGGCTGGACATTTATACATTCTCTTTTACTGCAGCTATATCTATATTTACAGTGTGTGTTTTAAGTGGATACTTTTCTTAGGTATCTTTCAATTCTGAGAGAAATAAGCCTGATTGTAAAGAGTATAGGAAACTGGGGTAGTCCAAGATTGTATGAAAATAAACTCATTACAACTTTGGGGTTTGTAATGGGAAGTCAGGTTTGCTAATGATCTGTGAAGTTGTACAGTTATTTCCAAGATGCTTTTTTCCATCTTTCAGTCCTGGTTGGAGTCAAACTGCACAGTTGGCTAGGCAAGAATATAAAAAACATGAGTTGATTTTATTTTTCTGTCTCCAGACCAGTGAGATAGCAGCATCTGATAGACACGCACCCAGCCTATCAGCAAAGTATGTTCTTAGCTGAAGCCATTATATTTTCTACCTGGTCACACCTCCTAGCTGAGCCAGCAGAAGCTTATCAGGAGCCACTACATAGATCCCTAGGGGCAATGGGGAGCTGTGGACACACCCCACTGTCATCCAGAGATGATGTTTAGGTCCATGAGAAGCAAGTGCCTTGGTATCAAGAGTGTCTCTGGACCTGATTTGTCTCCAAGATAATGCAAGGGCAGAAGAATCAAATGTGAAGTCACATATACAAGCTATATTTGCAGGGAAGTGTTCACCTGAGGATCTCTACTTTGTCACTATCTTTGTTGACTTGAGAGAAGTAAAGCCCCAAAAAAGTAACTCACATAACATTTTACTTAGTGTCACAGGAGAATTCCTATATGTCCTAGAACATAGGTATGTCCTCTCCCCACATAGAACTCCTAAAAATATCTTTCCCGTGAAGCACTCCCATTACCCAAAGATGAGTAACGATCTTAAATGTCTATACAGTAATAGTTAAACAAAAAGGGGAGAGGACAAAGATTTAGAAACATGACATGGAAAAACAAATGGCAGATGAAGTATACTCACTAGAAATATGTTTCCATGGAGCACATGAAAAATTACACTAAATATAAAACAAGAAATTTAAAATTTTGATAAAGCAATTACCTCCACAAAACAAGAACACAAAGAAGACATGCAAGAACTCATGATAAAAATAGCAAGAAAATAAATAAAAAATAAGCTGGCAGAGCTAAGGGGAGAAGTTGAAAGGGTCCTCGTAGGAAATCGTTGAAGCCCTGCATGAGCAACTACAGACAAGTAGAATGAAATTATTATTTATGTCAGAAGTCAGACATGTAAATTTATTTCTAGCTTCAGCATTATGATTGCCAGGACCTGTGACGTGCTGTACTTGAATCCTTGCCTGGCTGGCCTGTGTCATCTGTATTACATTTTTGTCTGGCTTCATCAGGGCCACTAGATCTTGTTGGATGACTGCTGGCCTGGTTTCTCTTTCATCCTCAGCTTTGACATGGGACCTCCTGGTTTAAGTGAAGCAACCAGGTCACCTAAGAGCAGATCTTCCTTGTTTTGGAAGCATCTCCTGAGAAGTCCCTCTTGTCTGTGTAAACTGTAAACGCAGAAAGCCCCCTCTGCCTAGGAGAAGTTGTCATGGGAAATAGGCTGGGTTGGCTTGGCTTGATTAGGCTGCACCACCTAATCTTTTGGAATGCAGAGCTCTGAGGGCTCTGGGAAGTGGCTGAGCAAACGTGTATAAAGTCCAAAGAGATGTCTTACCCCACCCACAAAGAGAGCCCTGCTGAGTGCAGTGAGGTTCCAACTTTTCAGATGACCTCACAAATAATTTTAAAAATTTGTGTACCCTTTTGCTCATTTTAAAGTTGACATGTAAAATTTTCATCATAAATTTAAATAGAAAGGATTTATATTCATGGTATGTTGTAAATACTGGCATTTTAAACTAAAATGTGCATCACTTTTGAAGATGCTCAATGGGATAGAAATACATCAGTGATTTGACACTCACTGTTAAATGCCCATTATTTAAAATTCTGCAGCCTAAGTGTGATATTGTGCAAGTGCTACTTAGGTTAAACTGTAACCCAGGTAAGCTAGATGTTAATAAAACTACTGAGAACAAAGTATTGGGTTAAGAGAGACCTTATTTCTTTGAGCAGTCTGCAAACCAAGGAGATGCAGCCTTCAATACAAAACAAAGATGTGCTCTGCCAGAAAAAAGGAAGGGGGTGTCCTTTATAGAAAAAGTTGCTGGCTGGGTGTGGTGGCTCATGCATGTAATCCCAGCACTTTGGGAGGCTGAGGTGGGAGTATCACCTAAGCGCAGTTCAAGACCAGCCTGGCAACATGGCAAGACCCTCTCTTTATAAAATTTTTAAAAATTAGCTGAGTGTAGTGGTGCATGCCTGTAGTCCTAGCTACTTGGGAGGTTGAGGAAAGATTGCTTGAAGCTGAGGAAGTAAAGGCTGTAATAAGCTATGATCACACCACTGCATTCCAGCCTGGGTGACAGAGCAAGACTGTCTTAAAAAAAAAAACAGAGAAAAAATTTCACCCAGGTTCCCACTCCAGTCTGTTATGCAAATAATAGATACAAGCTCTCCTAGTTCTTTGTTGTTATTGTTGTTCTTTGTTTTTGAGACAGATTCTCGCTCTGTCGCCCAGGCTGGAGTACAGTGGCGCTATCTCAGCTCACTGCAACTTCCACCTCCCGGGTTCAAGCGATTCTCGTGCCTCAGCCTCCTGAGTAGCCGGGACTAGAGGAGCGTGCCACCATGCCTGGCTATTTTTTTGTATTTTTAGTAGAGATGGGGTTTTGCCGTGTTGCCCAGGCTCGTCTCGAGCTGCTGAGCTCAGGCCATCTGCCTGCCTCGGCTCCCCAAAGTGCTGGGATTACAGGTGTGAGCCAGAGCACCTGGCCTGTTTTGTTTTTTGAGACAGAGTCTTGCTCTGTCGCCCAGGCTGGAGTGCAGTGGTGTGATCTCGGCTCACCGCAACCTCTGCCTCCCAGGTTCAAGCAATTCTTGTGCCTCAGCCTCCTGAGTAGCTGGGATCATAGGTGTGCGCCACCATGCCCAGCTACTTTTTGTATTTTTAGTAGGGACCTGGGTTTTGCCATGTTGGCTAGGCTGGTCTCAAACTGCGGGCCTCAAGTGATCCACCAGCCTCGGCCTCCCAATGTGTTGAGATTACAGGCGTGAGCCACTGTGCCTGGCCTTGGATATTTCTTTTAAAGGCTTTTTAAAAGTTCTCCTAGTTCTATTCCATTGATGTTAAGATTGACTGGGCTAGTCCAAAGGTGGTCAGTTATTTCAATTGGTTGTTCACGGTTAGTTACAGATCAAACTCTTGTTATACTCTTTCCCCCTTCTCACTACTGCACTTGACTAATTAAAAAAAAAAAAAGGAAGGAAAGAAGAAAGAAAATGAGACAAAAAAAGATTTACCATAGGTCACAGTCTATTGGTTAGTTTCAGGTGCCTTCTGGCAGCATAAAGGAGAACAGATAGCTAGGAGAGTCCCTAAGTTACCAGATCATGGGGCGTTTCCAGAACGCAGAGTACACGTGTGACCTCTAGTCAGCAAATGGCCACTTGGCTTCATTTTGAATTTGGCCCAATTAGCTACTCAAGATCCATCTTGAATGATTGGCTCTTTCAGGGTTCACATAGAATATCAGTTGGTAGTCAGCTAACACCTGAAAGGCCACAGTCCAGAAGCAGCTTCCATGATACCTGAGGCTCTACTAATTGGCATAAAAATTAGAAGTATGTTTTTATTGGTGAAAATGGTGGGCTATTATCTGGCACAAGAAATATTAATAATGGGCTTTCGCTGGGGAATTAGAGGAATTCAAGATGTGGGTTGGCTAAAAGACTTTAGCAGTATCCTCTATTCTAGTATGAAGGTGGTGTGGCTTCATCTCTCACAGACTGTTGATTTGCAAAGAAGTCCTAAGGCCCGATGCACTGTGAATGTGAGAGACCCCTGGAAGGTCACTGTGTCTGACTCAAGTCAATGTCAGCAAGCTCATGGAACAAGGCAGCCCTATAAACTGCTTTGTGCCTGTTTATTAATACATGTTTAATAAAGGTCTGTATGTTTAGCGGAATTTGATTTGAGATGTTTGAGATACTCACTTTCACCTGTTAGTGAGATTATGGGGGAGTAGCTAGGTTTTGGTGACTTCAAGACATCTTTGGTAGCTACTAAAAATAACCTGAGAAGGTGTATATAATTAAGTTGGTTTAGCTTAATTCATGATGACATTAACCATGCCTGTTTTTAAAAATTAGCTTTAAAAAATAATACATTTTACATATTTTTACACATTATGCAGTTTTTGGTTTCTGTAAACTTTTATTTCCATATACTTCCTCCCCACAGAATTTTATCCCAATGTATTATTTTTTATAAAAGTGTTTCTGATTAATCATATTTCTTTGAAATAATTACATTTTGCTTTGCCAAAAAAATCTATATATCTATATGTAACCCTATACTGTAAGTTTCTAAGTATTAAAATATTTTGGGGTTGAATTATCAGTACAACTATTAGTACTAATTGATCAAATATAAAAATAAAACACACATTGTACACATATTATAATGTTGGTAATCACTAAACATAAAAGCAAACTTTTATTAAAAATTCACCTATTAATGAAATGGATGGGGGCTGTCACTGGCGATTACTTATTGCTAGAATGAGACAGAATCTATTCCTACTTTTCACTGTCATGGATGTGAGTACTGATGCTCTTTGTCCACATAAGCAAGTACATGGAAATAGAGGGAGTTTATTAAGCAAGGTTATTCCATTCTTTGAATTTTTCCAAGATTTTGCCAAAAAAATCATATAACAATGTTTTCATCAAAAATTATTTCTAGTGACCAGTCAGCTAACCACTTGGTCCTTCTTCAATTTTGGTGAAAGTCAGTACAATCATGTGTCACTTAATGACAGGGATACCTTCTGAGAAATGCATCATTATGCAATTTTGTCATTGTATGAACTCATAGAATGCATTTACACAAACCTATACGGTGGAGCCTCCTACACACCTAGACTGTATGGTAGAGTTTATTGTTCCTAAGCTACAAACCTGTACAGCATGTCAGTGTGCTGAATATTGTAGGCAATTGGAAGAAAATGGTGTTTGTGTATTGAAACATATCAAAACATAGAAGTACATTAAAAATATGGTATAAAAGAAATGATACACCTGTATAGGGCACTCACCATGAATGAAGCTTGCAGGACTGGAAGTTACTCTGTGTCAGTGAGTCAGTGGTGAGGCCATTACAATACACTACTGCAGATATTAAAACATGGTACCCTTAGGCTACACTAAATCTATAAAATAATATTCTTCTTTCTTCAGTTATAAATTAACTAGCTTACTTAACTTTTTGCTTCAGAAACTTTTAATTTTTTTAAACTTATTGACTTTCTTGTAATAACGCTTAGTTTAAAACACAAGGCCAAGCACAGTGGCTCACATCTATAATCCTAGCACTTTGGGATGCCAAAACAAGAAGATCACTTGAGCTCAGGAATTGGAGACAAGCCTTGATAACATAGTGAGACCTTGTCTTCACAAAAAAATTAAAAAATTATTAGCTGAGCATGGTGACACGCACCTGTAATTCCAACTACTCAGGAGACTGAGGTGGAAGGATCACTTGAACCTGGGAGGGAGAGGCTACAGCGAGCCAAGACACACTACTGCACTCCAACCTGGATGACAAGAGTGAGACCCTGTCTCAAATAAATAAATAAAAATAAAAACACAAAACATTGTACAGCTGCACAAAAATATTTTCTTTTGGCTGGGCACGGTGGCTCATGCCTGTAATCCCAGCACTTTGGGAGGCCTAGGCGGGCAGATCAGGAGGTCAGGAGATCCAGACCAACCTGGCCAACATGGTGAAACCCCGTCTCTACTAAAAATACAAAAATTAGCTGAGCGTGGTGGTGGACACCTGTAGTCCCAGCTACTCAGGAGGCTGAGGCAGGAGAATTGCTTGAACCCAGGAGGCAGAGCTTGCAGTGAGCCGAGACTGTGCCACTGCACTCCAGCCTGGCGGCAGAGTGAGACTCTCTCAAAAAAAAATTTTTTCTTCTTTCTTTATATCCTTACTCTATAAGCTTTTTTCTATTTAACATTTTTTTAACTTTTTAAATTTTTTTGATAAAAACTAAGACACACACACACTGGCCTAGATTACACAGGCTCAGTATCATCAATATCATTGTCTTCCACTTCCACACCCTATCCCACTGGAAGGTCCTCAGGGGCAATGATAGGCATGGAGCTGTCATCTCCTATTATAACAATGCCTTCTTCTGGAATACTTCCAGAAGGAACTGCCTAAGGCTGCCTTACAGTTAACTTTTTTTTTTTTTTTAATTCTTAAAAATAGAGACAAGGTCTTGCTTTGTTGCTCACACTGGTCTCAAACTCCAGGGCTCAAGCAATCCTTGTGCCTCAGCCTCCCAAAGTGGTGGGATTACAGGTGTGAGCCTGGTCAACCTTTTTTTTTTTTAAGCTACTTCTACTTATAAAAGTAGAGAACATTCTAAAACAATAAAAAGTATAGTATGGTAATTTTTTATTTTTATTGAGAAATAAAAATAAAATTCTAAGCCCCCCAACCAACTGAATAGATCCCCCCTTGACCAAGAGGACCCCAGAGAAACCTTAAAACTGAGTTCCTGGCCATGATGAGATGGGAGGCCGGACATGCCTTGTTACGCCCCCTCTCTCACTAAGGCTTTCTTCCCTAAAGGCTTAACAGAAACCAGTCTTTTTAAAAGGCTCCGCCACTGATGTCAACCAATGGCTTGATGGTGCCCCTCCCTTTTGCAGTTTTGACACAACTGACCAGCATTTCTGATAAGAGACCACCGACCATGAAGTGGTTCTGGCCAGTCTACAGGGGTTGGGTGCAGTGAGGGTTTTCATGCCCTCTGCATCCCCTTTTGATGTTCAGAGAGCCAAAAACTCCAACCTTGGATCATGCTAACGCCACCATTTTTTTTACACCTGCCACCCATGAAGCTCAACTGTGCATGTGCACATTTCTCTTTTCATAAATATTCATGACTCCTCCTATAGCCTGTTAAATACATATATTCAGCCACCCCACTCAGCATACATTCCTGTTCCTTTTGCCTCTCCTTTCGAAGTGCAGGTTTCTGGCTTCTGGCCAGAGGCTACACTTCCCAGCTTGTCAGAATGGCCACCTGCACGCTGCAACCTTTTAAGAGCAATAAAGGTGGGCTTTCCAAATTTATTAACCTCATCATTCTTCGGTTGACAACACAAACCAGTAACATAGTCGTTTATTATCATTACAAAGTATTATATGCATTACATAATTATATGTGCTATACTTTTACATAACTGGCAGTGCAGTAGGTTTGTTTACACCAGCATCACCACAAACATGTGAGTAATGCATTGTGCTACATATTATGTACTACATAATATGTGCTACACATTATGATGGCTATGAAGTCACCAAGCAATTGCAATCTTCTAGCTCCAGTATAATCTTATGGGACCACCATTGTATATGGGGTCTATAATTGACTGTAGTTGGGAACCAATTGACCCTGAGAAATTGCCTATAATTGGAAACCACTTGACTCTGAAAAGGACTGGTTGCTCTGGCCTTTGAGTAATGACTGACTCCAACACAGTACTCAGAATTGCTCCTTTGTTTGAGGCCCTGAGGCCTTTACTTCCAGTGAAGTGAACTAAATAGAGTCAATGGGAGAAGCAGTTTGATGCCAGGTAGTGCCTGAGGGCAGATATATTTCGGAAAGAGATCTTAGTGGAGGATATAAAAATTGGTTCCTTTGAAACTACCTGGGTCTGGTGCTCTGAGGAAGTCTTCTGTCTCCCTAGAATTCCCATACCCCAGTTTGAAGACTGCTGGTTTATTTAGCTCCCCCTTGAATCTGGCAAAAAGTTTGGGGGAGGAATTTGTGCTGCAGACTAAAGGTGGAGGCTGGGTGAGGTGGGGAGGATTAGACCAGAGGGAAAGAATTCAAGCTATACATAAAAAGGACTTATTGTGGCTCCAGAAAGACATGAACTAGGGAAGGCACCTAGGATATGATGGCCTGAACTCAGAGCCATCCAGTGAGCATCCTGCTTAGAGCCTTCTCAGCATCCTTCTCATCCAGGATAATTGGGCGCATCCAGGGAGAGGAGGGCAGGGCAGGGTCAACAACCCTACTCCTTTCTTCCCCCTTTTTTTCAGTTTTTCTTTTAATTGTGGCAAGAAATAAGGAGTTAAAATATAATCTTCTAAAATATTCTCCTCAACTCTCATAAATTTGTAGTTGAAACAGACTCCTGTAACACAAGATAGATTAGCAAGAGAAAAACAGCAAGTTAATAAATTAATTAAATAATTAATTACTTTTGAGACAGGATCTCGCTCTAGTGCCCAGACTGAAGTGCAGTGGCAAGATCACGGCTCACTGCAACCTCTGCCTCCCGGGCTCAAGCGATCCTCCCACCTCAGCCTCCCGAGTAGCTGGGACTACAAGCATGCACCACCATGCCAGGCTAATACTGCATTTTTTGTAGAGATGGAGTTTTGCTGTATTGCTCAGGCTGATCTCAAACTACTGAGCTCAATGTATCCACCCACCCCAGCCTCCCAGAGTTCTGGAATTACATGTGTGAGCCACTGTACCTGGCCAGCAAGTGTATTAACTAACGTGTATAGTGTACACCATGTGGAAGAAATCTCAGTGAAAGGTAACTCAAAGTGGTAGCTTAAAACTATGAGCATCATATCTTCAACAACAAAGAACAATAAATTTTATAGAAGTGACAGGACATAGGAAAGCAGTTTTAGATTTCCAAAGGCAAGAAACTGTAGCAAGATAAATCTGTGGGAATACACCAACAGAATAAGGCTTTTTTGTAGGTTCTTCTGGTGCTATTTCTGGGCTGATAAGTGCTATCTCCAGTAAAGTGGACTTTATATCCTATCTTTAGGCAGAAAAGCAGATGGATAGAGAGATCTTTTCTTTTGTTTGCTACTTCTTAATTGCCTTTAATTCAAAAATATTTAAGTCAAAGAAGAATATTTTGGGGTAACACATTCTGGTTTCCTTCACACATCAATACAATTTACCATCTTAACTATTTTTAAATGTACAATTCAGTGGTATTAAACACATTCATAATATTGTGCAACTGTCACCATCACCCATCTTCATAATTCTTTTCATCTTGAAAAGATGAAAACTGAAACTTTAGGTCAGGTTCATACCTGTAATCCCAGCATTTTGGGAGGCCAAGGAGGCATCGCTTGAGTCCAGGAGTTCCAGACCGGCCTAGGCAACATGGTGAAACTCCATCTCTACCAAAAAAAAAAAAAAAAAAAAAAATACAAAAATTAGCCAGTCGTGATGGTGCCTGCCTGTAGTCCCAGCTACTTGGGGGACTGAGGTGGGAAAATCACTTGAAGCTGGGGAGACTGGGGCCACAACGAGCCATGATCATGCCACTGCACTCCAGCCTGGGTGACAGAGAGTGAGACTGTCTCAAAAAAAAAAAAAAAGAAAAGAAAAAGGAAAACAAAACTGAAAGTTTATGCCCATTAATAAGCCTTCATTCTCCTCTCCCCCAAGCCCATGATAACCACCATTCTACTTTCTGTCTCTGTGAGTTGACTACTGTAAGCACCCCTCATGTAATTGGAATCAAAAAGTATCTGTCTTTTTGTGACTGGCTTATTTTACTTAGCATAGTGTCCTTGAGATTCATCTTTGTAGCATGTGTCAGAATTTCCTTCCTTTTTAAGGCTGAATAATATTCCATTGTGTGTCTATACCATATTTTGCTTATCCATTCATCTGTAAATGGGCACTTGAGTTGCTTCCATCTTTTGTTTATTGTGAATAATGCTGCCATGAACTTTGATGTACAAAGAGCTCTTTGAGACCTCGCTTTCAGTTCTTTTGGGTATATACCCAGAAGTGGAATTGCTGGATCATATAGTAATTTTATTTTTAATTTTTTGAGGAACCACCATGCCACCATAAACTCTTTTCATACCAGTTTACGTTCCCACCAACAGTGCACAAGGGTTCCAATCTCTCTACATCCTCTCTAACACTTATTTTCTGTTTTTTTCTTTTTGATAGCAGTCATGAGGTGGCATCTCATTGTAGTTTGGTTTGCATTTTTCTAATGATCAGTGATATTGAACATCTTTTCATGTGCTTAGTGGGGATATATGTATATCCTGTTTGGATAAATGTCTATAAAATTCCATTGCCCATTTTTTGAATCAGGTTGTTTGGTTTTTTTGTTTTTGAGTTTTAGGTGAGTTCTCTATATATGCTGGATATTAATTCCTTATTAGATATACGGTTTGCGAAGATTTTCTCCCATTCTGTGGGTTGCCTTTTTACTCTGTTGATAGTGTCTTTTGATGCATAAATTTTTCAAACTTTCATGAAATCCAATTTCTCTCTGTTTTTCTTTTTTGCCTGCGCCTTTGATGTCATTTCCAAAAAATCATTGCCAGTTGGGCGTGGTGGCTTATGCCTGTAGTCCCAGCACTTTGGGAGGCTGAGGCGGCAGATCACCTGAGGTCAGGAGTTAAAGACCAGTCTGGCCAACCTGGTGAAACCTCGTATCTATTTAAAATACAAACATTAGCCAGGCGTGGTGGTGCATGCCTGTAATCCCAGCTACTCTGGAGGCTTAGGCGGGAGAATCGTTGGAACCTGGGAGGCAGAGGTTGCAGTGAGCAGAGATTGAGCCACTGCACTCCAACCTGGGTAACAGAGCAAGACTCTGTCTAAAAAAAAAAAAAAAAAAAAAAAAAAATCATTGCCAAATCCAATGTCATGAAGCTTTTGCCTTATGTTTTCCTTCTAGTCTTAGGTGTTACATTTAAGTCTTTGATTAATTTTGAGTGATTTTTCTGTATGGTGTTAGGTAAGGTCCAACTTCATTATTTTGTATATGGATATTCAGTCTTCCCAAACCATTTGTTGAGAAGAATGTTCTTTCCCCATTGAATGGTCATGACACCCTTGTCAAAAATCATTTGGCCATACATGTAAGAGTTTATTTCTGGGATGTCAATTTTATTCAATTGGTCTATATGTATGTTTTTATGCCGGTACCACACTGTTTTGATTACTGCAGCTTTGTAGTAAGTTTTGAAATCAGGAAATGTGAGTCCTTCAGCTTTGGTCTTCTTTTTTAAGATTTTTGGCTATTCAGGATCTCTTGAGATCTCAAATGAATTTTAGCATCAGTTATTCTGTTTCTCTCCAAAATATCACTGGGATTTTGAGAGGAATTGCATCAAATCTGTAGGTCACTTTGGGTAGTATTGACATCTTAACAATATTAAGCCTTCCAACCCATGAACATGGGATGTGTTTCTGTTTAATTATACTTTCTTTAATTTCTTTCAGCAATATCTTGTAGTTTTTATTGTACAAGACTTTCCTTGTCTAAATTAATTTCTAATTATTTTCTTCTTTTTGGTGCTATTATAAATGGAATTGTTTTCATACTTCCCTTTTCAAATTATTCATTTTCAGTGTATAGAAATGCAAATGATTTTTGCATTGTGTTGACTTTGTATCCTACTACTTTGCTGAATTCATTTTATTCTAACAATTTGTGTGTGTGTGTAATATTTAGGATTTTCAGCATACAACACCATATTATCTGCAAACATTGAGAATTTTACTTCTTTCTTTCCAATTTGGATGTCTTCTATTATTATTATTTTTCTTGCCTAAATGCCCTGGCTAGTACTTCCAGGGCTATGTTAAACAGAAGTAGTAAAAGTAGGTATCCTTGCCTCATTCCTGATCTTAGAGGAAAAGTGTTCAGTTTTTCACCATTAAATATCATGTTTGCTGTGGGTTTTCCCACATGGCTTTCACTGTTGGTATAGTTTCCTTCCGTTCCTGGTTTATTGAGTATTTTTAATCATAAAACAGTGTTGAATTTTTGTCAAATGCTTTTTCTGCATCAATTGCGGTAACCACGTGTTTTTTCTCCTTCATTCTGTTAACATGGTGCATTACATTGGTCAATTTTCATATGTTTAACCATTCTTGCATTCCAGAAATAAATTCCACTTCATCATGGCATATGATCCTTTTAATATACTGCTGAATTTGGTTTGCTAATATTTTGTTGAGGATTTTTGCACCAATATCATAAGAAATATTGGTCAACAGTTTTCTTATTTTATTTTTTACTCTGTCCTTCTGGTCTGATAGTTTTCTTTTCTTACAGTGTCTTTGTCTGGCTTCAGTATCAGTGTAACATTAGTTTCATGGAATGAGTCAGGAAGTGTTCCTGCCTCTTCAATTCTTGGAAAAGTTTGAAAAGGATTAGTATTGTTCTTTTTTAAGTGTTTGGTAAAACTCATGGTGAAGCCATCAGGTCCAAGGCTTTTCTTTGATGAGACATTTATGACTACTGATTCAATCTCCTGACTATTTATAGGTGCATTCAAATTTTCTATTTCTTTGTGATTTCACCTTGCTGTAAGTTTTGTGTTCTAGGAACCTGTCAATTTCATTTAGGCTATCCAATTTGTTGATGTACAATTGTTCATAGTACTCTCTCAAAATCCTTTTTATTTATGTAGGATTGGTAGTAATATCCTCACTTTCATTTCTGATTTTAATAATTTGAATCTTCTTTTATTCTTAGTCCCTCTCCCTAAAGGTTTGTAAATTTTGTTGATCTTTTCAGATAACCAACTTTTGTTTCATTAATCTTTTCTATTTTTTGTATTGTCTATTTTGTTTATTTTTGCTCTGATCTTTATTATTTCCTTCTCTTTGCTAGCTTTGTTTAGGTTTTTTTTTTTTAATGTAAACATTTATAGCTATACGTTTCCCTGTGATCAGTGCATTTGCTGAGTGCCGTAAGTTTTGGTATGTTCTGTTTTTATTTTCATTCATCTGTAAGTATTTTCTAATTTTCTTTGTGATTTCTTCTTTGAAACATTGGTTGTTTAGCATCCTAAAGTTATAACATTCTAATTTGAATTTAGACAAGCTTAACCACAATTTTGTGAGTTTTCTAGTTTTACTTCTGATTCTGCTTTCTAATTTTGTCTTGTTGTAGTTACAGAAGATACTTTGTATGATATCTATCTATCTTTTTTTTTTTTTTGACCTTGTCTCTGTTGCCCTGGCTAGAGTGCAGTAGTGTGATCACAACTCACTGCAGCCTCAACCTTTTGGGCTCAAATGATCCTCCCACCACAGCCTCCAAAGTAGCTGGGACCACAGGTATGCACACCATGCCTGGCTAATTTTTTTCTTTTTTTTTGTTTGTAGAAATAAAGTCTTGCTATGTTGCCCAGCCTGGTCTCAAACTCCTGGGCTCAAGTGATCCTCCTGCCTTGGACTTCCAACATGCAGACATCTATTTTTTCAAATATATTGAGACAATTTGTGGCCTATCATATGATCTACCCTGGACCATGCCCCATGTGCACTTGAGAAGAATGTGTATGTTGTCGTTGCTGGGCAGAGTGTTCTGTTTATGTCTGTTAGATCTAGTTGGTTTATTATGTTGGTTTCTTAAGTCCTCTATTTTCTTGTGTATCTTACTTGTCTGGTTGTTCTGTCTGTTATTGAGAGTGGGATATGGATGTTTACAACTGTTATTTTACAACTTTCTATTTCTCCCTTTGATTCTGTCAGTTTTTGCTGAATATATTTTGATGATCTGTCATTAGGTTGTAAATGTTTATAGTTGTTCTAGTTTCTTAATGTGTTGAAACTTTTATTTATATTGCCCTTCTTGTCTCTTGTAACCATTTTTACAATTTAAAATCTATTTTGTCTGATATTAGTATAGTCACCTGTGTTATCTTTTGTTTACTATTTGCATGCAATATCTTTTTCCATCGTTTTACTTTTATTCTATATGTGTCTTTGGAGCTAAAGCAAGTCTCTTGTAGACAGCATGTAGTTGGATCATGGGTTTTGTTGCTGTTATTGTTGTTGTTTTTCAGAAAAAAATATTTCCTGCCAATCATCTCTGTCTTTTCATTGGAGAGTTTCATCCATTTACATTTAAAGTTATTACTAATAAGAAGGGACGTACTTCTGTCATTCTGCCATTTTTTTATATGACTTACAGCTTTTTTTGTCCCTTATTTCCTGCATTGCTCTTTTGTGTTTAATTGATTTTTTTTTTAAAAACATAGTGCTGTTTAAATTCTTTTCTCATTTCCTTTTGTGTATATTCTATACCTATCTCTTTGCAGTTAAATGTAAAGGGGATTACATGTAACATCCTAAAGTTATAACACTAATTTGAATTTAGAAAAGCTTAACCTCAATAACACACAAAGACTCTGCTCCTTTATGGCTTTATCTCCACCCCTTTCAGTTGTTGTTGTCACAGACTGCATATTCACACATTGTGTGACAAAAGCATAAACTAATAAATCTTTTAAATGCATTGATCTCTTCAATTATGTAGTAAATAAAATGTGGATTTACAAACCAAAGTTACAATAATACTAGCTTTTAAACAAATATTTTTTTAATATATTAATCTCTTAAATCATGCAGAATACAAAAAGTGAAGGTACGAACTACCATTACAACAGTTCTAGCTTTTCTCTCTTCTCCTTTTAAGACTCCCACAATGTGTATGGGCTGGAGGTGAAGGATGGGTGATATGGTTACTACTCTGCTAAGAGCTAAAACTGATTGACAGTAACTGCAATTTACTGCCCAACCTTCCACTGGAAGTTTTTAAGCCTGCAATAGATTTCAGAGTTATAAAACAGTTACATCAAACAGATTCTGCCAGCAAATCATTGTCTAAGTGGGGAGATAGATTCCTGGTATTTTCTACTCCACCATCTTGCCAGATTTACCCCCTATTTCTTTTTAAGTTCAACAAATTAGTATTGCAGAAGTGAGCAAGCTATAGCCCAAGGGCCAAATCTGGCTGCCTCCTGTTTTTGTAAGACCAGTGAACTAAGAATGACTTTATTTTGTTTATTTCTAACTACACCTACTTGAATAGGAGAACTTATACTTTCAATGGCTGAAAAAAATTAAAAGAAGAATATTTTGTGACGTGAAAATTCTATGAAATTCAAATATTGGTGTTCATAAGTAAAGTTGTATTGAATCATAGCCATGCTCATTTGTTTATATTGTCTATGTTTATGGCTGCTTTCTAGCTGTGATGGTAGAGGTGAGTAGTTGCAACAGAGACCAAATAACTCAAATGACCTATAGGGCCTAAAATATTTGCTATCTAGCCTATTACAGAATAAGTTCACCAATCCTTATTTTAAGCCATGCTGATGGATGGAGATAATTCAGACTTAGGTCTCTAGCAAGAAATATCTAGGGCCCTGAAGGAAGAACTCATCAGAAGTGAAGTGAGCTTAGAACACTGACCTGGGTCCAATATCAGGGAAAAGTCACCATGAAGGGAGATTCAGCTTTGGCACAGCTTTGGCACAGACTTGAAGCTCCCTGACCTGGGCTGGAAGCAAGTATGCTTCAGGTATCAAGCACTGAAGAGCAAACTAAAGAGCTATAACACTGGGACTCCAAGCCAGGGGCACTATAGGGGGAGTGTGCTTGGCCAAGGATTTACCCTTGCTTTACCCTTGCTTGTTGTCTTCCCTGAAGAACCATGCTGGCCAGGCAAGGATCAGAACCATCAAGGGTGTCTGTCACCTGAGCAGGGAAAAAGGCTCACTGGACTTTGGGACTACCTGCTGAAAACAGTTATGCAGAAAGTGAGCCTAGGAACAAAATGGGGTTGGGTAGCCAGGCATTGTTGAGGGCCCACTTCAGTTTAGTGAACATTGATTTACACAGATAGCAGTCAATTTTAGAGTTGGGTCGTTCACCAGTAGCACTTAGCTACTGAGGACAGGCTCAGAAAAGTAGGTAATGGCAACATTACCAGATGGCATGATGCAAAGACACAGGCTTTGAAATTTAAGTCTATCAGAGAGACTGCTACTGAATTGATAGAGCATAGAATCTAAACTACACAAGAAAGAAGTAAAGAAAAAATAGTTAATTGGAACAAGTGAAGGGTCTAGTTAGAGTGAAGGACAGTTGTAGCAGGAATGGCTGGAAAAGCAAGATGGAAAGAGATGCTCCAATTCCTGTTTTTGCAGAAGGGGCTGTTTCAGGTAGTCCCTGGTCCAGGGTGAGCTGGTAGGAGGTGTTGGCTGAGGTGGTTGGAAGAGGAAAGATTTGTTGATGAGAAGGCCTGAATTCTGAATTGGTATTGTCTTAGTGTGTTTGTGTTACTATAAAGGAATACCCGAGGCTGGGTAATTTATAAAGAAAAGAGGTTTATTTGGCTCACAGTTCTGCAGACTGTACAAGAAGCATGGCACCAGCATCTGCCTCTGGCTTCTGGTGAGGGCTTCAGGCTGTTTCCAATCAAGACAGAAGGCGAAGGAAACCTGGTATGTACAGATCACCATGTGGCCTCCAGGCTTTTTGTTAACAACCAGCTTTCTTGGAAACTAATAGAGCTAGAACTATTAATCTTCCCCGGGGAGCATTAATCTAATCATGAAGGATCCACCCTCACGACCCAAACACTTCCCATTAGGCCCCACCTCCAACACCGGGGATCAAATTTCAACATGAGATTTGAGGGGATAAAAACACCCAAACTCTAGCACTCAACCACATGGAGGTTGGAAGCATGTAGGATTAAGGGAGGATTTGAAGTGGTAGAGACGGAAGCCAATGATGAGAGTGACAGGAAGGGGAGAGGGTGACACATAGTATAAGCAGCAAAGGGTGGGGAAGAAGTGGTCTGAAAGGAATAGTAAACAACTATGGCTGTGGTAAGTGTCCTGAATGAAAAACACCAGAACGCCAGGTATGAAAATAACAAGGGGGAACGGGGAGCCAGGGCCCATCTTCACTGGGGAAATGGCATTTAACTGGAACTGCAAAGAATGAATGGGTGCTGTGGCAGAGCACACAGACACCCGCTGGAGAGGAGAGAGAACTGGCGCTTCCCATCCGGCAATGCCCCTGGCTGGCAAGGTGAGGGAGCAAGTGCCCAGCCTCCCTGTGCACCTGTCCAGTGGGGCAGCAGCAGTACTCACTTCACAGGGTTCTTATGAAACACAAAGGAGTGAATACATTTGTAAACCCCTAAAAACACATAGTAAGCTTTATGTAGGGGTTAGCTATTATATTTTCATTTAAGAAAAAATATTTCCCCTGGAATCACATCCAACCAAAATTACAGCAAGTCTTGTTTTCTGTACTCATTCAATTCTTTAAACACCCCATGAGGTAAGTTAAAAAGAAAAAACCCTAAAAAGTAGTTTTCTCTTTATCTTCTCTCAATCAGCACCGCCTCAAATCCTAGCTTTACCTGCATTCTGTGGCTTCCACAAAGGGCCTTTTATGAAAATCTGGGGCATTCAGGAGGTGGCTTACTGCCAAACTGCCTTTTAATTTATCAAAGACTCTCGGCTCTCAGGTGTTTAGATAAGTATTGATTAATTTTTTAGGCCAGAAGTTTTTGTGGGAGAAGTCAAGTGTTCGTGTGTTACTGTGAGGAGATGACCTGCCACACCCAGGAAGACCCTTGCTCCCTGGATCCCCAGCCAGGTGGCATGTTCCCCATGTACAGCACCCTGGGACAGTCAGATGGCCCCTTTCTGGATTTCTGGGTCAGACCATTTTGGGAGTCATCTCCAAGTGTCTCAGACAAGTTTCCATGCCTGATCCAAAACTAGGTAAGTTACCTGTATGTATGACATCAGAAGGTTCCCACACCACCATGCACATCACAGCAAGCTGTTTGAAGGAGGTAGGATATACAATAAGTCTTTTCTTTCTTTTTCTTCTTTTGTTTTTATCATTTATTTGCACATTTGTTTCACTTTGCTATATTTTTGGAGCACTGTGAGCTGATCTGAATCCTTGGAATCATCAGTGGCAACCAGGTAGTGGAGGGGCCAGAACCGAGGATATGGAGATTGGGCCAAGACATGCAGATGGATCCAGGAGATGTGAGGCAGGTAGAATCCTGAGCCCTGGGCCACTGACAGGCTAAGGAATCACCCTTGGCAGGATACCACATGCCCCTCTAAAGATACCAGCAGCAGCAAGTCCCATTTCAGAAGCTTTGGAGGCTGCAGACCTTGGGAAAACAAAGGTAGATCAACAGGGCAGATAACACAAGTTGGACGGGCTGGTTTTTGAGATGATGCGATGCACACCTTTAAGAACTCCTAGAAATAACTGAGAGATGCGCTATAGGGAGAAACAGCTGAGCTGGCAGGCTGGGAACTCCAACCATTGCCAACTGGGCATCAGAAATCAACAGAGCCACAGTTTGCTCTCAGTGAGCACCCTGATCGACCTCCCCTGCTATTTCTTTACAGTCTCCATGGATTCATCAGCTCAAGCTTCCTGAGCCACAGGTGGAAGATGAGATGAGTGTAGCTAGACGAGTAGTAGTTAAGGAGAAATCCATTTATTGATCACTCTCCATGTGCCAGATATTTACTCTTCAAGCAAGACATCCTTCGAGGTAGGTCTGGTTATTCTCACATTACAGATGAGAACACTAAGATACAGAAAAGATGTTTACTTGCCCCAGGTCACACAGCTGGTAAGTGACAAAGCCAGGATCTAAACTCAGTTTGATTCATCCCCTTTCTGCATGCTGGGGAGACAGTGCATTCTTTGGGATCCAGTCAGCAGTGAATGAGTGAAGAGACAGTACTTTTCCAAAGAACTCTTAATATCAACACGTTGGTCTCCTCTAGCCACAGACCAGATGCTGTGGCCACTGTTGAGGGGGGGTCTTTCTCCCTTGGCAGTGCAGAGGCCTCTTCAGAAAAGCCAAGTGTGCTCCCAGCAAATTCTTACTTTCGCTGAAACAACTGCTTGCATTCTACACCCTTGGCTAAGGCTAGCAGCACTCAGGCTGAGCTGTTATTAACTGTGCAAAATCAACAGCACCATCTCACGCCATAAAATGACTCTGCAAAAGATTAGCCTTTGCACTAGGATCAGCTAAGGGAGCCAGTCTAAACCCTTAATTCAAGCTTTCCAAATTAGTCAGCCTCTACTTGCACTCCTGATATGTCTCTGAAGCCCCTGGGTCTAAGTCCGACCTGGGGGTTAGGGAGGAGGAAAATATCCCAGGGACTTTGGTACACCCTTTTCAGGGTTATACAGCTGGATGGGGCCCAGGTTGGTTCAGAGGAGTCATTGGGAGTCCTGGAAATATGTGTTGAAACATGGACCCAAGACTGAGCGCTCAAGAATAAATTCCTATAAACCAAGCCCAGCTGGGGCTCAGAAAACATCAGAAATTGGAAGCAGGGAAATGTGTGCTTCTGGGTGCTAAGATTAATTTGGGGCAGAATTAGAAAGAGACCAAAAGAGAAAAGAGACCTAGAAGTTGGCAGACTTGATTAGCTGATTGTCTTTCTGCCATCTTATGAATTCTGAAAAATGGTGCCACTGAATTCTGCAGGTCAATCCACTTGCCCTGAGTTTCTTCTCAGGGTTGGCAGTGCCCTGGGAAGAAATACGTGGCCTGTCTTGTTGAAGTGAAAGATATGTGTTCCTTAGGGCACTGTTTTGGGAACAGAGCAGCAGAAGCCCCCTGCTCTGGGTGAAACTCATGCCTCCCAGCCGCACTAGCTGTGCTCTGCACCCCAGAAACATCTGAAAACTGCACTTGGTTGGCACCAGCCCCTCCCTTGCTTTGTGTGTTTAGAACCCTCCAAAGGACTAATTGTTACTCTTCCAGAGAGGGAGCCCAGCCTCCTCAATTTTGTAATGTCACTCACAGACCACAGGAAAGTATTCCTTCCGAATTCCTGAACTCCAAGCCTCCATATTCAATTGCCTACTCAGCTTCTCTACTCGGATGTCTAATGGACAAAATTAACATGTCCCCAAATGGACTCTGAAGCTCCTCCTCTCAAACTTGTCCCACTCTTAGGATTCCCCATCTTGCTCATGCCAGAACCATTCTTCCACTTGCTCAGATCCAAAACCTTGGAATCAAAACCCACATGTGGTTCATGGAAAATCCCATTGACTCTATCTTCAAGATATATCCAAAGTCTCATCCCTTTCATCACCTTCATACACAAGCTACAGACATAACTCCTGGGTTGTTACCACAGCCTCCTAACTGGCCTCTTCCCATCCATCCTGGCTCCTCCTTGGGCTATTCTTACTGCAACAGCCACCAATTTCTTTTTTAAAAGAAATCAGATCACATCACTGTCAAAGCTCATCACATCAGCTCAAAAACCATTCAAAGGCTTCCCACCTACTTAAAGGCCCTGCACAACCTGGTGCCCTTGGCCCTGCACATGCCTTTCCTCTCTGACCTCCTCTCCTACTCTCCCCCTTGCTCACCAACTGCAGCCACCCTGGCCTCTTGCTCTCCTTTGAATATGCTAATATGTGTGTTCCTACCTCAGGGCCTTTGCACCTGTGGTTACTTCTGCCTGAAGCACTCTTCCCTACTTCCCACAAAAAATCACGAACTATGCTTACAAATTCTTACTCTTCCCTACAAGAGGTGGCACCTAATCCCATTCCCCTTGACTTTGTGACTCAATTCTAAGGACCAGAATAAAGAGAAGTGATGGTATGGAAGTGCAGAGCCTCGTCAGAAAAGGCACCACAGCTTCCCCTTTGTTTGCTCTCCCTTGGATCACTCACGTGAGGGGAGGCTGGGTGGAGAAATCCACATAGTGAGGAACTGAGGCCTCCTGCCAATAGCCCTGTGAATGTGCCACCTTGGCAGCAGATCCTCCAGCCCCAGTCCAGCCTTCAGATGACCACAGCCCTGGCCAACTGCTAGACTGCAGCCTCTGAGAGGCTCAGCCAGAAGTACCCAGCTAAGCCACTTGCAGTTTCTGACCCTGATCAGAAACCCTGAGAATACATTTTTGCTGTTTCAAACTTCAAAGTTTTGGGGTAAGTTGTTATGCAATAATAGATCATTGATACACTTGCTTCCTCATTCCCTTCAAGTTTTTGCTGCAATCTCACCTTCTCAGAGATGCCTTCCTTAACTCCCCTATTTAAAATGGGGTGCTCCCCAGTCCCCATCTGTGATTTATTGTTCTCCCTGGCACTCAATCACTTTCTAATTCTCTGTATAACTTACATATTTTATTGCCTTTCTCCTCAATAAAATACAAGTTCCGTGTTTTATTGGTAGTTGGTAAATCTGTGCTGGCTAAATACATGAACACATGCCTCTGCTTTATGCTTCTACAGTCACTGAATTCGAGGTTTTTAATCTTGTTCTGATGCTGTTTTTCTAAGGATTCGGTCTGGCTTTTATCTTTTTCACTACCACACAGGCCAGGGAAGACCACTAGATAGTGACCAGGCCACGCAGCTTCTCTCCTAAGGCTAGGTGGGCTACAAAGATAAGTACCTCAAAGGCTGGTGGGTATGTCTTTCATACATAATCGATGATCAATTTCCAAGGAGTTTAATTTAGTCAAACAGGCTCTCATAGACACAAACAGTGAGAACAGCAGATATACCAAGTGGAGGCTAATCTGATTGTCCTTGGTGCCAGGATATTCAAGTCTGTCATGGGTGGTGAGCCTGCAGTCATGTGGCACCAGAGGGGCAGCTGTATCAACAGGCCCCTTGCAGGCCTGCACATGACATGGCCAGAGATTCAGTTTCAAATAAGGGGGAAGGGAAGAATGAGTAGGGAAAGGACAAGGAAACCCTTTTGCACAATGAAGAGTTGTTCACAGGCCTGTGTCAGAGGGGACAAATCCTATAATGAGGGCCTGAGTTCTTAGAAAGCCAGTGCCTGCTGTTGTACAATCCACTCTTGGGTATCTGCCCATTCGCTGGACATGCTTTGGTGCCCTTCCAGAAGGTGGTATACCTTGACACTTGGACCAGGAAGGATATCTCCACCCCAAACATAGATTACTGCAATGTCCTTGGGACACAGTGCCTGTATTGTTATAATAATCTAAACGTGCTTGGCATCACAAGGCCATGAGGGCGTTTTCTGGGTTCACAGCATGGTGTGTTCTCTGAGTGACAGGTGTGCTGCGGGAGAAACACTGAATGGTCAGCGCATCTGCATCTGGCTCAGGCCTTCTCTGCATGTCAACCAGCTGCAGAGGTTACTTTACCTCTGTCAGCCTGGACCTCAGTTTCCTCAACTGACAAATGACTGTTTTTCTCAGTCTCCTGTCCCCTGCTGCCTCCAACCTTTTCTGAACTGCTGGAGAGATGTAGCAAAGAACCACAAAGCAAGGGGTCGTGAGTGTTGGCATTGTTCATTTCGACAGTAATCAGGGCTGTTAGTTATGGCGGGGATTTACAGAGGTCGGGCACCCTGGCTATGAAAAAGTCCACCTTTGGCCACCCAGGCAAGTGCCCCACCAAATTCCAATGGCAAGAACTTGTCCGTTCTGCCTCCCTGGTGAACCCTAAAGCCCAGGTAACCCCCTCCCCTCTTTACCTCTCTGACTGGTTCTTTAAGTCTCTTCTCACCTCTGATGATTAGCTAAGCCTGCTTCATACTTTACCTTCAGTGAGCATGACCAGGAATCTCTTGTTGTATCAGGTAGGTAAAGTGCTTGCTTGCACATTGAAAAGTTTCATCCATTGGCCTTAACTCTAGATAGGGTTTCAGGCAAGGCAGACAGGAAGCTGAGAAGAGAAGGCAGGGCTGGGAAGTCCCCGTGGCTCAGGGCACCTCTGCGCTTGGGCAGAGAACCCTTGACTCACCTTCCACCGTGCCCTGACCCCTGGTGTGGAAACTAGCACAGTTGGATCCGTATCACGTGTCACGGGGCTGGTTACAAATAGCACAGGGATTGGCAAACTCATCCCGAAACTCCCGGTTCAAGGGCAGGGAAAGTTACCAGTTTAATTCCGGCAGATCATTAGTGGTGGAGAACCAGGAAGGGGGTTCTATCGCAAAGGAGGGCTGTGCGCAGACACGTGGGTGCGGGAGGGGCAGAGCTGGTCCGGCGCGGGGCTTGCCGCGTCTCGGCCTCAGTCTCGGAGCCAGGACCTCAGGCCTGAATGGCTGGGTGTGGAGGGCCCTTGTCTCACATTCTGTAGAGCGCACGTCGTCCCGTGACCTGGTGGCTCCATATTCGATGGGGAGCTCGCAGCGAGTCGCTTCCCTCTGTAACCCCACTCCAGGTCTCCAGAGCAGTAGGAGGGCCACAGGGCTGCTGGGTGTAGTCGCCCCGGACCTCGCGGTGGCCAAGGCCAAGGCGGCCGGGGCACGGTACCCTGTTCGGCCTGGGCCGCAACCACGAAGGAGGCGGTGGAGGCGGGGGCCGGCGCTTCCTCCGCGCCCCCCACGCCGCCGCTCTCTCGCGCCCCTATAGAACTGGGCCTCAGGCCTCGAGGGGGAGCGGGCCTCGGCGGGCGGGGCGCACAGTTCCGCCAGCCGGCGGGGGCATCTCAACTCGCCGGCCCCGCCAGGTGTGCGGGCCAGGCAGCCGTGGAAGGTGCCCATTTCTCCCAGATTCCTCGCGCGCACGGCCACGAGCGCGGAGGCTGCCAAACCCGCCAGCCCTGGGTTCCGAAGCCGCCCCTGGCTCTCCATTCCCTCGCGGGCGCGCCCCGGGCCCCCAGTGGCGGCCAGCTCCCACCGGTCGCTCCTGCACTGCCCTGCCCTGCCCTCCCCGGGCCGCCGCGCCCGCGCAGCACCGCCTCCTTCTCTAAATACTGCCGGGTCCGCCCTCCGCACCAGGACGCGCGGTGGGTAGGGTGCAGGGCGGCCGGCGCAGCCGAGGCCGCGTGCGGAGGCGGACGCCGCGCCCAGCCAGTGCCCACAGCAGCGCGGTCAGCCAGGCGCCGGACCCAGCTTCAGGTAAGCTGCCCCGGCCCGCGCGCCTGCGCCGGCGGCGGCGGGTCGGGCGCTGAGCTGTGCGGCCAGGCTGGGCGCGGGGAGCCGCGGCAGCGCGGAGGCGCTGGGTATCCGAGCCCAACCTGCGTCCCTGCGAGCCCCTCCGGCTGTTGCTTGCGCTCGGGCTCCCTAAAAGCCGCAAACCGATTTCGCACAGAAGGCATTTGCCTCTCGTTTCGTTCCCCAAACGCACCATAGCTTTGGACGTGGAGAGGTGCTGTGAATTTTGGAAATGTCTTTTGGAAAACCAATAGGAGTGTTGGAGAGGGGAGTTTGGCTTTGGGGAGTTTAAGTGTAGGGTGGTGTTTGGAAAAGGTTTCATTGCGAGTGAATGTGGGTGTCTTTGTATCCGTTTGTGAGTGCATCTGTGGGAGAAGGAGAGAGAGAGAGTATTTCCACACTATTATGGATCAGAGGTGAACACTCAGCCAGGTGCTCCGTCCACTAGTCCACGGACAAGAAACTACAGATTCAGTTTTGGGCTTCTATTTACTGGTGTTTGGGAATTTGCCTTAAGACAGTTGAAGCCTTGTGACTCACTGCAAAGTTGACTATACTGGGAATAAATGAATTCCTGATAGGACTTTGCAGCCGAGAATCACCCTTCTCTTTCTTGTCTCCGAAACCGCAAAAGAGATTGCATGATTCAGGAAAAAAATTAAAACAACAACAATAACAAAAAACCAATATATATAGGTTTCAGGACTCTCCATCGTTTCATTCCACTGAGAGTTTTGGAATGTACTCCCTGTAGGATAAATGAGGACTACTGTATACTCAATATGAAATTCTTATTCACTGCAGGATGTTACTGACTTAATAAAAAATGGGAAGATTAAAAAATTAGTGCAATGCTTTGTCTCAGCTTAACTGCATCTGTATATCAAGTTTTTCCAAGTTTGAAATGAAAGCTTTTTTCCCTCCTATATTTCCTTTTTTTCTCCAACTTCCTTCTGATTCTATCATACTTTTTCCTGGAAAAGTTTTTCCCAGTGTAAGATTGCCTGTTTGCTTTCTTTACCTAAACTGACCTTCCCTCAGTGTGATTTTGGTTTGTCAAGATCATCTTGGGCTTAGGGCCTCAGTCTTGAGTTCCTTCATGGGACCATGGATGTGAGCGGCACAAAATATTTTAAAAGTTTTCTTTCCTTGGGCAGGTGAAAATAGTCTTCACGATTTTGGATTGTCTTTGCAATTGCAGGACCTGACTTACGGGGTCCTGGTAAAATATCCCATTCATTGGAGTAAAATAAGATAACGAGATAATTAGGTCAGCTCTGTGTAAGCTAGACAACTCTTTAACAACCACTTGGCATATTTAATATATTATACCCCTGAAGTACAGGGCTTGGGTGATTTTCTGGAAGGTGCTTTCTCACTTGATTCCACTTATACTATTCTTTCAAAGCCAAGTTCCCCCCTTCCACCCATTTTGTGCTTTATAACTAGCAGTTTTATTGGCTGCTTGTTTTTTAACTGAGTCTCAACCTCTTTGTGGAAGTAGGTGACACCATGGAGGAGGGTGAGTGAGAGGCCACACCAGCCTTTGGGTACCTGTCCACTCTGAAAATTGAGCTCCTGTTGACCTGCTGTGCAACACTTTCCAGGGTCATCCCAGATCCAAGCAACTGGGTCACCAGTCTGTGCTTGTTGAGAACCCAAGAACCATTTTGTTTTGTTTTGTTTTGTTTTTGGCAGGGTCTCACTCTGTTGCCCAGGCTGGAGAGTAGTGGCGTGATCTTGGCTCACTGCAACCTCCAGCTCCTGGGCTCAAGCAATCCTCCCACCTCAGCCTACCAAGTAGCTGGGACCACAGGCACCATGCCTGGCTAAAGTTTGTATTTTTAGCAGAGATGGGGTTTTGCTATGTCACCCAGGCTGGTCTCGAACTCCTGAGCTCAAGCAATCTGCCTGCCTCTGCCTCCCAAAGTGCTGGGATTACAGGCGCAAGCCACCACGCCTGGCCTCAAGAACCACATTTTGATAGAATCAACTTAAAAGTCCACCAAACCCACTGTGTTCCTGAACAGACTTCTTATTCTATTGAAATTGCTGAAATTGGGTCTTTTGTAGATGTAGCCTTAGAATAAAACATGAAATGGAAAGCTGCTGTAGTCTAAAACAGGAAATGGAAAGTTAGTTACTGAACTGACTTGAAAATGCTGAGAGCAGCTATGATGAAAAGTGGGGCATTTGCAATCAGAAAGAATCCCTGTGGTTCTTCCCTCATTCACCAGTGCTTTTTTCCCCAGGGAAATGAGTTTGTAAGACTCAGAAAAGGAAATGCCACACCCAGCTACTTTTGTTCTTTCAGTTTTTAAAAAAGATACCCTTAGATGTGTAGTAATTTAATTTCCTGTTTTGAATATCTTGTAAAATTACATATTTAGGAGTTTCTGAATGCTAGTTTATCTGACTCATAAACCAACTCATTGTTCTACAGCTTATCAGTTGTATAAAGTTCTACCCCCAAGGCCTCATTGTGGTGTGATTTCAGAAATGATCAGCAAAAAACCAGGGTGGTTCTGGAACACCTGTGCCCACGTTAATTTGGTGTTTGGTTGTGTTTGCAGAGCTGCTGAAATCTTGGAGGGAAGAAAACACATCCCACCCTGCCTCCGGGAAGGGGCCTCTCCTGGACATGTCTCCTGCAGCTGCTGCTGAGCCAGATGGGGACCAGCAGGACAGACACGTCAGCAAACTCATCTTCTGCTTCTTTGTCTTCGGCGCCGTCTTGTTGTGTGTGGGAGTCCTGCTCTCCATCTTTGGGTTCCAGGCATGCCAATATAAGCCCCTCCCAGACTGCCCCATGGTGCTCAAGGTGGCGGGGCCTGCATGTGCCGTGGTTGGGCTTGGGGCTGTGATCCTGGCCCGCTCCCGGGCGCAACTTCAGCTCCGTGCAGGGCTGCAGAGAGGTCAGCAGATGGACCCCGACCGAGCCTTCATCTGTGGAGAGAGCCGCCAGTTTGCCCAGTGCCTTATCTTTGGGTTTCTGTTCTTGACAAGCGGCATGCTCATCAGCGTCCTGGGCATTTGGGTCCCTGGATGTGGCTCCAACTGGGCGCAGGAACCGCTAAACGAGACAGACACTGGCGACTCAGAGCCCCGGATGTGTGGGTTCCTTTCTCTGCAGATCATGGGGCCCTTGATTGTGCTTGTGGGATTGTGTTTCTTCGTGGTTGCCCATGTTAAGAAGAGAAACACGCTGAATGCTGGCCAGGATGCCTCTGAGAGAGAAGAGGGACAGATCCAGATTATGGAGCCTGTCCAGGTCACTGTAGGTGGGTTGCTGTTATTTGCGTTCTTGCTTCTATCACAGTGGCTTTGCAGCAGGGTTTCACCAGCTGCTCTTGGTTCTCGTCTGGATTCTCTTTCTCAATTCTTCCATCTCTCACACATGTGTGTGCACACGCACACACCCCCATCATGTGTACATACACAATGGTGCTGCTGTGGGAAGCCCCGTAGGAACCTTGTATACATCTTTTCCCCCCCAGCAACTCTTTCCTACTTTGCAAAGCATTGGGATATTAAGTAGTGACCTTGACTGAGGTCACAGAGCAAATTAAGAGGAAAGTGAGAAGAACCATGAGGACAGCCTTGGAGCCTTCTGCCACCTTAGGGACTCACTAAGTGACCCTGTTACCCCTGTTATTCTCACACCAAAACCACATAGCATTTTAGTTGTGGGACACTTGGTTTCTCCTCCCAGGCTGTCACTAGCTGGCTGTCCTTGTAAGTCCTTAACCTCTCCTGCCTTGGTTTATGTCTCTATAAAATGAGCAGTGCCTCTCTAAGATTCCTGCAGCACTAACATTCTAGGATTCTGGATCTGTCTGAGTCCAGCAGTCTCCAGGTGTTTTGAGGGGCCTCTGCACTGTCTCTGTGTTGTCCTTCTTTTTTTGTGACATCATCCGTGGCTGCAGGGCTGAGGCAAAGCTTGGAAGCAGCGGGATGAACCAAGATGGAATATGACAGCACCTTTCTCCCGTGGAATGCCTACAAGTTCCTTTTGGGTCCCCCGGGTTCTACAGAAGAGATGGAGTGCCATTTCCCAGAGCCTGCCCCCTCAGAACAATAGCAGTAGCGTTGGCCTCAGCTTCACACAACCAAGGAAAAACCCCATCGCTGTTCATTGGCAGATCACTTTTTTTCAGTCTCCTACTTTTGAAAGAGTAAAGTTGTGAAACCACTGACATTTAAAAGGCTAGGAAAAGAGATCTTCAGAACAGAAACCATGGAGAGGACAGAGAGGGAATGTGACAAGTGAGATGCATCTCCTGTTTGGGGCTGTCTACTGGAAGCAGTGGAATTCACTGACTGCAGCCTGGAGGGGAGGAACTGGGTTGCTGGACTTGCATGGCACCAGCCTTGGAGAGGAGGGGCAGATGGATCTGCAGCCATTCCTTGTGTAGAGCCAGGGTAGATGCTCCCAGCTTATTTATTAATATATTTATGCATTAATATATTTATGGTGACAACACAAATATTAGTTATATATTCACAATAGCTAACACTTATATAGGGTCTATTTTTGTGCCAAACACCCATTTAAGTGCTTTATCATGTGCTCTTAAAGGTCCCCTGTGTGAAATTCATTCACACCTACAGCAATCCAAGGGGGCAGATAACGTTAGTACCTCCATGTTACACAGGAAGAAGATGAGGCATGTAGATATCAAGTGACTTGCCTAAGGTCACACCCTAGCAAGTGGTAGAGCAAGGTTCCAACCCAAGTGTCTGGGCACACCCACAGAATAGCCCTTGCATAGCACCCTGCCCAGGGCACGTGGGTGTGATTCCATTTTATCCTTCACCAAGTGTTCCTGGAAGTTATTACATGAAAAAAGGGGCTCCCTTTAATTTGATAGATGTTCTTAGTGTTCTTGAGGAACACCGTGGGGTACAAGTAAATATGTTCATCCAACGCTGCTATGCTTTCATCTAGTTGGGAACGGTTCGAGGGGAGTTTTGGGGCCCAGCCTTCCACCTGGTAGCTGGAATCAGAGTGGACAGAGCTGTGGTGCTGCTCCTGGTGTCCTTGTCCTGAAGTTGGCACTGCATGGTTTAAAATCTTTTCTACTTAACTCTTTAAGTCCCCATCAAACCTATGAAAATCTTGCATCCTAATTCCTCTCCTTTGATATTGTGGAATAGGGTTTACATTTTTAGAATCCAAGAAGCATGCTCTCCTTGTTGTGGGTACACTCAGTGCTATCCTGGATACACAGCAGGTATATGAGACAGCTCTCCTTGGAGGGGTGTATATGTTGTCTGCTCACAGAGGACATCAAGTTCTGAAAGACGCATGAAAGGGAACTCGCAGAGGAGAGGCCTCTTTCCAGGGAGAGCAGGTTGCAGGGTGTGGGCAGGCGGAGCTGCTGGGCCAAAGGGCTGGAGACCCTTGGAGGTAACAGGGTTACTGGAGCATATCCTTGTGTGTTTTTGAGAGGTGATTGGCCTGCCCTCAAGGGTTACTTCACAGGTTCTTTATTCTACAGTGTGTAATGGAAGTGAACACAACCCCAATTCCTCTAACCTACCAAGACCTTCTAAAAAAGTAAATGAGAATCTCAGGACCGCTATTATGCTTTCTCACCTTTAGATTAGCAAAACGTATTTTAAACTCTCATTGCCTTCTCCTTGGAGAAGGAAGGGGAGATGGAATTAATGCATTTTCTGAAGGGCTAAATTCCCTCTGGGAAATGATTGAGGCTGCTGTGGCTCATGAAGGGTAGAGAGTGGAGCCAGTGGCCAATTGCCTCTGTGGTGTTTCTTCATCATGCAAATCAGTGCCCTCGGCTGGTGTTGAGCTGAGAGAGTTGGCTCTGTGCTCCGCACTGTGTTCACTGCCAGATGCAAATCAGTCCATCTAGTCCTTCCTTCTATCTGTCCTGTGATGCAAGAACTGCCTGGCCTGCAGTTTACAGCTGTGGCGGCTGAGGTCAAGGAGGTCGCCTAGCTTGTTCAGGTTGGAACCCCCATCACTTTAAAGAATCCTATGCCACCCTAAGCAAGCATCAGACATGCTAGGAGTGTGAACCACTACAGGGAAGTAAAGCCCCATCTTCTTCATTTTTTCTGAACTGTTATTGCTATTGCCAGCTTCTCAGAGGCTTTCACCAGGCCCCCAGCAGTGGTGCTGCCAGAGCTCTACACTGTTCTGGTCCACTTGTGTGGTGCATTTTATATTGGAATCGGAATACAAATTAGAGTTTGCATCTGGTCCCTAGTTTCTCCTCAAAACATGAGGATGTATTCTGGAGTGAACAGTAGCCACAGAAATGCAAAAACCAAACTTCTTTGGGTTCAACCTTCATCTGTATGGGTGAAATTTTGGTAAATAACAGTTAGGGGCTGTAATATGGCTTACTGTCATTTGCTCAGGGGCTGAAACTACATTTGAGGAACAAGGCACTTTAGCCAACAGCTAACTTGTGAATTAAAGTTGTAGGCTGAAAACGAGAAAAGCTTTTTCAGCAGTAGACACCCCAGAGGAGGGAAAGGAGCTTGTTAGCAAACAATTCACAAAAAGGCTTGGTCTTAGACTTGCTACAAAATATAGACCTGCTTTCATACCATAATTGTCAGCACTCTGGATTCTGAAATGTAGGCCTACTTTTAAAAAATTTGTGGTAAAAAAAAAAAAAAAATATATATATATATATATATATAAAGCATAAACAATTTAAACTGCTTTTTGTTTCGTTTTGTTTTGTTTTGAAACAGAATCTCACTCTGTCACCCAGGCTGGAGTGCAGTGGCATGATCCTGGCTCACCACAACCTCTGCCTCCCGGGTTCAAGCAATTCTCCTGCCTCAGCCTCCCGAATAGCTGGGATTACAGGCGCCTGCCACCACGCCTGCCTGATTGTTTTTTCTTTGTATTTTTAGTAGAGACAGGGTTTCGCCGTGTTGGCCAGGCTGGTCTTGAACTCCTGACCTCAAGTGATCCACCCGCTTCGGCCTTCCAAAATGCTGGGATTACAGGCGTGAGCCACCACGCCTGGCTTTTTTTTTTTTTTTAAGACAGGGTCTTGCTCTGTCACCCAGGCTGGAGTGCAGTGGTACAATCATAGTTCACTGCAGCCTAGAACTCCTGGGCTCAAGCAGTCCTCCTATCTCAGCCTTCCGAGTAGCTGGGACTGCAGGCGTGTACTCCCACATCTGGCTAAATTTTTTCTTTTAATTTTTTTGAGATGAGATAGCGCTGTGTTGCCCAGGCTGGTCTCCAACTCCTGGGCTCAAGCGATCCTTCCTCCTCAGCTTCCCGAAGTGGTGGGATTATAGGTGTGAGCCACTGCACCCAGCCAAACCGTTTTTAAATGGTTTAGTGGCATTGAATACAGTCACAATGTTGTTCAACCATTATCATCATCAATTTCTGGAACTCTTCCATTATCCCCAACAGCAACTCTGTACTCACCAAACAGCAATTCCCACTCCCTTCCTCCTCCCGAACCCCTCCTAGCCCCTGGTAACCTAGTCTACTTTTCTATCTCTATACATTTAATGGGCTTACTTTTAAATTTTGGAGTTAGCAGCAGGTGTGTTGACCTTTTATATAGATGGGCCAAATATATAATTAATTTTGCTTTTGCTAATTTGCTTCCATTTATTACCCACCTGTTGTCAACTAAATATTGTTTTGCCTTAGGTGACTCGGTAATAATATTTCCACCCCCTCCACCACCTTACTTTCCTGAATCTTCAGCTTCTGCGGTCGCTGAGAGTCCTGGAACTAACAGTCTGCTTCCGAATGAAAACCCCCCTTCATATTACAGTATTTTCAACTATGGGTAAGAATTTCAATTTGAACTTCAAGAGAGGCCTGAATTCAGGCCACACTAGTATTAAGGCTGTGTGGTTCACCAGGAGGCATTCAAGTGTGAGTATCTTTTTTGCTGATGTTATGTCAGAATTAGTGTCTTGATATTAACAGTACCTTTGCCGAAATTTGGGCAGCACATAAGTTAAAAATGATAAAGTGATCATGCTGGGTTAATATGAAGCCTACTCCAGGCATCTATCTTTATGTGCTCCTAACAGGGGTGATACTCAGAATGTTTAACAACCCTTGCCGGGTGCTGTGGCTCACACCTGTAATCCCAGCATTTTGAGAGGCCAAGGTGAGTGGATCACTTGAGCTTAGGAGTTTGAGACCAGCCTGGCCAACGTGGCAAAACCCTGTCTCTACGAAAAATAGAAGAATTAGCTGGGGATGGTGGTAGGCACCTGTAATCCTAGCTACTCGGGAGGCTGAGGCATGAGGATCGATTGAACGCAAGAGACAGAGGTTGCAGTGAGCCTGTTACCGGCGGAGGGTGTCCACGTACTTTGTGTTTTGAACAAAGAACTGGACAAAATGCACAAACGAAGCAAGGAAAGAATGAAGCAACAAAAGCAAAATTTTATTGAAAATGGAAGTACACTCCACAGGGTGGGAGCAAGCCTGAACAGCTGCTCAAGGGCCCAGTTCCAGAATCTTCTTGGGTCCAAATCACCCCTAGAGGTTTCCCATTGGCCACTTTGTGTTCACCTCATGTAAATGAAGTGGTGGCCCACAATCCGTCTGATTGGTTGCAGAAAGCAGCCAATCAGAGGCTGAAGTGAAGTTACAAAGTTGTTGTCCTATGCAAATGTCTGATTGGTTGCAAAAAGCAACCAATTAGAGGCACTTTCAATTTCCCATCTGCCGAAAGGTGGGTGTTTGCAAAGGGAGTAGTCTTTGGTCCTTTTGTTACTCAGGGGTGGAAAGTTAGGGTTTTCCTTTCAATTTAGTTCTAGGAAGTCAGCGTGAAACGGCCGTAGATTCCCTGCCTCCACACCCTATTCTTCTGCTCCAAGCCGAGATCGCGCCACTGCACTCCAGCCTGGGCAACAGAGAGAGACTCTATCTCAGGGGGAAAAAAAAGAATGTTTAATGACCCACCAATCAGACTGAGCACCAGGACTGGGCCAGGAGGCCCCTGCTATGCTAGGCTTCACTGCTTTAGATCATGGAGAGGTGTGAGGGTCTCAGGGGATCCCCAACAGTTACAGAAGGGCTTTAGTACTCTGATGGCCGTGCTTGGGTGACTGGCTAAAGTCAGCCTGAGCCCCGATCCAACACAACTGGGCCTCTCCTTCAATATTCGCTCCTTCCCTGGGCCGCAGAGAATATCAGGTCAATACCCACCCCACACAGAATGCAGCGAGGCAGGCTCTAGTGGGACGGGCCTGAGGTGCCAGGAGCCTGGGGGAGGGGGTCTGGATGGAGAATGACATTGAGGAAGAGGCGAAGATGATGAGTTCCAGGGTGAGTGACAGGGAAGCTCAGAGGTCCCCAACTGAGAAGACGTGAGTGATGAGCTTGGTTTCGGTGGGGAAAGGATGGTGGGCGGCTGATGGTGGCGGTACAGTGAGATGAGGGCCTTGGAGGCAGACTGGGAAGGGCTGGGTTTTGGGAGAGAGAGGAGGTGATGGAGATGGAGCTGCAGAGGTTGTTGGAGAACCAGAAGGGCAAAGAGTCAGGGACTAGTGGGAGACCCCCAGGAGGGGCTTGTGCATACCCCAGAAATGGTGTGCTCAGGGAGCAGGGCTGGAGAAGGCTCTGGTGGTACCTTCTAGAATGGGAAACCAGGGTTTAGGAAGGGAAGGAAGAATTGCTTCACATTGTCACAGGGTGAAGCAGGTAAGACAATGAGATATGTGCATTTTTGCATGCAGTGAGCAGCAGGCACAGAGAGACTGGTGCTCATTGCTGGGGATAGCACCACCTTACCTTGTTATTCGTGTTTAAGGAACTCCCTCTCCACCCTGCCTTGACAGAGCAGGCAGTGGGCCTTGGAGCAGGGGCCAGGGTGCCTTTTCTCTGGGGCCTGGAGGGAATGAAGTTGTGTAGAGATTCTTTTCCCACAAAAGCAGGGGGACAGGTTATCTGATGGGAGAGGGAAAGAGGTGGCTGACAAGGACAGAATTGGCTTTACAGCTTCATATGGGGTCGTGATGGGGGGATCCAGGGAGGTGCATGTGGGAACGGCCCTGCATGGAGAAAGGGCAGGCTAGGGCTGGACCTCTGTAGAATTCTCATCGTGAATGTTTGTATTTTTTTTCTTCTAATGATAAACTTCCCCAAACCCTAAAATCAGTGTCTAGTAACTTAAACTACTGCTGCTGCTACTATGATTTCTGTGTCCTAGGGTCTGGCTTTTCTTGCATTAGTTTATGTAACTCCCATATCCAGTCTAGGAGAAAGGAATGTTATCATCTTCATTTCAAGATAAGGAAACTGAGCTTTAGCAATGTTAACTAACTTGCCCAAGATCACACAGCTGGGAAGCAGCAGAGTAGATTCCAGTGCAGGTTGGCCTTTGTTAGAGCCCACTCCATTAGCCAATATGCCTTCCTGCCGTCCTTCAGGTTTGTGGCTTAATGTTTTAATTTTCCATATGCAAAAGTTTGTCTACCTTATGTTAGCTGTCCCAGAAGACAGAATAGCAGAGAACAGTAAGTGTGTGTGTGTGTGTGTGTGTGTCTATGTTCTCTTTGGATGGTGTCTGTAAATTTGTTTTCAATGTCTTTTCAATGACAAAGGGAATGACAGCAGGAGTGAGACTGTCTTAATGTTACACTCAGCTCTAGGAAAAGGAAGAGGTAAGAAATCAAAACAAATCTATGAAAAGTAGAGTGAGGGAGAAATTACTCCTCAGATTCTTGCAAATACTCTTAAGTGCATGTAATCAAACATTTGAAAAGAACCTAGTACTAAAGGGGTGTCACTGTTTTCATCCCCTCCCCTTCATGTTCTCTCTCCTTCTCTTTAGCAGGACCCCAACTTCAGAGGGTGCAGCCTCTGAAAGAGACTGTGAATCTATATATACCATTTCTGGGACGAATTCATCTTCTGAGGCCTCACACACTCCACATCTTCCATCTGAATTGCCTCCTAGATATGAAGAAAAAGAAAATGCTGCAGCTACATTCTTGCCTCTATCTTCTGAGCCTTCCCCACCGTAAACTATGGACTCTAGTTCAGTTTTATATGCAATGGATCACTATTTTATTTAATTTTTTTTAAATAAAAAATACAATAGCATTGGCTATATTCTGACTTTCCTGCTACAGCATCAACAAGGGTAACCAACCTTCCAGGTTAGATTCCAGCCATTAGTGCTTCAGACCATGGAGAGGGGCAAAGTGCCCATGGTCCAGGCACTGAACGTGTCCTCTTTGGATAGCATCTATCCATTTGTACTCAATGTCTTTTCAATGACAAGGGAATGACAACAGGAGTGAGACTGTCTTAATTTATTCATTTGTACATTATACACTTGGACCTACAACCCTGGGTGGTAGGTGAGATTATTTTTATTGGTGGATAAAGAACCAAAGGTTCAGAGAGTCTAATTAACTTCTTCAAGGTCACATAGCTTCTACATGATGGGCTTGGTTTTGAACCCAGCTAGCTGGTTTCTGAAAGACAGGCTCACCACCTTGTGCTGTCAGAGGCCTACCAGCAGCAATGGTTAATGTTTAGCTTGGTCCATTCTCTCTCCAGGGTTAGCTGCTTCTGAAACAGAGAAACAAGATTACTCCCTTCATTTCTTTATTATTTCTTCTCTTCTTCCCTTCTCTCTTTCTCTCCCCTCCTCTTTTCTCCTCTTCTTACTCCCCTTTTCTTTTCTTTGCTTTTGAAAGAAGACGATTAGGGAGGCTTTATGCTGGGGCAGTCACAAGCATGTTCATACCCTGGAGTCTCTTTATAGTGAAATTTCTTGACAGGAAATTTCTAGGAACACTTTGGCAACTAGGTTCTCCTCAAGAGGCTCAGGAAGGATTTGCCTTTCTGTATGATGACATATTAGAACAAAACTGACTGAACCATTGCTTTTTTATTCTTATAAGGATACTGCTAGCCAAAGCCTGTTGTATAGTTGGGTGTGTTAATATGTATTTATTTAATGCTAGATCTAAACCTTAAGAAATAATGACTAATGGTATTTCCAACTGGAAGAAACTGATTTTTAGAATACGAAATCTGTAGTAACAGCTTTTTTGGTAACAACATTTAGTGTAGCAAAAATGTGAATTTTTTAATGCCTTTTACACAAGCCATAATCTCCCCCAAATTGGTTCATTCCAGCATTTAAGTGCCTGAAAGCAGAGCAAAGGGGCGTGCAGGCTCCAACAGTTTGACTGAAGTAATGACTGATTTCATGTTAATTGCCACTGAGATAAGTCAGGGTGGCAGTTGGTACCAGCAGTACTAATCTATTTTTAAATTGGACATTTATTGGCTTGAACTGCTCTTAAAATTCTGCTATTTTTCCTCCTGGGAGGTTAATTATTCACATTTAAAAATTAGAACAAAACTTCCTTCTGCCGCTGTTTAAAATGCCTGAGCTGAAACTTCTAGGTAGAATTACTTTTAAGCATTTATGAGTCCTCATATTAATCAAGAACCTTTTTAATGGCTCAGTGTTGGGGTTTGTAACTGGGTATTTTACATTTATATGCTATGCTAGTAAACTTCAGCAAGGGGGTTGCCAGGCTCAGGAATAAGTTTGATCTTCTGGTTATGGAATCTACTCCGGTTCCATCAGTCCTTCACAGTATTCAGCAAACCTGAGACTGAAGCTGAAGTCTTCAAACCTCCCAGCTTTGAAAATGCTGAAAGTGTGAGAATGTTTATTGTGGGGCTGAAATCACATGCAGCAGAGCTGGGCCAAATCATTTACCCCCAGCAAGACGCGTTCTTTTCCTAGCACGGTGCTGGCAGAGGATGACAGCTTCTGAAAGCCCCCTCGGTGGACTGTGCCTTGTTTTTCTTAGGTTTGTTAGCTTTTTTATTGAGGTAAAATTTGCATAATACAATGAACAATTTATGTTTGTATGTATGTATGTATTTCGAGACTGGGTCTCACTTTGTTGCCCAGGCTGGAATACAGTGATGCGATCACAGCTCACTGCAGCCTCTAACTCTGGGCTCAAGCCATCTTCCTACTTCAGCCTCCTGAGTAGCTGGGAGTACAGGCGAGTGCCACCACACCCAGCTAATTTTTTAAATTTTTCATAGAGATGGGATTTTACTATACTACCCAGGCTGGTCTCCAACTCCCAGGGTTCAAGCAGTCCTCCTGCCTTGGCCTCCCAAACTGTTGGGATTGCAGGTTATGGAAGTCTATTTCATTTCTATCAGTCCTTTGCCATATTCAGTGGGTGAGTCATTGTGCCCAGCCTACAATTAACCATTTTAAAGTGAACAATTCAGTGGCCTTTAATACGTTCACAGTGTTATACAAACCACCACCTCTATCTAATTCCAAATCATTTTCATCACCCTAAAATAAAACCCCACACACATTAAGCAGCCCCTCCTTCTCCTCCTCTATGCCTCAGCTCCTGGAAAACACCAGTCTGCTTTCTGTCTGTATGTGTTTACCTATTCTGGGTATTTCATATAAGTGGAATCATAAATATGTGACCTTTTGTGTCTGATGTCTTTCATTTAGCATGTTTTCATTTAGCATGTTGTAACATATATCAGTACTTCATTTTTTATGGCCAAGTACTACTCCATTGTGTGAATATACCACACTTTGTTTATCCATTCATCCATGGGTGGACATCTAGGTTGTGTCTACCTTTTGACCATTGTGAATGATGCTGCTATGAACGTACATGTGCAAGTATTTGTTGGAGTACCTGTTTTCAATTCTTTAGGGTATACACCTAGCAGCAGAATTGCCGGATCACATGTTAACTTTAAGTTTTGGAAGAACCACCAGCCTGTTTTCCACCATTTTACGTTTCTACCAGCAATGTGTTGAGGGGTCTAATTTTTCCATTTCCTCACCAACACTTGTTTTCTATTTTTAAAAAAGTATAGCTATCCTACTTGATATGAAGCAGTTTTTCATTGAATTGTATTTCTCCAATGGCCAATGATATTGAGTATCTCTTCATGTGTGTTACTTGGTTTAGAATACCAGACATTATCATCAGCACACAGAATCTTACAAATCTTGCTCCAAATTTTCCTCCTATGGCTTTGGGAGGTCTGATAGCCCCACTTTAGATACAATAGTGATGAGGTCTACAAATTCAGGTGGGACGACCCACCCTTGCCACCAGAGGATGAAAGCTGAGGGGCAGGCAATATTCACCCAGTTTCTACCTGAGAGTTTCACGTGGGGATAGGAAGAGTTATGGTGCCTGCCCCCTGCCCCAGTCATGTGGATGTGGCCATTGGTTTTCTGATATGGGTGCTGTGTTGAGCACTGAGGCAATGTGGGCAGTGGGTCTTTCCCGAAGGGGCCATCATTCCAGGGTAGGTCTTAGGAAAGGAGTGGGTCCAGAGACAGGAACTGGGAATTAGACCTCAGAACTGGCCTTAGGTCATGGAAGAGATACCTGGCAGTTCGGCCGATCAGCCAGGATCTTTCCTGAGAGCATATGCAGAGCTCAGGTGGGGCCCCTGTCAAGTGGTGGAAATTCCTGCAGTGTTTCCTAAATTCCAGGAAGATGAGAACCACCTAGAGTAATTGTTGAAAATGTCAAATTCCCCTGCCCAATAAATCTACCACCTCCTCCACCCCAGGAGATAATGTTTACCATCTGGGAATCTGGGAAATGCTGCCTATGGTGACAAGATAAACTGCAGAGGTCATACCCTGTGGGCTAGATAATCTGGGATTATGACCTCTCTTGTCGCTTCTTGGCCTTCTGGGGAGTCCTGTGTACATGTCCCAGCCTGTGCTAGGGGTTCTCATGGGGAGGGGTGTGGGTTCACACTCAGCCCCCAGCCGCCAGTGCTCATGGGGGCTTCCTACAGTCTCTCTGTCCCAGTGTCCCAGGAAGCTCTGTTGGTGAGACACCCACAAGGGCGTGGGAAACAAAGCCAGGGGCTCATCACCCTCCTGTTCCTCTCACAAGTGTGCAGTACCCCTCTATCTCCAGACGGGGGATCTTGGACTCATTTATTAAGGAAGGTGTGGTTTTTATCTTTGCTTCTTCATCTTGGAAGAGGCCAAGACTGTGCTCCGTGGGAGCACCAGATGATGTTTATCACAACAGGCAGAGATGGAGGAAAATGATATTTGGGTCAAAATGGAAAATACTGGAGACTTCAAGTGAGGAGTAGTGTGAAAACTGTCCTGGCCCTCAGTGCCCCCAACCCCTGGTGAATCAGGGTGGGTGACTTTCCCGGGTTAGGACGGTGGGCTGGCTTCTGCTGGCTGCTCCCTGGGTGCAGAAAACCCTGCTCCATGGGCCCCTGATGTAGGAGCTTCTCCCAGAGAGAGGGTAGTCAGGAAGCACACTGTGGGGGTGGTGGGCCTGAGGGGAGAAACGTCCTGGACTGTTGAAGGGGAACCATGCATGGTCTTCTGGCTTTGGCTTCGGCTGCAGGCCATAAGCCCTCCCGGGATCTTGCATACTTGGGATTCCTGGAGTCTCATGCATGCTGCCGCCAGCACGAGCACCCCAAGAGGAACCAAGTGGACAACTGGGATGCAGCTTTTCCTCCCTAAGGAATGCTTGGTGGGGGGAGACCCCTGCTCGGTATGGCATGTGACTGCTTGAAAATGCTGTCTGCCCCTGCCCGGCGACCTCCCCGGGGAGATATTGGCTGAGGTGAGGCCAGAAGTGTAGTGTGACATATCCCCTCCCTCCCCAAGGGGACAGGCCGGGCAGGCAGCAGGCTCATGAGGGCAGTGGGCAGCCACTTAAACACCGTGTGTTCTCTCCCAAAGCTGCTCAGAGCCGCAAGGGGCTGGAAGTTGGGCAGGGTGGGTGAGTGAGTAGGTCGCGGGGGAGGAAACTCCGCAGCTGTCCTGAGCCAAGCCACTCCCAGGACATTTCCTTAAAGGCTTTTGAATAGCAAGTGAATCCTGCCTGCTGGTACCAGGTAGGCCAAATAACTAATTTATAAGGGGTTTTCACGAAGCAGGAGGACTGTCTCTTTTCCTGGGAAGATAGGACTGAGTGGTCAGAACCCAGCTGGATGGAGAGGCTTGGAGAGCCTCTGCAGGGGCTGAGGCTCTTCCTCAAACTCAAAGTCTTCCTAGGGGACCAGATCCCACCCAGGAAGCAGCCATTTCTCTGTCTGCCTAGTGTCCTAGACCCCCCCTCCAGATGCGGCTGGTGGTGCACCTGCCTTTCCTCAGACCCATAGGTGTTACACTGCCTCCAAGATTCCTTTATGTAGGCTCTGAAACTCTGTTCCTTTCTCCTGGCGAAGCAGCGTAATTGTTTTGGGTAAAAACCTGGGGTTCCTCATCTTGCGCCAAGAAGATTAAACAGACGGACACATGAATGGGCTAAGGAGCAGAAAGTTTAATAGGCAGAAGGAAGGAGAAAGGAGAGTAGCTCTCTTTCGAGAGAGAGGTGTCCGAAAGGGAAAAGCCAGCCTTCGGTGGACTGCGCCAGACTTTGTAGGCAGGCTTGAGGAGGCGGCATCTGATTTACATAGGGCCCACAGATTGGTTCGATCAGGTGTGATGTTTACATGGTGTGTGGGGGAAGGCTGGTTTTCCCCCCAATCTTATTATGCAAATGGACTTTCTACTCTGCTAGCACCATCTTTTCAGCTCCTTACTGTATACATGGCTGGCAAAGAGAAGAAAACGGCAAATAGAGCCGCCATTTTGAACATGCCTGTTCCCAGGTAGCATTTTCCTATTGGCACAACTGTCAGCATTTGCCTGTCCAAGCTTCCAGCTTCCTTGTCTATATCTGCAGCTGGATTTTACAGGCTGGTCTTTGTTAGAAAACAAAATGATTTTGGGGGCTGCTTTTCATCAAAAGGAAAACCTTACCAAGGGCTTCCTTACCTTCACTATCTGCCTAAATAATTCCTTTTTAACTCCTATATCACTGGTCCTCCAGGCAGTAGAGTTGCTGGGAGCCTACCCTGCTGCTGTCTCAGCCTTTTCTGTCAAGCTGGAGTTTACCCCTAGGAGCCTGCAGGTGAGGACGGAAGCACAGGTCTTACAGGGGCCAGGCCTCTCTAAGCAACTTCCCTGCAGTATCTCATGGACTCATCCCTGCTGATCTGGGAAAGGTAACATGTTATTACAAGTCCTGCAGGTAGACTCTGGCAGAGCCAGAACCTGTGCCGAGGTCTGCCTGATGCCAAGGCCTGTGTCCGTCACAGCTGTGCACCGGGAAAGGATCTTAGCACCATTATATGTGGCTGTGGGCAGGCAACTGCCCCTCTCCCATCCTCGCCCATTTCTAGGGTGCCTTTCAGCTCTAGAAAGACACTAAAATTCCAGTCCAGCTCCTATAAGGGTCTCCTCCACTCCTTTCCCTAGGCTCCTGGCTTTGGAAACCTTTCCCTCTGGAACCTTGCCAGGTGGAAGTGGGATGAGATTAGAGAGGGCAAAGTGTCTGTCAAAGTTTCAAAAGGAAACTTCAAGTTCAGTGTAAGGCCATAGCATGCACCAGAGCGGCGTGCTCTTTGCTATTGGGCAGGCAATTTTGGTTCCCCAACCTGGGAAGAAAAATCACTTCAACACTTGCTACTTCAGTTGGAAATTCCCTTAGCACTGGTAATTGGCGGGAGCAGCACGGAAGAGCCGGGCAGAGGGTGGTCACAGCATGTAGCCTCTTCTGCAGGGAGTTGGGATGGACAGAATGGCCTGTGGTTAGGGGTGTGTGTGTGTGTGTGTAAGAAGAACCACAGAATGGTGCTGCCCAATGCCCCTGGAATTAGTCTTAGCTGGGCAATCTACAGAGACATAGTGAGGAGCCTAGGTGGGGCTGGGTCTTGAGCCCAGGTACAGCAGGGGAGGGGCTGGAGCCCTAGGCAGGCTGGTGGGGTGCAGCTCTGGCCAGGAACACCTCCCCAGCAAACGCTGGAGATTATAGAGACTGGCTGCCAGCCAGATCATGAAGTAGATAAGTGCTATCAAACAGCATGGCATGCTACTGAGAAATTTATTATTATTATTTGTAATATTAAAAGATTAAAAGAGCTGGGCATGGTGGCTCATGCCTATAATCCCAGCACTCTGGGAGGCTGAGGCAGGTGGATCACCTGAGGTTGGGAGTTCAAGACTAGCCTGGCCAACATGGTGAAACCCCGTTTCTACTAAAAATACAAAAATTAGCTGGGCGTGGTGGTGTGCGCCTGTAATCCCAGTTACTCAGGAGGCTGAGGCACGAGAATCACTTGAACTTGGGAGGCAGAGGTTGTGCCTACCACACTCCAGCCTGGGAGAAAACACAAGACTCTGTCTCAAAAAAAAAAAATTAAAAGATTAAAAGATCCTTGACAAGCGAGTGTACTTTTTCCACAAGTTCCCTGCTGTTAAGTGTCTATGTTGTTTCCAATTTTTTGCTATGAGGAAAAAAATGCTAAAATTAAGTTTTGTATTTTTGTCTGAAAGTTTTTATTGTTTCAGTTGTATTTATTTTGAATGTGTGTATATATAAAATATATATTACAATATATAATATGTATCTATCCCTACACATATTTGTGATGGTTAATTGTATGTGTCAGTTTGACTGGGGCAAGGGATGTCCAGATAGCTGGTAACATTAATTCTGTGGCGTGTGCCTGGAATCCTAGTTACTCCAAAGGCTGAAGCAGGAGAATTGCTTGAGCCCCAGAGTTGGAGGCCAATCTGGGCAACATAGTGAAAACTTCTCAATAAACATAAATCAATAAAGAAGCAAAAAATAAAAAACTTAAAAAAAATGAAAACTTTAAAAGCATTATTCCTGGGTGTATATTGGATTCCGGAAGAGGTTAACATTTGAATCCACTGGGTGAGAGCGAATCCAAAGAAGATCCACCCTCATCCAATTCATTGAGGGCCCTAATAGAACAAAACAGCAGAAGCTAGGTGAATCTGCTCTCTCTTCTTCAGCTGAGACATTCATCTTTACCTGCCCTCACACACCAGAGTTCCTTGTGCTTGGGAGTTTGGACTCCAGGACTTACAGGTCCCCTCCCTCCACCTGTTCTCCTGTTTCCTGACTTAGGCTGAAATTACACAACCAGCTTTGCTGTTTCTCCAGCTTGCAGACAGTATATTGTGGGACTTCTCAGCCTCCATAATTACGAGTCAATTTCCATAATAAATCTCTCTCTCTGTGACACACACACACAAACACACACACACACACACACACACTCCCTCTCTCTCTGTCCCGTATTGGTTTTGTTTCTCAGGAGAACCCTGACTAATGCAATATTATTGTCTTAATATTGAATCATTTGAGAGTAAACTGTCAACATTACAATTCTGTATCCCAAAATACTTCAGGATTTATCTCCTAAAAATAAGGATGTTCTTTTTAAAAGGCAACAGTACCATGATCCAAGTATCAAATTCAGGAAATTTAACATTGATACACTATTATTATCTAATATGCAATCCATATTATTTATTTACTTTTTATTTGGAGTCTCGCTCTGTCACCCGGGCTGGAGTACAGTGGCACAGTCTCGGCTCACTGCAGCCTCCACCTCCCGGGTTCAAGTGATCCTCTCACCTCAGCCTCCCAAGTAGCTGGGATTACAGGTGCCTGCCACCATCCCCAGCTACCATATTCCAATCATTTTATAATTTTTAAAATTTTTATTTATTTATCTTTTGAGACAGAGTCTCATTCCACCTAGGCTGGAGTGCTATGGCGTGATCTTAGCTCACTGCAGCCTCTGCTTCCTGGGTTCAAGCAATTCTCGTGCCTCAGCCTCCCGAGTAGCTAGAATTACAGGTGCACACTACCACGCCTGGCTAATTTTCCTGTATTTTTAGTAGAAACGGGGTTTTGCCATGTTGGCCAGGCTGGTATCGAACTCCTGACCTAAGTGCTGGAATTACAGGTGTGAGCCACTGCACCTGGCCTCCAATCATTTTTCTTAAGTCAGTTTTATTTCATTAATACAGACTACCGCTTCAGTCCATTTTTATTTTCATTTCACTGACCAGCCAGTGGTATAATGTCTTGCATTCTAGTCTCCTCAGAGAGTTGGTTGACATGGTTCTCTGTTCCCTGTATCCCTGGAAACTAGAACTAGAAGTTAGACCTAAAAGCTCATGTAGACTATTGTTAAACATTTAAACAAAAATACTTTAGAGGAAAAGCTGTATGTTTCAGACTTCCTCATATCAGAAGGCCCTTAATGGGAGGTTGCTCACATTTAGGGGTGCAAAGTGTGAACTCTAAGGTGGTGGCTGCTGAATCTTGGGGTAATATTTTGGCACAGTGCGAATCCCTGTTTGTTCCCCAGCAAACCTTTTGCTAATGGCTCTAGCATCCACTAATGACCCTTGCCTGTCTGATTCAATGATGTCATCACAGGCCTCTGTAAAGAAGGGCAAGCATTCATGCATCAACCAGGATGGACTACAGGTGTTCCTAAAAAGCCAGGATAAGAATTTCTTTTTTACCTTTAAATACCAATTTTCAGAGTGTATTAGTCTGCTAGGGCTGGCATAAGAAAATACCACACACTGGGTGGCTTAAACAGAAATTTATTTTCTCACAGTTGTGGGGACTGGAAGTCCAAGATCAAGGAAGTGGCAGGGTTGGTTTCTGGTGAGGCCTCTTTCCTTGGCTTGCAGATGGCCACCTTCTTGCTGTGCCCTCACATGGCCTTACCTCTGTGGGTCCACACTCTTCGTGTCTCTTCTTCTTATAAGGACACTTGTCTTTTTGCTTTAGGGCTTTATAAGCTGTCTTAATCTTAGTTACCTTTGGAAAGGTCTTGTCTCCAAATATTTTTACATCACCTTGGGGGTTAAGGCTTCAACCTATGAATTTAGGGGGTAGCAGGGAGTGGTACACAATTCAATCCATAGCACAGAGCAAGGAGTTGGTGTGAAAATCTCTACAGTAATGGCAAATGAGACTCTCTCTCCCTGGTTTTTTTTTTTTTCCTCTCTCTCTCCTGTCCCTATAAACTCATATAAAGTCATGAATTTCAATTAAATCAATGTTTTCTTTTATGTTCAAATAATTCCAAATTTGGTCAATCCTTTGTGGTGGTTCTTCTGTATTTTTGACATGTACCCCAGAGAGTAAGCTACCCTAGGCTCACTTTGTTTCCCTGCCCCATACCTGGAAAAGCCATTTCTCTAGCCCTGAATCCTTCTGTGGAAAATATATTTAGAAACCAAGATTTGGAGTTGAAGTTTGCTTATTGCTACTGAAGTGTCATTTCCAGCACTTTCAAGAGCTAAGAGATTTTTTTAAAACCATAAATTGACATTAACATTTCCAATTTAAATTTAACTTAACACTTTTTTTCTTAACTCTGTGTATTAGTCTGTTCTCACACTGCTATAAAAGAAATACCCGAGACTGGTTAATTTATAAGGAAAAGGGGTTTAATTGGCTCAGGGTTCCACAGGCTGTACAGGATGCATGGCAGCGTCTGCTTTTGGGGAGGCCTCAGGTAACTTTTACTCATGGCAGAAGGCAAAGTGGGAGCAGGTGTCTTACATGGCAGGAGCAGGACCGAGAAGTGGGCCGGGAGGAGAGGGGAGGCGCTACACACCTTTAAACAACCAGGTCTCATGAGAACTCTATCACGAGGCAGCACCAAGGGGATAGTGCTAAACCATTCATGAAGGATCCACCCCCATGATCGAATCGCCTCCCACCAGGCCCCACTTCCAACACTGGGGGTTGTAATTCGACATGAGATTGGGTGGGGACACAGATCCAAACCCTATCACTTTGATTTTATATTTTTGTTTCTTTTTTCTTACTCTGAAAATCTTGGTTTCTGTTAACACAATCCAGTTGCTGCATAAAATGAACTATCACATTTACCTATTTATTACACATTTACCTTGATTTATTGTATAATATAAAAAAGTTTCAAAATTACAATTCAATATTGTTAATAACAATAAAACTAGAGTTAAGTAACAAGATTTTTTGAAGATTTTTATCCTTCAAACATATCTATGTATGTGAAGTTAGAATAGTATATTAAACTCATTTAAATAATTTTTTCTTTGTTTTCATATTACCAATTTGATATATCATTAGGGTCATTTATTCATGTTTATATTCAACATTAAGGCTAATTTTGTTTTTTAATTTAATTTTATTTTTGAACACATACAACATATCCTGTATTAAAAAGTGTATGTAGAGAAGTCTCAATCCTATCCCTGTCTCATCTACCCTGTTCTACCTTCCAGTCTCTTTTTGCAATACATACACCACACACACACACACATGCACACACACTAATATATGCGGCCCTGCACCTTGCTTTTCTCATTTAGTTGTATCTCCTGGCAATCACTCCATATATAGCGAGGCTTCTCACTTTTTTGGTATGGCTGGACAGTGCCCCATTGTGTGACTGTACCATAGTTTCTTCAACTAGTCCTCTAATGATGGGCATCTCGATTGTTTCTAATCTTTCAATGTTACAAACAATGTCAGAATGAATCATCTTGTGCTTATGTTCCTTTTGATTTGTGAAGGTGTGTCTGCAGTGCAAACTCCTAAAAGTGTCATTGCTACTTTAAAACATAAATGCATGTGTAATTCTGTTAGATATTGCCAAATTCTCCTCCATAAGGGCTGTGCCATTTTGCACTTATTAGCAACATATAAATATGTCTATTTCCTTATAGCTTCGTCAATGGAAAGTGTCATCTAAATTTGACTTCTGCATTTTGGCTGATCTGATAGGTGAGAGGTTGGATTTGAGGACAGCCGTAATTTACATTTCTCTATGAGTGAGATTGAGCATCTTTTTAAATGTTAAAAGTGTTTTGAATCTTCTTTTTTGTGAACTATTTATATTCTTTGCCTATTATTTACTAGATTGTAGTCTAATTTTTTAAAAAATTAACCTAAATATTTTTTGATGTAAGAAAAGTCACTTTTCGCCTACCTGTCAGAGAGATACAAAACACAAAACCAAACCAACAAGTAAATATCTCAATACTGTGCTTTGCTCCCTCACCCCCAAACTCACTCTAAACAAAAAGTTTTGGTGATCCCTTACATTTTAACTTTTCTTCGTAGGCCCTATTGCATCGGCTGGAATGTTTTGGCACTAAACCATCATTTTATTATTTTTCAAAATCTTGGCCAGTCAGCTGGTTTTGTTAGATTGTGACATTAACGAAACAAAGGTTGCAGCTTTGATACCCACATGTGCTGCTGGCTCTACACCCAGAAAAGTTGTTCCCAGCCAGAAGCAGGGCTGCCCAGCTGCCTTACATGCAGACGGAAGTCCCAAAAGAGCAGCTGGGGATGGGGAGGTAATGGCGTCATCTCCAAACATAGTTCACTCAGGGGGTGAATGCCCCAACTCCTGGCTCTGGAGGCCTGATGTAGGTATTTGCCCGGGAATTTCACTGTGAGCTCAGGAGCCAGTTGAGAAGATACATGTGCCAAACAGGAAAGCATGCAGAACTCCATATCATGTGGTTCTGAAGCTGGCTGCCCCAAATGGAGTGACAGACAGGGCTCCCCAATGTGATCTCAGAAGTAGCCCTAAATATGTGCAAAGTTCCTGTATTCGTTATCTATTGCTGCATAACCAACTGGCCAAAAATGAAGGGCTTCAAAGAGCAAAACACATATATTACCTTGCATGTTTCTGTGGGTCAGCAATTCTAGTGGTTCAGCTGGGTAGCTCTCTGTGAGGTTGTGGTCAAGATGTCAGCCAGGACTGCAGTCCTCTGAAGGCATGACTGGGGCTGGAGAGCCCACTTCCAAGATAGTCACTGTTACAGATTGAATGTCTGTGTCCTCCTTAAATTCATATGATGAAACTTCATTCACAATGTGATGATATTTGGAGGTGAGGTCCTTGGAGGTGATTAGGTCATGAGGGTGGAACCTTCATGAATGAGATTAGTGTCCTTATAAAAGAGACCCCAGAGAGCTCCCTTGCCTCTTTCACCATGGGAGGACATGGCAAGAAGACAGCCATCTATGAATCAGGAAGTTGGCCCTCTCCAGACCCTGAATCTGCCGGTGCCTTGATCTGGGACTTCCCAGTCTCCAGAACTATGAGAAAGAAATATCTGTTGTTTATGAGCCACCTGGTCTCTAGTATTTTTGTTAGGACAGCCTGAACAGACTAGAACAGTCACTCACATGGCTGGCTGGTTCATGCTGGCTGTGGACTCAGCTCTTTCCATGTGGACTCCCACAGACATCCCAAAGACCATGCTGGAATGTCTTTTCAGCATGATGCCCAGGGCCCCTCAGAGCAAGAGATTGAAGGGAGAGCAAGGGGGATGCTGCAAGGGTTTTCAGGATCCGGTCTTGCAGTCACACACCATCACTTCTGCTAAACTCTATTTGTTAGAAGTGAATCACTAAGTCTGGCCCACACCAAAGGGGAGAGGAATTAGCCTTCACCTTTTGAAGGGAGTTGTCACAATGAATTTGTGAACATATTTAAGAATCACTACAGTTCCCAAGGCCAGGATGCTTTTTCTCTTATAATGAAAGCAGTGGGTGACTGCTGGGTGACTGCTGACCTGTGAGGCATGTTCACCTCCGGTACACCTAATAGTAAATCAGAAGAAGATGCAGCCTCCTTCCAGGTAGGTGGCTTTCCCCCTTAGGAGCTGAGTTTCATCACACCGGCCTTCAGTGTGGTGTCCTTTTGGATATTAACAGTCCTTTGACCTGTTAATATCAGTGGAACCAGTTAAAACACAGATTTCTGTGTCTCATCAAGAGATTCTATTCCAGTGGTCCAAGGGGCTAGTGAATCTGCATTGTTACAAGTGTTCCAGATAAAGTAAGCCCTTTGGCCCTGGCCCAGAAAAAGAGTGAGATGCTGACTTTTCTAGCACTGTGCTTCGGTGTCACCCACCAATCCCACCCCAACCCCACTGAGGGCAAGTTGGACCACATCGCTGTATCCTGTTGAGCACTCATAGCACCACACCTGGCAGAGGTAACCGTGTCATGAGTTTTTGGCGGATGGATGACAGATGGGAGAATGAATGAATTCAGGAATGATCTCAACTCAGTTGCACTGACTTTAATGATGCTTTTTCAAAAGTTAATATTTTCAACATCACCTAAGAGATTATTCCTGTGAAAAAAATGTTTAGCTTGATTCTCATGAGGCCTTTGACCCAACGACCTTTTATAGAAAATATAAGGGATAAAGGAATATGTTATGTGATATCTTGAGAAAATAGGATTTGGAGCATTCAGTAAGATGACTGGCTTGGAGTCTTGACAAAGTCAATGTCACAGGGGGAAAATGGCTGGAGTATTGTTCTAGATCAAGGGCTGGTGAACTATGGGCTGCGGGTCTGTTGCCTGTTTTTATAAATAAAGTTTCATTTGAACATAATGATGCTCACTAACTTAGGTATTGACTATGGCCGCTTTTGTGCTATATTGACATGGCTGAGCTATTGCAACAGAAACAGTGTTGCCTGAAAACCTAATGTGTTTACTATCTGGCTCTTAAGAAAAAGTTAACTGACCCCTGCTCTAAATGAGAAGAGATTAATGACTCTTCTGCTTCCACCCATGGCATAGTAACTAGTACTGGCTGGCCATCCTGCCATACAAAACTAGAAAGTTGGGTAAATATATCAAATAACTGGTTTCAGACATAATTGGTAGGACAGGGCTCTAATCAAGACAGAAAGGAAACAAACAAGGTGAGCCTTCCAACCACCCAGACGTTCTGTCAGAGCCATTTGCTGAATTCCAACACAGAGAGGGAGAAGCTAAGCAAAATGCAGAAGTCTCACTGAGCTGAAGACACAGATACTGGAGTTCGGGGAGACTAAGGCAGAAAGAACCCTTTAGAAGAAGAAACTACGCAGAGAAAGAATTCCAGGTTGGCAGAGTGCAGTGCCTCATGCCTGTAATCCCAGCACTTTGGGAGGCTGAGGCGGGAGCATGTTTGAGCCCAGGAGTTCGTGACCAGCCTGGCCAATATGGTGAAACCCCATCTCTAGTAAAAATGCAACAGTTAGCTGGGCGTGGTGGTGGGTGCCTGTAGTACCAGCTGCTTGGGAGGCTGAGGCACAAGAATCACTGGAACCCAGGAGGTGGAGGTTGCAGTGAGCCAAGATTGCACCAGGGCAGCAGAGCAAGACTCTGCCTCAAAAAAACGAAAAAAAAGATTTCCAGATCATAGGGTTCCCTTCGAGTCTTTGGCTAAATACCAATCGGCACTTGTGCAGAGTGAGGCACCACAAGGTGGATCAAAGCACCACCGGGGAAAGAATGGTTGCCAGGGAACTGTGAACTAAACAAATTCTGGAGCTTATACAGAGTTGGGAGATGCTTAAAATTTGAACAACCAGAGTGAAAAGACCTCATTGGACACCAAGGGCTTTGAGTAGAGTACCAGAAAGACCACATCTCAGGATTAGGACCAAACTAACCTAAAATAAAGGCTACTCTAGATCTTCCTCAAAAAAAAGAATAGGTCAATCCATTAATGAATCAACTGCCTACAAAAACAAAATGCAACAGTCTTTAAAGGAAGGCAATCTAGGCTGGACGCAGGGACTCACACCTCGAATCCCAGCACTTTGGGAGGCTGAGGCAGGAGGGTTGCTTGAGCCCAGGAGTTCAAGACCAGTCTGGGCAACATAGTGAGACCCCCTCCATCTCTACAAAAAAAATCGAAAAACTAACTGGCTGTAGTGGTGCTCACCTGTAGTTCTAGCTACTTAGGAGGCTGAGGTGGGAGAATCGCTTGAGTTGGGAAGTTGAGGCTGCAGTGAGCTGAGATCACGCCACTGCTCTCCAGCCTGGGCAACAGAGCAGGACTCTGTCTCAAAAAAATAAATAAATAAAAAGAGAGAGAGAGAGAGAGACAATATAGATGCCTTTAGCATTTTATTCCAAATGAATTTTGAATTTTGTCAAATGCTTCTGCGTCTGCTAACCTTTACCTAGTGTCATATTTTTTGGTGAAAGACTGAATGTTTTCTCTAAGATGAGGGCCAGGGAAAGGAAGTTTTCTTTCATCACTTCTGTTAAACATTTTGCTGTGATCCTAGCCATACAAAAAGTCAAGAAAAAAGAAACAAAAGCACATATGTTGGAAAGGAAGACGTAAAACATGATTGTGACCATAGAAAATCTCAAAGAGTTTACACAAAAGCTGCTAAAACCAAAAAGTGAATTTAGTAAGGACGCAGAACACAAAATCAATATACATAAATAAATTGTATGTCTATATATCAGTACAAACAATTGGAAAATGAAATAAAAATCCTATTTACAATACCAGAGAATAATGTTTTATAATAATATGATTAATATTTAGAATAACACACACACACACCCTGTGTACTGATAACTCTAAAACATTTCTCAAAGAAATTAAATCGGTATTAAATGAATGAATGAACCAGAAGAGCCAAAATTATTTTGGAAAATAATAACAATTCCGAAGATTTACACAACTGATTTTAAGACTACTGTAAACAATAGTAATCAAGACACTGTGATATTGGCAGAGGATAGCCATACAGATCAATGAACTAGAATACAGTCCAGAAATAGACCCATATATATGGTCAATTGATTTTTTTTTAAATAAATAGGCCAAGGTGGTTCAATTGGGAAAATAGAGTCTTTTCAACAAATGGCACTGGAACAACTGGGTATATGTGTGGGAAACAAAGCAAAACAAAAACAAACAACAAACATTAGTTCCTATCTGATGCCGTATACAAAAATTAACTCTAAATGGATTATAGGCCTAAATGCAAAAGCTAAAACTACACAACTTCTAGACTAAAACATAGAAGGATATCTTGGTAACCTTGAGGTAAGCAAAGACTTCTTAGACAGGACACAGAAAGCACCAACCATGAAGAAAATATTGACAAACTGAGCTTCATCAAGATACAAAATTTCTGCTTTTAAAAGACAATATTAATAAAAAGAAAAGTCACCTGGGTACTTGAAAAGTCATCACTGACCGGCAGAAGATATTCGTAATACATAAATCTGGCAAAGGATTTATATGTAAATCTCAATAACAAAAAGATAACTTATGACCTGGCGCGGTGGCTCATGCCTGTAATCCCAGCACTTTGGGAGGCTGAGGCGGGTGGATCACCTGAGGTCAAGAGTTCAAGACCAGCCTGGCCAATATGGCGAAACCCCATCTCTCTAAAAATTACACAAAAAAATTAGCCAGGCATGGTGGTGCATGCCTTTCTTCCCAGCTGCTCGGGAGGCTGAGGCAGGAGAATCACTTGAACCCAGGAGATGAAAGTTGCAGTGAGCTGAGATTTGTGCCCCTGCACTCCAGCCTGGGCAACAAGAATAAAACTCCCTCTCAAAAACAAACAAACAAACAAAAACCCAAAAACTTACTTTTTAAAAAGACAAAATATTTGAACAGACATACTACAAAAGGAATATATATATATATATATATATATATATATATATATATATATATGCGTGGCCAAGAACCACACAAAACAGCAGCTCTGGTTATCAGGGACATGCAAATTAAGACCACACAGAGATACTACTACACACCCACGAAAATGGCAAAAAGTAAAGGATTGATAATATCAAGCATTGGTGAGGATGCGGAGAAACTAGAACTCTCATATGTTGCTGGCAGGAGTGCAAAGTGTTGTCAACATTTTGGAAGCAGTTTGGCAGTTTCTTATAAAGTTAAATATACACTTATATGATCCATAAATTCTACTCCAGATTTTTACCCCAGAGAAATGAAAACATATGTCTACAAAAAGAGTTTTACAAAAATTTTCATAAAGACTTTAATCAGAATGGCCTAACACTGGAAACAATCCAAATCTTCATCAGTGGGTAAATGGATAGGCAAATGGTGGTAGACTCATGCACTAGCATACTACTCAGCAATGAAAGGAGCCACCCACTCACATATTCAACAACATAGGTGAATCCCAGGTAGATCAGACTCGGCGAAAGAAACCACAGAAGATCATAAACTGTATTATCACATTTATGAAGTTCTTGAGCAAGCAAAGCTGCCTATAGATAGAAAAATCAGATCAGTGGCTGCCTGGAGTCGGGGCTGTGGGGGTGAGAGGAGGAGAGATAGGCTGCAAAGGGAGAAGGAGTGAACTTTGTAAATATTTTGACTGTGGTGGTAGTGATAAGGACATACACATTTTTTTTTTAACTCATCCAGTATGCACTTAAAATGAATGTATTAACATGTACTGAATGTTAGTTTTACTTCAGTAAAAAAAATTTGTTTTAAATAGACTAAAGAGAAGTAATAACCAAATGCAACATCTGATTCTCAGTTGGATGCTGATTTGGCAAAACCAAAGCTATAAAATATATTTTTAGGATGACTGGGAAATTTTGCATATGGCTTGGCTATTAAATAATATTATAGAATGGGTGTTAATCTTCTTAGGTGTTAAATAGAGGTATCTAACTTCCTGTTCTTAGGAGATGCATGCTGAAGTATTTAGGAATGAAACATACTATTGGCAACTTATTTTTAAATGGTTCAATAACAACAAAAATATGTACACAAATGCAGAGATGAAACTCATCTGGCAAGCATTAAAATTGTTGAAGAAGGTGGAAGACATATAGATTTTCATTGTACTTTCAACATTTCTGACTTTTCAACATTTTCCCACAACTTTCCACAATAATAATAAAAATTGAGGGGGAAATTTAATGTAGAGTTGTTACGGATTACTCCAAAGTCTATAAATTCTTCCTTAGAAGATAACACTTACAAAGACATGGTTGCAGTCATAATTTCCTCCAAATTCTTCTAAGAGCTTGGTTTTGAACAGAACCCCTGGCACAAACAGCAATGCCAACGTTAGCAGTAAAGCCACGCTGCGATGGGACGCCCAGTGGTTGGAGCTTGGTTGGCCTTCCAGCCTCCTTGGCTGGTATCTGGGGCGAGGATGATGGCAACGTGCTGGATCAGGAACACCAAGGCTGTGGGCAGGAGTGGGCAGCAGCTGGGGCCTCTTTTCTGCTGTCCTCCCTGGGAGGGAAGTAAATGGTTAACCAGTCACCCACCCCTGGCACTTTGCAATCCTTCTCTGCGCCTGCACAGGGCATTCTCTGGCTGAATTCTGCCAGCCAAACTAAAAGTCTCATAACAAAGTAATGGGATAAACAAGGCCCAGGTGATCCTGTTTGCTAAACAGTGAAAACCAGATCCACACAGGCACTTTACAAAAGGCTACACACACATATGCAAAAGTGTCTCCCTGCAGACCTCAAATTCACTGTTACTCCGGGACAGTACCCAGAGCCTCGGACAGATGAGGTTTTGGGAAGGCGAGGTCTTGGAGATAATGTGGGAAGGACAAAAAATCCAGAAAGTGTTTCCTTATTAGGTGGGAGGGAGGAGGGTGGAGCCAGTGAAGGGGAGGGAAATAGAGTCTAATGGGCTGAGGAGAGGGCGAGGCAGTGAGGCCTTTTGTACCTTGGCAGGTGAGAGGGCTGAGTTCAAGGAGAACATGTGGCCGATGGTGTGGGAAGTTACAGAAACTTCGTCAGGGGTTAAAGGCAGGAAAAAGTTCACTGGGTTTGGCCGCTTTGTGGGCCCTGGGGACCAAGGCCAGAGTATTTTCCTAGGGGTGGGAAGGTGGAAGGGCCTTCAGGATTGCACAGGAAGGGAGGAAATGGAGGCCTGGGGAATAAATAATTTTGTCAAGAAGTTTGATCCTATACGGTGATGGCTGCAGAAGTGGGCATCTGAGTGGGGATGGAGGAGAGGGTTTTGCTCTTTAGTGTCTGGAGCCCTGAGTGTACTCAGGCTGAGTGGAGAGAACCAGCTTATTACAGAAGAGGAGCGTCTTCTGCTGCAACCCTCTCCTTGGCAATGAAAGCAGAAGCAGCAGCAACAGCAAACAGGAGCATCTGGAAAGAGTCTCTTTGAGAACCTGAAATTGGCCACAGTGGTTTTTGAGGAAGGAGCTACTGAAAGCCAGTTTTCCTAAAATAAAAATCATGCTGGTCAGACTCATGGTTATAAGGAGCAGAAAGCTAATGAGAGTAGCTCCCGAGAAGAGGGGTTGGTTGTAAGCTGTGCACCTGCGAGCCTTGGAGGAAGGCTGAGACCACACTCAGGGCTACCAAAGACTGATGTAAGAGGTGCTTTGTTGTTATTGTGTTGACAATTTAAATGTTCCTTACAGTTTTCCAGAACAGAATGGTCAAGAGAGCAGAACTTAGGAATGTGGATTCTAATGCCAGCTCCATACTGCTCAGGCAAATTTGCTTCTGAGCCTGAGCTTCAGTGGTGCAGCACATTTCCTTTCCACGTACCAGATGTTGAGGAGTAAATGATTGTGAATGCAAAGAACATTTAGCACAGTATGACGCACACTATAATGGCCATTGTATTTACTTTCTATGTGCAATGCGTATTTCCTTAGGCATAGGAAAAATCATTCTAAATATATCCCCCTTCTAAAGCTACAATCCTGAATTACAGAACAGTTAATTGAGGTGCTGCCCTGCTAGCCATCAGCCTTCACTCTCACATGGGACATTCCTCTGGTTAGCTCTGCTTGGGTCCTCCCGTGCTGGGCCCTGCAAATTCCTTAACCAAGAGGTCAAGGAATGCTCTGCAGGCCAACATGCCCCTCAGTCTGAACACTGGACATACAGTCGAGTCAGGCTTTGTGCCTTTGTACAAGATTTTATTAAAGGCCTTTCCAGGACAACATCCAGATGCCAGACACAGCTGTCAAGGAGAACCTGTCATGTTGTGGGGGTTGGCTGCGGCATGGCAGGAGCTATGGCTTCCTCCCCACCCTTCTATTCTGAGATGGGGTAGTGGGCAGTACTTCATCTTTGGGTTCCACGATACTCATGTGCTCAGGCAGGGCCTTCCTAGAGTCAGTCTTACCAGCTGGGTCCCAGGGCAGCATGACCTTCCCTTGATGGCCAGCACACCCTGTTGGAGCAGCACCTGGCACATGGCGGTGTCAATGAGGTAAACAGAGTTCCTGCTGAGGATCATCAGGTCATCCACAAACTTCCTGCATTTAGAGTTTTCAGACACCACAGCCTTGAAGCCTGTGGCCCCCTACGCCCCGCCTGATGAACCACAGCACACCACAGCAGGCCCTCTGCGCTGCAAGCCCTCCCAGGAGGTAACACTGAGACTCCACCTAGGCAAACACACACATACCTCTTGTGGCTACCTTTCCAGCAAAAAGCTCTACACTGCCCTCTGGAAGCCAAACCTCTTCTGAACTACAGCAGGCAATTTCCAAATCTGCCAGCCCTTCTCACCAAGAACATTCTGTGTTTTGGTGGCTAAGATTATGATTTTGAAGCAGCGTCATTTGTCTAGAGTAGTAACCGAGGTTCGTTGCCTCACACCAAGGAAATCAAGGATGTGGACACGTAAGGAGTGAGGTTAGGAGCAGAGGTTTAATAGGCAAAAGAAAGAAAAAAGCTCTCTCTCCTGCAGAGATGGGCTCCCAAGCAGGTTTTTCAGTTTCATGGTGAAATGCACAGCGTTTTATAGATGAGCTTGAGCAGACGGTTTCGATTGGTGGGACCAGGTGTGTCATTTACATAGCTTGTAAAGAAACTGGCCATACCACCCTTATTTTTTATGTGATGGGTTCTCTACCTGGCCTGTGCCATGTTGCCTGTTCCTTTATTGTACATGTGGTTGACAAAGAAAAGGGAAGATGGAGCCTCCATGTTGAACATGCCTGACCCCCGGGTAGCCTTTTTCTATTGGCACAGCTGCTGGCATTCTCCATGCAAGCTTCCAGCTTGTTTATCTATGTTTGCAGCTCAATTTTACAGGCTGCTCTTTGTTAGAAAATAAATGATTCGGGGGCTGCTTTTTGTTAAGAGAGAAGTCTTGCCGAGGATTCTCTTACCCTCACTATCTGCCTAAATAATTTATTTTAAGCTCCTGTATTAATTCCTGTTCTGGTTGACGTAATTTGGACCTCAACTCCAGAGTAGCCATCCTCAGCCAGCTCTCGAGTGAGAACTTTTTCAGTTCCACTTTGAGGATGCCATCAGTGACAAACTTCCTCTTCTTGGAGATCTGCACCCCCATCTTGCCACCGTGTGCCTCTGAAATGAAGGGCCAATGCGAGAGTTTTATCCTCTCTGCAGCAGAGTCCTTCTCTTGCGGGCAGGTATCTGCTTGTCTTTAAACAAAGATAGACCCTTTTCTCCTCTCTTGGTCAACCAGTGTCCTCCACTTCTCGAAGTTTCTGCTCTTGAGTTTTGTTTATATAGGACCCGTATGGAAGCTCCTTAGTGCCCCTTGCCCTCTTTCTACACCACGGCACTTCTATTGCAGCCAACAGTCTCGGTCTGCTAGATTCCCTGTTTCTCACTGAGAATCTATTTTTGAAGCTGGCCTTACAGGTCCTAAGTCCCTCCCTGCCAGGATGACCAGCTTGTCCCAGGTGGCTCAGAACTTTTCTAGTTTCAGCACAGAGAGTTTTGCATCCTGGGACCCCCCTCAGTCCAAGGCAAACCAGGATGCTTGGTGACCCCCACCCTGTCTCTGGAAGGGCTGCCCTTGAATCAGTTTCCCACCTCAGGCCCATCGGCCAAGAGAAGGTGATCCGGGTCACCTGGTGTCCAACAAGGCCTCAGTCTTTCAGTAGGGGTGGGTGGCTTCTCTGGGAGAGGGACCATGAATTGGGCCAGCAATGATCAACCTCTCCAGTTAAAACTATACTTAGATGAATTACTCATTAGAAGGGAAGGAAGTGAGGCATTATAAGTATACGTGTAGCAGTTTGATGCAGTAGAAAGCACATTGAATTGGAAGTCAAAATGCCTGGTTTCTGCCTCTGAACAGCAATAAAATCCCAGCATCAAACAGTTCATCTTTCTGAGCCTCAGTTTCTCCATCTGTAAAATGAAAGGTTTAATTTAGGGCTTGCTTCCTTTTTAACTTATGTTAGAGTTACTCCATATTCTTCAAGACATAATCTGCTATCATCATTATTAAATTCTTCCCTTTCCTCTCCTCCCTTCTTCCCTGTTCCCCTTCCTCTCCCTTCCTCCCTTCCCCTTCCTTCTTTCCTTCCTTCCTTCCTTCCTTCCTTCCTTCCTTCCTTCCTTCCCTCCTTCCTCCCTTCCTCTCTCCCTCCCTCCTTCTCCATTCCCAGCACTAATTCCTTTCTTCCCAACAGGCCACTACATCAATGTGAAAGATATTTATCCTTGAATAGGTATGTAGTTCTATAAGATATGATTATTATTTTGTGTATTTATTTAAAATTTACATATATTACATTATGTTATAGTCCTCATTTGCTTCCTAACGTTTCTTACTCAGCACCATTTAAAAATATATCCGTGGTGCTGGCTGTTGGTCTTTAAGACTCCTTCCAGAGTGGCACTTTATGAACCTTGTTTAGTATTGCAGAACGCTCTGTTATCCAAAGTTCTTCTACTTTGAATCAAATTATTGGTGGGCTTTTTAGAGGGGACCAAAGGGACAAGAAAGTATTACTCCAATGTTGGACAACTTTGGTCTGCATGAAAGGACCTAAATGGATTAATATATAGAGGACATTAAAGAGGAATAAATGAAGTACTGGGTGGCAAGAACCGTTGTGAATTCATCTTTGGCCCTTAATCTTGAAACTATGAAGCCATCTATGAAGCCAAAACTATGAAGCCGAATTCACATGCACGATTCCTGGAACAGCTTACCTCCTATGTGGAGCTGGCAGACATTCTCCAAGAGGAGGCAGGAAGAGTTCTCAGGCTCTCACTCACATATCATCAAGCATAGAAAAACTGCTTAAGACCTCAGCCAGAGATTGAACCCAAATCGGAAGACCTGTCCCCGGGGGGCCAATCTCTGTGGCTCAGAGGAGGCAAAGGAGACCCAGCCGCATCCCTCCCAGAGCGTTCTGTGGTTGTTAGCAGACGGGCTAGTGCCTCGCAGGTTGAGCAGCTCTCTTGGTGGCATTGAGGCTGAGGGAGCCATGTGGAGCCTGGGAATGGGCTGCGGGTGGGGAGCAGCTGTGGAATAGCCCCTCCTGGCTCTGCCTGCCTATGGCTGGGAGAACAGTTTCCATTTCAGGCAGCAGCAATTCACACTGGGTGGTCTCTGCCTTCCCTCCCTCAGTGCCTCAGTGCCACAGGCAACTGCCAGCAGGCTGAGAAAAGCACAGCTCCCCTTGGAGGACAGAGGCCTGTGCGAGGAGGCTGTTCTCTCCCACACTTCTGGCTCACAGGGTCTTCATCTCCACTCAGGCCTCTCAGCAAGCTCTGGAAAGACCTCTCGCAGCTCCGCTGGTGAGGCCTGTGAGCCAGGGCAGGGGCGGGGGTTGCTTTATGTTCCCCCGGTGACACACTTCCCGACCTACCTCAACTTTACAGAGGCACATGTTGACTCTATTCCAGGCCTTAACTATTTCTGTTCCTTTGAACATGTAAAACAAACAAAAACAACAATGAAACACAAAAACCAATAATAACAAATATAATAAAAACTCTGCAAATGCCCCTGAGGGTTTCCAGCCCCGCTCTCCACATCTCAGCCGACTTGGTGTTGAGATGCGTGCTTTCTGCCTCGGGTTGTATGATCTCTGAGGAGGAGATCATGGTGGCTGTGGGATTATATACACACGCTTTACCAAGATGTCTTCCTTTGCAGTGACAGGACTTAAGCTGACTCTAGGAATCAGAGAAGGTTCACTTTTGCCTTCAGGCCTAGGAGCAGCTCATCCTCAGTCCCCAGGCAGTGCCTCCCGGGGCTGCCTTCAGGGCCTCCTGACAAGGGCCTGGGTGCTTTACCCCCACCATAGACTCAAGCACTCAAGGAGAAAGTTTCCAGAAACTGAACAGGATGAAGTAATTATAGCCGAAAGTCACTGAACTTACTACGCTATGTGTTCTCTGTATGATCTCACTTGATCCTGATAACCTTATGATGTAGGTCCCATCATTCATAAATGAGGAAACTGAGGCTCAGTGAGGCTAAGCAGCTGGCCCATTTACATAGCTAGTGATTGGAGAAGCCAGAATTTGATTGTAGAAAAGACTCCAAAGCCTGTACTCTTAACCGTGACATGCATGGAAGCGCGCGCACACACACACACACACACACACACAATTGACATATATGTGCATTCTTTGGTCTCTACAGTGTAATCTTTTTTGTAATATTCACAAATCATACGTTGTTAGAAATGGAAGTCATTTTAGAGATTACCTATCTGACTCCTCCCCAACTTTTACTTCCATAGAAAAGGAAACTGGGGACCTACCTTAGAGAAATAGTTTTCAAACCTGAGCAAGCATCAGAATCACCCAAGGGACTGGCTAAAACACAGACCTCTGGCCCCATCTCCAGAGTTTCTAATTCTGTAGGTCGAGGTGGGGCCCAAAATATATATTTCTAACAAGTTCCCAGGTGCTGCTGCTGCTGGTTCTGGGCCCCCACTTGGAGAACCGCTGCAGTAGAGTAAATTGGACATGTGAAGGCCTGCAAGACCCACTGCAGTGTTGTTACTTGAACGTGCTTAGCAATGTTGATGAGGCCTGGACAAACATGTCCCCTGGTCACTCTTAGCAGACTCATTCGTCCTTTACTAACTCTCTTTGGGTCTCAGCAACAGAAACAGAATGTGGCAGGCAGAATTCTAAAAATGCTCCCCGCTAAAAAAAAAAAAATCCCACATCTTTATTCCTCAAAGCCTGAGAACATGTGGCATCGTTCCTATGATTGTGTTATGTTATACGGCACAGTGGACCCACAAAAAGGGAGTATCTGGGTGGGTGTAATTTAATCACATGGCTCCTTAAAACCGGATAACTTTCCATGGCTGTTGTGGCAGAAGAGTAGGGCAGAAAGGGGGAAATCAGAGAGACTTGAAGCTCAAGAGCTTGGCTAGTCTTGCAGCACTATTGCTGTTTTGAAGATGGAGCGGCCCAAGTGAGAAGGAATGTGGGGGGCTTCTAGGAGCAGAAAGGAATTTCTGGCAGGGAATTGGAACCTCAGTCTTATGTTGCTTAGGACCAAATTCGGCCAACAGCCTGAATGAGCTTGGGAACAGATTATTTCCTGAGCCTCCAGATAATACAGAGGGATGCCTGACCTACAGAACCGTGAACGAATAAATGAATGTAGTTTTAAGCCTCTAAGTGTGTGGTTATTCTGAAGTGGAAACTAACATACAAGTACATAAATTCCTGAGCTCAGAAGCAAGCCCACTGCAGACCTACTCCATCCAGAAGCTTCTCACACCAAGAGCTGGGCCTCTGGGAGGCTCACCTTATCATTTGCTGGAAATGGCAGTGGCTGTGACTTAAATTCCAGCCCCATCAAGGTAGTTTTCAGTTCAGTTGGTGTCTGAGTGCATTTTCTGCTGCTATAAAGGAATACATGAGGCTGAGTCATTTATAAAGAGAAGTTTATTTGGCTTATAATTTTGATGACTGGGCATCTGCCTCTGGTGAGGGCCTCAGGCTGCTCTCACTCATGATGGAAGACGGGGAGCTCATGTGTGCAGAGATCACATGGCAGGAGGGGAAGCAAGAAAAACAGTGGGGAGGCACCAGGCTCTTTTAACAACCAGCTTTACAGGGAACTAATAGGGTGAGAAGTCACCCCCAAAAAAGGGCATTATTCTATTCATCAGGGATCCCCTCATGACCCAAACACTTCCCATCAGGCCAATTTCCAACAGTAGGGATCAAAGCTCAACATGAGTTTTGGAGGAGACAAACATTCAAATCATCGCAGCTGGGGAAAAAAATCTAAAGATTATCAGGACACCCAGGAAACTGCCTACCCAACCAACCTCAGCAGACACCAGCCTCGCTCGAGAACACAGGCAGATCACTTGCCTGCCAGTGCCTGCCCTTCATGGATGAGCAATTTTAAAAACACTTTAGGAAAACAGATTGTCCTCCTGCACTACCACTAAATCAAATAGCCTACTTTCCTGTTCTGAGATTAATCATCTGTAAAACAGAGGCCTTGCTTCTCACCAGGATATCAGAAAGTTCAAGCAAGAATACGGTGTAAAGACACAGAATCCATACTCCATACAGCAATGATCGCCACCGCCACCTACAATATTCTTGTTACTGTTTTGTTTTGTTTTTTTGAGATAGGGTCTCACTCTGTCACCCAGGCTGGAGGGTGGTGGCATGATCATAGCTCATTGACACCTCGATCTCTCAGGCTCAAGTGATTCTCCACCTTACCTCTCAAGTAGCTGAGACTACAGGCTGCACCACCATGCCTGGCTAATTTTTATATATTTTTTTTTGTAGAGGTGGGGTTTTGCCATGTCCTCAGGCTGGTCTTGAACTCCTGGGCTCAAGCGATCCACTTGCTTCAGCCTCCCAAATTATTGGGATCACAGGTGTGAACCACCACCCCCAGGCTCTTGTTATTCTTGAAATAAAATAAAATCTGAAGAATGAGGGGACAGTTTTGATTTTCAACAAGATCCATCCTGTAGCTAATAATAGTATAGTCATGATTCAACCACCCTGTCATTTTATTGTAAAAGTTGAATATAACCTTGAGGCTGCCATGGTCCAACACAATTCAAGTAAATATAACAGGTGAGTAGATAATTCCTATAATTGAGATTTCCCCCAAATATTCCCCCTAAATGACTTATAGACACCTGATGCTCATTTAAGTAGAGAATCTATTCTTAGGGTCGAGGTTCCGCGTCTGCTCCATCCAGGTCCTTACTGTGCAAGGATCCTCTTGCCGCATGTCCTTGAGGGGGTGGGGCCAAGTGGCATAGGTCACCCCATCCTCGTTGCTACTCCCTGCAGGTCTGCAACTGTGGCCCTCTGAAGGTACAGAGCTGCGCAGGGTGTGCATTTCTGACCGTAGTCACCCCTTGCCATGACATCTGCCTACTTTCACTGATCTAGCCCTAAAGACTGGAGGAATATCATGGAGGATGTTCCCGCCTTGTGCTGGACACCAGGACAGGTCTAGCACCTGGGTTTCTCAGAAGGCTTCCCAGCAGACTATGCATCCTGACCCTGTGTTCCTCTCACATCCACGTGGACCCATGAACCACCTTCCTCTGGAGTCTGATTTTGTCATCCGGACCTTTTCTGATTTTGTTGATCATCTCAGGATTGCCAGGTAGTGGTGGCCACTGACAGGGTCCTACAGTGCAGAGAAGAATGTCCAGGTCCCTTCTTGTGGCTTCTCTCTTTTCTCCCCAACCCCTCTTTCCTGAACCCCCACCTCCTGTGGTGCACCAGCGTAGGGGAGGCCACATGGTGCCATTTTTACCTAAATGTTTAGGAAGACATTCTTTTGAATTTTGGAAATCTTGAAGGGTTTTGAGACATGTATTTGCAAGTAAAACATGCAGGTTCCTGTTTTTCCATGTCACCCAAGCTTGTGGCTTTGTTTTGTTTTATTTTGCTTTTTATGTGCTATAAGTTGTTGAAATATTTTGGGGCTTTTTTGTTATCAGAGAACCTGGTAGTGTTCTGTCTGTAGTCTGATCCAAGTGAATATGGCCAATAGATTACCCTGCAGGATCACAGCACAAGCAGACAGATCTTTGAAACATGGGTTTGCCACTCTACCAAACTTTTGAAAAAAGACATTTAATCACACACACACAGCTTCCACAAAGCAATTTACTTCCAACCACAATGTGTTCAATCAAACGATTTGTTCAGAACTATATGACCACGCTTAGTTTCACTTCCCACCGCAGGTCTCTGATAACCTCTGAAAACTCTGTTTTTGTGGTTATACTGTCATTCATTATTCATCTTTTTAAACTATAATCATTTCAAAATTACAATTTTTAACGGGGAATGTGGATTGGTGGTTAAAAACAGGAAGCTTGATGTCTAAGTCTGAAAAGCAGTGAAAATATGTAAGAAACTCAGAAAAATTCAGAACCTGCCATTATTGTTGATTGTGACAGAGTGTTACCACCTGAGGACTCACTGAAAACTTGCCAGTAAAGAAGGATGAGGTTACTAACCAGCCACAAGTGAATGGGTATATAAACATGGTTGATCTAAAATCTTGGACTATATTTGGATGTTCACATGGACGAAAATTCAAGCAGTATCACAGACTGAACAGTGAAAAGTAAATCTCCCTCTGCAGAAGATTGTATTTTCCAAAGAGAAAGATGGTAATATTTCCTCTCCCAAGTGTTCTTCTGCAATGTGACCTTGACATTCCAACTATAGAAAGGAAGAATCGAATTCCCTTCCCTTTGTATCTGGGTTGGTTTAGTGACTTGCTTGAGCAATAGAATGAAATGAGAGTGATATTCTGGGACTGCCAAAGCCAGGTCATAAGACGCCTCACAGCTTCCACCTGGGACCCCAGGAGTACTTGCTCCTAAGACACTTCCTCTTGAAACCCAGTCCCCTGGCCGGGAGAAACCACATGGAAAGACACAGGTGAGTGCTCTGGTTGATGAGCCAGCGAAGCTCCTAGCATCAGCTGTCAGTCACATGAGTGAACCATCTTGATGTCCCACTCAGGTGAGCTTCTAGGTTCTGGCAGCCCTTGCTGACTGCCTGACAAAACTCAGCCAAGCCACATAACTGTTTTAAGCCACAAAATTGGGAGTGGATTGTTATATAGCAATAGATAACTGGAACACCCTCTCAGTTCTTCTGTCAAATTTATTTCATATTCTTTCAATGACATTTTATGCACAGACATTCAATGATGTGTATGTCTTTCCCCTTGCAAATAATGGCATAATAAGCACACTACAGTACTCACTCTGCTTTCTTTTTCAACCAATAACACATCTTAGAGATTATTCCATACCTGTGTATGTACAGCTGACTTGCTCTTTAACAGTGGAAGAGAACCTTATATTTTACCACCATAAGTTATTTAGCCAGTCCACTACTGATGGACATGTAGGGTTCCCCATCCCTGTACTTTGTTAGTACAGATAGTGATTCATTGTCTATTCTGCTAAAGTATCCTTTTGTAAGGTGTCTATTGTAAGTATGTAGGTTACATTCCTAGAAGATGTTTGTAGCTTCTTTAATTCTGTTGTACGTACATTTTGAATTTTAGTAAATATTGCCAAGCCCCCCAAAAAGAGGTTGTGTCAAGTTATACTCTTCCCCACTCAGATTTAAAGCTGTTTTCCCAGTGACTTGCCAAAACAATGCATTCATAAAGTTTTAAAAATGGTTTACCCTAGATTCTTATTCAAATTATGGATTTTATTGTGGAGAAGAAAATGAGCTTAAACTTTGATATCTATTTGATATCTTTGTATTGCTTGTTTGAGAAACTTCCAGCTATAATTGAATCACTCATTCTTGTCAAAATATTAAAAACTAAAATTGTATGAATTTGGGAAAGATGACATGAGCTACTAGGTAAAAAGGTGAGTTGAAGAAAAATAATTTTTTTTTTTTAGATAGAGTCTTGCTGGGTTGCCCGGGCTGGAGTGCAGTGGTGCAATCTTGGCTCACTGTAGCCTCCACCTCCTGGGTTCAAACAATTCTCCTGCCTCAGACTCCTGAGTATCTGGGATTACAGGCACCCAGCACCACACCTGGCTAATTTTCCTGTATTTTTAGTGGAGACAGGGTTTCACCATTTTGGCCAGGATGGTCTCGAACTCATGACCTCAAGTGATTTGCCTGCCTCGGCCTCCCAAAGTGCTGGGATTACAGATGTGAGCCACTGCACTGGGCCAGAAAAATCAAGTTTAATGAGATTTCATTTTTATGAGATGTGTGAACCTGCAGAAGTAAAAAATATCTGGAAGTAGATATACAAAGTGTTAGTAAGAAGCACAGTCCTTCCTAATTATAAACCACAGTCCATCTAGCAAACGAAACATTGCCTGCAATTTCCTGAAAGGTCACTGTCACAAATGCTTTGGAAGGAGGTGGCACTGCTCTCCAGACATGGCTGAAGAAAAACTTAGGTCAAAACAGGCAGTCTAAACCAAAAAGGGTGCTCTTATTTAAAAAAATCTGAATGTGCTAAAAAGCCATATATAAATAATTAGTGAGAGATTAAAATTTAAATTTGAGTAAATATTGCCAACCTCCCAAAAAATTAATTTTGAACATTTTGATAAAAGCACAGACCGAAGGGATGTAACCATTTTACAGGTCTTTGTTCTATTTATGCAAAATGAATTTAGGTCAATTTGCTTAAAGACTAATTTGCTAAATGACCGATTGATTAACTTAAATTTTTTAAAAAGTATTTAATTTTAGTTGACAAGTTTTCTTTTTTCTTTTTCTTTTTTTTTTTTTTTTTTTGAGATGGAGTCTCGCTTTGCCGCCCAAGCTGGAGTGCAGTGAGGCGAATCCCCTGTCTCAGCCTCCTGAGTAGCTGGGATTACAGGCGCGTGCCACCATGCCTGGCTAATTTTTGTATTTTTAGTAGAGATGGGGTTTCACCATCTGGGCCGGGCTGGTTCTTGAACTCCCAATCTCAGGTGATCCACCCACTTCAGCCTCCCAAACTGCTGGGATTACAGGCGTGAGCCATCACCCCTGGCCTAGTGGACCAGTTTTCATTTGTCATTGTGAACTGCATCTTAAGACATGTCATTTAATCTCTGATTCAGTCAGTTCCTTTTATTTGCTGCAATTGGAGAACAAGGATCAGAGCTGGGGGAGCCCTAAGGGAGACAGCTCCCATTGATAATGCTTGTGAAGACGTGCCCAGAGCTTGATCAGATAAAATAACTGGTACAAATAGTTCAATAAGATGGGGTCCTAAGGTTTCTTCAGTAGCCATTGCATCCATTGAGAACACCACCACAAAGAATTGGCCTCTGGATTTCCTTACTTAAGGGAATTAAGTAGCAGGAAGCTTTGTCAAAAAGGAAATAGCACATTGAATATATGCATTCTCAACAAATTAAAATAATTTCCTTTGTCATGGACCCCAAAGAAAAAAATGATTAATAACTTTGAAAACTTACCAGCCAGATTTTCTGAATTCAGGATTGAATTATTATTTTCTATATTTTTTCTGAGAAGTTGTGAATAATGTAAATTATCATTTTCATTTTTCTTTCTTTCCTTTTTTTTTTTTTGAGACAAAGTCTCACTCTGTTGCCCAAGTTGGAGTGCAGTGGCATGATCTCAGCTCACTGCAACCTCCATCTCCCGGGCTCAAGTGATTCTCCTGCCTCAGCCTCTCGAGTAGCTGGGACTACAGGCACGCACCACCATGCCCGGCTAATTTTTATTTTTATTATTTTTAGTAGAGACAGGGTTTCACTATGTTGGCCGGGTTGGTCTTGAACTCCTGACCTCAAGCCATCTGCCCACCTCGGCCTCCCAAAGTGCTGGGATTATAGGCATGAGCCACCGCACCCAGCCTATTATTTCCATTTTTCAAAGAAGGTATGTTCCACCCAGTACAAAGGGTAAAATTCTGGATAAAGCAAATGAATTAATAGCTCACCTTAATAACAAAGGTTGCTCACAAAGTTGGCTTGGTTAACAAATGTTTTTCAAGTTTCTATGCTAAATATTCTCAAACAACAATTGCAAGGGAAAACCATGTGTTTTTATTACATGTGACACCCTAACAGTAAAAATGAAGTTTGAGAATTAAAGGAAGAGCCTTACTTGACCACTGAGACTATCAGCCATTTGAGACCATTTAATTATACTGTACTGATAAAAAGTTTGGCATTAGTGTTAAAAGAATTTCTCTTATTTTCACCAAAGAAATTCCTGGATGGTATCATCTTTTATCTGATGCTTTTCTCTGGAAGGAGTAGTTATGAATCTCCTCGCTTAAGTTCTAGATTAATTGGACTATGTTTACACATGGGTGGTAGCATTGTGATTGAAAAGGGCACTTGGTTAAATGGAGCTCCTTTCTACTTCCTTCTTTTACGTGGCTGCTGCGTTAAGATGGTAAGATGGCTGAGCCTTTTGGCAGGTAGAAGGAGACCCAATCATCTTTTATGTCATCTCCCATTCTCCTCCACATATCTCTGTCCTCAGAGAGTCTGCATGCCCTGGCCCTCTCTGGTTATCACTTTTCCTATGCTTCTTTGAGGTCATGTTCAAGTTTAGGGGAGGCCTCCAGCCTTGACCATGCGCTCTAGCCAAGCTTACCTGAGTTCTGTGCATGGGGGCATTCTCTACAGCTCAAGCCCTATAGCAGTAAATTTGTTCTGTGCTTCTGTGCCTCTGTCTCCCATGGGGAAGTCATGGGGAGTGGTAGGGTGGGTGGCAGGATTTGGGTATTTCTTGGTCCCTGGCCATACCATCTCATTGCCACCTTTCCTGTTATTAGCCTGAAGTAGCTATCAAAGCAGGGCAAAACTACTTCCTTTAATGGGACTTTTGCTCCTAGAAGTGTTGAGATATCAGGCATAGAGAAATTGTCTAGCCATTAGACAAATTTCCCAAGTCTATATATTTAATGCAATAACACCTCACCACTACCCTAGGGGTTCTCACTCTTCAATCTGCCCAAGAATCATCTGGGGAACTTATAATACAAGTTCAGATTTATGTGCCTCACATCCAGGGTTTTTGATTCACTCATTGCCAATAGTGCTGAAAATCTGCGTTTCTAACAAGTACCACAAATTGTTATGATGTGGAAAATATTACTTCATTGAAACAGGTAGGAAACTCACCTTTTTATTTTGTCTTGGCAGTAAATCTTTTTAATATTCAAAAAAATTAAAAAGAATCCCCATAGAGCAGGGAGGGGAATGAAAAATTCAAAGGGCTTTTAAGATAAAACACAAAAATTCAGACTGCTGGTGGGTTATCAACTCCTATCCCCAGCAATCTGAAAAATAATTAGACAGTGTCTTCAGAAATGTCATATGTCTGACAGGAACAGCACAGGAGCCACCAAGCATTTTTAGAGAATGAAGCCACAATGAGACTCTAATATGCCACCTGGGTTCCATTTCAGCTCTGCCACTCTCTAATTTTCCCTCCATTTCTGCTTCAGATAGAATCCACTCATGAAAACAGAAACACAGCAGTGATTTTTAATGGTGAAATTAATCTGGGGTATTGGTTAAACAGATAGTAGAAGATTGAAAAGACAAAAGAGAAACATTGATGTAATAGGAAGAAGCCACCACTTCTAGGGCTGAGGAATCAATGCAAAGCAGTTAGGGTATCAGGGCTTAGAGCTTGGGGGAGAGACCCCTAGGGCTGGGACTGAGACCTCTCAGGAGGGCACTGTCCAGCTGGTGCTAGTACCTCTGAAGGGTACAATGAGAGTGGGGATATGGGGACAGACTGGAAACTGGACCCAATTGTGACTACCACAAGAAGCGTTGCTGGGTGAAATAACAGAAATAGCAAGCAAAACAGAAAACAGCAAATCCCTTCTCCCTCCTTCCACCTTGTAGCCTCCCTCTAATGCCTCCTGTGGCAATGCCTAATAGCAAGCCAGGTGAAATGTGGCTTGTGGAGTCCCAGCCCCATCACTACAAAACACAGTAGAGAAGGATGGATTTGGACCTGAGGGACAATAGCTTGATAACTACCACCATCTACCCCTTTGGCTACTCAGCATCCACACACAGCCTTCTATACATTATTTGCACTTGTATCCACAAACAAAAACCACTTTGTGCTTTGCATAACAAGATGAAACTGGTGTCCAAATAAAGATGCCCTCATCCTCTCCTTGAAATGGGAGATACAAACTTCCAAGAATCATTCATGCGTTCATCTCTGGGCAATGTTCATTCTTCTCAAATTTGGCCACAATCCCATCTGGATAAAGACTAAATTGTAAAGTTAACCACAGACAACAATATTTATGTAAAATAATAAGGGGAAGGAGGAAAGGCAGAAAAAGAAATTGATTTGTATACACAAATAAATATATACATAACAATTAAGGAAGAAGCTATGCAGAGCTGCTACCACGTTTATTCCTGCAATTGGCCATGAGTCCCTAGTTGATATTTGTAACTTTTTTCTTCCACTACTTAGTCCCTGTTTCCTTTGCCCTCATCAAGGCCTCAGTTGATCGGTTCTTTACCTGGTGGAGTGACGCAAGCTTTCTTTTTGGAAGAATCTGAATCCACAATGGTCCTGTGTGTCGGTCATTACAATTTTCCTTTAACTTTTATTATTGGGCATAAAAATATGAAGAGAGGTCCCAGAGAGTCCCTAGGTTCTAAATATAGTCCTTTCTGCTCCCATGATGTTGTAGCATCCTAGTTTCCTCTTGGTAATAAAGAGCAAGTATCCTGGCCAGGAAAGCAACCCCTTCTTTGCTTGCTGGTTCAGGGTCATGAGAAGCTCAGAATGGCCAAGTGGCAGTGTCACTTTTCTATTGTTGTGTCCCTTGGTACACAACAGTAAGACTAAGACCTCCCAGGTCAAAGTTGAAAGACAGTCAGAAAAAATAATGTGAGTAGATTATCAGGTGTGATAGTGAGAGGAGTCACTCCTACTTTCTCTCCTTAATTTCTAGACCCATGTATTCTGACAATGAAAGAAACAATGCTGTATATTGCTTGCTGGTTTAAAGTATGTACTTTATCCTGGAGATGAAATGACATCTATGGCGGATGCTGTGGAACACTGCTCAGATCCACCTTAAGACTGAGGCATTTATTCCCCCAACTACCAGAAGTGTTGCCTGCTGACCGTTCATACTACACTCCTCTCTGGGCATTTTCCTCAGCAGGAAAGAAGGCCGCCTTGACCAAGATTATGTCCCCTTCTTGGTGGCAACCTGCATCCAGTCGCTGGCCGATACGGGAATACAAAGGCCTGGCACCTTAACTTCAATTTGGAACAATTCTGAAGCAGCATTCAAGCTCCAGGAAGACCTAAGCATTCAGCTGAAGCCTATGTTGCAACTGCATCATAGTTCAACTTTTCCCTTTGTGCAATTTGGCTACCCTCACTCCCATTAGGCATTGTTTCCTAGAGCATTCTCCAACAAATCTATGGCATTCAAGTGACCCCCTCAGCATCTCTTTCTAGGGAACCTACCCAAGATGCTATCTAATCAGGGTGATATCTCCTTACTGGTGCTATAACTGAACCTTCAGTAAGCCATTCTACCATTCTTTTGGGCTAGCTGCTTCTGGATGATAGAGGATGTAATTATAGCAATGAATTTTATGAGCATAGGATCATTGCTGTACTTCTTTTGCTGTGAACTAAGTTCTTTGATCAGGAGCAACGTTTTGCAGAATACCATCATGGTGAATATAGCATTCTGCACACCATATACGATGATGCTGGTAGAAGTATTAAAGTGAGGGAGGGCAAATCCATAACCCAGAATATGTGTTTAGTTGAGTAAGGACAAATTGCTGCCCCTCCTGGAAGGAGTCCACCATGATCCAGCTGCCATCAGATATTTGGCTGTGATCTTCAGGGAATAGTGCCACACTGAGGACTCAGCATTGGTCTCTGCTTTTGGTAGGTTAGGTACTCAACAGTGATGGTAGCCAGATTAGCTACTAGTTTTAAGCTCATGCATCGCCTTCATGCTTTCATCATGGTAGCCTGCATCCTGTGTACATGGGCTTATCAAGGAAACACTGATGTCTGGGGGAAAAGACTGACTGATATCCACAGAATACACCAGCTTGTTCACCTGACTGGTAGAGCCTCCTTTGCAGTGGATGCCCTTGGGTGAGTGTTCACAGGGAACACAACTATCTTTACACTCTGTGCCCACTTTGAGATATCCTTATACTTGTTCACCATACTTCCTGTTACTCACATTCCAATCTTGTTCTTTCTGAGTCCTTGAAACCTAGGACACCACTCACCTCTGCCTATGAACCAACATCGATTGTATTATTGGCCATCTCTCAGCTCAGACAACATGGACAACCAAATGTCCTGCTTGAAGTTCTGCTCGCTAGGATTTCCATTCTACCCTATTTCTAGCATCTTTCAGGGACACTCCTGATGGGTGTCATAATGCTTCAGCAGTCCACTGTTGTGCAGAATAACGTATACACAAGACCTAAGATTTTTTCTCCTCAGTCATCTAGCTGGGAAGAGCTCCCTACTAGGCCATAGGTTTGGATTGTAGGAGAAGATGCCACACAGTAAGAGTAAGTGTAAGGCTCTGAACCGCCTGTTTATGTAGTTACTTGTAATTCTAGACCTGCTCATGTCCAAGTTCTTAAATACCATTTTTACTTGATAATGAATCACTGCTGTGCATGCTCAAACTTACAGTTGTGTGGGTCAGATATGCTCAGGTCATGATTGGCAGCTCAGGGGTCATTCAGTGTCCTAGGGTGATGCAGGGCCCAGTAGCCAGGGCCCAGTAAAGAATCATGAGCTGTGTCTCAAAAGAAGAATAGCTGCCTGCAGAAGCAGCATGGATTTTCTCTAAAACCCTGGAGGCCTGCGCTGTGGTTTTATCTATGATTACTCTGTACAGCATCACTACTTACCATAGATACTTTAAGTATCATTGTCTATTAGGGTTCTCCAGAGAAACTGAACCAATCGCATGTAGATATAGATACTGTTCCATGGTAAGCAGGTTTATGCAAACCTATCCTCAAAGGCCATGGAAGCTAAGAGGCTGAGGAAAGAGGCTGACAAATCCAGTTTCTCAGAAAGGAACATATAATAGGGACTTAAGAACAGAGGCCATGCTCCTGGAAGCCATGAGACAAGATGGTGGATCCTATACCATTACTCACCAGACCCAGAGCTTACATACCTCAGGGAAAGGGTATGTATGCTTCAGAAGGGATGTGTAGAACAATTGCTTAAGGTCAGGATTTATGGTAAGTACTATAACATTAAAGTTGTTTTGATCTAAGGGCAGGGCTTACAGTAAGTACATGCTCTCATGCAAGGAACAGTAGATAAAACAGACTTTTTTTTTTACTATACTTTAAGTGTTAGGGTACATGTGCACAACGTGCAGGTTAGTTACATATGTATACATGTGCCATGTTGGTGTGCTGCACCCAGTAACTCGTCATTTAACATTAGGTATATCTCCAAATGCTATCCCTCCCCCCTCCCCCCACCCCAAAACAGGCCCTGGTGTGTGATGTTCCCCTTCCAAAACAGGCATTTTAAAGGCATTCCTGGAACGAGTTAGACAGCAGTGAACACGGTGGGTTAGCATCTAAGAGGGAGTGGCTGTAGCCTCCACAGATGTATAGCTATATAGAAAGATATCTATTTAAATTTTGTTGACTTTTGGTGATGTCAGCCCTGTAAATATAGGATACAAGTTTCTTTTAGGACCACCACAGAAACTCTCTGGTTCTCTGACTGTGACTTGAGCTGAATTTAAAGACCTGAGCTTGTTACTTTTCCTTTTATAAGTATTGCAGGGCATTCTGAAGTGGCCATCTCCATCCCACAGAACTTGCAGTTCATCATTATTGTCATAGTGATTAAGTGTAGCAGCCAGTTGGTCCCCAAGGCATTTGCTCCAATAGGCAATTTTTCACAACCTACTACAGGTGCTATTTTTATTAGTTTTGATGCCACTTCATGCCATGATCTACTAATATCCCATGTTTCATTGATGAGGACTCAGCATTGTATTTGAGGCCAAGAATATGACCAAATCAATTCCAGAATCCCATCTTCACAGGTATGTTTCCTAACCCCACTGTGAATACGACATATCAGTCAGAATCACTTAGGGAAACAGAAACTATACCAGTTATTTTAATAGAGAGAATTTGGTATAGGAAATTAGTTTAACAGATACTGGAGGATTGAAAAGGCAAAAAATAAACACTAAGAACACTTAGACTTAGTGAAAGCAGGCTGGGGGAACAAAAGGAAGAGGTTGGGCTTATATTAGAAATCAGAAGCTTGGATAAGGGCCCTTGTGGAGCTGGGATGCAGCTCTCTGAGTAGAAAACGTCCTTCAGCTAATGCTGGCATCTCAGGAGCTTGGACAAAGAACAGTGGCTGGTGTTGGTTTCCCTGAAGGGGCACAGTGAGGCTGATTGGAGGGCAGGAGGAGGGTTCTGGAAACTGGAACTGTTACTGCCAGGAAGAAGAACTGTTGTTGGAGTGACACTGACAGTAACAGCAAGCAAAATAGAAACTGCTAAGTGCCTTCTCCTTTCTCCCACCTTGAAGTCTCCCTGTAGCACCCCCTATTGGCAAAGCCTAACTGGAGCAGCCTGGGAAAGGAAAAGTGTGCTTTGAGAGTCTGAGACAAAGAGAAGTTTAGAAAGGTGGGTTTGGAGCTGAGTCACCATAGCTTAATAATCAGCATAGTTTTCTTGACTGTAACCTGGTTGTTAAAAGAATGAAATTATGTCACCTATATTAAATGTATAGAATTACACCTGGTACATAGTAAGTATTCAATAAATGTTTCCCCTTCACTCATCAATTGAGATGATCGTGTGTTGTTTTTTCCCCTTCATTCTGTGAATATACTGCATCACATAGATTGATTTTTGTACGTTGAACCAGCCTTGCCTTCCACTTGGTCATGGCATATAGTCCTTTGAATATGCTATTGAATTCAGTTGGTTAGCTTTAAAAAAAAATTGCTATTTACCATCTAGACAGAGGTGGGGCTTTTGGAAGAAGCAGCTGAGTCAAACGGACCTTGAAAATGTAATTGGAGAACTTTCTGATCTTTCTGCTCTGAAAGCAGTTCCAGTTTGCATTCATGAGCTGTCTAAAGGAGGGTGATCTGTTTCCTCTACTCTCTCAGGCTTCCCAGTTATTCTTAGTGGATATAGCTAAAGGCAAATGGAAAACATAAATTGAGTGATTTAGAAGACAGTTTTGAGATCCTAGCTTTTTTCTAAATGTCAGGGATTGTTTTGACTGTTAACTTAGGAGTTAAGAACCTGAAAATAATGGCAGGCTAACTTACCAGAAATTTATAGTTAAAGAGAAAATCTGGCTTTCCTGGATCTCTGATCTAGCTCAGTGGGAAAAAGGGCAGCCTGTTCCTATAGCAACTCCACTCCAGCCTTGCTGCTCCAAGGCACATCCAGGAAGATACCTCAGGGGTCACCTGCTTGCTTTTCCATCTGTTTGGCAGTGAAGTAGGAGATTACAAGCCTTGTCCTGTAGCAGGGAGAGGCATTTTCATGGGGAAAAATGTCCTTTGGTCTCCTAGAAGCATTTAAGGTTAACCTGGGGTTGGGTTTCCTAAGATTTCTTGATGATGAATCACCTGAGGTCCTTCCCTTGGATATTTGGTTCTGTTGGTCTGAAATGGGAGCTCACATTTTGTCCTTTAAAAAAGTGGCCCATGTGATTTCTTTGTCAAGGGAAGTTTAGGAAGCCCTGCCTTAGGGCAAGACGGCAGCCCTCTCAATTCTGCAAAAGGAGCTAATATAATATTTAATTACTGCAGAGAGCATCGGCTTGAATAAAATCTGTCTAGGAAGGAAAGAAGGCTACAGTTATTAATCAGTGGAGGAAGAAACTCATGGGGCTGTTTGGAAGTTTTGCAGTCATGAATGACAGATAATGTTATTGAAAATTAAACTGTCTTCTCTACATCAACTTGGGTTTGGTTGTAAAACATAGTAGGTTCCAAAACACAGCTGGTTGTTTCACCTTGAAGACCAGGAACTGTGTGGCCACCATGGAGGGAGGGTCCGAAGCATGTGTCCTAGTGAGCCAGGTCATATCTGATGCTTATTCAACCACTGGCAGTGATGCAGTGCATAAAAAGGTTTCCTATGACGTTGTTCCTCTCCCAAAGCTGGAATTACTCCCCAAACGCAGAAAGCAAAAGGCATGTGGGGCTGGCCAGAAAAGAACAGGATCTCAGGGCTTTGTGAGAACTGTTATTAAAGTTTAAGTATCATCACAGCTAGGGGTTCTTGAAGTAGATAGGAATACACACGCAGTCAAGAAATAGGTGTCTGTCTATTCCTAATGAACTGAACCACTAGGTAAATCAGGTTAGACTCCTGTGCATGTGTGGATATATCAAGGGCCCCATTCACTGCTGGAGACCCTTGAGGGAGCTCTGCCATTTCTACAAAGTTGGGTAGGACAAAAACAGGGTCTTATGGCAGCGTCTTAAATTGCTATAGAAGAGTACCTCCTGGGGCCAAGGCAGGAGGAGCACTTGAGTCCAGGAGTTTTGAGACCAGCCTGGTCAACATAATGAGACCCTATCTCTACAAAAAATTTTAAAAATTGGCTGAGCATTGTGATGTGTGCCTGTAGTCCTGGCTACTGGAGAGGATGAGGTGGGAGGATCGCTTGACCCAGGAGGTTGAGGCTGCAGTGAGCTATCATTGTGCCACTGCATTCCAGCTGGGTGACAGAGTGAGACCCACACCCTAAAAAAACAAAACAAAACAAAAAAAAGAAAAGAAAAGAAAAAGAAAGAGAAAGATGGGCTCAATAAGTTAATTTTTGAATGTGTGAATGAATGAATGTGAATTAGAGAGACAGCTTGTCATTGACTTGCAAAACAGAGACCTCCACTTGTTGACAATACATGAGAAAACTTCAGGCTTCATTTCTCAGACCTTTATTCTTCTAAACAAGGTCCAGCCCTCTGTGTGTTACACCCTGTTAAGCACAAGCCCTAAGTTCTTCTATAACTAATTTGGACCTGTGATTCCTTGGTTCTCACAATCCTCTCCACTCTAAGAAGCAGGGTGAGCCCACAAGGAGCAATGGAGCAGGGCAGCGGCCGCTTGGAGGACTTCCCTGTCAATGTGTTCTCCGTCACTCCTTACACACCCAGCACCGCTGACATCCAGGTGTCCGATGATGACAAGGCGGGGGCCACCTTGCTCTTCTCAGGCATCTTTCTGGGACTGGTGGGGATCACATTCACTGTCATGGGCTGGATCAAATACCAAGGTGTCTCCCACTTTGAATGGACCCAGCTCCTTGGGCCCGTCCTGCTGTCAGTTGGGGTGACATTCATCCTGATTGCTGTGTGCAAGTTCAAAATGCTCTCCTGCCAGTTGTGCAAAGAAAGTGAGGAAAGGGTCCCGGACTCGGAACAGACACCAGGAGGACCATCATTTGTTTTCACTGGCATCAACCAACCCATCACCTTCCATGGGGCCACTGTGGTGCAGTACATCCCTCCTCCTTATGGTTCTCCAGAGCCTATGGGGATAAATACCAGCTACCTGCAGTCTGTGGTGAGCCCCTGCGGCCTCATAACCTCTGGAGGGGCAGCAGCCGCCATGTCAAGTCCTCCTCAATACTACACCATCTACCCTCAAGATAACTCTGCATTTGTGGTTGATGAGGGCTGCCTTTCTTTCACGGACGGTGGAAATCACAGGTATGGCGTGTCTACTGGGGGAATGCACTCCTTCTAGCCATCTCCGTCATGATCTGTGGCTGTTTGGTCCATGAATAAGGTGTTGGGAGACTGTGAATCTCTTCTTAGCCTGTTGCCCACGATGGCAGCCTTGGTTCTGTGAATGGTGCTTTGGACCATAATGTACCTGTGTTTTCTGCTCACATTTCAGGCCCAATCCTGATGTTGACCAGCTAGAAGAGACACAGCTGGAAGAGGAGGCCTGTGCCTGCTTCTCTCCTCCCCCTTATGAAGAAATATACTCTCTCCCTCGCTAGAGGCTATTCTGATATAATAACACAATGCTCAGCTCAGGGAGCAAGTGTTTCCGTCATTGTTACCTGACAACCGTGGTGTTCTATGTTGTAACCTTCAGAAGTTACAGCAGCGCCCAGGCAGCCTGACAGAGATCATTCAAGGGGGGAAAGGGGAAGTGGGAGGTGCAATTTCTCAGATTGGTAAAAATTAGGCTGGGCTGGGGAAATTCTCCTCCGGAACAGTTTCAAATTCCCTCGGGTAAGAAATCTCCTGTATAAGGTTCAGGAGCAGGAATTTCACTTTTTCATCCACCACCCTCCCCCTTCTCTGTAGGAAGGCATTGGTGGCTCAATTTTAACCCCAGCAGCCAATGGAAAAATCACGACTTCTGAGACTTTGGGAGTTTCCACAGAGGTGAGAGTCGGGTGGGAAGGAAGCAGGGAAGAGAAAGCAGGCCCAGCTGGAGATTTCCTGGTGGCTGTCCTTGGCCCCAAAGCAGACTCACTAATCCCAAACAACTCAGCTGCCATCTGGCCTCTCTGAGGACTCTGGGTACCTTAAAGACTATAAAACAAAACAAAACAAAAACATCAAACCAATGAAATAAAATAAATCATGTCTCCTGCTAGAATAGTATTGGATACCTGACTAAATTACACAAAATAGACCATAATAGGATAGCGCTGTGAATACATCCTTCCCGATCACTGAGTCACAGTGACCCTTGGCTGCTGCTGTTCTCTTCTGCAAGGTTGAAGCTTGACGTGTGATGAACATGGGTGGGCTCTTGGTCCACCCCAGGCTGGGGCCTGCGCCAAGCATGAACTAGCTGGGACCAGTGGCTGACAGAACACAGGACTTCCCTAAGTACCCGTAGGTCTGTGGAGCAAGACAGAGCAGAGTTGCCATGTCAACACATGGGGAATGATATGATAGAAACAATCTTTATGACTAAAAGAAACTCATCTTCTTCATTAAAAAAACTTTGGTGTCCTTAATCTCTCTGAATTTGGCTGTGTAATAAACAACTGGAACTGACTCACAGACTTTAGAAGAGACAGTTTAAAACCATTAGGTTTTAAAAGAAAATATTTGCTTTGGGCTTCAAAGGCAATGCCACTCAAGGTAAGGGTGGTACATCCTAAAGGAAGACACAGGATTAAGCAATTCTTAAAAAAATTTTGACATAGCGTTTGTATATGGAGCAACTTTTACTAATTTTGATCAGAAGTATCTAGGTTTCCAAGGATATGAGTGAAGTAAGCTTGGTATATTATTGTTGTCATTTATGTTATATCTTGGGGACAAAACCTTTTCACATACACTGTCATGTTTGATGATAGGTGATAAGTGAAAATGATTTCATTTAAAGAAACTAGCTTTATGTTCAGCAGATCCCTGAGACACTGGTCCCTAGCTGAGGGCCATTGGTTTTGGAGAAGAAGTTTGGTGACAAGGACCAGGCTGAGCATCACCAGTGGCATGCTGACCAGCAGATGACATTTTGGGCCCCTCATGCCACCCTTGCCTTGAGTGCTTCTCTGACTGTCTCTCCCCAGCCCCCTGCCATTTTCACCCACCCCATAATTTTATGTTCATAAATTTGGGCTACAATGAACATCAAAAGTAGCTCAAAAAAGAAAATGTTATTAGGAAAAGGGCATCCCCACATACAGCTGGGTAGGGCAGAGCAGCCAGTTTGTCTTGGAGATGCCTAGAGTCAGATATGCAGGGAGGTGGCCTGGAGGGTTGGGATGGTTATTTTCTGGCACCAACAATTCCTGTTCCAAGACAGAGGGAAAAGTGCTAATGTAGAGGTCATTTATGCTTCCAAAGAGAGTGCTTCAGGGCTAATGGCTTCAAGAGCTCGAGGTAGGAGTAGGATCTGCAGCAGTCAGGGATCAGAAAACAGGAATTTGTTCATTAGTGCAATATTTATTTATTGAGCATCTACTCTGTGTCGGTCTGGGTCCATCAGGTGGAAATATAACTTAAAAATGTCACCAAGAAGAGAGCATACATGGTTCTGCCCTTGCAGAGCCTCTAGTCTAGTAGTCTAGTGGGGGAGAAAGATACGGATTCATTATCTGTATTAATCATCTATTAATTATTCTCTGACACCACTGAGAAGTCCTGTAGCCCTAAGAGGGATTTGGACTCATTAAAGGGTCATGAGGCTTGCTTCGGAAGTGAAGTCAGGGTCATTGCCTTGCATAATCCCAGAAAGCACTGTTCACAGGGTGTCTGTGGACCTGTGGAGACTGTGCTAGGAGCTAAAGGAACAGTGGCTGTCTCCTAGACAAAGAGGAGAGGGCAGGAGGGAGGGGCCTGGCAGAGCCCCATGTGGGAGGCAGTGTTATGAGGCATTCAGCAGGTTGTGTAAACCTTTTTATTTTTCTGCTGCTGCAACCCTCAAACAGAGGTGCCTTCCAGTAACCAAGAAATTACACCCACCGATTTTCTTGCTTTGAGACAACCACTCATGCTCTCTATTTCTTTATTTGGGAATTTCAGGGGCCAATCTGATGGGAAGCCCACTGTGTGGCTCCTAAACTCTGACTTCCAACCAGGTCCTTGCTACGTCTCTGACCAGCAGGACACATTCTCGACAGAGTTTCTGTTTTGTTGTCCAGATATTTGCCTTTTATCATTCTTTCACTCAGTATCTCATCAGGGATGAACCATGGGAAACTATGATCTGGGGCACTGATTGGAGTCCAGCTCCTGGCTATGCTCTTCTCCCTTAGATTATCAGTGGAGGAAGCAGCCCTGGCTCAAGGCGGGTACCTGAAGGTTTGGTGTCCAGCCAGAACCCACAGGGCCTGGTCAACCTTGTCAGTCTTGTCAAACATTTTAGGCTTTGTTTAAAGAGCAGTTGGGAAGCCATGGAAGTGTTTTTTGAAGAGGGAGCTGCGATCACATTTTGCACATTGACTGGTTAGGGCAAGACCCAGAGGGCATATACGGGTATAATATTCACTTTGCTGGTGACATTCAGAGCTAAGTGACCAGAATATCGGGAGCCATTTCTCCCCTCTCCTCCATCCTCAGCCTGGAGAGGGGCCATGTGGTGGGCATGCTCTGTGGATCTACACAGAATTAAAAATAAAGTTAAAAGGTCTTGTTGATTACAGGAAACGAGTTTCTTTTCTTTTCTTCTCTTTTCTTTTCTTTTTTTGAGATGGAGTTTCGCTCTTGTTGTCAGGGCTGGAGTGCAATGACGTGGTATCAGCTCATTGCAACCTCTGCCTCCCAGGTTCAAACGATTCTCCTGCCTCAGCCTCCTGAGTAGCTGGGATTACAGGCATGCACCACCATGCCCAGCTAATTTTGTATTTTTAGTAGGGATGGGGCTTCTCCATGTTGGCCAGGCTGGTCTCAAACTCCCAACCTCAGGTGATCTGCGTGCCTCAGCCTCTCAAAGTGCTAGGATTACAGGTGTGAGCCACCGCGCCCAGCCACGAGTTTCTTAAGAACTTGTTATCTCCTGGGAGCAATTTGGGCTGGGTTTTTTGCCTACAGTGACTGATAACAGCTGATGGTTTTGATGGAGAGGAAAGGGATCATCCAGGTTTGAGAAACAAGGCTCAGACACCAAGGGGAAGAAGCTTTCACAAAGCTCTCAGGACTTTTCTTTCTCCTTTTTGGGCCACTGGAGGGCAAATCTCTTGTGCAAGGAGGCTCTGTTTTCACTGCCCTCTGGGAAGTGCCTTCTAGAGGTGGAGGGCTTTCCAGAGATCCCAGTCACATTCCCTTCTGCTCTGCAGGCCAGGCACTGGTGTAAGTTTCAAATTCACCACATGGCTGTCTGCTACAAAACCAGCCCTTTGACTGCTCTCCTTACTTTTTCTTTTTTAGGTACAGCATAAAAATAAAGCCTCCTTTTTTTTCTGGAGAGCTGGCCTTGAGTCTCTGTTTTCAGCTTCAGACCTCTGGGGCTTCTCCGGTCCTGTTAGATGACTAACAGTGAAAATCTGTTGTTTAGCGTAGCCACCTCCATCAATGATCTTAGCCAGATCTTCTGAATAACTTGCTGCAGCTTCTAAATCAGCACTTGCTGCTTCGCTTTGCACTTTTATGTTATGGAGATGGCTTCTTTCCTTAAACCTCATGAAGCAACCTCTGCTAGCTTCCAACTAGCTGTTGATGACTGTTAGATCAGTGGAGTAGATTGCACCGAAGCTGAATACTGCTGGGTGGCCGTTCCCCTAAACAGAAGCTCTTCACAGTAACCAACGGGTAGACACCTTCTTACTTACCTAGAGGAGAGAGGCTCCAGCACACAACACAGAGGCTGATGTGGTCTAGATATCAGTAGTGTCCCCACCCGTCACAACCTGCACTGTTTGGAGTGACTGCAGCTCACACCACTCAGCATTTACTGAAATGTCTCACTCAGAGCCCTTTACGCAACCAATGCTTGGTTTCTGTTGAATAATAAATGTGATATGAATACATGAAAAAATGTTCAAATACATAATGAGTAACCATTCTAGCTTGTTAGCTGTTTTTGTTGTTTTTCACATTGCAAAAAATTTCAAACAAATACAAGCGTACATAAAAGAGTACAGGAAGACCTCATTTTATTGGACTTTGCAGATTTTTTTTTTTTAACAAATGGAAGGTTTGTGGCAATCCCATGTGGAGCAAGTCTCAGTGCCATTTTTCTAACAGCGTGTGCTCACTTTGTGTGTCTACATCACATTTTAGTAATTATTGCAATATTCCAGACTTTTTCATTGTTATTATATCAGTTATGGTGATCTGCAATCAGTGATCTTTAATGTTACTGTTGTAAATGTTTTGGGGCACCATCAACCTTGCTCATATAAGATGATGAACTTACTTGATAAATGTGTGCACTCTGACTGCTCCACCCACTGGCCATTCTCCCGACTCTCTCCCTCTCCTTGGGCCTTCCTATTCCTTGAGACACAACAATATTGAAATTAAGCCAACTAATAACCCTACAATGGCCTCTAAGTGTTCAAGTATAAGGAAGAGTCGCATGTCTCTCACTCAAAATCAAAAGCTCACTTGAAATTAAGCTTAGTGAGGAAGGTGTGTTGAAAGCCCAGACTGGCTGAAAGCTAGGTTTCTTGTACCAAATAATTAGCCAGTTGTGAATGCAAAAGAAATGTTCATGAAGGAAATTAAAAGTGCTACTTCAGTGGATACACGAATAATAAGAAATTGAAACAGCCTTATTAGTGATGTGGAGAAAGTTTGAGTGGTCTGGATAGAAACCAGCTACAACATTCTCTTAAGCCAAAGCCTAATCCAGAGCAAGGCCCAAATTCTCTTCAATTCTATGAAGGCTGAGAGAAGTAAGGAAGCTGCAGAAGAAAAGTTGGAAGCTAGCAGAGGTTGCTTCATGAGGTTTAAGGAAAGAAGCCATCTCCATAACATAAAAGTGCAAAGCGAAGCAGCAAGTGCTGATTTAGAAGCTGCAGTAAGTTATTCAGAAGATCTGGCTAAGATCATTGATGGAGGTGGCTACACTAAACAACAGATTTTCACTGTAGATAAAACAGCCCTCTAGATGGAAGACCATCTAATTCTTTCACAGCTAGAGAGGAGAAGTCAGTGCCTGGCTTCAAAGCTTCAAAGGAAGGGCTGACTTTCTTGACTTAGGGGCTAAAGCAGCTGGTGGCTTGAAGCTGAAGCCAATGCTCATTGACCATTCCAAAATCCCAAGGCCCTTAAGAATAATGCTAAATCTACTCTGCCTGTGCTCTAGAAATGAAACAACAAAGCCTGCATGAGAGCACATCTATTTATAGCATGGTTTCCTGATTATTCTAAGTTCACCGTTGACACCTGCTGCTCAGAAGGATCCCATTAAAAATATTACTGCTCATCGACCCAAGAGTTCTGAGGGAGATGTACAAGCAAATTAATGTTGTTTTCATGCTCACTAAGATAACGTTCACTCTGCAACCCATGGATAAAGGAATGATTTCTATTTTTAAGTCTTATTACTTAGGAAATGGATTTTGTAAGACTATAGCTGCCATAAATAGTGATTGCTCTGATGGATCTGGGAAAAGTAAATTGAAAACCTTCTGGAAAGGATTTATCATTCTAGATACCATTAAGAACATTTGTGATTCGTAGGAGGAAGTAAAAATGGCAACATTAACAGGTGTTTGGAAGAAGTTGATTCCAGTCCTCTTGGATGACTTTGAGAGGCTCAAGACTTCAGTGGAGGAAGTAACTGCAGACATGAAGGGAACAGCAAGAGAACTAGATTTAGAAGTGGAGCCTGAAGATGTGATTGAATTGCTCCAATCTCATGATCAAACTGGAATGAATGAGAAGTTGCTTCTTATGAATGAGTAAACAAAATTGTTCCATGAGATGGAAACTACTCCTGATTAAGATGCTGTGAACATCGTTGTGATAACAACAAAGAATTGAGAATATTTCATAAACTTAGTTGATAAGGCAGCAGCAGGGTTTTAGAGGATTGACTCCAATTTTGAAAGTTGACTTCTGCTGTGGGAAAAATGCTATCAAACATCATCTCATGCTACAGAGAAATCTTTCATGAAAGGAAGAGTTCAACCATGCAGCAAACCTCACTGTTGTCTTACTAAGAAATGACTACAGCCACCTTAACCTTCAGCAAACACCATACTGATTAGTCAGCAGGCATCAACATCCAGGCAAGACCCTCCACCAGCAAAAAGATTATGACTTGCTGAAGGCTCAGATGATCACTAGCATTTTTAAGCAATAAGCAACAAAGTATTTTATAATTAAGGTATGTACATTGTTTTTTAGACATAATGCTACTGCACCCTTAACAGACAAGTATAGTGTAAATATATATATATTTTTAGATGGAGTCTCGCTCTGTTGCCCAGGCTGAAGTGCAGTGGCATAATCTTGGCTCACTGCAACCTCTGCCTCTTGGGTTCAAACCATTCTCATGCTTCAGCCTCCCAAGCAGCTGGGATTATAGGCGCCCACTACCACGCCCAGCTAATTTTTGTAGTTTTAGTAGACACGGGATTTCACCATGTTGGCCAGGCTGGTCTTGAACTCCTGACCTCAAGTGATCTACCCACCTCAGCCTCCCAAAGTGCTGGGATTACAGGCGTGAGCCACCACGCCTGGCCCATAAATATACTTTTATATGCATTGGGAAACAAAAAAATTTGTGTGACTCACTTTATTGCATTATTTGCTTTCTTGCAGTGGTCTGAAACCGAGCCCACAATGTCTCTAAGTATGCCTGTATATGAAACCCCATGTATCTTTCATCCAGCTTCAGTGATTATCTACTCATGGCCAATCTTGTTTAATTTATACCCCCCACTCACAATTCCCCCAGTTGGATTTTTTAAAAGCAAATTCAAGCCATCAAATAATTTCAGTCTAAAATATTTTGTTGTGTATCTTTAAAAGATAAAGACTTGAAAGAATTAGAACACCATTATTATAACTTAAAAATTTACAATTATTTTTGAATGTCATCAAATACCTAATCAGTGTTCAAATTTCCCCAATTTTCCCCCATCTCACTCTCTCTTATTTTTTCTTCTTTGTTTGGTTTGAATCAGAATCCAAATAAGAATTACATTTTGCCAATTGCATCTTAAATTTCTAGCTGTTTCATACTATATTTTGAGAGGCAGATGGTTGGCAAACTATTCATGGTAGCAGATTCATAATTATTAAATTTTACTTTCCAAACAAATATGTTTTACAAGATTTTTCTCCTTCTCTATTAGTTCCCTGAAGCCCTACTACTTCCCTGGAATTAAAAACTTATATTTTTCCCACTTTTAGAATACTATTAGGGATTTTTCTAAAACCAGACTTAGAAAAAAGGAGAGAGAGATCTTCAAATGACTGTTTAGTTGAGAATTATCTGTTGCAGAATAATTTCAAGAGTATCAGGAAACCTTGGCAATCTTCAACATTTTTGGCTTGGTCAGTAAAGCTTTTTAGAAAAAAAATTATTGTTTTCCTTCAGAGATCATAAAAACCCCTTTGAACATCTCAAAAGCACGAACCAGTCTCCTCTTTCAGAAACACAAGAGCAAAGCCTCTTGCTTTACATTAAAATATTACCTGATATAATTTACCTCTCAGATGTTATTGACTGTGGGCCTCTTATCAATGAGCTCTCCATTTTTTGAATTAAAAATGAATATATTTTCTGGACATACCTACAGCTCTTCCTCTGAAAGTGGATATGAATAAGTGTATGTGTGTATATTCACCTACACCCTTATTATGGAATGTGATTTATGAATTTCTTGCCCACTTACTGCTTGTAAATCATCAAGAGTTTTATGTCCCAAGCAGTCAGCAGTGGTTATAAAATCAACAGAGGGATGTACTAAATAAACCTTTACTGGATTGCTCCTAAGGAATTGATGACAAGTCAGAAAGTGCAGACAGCTCCACTGGAATGATTCTCACCTGCCTTTGGGAAAGCACAAAGGTCTCAGATAGGGAAATTTTTTTGTCTTGAGCTTTTAAGATTAATTACCAGATGTTCTGGTAAGGAAATTAGTTTTCTAGGTTCCAGAAGTTTTCTATAACAAAAAAATTTGCCCTCTATCACAAAGCCTACACATGTGTAAATCATAGATGCAAACAAATATGTGCTCTGGAATTTGTGCTTATATACAAGGTATGAGAAGATAGAGATTTTCCTTTTCCAACCCTGCAATTCACTAGTTTAAAAGAACTAATTCAAAAGGGATATAGATACATATACACACATATGTATACATATAATATATATACAACTATATGTGTGTGTGTATATACTCATTTTTTTCAAATATATGAAATATCTCTTGAAGAATACATAAGAACTAGTGATAATTATTTCTGGAGTGGAGGATGGGAGACTCATTTTTCACTTTACTTGATGGCGATTAATGATTTTTTTAAACCATGTTCATATATTAACTGTTGATAAAATTATTTTTGGAATAAAGGAGGAAAAGAAGGAAATGATCTGTCTCTGTGTACTTCTGTTAATCTCATCTTCTTCAGTCCTGGCGTTTTCATTGCATCATCATGCCGCTGCTTACATATGTCATAGGTAAACATGCAAGACACATAGATACAAATGTGACATGTATGCATACATCTACGTGGACACAAATGCATTGTAATATGAATAACACTTTTACATGGACACATATACACAAAGCCTCTTGGGAGGGAGCAGAGGTTCATGTACATGAACGGTATTTCACATATATATACGTTGTTGCTAAAGTCCTCTGCTAGCTAATGGCAGTGTCACAGCAGCACACACAGAATATCAGATCAGATTACCCCACGAGTCTTTCTTTCTTTGATAGATTTCCCAACCCAGCCCTCGCTACCACACCTAGAAAAACTGTTCACTCCTGGCAGACGGTAATTCATTTACGGGGAGCCACCACCTTTGTACCCTGAGAGGTGAAGCTGAAAATAACCTAAGTAATCTGATTCCTCAGCAGAAGGTGGAGTGCAGGGAGGAAGTCTGCACGTCTCCCTTTCGGGGTGTGAGAGGCAGAATCAGTGGCCGCAGTGGCTGCACCTGCCCCCTGGCCCCCTGGTTCCTCTGGCTTGGACTCCTCCTCCTCTCTCTGGGGCTGGTTTGATCCCACCTCAGCCATGAGGGACACCCTGATCTCTCAACAGCCTGAACAGGACTCACGGAAGCATGCTGGGCCTTTGGAACGCTGGGACCGTGGTGAAGGCTCTTTGCCAGCCCAAGTTGCTCTCATGCTCCCTTGCAGGCTTCCCATCCCTGATTCTCTTGGGCTCTGTTGGACCCTGGCTCTTGCTCTCCTCCTTCCCGCTCTGGTTCCTCCCCAGAACTATGCATATCCTCATCATCTGGGGAGCTCTGTGGATCCCAGGTGAAGAACTCTTGTGGAAACCTCTTTTCCAAAGGGTCATGTAGTCCTGTGGCTTTATCTATCATTTGAGACTAGTGAGTCTTACATCTCCTTTTCTGTTTCCCCCAAAGTGAACTCAGAAATTAATGGGCTCACTTTGAAGGAATGGAAAAGACTAGCCTCTCTTCCAGGCTGTTGAGGCAGAGAATTCTATTTGTATACCTAACATCTATTCCCTGACATCAGCAGTTACCAAAGTGTGGTCCATAAGTCCCTGGGACTCCCTGAGACCTTTGTTTGTTTGCTTTTGGCAGAGGGGTTTGGGGTGCATGTTATGCAAGGTCAAAACAAATTAAATAATAATTCTAAAACATTATTTACCTTCTTGATTGAAAGGACATCTGCATTGATGGTATAAAAGCAATAGTGGCTCAAACTGCTGGTGTCTTAGCACCAATCACAGCAATAGCACTGTAGCAGACTGAAAAATGCACACCAACCACCCCCCCATCCCCCACCACAAAGATATCAGGACCTAATCTCTGGAACCTAGTAAATGTTGCTTTATCTGTAAAAAGGGTCTTTGCAGATGTGATTAATTTAAGGAGATGGGGAGATGATCCTAGATCATCTGGGGGGGTCCCTAAATGCAACCACATGTATACCTATAAGGAGACAGAAGGAGACTTTACAGACAGAAGAAGAGAAGGCCATGTGAAAATAGAGGCCGAGATTGGAGTGATGCGGCCACAAGCCAAGGAATGCTGGCAGCCACAGAGGCTGGGAGAGGCAAGGAACAGACTCTCCCTGAGAGCCTCCAGATGGAGTGTGGCCTTGCTGACACCTTGACTTCAGACTTCTGATCTCCAGAGCTATGAGAGAATAAATGTCTGTTGTTTTTTTTTTTTGTTTTGTTTTGTTTTTTTTTGTTTTTTGAGACGGAGTCTCGCTCTGTCGCCCAGGCTGGAGTGCAGTGGCGGGATCTCGGCTCACTGCAAGCTCCGCCTCCCGGGTTCACGCCATTCTCCTGCCTCAGCCTCCCAAGTAGCTGGGACTACAGGAGCCCGCCACTACGCCTGGCTAATTTTTTGTATTTTTAGTAGAGACGGGGTTTCACCGTTTTAGCCGGGATGGTCTCGATCATGTCTGTTGTTTTAAGCCACCTAGTTTGTAATAATTTGTTAGAGCAGCCACAGAAAACTAATACAAGCACCAAACTATCTAGCAATAACTGTTCTTCACCACCGTGCACTCACAGTAAAAACAACGAGGTACAATCAAAATGGCCAGTTTCACTTTTAAATTGCCCTTATTGAAGCAGTAAAAATTATTAATTTTGTTAAATCTCAACCGTTGAGTACATAGCTTTTTAACAGTCTGTGTGATGGAATGGGAGGTACACATAACATGCTTCTGCTGCCTGCATGACTATGATGGTTACTTGGAGGGAAAGCAGTTCTGTGAGTTGCAAGCTGAACTAGCCACATTTCTCATGGAATGCCATTTTTGCTTGGAGGAGTGACTGCCAGATACACCATAGTTATTCAGATGTGTGTACTTTGTAGATATTTTTTCAAAACTGAACAAAGTGAGCCTGCCACTTCAAGAGAAATATCTGACAGTATTAGTTGCCAATGATAACATTCAACCTTTCAAGTAAAAATTAGAATTTTTGAAAACTTATGTTTGTCATCATGAGCTTGACAACTTCTTGAAAGTGTTTTTTTCTTGTTAGATCAGTGGTGATATTTTAAAATGTGATTTAAAAATTATATAATGAAATGTGTCAGCATTTGAAAGGTCTGCATAATTCATTAAACAAACATTTTCCATATAACTATTATGTGATATTGCAATATCATGTGTGGTTAAAAATCCATTCACTATGCAAGATATCCCAGTGAATTTTAACATAAGAGTACAAAATATTCGTTGATATGGTTTCAGATTCTACATTGCAACTAACCTTTAAATAACTACCACATGAATTATGGTATCATACCAAAGAAAAATATCCACAATTACCTGAAAAAGTTTTAAAAACACTTTTATATTTTTCAGTTACATATCTGCATGAGTCCAGATTTTCTCCATATAATTCAAGCAAGATGTCGTATTGTAACAGAGTCAGTGTAGAAGCAGATATAAAAGAGTCTGGCTGTCTCCTATTAAGTCAAACACTGAATAAATTTGCAAAAATGTCAAACAATATCACTCTTTTCACTTTATTTTTTTTCCTTGGAAAGCATATGTTATTTAACATGTAAAGGGCATATAAATATACTTTTTAAATGAATAAACAAATATTTTCAGATTTTTTGGCTTTAATTTCTAATATGGCAAATACTAATAGATATTACTCACATAAATAAAAGCTCTTTGGGGTCCTCAACAATTTTTTAGGGTATAAGAGGTATCAACCTTTTTCAAGACCGAAAAGGTTGAGAACTGCAGTTCTATGTTATTAAGAAGTGGGGCAATGTGCCCATTTAAAAGACTACATTTTCCAGATGCCTTTGCAGCTAAATTTGGTCATGTGGTAAGTTCTGGGTAATCATATATAAGCAGAAGTTTGTAAAAAGGACTTCCCGAAAGCCTACATGGAGAACGAATGGCTGGGAAAATTCCTTTTTTGACTTTCTGCTTTTTCTCATTCTCAGAGAATACATTTGTATATGATTGTGGAAGCCCTAGCAGCTACCTTGAACTATGAGGTGACCTTGAGGATACAAGGTACTTGTAACCAAGATGAAAAAAAGATAAAAAAAAAAACAACGGCTGGATCCCCAATAACTATGATGTTGCCTAATTATCTACTCCAGGCTTCTTTTAAATGGGAGACAAAAAAACCTTTTACATCCTGTTTAAGCCTCTATTATTTCTATTTTTCTGTTACATGTAGCGGAACCTAATCCTACTCTTTCCTTTAAATGTGACAATGTGCTAAGACCAACCACCGAGGACCTAGTTTTAGGATGTGTATTATATAATGATTTCTTCTGTATTTTTAAAATGGGGTTTTCTTTCCATGTCTTAATGTGTGATACTGAAAAAACATTATTCTTCAGGATTAGTAATAAAGGCACTCAGAAATTTGTTCAACTCTGAGCAACAAACATTTCGGGATCTCATGCTATTGGCATGCAGTGAGCCAGGCTCTGAGCACATGTGTCCTCACAGCCCTGTGGGTCATGGGGGTAAATCACCTCCCTCCAGGGCCCAGCACTGTCTTCACAGCCCTGCTGCAGGCCCCACTATCGGGTAACACACTATTCTCAGCATGGAGAGAGAAGCATACCTCTTTGTCACTTAACTTGTGTTTCTGGGGTAGGACTTAAAATTCTCTTGAATAAATTTGTCATCCCCACTCCTTGAACCAGAATGGCCCAAATAAACAAAGAGGCTTCCCTCTCCTGAATTTTGATGGGCTGACATGTCTAATTTCCCTGATAAGCCATGTCATTTGTTCAGTGTTCTCCCATGCTACCTTTGTCAATATAATAACCAACTGAATTTGAAAGTTGCAGAAAGTCAACAGACCTTGTCCATGGACCCACCCTGCAACTAAAATCTTCAAAGCAAAGATAACTTTCTACAGAACATCAGATGGTCTCTTCCCTTGTGTTACACAGAATCTATTGCCATTAACTGGTGGCATCATAGGTGATGGGTAGGTAAATGAGAGATACCCAAAAGCCTTACTCATAAAAACCAGGCAGATTCTGTAAGGGGCAACATGTTTAGAGTAAGCAAATCTCTACCATACTCCTTGGGTTCAGGATGGATTCAGGCTAGACCTAACCACGGCACAGCTTGGTGAGGCTAAAACATGATAATATATGATCAAAAACTACAAACTCCGCAGAGCTGTATGTCAGCTATAGTTATTAACTTGTGCTCTCTTGATAGGGAAAGAAAATTCAATTAAAAGTTTAGGCTGAATTAGAATATTGGGTTTGCTACTTGTTTGCTGGGTGACTTTAGGCAAGTTGCTTAACCTTGCTGAGCACAAGAAATAATTAGGTACAGTCCAGGGGTATCCAACCTTTTGGTTTCCCTGGGTCACATTGAAAGAAGAAGAATTGTCTTGGGCCACACATAAAATACTCTAACACTATGATAGCTGATGAGCTAACACACACACACACACACACACACACACACACACACAAAATCTCATAATGTTTTAAGAAAGTTCACGAATTTGTGTTAGGCCACATTCAAAGCCATCCTGGGCCACATGCAGCCTGTGGGCCACGGGTTGGACAAGCTTGATGTACACCTTTTCAAATACTGATGTTCATTTTAGCAGATGGACTAACATGGGTAAAAAGGTGCTAACAGAGTTTGAAAAATGACTTTTTTAAAAAATCAATTTTACCCTAACATAACATTTAGGGTTAGATTTGTTTTCTTTTCTTTCTTTCTTTTTTTCTTTTTTTTTTTTTTTTTTTGAGATGGAGTCTTGTTCTGCCACCCAGGCTGGAGTGCAATGGCGTGATTTCAGCGCACTGCAACCTACACCTCCCAGGTTCAAGCAGTTCTCCTGCCTCATCCTATCGAATAGTGGGATTTCTGGCGCACGCCACCATGCCTGGCTAATTTTGAGTTGAGATTGGGGTTTCACCATGTTGGCCAGGCTGGTCTCGAACTCCTGACCTCAAGTGATCTGCCTGCCTCAGCCTCCCAAAGTGCTGGGATTAGAGGCGTGAGCCACAGCACCCGACCTAGATTTGTTCTCATATAACTAAAAACTCAACATAACTTTAACTTAAAGAAGATCAGTTTACTTCTCTGTCACATAAAGGAAGTCTAGAGGTAGGTATTAAAGCACTGCTCCCTCTGTCCTCAGTGGCCTAGGCTCCTATCTTCCTCCTGTGCCATCTTCCTTCAGCATGTGGCTTTCCTCTTGAAAGTCACCTTATGGTCTAAGATGGCTGCTGAAGCTCCAGCATTATGTCCATGCTCGAAGCAGAAGGAAAGAGAAACAGACAGGAAAAAAAGAGCATACCTCACACCTGATTCAACTCTCTTAAAGAAAGCCTTCCTGAAAGATCCATGCTGTACTTAACACTTCCACCTTCTGACCAGAATTTGGCCAGATGGCCACACTAAGCTGCGCAGGAGTCTGGGAAATGTAGTCTTCTTGGTTGCTGTTCTGTTACAAAGGGAAAAGGGTAGAATAATTGTTAGGTAGGCAACTAGCAGCCTGTTCCATACTTGGTCCTCTCTCTCTGTCTCTCTGTTTCTCTGTCTCTCTCTTCCTTCTGTCTGGATTCAAATAACTGCTCAAGAATTTGGAATTTAAGAAAAAATGTTTGTTTTGAATTCCTCTGCTGAACCAAAAATATTAACTTTGAAATGCCAAGTATAAATACACATGACAGATGCAAGGTTTTGGCTAAAGAAGTTTGACTTGTAACTTTAGAATAACAGATGCACTTATCAGCAGGAGAGCTGTCAATGAGTTACAGAGCATCTGAGCTGTAAAATAGGCAAGCTTTAACTAAACCATGACACCAAGGACTTGTTTGTATCACATATTTGTCTCATATGGCTGGATTTTTGTGGGATTTTTTTTGATCCCCCATCTTCCTACTTGAAGGACATCAGTTGTTATGGACACAGTGACATTAAATTCATATGGCAAGATTTGACATAAACAAAGTAAAGTAAGTTCATTCCAGAGGCTGTGACTTAATAAGCTCGAATTTTCCAGAATTTAACCTGGTCCCTGAGTTTGGTGGGGACAGGATGGGAGGGAGGAAGAGCAGGAAGCCAGACACCTTTGGGAGCTGCCACGAGTTCTTTGGGAGCATTAGAGCTATATTTGGTGCAATTAAGTTGCTAATTCAGTAAAAACTACACAGTTCCCTTGTGGCCTGGGAAAGTAAAATGCAGCTGCTAAAGGTGGCTGATTTACAAGCCGGGAATGGCTGAGGTACCGGGGGAAATGAGCCAGATTCTTCCAAAAGCCTAAATCACTCTCTTAGTCAGGCGATCAAAACAGCATGCTCACCCTGGGCAGAGCACCAGAGTTGGGCAGCCTCCAAAACTGGCCTTGAAAAAATTCCCAGTTTTTCAGCAGGATTAGACCCTTGCCTCTCCTTCATTCCTCAGAAGGATGCAGAAAGTGTAAGGGATTCCTTAAAGGATCACAGTTCAGTCCCTACACTTTCCCAAACCCCAATCCCGACCCAAGGGAAAACAACGTAAAAGGCAGAGAGGTATGTATTTAGTCTGTGATCTGTTCCATTAGCAAGTTCAGGTCACTGGGGATTGCATCAGGCCAGCTGGGGTGGGCGGGGCTCATCTGAAGGGCTATGCAGACTATCTACCACACATCCTCAGTGGGCACCATTCACAGCATAGTCTAATTTACTGGTTCTCAAACATGGTGGGTGCATATTAGAATTACTTGGGCATTTAAAAAAATCCCAAGCCAGGATGCAACTCAGAACAATTACATCAGACAACCTGGAGGAGGGACTAAGACATCAATAATGTTTAAATTTCCTCCAAATGTTTCCAACATGCAGCTGAGTTTAAGGCCCAGTGGTCTCATTCATGTAGACTTTGATGTGAATGGCACTCCCTGTAGCTGTGCTGAGTATGACCTGCAAAGACATATTTCATAGTCCTAGGTGGAGGTGGAGATGCAAAGAGTTAGCAGAGGACAATAGGGAGATGGGGATGCCTTCTAGGAAAAAAAAGACATGTCAAAAGGAAATCTAGAAAGTGGCCCTCACACCAGCCTCCTGTGACTAGGGTTGCCTGTAGACTGGGTAAAAAAAAAAATAAGACATTCTATTATTTGGGGCTCCTGAACAGTTTACATGATCCCAGATTTCTCTCCTGTTAATCTGCTCTAGTTCCTAATCTTCATTTCTTGGATATTGTCTTAGATATGTATTTTATGTAATTAAAATAGCAACCAACAAACACTCATGCATCACTTCAGAGTTTGCAAAGCCGTGTTTCAATGCCCATTATCCTCACCGGGATGACTCATAAAGTCTCTGCCCCCTGTCTGTGGAGTCCAAGTCCCTTTCTTTCTCAGATCCAGGTGCCATTAGAACTGGAGGATTGGTTTTTCACCAGCTTCTACACAGAGGTTTCCCACCTATGGTGTCTGCTGGGAATTTTTTTTCCTTTGCTGAATTTTTAATTACTGTGAAACAACTTGGAGCATGAGTTTATGGGCAAAATCAGCATTTCCAATGTGGCCTCATCCTTGCTCAAGGTAGGGCCCCAGGTCAAATGGCCGTCTGATCTCCACCAAAGGCCCAGTGTTAGGCACAAAGGAGGCACTTAGCAGCGCTTTGTGGAACAAATGCAGAGTGGATGCTGCGTTGGCAAACCATGCAGGCAGCCACCAGTCAGGAGAAAGGCTCTGGGTGCTGAGAGGGAGACTTACAGCCACAGAAAAGAACGGAATATTCCAAGCTTAAGTAGTTTTAAATTTGGTTGAGGATTCTGGTCTTAGCCCATCTTCAGCCTTGTCAAAGGCAATAGTCAAAGAGGGCTCCCGAAACTGTCCTGGTGAGCCAGAATGCAGGCTGAGTTCACAGTCTGGGTCCTCGGGTGGCCTAACACTCATGTGCAGTCACCAGGTCTCTGGTCCACAGGCAGTAGGAGCAGAGCAGCCAATTTCCTGTAGCCAAAAGACTTGGCCCCTGACTGGCTGAGTGGCTGTGAACACGTCCCTGAAAATTGTCATGCCTCTGTCTCTTTGATCCGACAAGTGGGGTTAATAGTCCCAGCCTCTTAATGTTGCTGTGAGACTCAGCTGCTGTTTAGCACGGCGCTCCATAAATGGTGGCAGTGGTATTATTGCAGGCTCCGGTCTATCTCCGATTTTACTGCCTTCACCAGTGAAAACCAGCAGGGCGAGCCTGGTCTCCTTCCTGTTCCCCACAGCCTGATCTGACAGGCTCTCTATCACCGGGCCATGATGTGTGCTTGTTTCATGGATCAGGAGATAACTAATACTTTTAGCAGGATATATTTGAACTGTAAGGTTCCAGTTCAGTCCTTTTCTTTAAGGACCTAGAATAGTGATTAAGAAAATAAGTTCCGGAGTCAAAATGGGCTCAAAGTTTTGCTCTACCACTGTGCTATATATAGCCTTGATGATAGGGTTTGGCTGCATCCCCACCCAAATCTTACCTTGAATTATAATCCCCATAATCCCCACGTGCTGTGGGAGGAACCTGGTGGGAGGTAATTGAATCATGGAGCCAGTTTCTCCCATGCTGTTCTAGAGCTAATGAGTGAGTTCTCATGAGATCTGATGGTTTTATAAGCGTCTGGCATTTCCCCTGCTGGCACTCATTCTCTCTCCTACTGCACTGTGAAAAGGCACCTTCTGCCATGATTGTAAGTTTCCTGAGGCCTCCCCAGCCATGTGGAACTGTGAGTCAATTAAACGTCTTTTCTTTATAAATTACTCAGTCTCAAGTATTTCTTCATAGCAGTAGGAGAATGGACTAATACACTTGGGCAAGGTTCTTGCCCTCGGTAAAGTGTCAATGTCCACATCTGTGAAATGAAATTGATGCTACTGTTTATGGCATAGGTTTATTGGGAGAATCAAAGGATATAATGCCTGGGACATAATTAGCACGTGATATGGGCAGTCCTGTTTATATCTCCCCTCCCTGTGATCTAGGACTAAAGACTCTCTTAGTAAATTCTCCCATGGTTTCCCATGGCAGTTCTGGCCAACTTCAGCTCTGTTCAACTCCAAGGATGCCGGGAAAGCCCTATTTTCCAGGAGTTTTCCTTCCAAAGTGTCCTCACTTGATGGAAATTTCTTAACTCCAAAAAGAGCTCTTGGGGCCAGGCACAATAGCTCACACCTGTAATCTCAGCACTTTGGGAGGCTCAAGCAGGTGGATCACTTGAGGCCAGGAGTGTGAGACCAGCCTGGCCAACATGGCGAAACCCCATCTCTACTAAAAATACAAAAATTAGTCAGGCATGGTGGTGAGCGCCTGTAACCCCAGCTACTCAGGAGGCTGAGGCCGAGAATTGCTTGAACCTGGGAGGTGGAGGTTGCAGAGAGCCAAGATCACACCACTGTACTCTAGCCTGAGCAACACAGCGAGACTCTGTCTCAAAAACCAAAAACTAACCAAACAAAAAAACCTTACCAGTTTTCACACAGGTACACACAGGTAGTAAGTAATAGAGCTGGATTTAAATACAGGCAATCTCCTTATAAAATCAGCATGATGTGGGGGTGGACAGAGGGAGGTGGCATTAAGCAGTTTAAAATTTGACTTGATAAGGCTGGGGATACCATGCTTAGCCTGTGGTGAAAGTATAGAAAGGATGAAACTAGTTCTGGAGGGTTCTTGCTTTCTAGGGCAATAGCCATCCTTGAAATTATTCTAACATTTGATCACTTGTCTTAGTGTGCCACTTCAAGTCACCTCTCACTTTTTCTCCCATTGTTCCTGCAGGTAGATCATGTCCTGTTTCAGTAGGGATGATATACCTGTGCCAATTCACCTGTGCTATTTAGAACAGACACTTTCTGCCAAGTGTACCACCCCACACCTTGCCAGACTGCTCCACCCAAAAAGCAGGGCCTGGGGTGGGTGACCCACATAAGGTGGCGACTCCTAAACCTAATAATAACTCCTACCCTGTGGGGTCAACTATTTTGTGTTTGTTCATGGCCCCAAGCCCCACCCCATAAATTTGACATCACTTTTTCCATAGCAAATAGTAATCTTCAAATGGAATAAGGCAGGAGCTGCGAGTCCCACAAGAGGCAGCCAGATGAGACCAACATGTTCCTTAAACAATGGACACAGTGGTGTGGTGCACTGCAAGCCTGTGTCTTATGTTCCAGGTGACTTCCATGTCTCAACCCGTGGTTCCTCCACTAACAAGGAATGAGAAAAACTTGCCACTATGGAAACGTGGCAATATGCCACAATATCACATGTCCTAAGAGAGTAGGTATTTATATAGATAGACGTAACTCTCATTGTAAAGTTAAGATGTATTAATGCAACCCTGCATCTGGAGCACGTGCTCATCCTCAACATTTCAAAGTAAGTATTTGGACTTCAGTTCTCTTTGGAATTTACAATAGACTCTGGAGTGTTGCTCTCATTTGTTGTAGGCAGTTCTCACTGAGTGCCCAGGATCAGTTTCCTGGGCCACCTACATGTGCATTGAGATGCTGAATACAAGCTCCTTAAGGTCAGGGCCCTGTATTGTAACAAGTGCATAGGGTCTTACACATAGTAGGTGGCTATGTGTATAGATGAACAGGATGACATAGTGCTACTTAAGAGAGAATGGAATCCACAGGATAGGTTCTATCTAAACACATTTAAGGGCATTCTGTTCCTGGAAGTCCTAAAAGGATATTAACGCATCCTTGACTTCACATCTCAAAGTGTGATCTCCTGACCAGCAGCAGGACATCACCAGGAGCCTGTTAGAAATGCAGAATCTGCCTCCACTCCAGGCCTTTTGAGTCAGTGCCTTCATTTGAACAAGATCTCCAGGTTGGCTGGGCATGGGGCTGTAATCCCAACACTGTGGGAGGCCGAGAGGGGTGGATCATTTGAGGTCAGGAGTTCGAGACCAGCCTGGCCAACATGGTGAAACCCTGTCTCTACTAAAAGTACAAAAATTAGCCGGGCGTGGTGGCACGCACCTGTAATCACAGCTGCTCAGGAGGCTGAGGCAGGAGAATTGCTTGAACCTGGGAGGCAGATGTTGCAGTGAGCCAAGATCACGCCACTGCACTCCAGCCTGGGCAACAGAGCAAGACTCCATCTCAACAAAACAATAAAAAAAAAAGATCTCCAGGTCATCTGTTTGCACGTCAACATTTGAGAAACGCTGGTTGGTCTATGACAACACTGTCATGTGGATGGCTGAGAGCAGTGTTCAAATAACGTTCTGGGGGTGTGTGAGAGGGAAGGAGAGAAAGAGAGAGAGAGAGCAAGAGAGAGAGAGGTGTCACTATTAATAGCTAACATGTGTTGCGTGCTTCCCATGCGGCAGGTGTCTCGCATACACTATCCCGTTGAATCCTCACAGGGAGCCTGAGAGGCAGGTATTACCACTGTTCCATGTGACTAGCTAGCAAGCTGTGGAGACAGAATCAAACCTTCAGATTACGTCCTCTTAGCCATTATGTCATATATACTAGAAGCTGTAGAAATTAATGAAGTTCCCTATTTCTGTAATACCTTGAGAGAATTCTAACTTACAGTCAGATATTGCTTCATACCTGAACCATCTTACACACTGATGAGATTCAGAGCAACCTTTATTCCTTATCCTCTAAAAAAAGTCATAGGAGTAATATATGCTTACTGTAGAACAATTAGAAAACGCAAATGAGCACAAAGAAGGAAAAAAAAACCACCCTATAATGACAAAATAGCTAAAATTTTGTTATATGTTCCTCCTTCCATCATTCTATATATATAATATGAGTGTCTGTATGTGTGTGTATATATTCACTTATACTTTTAACAAAAAAGGAATCATAGTAGCCATACTATTTTGTGACTCCTCTATTTCAAACTGCCTTTAGAATTTTAGGTTTCTCTGGTCTAAAACTTCTCCTCTTCTCTGAACCTGTTTTAATTCCCACCTATCCTTGAAGGCTTAGCCCCAGGTACACCTCCTCCCAGGAGCCTCTCCTGATCACCCAGCCCACGGGTGCCTGGTGTTGGTGGCCACCTCTGCCTGAGTGTTGGTATAACCCACATTCCCCAGCCGCAACACTCAGAACAGGGTCTGAACAATGTTCACAGGACATTGGTCTCAGCCTCCAGCTCCTGCTCAAGGAAATGCAGCAGCCACAGACAGTTCCTTCCTTTAGGTTCAAGGGCTCTTTGGGGTGGCTCATGCATGTGTGCCCTATCTGTCCTCTGCTCTGATCCAATGTCTCTGCCCTCCCCATGTGGGCTGCTCCCTGCACTTACCTAAGACCACTGTGTCAACCCACCTTGTACCGGCTACAGCCAAATGCTCTGCTGCCAACCAGGGTGAACTAGAATGAACAAATGAAACTGGCAATATTCTACTGTTTGTGACCTATCGCATTGGCAATTTCATGATGTTCACACTCTACCTCCTCTCATGCACTGGGATGTGACCACTCCTCGGTTTAGCTCTGACAGTTGTTCCAGTCAATTGGAGGAAAGACTCTGTCCTCATCTGCCTTAAAACTCCACCATTAGGGCACAAAGCAGAGCAAGCTCTCCTCTTGGTTTCCTTCAAGCTTCTGAAAGAGTAGGTCTTTCGTGGACTTTCTTTCCATTGTTAGCACCTTCTCCTTTAGAAGCACAGCTAGTGGCCCTGGATGGGCTGGACAATCTGAGTCACCTGTTCTGGGCAGACTCAGAATGGTGCCTCTTCATTGACTGCTCACCTGTGTCCCTGGACTGGATTGGTTACCAAAGGGCCCCAACCTTATCTGGCCACTCCTTGGGAGGTTAGGAGTGCCCATGCTTCCCTGCCTTTAGGGGATGGTTTTAGGCCTCATTACCATCTTCCATGAGGCTGCTACCCCCAAGCTCCCTTCATGTCTAAACATCCCACATTTCTCAGTGAGTGTCAGGATGTACCCTTGCTTGGGGCCCTTGCTGTAATGAGCTTTCTAGGTAGCACGAGTGGGATTATACTGCTGGACTCAGCCTGGTTTTGAATTCTGCCTCCAACGCTTGCTAGCCAGAGTGAATTTCTTTGGCTTTTCAGTGTTGTATTTTTCTCATCTGTTAAAAGGGGATAATAGGAATGCCCACTTCCAAGGGTCATTTTGAGGATTAAACAGAATCATCCATGAGAGATGCTTAGAACAGTGACTGGTACACAGAAAACACTTAACAATATCTTCCTGCTGCTGTTAACTGTTGCTGTGGTAAGTTCCTTGAAGGCACCCACAGCAGCTCCCTTCTCTCAGCCCTTTGCTCTGTGCCTGAACACATACTTACTGCGTGAGGGGTGAGCGATGAACAATACCTCTAAGAAAATAGAGGCAGTGATCCCTGTGTTAGTTATAGAGAAAGAAGACTGCAGTTGAGGGAGGGGAAGTGAGCGTGTGGGGAAATAGAGTCCGTGTTGGGGAGAGGCTGCGCCCCAGTCTCTTAGCCCCTGGTCACATCTGTAAACGCCAAACCCCGCACTCCCCGGGTGCACTTGCAGGCAGCAGGCCCACACACTCAGGCACCTGTAGGGCACTTCTGGAAGCCTCAGGCTGGAGCAGCGTGAGTTTCAGAACGTTGAGAAAAAGTGGCTTCACTCCATAAAGGGATCTTTTCAAGCCCCAAGAACCTGGGAACAAACTGCAGAGAAATTACAAAGGTCAGGATCTGACAGCCTCAAAAGCAAATTATTCAGTCCCAAATACATACAAAGACTCCAGAGTGATTTATAACTTCTGAAGATCTATGCAAATGAAAGGCCAAGGAACATGAGGGGGCTGCATCTGCAGAGAGAAACACTCCAAGCTATCAGCACTAGGTGAGGGCTGGTTGCTTCGAGGTAGCCGGGGACACTGTGATGCATATATTAGTGCTCAGGGCTCTCTTGCACTTTGGAGCCCTCTCCATTGGAATTCACCCAGAAATATCCCCCTGAGCAGCTTTGTTTCATTTCAGCTACCCCTTCTATGTGCCACCGTGGTTTTCATATTTAGCTTTATATTAATACATATTAAGTTTATATTTGGTTCTATTTTCATGAAAACGATGTTTGTAACCAACCCCTTCATCAAAGGAGTATTACAGAGATAGGACAGCACGAGCAAACATGAGGTGGTCATGATGCATGTAGCAGTGTAGTGGGCTTGGCTGTGGTTAACCTTCTCATCAATTGCTCAAGCTTGCTTAGTGAGGATTTCCCCTAAAGGTATAAGGCTCTTGAAACTTCTGCCACATGGGGATGGCGGAGGCATAAATTTTAGCAGGACTATCCACACAATTTGCACATAAGTGCAAAACGAACATGTAGGGTTCCTTGTTCAAAAGTTATTAAGAGTTTCAAGGTGGTGACAGCAGACCAGTAAACCACTGTGGGCTATTTTAAGTGTGGGGCTCTGTATGATGGCACAGGTCTCGTGACCATGTAGTCAACCACATCCTTGAAGGCACAATATAAAATTTAAGAAATGTGACATTCCTTTAGTTCCCCGAAACAAAATTTAGCCTCCAAAAAATCAGAGTACTGCTTTTCCCAATCCGGGGAGCCTGTGAGAATTCTGGGCTTGTGTGAGGCTAGAACATGGGAGGGAAAGGGGCACAGCCTTTGGCCTTGGGGTTGCTGCCTTTACCATTGTGCTTTTGGCGGACCCCAGGCCTCCCTGCCTGTCTGTCAGGCACTGCTAGGAGGCTCAGGGAGGCCCTCACAGCTCTCCTCCCCTCACTGACTCCAGGCTTGGCATCTACTAGCTGCCAAATCTCAACTTCCTCATATTCCCTGGCCCTCTGTTCCCCTCTCTAAGTCTGGGAGAAGTCAGAACCCTCTCTCAGGATCGGGCTACTCCCTCATCTCAAGGCATGTTCCCTCCCGCTCCCTTCCATGATATTTCCACATTAAACCCTCACAGACTTTAGGAAGTCACAGCCTTCAGGAGGACACTGCTGCCCTCTTTCCTGAGGTGGGGGAAAGCAGATGCCCACCTCAGTAGGGCAGATTTTTTTCTATTCTTGCCCCTTTTGGCATCATCAAGGTTGTGGTGGGACCTGGGCCTCATGGCTCCTGAGTCTTCCAATCCCTTTCACCCTTTGCATCCCACAAAGGACTGGGTGGGGAGCCCAGAAGGAGATGGGCAGTGGGAAGGAGGTAAAGAATGCAGAGTAAGACAGAGACCTTGCCGAATTGACTCTCTGGCTCTCATTGCTGTGACCTGAATTTCCTTGTCTGTGCAATGATCAGTAGCAGTTGCCTCCCATGGTGACTGGGATGAGGAAATCAGACTGAGAATGTAGGGGGTTGGCAAACTGCCTATACCAAAAAAGGAAACCTAGGGGACAAAGAGAGGTGAGTATATCAGGGTAGGCCAAGTTTTGCTGCAGTAACAAATAACTCTTCAATCTCACTTTGTTTTCATTCTCTTCAATCTCACTTTGTTTTCATTCATGCAGTCCACTGCGATCCAGGTGACTGTCCAGGCAGCTGTCCTCCAGGTAGTGACTTAGCCTGTGTTCATCCTGTGACTCCACCATCTCCATGCAAGTCCTCCATGTTAGCTGCAGCAGGGGAGGAGGAACCTGGAAAACCACACAGGGGTTTTCACTGTCTCAGTCCAGAAGCAATGTGTGACATTTCCATCCACATTACTGAACAGAACTAGCCACATGACTCTGCCTAGCTACAAGGGATCTGAGAAGTCGATGCTAGTGCACACCCAGGAAGCAGGAAAGATGAGGATATTGCTAAACACTAGTCATGCCTCCTGCAGGGAGGAACCTAAATGAATTGCTCTTGTCAGCCTAGGCTGTCAGGGTTTAAGACACTCTCCCCATGTTCAACTCTGAGAAGTTCTACCTTGACTTCCTTGTTCTGAGCTGGTTTTTCTCACTTCTAAGATGAGGAACTGTTCCTACATTTGATACAGAGTGGATTTTCCTTGAAATGGCCATATATGCAAAGCAACCCCCAAATGCTGAAGGAGCCAAGAAACTCAAGAATGAGGCAGACAACCATAAGACTGAGATAGATCTCCGCACTGCAACTGCCCACAGACCCAGGGCTTTTATCTTGGTGAAAGTATGTGCACTCTGGAAGAATACATAGGTGGCTACAGGCATCACATCCTATGATTTCTGCAACAGCACCAAGGATTGTTTTGGAGGAAACTTGAGAGTGAATAGATGTTCCTACATAAAGAGTAATACAACTTGACATTTTGGAGGCATTCCCGGAGTCGGGGTTAGTCAGGCGGATTAGCATTTAAAATAAAGTAACTCTTGTCCCCACAGTGGACATCCAAGGAAATGTAATGAAAAAATATCATTTGAGTCCTTTCTGAGAAACACAGGGGAGACACACCAGGGAAGTTACATGGGCCTTGAGGCGATTGTCACTTATACACCAGGTGATGGCTTTATTTGCTTTGAAACTCCCACAAACCAGAAAGAAAAATCTGTTGACATTTGGGCCTATGTTGAGATCTAATCAGTTATAATTCCCAGAGCTCAGAGCCCCTGTGCTCCACCAAACGAAGGGCATTTCTTGAGTTCTGGAATGATAGACACAATGCTGGAGTGCTTAAGAGCGAGAACCCGGGAATCAGATGGGCTGGATCTCAAACTTGGTTCTGCTGTCTACTGGCTCAGTGACTTTAGGCATTATACTCTTGCTTCACTTCCCTCATCTCTACATAGTATAATAGTCTATCTTCTTCAAAGTGTTGCTTTGGCATTAAATCTGTTAATGTATATAGTTTAGAACAGGACCTGACAAGCCAGAAACACTCAGTGTTGCTACCACAGTGATTATAGCAGACTCCAGCACATATCCCATTTCTGAGCAAAACTTACAAGAGAAGAGAATTGAAGATGACAGCATCATTTTTTTTTTTTTGAGTTGTTCTGGACGAGACAGGATGGAGTTTGGTTCTTTTTACCAGTCAATACAAAAACATATAATTAAAACACCATACTTGTGAGGACTAAGGAAGTTCCGTGCAAAACGGAGAATGAAATCCAGCAGTGAAGTTTTGTCAATTAAAATAACAGCGTTTTTAAATGAGAATAGAGCTAAATGTACCTTTATATTGCTATTGTTCTTCAAAAGTGGTCATATGTAGCTTTGTCTCAACATGGGAAATCAGACATGCAGCATGTTTTCAATTGTTTTTTTAAAATGGGTTATAGGATCTCACAATAATTTCCGAGTCTGTTTAGTAAGCTCATTTTTATGCAAAGAAATTATATTTGGGGCTGGGCGTGGTGGCTCACGCCTGTAATTCCAGCAATTTGGGAGGCTGAGGCGGGCAGATCACTTGAAGCCAGGAGTTTGAGACCAGCCTGGCCAACATGGTGAAATCCTTTCTCTACTAAAAATACAAAATTAGCTGGGCATGGTGGCGTGAACCTGTAGTCCCAGCTACTCGGGAGGCTGAGGCACAAGAATCTCTTGAATCCAGGAGGCGGAGGTTGCAGTGAGCCGAGATGGTGCCATTGCACTCCAGCTTGGGCAAAAAGAATGAAACTCCGTCTCAAAAATATATATATATATATTATATTTGGAAACAGAAAACCATCTTATTTACCTAAGAAATCATTTCACGATACCAGATCGTGGTGATGTGCATTTCTGAAACTCATAGCAAACTGGACCACTATGGGAAATAGATATCTGATTCCACTCTTCCTTCTAATTCCACATAAACCTCTTTCTATGTTAATTCCTGCTATTCCTGAAAAGTAAAGGTCCATTCCAGCCAGCACATTTCATATTTCTGCCCACACCTAACATTCACATTACAGATTCACTCTTGGCCTTGTCTTCTTATGATTGACTTTCACCTGCATATATCTGCAACTTGCCCTCGAGTTGCTGAAATCCCTTCCCAATTTCAAGAATCTAAGTCTCACATTATGATGCCATGTCCTGGGACAAGAGCAAAAAGATCAGGACCTCCCTAGCTGAAAAAAGCAGGTGCTTCTCAGAACCTGCACCCTCTTCAGAGAGAATACGGTGGCAGGCGCGCAGGGGACCCTGCCCGCAGCACCCATCTTTTAGGGAGCTACTAGGGCGTTCGGCAGGAAGCACAGTTGAGACGACCCACGCAGCGAGGCAGGACTCACGCCGAGTTTGTTACCTTTGCCCATCAGACCTGGTGGATTCTTTTGGTTCTGCAGGTGGAGCCACCAATGCCCAGACACCCTGCTGCAAAGTCAGGGTCCCTCTCGGCCTCGTCTTTCCCTCTCCCGTACCCCTAGGGCTGGATAGTCCTCGTCTGCAGAAGTTCGCCCTTTGCTGGCCCCTGTCCAGGCTCTCCTCTCGCTGGCCCACGTGATCCTTTCCTGCCAGTCTCCCCTGGCTCCAGCTTCCTCCACGCCCAGGGCTCTGCCCTCCGCCGGGCCGACTTCCCGCGAAACTGCAGCGGCTCCCCCTACAGGACAAAGGAGGAAACGCTAGCGGGGCCCCAGAGCCCTCTCCAATGGGACCCAAAGGGACACATCCCGGCACAGACCCTCCCCACTCTAAGGCAGAGCCTTTCGCAGGGCCTATCACAGGGCGGAGGGAGGGAGGGAGGGCGGCAGGAGGACTGCTGGCCTGAAACTCTGCTTTCACAAAGAGGTTACACTTCGAAGTTAGACCTCATCTGCAAATGAGGTTATGGACACGGTCCCATAGAAGCTGACAGAGGTTGCAACTTTATCTCTGGCCCTGTTACTGGACTACATTGCTTGTGGGGAACTGAGTTAATATTTTTTGTAAATTCTGTAATATTTTTTCTGAACAGAACAATTATATAGCATGTTTTGTGTTTCAATAATTTAATTGTTCAACGTAAACATATTTTTTAAAGACTACAGGTGGGCGTGGTGACTCACATCTGTAATCCCAGTACTTTGGGAGGTTGAGGCCAGTGGATCGCTTTTAACCCAGGAGTTTGAGACCATCCTGGCCAACATGATTTCCACTCCGTCTCTACCAAAAATACAAAAATTAGTCAGGGGGCTGAGGCAGAAGAATCACTTGAACCTGGACGGTGGAGGTTGCAGTGAACGGAGATCACACCACTGCACTCCACCTGGGTGACAGAGCAAGACTCAAAAAAAAAAAAAAAAAAAAAGAATAAATTAAAATAAAAAGGCTACAAAACTTTTCACCCCGTTTGAACATTTAAAAAATAGTTTTCTTATTCTGCTCTTTCGTTTCCTTTTTAAAAACTTCCGTATGCAGAATCCCTTAAAACCAAACCAAATGACCAGGCTTTTTTTCCTTGTCTCTGCCCTACTAGTGGTTCTCCTGTCCTCCCCAAAACCGTCCTCTCCTTTGAGATACTGTTCACTAGCTGGGCGTGGTGGCTCAGGCTTGTAATCCCAGCACTTTGGGAGGCCGAGGAGGGTGGATCACCTGAGGTCAGGAGTTCGAGACCAGCTTGACCAACATGGAGAAACCCCATCTCCACTAAAAATACTAAAATTAGCTGGGCATGGTGACGGGTGCCTGTAATCCCAGCTACTCGGGAGACTGAGGCAGGAGAATCGCTTGAACCCAGGAGGCAGAGGTTGCAGTAGGCTGAGATTGCGCCATTGTACTTCAGAGTGACAAGAGCAAAACTCCATCTCAAAAAAAAAAAGAGATGCTGTTCACCAAGCCCCCATTGCCCAGAATTCTCTCCTGCCTGCTGAGCTCAGGTCAGGCCTCACCTCCCAACCTCCAACCTCTCAGCCCTCCTACCAAGGCCACAGTGCATGACTCCTTGCCACCCTGAGCTGCAGGGCTTGTTGGCCCCTGTTGTTTAGGACTTAGCATAAACTACCTTGAATTTCATATTATCTCTCTTTCTGTTCAGTTGAGTCTTTCCAGCTCATTGCATGTCATCTTCACTTCTGTGCCCACAGCATCTCTCAATGTGCTCTGCACACGCAGGTGCTCCAGAAGCCCTTCCTCAGGCTGCTACGGATCAAGCTTACTGTGCCTGTTGGTGGCCTGCCCTGAGAGAATGTCCTTCATGATGACTATTCTTAATCAAGCATTCTTGGATGGGCTTTAGGGGGCTCCATGAACCCTCCAACACTGCAAAATCTTCCATGCATGTACAGTTTTATGGTGAGAGGGTTTATAGCTTTCACTAGAGTCTCAAAAGGTTCCATGGCCTCAAAAACATGGTGAACTCCTGCTTTGAGGTACTTCAGTACACAGCAGAGAAATGAATGAAAGAGCTCAGTTGCCTCATCTGGAAAATGGGAATCATGGTGGGTGCCTGTATGTGAGGAGGGCTCAGTAAATACCAATTAGTAGTATCCCTGACCTGGTCCCAGAAATGCCTCACAGAAAGGACCGCTTCCCCTCGCCCCCACTACCATGCCTTAGATCAAGGGTTCCCAAACTTGGGTAAGCATTAGAATCATGTGGGGAGCTTAAAAATACAGATTCCTGGGCTCCACTCCAAGAGCACAGGAATGATGATTGCTGGGAGAGGACCTAGAGCTCTGTACCTTTATCGAGTCTTCCCCTTGGTGGTTCTGATGATGAGCAAGGTCAGGGCTGGGGCCAGGGGTCTTCCACAATGCCTGGCCTCCAAGAGGCATTCTCACGCCCTGCCTTTACTCGTTCTGGGAGGTACATGTGTTAAAGGAAGCTGCCCAAGCCTTTGAGGGAATAGTGGGCTGCAAAAATCTTTCAGAACAAAGAATTAAGTATCTTTATAATTATATCCAGGCCTATATTTAGGCCATGGCTCATATGGCCTCTTGAACTTTAAATAAATACCTATTCTGTTCCTTGTTTAAACAGGTGCAACAATATCGTTGGAGACTAGATTTATCCAGGCAGGAAGGCGGCTCCCACAGCTGTCAGAAGCACACGGCCCTTTCATTCCTCACAAGAGGGGGAGCTAATTATACTGTGGTAGAGCAAAAGAAATTTACAACTTCTACCCCTGAGCTCAATGAACCACTCAGGGTAAACTCTTCTCTGAGCTGCTCTCTGGCAGGATTCAGGGCCCATTCAGGAGGCATATGCCCTCAAAAGGCACATGCCCTCAAAAGGCTTAGAGGCCACTGCAGTGGGGCGATTCTGGTCTGGCAAGATCTGCTCTCTGCAGAGTGTCTGTGCTCTCACACTCACACACACACACATACGCACACTCACCCACCACTCTCACACATGTGCACACACACTCTTGGACATGTATACACTCCCACACACTAATGCACACTCACACACACATTCATACAACACTCGCACACTCTCAGATTCACACACAAAATCTCTCTTGTACTCTCTCACACACATACAACTCATGCTCTCACACACATGAACACACTTGAACAAGTCACACACCCATGCATACACAAACTCTCACACTCACACATGCACAAATGGGTGCAGATGCGCACACATACACCCACATGCACATATTGGTGCAACACACACACACTCTCACGCTCACACACACACACCCTTTCTCTGATGCAGAGTTCTACCATCTAACCATGACAGTTTATTCCTGGGGACCTCAGACTTGTGGTTCCCTGTCAAAATGCCTGAGAGTTTTCTGATTTTAGCACTTTAAAGTCTCACATCCTAGGAACGCATCCTTTACCTGCAAAGCCCTGGGCAAATGAGGATGCTGGTCACCTCAAAATGCACCCTTCCAGGGAGAGGTCTGCTGTGCTTTACCAGCCACTAGCACCCTGTGAATGAGGCTGTCGCATGCTCTTCTGTGAGAGGCACTCAGGGACTCCTGTAGGTCCTGTGGTTTCTGCGCCAACAGGCTGGCACATCCAGATAAGCACACACTCTGGCAGCAGGCATCTACCACCTGGGGAGATGGAGTAGTCCCTTGGGGCCCAGGCCCCACTCTACAGGGTGGAGTTTAACTGGCTGAGGTGGGGCCTGGCCACGTGCATGTGTCTCTGGCTTCTGAGGTGATTGCAATGTGCAGCTGGGGTTGAGATTCACTGGATCCAGGCAAAGAGGACATCAGCCAGGTCTTCCCTGCTGCCTTCCTTACCCCTCACCAAGGAAAGTGGGGCTTCTGTGTAGCCAGCACAGGGCGGAGTTGCTGCTGGTCATAGACACTGAATCTCCTCCATCCTGTGCTTTAAAATTGATGTTTTATCATATAAAGCAATGCACAGTTCTGTGCATTAACTGAACCTAAGTCCAGTTTACCAATAAAGAATTTCTGATTATGCCACTGAGGAAAATTTAATCCCAATCTTATTTGCAACCAAAAAGGGCTTTCCAACCAGTGGTTTGACTATGGCTCACTACCTACAATGGCAGGAATCCCCACGAAAAGGCAATTCTCTGACTGAGCCAGCATTGCCGTGGCTGCTCTCTGAGAAGGGGTGGAGGAAGCAGTAAGGGCTTTGGAATCCACTGAAGTTGAGTTTGTATCCTTTCTCTCCACCTATCAACTATTAATGTTTAGCTCTGGGTAATTTACTTACCTATTCTGAGCCTGTTTCCTCCTCTATAAAAAGTGCAAAACAACACTTACCTCAAAATGTTCTTGCTAGCATATCCATAACTAGCACAGGTCCTGGCATAACATAGGCAGTGGGCAAATGACAAATGACAGCTATGGAATAAAAAACAATAAATGGGGATGCTGTTTTATTCTTCATGTTGTACCAGAGGGTTCCCATCAAATCCAAAAGGTGTTCTTTTCTCAACTTCTAGAGGCTTCCTACATTCCTTGACTCACCATCTCCCTTCATCTTCAAAGCCAGCAGCTTAGCATCTTCAAATCTTTCTCTGACCCTAACTCTCCTGCCTCCATCTTCCACTTATCAAGAGCCTTGTGATTACATAGGGCCCATCCAGCTAATCCAGGATAATCTCCTCATCTCAAGATCTATAACTTAATTACATCTGCAAAGTCCTTCTTGCCTTGTGAGGTAACTTATTCACAGGTTATGGGCATTAGGAAGTGGACATTTGGGGAAGGCCATTATTCTGTGTAGAGTGCTTTGTTGATTTCAAATTTGTTATCTTCCAAAAGATTTTCTCCAACCTATGACACCTACTTCCACTTGCCTGGTAGCAAATGTTGGTGGAAGGCAAAAAAGAAGAAAGAAGAGGGCTGGCAAGATGGCCAAATAGGAACAGGTCTGGTCTGCAGTTTCCAGTGACATCAACGCAGGAGGCGGGTGATTTCTGCATTTCCAATTGAGGTACCTGGCTCATCTCATTGGCACTGGTTAGACAGTGAATGGATGCAGCTCACAGAGGGTGAGCAGAAGCAGGGTGGGCTGTCGCCTCACCCGGGAAGCACAGGGGGTCGGGGAACTCCCTCCCCTAGCCAAGGGAAGCCGTGAGGGACTGTGCCGTGAGGGATGGTGCATTCTGGCCCAGATACTACGCTTTTCCCATGGTCTTCACAACCCACAGGCCAGGAAATTCCCTCGGGTGCCTACACCACTAGGGCCCTGGGTTTCAAGCACAGAACAGGGCAGCCATTTGGGCAGACACTGGGCTAGCTGCAGGAGTTTTTTTTTCATACCCCAGTGGCACCTGGAATGCCAGTGAGACAGAAACGTTAACCCCCTGAAAAGGGGGCTGAAGCCAGGAAAGCCAAGTGGTCTAGCTCACTGGATCCCACCCCCATGGAGCACAGCAAGCTAAGATCCACTGGTTTGAAATTCTCCCTGCCAGCACAGCAGTCTGAAGTCGACCTGGGATGCTGGAGCTTGGTGGGAGGAGGGGCGTCCACCATTACTGAGGCTTGAGTAGGTGGTTTTCCCCTCACAGTGTAAACAAACCCGCCGGGAAGTTTGAACTGGGTGGAGCCCAGGAGCTTGGCAAAGCTGCTGTAGCCAGACTGCCTCTCTAGATTCCTCCTCTCTGGGCAGGGCATCTCTGAAAGAAAGACAGTAGACCCAGTCAGGGGCTTATAAATCAAACTCCCATCTCCCTGGGACAGAGCACCTGGGGTAAGGGGGCAGCTGTGGGTGCACCTTCAGCAGACTTAAACGTTCCTGCCTGCCAGCTCTGAAGAGAGCAGCAGATCTCCCAGCACAGTACTTGAGCTCTGCTAAGGGACAGACTGCCTCCTCAAGTGGGTCCCTGACCCCTGTGCCTCCTGACTGGGAGATACCTCCCAGCAGGGGTCGACAGACATTTCATAAAGGAGAGCTCCAACTGGCATCTGGCAGGTGCCCCTCTGGGATGAAGCTTCCAGAGGAAGGAACAGGCAGCAGTCTTTGCTGTTCTGCAGCCTCCATGGGTGATACCCAGGCAAACAGAGTCTGGAGTGGACCTCCAGCAAACTCTAGCAGACCTGCAGCAGAGAGGCCTGACTATTAGAAGGAAAACTAACAAACAGAAAGGAATAGCATCAACATCAACAAAAAGGTTGTCCACACAAAAACCCCATCCGAAGCTTACCAACATCAAAGACCAAAGGTAGATAAATCCACGAAGATAAGGAAAAACCACCACAAAAAAAGCTGAAAATTGCAAAACCCAGAATGCCTCTTCTCCTCCAAAGGATCACAACTCCTTGCCAGCAAGGGAACAAAACTGGATGGAGAATGAGTTTGACAAATTGACAGAAGTAGACTTCAGAAGGTGGGTAATAACAAACTCCTATGAGCTAGAGGAGCATGTTCTAACCCAATGCAAGGAAGCTAAGAAACTTGAAAAAGGTTAGAGGAATTGTTAACTAGAATAACCAGTTTAGAGAAGAACATAGATGAACTGATGGAGCTGAAAAACACAGCATGAGAACTTCCTGAAGCATACACAAGTATGAATAGCCAAATCGATCAAGCAGAAGAAAGGATATCAGAGATTGAAGATCAACTTAATGAAATAAAGCATGAAGACAAGATTAGAGAAAAAAGAATGAAAAGGAATGAACAAAGCCTCCAAGAAATATGGGACTATGTGGAAAGACCAAACCTATGTTTGATTAGTGTACCTGAAAGTGATGGGGAGAATGGAACCAACTAGGAAAGCACTCTTCAGGATATCATCCAGGAGAACTTCCCCAGCCTAGCAAGACAGGCCAATATTCAAATTCAGGAAATAAAGAGAACACCACAAAGATACTCCTCGAGAAGAGTAATCCCAAGACACATAATTGTCAGATTCACCAAGGTTGAAATGAAGGAAAAAGAGCAGCCAGAGAGAAAGGTTGGGTTACTCACAAAGGGAAGCCCATCAGACTAACAGCAGATCTCTTGGCAGAAACCCTACAAGCCAGAAGAAAGTGGGGGGCCAATATTCAACATTCCTAAAGAAAGTAATTTTCAACCCAGAATTTCATATCCAGCCAAACTAAGCTTCAAAAACAAAGGAGAAATAAAATCCTTCACAGACAAGCAAATGCTGAGAGATTTTGTCACCACCAGGCCTGCCTTACAAGATCTCCTGAAGGAAGCACTAAATATGGAAAGGAAAAACCTGCACCAGCCACTACAAAAAGATGCCAAATTGTAAAGACCATCTACACCATGAAGAAATTGCATCAACCAATGGGCAAAATAACCAGCTAGCATCATAATGATGGATCAAATTCACACATAAAAATATTAACCTGAAATGTAAATGGGCTAAATGCCCCAATTAAAAGACACTGGTTGGCAAATTGGATAAAGAGTCAAGACCCATTGGTGTGCTGTATTCAAGAGACCCATCTCATGTGCAAAGACACACATAGGTTCAAAATAAAGGGATGGAAGAATATTTACCAAGCAAATGGAAAGCAAAAAAAGCAGAGGTTGCAATCCTAGTCTCTGATAAAACAGACTTTAAACCAACAAAGATAAAAAAAATACAAAGAAAGACATTACATAATGGTCAGGGATCAATGCAACAAGAAGAGCTAACTATCCTAAATATATATGCACCCAATACAGGAGCACCCAGATTCATAAAGCAAGTTCTTAGAGACCTCCAAAGAGACTTAGACTCCCACACAATAATAGTGGGAGATTTTAACACCCCACTGTCAATATTAGACAAATCAACAAGACAGAAAATTAACAAGGATATTCAGGACTAGAACTCAGCTCTGGACCAAGTGGACCTAATAGACATCTATAGAACTCTCCACCTCAAATCAACAGAATATACATTCTTCTTGGCACCACATCACACTTATTATAAAACTGACCACATAATTGGAAGTAAAACACTCCTCAGCAAAAGAACAGAAATCATAACAAACAGTCTATCAGACCACCGTGCAATCAAATTAGAACTCAGGATTAAGAAACCCACTCAAAACTGCACAACTACATGGAAACTGAACAACCTGCTCCTGAATGACTACTGGGTAAATAACGAAAGAAGGCAGAAATAAATAAGTTCTTTGAAACCAATGAGAACAAAGACACAACGTGTGAGAATCTCTGGGACACAGCTAAAGCAGTGTTTAGAGGAAAATTTATAGCACTAAATGCCCACAGGAGAAAGCAGGAAAGATCTAAAATCGACACCCTAACATCCCAATGAAAAGAACTAGAGAAGCAAGAGCAAACTAATTCAAAAGCTAGCAGAAGACAAGAAATAACTAAGATCAGAGCAGAAGTGAAGGAGACAGAGACACGAAAAACCCTTCAAAAATTCAATGAATCCAGGAGCTGTTTTTTTGAAAAGATTAACAAAATAGATAGACTGCCAGCCAGACTGATAAAGAAGAAAACAGAGAAAAATCAAGTAGACACAATAAAAAATGATAAAGGGGATATCACCACTGATCCCACAGATATACAAACTATAATCAGAGACTACTATAAACATCTCTATGCAAATAAACTAGAAAATCTAGAAGAAATGGATAAATTCCTGGACACACACACCCTCCCAAGACTAAACCAGGAAGAAGTCAAATCCCTGAATAGACCAATAACAAGTTCTGAAATTGAGGCAGTAATTAATAGCCTACCAACCAAAAAAAGCTCAGGACCAGATGGATTCATGGCCGAATTCTACCACAGGTACAAAGACAAGCTGGTACCATTCCTTCTGAAACTATTCCAAACAATAGAAAAAGAGGGACTCCTCCCTAACTCATTTTATGAGGCCAGCATCATCCTGATACCAAAACCTGGCAGAGACACAACAAAAAAAGAAAAATTCAGGCCAATATCCCTCATGAACATCGATGCAAAAATCCTCAATAAAATACTGGCAAACTGAATCCAGCAACATATCTAAAAGCATATCCACCACCATCAAGTCAGCTTCATCCCTGGGATGCAAAGCTGGTTCAACATATATAAATCAATACACATAATCCATCACATAAACAGAACCAATGACAAAAACCACATGATTATCTCAATACATGCAGAAAAGGCCTTCAACAAAATTAAACACCCCTCCAAGCTAAAAACTCTCAATAAACTAGGTATTGATGGAACATATCTCTAAATAATAAGAGCTACTTATGACAAACCCACGGCCAATATCATACTGAATGGGCAAAAGCTGGAAGCATTCCCTTTGAAAACCAGCACAAGACAAGAATGCCCTCTCTCACTACTCCTATTCAACATAGCATTGGAAGTTCTGGCCAGGGCAATCAGGCAAGAGAGAGAAATAAAGGGTATTGAGATACGAAGAGAGGAAGTCAAATTGTCTCTGTTTGCAGATGACATGATTGTATATTTAGAAAACCCCATCGTCTCAGCCCAAAATCTCCCAAAGCTGATAAGCAACTTCTGCAAATTCTCAGGATACAAAATCAATGTGCAAAAATCACAAGCATTCCTATATTCCAGTAATAGACAGAGAGCCAAATCATGAGTGAACTCCCATTCACAATTGCTACAAAGAGAATAAAATACCTAGGAATACAACTTATAATGGATGTGAAGGATCTCTTCAAGGAGAACTACAAAACACTGCTCAAAAAAATAAGACAGGACAGAAACAAATGGAAAAACATTCCATGCTCATGGATAGGAAGAATCAATATTGTAAAAATGGCCATACTGCCCAAAGTAATTTATAGATTAAATGTTATCCCCATCAAGCTACCATTGACTTTCTTCACAGAATTAGAAAAAACTACTTTAAATTTCATACGGAACCAAAAGAGCCCATATAGCCAAGACAATCCTAAGCAAAAAGAACAAAGCTGGAGGTATCACGTTACCTGACTTCAAACTGTACTACAAGGCTACAGTAACCAAAACAGCATGGTACTGGTACCAAAATAGATATATAGACCAATGGAACAGAAGAGAGGCCTCAGACATAATGCCACACATTTACAACCATCTGATCTTTGACAAACCTGACAAAAACAAGCAGTGGGGAAAAGATTCCCTATTTAATAAATGGTATTGGGAAAACTGGCTAACCATATGCAGAAAACTGAAATTGGACCCCTTCCTTATACCTTATGCAAAAATTAACTCAAGATGGATTAAAGACTTAAATGTAAAACCCAAAACCATAAAAACCCTAGAAGAAAACCTAGGTAATACCATTCAGGACATAGGCATGGGCAAAGACTTCATGACTAAAACTCTGAAAGCAATTGCAACAAAAGACAAAATTGACAAATGGGATCTAATTAAACTAAAGAGCTTCTGCACAGCAAAAGAAACTACCATCAGAGTGAACAGGCAATCTACAGAATGGGAGAAAATTTTTACAATCTATCCATCTGACAAAGGGCTAGTATCCAGAATCTACAGGGAACTTAAGCAAATTTACAAGAAAAAAATAAACAACCCCATCAAAAAGTGGGTGAAGGATATAAACAGACACTTCTCAAGACATTTATGTGGCCAACAAACATATGAAAAAAAAAAAAGCTCATCATCACTGGTCATTAGAGAAATGCAAATCAAAACCACAGTGAGATACCATCTCACCCCAGTTAGAATGGCGATCATTAAAAAGTCAGGAAACAACAGATGCTGGAGAGAATGTGGAGAAATAGGAATGCTTTTACACTGTTGGTGGGAGCATAAATTAGTTCAACCATTGTGGAAGACAGTGTGGTGATTCCTCAAGGATCTAGAACCAGAAATACCATTTGACTCAGCAATCCCATTACTGGCTGTATACCCAAGGGATCATAAGTCATTCTAATACAAAGACACATACACAGGTATGTTTATTGCAGCACTGTCTACAATAGCAAAGACTTGGAACCAACCCAAATGCACATCAATGATAGACTGGATAAAGAAAATGTGGCACATATACACCATGGAATACTATGCAGCCATAAAAAAGGATGAGTTCATGTCCTGTGCAGGGACATGGATGAAGCTGGAAACCATTATTCTCAGCAAACTAACACAGGAACAGAAAACCAAACACCGCATGTTCCCACTCATAAGCGGGAGCTGAACAATGAGAACACATGGACACAGGGAGGGGAACATCACACACCGGGGCCTGCTGAGGGGTGTGGGCTAGGGGAGGGATAACATTAGGAGAAATATTTAATGTAGATGACGAGTTGATGGGTGCAGCAAACCACCATGCCACTTGTATACCTATGTAACAAACCTGCACGTTCTCCACGTTTCCCGGAACTTAAAGTATAATAATAATAATAATAATAATAATAATAATAAAGAAGAAGAAGAAGAAGAAGGAAGAAGAAGGAGAAGAAGAACAAGAACAAGAAGAAGAAAGAAAGAAAGAAGGAGGAGGAGGAGGAGGAGGAGATTATTGAACAAATTGGCATCGCCAGAACATTCAGAAACTGCCAGTCTGCCAATCGGGGAAGTCAGTAATTTCCTTTGTGCTTGTAATTGTGTGTGAACCTGTTTGCTTGTGGTTGTGATTTTACAGTAGATGACATAACAGGGTCATAGTTTTTGCTTGTAAAATTGTTCCTAGCACATTTGAGGGGACTAATTGGTTACACGGTGCCCTGTAGAGATGACTGTGACTTTGCAGGTACTTGATCTCTGACTAGTCTGAGGATCACCCCTGGGGGCTGCCAGGCTTGAAACTTTACAAGATTCCCCTTCGCCTGAGAGGGGGACCATTGGCCACCTGAGCAGAGAAGAAAAGACTTGAATATGCAGCAAGCTCAGCGTATGTGACTTTTGAATGTTCTTGAAATGAGTCAAGAACTCAAATCTGGAGTTTGAACAGGAAACTGGAACACAGTGGGAGGTCTGCGAGGGTGGAGGATGGGCGTGCTTCCAGGATTTCAAAACACAAAACAGGTGGTTTTCAGTGGTGTTGGCTGGCTGGGGGAAAGATGGAGAGGGGAGGGGTGAATAGAAAGTAGGCAGGCTTCTGGGTGGATGGGGCCCAGCACCCACAGCCTAGGCTGGCTGCCTGAGAGTAGCGAGTGACAGGTAAGGGCTCTGAACCTTCCTGCGTGCTACCCAAGGAGTGCCTAGGGCTACCAGGAGGCCCAGGGAGGAACCTTGAGACCTGAGAAAGGCTTTTCTTCCCCGAGAGGACCACTGCTCAGGCTCAGAGGCCATGGGGTGAAGTGCACAAAAAAGTGGGCGTCCAGCCATGCTCTAAGTCCCCCGAAGATGAAGACCAGGGAGCAGCTTCCTCCAATGAAGCAGCAGCAATCAGAGGACCAGGAGGCTGAAGCCCTGAGCCCAGCCAGAGGCAGGATCAGCCAAGTCTGGGACAGGCTTCAATTATTTTAGGGTAAGAAATCTGTGCTTTGTAAATAGCCAGATGTCTTTGCTTTGGTATATTTTAATTTTTTGTTTGTTTTACTTTTTGTTGTTGTTGGTGTTGTTGGTTTAGAAAAACTCGAAGTAAGAAAAGGGTAATGGGATCCTTGTTCATGTCTGGGAAGTCCCAGTGAGAGAGTCAAGGAATCCTCCAGCTACTGAGGCCCCTGGTGAAGTGAATCATGGAAATGTGACAAATCACAACCCCAGAAGAGGCTGCTCTGGAGCCCCCTGGGGAGTCTTTAATGAACTCTTTAACATATTGCATGAACGAAGAAAACGGTGATTTTAGTGACATTTTAGGTATTAGGGACAGAAAGGGAAGCATCTTCCCGGCAGACATAAAAATGGACAATTTAGACATGCCCCATCCTGTTCATACAGGAGGATGGACAAAAATACTTTCTAAGCAGCTGGGACATAATGCGAAATGCCTCTTGGCTCACCCAAGGGTCTTGGCTGCCCAATTTCCCTTTACCCTCTCTAGCCCTTATGCAAAGAACAAAATAAATAGAAGTCTATAGTCTTCAGTCTTTGCAAACAGACCTGCCTGACATCAATTAGCACTAACCTCTGGCAAGTGGCAATCCTCAAAAAAAGCTCCAGGATGTTTTCAACATGAGGATTTTAATGTGTTCTCTAAATGAGGATTCTAATGACCATTTCCCTGACGAAGCAACCAGGCTTGAGATAGTATATGGTGACACTCGTTAAGTGATTCCCTGTGAGTGAGGGATAAACCTGTGAATGGAATAAGGTCCACGGGCCCCCATTCCCTGCCTATTCCATTAGCCATTGGAAATCTCCAGTCAGCCACGGCTGCAAATGGGTGTCCTGGGGCTGGCAATTGACTGATAAGTCCCAGAGCCCTCATTCCAACCTATTGTTCAGAAAACATCCCCACTGTTCATATTTCAGGAGGGCGGGGGAGTGGCAGCAGAGAGAAGCGGCAGGTAATTTATTCAGGAGCTGGAAGCTGAGAAACGGATTTGGTAAGCAAATACTTCAAAGCTCACTAGAGAACTCCCATAAAACATAGACCTTCTGCAGCAACCAGGGAGTGATTTAAATCCAGTTGGAATTTCTAGGGATAAGGAGTAAGACTTATCAACTCAGTTCAGAGCCTCATGAATAATTTCACCTGACACGGGACACTGAACCAGCAGAAATCTGGGATGTCCAAAGAAAAATAGATTTCAAACTAATCTTTGTTCCTCAAGTTTTATTCCTAAGTGGGGAACCGGGGTGGGAGAGGGGAGCCCAGACAGGAAGCTCGCCATTTTTAGACACGTTATATTTTGTCCTTGTGTGAGAAATGTTGGATGGGAAACACATTTTCTGGCAGCTGAAACCTCGCTGGCTGGGCTGGCTAAGGGAAAGGCCACGAACCCACGTACTACCAGGATGTGGAAGTCATTTGTAACTCCCTCTAGGCTAGTACAGGCAGTGAAAGGGGGAACTTAAAATGAAATAAACACCTAAGCCCGGAGCTGCAAAGCTGGGACTACGTTACTCGTGGTGCCTTAAACCCCAAGCTTTATCCGCCCCATCTCCCACCACCTCACTGCAGACACCCTGCCCTCCGTCCGTGCATAACCACGTTCTCGTTCACGAAGCGGCCAGCCTCGCGGCGCTGGGGAGAAGGCTTCCTCCTTGTCCGCACTTCTGGGTCAACAGCCTTAGATGGGGCGGGGGGGGGGGGTGCGGAGCTGCCGAAACCTTCTCGAAGATCCCAGGGAGTCTCTGTCCCGCAGAATCAGCACCATCCTCCTCGGAGCGCAGCTTTTCCTCCCTGCCCAAGTGCGGTGCACCCGCGCACCACCCAAGCGCCCAGCATCGAGGGCGCGGCGGCGGCGGCCAGGGCGGCCAGGGCCCTTGAGCACCCGCGCGGTTTTCCCCCTATGGCCGCATGGGGGCAGGAGAGAGGAGCTGTGGCGCAGAGCACGCGGAGAGGGACCTGGAGCGCGGGAGCCAGGACGGCGCAGGCAGCTGGGGAGGCCGCGGGGCTGCCCAGCGAGTGGAGTGCCCAAGAATTGGCCGGGGTGGAAAGGTCCGCGGGAGACGATCCCCGACCTCCGGGAACAGGCCTGCGGTCGGCCGCCTTGGCACCCAGGCTCTGCCGCCCCCGGAGACTCGGATCGAGCGCTGGAAGTGGCCGCAAGGGACGCGAGGGAGAGCAGAGCTGTGAATCAGCCGGAAAGTCACTCCAACTCCAGGGAATTCCGCTCCGGGAAGAAAGGTGGCGAGCTTCTCCCTGCGTTCCCCTCCACCCCCAGCCTCCGAACGCACCTTCCCTGCGCTGGCGACCAGCTGTCACCCCCATTTTGCAGCTACTGAGACTTGAGATGTTGGGAGCCTAAAGGACATCATTTAGAACATAAAGTAATTATGGTGATTCTGAGCTCTGTGGCCAGAAAGTTTAACTTCAGGAGATATATATATATATAAAATTGAATGGCCACCTTTTCTTTTTCTATTTTCTCCATGTCAGATCTTTCATCTCTTAGTAGAGACTTCTACACCTTTCTGTTATTCCACCCGAAGAAGTTATGGTCACCTGGTTCTCTTTCCTTCACCAAATCGTCTCCATTTTTCTTCTCCCTGCTTCCAAATTTAATTCTCTCTCTCTCTCTCTCTCTCTCTCTCTCTCTCTCTCTCTCTCTCTCTGTCTCTCTTCCCACCACCCCCGCCCAGCCCAGAGATAGGTTCTCACTTTGTCACCCAGGCTGGCGATCTCAGCTCACCCCAGCCTCGACCTCCTTGGTTTAAGTGATCCTCCTGCCTCAGCCTCCAGAATAGCTGGGACTACAAGCGTGCACCACCACACCCAGCTAATTTTTGTATTTTTAGTAGAGACGGGTTTTCGCCATGTTGTCCAGGCTAGTCTCAAACTCCTAGGCTCAAGCCATCTGCCTGCCTAGGCCTCCCAAAGTGCTGGGACTACAGGCGTGAGGTACTATGCCTGGCCCAAATTTAATTCTTAACTCATTTGAACCAAAACTAGCCAAAAGTTCCAGAGGGCTCCAACCCAAATGAAAATGGCCCAGGAAAAGGAGGAGGGGAAAGAAATACACCTACCAAAGATCAAATAATATCTTGTGGGTCCTTACCAAGAGTAGACATGAAATTGTCTCATCAGATAGTCTCCAGTCTTTTGAAAAATCTTTGCTCCAAAATGACTTGCATTGATTTTTTCACTGATGATATTTATTTGGAAACTTCACATAACTTACAAATCATGTAAAATTTTTGCATTCATTAAATCTAGACCTGGGTTCAAAAGGATTGTGAAACTGCAGTGCTGACGTTAATAAACCATCAAGTTAGAAAAAATGAAAAGCATTAAGAGGGAGCAACACTAAAGCAAAGGCTTGTGGGATTTATAGAGTCATCCCCAAAACAAAGTCTTTGTCTTCCTCTTTCTTTCCTCATCCTATTAGTCAACTGAGGACAGCACTTGGACCATCCCTGGCCTGGTCCTTATCTGGTGCTTTGAGATGGGAGAGGAGGCTCCAGGTTATAGTTCTGTTGCACCACCTTCCAAGAATGAAGCTGGTCAAACTGGACAGAACACGATGGTGTAAGTGTGACAGTACAGAAAGTTGGGACAGTGCTGCGCCTTCTGGAAATGGTAGCCCAGCTGCTCAGGTGTGGGCATGTGCTTTGCTCCTTTATGATAGGAAGCCTGCCTTCCAGTTCCTCAGCATCTGCTTTTCTAGCTGGGTAGTGGCCCAGGCCCCTGAGTTTCCACTTTCTTTTTTTGCTGGCTTTTTTTGTTGTCATTGGAAGTCTGGCAATTCATTAACATCTCCACCAGAGGATGGGCAGGAGAAAGGAAAACTGGGAACTCCAGTCTACCTTGCATTTCTTAGTAGTTAGTACCTCTAGTACTAGCTGGGTTTGGTGGGAAAGAGCTGTACTGCTGGCTAAAATGAGATTTTGTGATTATCTGTGGATTTAATCTGGTCTCCTCACATCTACCATTTCCACAAATAATTAGAGATTATTAGACACATTCAGAAGTTGCATTAGCCTCAAAGAATTTAGAGAAAATCTAAATAGGCTTAAATACCATCTTGGAATCCAGAATGTTAAGCTCTATGCTCCAGATAATTAACATTTTTAGGGCCCCTTTTCTCCCCATGGGGCTAAAATCACTCCTGGGTAACAATTAACTGAACACATTCTAAGTCTAATATATTTTGCAGAAAGGGATGAGCTGAGCAGAAAAACAGATGATGCACTACTGTTGCATTAAAAGAGAACAGGCCATGCAGCATTGGAGGTTTGGCACTTCTCTGTTCTCTTAAGATGTATTCTGATTCTCGAGGTATTGAGAAGAGCCTTTGCTCTTTTCCCACCAAACCCAGCTAGTACTAGAAGTACTAACTACTAAGAAATGCGAGGTGGACTGGAGTTCCCAGCTTTCCTTTCTCCTGCTCACCCTCTGGTGGAGATGTTAATGAATTGCCAAACTTTCAACAACAGAAAACAGCCTTTATATTTTCAAAATAAATCTCATCAGTTGGCACGTGTGGGAGCCTCTCAGGTAGTGGGTGATTCATTGAGAGAGCAATGCCTGCTCCATGAGCACAAGTGTGCTGACCCCTTTTCCTGGAGAACATTCTGGACATAAAGTGTCCATCAGGAGCAGGGGATGAAGTGTAGAGAGGGGCCGCAGCCCTTCCTCAATGCCCAGAGGGCTCCTTCCAGAGAACTTGAGTGGAGTACCACCATGGGGTTCTTTTGATTACTTTCCTCCCAGTGGGAGCCCTACATTAGCACTGACATGCAGTGGCACCCCATTATTGCAGGATGGTTGAGAATATGATGATGAGAGTATCTTGTGCTCCTGCAATATTTAACAGTTTTCAAGGCAATTTTATATATGTTATCTTTTTCGTTTTTTGAGATGGAGTCTCACTCTGTCGCCTAACTGGAGTGCAGTGGCACCATCTTGGCTCACTGCAACCTCTGCCTCTTGGGTTAAAGCGATTCTCCTGCCTCAGCCTCTTGAGTAGCTGGGACTACAGGAAGGCACCACACGCACACCACAGAGCGCACCACCACACCCAGCTGATTTTTGTATTTTTAGTAGGGATGAGGTTTCACCATGTTGGCCAGGCTGGTCTTGAACTCCTGACCTCAAGTGATCCGCCTCCCAAAGTGCTGGGATTACAGGTGTGAACCACCACATCCTGCCTTTCTATATGCTATTTTATTTGATGTTCATAATAGCTGTGAGGTAAGCAGTACAGATATTATCTCCATTGCTTCCTGGTGAAGGACTTAGCCACAGTCAGATAACTAGTAAGAGCAGAGTAGAGTTAGAATTGGAGCCTTCTGGTCCCCCTCCTCTGCATGCCTTTCAGGTTCTGTAATAAAACATCATAGTCTCTTATTTGACTACATTGTCATGTCTGTTATATGTTCTTTAAATGGCCACTGCACTCATGCATGCTAATTTTACAATGTTTTAATTATGAAAGTCTGTTAAAAAATTCAAAGTATCATTTCTAACACTATATTTCCTTTGGAATTACATTATTGCAGTTCTATGTATTTAGTTGCATTTCCCCTCTTTAATAATCAGCAAGGTTTTAATCTAACTGTGTTGGACAATTTCCCAAAGCCACTTAGAAAATATCACCTAGCATTCGCTTTATCCCCCAGATCTTCTTTTTCATTACTAGGCAGGTGGTTACTAGGATATGCCCCAAAGAAATAAGATCACAACTTAAAGCCCAAGCACATAAAATGTTTAGTAGATACAATAACTGTAAATTATTATAACCATAGATATTTTTATAAAGATTGATTAAAAAATACTCTGACATACCCCACATGCTGATAGTTCAATTCATGCGTGAAAAACACATTTTAGCCTTTTCCATCAGCACCATTCACATTTTAGAAGACCGACTTTATAGGGGGCTCCCCAAAGTATCTCCTTAAACCACTGCCAACCCGGGGGGTGGTGGATAGTGGCAATATTACATCAGTATCTGTATTGGGTTCTTGGATAGAGCTGCACAATGGCCATGTATGGTGAAAGGTAGATTTTCCCCTGAGACTTTATTCTTGGAATATGTTAAAATGCACATGTCTCTATTTCTGCTCCCAAGAAGCTGGTGTACAGATGTTAAGTATTCGGGTGGTAGGAGCGCTGCTGTCTACAGTTTACATGATGTCTAATAGGCCTCTAGAATGTGTTTAAAAGGCAGTGTTCAAAATTAGGCCCCTAACCTTCTTTGATGCAATTGTCTTTCTTTGGAGTTACATCTTGAAGGAAAGGATGAAGATTTGGAAAGGGAATTAATTTTCCTGACCTGACTTATTATTTTCCCCCTGTATTTTATAGTAATCCTTTAAACTCAAAAAATTCAGCTAATTATGGATTTCTACCTGAATAATGCTGCCATTTGAGTGGCTGCATGTCACTGTTTCTGGTTTCTGACCCCCTGTCAGGCCAATTCTGCCTGATTTCACTCATGTGCTGCTGCTTTTTATAATCTGAACATTATTTCCACTCAAATGTTTCCAGCTTTGCCCAAAACCTAAGAATCTGAAAAGGGGGAAACTTCCTTCGTAACTAGTATTTGAGTAATTATCACTTTGCATTATTCTGATCTTTTGCAAAACGTATACTCCAAGAAGAACATTTGAAAAAAGTTAGAAGTCTTAGTTGATTTTCTAATTTACATTTAAAAATAGAACGTAGGCAGTCTCTCTTGTCATTAAAATATGATTTTTCCTCTATTTTCTATGCTCCATAAACTCTATTACAATATATTTTGAAATGTAGGACATTGAATTGAGGACATTAAACAAAGAAATTCAATGGCTTTGAGGGGAATTTTAAAGATCCAGTTTCCTAATATGTAGACTGGAAACTGGAAAGACTTCATGATGTCTAATATGTTTTTTCCCTGTCTCCTAGACGCAATAATCTCTAACTGCCACTTGATCATTAGAGATTTATATTCACTATAATTTATGTCAACTTATATCTGGGACTTTTTTTTTTTTAACAACATTTGGCAGCCAATTGCTGGTAGAAATGTAGAATGTTTCACATTAGTCAGCAGCCCTCTTAAATTATTTCTATGAAATAATTTATTGTGGATTACAAATTCTTATATGGCATTTAAATTTAATGATTAGGCAGAGAGATATATCAAAAATATGATTAGTCACATATGTATCTGACTTGCATGGTTCTAGCTCTATGTGTGTTTTATAAGAATTGCTTTTTAAAAAGATATTTTGAGACTTACATGTTTTTACAATGAAAAACAACACATATTTAAAGGAAAGGAGAAATGGATGCACACACTCTTATAAACTCTCTTCTCTAATTAAATGTCCATAAAATTATTTTCTATTTCATGATAGACATTTTTGGCATAGGTACTGGTGTGTGGTCTGAAACTATAAGAACTGACAGTGGTAAAGATCTGTTGCCTCATAATTTGAGGTAAAGATGTAGAAATCCTAACAAAATATGAGATTGTCAGTGAAAAATGTAATGTCCCTTTTTCACAGAAAGGAATTAGTAGTGAAGTGATATACTTCTAGCAGAACAAGAAATGAAATGAAACTGAATTCCTTATTGAAATCTCAGAGTGAGCTACCTCCTAACTAATTTTCATTTCTCTACATAGTTATGGTTAAGACTTTTAGACATTTATCATTCCATTTCACTCATCACTCAGGAAAGAAAGACATAGAAAAACAGCCATGAAAGTTTAATTAAAATTTTATTTGCATGAAAGGGACTCCTAGAGCATCTCTTTTGTATCTTAGACAGATTATGTCTTTTTTATTCCTTTTCTCTCTCTTCCTATTTAACAGTGATTTTCTTAACTCGACTATTTATGATTCATTTCATGAAAGGCTAGGTTTTCTCAGAGGTTACTAAAAAGTCTTAAAGTGGTTTTAGAGACTAGCAGCAACAAGGAACTATTTTCTTTCATGTTGTAAAATAAAGTCATTGTCAATAGCCTACAATCTGCAATAAACTATTAAAAAAGGAATTTATGATGGCTGTTTATTATCCTCCTGAAATAATGTTGTTACAAGTCTGCCGTTGTCAGTCATCCACAGGAATCACATGCTGAACTGCAAACAAAGGGAGGGTCTGGATCCACACAGAGATTCATGGCAGATTACCCAGGGATGGCGGGCCTGATAGTCCCTTGTGCCATTCATCACCTTTTTCAAAGAAACAGAATAATAGCCACACGTGCAGATTGCACTAAAAGGCACCTGTTTGCAAGGTGGAGTTTGAATTGTGAATTAGAAAAATACTTGCATGGCTAGTAACAGCAAATTATGTGGGAGTACCCTGGATGGGTTGGGAAAGTAGCAAGCAGGATGCTTTAGAAAGACAACTAGAAGCATCCTACACACACCTAAAGCCGCATGTCAACTCTTTTCCTTGTTTTTAATGTTATTATAAGTCTTAAGAAGTCCTCCCTCTTTCTCTTCTTGCCCTGTAAGCATGTTCCTTTGCTAAAGCCGGGTCTGTCTGGAAAGCTTCTTGGGGAATTTTCTTTGGGTTCAGCAGAGAAAAGAGGGAGGGAATGCATCCTACCCTTCTGCTGCTTGTGGTGGGTCAGGGAGGAGGAGGGGGAGCCACTGGAGGAAGGCACAGAGTTTTTCACCAGTGGCTGAGGAACCAGAAAGGGTCTGCTGATGCTGGAAGATTACTGAAGTTACAGGATCTGCCTAGAATAGAGAGCTACAGAGAATGGCTTTCAGGGAAGAATAATGAAATTGTGTATGGTTGGGGAAGGATGTAAGATCCACAAAGAGGAAGATGAGAAGAAGGATTAAAAATGAGACAAAGGCCAAAAATGGCTTGATTAGATTCGAAGAGTTGAAGGTATAAAATTTCATGTTCCAAACCTTTACAATATAAATAATCACTTCCTGAAGAAACTAACATAATTTTTCTGCTAGAAAATGGTGTTCTTTATTTTTAAAAAATTATGTTACACCTCCAAATGTAAGAAAAAAGAAAGCTCTCCAAGATATGGGAGATTTGAATGATTATTGCATGGTATTAAATGCTAAAGCGAAGAAAACTGGCTTTAAAATGAGAATAAAAATTAAGAACCTTTACTTCTTGGATATTAATTTAAATAAGCATGCTCTAACATACTGTGCCATTCATTACTAGTTTCAGAAAGTTATCAGAAGCATATGTTGAGCATGTTTAGAAAGCCAGCTTGCTTAGTTCAGTGAAGCAATGTCTGGCGTTAGTGCCTATAGAAAACAGAAGAGCATACACACTACTTTAATTCCATTGTTTTAAAAACTTGGGAAGACTTTTTTTTTTTTTTTTTTTTTTTTGAGACCAAGTCTCTCACTGTTGCCTGGGCTGGAGTGCAATGGCACAATCTCGGCTCACTGCATCCTCTGCCTCCCGGTTCAAGCGATTCTCCTGCCTCAGCCTCCCGAGTAGTTGCGATTACAGGCTCCCCCCACTAATTTTTTGTATTTTTAGTAGAGATGCGGTTTCACTGTGTTGGCCAGACTGGTCTCAAACTCCTGGCCTCGTGATCTGCCTGCCTCGGCCTCCCAAAATGCTGGGATTACAGGCATGAGCCACCACACCTGGCCAAAACTTGAAAAGACTTTAATATCATCTGAAATTATTGATTAACTTATTTTGTGTACTTAGACAAGCACTAAGAGGAGAAAAATGATGTTGATTTAAAATTTGAAACTCAAAATCTAGAATTAAAACAGTCATTTAATACAAAGCTCTGATTTGTAATTGTTTTCTCAAAACAGTTAACATAGCTTTTTCATTCCCTCAGGATTATTTCTACAGTTGAACAAGGGATTTCTAAAGCTCATTTCTAACAGGAAATCTAAAATCTACTAAAATATTGTTACAACAATTTGAAAAATTAAAGGCAATAGAAATAGATGTAACAAAACATTAAGTACTATCTGCTAAAATAATGCTAATTTACATTAACAACATGTCTCACTTTTTTACGCAAAATTTCAGAGCAGCCGCAATCCACTAACAGTTATGGAATGATGGCCTGTGTTAATGTCTGCCCCTCACTAAATCACCCAGTATGTCCAAAGCTGGAATGTCTTCAGCAACATTTTTCAGTGGTCATTTTTAAGTGATTGAAACTGTCAATGATAGTCTTTGAGTAGACGATCCACTTTTGGTCAAAACATACTAGAAAAGTCATCCCTCTTTGAAGTGCCATGTATTGTATCTGCAATCATGTTGTCAAAATAAAATGCATTTAAGATATGTAAGGAAGAGAATTTCTTACTTAAATGCAAAAAAAAAAAAAAAAAAAACCCACACAAGACAAATGTTCATTCTTGTAACACAGTCCTAGTCCATGATTACCTATAAATACCGAGCACTGGAGACTCAAATCAGCTTTCTGGTCAACAATGGAAACTGATATGTTTAGCTATTGAAAACTTAAGAGAATTTGTCACTGTACTAGAAAAATACAATCTGATAGAAAAGATAGCATTCTAAAATATTTTTCTAATGATCACCTTGGCTTTCTGTGGTTCTGCAAATACAAATAAATAGAGAGCTAAGTCTTTCATTTCTTCCCAACTTCAAATTTAGCTACAAACACTCTTAAATGAAAACACAGTTTTCTGGAGTTCTGAGATGTCAGGAGTGGTAACGAACAGAGATGCAAGAACTTCCAGGAAGGTCTGTGGAGAGCTGCAGAAGATTTAGGGAGCCGTTTGGGGTGTGCTGGAGAATGCTCCTTAGTCTTAGATGGTTTCCTCCTCCCCATGACCTTCTCACCACTCTTTGCTAAAAGACTATTTTAGAGAAGTGGAGCTACTAACATTGGGTTCATTATTAAAAGAAAACACCAAACCAGCTATTACCAATTCTGCTGTTACTCCTTGGTTTCAAGTGAATGCTGAAGTAAGCAGTTGTTGGATCACAAAATGTTAACACTGCAAGGGACGCTTAAAAGTTGCCTCTCTGGGTAAAATTTTTAGCTGACTATGGGCTACCCTGGGACTAGGATAACTCTTGACTCTCAGTCCACAACTGTTTAATATGTAAATATCAGAAATTGGTTTAGCCAAGGGATTATAGATTAGAACATATTTTGTTAGATTTATACCTAAATATTTCATGTTTTTAAATAACATACATTTGAGTCCAGCTCCTTAGAATCCCAAATTAAATCTGGATCAGTGTTGTCCCATCTGAGTCACAGAGACAGACCAGTGCTGTCCAGTAGAAATATAATGGGAGCCACACATGTAATCAAAATGTTCCAGTAGCCATATCTTAAAAAGTGTAAAGAAACTGGTGAAATTAATTTTTGTAATAGTGAATTTATTATTTATTGTGCATAACAAATTGTCCCAAAATTGTAGCTTAAAACACACATTTAATATTTTACCATTGTGTTGGGTCAGCAATGCACGATGGCTTTGAGATAGAAAGAGAGATAGAGGTGGCGCAAGCTAATGAGTGAGAGAGGGAGCACCCAAGATAGAAGCCGCAGTCTTTTTGTAATCTCAGCTTGGAAGCTGCAGCCCATCACTTCTGTCATAGTCATTTGTTAGTATTGAAATACTAAGCCTAGCCTAGAGCCTAGGGGAGGGAATTACATATGGGCATGACTACTGGGAGGCTGAGCTCAGCAGGGGCCATCTTAGAGGCTACCTACCACAAATATGTGTGTACATACATTAATGTCTATTTATATACATTTAACAAAATTTTAGACAGAGGTGATACATGTGCAAGCTTGTTACATGGGTATATTGCATAATGCTGAAGTGTTTTGGCTTCTAGTGAACCATCACCAAAATAGTAAACTACCCAATAGGTAGTTCTTCAGCCTTCATCCCCCCACACCTTTAGAGTCCCCAGTGTCTATTACTTCCATTTTTAGATCCATGCATACTCATTGCTTAACTTCCACTTATGAATGAGAACATGTGGTATTTGATTTTCTGATTCTGAGTTGTTTCACTTAGGATAATTGTCTCCAACTCCCTCCATGTTGCTGTGAAGAACATGATTTCATTGTTTTTTATGGCTGCATGGTATTCTGTGGTGTTTAAGTACCACATTTTCTTTATCCGGTCAACTGTTGGTAGACACTTAGGTTGATTCCATGACTTTGCTCTCGTGAATAATGCTGCAATAACATACAAGTGCAGGTGTCACTTTCGTATAACAATTTCTTTTCCTTTGGGTAGATACACAGTAATAAGATTGCTGGGTTGAATGGTAGCTCTACTTTTAGTTCTTTGAGAAGTCTCCACACTATTTTCCATAGAGGTTTTATTGATTTACATGCCCACCAACAGTGTATAAGTGTTCACTTTTCTCTGCAGCCTTGCCAGCCAACATCTGTTAGTTTTTGATTTTTTAATAATAGTCATTCTGACTGATATGAGGTGGTATTTCACTGTGGTTTTAATTTGTATTTCTCTGATGATTAATGATGTTGAGTATTTTTTCATATGTTTGCTGGCTGCTTGTATGTCTTCTTTTGAAAAGTGTCTTTTCATGTCCTTTGCTTATTTTGTAATAGGGTTATTTTTTTCTTGTTGATTCATTTTAGTTCCTTATAGATTCTAGATATTCATCCTTTGTTAGATGCATAATTTGGAAATACATTCTCCCATTCTATAGGTTGTCTGTTGATTGATTCTTTTGCTGTGCAGAAGCTGTTTAGTTTAATTTAGTCCCATTTGTCTATTTTTGTTTCTGTTGCATTTGCTTTTGAGGTCTTACCAATAAAATATTTGCCTAAGCCAATGTCCAGAAGAGTTTTTCCAGGTTTTTAATAGGATTTTTATAGTTTGATGTCTTACATTTAAGTCTCTAATTTATCTTCAGTTAATTTTTGTATATGGTGAGAGATAGGGGTCCAGTTTCATTCTTCAGCATACTCCCAGCCATTATTTATTGAATAGTGTGTCCTTTCCCCCATTGTTTATTTTTTGTTGGCTTCCACAAACATATTTTATCTAACCCAATATACCCAAAGTATCATTCAATATATAACTAATATAAAATTATTAATGAGACTTTTGCATTCCGATTTTATAATCTCCTTGCTGTGGACTGAATGCTTGCACTGCCCCCAAAATTACTATGTTGAAGCCCTAATCCCCAATGTCATGATATTAGAAAGTGAAACCTTTGGATGGTAACTAGGTTTAGATGAAGTCAGAAGGATGGAGTTCCCATAATAGGATTAATGCCCTTACAAGAAAAGGAAGAGACATGATATATCTCTCCCTCCTTGAGCCCACCCCCACACCACCCCTCTTGCAAGCACCAGGGAAAGGCCATGTGGGGATGTAAACAGGAAGAGGGTCCTCAACAAGAACCCAACCATTCTGGCACCCTAATCTTGAACTTTCAGCTTCCAGAACTGTGAGAAATCAATGTTGCTGAAGCAACCCAGTCTGTGGTAATTTGTTATAGCAGCCTAGACTTACTAAGACAACCTACAAAGTCCAGAATGTATTTTACACTTACGGCCTGCATCAATTTGGACTAGATACATTTCAAGCATCAATTGCCACCTGTGGCTAGAGGCCACTGTAGTACAGAACACATCTAGATGGTCTGAAGCCATCTGAAGATCCAAAGACCCTAACTAAGTGGTCTTCTTCACCAGCAACCTAAATGATTGATGTGATTTATCAGACATATCAAGTGCTTACCATGTACCAGACATAGTGCTGAATGTAAGGAACCTCAAGCTAATAAATAATAGTGCCTGCCCTAAAGGAACTCAGACAAGTAAGAGGTTAACTTCGGATTCTAGACCAGCCATGCAGGGCCTACCTCAGAGAGCTCTACACTGTGATGGGTTCTTGCGTAAGGCAAAGCTCAGTCCCTCCATGGTCCGTGGGAAGGTGGGTGACCCAAGTCTGCCTGGCCCAGCCAGAGTCTCTGACAATGACCATACACATCATTTACTCCCAGGCCTAACCTGAGGCCTGGGCCTCGGGCCCTGAACTGGAGCCCATATGTTGGCCTGAAATCTGATTTACCTTGGACGTGGAACAAGTTAAATATTTGTCTAACTCAGTACGTTGTATTTTCCGCTATTCTTCACAAGCATGTCCTGTAAAAGAAGGGAGATGTGGGGGCTACCTTAATATTTCAGGCTCCTTGGGTGCTTTAGAGGGGTTTCTGCAGAAGTATCGGTACATGCCACAGTTGCACAAAGCTTCAAACATATGTGACTAAATTTATGTGGAAAAAAATGTCCTTAATTATCTTACCAGCTATGAATGAATTTAGCACCAAGGAGATATGTTTTTAGTCCATTCTCTGTCCTAACTCTGATCATGCAAATGCCTTTGCTTTTTGTCTCACAACGTATGTCCTGAATTGTATTTGTGGTAAGTTATAAGCATCTTGAGAGTATAACTCTATGTATCGAGTACATCTAGGGTGTAGCAGAGGAGCCCTTCCACCTCTCCCAAAATGTACTTAAACACTATTAATAGTGATACACCTGGCAGTCCAGTTAAATAATTCTAAGTTTCATTTGGGGGAAATATAGTATACTTTTCATTAACAGTAGAGGAAAACAGCTTTCGGAGTGGTCTCTCTACCAGTGTAAATAGCAGTCATTTATTTTAAAGTTAGAGGAAAATCTATGCCTGTCCTAATGGAAAGAAGTTAGCTTCATTCATGTGGTGTCTGGAAAAATGATCTTGAATGGCTTCTTGATTAATTTTTGTCTTCATAAAAATATTATTTAGAAAAAATAAACAACTGTGAAGACAGTTGCAAGTAAAGGACTACAAATAAAACAATATTTCTTTCTGACATGTAAAACCCATCTCCAAATTGCTATTTCATCACATAGACATGCATTGTCTCATTAATGTCCCAGTAGCTGCATCTTTAAAATGCCTTTGTTTCACAATGTGGACACAATAAAAAATATGAGGACATAGATCTCATTTCTGTGCCTAATAATGTGGTGATTCTGGTTGAGCTGCTGTAGGCTGGAACTCAACCACACAACCTGGAAAAACATTCAGGGAGTCTGGAACATAGAAAAGTCCCCAATCCTGTTTGGCTGGAATTTGAAGGGTGAAATGAAAGCTTCTGTTCTGTGTAAATCTGTCCAGATTTAGTGTTTTACAGCATCAGGCAATGCTATTGGTGCCAAGAACTGGCTCTGCCTAGAGGCCCCACCAAGAAGCGAAATCCCTTTGCTCAGAAGTCAGGTTACATTACAGAAAGAAATGAATTTTAAACATTCCATTGTAAATACCATTTATGCATGTCATCTTTCACATGTAGAGTGGTTTCATTTTAAAAGTAAAGCTTGCTCCTGTTTTGGAGGTTCTAAATAAAAATGAAAAGAAAATAGCATTTTAGTTGGCCTTTAAAAGATCATGTGTGACCAAGCTTGGCATTTGTGGTTGTGACATAAAACTGTATTTTTGCAGTTTTAGAATGCAAATTTAAACCTACAGTATACACTCAAGCAAACCAACAAATATCTATCTATAAACATATAAATAGATACACATGCATAGAGACATGTATATGCATACACACATTGTGCACAGCAACACTGGTATAAAGATCTTTACTTCTTTTTTATTATAGCTTTCATTGTCACTTATTGTAACATTTTCCACAAAACACATGTTTCATTGCTGTAGTAGTTCAGGCAGTTGTGAAAGATGGAAGGGGAGGTGAGGGGGATGTGCATATCTTTGGACAAAGAGGGAGACCCGAGGGTGGGCAACATCTTTTAGCTTTTTCCATCTGAACTTTAATTTGCTCCCTAAAAGGAGAAGCTGAGTCCATCAAGCTAAACAGTGAAGCCTGAGATTTGCTTTAAAACTCGAACTCATTCTCTTTGGTTTGGACAGGCTACTGCTAGCCCTCGCCCCAGACTGTCCGGTTCTCAGGAGGGTTTGCGCGGCCTGTTTGCCAAGCCTGGGTAGGCGGGACAGGGGGATTCCCAAGGCCGATCAGATTCTATTTACTGCCCTCTTCCCCAACCCCGGGGCCACCTCTGAGGCATGAACCCAGAGACGCGCGCCCTGGTCTGGGAAAGCAGGACCGCTGCGCCCAGCGCCTCAGGGGTAGAGGCGGGAACAGGCCCGCGGTCGCTTTGCTGGCGGGGAAGGGCGATCTGACGATCAGGGAGTTGCGCCCCTCTCTCTGGGCCTCGTGAAGGAACAGAGCAATTACAGCGCTGGGCCGGCCACGTAGTCCTGGGGCTAGGTGGGCCCAATGCTCCGGGCCGCGGGGCTGGAGCGCGGAGGCTGGAGAGGGAGGAGGACCCTCCGCGGCTCCAGGCCTCCCAGCTGGAGGGGCTCACGCCCGGGACTCCCCATCAGACCTTTGAGGGGGAGCTTCTCAAAAAGCCCTAAACTCCTCGAGGATATTCTCCGAGTGCTTCTCCTTACCCAAGCGCTGCTTCCAGACTCCACGCCTCTAGAACTAGCTGGCGTCCACGGTCGGCCAGAGCAGTTAGGGGGCTGCGCTAGCAGGGACATGTGGGGCAAAAGAGACGTATTTTAAAACCCCCAAACAAATGTGCCCTGAAACTCACGGAGCCTGAGTTTCTGGGTTCCTCGCTTGCACTGCCCCTTCCGAAGCCCTGCGAGGGGCGCTAGTAATCCTGGATTCCGAATTGTGGGTTCTCAGTTTTAAAGGGTTGCCCCCGCCCCAGCCCCCTTCTCAATTGTCTAATCTCAGGCCTGCAACTTCGGCGTCCGCCAAACGCCGGCCTTGCCGCAGGTGCAGGACTCCTGCAATGTACTCTGGGGTTACCAGTCTGTTTGGGGTGCGGCCTGCAGGCGTAACCATGGAGTAACTTCGGGAGCCAAACTGACTTTTGCGGGGCACGGAATCAGACTTCTTGCGTCATTTTCACACCTCCTTTTTTGGTTTGTCTCGCCTATTTTGAGCCCATCAAGGAAACAGGCCCACACAGCAGCTTAAGCAAAAATGTCATAATGCTGGTGAGGTATGGATTCGATGGAAGTTCTCACTTTCCTAAGTATCATTTTTTTCTTGGTATAATAATTTCATCTCTTAGCCAAGGCTCTGAAACGAATGTCAAATTTCATGGCTTTTACGTGTTGTTGAACTCCATGTAGCGTGCTGAAATATATGCAGTACTAAATCTCAAAAACAAAACAAAACCAAAACCCCAAACCAAAGCCCTCTCTTTAGGGCAGGCTGATTAAGCAGCTGGAGAGAGAAGAGGGAGGATTGCAGAATCATGGGAAAGGAGCAGGAAGGTCTCTCTTGCTGTCATCAGAATATTCTCCTTCCCACCTCCTGTCTTCTAGGACAAATAAATAAAGCATTGATTACCTCTAAACCTCAGACCTAATTTGAGAAGTGTGATGCAGGACACATATTCAGATACCATCACCCATTTCTGCACAAAGAAACAGTTCACTACTTCAAAAATCCACATTTTATGATTTCTTGAATTTTATACTCAAAGGAGGGAGGTGGAATAGGTCATCCTTATACAGCAGAGAAACACAATACCTTTCCTCATTTAGAATATTCCCAACTATTCTCTGGTGAAGAAAACTAGTAGGAGTTTACAATTTAAAAAACAAAACAAACCCCAAACAAACAAAAAATCCACCTACAATTATACACTCTATTTTGTATGTTAATCTTTGACAGGCTGAGAGTATTTTAACAACACTGGTCATCAGAAGTCAAATGAAAATAAATAGATGTTCACTAAATAGCATTCTTTCTCTATTTGGTGGCAATGTTGCTGTCATCGGTTTTCCCCAAAATCATGGGGGTGGCAGGAAGGAGAGAAAAACATGGGCATGTTTGAGTTTTGCCTAAGTCTGAAACTTTCGATCTCAAATCTTCCTCTCCATCACAGTCACGTCTGGTGAACTCAAGCTGGCTTTACTTTACTTACTAACCTGGATTCCTGCTGTATAGACTCAGAAACCCGGGAGAGTTTAGGAGACCGCCGAGGCGAGCACTTTCTCTAACAATCGCGTGCTGCAGTCAGGAGAGCCCAGGTGGCTGCGGCCGCCCTTAGGAGACCAGTGATCATCCCAGCCACCTCCCTGCCCAGCCCCGGGCCGAACTGGAAAACTCTTAACTTTGGGCTTTATTTAAAACACTCGGGTTTCGAAAGCCGGGTCCCCTCCGCAGGCCAGGAGGCCTCAGTGAGCATCCTGTGCTGCGTGGGGAGGGCCTGGCAGCTGGCGGATCCGTCTGGGCTGCAGCTGCAGGGTCGGGAGCTCTTCTTGGACTCGGCTCCTTTCAGAAAACTCTTTTCTTGTCGGATGTGGTTTCCCTTTAATTAATCACTCATGCCCGCGTGTCCACCGCGCCGCTTCCCCACTCTTCCTCCAGCCCCGCATGTGATCTCTATTTGGAGGCAGGAGAGCTGGTGGAGCATCTGGGGTTGCCGCGGAGGTGGTTCTGCCTGCCGCTGGGCTTCGGGCCGCCGCCCAGAGACAGAGCGATATCCTCCCAGATAGGCCTTCTGGAAGATTCACTGCCCTTTCCGAACTGTCTGGCCTGTTGGCCATGCTGGCCTCGAGGCTCAGCAGTTCCAGGCCTCAGCCTGGGTGGTCCAGGTGTTCAGGGTGGTCTCGAAGTGCATATTTCCTTCAGGTTTCCTCCCTTCTCTGCCCTCCTCCCCATCCCCGCTTAGGCGCTGGCATCCCGCTGACACCAGCCAACTTTTGCACCCCTATCAAGGATCTCTCAAAGAATATCTTGGCCACCTCAGGCACTGTGACTTCCTGGAGTTCGCATGACACAGGGCAAATAGCCAAGCTCCCAGGCAGTTGGGCCCCCGGAGGTTGGAGGCCTTGGCCTGTGCAGGCTCCTTTCCGGAAAGCCCTGGCCCCAAACCCCAACATCAAGCCACTCTCAGGATTGCGGGGCAGTGGGCAAGACCTGATCCAGAGGGTGTGCATTAAGCCGTTGCCCTCGTTGCGTTTAATTCTCCCGTCACTCCCCAGTCACTAAGGGAGGCCTCCTACTCGCGCCTCAGCTTCAAGGGCGGATGTGGCTGGGACCACCCTGGGACTCGGGTGTCTCCAAATGTGGCTCAGGCCGCCCCACGCCGAACGAGGTGGGATCAGATATTCCCGCTTGTGAGTGTTGGTGGGGCTGAAGAGATCACACGCGGCGGGGTGTGGAACTTCGAGGGGTGTCACGGCCAGGGCTTTGCGGCCCCAGACGTCCCAGCGGCTCGCAGGGGGCGCCAGGTCCGCGCTTCCCCTTGGGTCTTCGAGAGGCGTGTGCGCAGGACGCTGCCCTCTGTTGCCCAAAGCCCGCACCAGGCTCCTGGGCTTCCGCGGGCTTCCGCAGGCCTCAGGCGAGGGGCGGGGACGCCACCCGCACGCTCCCGAGCGCAGGGAGGGCTGTCGCCGAAGCGGTGACCCACGCGTGGACCCCGCCCGCGCTGGGCCGGGCCGGTCCCCTGCCCACCCGCAGCCCTGCTCGGCCGCGTTCCCAGCAGCCGGGAAAGCTTCCTCCCTCGGTCACCGATCCAGGCCGCTGGTCCAGCTGTCAAAACAGGGGGTGTCTCTTTCATTCTGGCTCACAAAGTCCCAAAGGGGAACAGGGGGCCTTAATGCTTGTGTTTGGACACAAGCAATTATCCCTAATTATTCTTTTTCTTTTGAGCCTGCCCGTCCCGCCGGCGAGCCCGCCGCGGAACAGGCCCCGTAATCCTCCCTGGTCGGCGGATCTCAGTGGGCTCTGTGCGGCCCGAGGCTCGGGCGCTTTCATGTCACTGCGGGTTTAGAGCTGATTCAAACTCATTGCGATGGGGGAATTAACCCCGGGGCCCGGGCTTTCAGGGGCCTCTGATAAGAGATTATACGTGTTGATGGCAAGCTTTTCTTGGCAAAATGTTTTCAAAGGGCTTGGAGTTGTTAAATCAAAGCGCCATTGAATTGCTCGGGACCACCCCCTCCCCCGCCTCTTGCCCTTCCCCCACCTCCATCTTTTTCCCTTCATCCCTCCTCCCCCATCACCGCCCAGGACTGCCCAAGGCGAGCGGCCCAGCCTCCGGGAGTGGCGAGTCACCTTCCTTGGTACGATTTTCCCCCGGTGCCTCGCCCGGGAAGGATTGTTTTTGTAGGTGCTCCTGCTGCTGGGCACTTTGGTACCCCTTCCCTTCCCCGCCCCTCCCCGCCCCTTCACACACACTTGCTCTGGTAAAGAAAACATGTCCCAGATGAAAGACGTTTTTTTCAAACGTACATGTGTTTTGCAGAAAACGGAGGTGACAGGGTGGGATAACGAGGAGAAAGGAAGGGTGGCTTTCCTGCCTCCCCCACCCCCGAAAGGTCATCGGAGTCAGAGGGGTAACCATCGGGTTAAAAAGTATTGTGGGCAGAGTTCAGATGTCCGGTGAATCGCACGGTTCTGCCCTGGGGGAGATCTGCCTTCCACCCCCACCCCCGCGGAATGACAGAAAGAGTTGGGAGGACCGTGGGGATGTAGATTCTGCACTGTGGAAAGTCTTTATTCAGGGAACTGGGTTCAATTATAAACTGCAAAGGATTATTGGGTACTGTGCTGGGCCCTGCTTGGGTGCAGTGGGAAATGCAAAATTTGGACAAGGGTTTACAAAGCCTTACAGGGGCTAGGTAAACACCTCCCCTTGAAATAAAACAAGATATTTTAAGTGCCAGATATGTGAAACTGGTAACAATGTTGTGCTTGTCATCTTCCCCACCCCCCACCCCACCCCTCGCCCAATATATATCACATATACCACACTAAACTGGTCAATTTCCACAGCTAGACTTCCTGGCTATCCAGACCTTGATCCCCTCTTCACCTCTCCCCATCCCTGGGATTGGAACCCTGCCCTCTACCCCCATTTGGCTGGTCTGACACCCTGCTTGATTCCTGCCAATCCCTGGAAGTGGCACAGAGGTGGAACAGTATCCTGTTCTTTTTTTTTTTTTTTTTCTTTTTTTTTTTGAGATGGAGTCTCACTCTCACTCTGTTGCCAGGCTGGAGTGCAGTGGCACGATCTTGGCTCACTGCAACCTCTGCCTCCCGGGTTCAAGTGATTCTCCTGCCTCAGCCTCCCGAGTAGCTGGGATTACAGGCTTGGGCCACCACGTCTGGCTAATTTTTCTATTTTTGGTAGAGATGGGGTTTCACCATGTTGGCCAGGATGGTCTCAATCTCTTGACCTCGTGATCTGCCCACCTCGGCCTCCCAAAGTGCTGGGATTACAGGCATGAGCCACTGCACCTGGCCTATCCTGTTCTTTTTACCTTGGCCAGTGGTTGGGTCCCTGCTAGGAATAGATTGGTTATTAGGAGAGCTGACTGCCTAACTCAATACCCACACCCTGTACAGGATTGGACCCCAGGGCACACAACCTGCTGCCCAGGGTCACTAGAATCCTGCACTGCACCAAGCTTCTAGGCTAGGAGCTTCTCACCCCACTTTCTGTTTACCTTTTCCTTCCCACTCCTGCCACTCTAAGGCCCAGCATGCTTGCCCTGTGAACCTGCTCAAGTTATAACAAAATTTGATGCCAAGTTGGTACCCTATTTTGTTTCCTGGCTTCCTGAAGGATAAAGTGGTTCCTTGATTTATTTTCTGCTTCTTTCATAGTTAATGAGATATGATGGGCCCTGTGGGAAGCAAAGTTCAATTATGACTTTTTGTTTTACATATCCATGGAATCCTTGGCCCGGTGTCTCCCAGTAACTGTCTAATATGTAGCTTTGTCTTTGTAAGCTTGTATTATCTCTCCAAGATACAGATGGTTTTTGTGATCTTAATCTATTTCGTTGGTAATATCTTATTTAAATTTTTGAGTCTCATAGCCAATGAAAGAAAAAATAGACAAATGGGACTGCAACAAACTAGAAAACTTCTGCACAGCAAGGGAAACAACAGAATGAAGAGACAACTCACAGATTGGGAGAAAATATTTGCAAATCATACATCAGATAAGGGGCTAATATCCAAAATATATAAGGAAATCAAACTACCCAGAAGAAGAAAACAAATCACCCTATCAAAAAATGGGCAGAGGACCTAAATAGACATTTTTCAAAAGAAGACATACAAATGGCCAACATATATATTTTTAAAATGCTCAACGTCTCTAATGATCAGAAAAATGCAAACGAAAACCACAATGAGATATCACCTCACAACTGTTAGATTGCTATTATCAAAAAGATCAACGATAACAAGTCTTAGTGAGGGTGTGGAGAAATATGGAACCTGTACAGCATTGGTGGTATTGTAAACTAGTACAGCCACTTTGGAAAACAGTATGGAGGTTCATCAAAAAATAAAAAACAGGATTACTATACCATCCAGCAATCCCCACTCTGAGTATATAATACAAAGGAATTAAACTCAGTATGTTGAAGACATGTCTGCACATGTTCATTGCAACATTATTCACAATAGTCAAGATACAGGAACAGCTGGGCATAGTGGCTCATGCCTGTAATCCCAGCACTTAGGGAGGCAGAGGCAGGCAGGTTGCTTGGGCAACATGATGAAACCCTGTCTCTACAAAAAAACCCCACAAAAATTAGCCGGGCATGATGGCGCATACCTGTAGTCCCAGCTACTCGGGAGGCTGAGGTGAGAGGAACCCTTGAGGCCAGGAGGCAGAGGTGGCAGTGAGCCGAGATCACACCACTGCACTGCAGCCTGGGCAAGAGAACCAGACCCTTCTCAAGCAAACAAACAAAAATATGGAAACAACTGAAGTGCTCGTCAATGGACAAATGGGTTTAAAAAAGTGGTATATATACACAATGGAATACTATTCAACTTCTTAAAAACAGGAAATTCTGTAATTTTCAACAACATGGATAAACCTAGAGGACATTATGCTAAGTGCAATAAGCCAGACACAGAGAGACAAATAATATAATCTCACTTATAAGTGGAATCTAAAACATCGAATTCATAGAAGTACAGAGTAGAATGATAGTTCCCAGAGGCTGGGAGCAGGGGAGAGGGGAAGATGGGGAAAGGAGAAACATCGGTTAAAGGTACAAAGTTGCAGTGAGACAGGAGGCATAAGTTCTGGAAATCTACTGCCTAGTATGGCAAATATAGCTAATAGTTATATATACTTCAAAATTTCAAAAAGAGAGGATTTTAAGTGTTCTCACATAAATAAATGATAAATATCTGTGGTAATGGGTATGTTAATTAGCCTGATTTGATTATTCCACAATGTATACATGTATAGAAACATCACATTGTACCATATATATATATATATATATATAATTTGTGAATAAAAACATAACTTAAATAATACAAATATATTTTTGAGGCTGATAAACAGAACTCACTTATACTTCCTTTTCTCATGCTGTTGTCTGGTTTTGGTATCAGTTATGCTAAACTCATTCCATTTCAATCCACAATTTTTTTTTTTTTTTGGAGACCAGGTCTTGCTCTGTCACCCAGGCTGGCAGTAGTGGCGAGGCCTCAAAATCCTGGGCTCAAGGGATCCACCCAGCTCAGCCATCTGAGTAACTGGGCTTATCAATCTACAAATATTTATTGACTGCTTCCAGTGTTCTAGGCACTTTCAAGAGTGAACAAAACAGATTTAAAAAAGCAAAAATTTCTGCCTTCCTTGAATTTACATTGCAGTAGAGAGAGACACAATATTTTAAAAGGTAGGAAATAAAAACATATTATAGCATGTTGGAAAGTAATAAGTGCTATTGTAAATTAAAGCAGGCATCAAAAAGATCAATAACAAGTGTTGGCAGGGATATGAAGGGATTGGAACCTTCATATACTGCAGGTGGAAATGCAAAATGGTATAGCCACTTTGGAAAACAGTCTGGTAGTTCCTAAAAAGGTTAAACATAGAGTTAACCATATGACCTAGTAATTCTACTCCTAGCTATATATGCAAGAAAAATAAAAACATCTGTCCACAAAAAAGCTTGTACACAAATATTTATAGTAGTATTATTCATGATAGTCAGAAAGTGGAAACAACCCAAATGTTTCCATTTCAATTCACCCATTTAAATTATATAATCCAATGGTTTTTAGCCAAATTTCTATTGGTGAATGGAGAAAAAAATGTGGCAAATCCATACAATGAAATGTCATTCAGTCATAAAAAGAAATAAAGTAGTGATTCCTGCTTGTATTCTGCATGTATTCATACTGCTGATACATGTAGATACATGCTACGTTGATAAACTTTGAAAACATAATGTTAAGTGAAAGAAACCAGTCACAAAGGGCCACGTAGTATACGACTTCATTTAGATCAAATGTACAGAACAGGCAAATCCATAGACATGAAAAATAGATTGGTGTTTGCCTAGGGCCCGAGAGGAGGAATTTGGGGAAATGGGGATTGATAACAATGTGGTTTCTTTTAGGGATGACAAAAATGTCCTAAAATTGATTGTGGTGATGGTTGCACAACTCTGTGAATATACTAAATACCCTTGGATTGTATACTTTAAATGGGTGAATTGCATAGTGTGTGAATAAATGGAAGGTTGGGTTTGGTGATTAGGAGTATGGCAGTGGTGGTGCTGGGGTTACTTGAGATTTTTTTCACAGAGAAGGCCTATTTGAGAACATGACATTTAGGTAACAATCTGGATTGAGGGCATTACCCAGGCAGTTGTCTGGAGCAGAGAACTTCAAGCAGAGGAGGCAGCCACAGCAAAGACTCTGGCTATCTAAGACACAGTGGGTAGGCTGGCAAGGCTGGAGCGAAGTGATGGAGGAGGTAACAGATGAGGTCAGAGATGAAATGGAGGGGGTGCTTCGGAGAGGGAATGTGGGTGGTATACACCTTCTGCCTCATGGGCCTGTGAAGGTTTCAGTAGAGGAAAAGCATGACACAACCAGCTTTTTGAAGGACTTCTGATTGCAGAAGGGTAAGAATGGAGACCAGCCAGGAAGGCTACTGCAGAACTGCAGGGAAGAGATAGAAGCCTAGTCCCGGGCGCTAGCGGCAGAAGTGAAGTGGGATGCTTTTTCCCTGAGGCTGTCCTGGAGAGGTGATCCTCTATTCCTGGTTTACAAGACCAGAGAAATAAATTATACTACAAAGCCATCTTCATTTAAGTAGTTTGTTTTCAATTAGGCTGATAAGTGGCATAACTGTGAGGATAAGTGGTCAGATTTTAGACATACCTTGAAGATGAAGCCAACAGAATTTCCTGATGGATTGGATGAGGAGTATAGGAGAAAGAAAGCTTTAGATTATAAGGCTTTGGAGTTGAGCTACTAGAAATACACTGTGATCATTTGGGCTGGGGAGAACTAGGTTGGCATATGTGGGGAAAGATTAGTACTTCAGTTTTGGACAGGTTAAGTTTCAGGTTGCAACTGACTATCCAAGTGGAGATTTCTATCAGGCAGTTGGATACATGAGTATGGGGCACAGCAAAGAGGTACGGGCTGGAAACAGAAATTTGGCAATTGGGCCAGGCACGGTGGTTCATACCTGTAATCCCAGCACTTTGGGAGAATGAGGTGGGCAGATCGCTTGAGCTCAGGAGTTCGAGACCAGCCTGGGCAACATGGTGAAACCCTATCTCTACAAAAAATACAAAAATTAGCTGGACATGGTGGCATGCACCTGTGATTCCAGCTACCCGGGAGACTGAGGTGGGACGATCACTTGAGCCCAGGAGGTTGATGCTGCAGTGAGCCGAGATTGCTGCTCTGCACTCTAGCTTGATGACAGAATGAGATCCTGTCTAAAAAAAAAAGAAAAAGAAAAAGAAAATAATAAAAGAAAGAAATTTGGCAATTGTTGCATATTGGTAAGAGGTAAAGCCATGTGACTAAGTGATAACAACAAAAGAAAGAGTATGGATAGAGAAGAGGATGAAGAGCTGAGTGCTGGTGGCTCCCCAACATTGAGAAGTCAGGGAGGAGATGACGAACTAGCTAAGGAGACTGAGGACTGCATAGTGAGGTAAGAGGAAACCAGGAGAGTGCAGTGTCCTGGCAGCCAAGTGAAGAAAGGGTATCAAGGATAAGGGAATAGTTGACTATGTTTAAATGCTGCTAAGAGAGCAGGTACAAGTTCATGAAATTAGCAATGTGGAAAACTTGAAGAAGAGGGGATTTCAGTGGGGTGTTGTAGAATGAACACCTGATGGGAATCTTTATTTCACAGAGAGTGGGAGGAAAGGATTGAAGTGAGTGCAGACCACACTTTGAAGGATTTTTCACACAAAGGTGAGCAGAGAAATTTGGTAGAGCTGGTGGGAGACATGGGGACAGGAGAAATTTTTTTTTAAGATAGCAGAAACAACCATATGTTTATGTGCTAATGGAAATTTGGAAATTTCCCATCCAGTAGAATGGGAAAGTTAATGATACCAGAGAGAGAGAGAGACAGAGGGACAGAGAGAGAAATTGCTGGAGAGCTGTCCTTTACTAGCCCTGAGATAGGTAAAAGGAAATAATATCTAGTTCCACATAAGTAATAGGAAATAATATCTAGTTCCACCAAAGTGGGGAGATTGAGTTCAGATGGGAGCATGAGTGGCTCATTCACTTGGAGTAGCTGCTAAGAAGACAACATGGAGGCCCATCGGCTAGGAGGAGGGCAGAGGTGGTGGTAGGAATTTATTAAATTCTCTTCTGATTGCTCCAGTTTCCTCAGTGTGATGGGAAGCAAGGTTTTCCATGAGTGAGAATGTGGGGAGCGGTATCAAAAATGTGAAAATAAATAAAAAGTAGGACAGTAGGAGATAAATGGATTAGGAAATACAGTACGTCTGCCAGGGAGCATTAGGGCTCACTTGAGGTTTGTGATCCTGAATTTAAAATGAGCCCGTTAGAGCATTAAGGGCTCACTTGAGGTTTGTGATTCTGAATTTAAGATGAGTCCATTAGATTGATGGCATGTTTTTCTTCTGTAGGCTCAGGTTAGATGGAAAGTTGAATTAAATAGGACCATAGTTTGGCCGAGTAAGTATAACTAAGGGAAAGAGGGGCAGGAGTACTGAGGACTTTCAGCTGGGATCACTGTCAAGATAGAACATCAGGGCATGATGGGTGCTGAAAAGGTGGTAGGAGGAAGGGAATGGAAGGGAATGGTAGGTCAAAGGGTTTATTAAATACAGAGTGCTGAAATAATGAGCTGGAAAGATAAGAGGAGGTGGTGGTCAGTGAGCGGATACATGAAATTGAAGTTGAGGAGGGTGCCAGTTATGGAAGTGAGTGGCTGAGATGGGGTGGAAGATAACATCATTGGAGGAGAGGAGCTTAAGGCACTGAAGGTTTAGGCTACTGGAAGGGTTGCTGAGTGTATGTTGGAATCACCGAGAATTAAGAGAGGAGTAATACTGGAAAGAGTGATAGTGAGGAGGGGGCTAAAATAGCCAAGAAGTGAGAGTGAGCTCAAGAGTCCATAGAGAAAATAACGGGACATTTTCTCTTATTTTTGGAACAGTTTGTGTAATAGTTGGGTTACCGGTTCCTTGAATGATTGGAAGTTTTTAAACCAATGATATTGTTTTTTAATAGTTAATAAGCTATTCAGGTATTTAGTTTCACCTATAGCTTGGAAAATTTATATTTTTCAGGGGTTAATGACCCTTTCCTTGTAGCTTTCAAATTTAGTGGCATAAACTTGTTAAAGATTATCATGCAATTTAAAAATATTTTCTTTACCTTTATGTATACCCCTTTTAATTCACAATTTTTCTGTATTTGTACATTTTCTTCTTCTTAGGTTAATCTTAAGTCTTAAAACTATTTTTTTTCTAAAAACCTATTCTTAGCTTTGATAATTCTTTTTAAGTTTGACTTTCTATTTCTTTCATCTATTTCTCCTCTTGTTTTATTTCCTCCTTTCTGCTTTCTTTGGATTTATTCAGTGAAGGTGAAATAATGATAAATTATCTCCAACTTTGAGAAGATATTTATTTCACCCTGACTTTTGACCTGATGGTTTAGCTGGTGGTAGGGCTCTGGTTGCCAGCACTTTGCATATATGATTCCATTGTCTTTTAGCTTCTATTTTGCTGCTGAGAAGTCTGCTAAACTAATCACCCTTAAAAATAGATTATCTGTCTTTCTTTCTGGTAGCTTTTAAGATCTTTTCTGTATCTCAAGGGTTTTTCTCTTTCACTATGATACACCTAGGGATGACTTCATTTTGATTTATATTGTAATTTCTGAAAAAATCAGTAATTTGCATTACCTCTGAAAAGTTTCTAGCTATTTTTAAAAATCTCTTTATTGAGATGTATTTTACATTCCATAAAATTCAACCATTGAAAGTATTCAACCATTTAAAGTTTTAGTATATTCACAGAGTTGTGCAACCTTCGCCACATTATCTTTAGAATATTGCTTTTCCTTCATCCATTTTATTTTCTCTTTCTGGAAATCCTTTTAAACATGTTAGACTATTGGAGTTTGAACGACTAATATGTAACACCCCTTTTCCTCCACTGAAAGTCAGAGTTAATTAAGAGATAGGCAAGGAAATTAGATAGATGGAAATAAAAAGAACAGCTTTATCAGTAATAAATACTGGATTTGAGGGTGTGGCTTAGATGAGTGACAACCATAGATCTTTCAACACCAAACCCTAGAGTTTGAATTACCCACACCCTCTTCCCAGGCAGCACTGAATCACCATGTGTCTCCACATGGAGGTTGCCCCTGTGAAATGTATGGTGAGAGTTATAGCTCAGAAAGCATGTTCTCTGTGGGCAGGCTGGTTCCCAGGAGGAGGCAAGGAGGCAGGGCCTGTTCTATCCCAAACTCACCAGTAAGATAGGTTACTTCGGCAGAAGGAAGCTGCAGCTGTCACGCTGACTGATGTCCCTCTACACACCTGCAAAGCTACACAGATTATTGTATAAAGCAAACACTATTCTGATACCAAACCCAATCAATATAAATAAACAAGAACTACAGGCATTTCAAAAATGCAAAAATCAGAGAAACAGAATTGAACATTATATATTGAATACAAAGAACAATTACATAAAATATATTGATCTAAAAATTCAGGGGTCTTAAAATTTAGAGAAATGTATTAAATACAGTAACGTAAATGTGTATTAATAAGAGTCACTAAGAGAGAATATGATCATTTTCATAGATGCTCAAATAAAAACATTATAGGATGACAGAAAACAAGGATACTTCCGGCTGGGCGCAGTGGCTCACGCCTGTAATCCCAGCACTTTGGGACACCGAGGCAGGCGGATCACCTGAGGTCAGGAGTTTGAGACCAGCCTGGCCAACATGGTGAAACCCCATTTCTACTAAAAATACAAAAATTAGCCAGGTGTGGTGACACCTGCCTGTAATCCCAGCTACTCAGGAGGCTGAGGCAGGAGAATGGCTTGAACCTGGGAGGCGGAGGTTGCAGGTGAGCCGAGATCATGCCACTGCACTCCAGCCTGGGTGACAGAGCAAGATTCCATCTCAAAACAAAAAAAAAAAAAGAAGGATACTTCCGTAAGCCAGTATCCAAAATTATACAAAGATACGTTTGTCGCATTCATTTGAAAAATCCAGAACAACGTTGGCCTCAATAACATTAATATTATTTTGGAAATTTTGGGTAGTACAAGATAAGAAATAAAAATGAAATGAATAAATATTTCAAATAATCAATCAAAACATCCTTTTTGGTAGATGACTGTATATAAAGAAAAGACAAAGAAGACAACTGGAAACTGTTTTGGCATGAAGGGTAAACAGAGTCAAATGTAAACTCTCCCCAAATTAATGTGTAGTTTTAACACAATCCCAATTGAAAAATTCAACACAATTTTCCCTGAAATGCTATAAAACTTTAATAACATTGATAAGAAATATAAGTGAGTATGAATATCAAATAAAATTTTGAATAAGAGAAATTACGGGGACTATCAGCTCTAAAAATGTTTTCTAAACAACAATAATTAAAATAGGATCCAAATACTGAAGTAACATAGATATCAATGAAACAGAATAGAAAGTCCAAAAATAAATTTATCATATATAACAATGCAAAATGTAATTTGTGATAAAGAAATTATAACCAAGGAATATATAATTGAATAAACCCTGTTAGGATAGCATATGGAGGAAGAGGATTTATGTGTGTGTTTCTACCCAACCCACAATTTTAAGAGTAGCTAAATAATTAAATTAAAAAGTTTAATTCTTTAGAAAGAAAAATCTCAATCACATCTATTAAGTTAATAAAAAAAGTTATAAGAAAAAGCATTGTCCAATATAATCCAGAAATTACTATGACGTTTTAAAATATGTATATGACATATAGAATCTGACATTTTTGGAGTGGAATGTATGACTACCTAGTGTAAAAATTTTCAGTGATGTTTGAAATTTTTCACTTGTCGTTCTCTTTTCTGTTTTTATTTTGAGATGGAGTCTTGCTCTGTTGTCCAGGCTGGAGTGCAATGGCGCGATCTCACCTCACTGCAACCTCCACCTCCCCGGTTCAAGCGATTCTCCTGCCTCAGCCTCCTGAGTAGCTGGGATTACAGTCGTGTGCCACCATGCCCAGCTAAATTTTGTATCTTTAGTAGAGATGGGGTTTCACCATGTTGGTCAGGCTGGTCTTGAACTCCTAACCTAGTGATCCGCCCGCCTCGGCCTCCCAAAGTGCCAACACTCATCACCACTCTTGCATCTCAGAAAAAGTACAAGAAAATATGAATGAATATTTGTTAGCTCTTTGGCGGAGTAAACACATTATATGCTTTGAAGCAACAGAAGAAATCACAGAGAACAATTAACAGACTTAACTCTATAAAAAACTTTACACTTCTGTACAAAAATAAAATAAGAAGACATAGGGAAATATATTTATAGTATGTGTGCACATATACACACACACCAACCAGAAATAGAGTGAATATATGTAATTACATAATGGATTCCCTCAGAGTGGAAAAATAATTTATGTTATATTCATACAGCGGAATTTATTTAGCCATTGAAATGAATAAAATGGATCTTAAAATCTGTCAAAATGAGTTTTTAAAAAGCAAGTTGCAGGATGCTAAGTTTAGCATATTATCAGTCACATAAAGTTTAAAAACTAATGAATGTGTGTGTATGTTTATGAGTGTGTGAGAAAAAGAGAGAGAGAAATATAGAGAGAGATGACCAAGGACTAAAACTATTAAAATGTGGAAGGGAAAGATGTAAAGCAACTGTAAGTGGTAAATTACCTCTGGAGGAGAGGGTAGGAAATGGTAACTGGGAAGGTTACAAAGGGAGCTTTAAATATATCTGTTACTTTTCCATATGTCTGAAATATTCTGCAATTAAAAAAACAGGACTTACAAGTTGCTAAGGAAGAACTCCTAAAATTCCAAAATATGTATGTAAAAACAACATGACTAAACAATTTATAGGAAAGGAAATATAGAAAAATGTATAGCCTCCTTAGTAATCAAAGAAGATTAAAATGAGACACAAATCATATCTATTAAATTAGTTTTAAAAGTTTTTTACAAGAAAAAACATTGTCTCATGTACTCCAGAAATTAGTATGATGTTTTAAATGTATATACAAGATATAGAATCTTATATTTTCAGAGTGGAATATATGACTATCTAGTGTAAAAATTTCAAGCAATGTTTGAGATTTTTCACTTTTTTCTTTCCTTTACAGTTAAGACCACACTCATCACCACCCTTGAATCTCAGGAACAAATATTTCTTTTAAAGAACTTCAAACTTTCTGGAAAGAAAGGAGACTCGTGAAAGTAGCTAAGGACAGAGTCTAGATGTTTACCAGATAACCAACTCAGTACTTAAATGCTCCTCAAATAAAACTTCTAATTCTCAAATATCCACCAAATCCTCAAACTTTTCCCAAAACATTCAAGAAAATTCATAATCCTGCAAATCAAATCCAGACTGTGCCGAGCCCCACCCCCAATTCACCCATTAGCGGGTATCAGCATGCACATGCGCGTGCGCGCGCGCGCACACACACACACACACACACACACACACATCCCAGAGTTTACTTGTGGTTTTGTTTTTAAGGACATGTCAGTCAAGACAAAGCTCGTCTTTTGTGAAACAGCAGGCCTCTTCCACAACAGGGCCTTACTCTAACCCCCCAGTGACTGTCATCAACACTTCACTTTTTCCGTTTGTTTTTCAAAAGAATGGTCGGGCATCAGTGGAATAGAGATGTCGAGGCAGCGGGAGGCATTTTTATTTTTGTTTTTGTGTTTTCACAAGGGAGCCCTAAATACATTAAATTTCTGGCTCTCCTCAGTTCCTGAAGCTGTTTCTTTGGGACTCCATTCTTCTGTGAAGTCCTTTGTCCTCCAGCTCCTCCCAGGTGGCTAAAGAGAGAGAGAGCAAAGAAAAAGTTGCACTTCCTTATAGAATCTAAATATTTGGGTTCCTGAGTAAACGGAGGCATGTTTGTGTGACAGTTCTCACCAGTTCATTCCTAGTGGTGATTTCAAGCTAAAATAAAAGAGAAGTTAGCGGTTTGCAGGTTCAAAGATGTCTAAAAGAGAATGGCCAGAATGTATATATGGATTTAATAGGAGGATTCAGGATACCAGAGGGTGAGTAAGGAAGATCTTAGGTGCGCTGAAGCTGAGCCAAGAACTCAATGCAGTGCTTCACTTGAGAAACCCTTGCAGCTCAAGTGAGGAACAATGGATGGGATAGTAAGAGCCAACTCTCCCAGAGGCTGTGCCATGGGCCAGACACTACACCAATAACTTTATGTGGATTCATTCATTTGGTCTTCCCAAAAACCTGTGATGAAGATAGCATGATCACTCCCATTTTACAGATAAAGGGACTGAGGTCCAGGGAAATTACACAACTAGCACAGGACTGCAGAGCTGGAAAGCAACAAGGCAGGGCTTTCACCAGGCACTAGGCATTTCAGCTAGAAGCCATGCTCTAAGTTCCTATGCTGGAATCTCCTGTATTTGACCAGAAACCAGACGGGAAGAGGAGAAAAGAGAGTTAAGCTGAATGTTCTTGGCGAATTACTCCCCAGTATCTTTTAGTTCAGAGCACGGGTTCAACACTATGGCATTTACTCTGTGCCCGCGTTGTAAGGAGCTTTGGGGATGCACGGGTGAGGAGAGCTTGCACTATGCTCTCCAGGGCCGTGCACCCCAGAGAGATGGACAGATTTATATATATATATATATATATATATATATATTTTTTTTTTTTTTTTTTTTTTTGAGACAGAGTCTCACACTGTCGCCTGGGCTGGAGTCCAATAGCGCGATCTCAGCTCACTGCAACCTCCGCCTCCCGGGTTCACGTGATTCTCCTGCCTCAGCCTCATGAGTAGCTGGGATTACAGGCGCACACCACCACACCCGGCTAATTTTTGGTATTTTTAGTAGAGATGGGGTTTCACTATGTTGGCCAGACTGTTCTCGAACTTCTGACCTCGTGATCCACCTGCCTCAGCCTCCCAAAGTGCTGGGATTACAGGAGTGAGCCACTGTGCCCGGCCATATTCAGAATATTTTTAACATACATTTAAAATTTTAGAACAGTTTTAGATTTACAGAAAAATGGCTGTAGTTCCCATATGCTTTGCATCCAGTTTCCCTTATGATTAATAACTCACATTAGTGTGATATATTTGCTACAATGAATGAACCCACGATACATTATTATTAACATTATTATTAACTAAAGTCCATAGTAAATTTTATTCAGTATACTTTATTTCCTAGTTTTTCCTAGTGCCCTTTTTCTGTTCCAGGACTCCATCCAGGGTAGCACATTACATTTAGTTGTCATTTCTCCTTCGGCTCCTCTTGGCTGTGACTGTTTCTCAGACTTAAATTGTTTTTGATGACCTTGACAGTTTCCAGGCATATTAGTTAGTATTTTGTAGAATTCCCCTCAATTGAGATTTGTATGTTTTTCTCATGGTTAGTGATATGTTTGGTTGTGTCCCCACCCAAATCTCAACTTGAATTATAATCCCCATTATCCCCACATGTTGTGGGAGGGATCCAATAGGAAGTGATTGGATCATGGGGACAGTTCCCCCATGCTCTTCTCACGATAGTGAGCTCTCACAAGATCTGATGGTCTTTTCTTTTCTTCTCTTTTCTTTTCTTTTTTTTGAGACGGAGTCTCACTCTGTCACCTAGGTTGGAGTGCAGTGGTGCGATCTTGGCTCACTATAACCTCTGCCTCCAGGGTTTAAGTGATTCTCCTGCCTCAGCCTCCTGAGTAGCTGGGATTGCAGGCACCTGCTACAGCTAAATTTTGTATTTTTAGTAGAGACGGAGTTTCACCAGGTTGGCCACGCTGGTCTTGAACTCCTGACATCAGGTGATCAATCCGCCTTGGCCTCCCAAAGTGTAGGGATTCCAGGCCTGAGCTGCTGCGCCCAGTGACTTGATGGTTTTATAAGGGGCTCTTCCTCCTTCACTCAGCACTTCTTTCTGCGCCTTATGAAGAAGGTGGCTTGCTTCTCCTTTGCCTTCTGCCATGATTGTGTTTCCTGAGGCTTCTGCAGCCATGCTGAACTGTGAATCAATTAAATTTCTTTCCTTTATAAATTACCCAGTCTCAGGCAGTTCCTTATAGCAGTGTGAAAACAGATTAATACAGTTAGACTAGGGTTATATGTTTCTGGGGAGGAAGACCTCAGAGGTAAAGTGCCATTGTCATCTCATCATGTTAGGATACACACTACCAACATGACTTACCACTGTTGGTGTTAATCTTGATCACCTGGCTGAGGTAGTATCTGTTAGGTTTCCTCACTGTAAATTTACTTTTTATTCCCTGTGTTTCCACACTGTACTCTTTGGAAGGAAGTCATTAAGTGACTTCTCACACTTAGGGAGAATAATCAGGAATTTTGTTAGCCAATTGTTAAATCTTTGGTAGCTTGAAGTCAGCCGTGGTGGGAATATTTACATCATGGCAATCAGCAAACTCTGCAGATCTGGGCTTGTTCTGGGGAGCTGGTTTCCTAGCCCACCACTGCATGTGTGGCTTGGGCTGTGTCTCAGAAGATGATAGGTGGGCAGGTAGAGAGGCATTTGGATCAAGTGGCTCACATGGTATAAATGAACTCTTGGAGGCAAGAGGGAAGGTGCTGTGCTTACAGGACATGGATTGGGATTAGAAGAGGTTTGGCACAGACATATAGCCACCTGGGAACCACACAGAAACCATAATCCAGAGGGTTTTAATGTAAATAGTGTTGGAACCTTAAAGGACCTACCTTTGTTTTTTTCTTTCATAGTAGTAATAACTACCATTTATTGAGTGCCTACTATGTACAGGTGCTTTTTAATATATAAAATTCCTTTCAATCACCACAAACCTACGGGGTGGATATTGTTATCCCATTTTACAAATAAGAAAACTAGAGTTAAGTAGCTTATTCGAGAATACAACCAGCAATCAGCAAAGCTGAGATTCAAACCTCCTGTGTAACTCCAGCCACGCTGTTCTCTCTGCTTAATTTACTTCCTTCTTCCAGGAGCATTGGGTTACTAGTAGGATCTGTTTCAAGATGGTAGAATGGCTATTGATGGTGAGATTCCAGGACTTGATTAGTGATGAGAGTGCCATTTGCTGTTCAGGACATTCCATCACCGTTCATGCTCATGGAAGTGCATGAGAACCGGGTTTCACTTTGGGTCAGGCAAACTATATTAACATTGTAACTTCTAGTCTTCCAGACAAACTATCCACCTCAGTAATGTTTTATTTTTCTTGTGGGTGTATCGTTAAGGGAGCAGAAATTATGATATCCCTAAACTTTGTATCTTAATTGAACTCTGTGGTATCTTTATGATTTAATTTAATAGGTGACTTCAGCCATTCTTTTCCAAGGCAATTTTTAAGAAGCAGACTTATAGAAACTCTGGACTACAATTCATCATTAGAGTTTTGGTTAACTCTACAAAACTGTATGATCTACATGCATACTGAACAAACGCATATAACATGCAATATATTTCACTTAAAAAGCTTAAACATAAGAATCACTTAGAATTCATGTCATATTTAAGGCACATGAAATGCTACTTGATCTGTTCCATTTGAGTCATTCAGGGAGTTTAAAGCTATTTTAGGATAAATAATCTTAAAGAAGCTCTAGAAGGTTTGAATGGGATTTGCTTAAATAACAGAGAATATTATATTGCTTTAGTAAACTTTAGTTACTATTTTTAACTAAGACTTCATTGGTCTTATTAAGGTCTGGGTAATATTAGAAACTGTTGTTAAATGATGGTAATGCTATTTTGACTCTCTCCCTCTCACATCATTGAGGCTCTTTAAACTGTACAACTAGCGGTGGGGTAGTGCAAAAGTTACATTCAAGGGAATTTTGTTTTATTTGGTCTACTTCCCTTAACTTCCCTGTCCCCAGTCCCAGCTGCCTCTTTTACTCAGAGATCTGGCCTGAGATGATTGGACCAAGAACAAACACCTGCCCCAGGGGGGAGCCCATTTATAGACCAGCTGAGCTAATCTTCCTCCCCAGAGCATTTATGTTTGGAGAAAGAGAGACTGAGTCAGCCGGCTGATGGATGGTGATGGACCAAATAAAGGTCATACAGAGTCAGGGTTGGAGTCAGTCCATAAGCAAGTTGAAGTCATGAGGGGTAGACCACGGGAAGCAGGAGAAACTGCTCTGTGCAGAGAAATGGGAGAACAGAGAAAGAGCCCCAGTTCAGGTCCCTGTAGCCAGATGTCACTGGCTTTCTGGCCCTGGATGCCTGTGAGATTGCTTGTTATCCATTGTATTCAGCTCTCTAGGTGGGTTTCTCTCACTTACAACCCAAGTGATTCCAGACTAAGACAACTCCATACACCAAATGGCAAATACAGGCTACCAAATAGTTCCCCACCTCTTCGGTATCACTACCAAGTCACCCAGACTTCAGAGGTCTATGGGGCAACATAGGGATACATGGAGGAATAGGCAGGATGGAGGAAATGAGTATACAGCACACTTTTCCTTATGTTTTATGGTTTATAAATGCCCAACTCGCAATTTGTCATTTTCTGTTAGCATTTTCCATGTGTCTCTTTCACCTGCAATCTTGTGGGCCAATCAGTACGTTCTGCCCAGATCAGGGTTCAACGTCCTCAACATGCCACTGCCAAGTCATGGGCCCAAGTCTTGAATGTCACACTCCAGCAGGGCAGTCTCCTCCTCTGCTTTAGACAAGTGATGCCTGAAATAGAGTTTTATTTATTCGATACATATTTACTGGCTGCCTGCTATGGCTAGATACTGTGCAAGGTGCCAGGGATACGGCAATGAGCTAATGGCATATCTCTTACTTGCATGGACTTATATTGGTGGGAAGGGAGTACACTCACAAATGGACACTATGAAAAGTATAAGCAGGACAGTTTGTGATGGTAGGGGTCAATGAGAATCCTACTTAGATGGGTTGGTCAAGAAAGGCCTCTCGAGGATGAGAAAGAGCCAATCATGAACAAATTTAAAAATAGAAGAAATGACATGCACAAAGACCCTTTCACAGGAAGGAGCTTGGAGACACCAAGAGATTGAGAGAAGTGAGAGAAGGCAGAGTGGTTGGCACATGTGGTCTCTCCGATACACACCCCTTTGGTGCCTGCGGTCCCATACAATTTTCCTCTTTGCCTGAGGTATTAGTCTTATCTGGATATTTGTCCCCATGTCTGTTGGTTGGACCTGCATGATCTCTCTCCTGTTCCACCTCTCCTCTCCTGTCCTGCGGCTGCTGGTCTGCTCAGGCTTCCTACTCACTCACCTGGTCTATTGCAACTGCCTTCTAACTATGTGGGCAGTGACTTTGTCCTGTTCGCTCTTGCAGCTCAGCATCAACTGTCTGTCATTAGTAGGTGCCTAAAAAGTATTTGCTGAATGAATGAATGAATGAAATGTCTGGTCCAGTCTTCACCCCTGTGTCCCGCATCTCCATTCTGCATCCCTGTCTTGCATGCTACTGTCAGGATTATTGCTCTAAGTTAGAGATCCAATTGTCTCACTTACCAACCTTCTGGTGGTTGGCCCCCATTGTCACATGACTAAAACCCTCCATATTGCCTTCATAGGTCTTCAGAATTTGATCCCAATCTGCCTTTAAGGCTCATTTCGCAAACACTAAACACAGCCACTCTGAAATACTGTCTGTTGGTGACACCATGAACTCCCTCTGCTTGCAGTTTGTTCCCCCTACAGGGTTTGTCCACCTGCCATTCTTCAAGCTTCAGCTCAAAAGTCACCTGCCTTTCATGTCCCTAGTTCCACTTTTTCCCACTGGAGACAACTCACCATCTCTACTAAGCTCAGAACAGTTTGTTCCTATTGCTCCTACAGCCTGGATTAGACATGAGTTTGCATTGGTCTTTCTCTCCCGAGAGATGGCAAACTCTCTCAGGGCCCAGGAGCTGCATCTTACTCATCTTCGTGACCCCAGTTCTTAACACAGAGGCATGTGTGAAATTAATAATGACAGCAAAAAATCTACCGAGTGCTCGCAACATGCCAGCCTATTTTACACAATTAGCTCTCTAATCCTCAAAATAATCTTAGGAGGCAGGTCATATTGTGGTTCCTATTTTAGAACTGAGGAAACTGAGGCTTAGAAAAGTTAGAGAAATTGCCTGGAGTTGCACAGGTAGCAAGCAATAGCAGAGCCGGATTTAAACACAGATAGTCTGACTGCAAAGCCCACAAGGGGAACATGACAAAGTGCTGTATGCCACAGTGGCCCCTGACTGCTTCTTAGAATCACCTGAGGAACTCTGAAAACTCATCCATGTCCCAGCTCCATCCCACAACAACAACAACTGAACTACTGGACTATGAAAGCACTAAACTGGGGCATAGACAAGTTTGAACCCTGACCATAAGTATGACCTGGAGCATTTGTTAAAGGTGTAGATCACCACACCTCTCTTCCAGATAATGCTGTTTCAGCGGATTATGGTTGAAGCTTGGCAACTTGTGGTTGACAAGGTACCCCAGGTAATTCATATCTTAAGGGAAGTTAGGGAAATAAAGCTAGAGAGTAGGTTGCAAAGTCATTTAAGTAGGTCTCTAAACATTCATCTGTCTATGATGGTAGAAAGACCCTGTGGAGGATGTTTGACTGTTTCATCATGGGGCTGAGCTGAAGAAGATGAGTAACACAGTAAATTGGCATGGCTCTTTGGGAACACTAAGCTGAAATAGCTAATAGCACTGCACAAGTATACATCTTCAAAACCGTCCACTGATAGTGCTGCAACCAAAAAACAGTATTTTGATGGTACTTCTTTGCCTTGAGCATTCTATATACTTTAGCCAAAAACTGAAAGAGAGGCCTCGTGATCCTTTAAGAAGTGTGGAGGGGGATAACACAGCCCCAGGGAAGTACAGGCTGAGGCCTTTTCCACCTACTTTCCTGGGGCCTCCTGAACTCCACCTGCCAACACACATACACGTGAACACATGTACATACCTACACCTACCCACACACACAGGTGGCAAAGCAGATCACTTCCTTGATTTCCTTAAGTATAGACTTAGTAAGCACCAGGTGGGATACAGCCACATTGCCTGTCCTTGCCTCCCATGGCTGACTCTGTTTTCCCTTTCTGATATTTTTTGGCTCTGTGTCCCCACCCAAATTTCATCTTAAATTGTACTCCTATAATTCCCACATATTGTGGGAGGTACCCAGTGGGAGATAATTTGAATCAAGGGGGCGGTTTCCCCCATACTGTTCTCATGGTAGTGAATAAGTCTCAGGAGATCTGATGGGTTTATCAGGGGTTTCCGCTTTTGCATCTTCCTCATTTTTTCTTGCTGCTGCCATGTAAGAAGTGCCTTTCACCTCCCGCCGTGATTCTGAGGCCTTCCCAGACATGTGGAACTGTAAGTCCAGTTAAACCTCTTTTTCTTCCCAGTCTCAGGTATGTCTTTATCAGCAGGGTGAAAATGTACTAATACACTTTCCATGGTCTCCTGCCTTATCACTGGCTGTCTGAAGTCCTGACCAGCTTGTTTCTAAGCTATTTCATGATCATCATTTTGATCCACTCCATTTTCTGCCTTCTGACTGTTGTGTTTACTGACCTTTACCAAGGTTGAAAAGAAAACGCCTGATCTTTTACATGCAATGCATAGAACTGGACTCCTGAATCCAAGAAAAATATCTTCCTTGCTGCTCTCTTCTCTTTCCTCCATTCTCACCCCAAGAGAAGCCCTGAATCTATTTATGAATAACATTCAGGTTCTACAACTTGCCCTGCCAGAATAATCTTCCTAATGGGAAATACAATGGGGCCTCCCACTGACAAAGAAGACCACCCCATCTGCAGCTAGGGACAAGAGACACTCCCAGCCCAGATGTAAAGAAATGCAGCAGATCGTGGCTTTGTGTCTATTCATTGCTTATTTAATATTTGAGCATCTTTTTCTAAAGATATTTCTATTGAACTCACTTGTGGTGTCACCATCTGGAAAATATCAAGCCTCACCCCACTGAGGCAAACCCCTATTGCGTATTTTTTCCCTTTTATGTGAGCCCAGTGGGCATGGAATGTGTATCTCTATGTTTAGCACAGTTCCTTGCCAAGGCAGCTCTCAAGCACATGACACTCTCTGAATAAATCAGTGTTGTGTAGACCCATTAGCAAGACCTTCCCAATTGATGCTAACAGAACGTTTCAATGAGGCTCTCAGGAGCCTCCATGACTTCTTGATGTGAGGTCCTTTTACATTTTAAAGTGACAGATTAGAGTTTTAAGAGAGAGTAAGCTGCTAAGAACTCAATGATTTCATTAAAACCAGTTTTTAAATTGGGCCAAATCTTATCCCAGGGTCTAAAATCAGACTTCTGTCTAAGCCCACAAATAAAGGGTTTAGTCAGCTCTCAAGGACGCAGGCCAACAGGGCAAGCAGTGTGCCACAGACAGTTCAACTAACGGAAATCTAAATCCAGCCATGTTAGGCAAGAGGGTTGATTAAGATGAAAATTTGTATTCAGGTGGAGAGAATGCTCAGATTTTGTTCAATGTGTTTATTATCCTTGTGTTTTGAAAGGTGTTAATAAAATTAATTTCCATTCTCTCGGTGTTCATAAATGGCTGGTGCAGAGAAGTATCTAGGATGTGGTCTAATTGGCAGAAGGAAGATGAGTCTTCATTGCAGATAAGGCAAAAGTGAATAATATTTAACCATCCAAAAAATTTTACAACTTTGTGCCAGGGCATATGGTTACTAGAGAGAATACAGCACCCCGACCTTCCTCACAGGAACATACTACCCAGCATGTTGAGTTAGCCTCAGGTAGAGATGATATAGGGCAACTTACTATGTCTTATAATAATGTGTTTCTGACTATTGTTTTAAAATTACCCATACATTTGGTGATAAAACTCATTTCCCCACTATGCTTAATAAGGACTACATAGAGGCACTGAAAAAAGTGATTCTAGGTAAAAACGACAAAAGTGAGATTGAGTTAGGAAGGAGGAAAGGAGATGAACCCGCTCCCCTTTTGACCTGAATTATCACAGAGAGGCGATTGTGAAGCTGTTATGGAGTGGCTTACTCTCACAAGAATGATCCTCCTGCAGGCATTCTCTTCCCTCTCTACCAGCACAGCCTTAAATTTCAAAGGCAAAGCCTCATGTGAGTATAATAGACAGGTTTGCCTACTCAGATCCCCCAGCAGGACAGGGGTCAGTGCACAAAGTTGTTAGTAGCGCCTTTACACGTCCATTCTCGTCGTCCCACACCTCCCCACAGACCTCACCGTGGTGCATTTCCAGCTCCCTTTGAGAGCCCCTTCTGTGTTATCACATCCTCATTATTCCTGCCATTTGCAGTGGCATGTTGCTCTTTTTCAGGCCATTTGGCAGTTCATCTGGTATGGAACCTGGCAACAATTTACCATACAGCAGGAGATGATATCAAAAACCATTCTGTTGACATAGGACTGAGACAATGTTAAAATCCAGATATGATATTAAGTCATCTGTTCATCATATATAAATTGAGGGGATGAATTCTGCTGGTTTGCTTGCTGTCCCTAAGATAATTAGATATGTCAATTTTAAAAAGTATTGTCCAGCCTGGGCAACACGGTGAAACCCCATCTCTACAAAAAATACAAAAATTAGCCAAGTGTGGTGGTGGCACCTGTAGTTCCAGCTACTGGGGAGTGGGAAGGGTAGGAGCTGAGGTGGGAAGATTGCTTGAGCCCGGGTGGTTGAGGCTGCAGTGAACCAGGATCATGCCACTGCACTCCAGCCTGGGTGACAAAGCAAGACCCTGTCTCAGAAAGTAAAATAAAATAAAATAAAATAAAATAAAATAAAATAAAATAAAATAAAATAAAATAAAATAAAATAAAATAAAAAGTATTGTCCTAGCACAGATTTTGGACATTCCAGAATATTGAAGTAAAATAACATTTCTCAAAAGGGAAGTGACCCAAGTGAGGATATCATATGCATTTCCTCTTTTCTTTAGCAAAAAGAGCTTTTGTGGGGAAAACAGCAGGTGAAATGAGATTTTTCGCCAGGAGACCTTTAGGAGTAACACACTCTGTTCATAAGCACACACTAAACAAGTACTTCAGGGTTTGTATGTGCTAAGGAAGGTGTTGGGTGCCTGAACAGAGAGAGGTCTGAGCCATGCTTGCTCCTTCTCAAGGATCTGGAAGAACAGTGTAGGTGACTGACAAGCCAGCAAGTCATGACCTCACAGTGTAGACAGTGCTGGAACAGAGGTGTGTGCAAGTACACTGGAGGGCCTGAGGAGGAGTGACTAAGGCTGCCTCACAGGAAGCAGGGAATAATGAAAGATGAGGCATTTAACCTTGTGTCCTGCAACGCTGTTATACTGGCTTATTCCAGAAGTTTTATATTGATTCTATGGAATTTTCTATGTACATAATCATGTCATATGGAAAGACAGTTTTATTTTTTCTTTTCCAATCTGTATACTTATAATTTCTTTTTCTTGTCTTACTGCATTAGCTAGGACTTCTAGTAAAATGTTGAAAAGAGTAATGAGCGGGAACATCCTTGCCTTGTTCCTGATCTTAGGGGGAAAGTTTCTAGTTCCTAACCATTATACATGATGTTAGCCATAGGCTTTTTTTGTAAATGTTCTTTTTCAAGTTGAGGGAGTTACCCTCTATTCCTAGTTTGCTGAGTTTTTATCATGAATAGGCATTGGATTTTGTCAGATGCTTTTTATGCATCTATTAATACAATGTGATATTTTCTCTTTAGCCTCTTGACGTGGTTGTATACATCAATTGATTTTTGTATATCGAATAAGCCTTGTTTACTTAGATTAAATCTCACTTGATCATGATGTATAATCCTTTTCATATATTGTTGGATTTGGATTGCTAATCTTTTGTTGAGAAATTTTACGTCTATGGTCATAAAGATATTCATCTGTTGTTTTCCTTTCTTGTAGTGTCTTTGTCTGATTTTGGTATTAAGATAAGGTGGGCCTCATAGAATTAGTTAGAATGTATTCCCTCTGCTTCTGTCTTCTGGAAGAGATTGTGGAGAACTGATATCATTTCTTTCTTAACTATTTGGTAGGATTCACTGGTGAAACCATCTGGGGCTGGTGCTTTTTTTTGGAATATTATTAATTATTGATTCAATGTCTCTAATAAATTTGGGCCTATTCAGATTATCTATTTCTCCCTATGTGGGCTTTGGTAGTTTGCATCTTTCAAGAATTGATCGATTTCATTTAAGTTACCAAATGTATGGGCCTGGAGTTGTTGCAGTATTCCTTGGTTATCCTCTAAATGCCCACAAGATCAGCATGAGATTAGTAGTAATCACTCCTTTTTTTTTTTTTTTTGGGGGGATGGAGTCTCACTCTGTCGCCCAGGCTAGAGTGCAGTGGCGGATCTTGGTTCGCTGCATCTCCTGGATTCAAGAGATTTTCCTGCCTCAGCCTCCCGAGTATTTGGGACTACAGGCACATGCCACCATCCCAGGCTAATTTTTTGTATTTTTAGTAGAGACGGGGTTTCACCTTGTTAGCCAGGATGGTCTCGATCTCCTGATCTTGTGATCCACCCACCTTGGCCTCCCAAAGTGCTGGAATTACAGGCGTGAACCACCATGCCTGGTCTAATCACTCCTTTTTTATTTCTGATTTCAGTAATTTGTGTCCTCTCTCTTTTTTCCTTGGCTAACCTGCTTTTCTGTTTTAGATTTCACTGATACTACTCTAAGTTTTATTATTTATTTTCTTCTTGCCTTTGGCCTAAATTGCTTTTGTTTCTCTAGTTTCCTAAAGGATGACACTTCAAGACACTTAAGCTCAGTATCTTAGTCTGATACCTTTGAGAAGCTGACACCAATGTGGAATTAAACATCTTTATTAGGGAAATTACGTGTGAGAGAAACCTCAGACCTTCAGACCACTTTGCAAGTCTGCTCCTGAGTAAAGAAGAGAGGAAAGGAAGGTTGGCCTTAGTAGAAGGAAGGTTTAGCAAGGGTTTCAAGGAGTATTCAAGCCAGAGTTGACTGTTAGAAAGTTCTGTGTCTCCTAGGGAAAGTCCTGCCTTCATATTCTGCCAGGCTCTGTTAATAGCTGAGAGCATCCCTTGGGAAGCATGGCCTTAGCCCAGATACAGCAATGGATTTCAGAGCATACCAGTTGGGGCTCTTGGTCAGTTATATACCCTCAGCAGGAGGGTACCTCTGAGACGTACATTTTCACGGCTAACATGCCAGGTCTTGAAAAAGGGAAAGAAGGAGTCAGAGGCCCCTAGAGCCATGAGAGAATTCAGCATGTTTGAAATAAGTAAATCTGTGGGTGGGAGATTGGACTGTGATAGGAGGGACAAGGGATTAGTGTGATGTGGGCCTTTGAGGAGAGCCAGGGCTGGGACCTGGTGAAGGGCCTTGTAGGCCATGGTGAAAATTTTGGATTTTAACATGAAGGAAATGAAGAGCTATTGAAGGCTGTTTCAGCAAGGACGTGACAGCACTGGATTGGATCATGTGTAGGGAGAGGATTCTGACAGCGGTGTGGAAGACTGAGTAGGGGACAGAGGGTGGAGGTGGGGAAGACTGGAGAGGAGAGATGCTGAGGGCCTGAACCAAATAAGTGGCAATGCAGGGGGACCAGACCTGGGAGTTCTTTAGGAGGCAGGAGTGACATGACTCAGGTGTGGGATAGAAAGGTGTAAAATGAATCCCAGACATTTGACTTAGGAGACCTAGGAGAAGGAGAGATTCACTGAGGAAGAGAATTACAAGAGGGGCAGCAGGTATGGAGGAGCAATCAAGAGTTTGGTCAGTTTGGGACACGTGGTTTCTGAGGTTCCTCTGTGCAGCAGGCATTTGTATACATGGTCTGGGACTCAGGTCATTGCCTGGACTAAGCATAGAGGCCTGAGAACCATAGGTATTTAGGTACACTTTAAAGCCATGAGTTTGACTGAGACTACTCAATTACAGGATGTAGCTTTAGAAGAAAAGGTGGCCAAATACTGAACTCCAAGGAACCCAAGAGTGCAGATGGGTGGAAGAAGAGGAGTCGGTTGAGGAGACTGAGGAATGGTTAAGTCAGTGGGAGAACTGAAAGGGTGGTGTTCTAAAAGCCAAGGGAGAAAAGAACTCTGAGGGGATGTCATCAATAGTGTCAAATCCCACTATAGGGAAGCCAGTAAGCTGAGGGTGGGGAAGGGTCTGCCAACTCTCCACTGTAGTATATTATAGGTTTAATTGTGGCCCCCCACCCCCCGCAAATATATATTGTCTTCTTTTTTTTGAGGCAAGGTCTTGCTCTGTCACCCGTATGGAAGTATAGCGGCACAATCACAGCTCATTGCAGCCTTGACCTCTTGGGCTCAAGTGATTCTCCTGCTTCATTTTTTGATTTTTTTTTGTAGAGATGAGGTCTCACTATGTTGCCTAGGCTGGTCTTGAACTCCCAGGTTCAAGCGATCCTCCTGCCATGACCTCCCAAAGTGCTGGGATTACAGGCCCAAAAAGATACATTGTAGTCCTAATCCCTGGAACCTCAGAGAGTGTCCTTACTTGAAAATAGGGTCATTGCAGATGTAATTAAATTAAGATGTACATTAAGACAAGGTCATTCTGGAGTAGGGTGGGGCCTTAATCCAATGCAACTGTTGTCCTTACAAGAAGAGAAGAGTTGGATACAGAGGAAGAATCTCATGTGCAGATGAAGGCAGATATTGAGGTTATGCAGATGCAAGCCAAGGAGAACAAACGATCACTGGCAAACACTGAGGCTAAGAGGAAGGCATGGAACAGATTCTTTTCTAGATTCCTCAGAGACAGCATGACCCTGCTGTTGCCTTAATTTCAGACTAGCCTTCCAAACTGTGAGAGAATCAACATCTGTTAGTTGAAGCCACCCCAGGTTGTGGTGCTTTGTTACAGCAGCCCTAGGAAACTAACACGCAGTAAAGGTGAGGAACCGTCATTTTGTTGCAAAGACAGACAGGTGAGTCCTTTAAGACTGAAGGGAAAGTAAATGTAGGTGTAGGGCTAATAAGTTTGCAGATGGGGAGTGATGGAGTGGGAGCTGGATAGTTCCAGCCTGTTGGCATCTTTTCTCTATGAAGTTGAGGGGTGTGGATCATCTACACCCACAACTTCATAGAGTGAAGGGGTGGAAGGTAATCACACTATAATTGCCACCTGTATTATCTATTACTGTATGACAAATTACCCCAAAACTTAGCTTAAAACAACAAACATTTATTGTCTCACGCAGTCTCTTTCTAAGAGTCAGGGATCTGGGAGTGGCTACAGTGGGTGGTTCTGGCTCAGAATCTCTCATGAGGTTGCAGTCACGATATCAGCCAAGGCTCCAAACATCTGAAGCTTTGATGGGACTAAAGGATTGGCTTCCACTATGGCTCATCCACATGGAACTCTCCAGGAGGTTGCTTGGGTATCCGCACCACATGGCAGCCAGTTTCCTCATAGCAAGCAATCCGAGATAGAGACCAAGGCATACACCACAACATCTTTTATTACCTAACCTTGGCAGTCATATACATCACTTCAGTATTCTATTGATCATACAGACCAACTTTGATTCAATGTAGTGGGGACTACATGAGGGCATGAATACCAGGAGGCAGGGATCCTTAGGAGCCATCTTGGTGGCTGCCCATCATAGGCTATGGACCCGCCTATATGCTGAGGCCCCCCAAACCTTGGTTGCAGTCCTGACATCTCTCTCTGAGCATCAGACACTTAGAGTTAAGGTCTCTTCCGGTCGTTCCCTCTTGGATATCCCAAGAGCACCTCAAAGGCAACATGTTTAAAACTGAATTCTTTATTCTATTCCCAAGCCAGATTCTTTCTTTAATGTTGTCTTAGTAAGAAGCCCAGCAATGGCTCAAACACTCAAACTAGATCTTGGGATTATCTATGACCACTCTCCTTCACCAACTCTCCCATCCAAACCACCACAAGTTCTGTCAATTTTACTTTCTAAATATTTCTGGAATCTGTTGCCTCTTGTCTATACTTACTTTCACAGCCCTAGTTAAGAAATGTACGATCTGTCATTTGAATCATTGCAACAGCCTCTAGACTATTGGACCAATATACAGCTGTCAAGAACTACCAAGACTCTGAGATTTTACCTGACTTGCAAGCCTGGATGCTATCAGCTTTGCAGATGCTGACAGAGGACATAAAACTCCTGGGTCAGAGATAAAGGACTTTGTAATTCCCAGCATAGTATGAGGCACGAATTTCATGTTTATCTCAGTTTCCCTTGATCCCTAAATCCCACAGGGGCAACCATAGCCTCATCGAGTGACCCAGGTGGATGCTACAAGCACCATGAAGTTCTATCTCAGTTGGGAAATGCCCAGGTCAGAGAATGTGAGTCCTTTTTCTTGCGCTGCAAGCAAACTTCCTCCTCTTTGCTCCAAAGGGAGTCACTCTCTTTAACTTCCAAGGACGTTTGCTATACAAACATCTTTGAAAACAATCTAGAACAAAATGACAGCACCTCACTCACAACACGTGCAGAAATGTGAAACACCCAGAGAGAATTGTTTCCCAGCAACAGCCAAAATCTAAATCAGGGCATTTAGTGGCTCCTCACACTTACTGAATAAAGACCCTCACACTAATACCACTGCCTCTATCAGCCTCATTGCTCCTCTCCCTGCTTCACAATGTGAATTTGAAATAACCTGCAGCCCCTCAGTCTGTGTTCATTCTTGCCCACAGGTCTTTGTTTGAGTCATCTTCTTTGACTAAATTTCCTTCTTCCTTCCATAGAAGTCATTCATTTCATGCCTGGGAAGTTACCTTTTGAGGCTCCCATGCATTCTGAGGGTTGCTGGGTTTAGTGCGTATCTACGAGGATGTGGGACTGGCAATTATCACTCGTTATTGGACTAACATTTACCATCTGCAACTGTTTTCTTCTTTCTCTAAATGGAACCACCCTCTATTTGGTGAAGGCACAGCACGTTCTAGTGAAATGAGTCTCCATGATTTTCTTAGCAATTTCTACGGCAGGGTTGGGTAAATACCTGCTTTCTATTCTCACTCTTGGTTTTAGTTTGCCCCCTGTTGCACTGTCTCCCCAGCAGGCATGGAGCAGCTCCATTTGGGGCAGGCCTTGCTCTGAGCCTGGTTGTTTTCACTGTACCAAAGTCAAAGTCAAAGGTGTATTTTCACTTACAAAATAGCCATGCATACCATAGCTTTCTAAATCTCCAACTGGAGGCCTATTGCATGCCTGAAAGGAGTAGAATACAGTTTAGAAGAGTGGCCCAGGGCCTACTTATGCAATACCACAATTTCCACTTCTCTTCCCAAATAGACCTCATTAGAATGTGTCACAAGAATAGTATTGCCTTGGATACAACAGCTTTCAGAAAGGCTGTGAGAAAACCATTGATTCATTCCAGAAATGAACTCTGGTGGCCATTTGACCATATTTTGAGAGGCATCAGTTTTGAAAGGACTCTAAGGAATGGTGCCCAAGCAACATTGACTTCATCCAACTCCTTCTCTTGTATTGTCCTTCTTTTTGTTTTTGTTTCTCTGTGAAATGAAAGTAATAGCATGAGCCACCCTCCTGGCTCTAAGTAATGAGAACAAATTAAGAGCCATAACATTAGGCCTGCAATACACTGGTGGAACTGAGTGGAAAATGCTGTTTGAGACCATGCCAGAATTTTCCCACTTTCCATTTTCTTTTTGTTTGTGTGTCATCTTTTGGGATATTAGCCCAGCTGATGATGACACTTCTTACTGAGGCCTCTGATGAGAACTATGAGGCTGGGCTCCTGGTAACCATGGGTTTATGAAACAGAATTCTGGCCCTTACCTCCCACCCCATAGGGATCTTCTTCATTCCTTTGTGTATCCCAAGCATGTAACAGTGCCTGGAATATACTAGGTGTGCAAGAAATACTTATTAAATTGATGATATCAAGGATTGAGACTAACAGTTTTCTCCTGTGCTTGAGGCTGGAACTCTCACATGTGGACTCTGGAGGTGTGGGCAGCTTCATCCCATCATGGAGCCTGGGGAGCAGGGGAAGCCAGTCTTTGGACACCAAGGAGTCTTGGAGGGAGGGATCTGCAGAGGGAGAGCTTGGGCTGGCTCCCACTGATTCTCTACTTTCTGCTTCCAGGATTTTTCCCAGGCCAAGCTGCAAACTTCTTTATCTTTGAATAAGTTCCTTTCTCTGTGCTTAAACTAGCTTCAGGGGCTTAGTCCAAGGCAACACAGAAAATTTGGGAGTTGACATGGTAGAAGTCTAGGTGTGACTAATAGGAAGGGCCACATACTGCCAGTGGAGCTAAGACAGGTTGTGACCTATGAGAAATCCTCAGTGAACTGGCTACGACCCACCCCTTTCTCTCCCACTCATCTGAACTCACAGGTGTGTTCTGACAGTGATATATGGTCACTGGCTTAACACAGAGGGGGGCATGAGATCTTTAAACCATAAAACTGCAGTTCCACAGAAATGTTTGATAATGTTACACAGGAAATATCATGGAGCCCATGGTAGAGCACTAAAACCATGGTCTGAAATGGGAATTTTTTTTCTCCCATCACAAAATAGCGGCAAGTAAACACCCTTTCTCACCGCCATAGCCTTATGGAGACATGTAAGACAGATTACCACATGTTTGGAGCAGAAAATCAGACAAGAAGCTGCAATACCACACACACAGATTGCGGTCCTGCTAATCAGTCATTGGTGGCAGGTCCCTCTGCAAGGTATACTGGAAGTGGGGCAGGGGGACATTCTAGGTTCAATGTTATTAAGAATTAACTTCCAGAGATACAGCTGATGAGTTAAGTTTTTACATTTCAACTCTGAGCATTTTCAAGACTACTCATAATTTTCTGCAGTTAATATTAAATATGCCATTAAAAGGAAGCACATTCTGATGTGTGGAACAGAAAGAATTCATATGACAAAAGAAAATTCCAGACTGAACCAGGACGAAGACATTTCCCGTAGCGACGCCCAGCCTAGTATTTCACCAGTACTAATGAGAAGCTGTAACAGCCAGCTGGTTTTGCTAAGTTAGGCTGCAGTATCAGACAACCCTACAGTCTCAGGAACTTACAGCAGCAAAGGTTTATTTCTCACCCCAGACTGCTGTAGCTCAACTCCCAACTGCCCCAAGTCTCCCCACTTGGATCAAGACTAAAGGAGCAGTTCCTATCTGGAACGCACTGTTCTCATGGCAGAGGGAGGAGAGAGGGCAGAACCACAGCATGGCCCTTAAAGCTTCTGATCACAGCAGCAGCCCCACTTCCCACTCACATTTCATCGGACAAAACAAGTCACTGGGCTGACCCACCTTCAATGGGCAGGAAGTTCAATCTCCTAGGACAGACTACTAGGGTTGGGGCCAAGCCAGGAGGGGCAGGAATATTTGGACATAATATAATACAGCAGGGATTAGGCTGTATTTCCAGAACCACATCATCTATTAACAGCAGTCTGATGTATATAATTATGCTTACATTAATTGTATAGTGAACAGTTTAGAGTCAAAACGTGAGGTCAGTCATTTCTAATTATTCTTTTTGTGGCTCTCAAAAATTTGGGTATTGGAGATGCCCTCAGGTATTAATATAAACCACAGGATGGACTGGATGAACCCTATCTGGCAGTGGCAGGCAGGATTCTGAAAGTAGGTAAATGATTTCAATGGTATCCCTGGGCAAGGGTGGGGGGGGAGCGTGTTTCTCAAGTTGTAGTCCACATTCTGTCTGTAGCAGAATGACCTGAAAGTCAGATTTAATGTGCAGATTTCTAGGATCCACTCTAGTTATACCGAATCTGAGTTTCTAGGGGGTGGGGACTGGGAATCTGCATCTTTTTTAGCTTTCCAGGCAATTCTGATGTAGATTAACTATTGAGAAGTGCCATCTCAGAAAATCCACCCTTACCAGGGTACACTCCTGTCACAAGGTGTGATGCCAGATGCTTATGCCATCTGTCACTGTCTGCAGCTCTGGCTCCCAGGACTGGCCTTAAGCAGGGACCAGAGTGCACTCATATCCGGGTGCTGCGGGTCCAGCCGGGATTTGGAATTTCCTGGGAAGTCAGGGAGAAGGCATTGCTTTCTTTTTATGGAATGGTTTATAATGAGGGCCTCTATCCCTCCTTCAAATACATTTCAGTTTATATAGTTCACTATTTTTCTTGTAAATCAACATCTGTGAATCATTTTGTTATTTGTCTATTTTTAGAAATAAAATGTGACTACATTGAACAATGTACTCATAAAAAGTCCTCTTAGAATAGTAACAATTGTTTTAAAACTTATATTTTAACTGCTTTGCCTCAACAATGTACATTTGGAAACAAATCTAGGATGAAAATTTAACTGTAAGTTTCCAAACCTGATTTCTGTGAGATTTGCATTTCATTAAATATTTCAATTATTGATTCCTAAAATGAAAAATGAAATTAAAAAGTCTGTGTTCTGACTGGGCTCTGCCTCTGATTTTCCAGGGCTGCTTTTAAAGAAAAAGAGAGCGGTGTTCCAATGGGAGGATTTCATTTTAGAGTTCTGTTGCAGTGACCTCTGCTGCTGCTGCCTGGGTCATTAAATTCAATACACTTATGCTTCCAGCTAAAAGTTTCCTGGGCTGGTTGTGCCTTAACAGGGCCTGGTCTAGCACCCTGGTGATATAAGCTGCCCAGAAGCTGCCAGCTCATTTCAGGACAGTTCCAGCCTCTTTCGGCGCATGCCCTGAGGAGGACCATGTAACGAGAGGAAGGAATGCTTTCCATGGGGTGATACTGACCTTGCCTTCGTAGCCATTTAAACACCCTCAGCTTGCACATTTTTGTTAGGCTGGTGTATTCTGCTTCTGCATGGGTACTAATGCCATCACTGTATTCTAGGGGCTGGAACAATTAGTACAGACTCTTTCAAGGTCTATTCTGTTGTCTAATCCACACCTCATATATGAATTACCTTCTAAATTGGGTTGTGTTCATGATATTAAGCTCTTAAATGTTATTTTCAAGTTCTTTCTGCCTTTTCGAAGTCATGACTACAGCGGAAGTGAGGAGGAGACAATTCACTACAAAGTTCAGTTGCAAGCAAGGCAGGGAGAGAGGAAGAGAAAGAAGGAAGGAAAGAAAAGGACGAAGGAAGGAAAGAAAAGGACAAAGGAAGGAAGGGAGGGAGGGAGGGAGGGAGGGAGAGAGAGAAATAAAACTCTTTTGCTTTGTCTGCTTTGCCTCTGCTTTGTTTCGTTTTGCTGAGCTGACCCGGCCTAGTCGTGCCTCTCAGCTGAATCCAAACATTCACATTGCTGTCCCTCCAGTACTGGGCTTTCTTTCCTGTGGCTCCTAAATTCTGCAAGTTTAGCGCAGCCAGATACATGTCACAAGATGCAAACCATCATGCTCAGGGAACTTCTGGATCTTCAGGAGGCTGGCATAGAAAGGACAGAGGGCAGCGTGAAGTCTAAACTCAGCCATTATTGTCATGAAATTGTCTTGAGGCTCCCTCACTGAAAGGATGTGTTCCCTTTCATACTGACTGCAAGCAACAGCTCGTTAACGTGGCATCACGGCTAACCATGCGAGTAGCAGAGACCCCGTGCCAACACGGCGTGCTGGTTTATATACCGCTAATGCAGACTTCATTTAGTTTCTTGGGATTAGAATGTTTCAATATTGCCTTATAAAAATATTCCATTCTGGTTCTTGGTCAGAGCGTTAGTTCAGAAAAGCTGCAAGGCTTTAGCTGCCAGTTTCTCTTGCATTCCTGTTATTGTCTGTAATTTCTAAAGACTAGTAAGCAGACATGGCACTTTACAAATACACAAAGACAAGGGCCTGGCCTTCGGTCAGAAAAACACAACCGAAATGAAAATAATCCAAGCAGAAGCAGTAACAGAGTTTTTGGGGAGGGCATCAGCTATGGAAAGCGAAGTTTAAAGTATTTCCGTTTTTGTTTTGAAATGGGAGTGATTGGAAGAGAGAGGAGGTGACCGCGTCCTGAGGTTTGCTCTGCGTTTAATCTTACCAGGCTTGTGGGCTCAGAAGGTCACTCAATTCAAAAGCAAAGTTGTTCAGACTGACCCCTTCTCCCCCACCAAAGAAAGTGCTTTCTATGGCAGACAGCTCCTTCTTTCCAACGGCTCTGTGGCTGACCTCAGCTCCCCAGACAAGTGTAGGCTTAAATAAGATAATTGCTTTCTAAGGCATTATGCCTCCTTGTAGGAAAACTTCTTGGACAGAGAGCACAACACCTCTATTGGAAGGAGACCACACCTGAAGTCACATCCCTAATTGGTTGCTTCATTTGCCTTCATCAGAAAGCTCTACTGACGGCATCAAGCAAATGTCAGGCATTTTACTTCTTAGAAACAAGCCAGCTACCCGGCACTGTGGCATAGTCAGTTAATCCAAGACACATTTTTATAAAAACCTCAAGTTATAACCCACATATGGTGGCAGATCATTATCCTAAGACTCTAAATTGAATCAGTTATACAGTTGGAGGCGGATCTATCATAATCTGGAAAACTTTTCTTTTTACTAGTCTATTTTAACAAGTGTAGGGAGGAAATAAAACTCAAAAAGCATAAACTGTTTTACATTTTGAATTGAACTTTGACAAAAATGGAAAAACTCCAAAATAAAGGCATACTGGCAAAGGAGGAAGGAAAGATGCAGACAGAAATAAAGGAGGAAAATGTGGAAATAAAAAGGTTCTGATACTGCTTTTACATTTCCTGGTTTAAGTGAAAAAGGCAGGATATACAATTGCACAGAGATATGATCCCTAATGAGAGACAGCGAGAGAGACAGGGATAGAAAGACAGACAGAGGTAAAGGACTAAAATGAAATGGATCCAAATAGGTCATTTCTGGGAATTGGGCTTGCACATCACAGTTATTTTCTTTTGGGGCCTTTTTGTATTCTCCAAATTCCCTACAATGAGGATGTTTTTCTTTGACAATAAAAATCAATAAAATATTTTAAAAATGATTTCTCATTCAAAATGCAACTATCTTTACCTCTGAGTCTGAGCACATAAGCTGATAGAGTTCAGGGTGGTTAAAGGTAGAGTTTCTATGTGTATTACTGAACTTCCAGGCCCAAGGGAACAGGAAGTACACACATACAGTCTCACACATTTTGCATAAGCTCATAGATAGGTATAAAGACTTTAGTCTAAACATGTTTTAACAGTTCCAGTGCCCCAGGCTATAGTAACAGATGATAAAATAAAGTGTTCTGACCTATTGCAAATTGTTACCATCACCATCGGTAGACACCATCTGCAAGATCCATTCCAGTTGTGGATGATGCATTGCTTTACACCTTGTGTGTTACACCACGTGAGTTAACACAGTGGAGGCTAGTGTGCTATGGAGGAGGCCAGGCTGACCCTGGCTGTGAGCTTTAACTGTATTGGTTGTTCCAGGAGCCACAATCTCTAGATGATGGGCCATTCCAGGTCCTGGAGCAGCTGGAGCTGGGAGAGCATGCAGAACTTTGCTCTCAGATCTCGTTCTATCTAGATAATGAAGCTGGCTGCAAAGTGCCTTCCCTGCACCTGAAGGTCTGCAGACCTTCCTGTTTTATTTGCATTTGTCTTTTAGATCACTGTGTGGATAAAAGGTACCCCCAAAGGAAGACTCCAGATAGTTATCCTGGCCACTGCCCAGAACTATTCACTCCATCTGTTCCTCTGTTGAAACTCTTGAATTAGAGGTTTATTTAGGTTAACATGATTGTTTCCACAGAAATACAAATGCCTCAATAGGGTTATGAGACATTGGTCTAACTTCCCTTCTGACACCCAGGCAGCCAGGTTGAAATATGGAAATGTTGATGATACAGAAAGGGAGATAGGTGGTAGGTGGGGACCAAAGGGCACAGCTTGAAGATTAAGGCAGCCGGGGAGCACTTTGACCCTAGGGGGCTGAAGAAAGCTGCACACAGAGATGTTTGAAGAGAGAGCAGTCCTCTTTGCCCCTCAGGTCTCGGATCCTCCCTCTCCCCCTCACTCTTAAAGGACACTTTGCCTTCCTTCACACAGAGAAAACCCATAAGAACTTCCTCAGTTTCCTGTTCCCAACTCCACCAACTCTCCAAAACAACCTGCAAGCACCCATCTTTCCACCGTCCTTCCATCTGGGCTGAGTCCTCCTCCCATACTGGATCCCACCTGCTACTGCTCTCTCGGTGACCTTACTTTAGTTCTTTCCTGTTTGCCTCCAATATCTTCAGTTGCTTTATCTTTACTGCCTCCCTCCGTCTGTTCTGCCATCTAAGCAAACAAGCAAAAATGTCCTCTCCCTAAACTCCCGCTCCACTCTGGCATTGCCCCCTCTCTCAGCAAGGGTTTTGGAAGAGTCGTTTGCCTTGTGTGCTCTCCAGGTCCTCACCTTCCACTCTAGCTCCAACCCCCTTCATCTGCCTTCTGCCTGTTTTCCTGCTATGAAACTGCTCTTGCTCAAATCACCAGTGACGTTATGACGAAATGCAATGAAAACTTCCATTCTTGGCTTACGTGACCTCCCCAAAGCCCTGATCCTGGTGACTTCTGCCTACTTCTTGACTTTCTATTTTCTTGGCTTCTTGGGTCCCATCCCCATCCACTCCCACTGTCTTCATACTGATGACTCCCATGTCTGTACTCTCCACCCAGACTTCCCTCCTGAGCTGCACATCCCTGTACCCAACTGTCTACAGGACAATCTACACCTCACAGACACATCAATCAACACCTCCAAAATGGAACCCATCACAGTGTTTCCCTACCCCACCAGCCCAATGCCTCATGTCCTGGGTACTTTGTGCAGGCTGCTTTCCAGCCTGAAAAGCATTCCTTTTCCCCTTGCCCCTCTGACCCCTTCATTGGGCTATTATCTCTTAAGCCTTAGGTTAGATGTTGCTTCTTCTAGGGAGCCTTTCTTGATTCACCAAATATAAGTCAGATGCTTCTGTAATCTCATAAGCTTTTGCTTGTAATTCTTTTTGTTGTTGTTGTTGAGACGGAGTCTCACTCTGTCACCCAGGCTGGAGTGCAGTGACGCCATCTCAGCTCACTGCAACCTCCACCTCCCAGGTTCAAGCAATTCTCGTGCCTCAGCCTCTCAAGTAGCTGGGATTACAGGTGTGTGCCACCACACCTGGCTACTTTTTTATTGTATTTTTAGTAGAGATGGGGTTTCACCATGTTGGACAGACTGGTCTTGAATTCCCGATCTCTGGTGATCTGCCCACCTTGGCCTCCCAAAGTACTAGGATTACAGGCATGAGCTACCGTGCCTGGCCATAATTCTTTCTCTTTTAATTTTTTTTTGTTTCTTGTAATTCTTTATTAAATTGTCTCTTTCCCACTTAAATTATTTGCTCCTTAAGGGGAAGGATCTTTCAGTCTTTCTCATTACATCCTGTGGCCCAGCATAATATGTGGCACATAGGATACTCAATAAAAATGTGCTTATTTGGCCCTGGGCAACATAGTGAGACCTCATCCCTACAAAAAATTAAAAAATTAGCCAAGCATGGTCAGCATGCACCTGTAGTCCCAGCTACTTGGGAGGCTGAGGCAGGATTGCTTGAACCCACGAGTTTGAGGCTGCCGTGAGCTATGACCTCATCACTGCTCTACAGCCTGGGCAAGAGAGTGAGACTCTGTCTCTAAAATAAATTTAAAAAATTGAAGAAATATTTTAAAATGTATTTATCTGAAAAATAAATAAATAAAACAACCTATTTTCAACACTCAGACATCCAGGAAAGGATGGGGGAAGACTGGGAAAGAGGTTTCGTTCCCCTTCCTAGTCTTCCTTCCCACTGCAGATTCCTGTTCATGAGACACTGGCTTCATTCACTCAGGTGAACACCCTTTGCTCCACTATCCAACTTAATCACAGGCTGTGGAGCCTGTGTGTGTCCATCCTGGCACTTTTCTACCACGTTCAATGACTTTTTAAATGAGAAAACGTATTCTTAGTTCTTAACGCCAACTTGAAAATGGGCTTTTGTAATTATTTTTAAGTTGAGGACCATCTCTACCATATGTAAATATGGAGCACTCACTACAAATACATTCTAGGCTGGTTCTTCAAAGTAAAACAATTTTGCCACAGGATCATTCTTTTTTTTGTTTTGTTTTTGTTTTTGTTTTGAGATGGAGTTTCACTCTTGTTGCCCAGGCTGGAGTGCAATGGTGTAATCTCGGCTCACCGCAACCTCTGCCTCCCGGGTTCAAGCAATTCTCCTGCCTCAGCCTCTTGAGCAGCTGGGATTACAGGCATGCGCCACCACGCCCAGCTAATTTTGTATTTTTAGTACAGATGGGGTTTCTCCATGTTGGTCAGGCTGGTCATGAACTCCCGACCTCAGGTGATCCGCCCTCCTCGGCCTCCCAAAGTGCTAGGATTACAGGTGTGAGCCACCGTGCCTGGCCACCACAGGATCATTCTTAAAAGCAATTTGCTTTACGTCTTAGTTGCTATTTTCCTTTTTGGAGTTTAGTTTTGCTAAAGAAAATGTTCAACTCCAATATGGCCATTTCAAAAATGCATTTTTAAAGTTCCAAGTGTTCAATAGCTTTTCCTTTTGCTTTGGCTGGTTATGAAGATTTTATAGGTCCAAATACACATTTGATGCTTTAATTAACACTTGTGGCTAAATTATGGAAGAAAGAAAGTATTTCAACACATTTATAGGAGTGAGTCATATGATTTTCCCAACTGAAGCCACAACACCCTGCCCTGTATGACATCTGTTTGTCTCTTTCAAAAGGTTTAGAACAGAATTTTAACAGCAAATTTGAAAACAACATGGCTACATTTACCACCATGTTGGCAAAGAGACACTACATCAAAAGATGATAGCTGTTTTTGAGATCCTGTCAAGCTGTACATACTTTTTAAACCAATGATGTGGGAAGGGGAATATTCCGGCATCTCTTTTGCCAAAGAAAGGTATTCATTGTGAAAATAAGAGCAGTATAAAGAAAATAGGGTGAGTGGTCTGTGACTAGACAAATTATTGAATCTGTAACCATGGGCAAGATTCGCTCTTGACATCAAATGGACATTCTTCCCACAACAGAACTTTCAAGAACATGCCTCATCCCACTGCTCAGATAACCATGGACTGCTAGCCCCAAGATTGAGGATGCTGTATGAGCATGTTTGGACTCTCTCTCATTTTTCATGCTCATTTTGCTAGGGCTTCCTCTTGACCTGAACTTGCTTTTCATCTTCACGTTGTTCTCTGACAACTATATGGAAGCTGGGTCAGAGATGGGTACCCTGCCCTATTGCTCCATGTTCATGGGACTTCCCTCCTCCATCTGTGGATTCAGATCTGAGATTTCTCTTTAATCCATGCCACCCATCAATTGTGAAAAAGGACACCCTGTCCTGGTTATTCTATTGAGGAGCTTTTCCCCATCTTCTGTAGCCCCCCTGCACCATGACCAAGATATATTAAGTGTCCTATCAATATTTAAGATAGTGCTCAATGTTGTTCAGGGACTAGCAGTATTAGTCTCAGTTGAGAGCTTGTTAGAAATGAAAATTTTCAGGCCTCATGCTAAACCCACTGAATCAGGATTTCTGAGAGTTAAGGTCCAGAAGTCTGTGTTTTAACAAGTTCTCCAGGTGATTCCTATCTAGCATGAGACTTGCTGTCTCAACTTACCACTGTAGGAATGAAGTGGCAGTGATGGGAGAGTATCATGCTCCTTCCAGTTCTATGAAACCAAACACCCTGGCAGCAGGTTACAAGGTTCTCCTGGCCAATAGGCAGCAATTCTGCCTGTGGTCCTAAACAGAACATTTTCTGAAATCAGCAGCAAGGATTAAGAGCTGCTTACCAGCTGAGAGGTCACTCTCGAAAGTCCAAAGTTTGCATTCTCTTCTCCCACTGTACCCACTCTCCCATAAACACTTTGAGGCAGCCAGTCTGATCTCCTCGTTGCTTGCCAATGCTACACCCTCGTCTTTGCCCTGCTCCTTTACGAATTCCTGGATGTGCAGGAATCTAGAACAGAACCACACCCCTTCCAAGGGTTGGCTCTATTTGTTGACAATGAACAAACAGCTATTGAGTGCTTGCTATGTGGAAGGTATCTTGAACTGTCCCCTCCCCATGAAATCTGCTTGCTCACTGCTTCCCGTTTTCATGTGGCATTCCTGTCTCGGTGATTGCCTGACCCACAGCATGTGCCTGGTCCCAGAACCTTCATGATAGCTGAGGCCCCTTTGCAGTCTCTGCTCTAGTGATTTTCAAATATTTTAGTAATATAACCATATTAGAACAGTTATACAGATAATTAGACAAAGCAGTATTTTATTAGTGCTAATACATTTTGAAGTTAAAATGAAGGTAAATTGTAGGCTAGTCACTGAGGTAATAAGGCTATTTTGTTGACCCCCAAAAAGTGAAGTTAGATGGATAAGAGGAGTCAGGTCTGCTTATTTCTGGAATGCTTCGTTGTGCAATACGGAGAAAATCCTTATTCAGATAACTAGTTGCACATGGTAACTGTTTTTTTCTTTCTATTTTTCAAAGATAGCTTTCCTTGCAACCTCAGATACTCTTCTATTAAACAGATGGCAGGACAACTTCATTCCAAGGTTTACCCACAAGTAGGTGTTTACACGGCATTATAATGAACACATTGGCAGTCTTCAGTGGGTTAAAATTTGGCCCATGTCATTTTTGATTATCTCCTATTTTTTTAACATTGTTGAAAAATTTTAAATCAAATTTAATCAAATAATGTCTGTGGAAACTCTAAAAAACCTTTGCAGCCCTTCGGGGATCCACAAAGCCCAGCATCACTTTACCGAGAGACCAAAACAGAGAGGCGAAGTCACTTACTCAGGTCCCATGGCTCTTTGGGGTCAGAGCCGGCTGCATCTCATGTCTCCTGCCTCCTTATGTTTATGTTTCACAGGGACATTCGAGCCCCCCATGTCGATTCCAAGTGCCTTTTGCTCAGGGCTGGATCTTCCAGAGCAGGAGCTCTGTTTATCCTGCTTAAATGAATTATGGAATGGAATTTCCCCAGAGCCATCTCCCGTCCTCAGTGGGAGGGTGCCAGGCCGGGAGAGCAGGGCAAGAATGAAGATCCTGCTAAGCGACTCTGCCTCTTCCTGGTGTCTCACCACCGCCTGGCACACCCCATCCTCTGAAAATAATACTGCCTTCCTTTCAGCAGCCAGGGCTTGGCGGGCTTACAGAGCTCTCCTCGGATTCTCTTTCATCAGGCCTATTCCCAGAAAGCACTTGCTCATTTAGATGAACAGCTTCTGGCATGTGCTCACATTTAGCTAACAAAGATATCATTCTAGCAATGTGGAGGGCAGGGAGATGGGGGCAGAGAGATGGCGGGGGCTTGGCAGAAAAGCAAATCTATCGTGGCATCTGCAGATGGCCTCAGCTATCGTGGGCTGCAGCTCACAGACCCTTTCCCCTAGTAGCATGCTGTTTCGAGACCAGCCCCCTAGGGAGAAAACTTTAACAGGATGAGGGCAGAGGAGCCTTGGAGAAAATGGAACAGCTGTAGCTGGGTTACTGCTTGATGAAGGAAGGTTGGGAAACGTTTTCTCTACTTCAGCAGTTTGGCTTCTCTTTCTACCTCAGAGAACTGGCGGCAGCTCTTCCCTGAAGAAGTTGCTGCGGCCTGGTGATGGGGAATCTCCCTGTGTTTGCTCAGAGCTGAAATTCCACCCACTTCCAACCAACTTTGGAGACCGAACAGGTTTCAGGCGCATCTGTCATCAGGAAAGAGAAATTCAGGCCCCAGATGGCTCACCCAGTGAGGTCCCTCAGGTCTCCTAGCAACTTGCTGAGCTTGGATCTTTCCAACTATTTTTGCAAGGTGAAATTTACTTTTAAAATATAAGGGGCCTGTCATTAAAACTGAAAGGACTGGAATACAGAGGTTTAGCTGACACTGATCCCTCTAACTGACCTACTTTATGAGGAAAACCAGCCTGGGACTGATTGTGATTTATTCTTTACTTCCTGTTAGAATTAAATGGATTGCTTTAATATTTTTGCCTTTTACAAAGAGATGTATTAAATCTCAGAAGCCTGCCTGCCATTATGCTCAGGCCTAATCTTTCTCATATAATCACCCCGTAGAAGATACCACTGGTTGCTTCCCTATGGTCTGTTTCCTTCTTCCCTGTCAGAAGAAATGGTTGGCAATGTGCTCAGGAGAAAATATTCCCATCTCCAGATATTCTGACACATGACAGCAGCCATGCCACCCAGTTGTGGCCAATGATGTGTAAGCAAAGTCTAGGGGGTAGAGTTTCTTATGGAAATGGAAAAAATCAGATAATATGAACATTTTGCACATCCTCCTTTGATCTGTCTTCCTGACTGGAATGTAAACATGATGGTTGGTGGCAGAGCAGCCACCTTGCAACCGCAAGGAGGAAATCTTCAAAGAATGGTGGATCCGCAGCTTAAAGGGGTGTGAGTCCTTGCTGACTACCTTGATCAGTTGTAACAACCCTTTGACTGCCAGCCTCAACATTTCTTCTCAGCTGAGCAAAATAAAATCCATTTGGTTAAGTCTTTTGTATTGGGGTTTCTCTTAAATGCAGCTAAATGTGATCCTAACCAATACCTTTCCAAAACACAAAGTTCACATCACTTTAAGCCAAAGAATGCTCCTGCCCCGGAGGTAAACAGACAAGAATCTCCTTTCTCATTTCACAGCATGAGGAAGTTGAGACAGTGGAAAGTGGAAAGCATAACATACTCACCTCTTGCTGAATTAATTATACCTCTCAGCCCTTGACTTATCAAACTCCTCAGCAGCATTTGGGCAAGTGGCTACTTTCTCCTCCTTGAAACTTCTTCCTTCCTTACTTCTGTGTTACTACTTCTCCATGCTTCTCCCTCATCTTTTTGGCCCATTTTTGAGTCTCTCATGGGTCTCTCTTCTTCTGCCTGCCCCTTAAATGCAGATGTCGCCAGTGTTCTCCCATAGTCCTTTGGGTAGTGATCTTATGTCTACCCACAACATTTACTGTCACTTAGAACTAGACATCAAATGGTATCTATCGACATTGGGAAAAGATGTCTGAAGTGTACTGCTAAGAGAAAAACAGCTCATAAGAAAAGATGTGCTGTTTGATCCCATTAATGCAAAATGGGAGAAAGAAAAAAATATGTATATAAAAAGAAATCTAAAAGGATCTACAAACAAGATGTTAACAGTGGATGGATAATGAAGTTAAGGATTTAAAATCTTTCATTCAAATGTCAGATTAACCTTTTAATCCACAAGGATGGAGAGGAAGTAGAAATTGCTTCAGTGGGTTTTCATGCATTTCCAAATTATTTTCTCATTTTTATTCTTGGTACTTTCTCGTCCTACAGACATTCATTTACTCAAGGAGTTCTTGTATGACTCTTATGTGCCAGGGGCTGTGTGAGACTCTGGAGACACAGCATTGTAAAAGCAAAGTCACTAACCCTAAGAATAAGGTGCTTTCATTTGAAATAACTGGGTATAGGTGGTTTCATTTTTAAATTGACAGAGAGAGGGTGTAATTTAAATGCTCACATTTAAGAGATTTTCCAGGTAGAACAACAATAGGTGTCATGCAGCAGCTCCGCTGTCATCTTTCCTGGCTGAGCACCAGACAGCACACCCAGACCTGGGCTGAAATTGCTCCTCCATGGCCCCTAAAGACTTTGCTGAACCAAGGGCTCTGCCTCCGGGATCTGCTAGACCTGTCATCTCTGGGCACTGCATGAGTAACATCTCCAGGGTGTCTTCCAGCTTCTCTGATTAACTCTAAGCACTCCAAAGTGAAAAGTTTGGAAAAATATCAAAAACATCATACAAATACAAGAGACTCCTGTCATACAGCCTTGCTCCATTCAGGATCCTGACTACTCACCATTGTTCTCTTTCCCCTTGTTCAGCTCCAATTCTGAAAGACTGAGTGCTTGCAAAAATACTTAGGTGATATGTGCCAGCTCTTGCCTACACACAAAATTTGAACAGTGAGCAGCTGTGGGTGAGCACCTCAGACTCCAAACCTATAAGCCCAATTGCAGCCGGGTCCTACCCTCCCATGACAGGGAAAGAGGCTGCTTCCTCTGTTCATGACCAACCCCTCCACTTGTTCTCTGGATTCTTGCTTCTTGCCTCTTTCCCAATCTCTCTTCCTTTCCCATATCTTCTACCTCTCTCTGTATATACTAGTTCTTTCTCTTTGGCATTTAAATACACTAAAAGCCTCTTCCAATTGGGGAAACAGATGCCATGGATTGATTGTGTTATAAATTTTGCATGAGGATGGAGCTCCATGCTGCATCCTGTGCATCTAACAAAGTGCTGGGCCTTCCGGGGGTTGTAGGCCCATTAGGAGATGGCATCTTCACTGAAACCTGATAGACATTCTGCAACATTTCTTTCAATTCTGACCTCTCCCTTCAGTTACTGGGCCCCAGGCCCCTCCCTCGGTGGACAGGCATTGTTTCTCCAGAAAGACCTCGGATTCCTTGTGTGTAGAATGTTGTTGGTCTTCTGCCACTGAGCAGTTGCTGGCTGGGTAGAATGATGGTGGGGAAGGCCACAGCAAGGCACTGGGCCCAGCACACTGTTTAGCTACCTGGGTGTCTCCTGGAGCATGAATCTTCAAGACACACTGTCTCCATGCACCACCAGTCCTTCAATGGTGAGGTTCTGTGTACCTCGTTCCTTTATATGGGGGCTACCTAAATGTGTGCTTTATGTTGAAAGAACTAGAACACATCCTCGGTGCGTCAGTGGGAAGTATTTGGAAAACTGACTGGAATTTTATAAAAGTTGTTTCCATTTTCCTAATATAAATGTCCATTAGCATTTTTCAACCATCCTTCAGAATTAAAGGACTAATTCTTCCACTTGAGTCAGTGTAAGGGAAATTTGATTCATTTCCCTAAAACTTCCCTCACTTACCTAGAAAGGTAGTTGCAACAGTGTTGAAATTCATCAGCTGTTGAACAGTGTAAAACCCCACATCTGAGGAGTGCCTCACTCAGGTGACCTTGGAACGTCCAAGTGAACAGGTAGGTTGGAAGGTGGCCAAACCGCAGGGTTTTTAAGAATCTAGTATGATGTCAGTTTGCCAGGGGCTGTTGTCAATTCTCATCTGAAAGCCAGAAACTCTCCTAACTGTTGAGCCTCCCATCTGCCATCATCACGGGCTGTCCCACAAACAGCTTGCCTCGGCACGAGGCCGCCACCTTCCACTGAGACTTTTTGTGAATTTGATTCCTGAGGTTGGCCGTAAGCTTTTTTTGAGGCACAGATGTTTTCTAAGGTGCTGGTGCTCATGCCCCAATTCCCTCATCGCCACAGGCCCACCCCTGTCTCTTCACCCACCCTATGCACCTCTTCTGGGCACCACTTCCCTTCCTCCCCCACCCCATGGTCTTGGCATATCCTGGCTAAGCTGAGCTGTTAATGTGTTGAATTGTGTTGAAAGTAAAAACAGAGGTCTGAGAAAACAATTAGCCCTGAAACACACCAGGAGAGGCCCAAGAGAAGACCCCTGCAGTCTGTTACAGAGAGAGGTGACAGCTCCAGGCAGCATGCTTGTTTATCCGTGTCTTGGGTGAGTGTGTGCGTGTGTGTGTGTCTGTGTGTGATCTCGTCCCCTTCCCTTCACCTTTGCCCAGATGTGAGCATGGGCTTTGTTAATAACAAGTGATTTTGACTTTTAAGGGTGTCATGTGTGCCTAACCTCTGGTGTATGTGTGTCTATGTTAAAAGGACACATGTCTGTGTCTGGTCACATACGTTATCTGGGCCCTCCCCTGTGCAGCTCTGTTGGTTAGGAAGGGAGAAAACCTCCCTGAATGATGTGTTGTGTGTGACTTTTCCTGTGAGCTCTTCTGACGCCTCCTCAGCCCTCTCCCGCTTGCCATCTCTGGGCCATCCACTCCCTTCAGGATTTTTCTCTTCTGGATCAAACTGCCAAAGTCCACTTTAATTTTGACTCCAACTTTGAGATTGACTTAAGTTTTAACAGTAAGAAACCCTTTTGGTGCTAGTACTCCCTAGCTCTTGTTTCCCAGATGAACATTTCTTGGGGCAGAAGGAAAAAAAAAAAAAAAGAATTAGACTCCTTTTGCTACATAAATAGATGTGACATTCAAATCCAGAGTTAAATGGAATTTCTCGAACATTAGCAGGCTTGTGCAATGACCTATGAAGTCAAAGTCACTAAAGTTTTCTGATTAATTAGTTGCATGTAGTAACTTTAGTGCTCTAAAAGAAATGAAAGAAAGAAATAAATAAAACACTTTGCAATACTGGCTACCTACTAAGATTTACTAAGATTCTAGAGAGGTTTACTTTCCTCTGATGATATTGAGGGCTTTTCTTTGTAGGGAGCTGCTGGCAACTGAGGATTTTGCAAACAGAATTCAGAAGGGAGGGAAATACTTCATGATGGCGTGACTCTGAGCCAAGCATAGCATTCACTAAAAGGCTGCCCAGCCAGGTCAGCATCAAGACAGAGGGGTGGCATTTATGAAATCTGAAAACAGGGCCAGAGGGTTCCAACGTGATGGAGACAGACACTATTGCCAGTCTTTGCAAGTGACAGCCACCCTGCAAATATTAGGTGGCAAGTGGGATGCTCTAGAGCTGAAGTAGTAAGGATGTGAGGGAACATAAGAGTGGCCGAGAGTGTGGGACATTCCAGGAGAGGGTTAGGCAGGGTTTTTGGCAGAACCACAGGTCCTAACCCAGTCCTGCTGGTTTAGACAACAAGTGGAGTTTCTGTATAGGCTGGCCATCTGGGCTGGGAGAAAACAGAGAACAGAAACCTTAGCACAAAAGGGTTTCTGACCTAGATGCCTTCAGTCCAGAAGAGCTACAGAGCTGGGGTGGGGGGGTGGGGCATGTGGGGGCCCTGAAAGGAGACACTGCCCAGTGGTCACAGCCTGGGTGGAACTGAAGAAGTCAGTTGGCCCGTGAATGGTTTTTCTTCCTGCCTGTCACACCAAGGGGATTCTCTTCCTATGTAACGTAATAAATTCCCCTATAATCTCAAGATGCAGGTAACAGCTTGGCCCTGGTGAGAAATGGCTGGCTTCATGTTTCCCCCAGTATGATTTCCTGTACATACAGCGAGGGGCCCTGCCCACTCTCCTGCAGAGCTCGGGAGCCGAGCCTAGAAGGGAAAAACAAGGCTGATTCATGTTTGTGATTAACTTCTCACCTAACGCTGTAATCCCATACATGGAACTGGCCTGGCTTGTCACTGCTTGGCTGGGACCTCGGTTGTTGGAAGAAGGGTAGGTGGCCGCAGATTCTGCACCAACACTGCCAATGCCACCCTTGCCACCCTCTGTGGGCGGTGCCTCCAATCCCCTTGCTTTGGGACGCCTTTTTCTGTCTTTCCCCCTGTGTGGCCCCATGGCATTTTATTTGCACCTCTTTCATGGCGTTTGCCTTTTCTTCACTTGCAGTTATTGATGAACTCCCTGAGGCGATGGAGCGGGGGCGGGGGTGCGGCGCAACCATGTTCTCCTTCTCTTTAAACCTTCTCAAGTGCCAAGCCCAATGCCAGGCCCAGGTTTAGTGCTCAGCAAATCACAGTGAAATGAACTGAACGGCAGAGGATGACCTCCCTGGAACAACTGCCCTGGATAAAAAAGAAGCCCAAATCAAATTCCAGCCCCTGGCCGGCAGGGCAGATGCGACCTCCCTCTGCTTTTCTCGACAATAATCCTGGCCCCTTGTTATGATAAACTACTTGCTCCTTGCTTGGCAGTACATTCAGGAACTGGACTGCTGCCAATGAAAACACAGGAGTGATGGTAGGACTATTGAAATAAATTAATGGCCTATGACAAATACAGGAAAAACAGTGCTGGTTAATAAGCTCAAACGCCAACAAAATCACATGTTATTTAAGAGGAGGAGGAGTTTTTACATAAATGTGTGTGATTTTAAGTAATAAGAATGATTTTTAAAAACCCAAGTAATTCATAACCTTTTTAGCCGAGTAAATGCTAGCCCTTTAAAGTTGATATCAATACTTTGGGAAGCTGCAATTGCCTAAAACAACTATACTACTCTTTTTGGCAGCCTTCAGGGCTGGTTCAGGAGGAAAATTAAATCTATTACTTGATAATTACGCTTTTTGGTTTAAGTCCCAAATGGTATCACCCAATATGATTACTGCCCTGACCCACCAGATTTGGCTCTAAATTATTTTTGATAGTTTCCAAAAATCAGATGCACCCTCAATTAAACCAAATCTTTGCTATTCCTCAGGCATGCAAAAGAAGGTACTGTAAATTCTGGAGTTCCAAAGAGAGATTCCAAAACTGTTTCATGACCAAGAAAAATGTCAGTGTCGACCTCGCAGGTGACCACCGCAAATATGCAAGTTCGGATTTCTTTGTTTGAAGATCTGTCATGTCATCTTAGAATCAGTGTTCATAGTTGCTCATTCTGGGCAGACTGTCATCAGGTTCGGTTTGCACAAAACAGTTGACCCGAATCAAGGAATTTAAACTTTGAATACTAGACCAGCTATGACATTTGGATCAGTGGGAGCCTTTGCAAATCAATATGAAAACTCGAGCAGCCCACACGGGTGTTTCACCAGCTGGCCACCCTGCAGGAGGCACATGCAGTGAAATAACTAAAAGCAGCCTCCTTTACTTCTAACCTGGCATAAATCACTCTGGTTCGATTTCAAGGGGGTGGGATGTGCAGGAGTGCCGGCGTCAAGCCCCAGCGCTAAGTGGCTAATCGAGTCCCTTGGTCTTCTCAATGTGTTATTTAGGGCTGGTTTACTTTCCTGATGGTGGAATGCTGTGATCCACTTACAGAAGAGAGTAAACACACTCCAAGCACTAACTTCATGCTTCATGCAAATTGAGCCCCAAAGAGGCCTGGGTGGTAGAGGAAAAGCTCTGCTATGCTGCACCTTGGGAAAAATGAGCTGGTCAGAAATCTGTTATCCAAGATCTAATTCATGTTATCCCAGTAGGTCTATCCCCTTTTTCTCTCTCTTCCTCACCCTTCTAGGAACTATAAGTGAATGCAAGAGCAGTAATTGACTGTGTAAATTAACCCATTTGTTTGTGAAGCTAAAGATCTACTTCCTCCACCCCCACCTAAGACAGTGGGAATAGTAACTCCCAGTTCCCCCACAACCCTAGGGCACCTCCAACCTGTAAAACTCACCTGCTCTGTCACTGTCAGCTTCTGGTGTCTACTTCCTAGACTGAAGGCAATACTGGAAAGGTCAGATTCAAGGGCTTTCAGGTTAGTAAAACTCCAGCTGGCATGGCTTCCACCATCTCATTAATGAAGAACAAACACACACTAACACTCCTTGGGAAAAGTGCCTGCTGGCTTTCTTCCCTTATTACTGGGAATAAATCAGCAGAGATCCACAGAAAGGGGAAGGCTAGGAGGAGAAGATCTCCAAGACATGATCTACACCCAAAGGCATCCTTGACCATAATACCATAAAGGGATATCAAAAAGAGCTAACACTTTTTGAAACCCAGGTGGCCCCTGACCTAAGCTATAACAACCCCAGGTATAGGCAGGTCTGGGTCAGCTATCCTATTGCCCACTGTTCTTCAAAAGATGTTGCTGAGATTCTTACTCAGTGTGCGGGGGTCCACAGATTGGTGGGAAGTGGGTGAAAGTGTGACTTTCCAGGGGCTTCCATTCCACTTGGGATGATTAAGAACATAGATTCTGAAGCCAGACTACCTGAGTTTGATTCTGGGCCCTACCACTTACTAACTGTGTGACTTTGGGCAACCTACTTAACACTTCTGTCTCTCAATTTATATTTCTGTAGAAAGGTTATAATAATAGTACCTTCCATGTAGGGTCACTGTGAAGATTAATGAGATCAAATATATATCTAGGCCTAGAACAGTGTTGGACAGATAGACTGTGCTATATGAGGGTTAGCTGTAAGGATTTGGAGAAATACATTATACGTCAAAAGTCATGTCCAGTTAGAACAAAGCCATATACAAGAATGCACAGGAAGAATACTTTGGAATTAGACAAAAAAGAGAAATCCATGGGATTGAAGTAGGCAGAATGGACTTCTCAGGAGAGGTGGGGCCTGAATCCAGGACTTTCAGGGATGGGATGGGCATAGTCTACTCTGACCCTTTTTCTCTAACCTAGATTGACCACCCATGAATATGGGGCTGCCACCCCTAAGGAGGACCTCAGGCATCTTTTCCCTAGCAAATGTTCTGGATCTGCCCACTCTGTGGCTCCCTCCCCAGCTGGCCTTTTGGCTTCATCTTTGATTCCTGGCTCTTACCCATGTGCTATTGGATCAGGTGAGAGATTTCAGTTCAGGTTAACATACTTTAGGATGGGTCTATGCTGAGTGAGGAACTGGGGCTAAAAAGGTGAGCACCTAACAATATCAAATATCCTCTCAAGAAGTTCCTAGTCAGTGTTGACAGAGGTGGGAACAGTTTTATAATTCACTATGTTGGGAGTGGTTGCTATGGGAGCAGAGAAGGGGAGGGCTTGGCCCAAGGGCAGACAGAGAGATCAGTGACTCTTCAAGGGCGACAGGGACAAGCCAGGGCCAGGGGCCATGATGAGCATACAGGGCGAATGGCAGTCCAGACAGGAGGAAGTGCTTGAAGTTTAGTTTGGATTCCAACACTCTCTGGGAACACTGGGTGGTGCTTTCCTTTTATCTCTCACTGCCTGCAGCCCCTCCGAAAGCTCCAGTTGGCCAGGGTTGATGAGCATCTGTGCTGGGCTGGCCACAGGCCTCCTAATGAGCCAGCTCCAGACTGGGCAGGGTGAAGGGCTGGCGGGGGTGGTGAAGACTCTCCAGGCAGGAGGTACACCATAAGGAAAGGCTGCAACAGGAAGGTCCAGTGGAGCTGTGGGCACAATACCAACGTTAAAACCCGATCTCTACCATCAGTTAGCTCCGTTATCTGGAGCAAGTTACTTTGCTTCTCTGGAATCTTCATTATAAAATAGGTGAAATAATACTTGGAGAAGTGGTTCTGGGGCTTGAGTGAGATACATGAGGAACACCCAATAAGCACCTACTACTATGTGCTGGGCTGGAAGGGGTTGGCCAGGTCCCAGTCCCACTCTGTCATTCTGCTGTCTGCATTCACAATACTAAATGGCACTTAGATCATTAGCTGTCAAAACAAATCAGGGAACTCAGGACACTTCTCTTTGAAATAGCTTTTAAACAGCTAGTGTTTGATAAAGATTAGGCAGTGAGAGTGTTGGTCTTTACCCCAGGAAGAGCCCAGTCAGGTTGCAACTGTGTTAGACTCTCCCAGAGAGCCCTACTGAGCTGGGAGGGCTGGCGCCTGGCCTGGAGGAAGAGTCTGCGGGCTGCAGAGTTGCACATCCTGCTCAGCCTGAGGAGGTGGCTAATTAGGGCTGATTGTGAAGAGGGTTTGATGACGTGGACACCTACATGGGAAACTTTGTATGCAGACCACCACTTCATTTCAGGCAGGTCATGAAACAGCTATTGGACAAGAGCATTCACTCACTCACTTTAGATGGCCTAGGTGAAATGCTCCCTATCCCAGCACCAAACCTAAGCTATCTATTTTCCCTATTCCTGCAACTTGAATCAGCCTAGTCAAAAATGCAGAAGTCTGGCCTGAAAATTGCCCAAGGAGAAGAGCGAAAAAGAAGGAAGAAGAATGCTCTTTTCATAGGGCCGTGGCATCGTTTACGGTGTTCCCAACATTTGAACTACTTGAGATTAAATAGTAAATAGTTCAACATATAAACAAACGTGTGAAGAAGCAACCTCTTACATTGCTGGTAGGGGTAAAAATTGATGTAAGTCAGTTTGGCAATATCTATCACAATCTCACATTTTGACAAATGAACACTTTATGAAGTAGTTCCACTTCAAAGAATTTATTCTACAAGTGTTCTCACTTGTGTAAAATGACAAATGTACCATGTTACTTTTCAATTGTAGAATTATTTGCAAAAGATTGTGAACAATTTAAATATCAATAGAGAACTTGACAAATAAATTACAGAGTAGAATATTATGCAGTTATGTAGATGGTGTATGTATGCATGTGATGGTTAATTTTTCTTTTTTTGATATGGATTCTAGCTCTTTCGTCCAGGCTGGAGTGCAGTGGCACTATCTCAGCTCACTGCAACCTCTGCCTCCCGGGTTCAAGCGATTCTCCTGCCTCAGCCTCCTGAGTAGCTGGGACTACAGGCACATGCCACCATGCCAAGCTAACTTTTTGTATTTTTAGTACAGACGGGGTTTCACTGTGTTAGCCAAGATTGTCTTGATCTCCTGACCTCGTGATCCGCCCGCCTTGGCCTCCCAAAGTGCTGGGATTACAGGTGTCAGCCACCGCGCCCAGCTGTGATGGTTAATTTTATAGGTCAACTTGACTGGGCTAAGCAATACCTGGATGACTGGTAAAACATTATGTCTGGGTGTGTCTGTGAGAGTGTTTCCAGAAGAGACTAGCATTTGAGAAGGTAGGCTGAGTAAAGAAAATCCACCCTCCCTAATGTGGGTGGGCATAATCCAATCTGTTGAGGGACTGACTCAAACATAAAGGCTAAACAAGGGCAAATTTGTTCTGTCTGCTTGAGCAGGGACATCCACCTTCTGTCTTCAAACAGCAGAGCTTCTGGTTCCTGGGCCTTCAGACTTGGACTAGAACTTCACTACCAGCTTTCCTGGGTCTCCAGCTTGCAGAGAGCAGATCGCAGAACTTCTTAGCCTCCATAATCACGTGAGCCAATCCCTCATAATAAATCTCCTTGTGTGTGTGTGTGTGTGTGTGTGTGTGTGTGTGTTTGTGTGTCTGTACAGATAGATTCTGTATCTTATTGGTTCTGTTTCTCTGGAGAACCCTAATACAATATACATGTATGTCTACATTCTATGAATGTATATATCGCCAAGAAATGTTAAGTCAAAAAAGCAAGTTGCAAAACAGCATGTATAGTATGCTACCATTTGTACATGTGTGTAAACAACTCTGGAAGGATCTTCAGGAAACAAATTACATTGATGGCTTATGAAGAAAGAAGCTAGGTGGCTGTTGGGGCAGAAGAGAGACTCAACATTTACTTTTTTATACTCTTTGAATTTTGAACCATGTGAATGTGTAACCCATATAAAACATTAAATTTTAAAAAGTCACCTTAAAAATAAATGAATACTGTCCACTGACAGATAAATGGATAAGCAAGTGTAGTATATGAATACAATGGGATATTGTTCAGCCTTTAAAAGGAAGGAAATTCTGACTCATGCTACAACATGGATGAACTTTGAAGATATTATACTAAGTGAAATAAGCCAGTCACAAAGGGATAAATATTGTATGATTCTAGTTATATGTGGTACCTAGAATAGTCAAATTCATAAAGACAGAAAGTAGAATGGCGGTTGCCAAGAGTTTGGTGAGGGGGTAGGAATGGGGAGTTATTGTTTAATGGGTACAGTTTCAGCTTTGCAAGATCAAAAGAATTTTGGAGATTGCGTGCACAACAAGTGAATGTACTAAAACTACTTGATATGGTTTGGCTGTGTCCCCACCCAAATCTCATCTTGAATTGCAATTCCCATAATCCCCACATGTCGTTGGGGGTACTGGTGGGAGGTAATTGAATCATGGGAGCAGTTACCCTCATGCTGTTTTCATGATAGTGAGTGAGTTCTCACAAGATCCAATGGTTTTATAAGGGGCTTTTCCCCTACCCTTCATTCTCATTCTTCTCTCTCCTACCTCCATGTGAAGAAGAACGTGTTTGCTTCCCCTTCCACCATGATTGTAAGTTTCCTGAGGCCTCCCCAGTCCTGCAGAACTGTGAGTCAATTAAACCTCTTTCCTTTCAAAATTACCCAGTCTCAGATATTTCTTCATAGCAGTGTGAGAATGAACTAATACACTACTGAACTGCACATCTTGACTGTACATGGTTAAGATGGAGGCCAGGCACAGTGGCTCACGCCTGTGATCCCAACACTTTGGGAGTCTGAGGCAGGAGGATTGCTTAAGCCCAGGAGTTTGAGACCAGCCTGGGCAACAAAGCGAGACCCTGTCTTTACCAAAAAAAAAAAAAAAATACATATATATATATATATATATATATATATAATTAAATTAAATTAAAAAATTGCCAGGCATGGTGGTGTGCACCTATAGTTCCAGCTCCTTGGGGAGCTAAGGTGGGAGGATGGCTTGAGCCCTGGAGGTTGAGGCTGCAGTGAGCTCTAATTGCACCATTGCACTCCAGCCTGGGCAAGAAGTGAGACGCTTTTTTTCTCTCAAAATAATAATAATAATAAAAATGGTTAAGATGGTAAATTTTATGTTATATGTATTTTACTACAGTTAAAAATAAGAAAACTATCTATAAAATAAATTTTTAACAAAGAACACTTGGTTACATTAATTTAGTCATCCCACCAATGAATGTTCTGATTGCAGCCACCTAGTGTGATGTGTTAGAGGACTTTCGGGGCCTAATTCTCTGCCTAGCCTTTCCCTCAGCTTTAGCAAGGCCAGATTATCTGATTGCTCTCTGCTTTTGTTTTTTCATCTGAAAAGTAGGAACACGATTTTCCTACCCTGATACTTTAACTGGATTATTGCATACTGATGTTTTTCTACTCAGGTTCCTAGCCATTATGGTAACATCAACCTGCAGGAATTGTCTAACCTTATTTTGTGACTTTCCCCTTATCCAGGCTTTGAAGAAGACCACTGCGTCGGTATTTGTGAAATGTTTTGAGCCTCTGGATTTAAATAAGGTGAAATATAAAGGATCCTTTTCACTACTGGGCACGCCTAACTGCATGTCTTCTAAACACTGCTTGTGATGGTCATTCATACCAAAGGACGGAAACAGAAAGCACAGATCACAAAATCCTCTGGCCAAATGGGGAATCTGACCCTGAAACGAAGGAGCAGTGTCAATGTCCTGAGCCCCACTGCCAGCCTCAGCTCTATGAGAAAGGTGGCAGAGAGGTGGCAAGGAGGCACACACAAAAGACTGGTGTTTGTCCTCTCCATGCTTCTGCCAAATCTTATAACCTCCCGTCCCCGACTGGCAAGCCAAATAGTAGCACCATCCCTACAGGTTACATTATACCCTGAAATTAACATTACAAATCAAACCACTTAGTTTTAAAGTGCTTTTCACAAGCCTACTAACTTAATCCATGACTAGTGCTATGGGGGTTGTTAATAGGTTCTCACATCTCCCCAAAACAGCCCTATTTAAGACCCCTCCTCCATTACCCACACACCAGCCTGCCTTCCTCACTCAGGGTGAGGACCCACAGTGAACGACAGTAGTATTCTCCTCTCTCTTCTGTTGACCTAGATTGACCTGAGTGGGGGTTTTAAGACTGATCTCTCTTCCCTCTTCTCATACCAAGTCTAAATTCCACTGCTGGGCTTTCCCTGCCTGCTGTGATTTGACTCTACCTTTCTATACAGCCAACTTCTTACCACCCACACGCTCACCTCTGCCTCAGTCCTCAGGCCTGGAAAGGCCCTTTGAATCTTCCTTTATGCCTCTCCTGCAGATCCAGGCACAAGTCCAACCCTCCACCAGCCTGAATCCGTCTTTTCCTCCTCTGAATTCCTATGGCATTTATAGTTAGCACCCTACAATTTACTGAACCACTTAATTATATGCTCTCTGGCATTGCTCAGTGATTATGTCTTGCTTTTAGTCTGGCCTCCTGAGTAGATATTGAATCTCAGTGGGGCAGAAACTATACTTTATACATGTTTATTGTATCCTCAAGAGCACCTACTATTACTAATGGCAGTCAGCACTTAGTGTATACGACACACAGTACTTTATGTATGCTATCTATTTAATACCACAATATCTCTAACAAGGCATTATCATGCCTATTTTTCAGATGGAAAACCAAAGCTCAGGGAGTTTTACATGGGCAGGCAGCTGGTGAGGGCTGAGACTGGAGCCAGGCCAGTGGTCTTCAAAGGCTTTAGTCAAACTTTTTGACAGATATAAGAAAACCGAACTAAGGAAAATACTTTCCTGGGATCATCCCTATATGAAGTGGCAGACCTGGAATTGCTCCCTGTTTCAAAACATGTAAGCTCCTCAAGAACAGGAACTTTTGTCTGTTTGTTCATTGTTGTATCTCCAATCCTTAGAACTATGCCTGGCTCAAAGTAGGTGCTCAATAAAATATCTGCTGAATGAACAAATGCAATCTAATCACCAAACTTACTCTGAACGCTCACCAAGTGTGAGGCACTGCTCTTATGAGAAAAGTAATGTAAGAGACATTCTAGTTTGTTTGACTAAACCTCACTCACCACAGAATACTCACAAAGGGCTGTCCAGAAACAGAAATGTGATAAAAGCCTGCATCCCGAACTTGGTGCCAAATTTGTACTTTTAGACTTGAGAGGGTATGGAGCTTCCTATTCCCTGCCTGTTCCTCTCCTTCAGTCCTCCCTCCATGGAAATAATCAGCCACCACAGCCCAGGAAGAAAGGGAAGCAGTCCCATACCCCAGGAGCAGGCTGGCCTGCGATATCACATCAGACTCCTGGGATTCCAGAGAGAAAGGAGTCCCTGAGGCCCTGCAAGTCCACCTACGGGGGCTGTAGAGCTGGAGACCTGGGGCCTGGATATTAAAATAACACATGCATATCCACAGGCAGGGGGCGTGGGCCCTGCTCCTTCTGTAGGTTCTTTTAAACATTTATCTTCAGAAGTCTTTATTTGTGCTAAGTCACTTAGATCAAAACAAAAACACTTATTTTTGTGTTTGCTTAAACAACGTAGATCGTTTCTTCAGTTATCTCCTGGCTATATATGTGGACACATCTTAGATCTAGAGACTAAGAAAAGTATTTTCTTGCTGTCCTGTACTTTCTACACATTTGTAACCTGTGTTCATAACAAAGGTAATCAATTTCCCGACAAGTAGTTATTCAAGCTAGGTGAGACAAATAAAGGAGATAAAGAAGTTGCACGATTTAAACAAACAAAAGGAACAGTCAGCCACCAAACAAAGCCCACAGTTCCAATGTAATGATTTGAAATAGTTTTGATCTTTTTTGGTAGGGGATGGGGCCAGGTCATAACCATGTAAAAGTAATGAAAACAAACCAAGACTGCGGGGCCCTAATTACTGTCAAGTTGTCATTTTCTCCAATTGCCTTGAAGGTTTGTTTCTTTTTAAAATTCAGTGTAACCTTACAGGAGGCAATAAGGGCTGGCGAAACGCGGTGGCAGTGGAAACTAGCTGGGCGGATGCAGCAACTTTGGGAATAGTGGGATGCAGGGGTGGAAGACAGGCTGAGGGCAAAGGGGCTGCCAGGGCTTCTGAGGAGGCTCCCAGGAGACTGATAAGATCCCGAGGGGATCGGAGAAGTGCGAGGGTCCAGTTACATGTGCAGGAAAGGTGATGAACCCCAGGTTTTTATACTTGTTCATGAGGCGCCAGCCTCATGCTTAGTTTGTTTCTGAAGCATATCACCCTCACTCTAACTCCTATCTAGAATATTCTTCTCCCAGATCTTCCCGTAGCTGGCTCAGCTTTCACGTCACCTCTTCAGAAAGGCCTCCCTGACCACCAACCTGAAGTCACAACCTAGTTAGTCTCTCGCCCCTTTTCCATGCTTTTTTTTTTTTTTTTGCCTTCATGGCTGTTGGCACTACCTGAACGTTTCTTGTTTGTCAGTATATGTCCTCTGCGCCCCCATACCATGGTGTAAGCCCCAGGAGAGCAGAAACTTCCTTTGTCTACCCGACAGGGCTGAAGCCTCAGAGTCTGGATCAGTGTCAGGTACGGAGAAGGTGCTCTGGTGGAAACCTCAGTGGCAACGTTCAGCTCACAGTGGGAAACTCGGGCCTTCAGACCAGGGAAGGGGGCCGTTTGAAGATATGAGTCTGGAGTGTGACTGATGAAGCCAAAAGCAGGCACAAACTCTCTTTTTATGACCAACTTTGGATAATGAGCTCAAGCCATGTATAAAAACATTCCCCAAAAGTGCTTTTCTAGATGAAAGGGAGAAAAATAGCTAAAGTGATCCATCTTCCTTTCTTTGAGGAAGGTTGGCACCGCTTCTGTTGCTTCCAGGAAGATTGCATACACATGTAAAACCGGAAAAACGTTAATGAAGAGAAAAACTAAAAGGTAGGAGGGTGTACTCAAATATCAAGTTCTCCTCCATGTAGTAGCTGCCCCTGCCTTCATTAATAGAACCATTAAGATCCTTGTTGCTCCCTGTGCAACAATAGGAAGGGAGCTCAGGATATAGACTTAAAACGGAGGACACAGAACAGTGGACGCCAGCGGTGTCCAACTTTTTGGCTTCCCTGGGCCACCTTGGAAGAAGAAAAATAGTCTTGGGCCACACATAAAATACACTAACGATAGCTGACAAGCTAAAAAGCATCACTAAAAAAACTCATAATATTTTAAGAAAGTTTATGGATTTGTGTTGGGACTCATTCAAAACCATCCTGGGGTGCATGCGGTCCGTGGGTCATGGGTTGGACAAGCTAAGTATAAGCCATATGTTACCTTTTGCATTAAAAAGGTGGGGTAGAATAAAAAATACACTTACATTTACATGAACACTGGGGCTATATAGAAGAAGCGAATATAACTGGCTATACACTTCAAGGCCAGTGAAGTGGAGAGCAGGCACCAGTATAGGAACGAGATGTCTTGATTCATACTTTCCATGTTGTCTTGATTCTTCAACCATGTGAATGTATTAATTGTTTTTTAAATAAAAAAAAAGTAATGATTCTTGTATATAATTAATAGTAATTGGAGCCTTGTAGCTCAATGATTATCTTGCCAAAGTTTGGTGCAGGTAATATTGACAATTCAGGCTGAGAGAGCTACTGTCAGCGCCTTAGAGTAAAGAATATGAATGAAAGAGGGCACATTATTACACTCATGTCTTCACAAACAGAATCAGAGACTGAGGTGTTTCCAATTCTGGAGGTGGACTCCTGATTCCGTTTGCTTCTTAGTAATCACACTAAAATTGTATGTTTTATACAATTTCATACTAAAATTGTGTGAAAAATACGGCACCACGCTGGGTGCAGTGGCGTGTGCCTGTAATTCCAGTACTTTGGGAGGCCAAGGCAGGCAGATTGCCTGAGGCCAGAAGTTGGAGAAGGGGGCAAGACAAGCTTCTGGAATGCTGGAAATGTCCTGTTTCTTGATCTGGCTGCTGGTAACGTAGGTGTGTTCACTTTGTGAAAATTCATTGCACCACACATGTGTGATTTGTGCACTTTCCTATGTGTACGTTTGACACCAAATAAGAAAAAAGAAAAGGAAAAATATAATGCAACTCTATATGCGTTGTCATGGAAAGATGTGCAGGCCCTGTCATGTAGAGGAGCCCATGTTATACAGCCCTTTCATGTGATGCTATAGATATCAAGCTATAAGTACCTGCATGCCTAGAGAGTTATTCTGGAAAGTGGTTCTCATAAATGTTAGTCATGCTTACTTCTGGGTAAGATTTTGAGTTGTTTGGGGTTTTTTTTACACTTTCTTCTTTGTGCTTTTTTGTATTTGCACTTTTTTTGCACAGTGCATGTGTCTTTTATATTCAGAAAGTGGGCTTTTATTTTTTTAAACCCCTCATTAATTAAAAAGAAAATTTTAAACCTGCTTTTTACTTTCTATAGAGGCAAACCAGTAAATACCCAGTGCCTATCAGCCACGGACATGATGTATGTTGTGTGCATCAAATACACTTTGCAGTTGTCCCTGTTTCTAAGTATTTCCAAGGCTGGTTCTGAACAGAGTAGCCACCATCTTTCCCATCAACAGATAACACACCCCTGTCGTAAAATCTGAGGGTGGATCAAGGGAAGAGGTCTGAGTCCCCAAAAAGAGTTCAGGGTAAATGCTGTAGACACCGTAGGCTGGCTGTTCTTCCTGTCTTTGAAGCAGAGAGCAGACCGGTCCATTCATTAAACCAAGGTAAGCCGGGCGTGGTGGCTCACGCCTGTAATCCCAGGACTTTGGGAGGCTGAGGCAGGTGGATCACCTGAGATCAGGAGTTCGAGACCAGCCTGGCCAAGATGGTGAAACCCCATCTCTACAAAAAATACAAAATTAGTCAGGCAAGGTGGAACGCACCTGTAATCCCAGCTACTCGGGAGGCTGAGGCAGGAGAATCACTTGAACCTGGGAAGCGGAGGCTGCAATGAGCCGAGGTCGTGCCATTGCACTCCAGCCTGGGCAAAAAGAGCAAAACTCCATCTGAATAAATAAATAAAATAATAAACCAAGGTACTCTCCTTACCGTTTCTCTTTGTTCCATCTCTAGTCCACTGTGCTACCTCTCTTTGGCTCTGGCAGAGGGGATTTCACCAGTTTATTCCCAGCCCTGCACTATCTAACTTAGAGAGTTTCCTATTTCTCTTTCAAATCCTTTTCCACCAAAAGCCTCCTCATGTTCACATACTGGAAAATATTTAAATAGGGATAAATTACTTTCTTTTACCATCAAAGCCCAAGCTTAAAAGATAAATAACCCTGAGTGAGTTAACATAGGACCTTAAAATTCACACTAAGGTGTAAATGTCTAATAGGTATGATTTCTAAAGAGCACAATTTGGTTGGGGGATGGGAAGGGGAAAGGGAGGCATGGATCTTGCACAGAGTTGGCCAGCTTGCTGGTGTTACCTGCTTTTCCTCCACCGCAGCTCCCGCCCCCACCCAGGCCTGCTCAGAAGAACCCAAGCCACTCAGAAGCAGGAGGCAGCCTTCACCCCAACCAGACCAATATCCGTTCCAGACTCAGGATTACAACAATCTGGGAGAGGGTCAACCAAGTCAGAGTCCCACATGGCAGAAGAGCTGCTTTAGCTTAAGACTCTTAACTCTTTTTCTTCGGGGCAGGAAAGGTTTGAGCCAATGAAGGATGAGGCTTTCCAGGCCCAGGACACAACCTTGATCCAAGGCCTAGTTGTGGCTTTAATTTTTGTAAATCAAGCCTCAAGTTTTTCTTCACTCTTTTAGCCAAAGATATGTTTCCCAGGATGCATGAAATAAATAAATAAAATGTACCAAATTAGAGATTGTGAGACATGTATGTCACTTAAATCCTTTGTAGGCAAGCAGGAATCACTGATTCACTAAATTCTGTCCTAAGTTTTTTTTTCTCCTAACCATTGTCTTCATAAGATCATCCCATACTTGGAAAACATTTATCTAATTATCATCACACACAATGGGCCCGCTGCCAGCTGTTTTTTATTTTAACTTCAGATTCTTTCCAGGGTGTTTGTTTGTTTTTTTCTTGGGGGTGGGGAGTAGGAGAGAGGAGTGTGTGTGTCTGTTTTTGCTATTACACAGAACTGATCAGATTTCCTTTTATAATCACAATTAAACTTCCAGACCCAATCATCTGAATATTTCATGTTTAGAAGATCTCGGTGCACATTGACTTAGTCTCAGAAACCTTCCAAGAAAGGAGGTGAGAAACTGATGGGTGAGGTCAAGTAAATCATTCTAGAAACATAAAGAGCATTGATGGACTAGAGGAGCTCAAGGCTGACTCTGAGCTCAGTGTTCTCTCCATCAGCTGAGACTGGGTACCATGAGGTTAAGCCTAAAATACATTACTGTAGTCCCTCTAACAGGAAGGGTAGTCCTAAGAAAGCAGGGCCTTTGTACATCTTGTCCACAGCAGCCCCCACACAGCAGTGGACAAGATGCCTCATCCCCAGCACCTGCTTGGTGTTTGATGTTGTAGTTGGTGAGCAGCAAGTACTAGTAGAAAATGAATTACCTTTGTCACTCTGCCCCCTACAGTAGCGCAAGTGGAGATTCATAAAATCTCTCTACAAAACAGGACTGTCAAAGGACTGTCAGGCATTTAAAACCTGGTCAGACCAGTGGCAGCTCTCAAAGGGGCTTAAGGACAGCAATGTGGCTGACGGGAAATATGTTGGGCTTATGGATGCACTGGCACAGCCAACACAGTTTTACTTCCATTACATTTTATTTCAGGTTTCCTGATGGAGTCTATGGGGAGGGGCTCAAACTTCTTCTCCACTTCTTGGCACCACAGTGGCTCAGATCAATAGGCTAGGGATGTGAAGCTGTGCTCATGAAAATTGGAGGACCAAAAAAAAAAAAGACCGAAAGATGCAGGGGTCTTGGGAGAGGTTTCCCTCTGCTGCAGAGTCGGCCTCCCTACCCCTGAAGAGCAGGGAGTATGAGGAGGAATGTTTATGAAATGAAATCTGGATAGTCGCCCAGACCTTCAGCTATAGATAATATGTAGAACATTCTAAAGGGACAGCATTTTCATCAGGCATCTAAAACCTGTCAGAAATGGAGCCCTAAGTTACCATTCACTCTTCCACTGCGTGAACAACAGCCCATGTGGCCCACCCTCACCCCACCTCCCTGAGTAAAGTGGAGATGGCTTAAAATAACCAGTTCTCTTTAAATGCATATGTATTCTAAAGGGGCTAATCCTGTAAATAAGGCATGCCTCTGTGAGATTTACTTTTGTGAGAATCTAACAACTAATATTAACGAGTATTTAGATTTAGGAAAGAGAAAGGTACTTCAGTATTTATTGGACTTTTCTTGCTTTCTTTTTTTGGAGGGGTGGAGAAAAGAGGATTAGTGAGGGGGATGTTATTAAGTTAAGGAAAACATTATTGCTTGTTTTGTATGCGCGAGGAATTAAGTTTATAATCTAGGAGAGGAAACAGGGCAAACACCGGAATGACTCTGAAACACATCTGCGTCAATGGTAGCAAACAAATTACTGTGAGAGTCAGGGGACGGAAGCGTTTTGCAAAGCCTTGGAGGATTTTGACCAGCGGAGATGGGAAAAGGGGATGCCAGGCATGAGAAGGTTCAAGAGAAGGTCTGGGGGCAGGCGAGCCAGAGGAATCAGACTGCTGGAGAAGGTGAGACAGACAAGTGCTCACAGGAGAGGTGGGCAAGAGAACTGGCATGGGAGCCAAGGTCATCCCAGGGAGGTCCGAGTCAGACAGGCTCGGGGCCATGACCAAACTTCTGCAGTGGATCTGGTGGGATCTTGTTCAATCAGCAGTCTGCAGCCTGGTGACTCAGAGGCAGGGAAAACCACAGAGGCTTTTGGTGAGATAAGGGACATCAAGTTGGCCTTAGACAATCGCTGTGGTGGTGAGTGTTGGGTGGGCTGGAGGGAAGGGAATGGAAGAACGGGAGGCTGGCTGGCAGGCTGTCCCAGTGATCCAAATGAGGAGGAATTGAGGACTGGCCTACAGAAGGGACATAGGACATGGAGGAAAAAAGACAGGAGAGGCAAAGCATGGACTTGGAAAATAAGCAGGGAGAGGCGACTGGCCTGCGCCTTTACCCGGAGGAGTCCTTTTGAGCTATGCTGAGTTTGACAAGCTAGCAGGCCTCAAGAGCACTACTAGGAAAAGGGGGACACACACATGTCAGCCTCTAAGGAGGTGGAGGCCCTCTTGGAGGCTTTGAAGAGTCAAATGAACAGGGGGTACCAGAGGGTGGAAGCAGAGCAAGGAAAGAAGCGGGGTAAGCCTTTTGCAAAAGCTTTCAATTTTCTCTAGAACAATTTACAAGAACCCACTAGGGAGGGGAAGTGGGAGCCTGAGGGGAACCCACTAGGGAGGGGAATTGGGAGCCTCTGTTACATAGTTTTATATCTTTCAAATTTTGAACTTCTTGCATATACAGTTCTACCTGCTGTAATTCAATTTTAAACGGTTGGGCTCCAGAGCCCTGGTGGCTGCTTGTTGTAGCAGACACCCTGCTTTTCACCCACATGAAGCTCTGGTGGCCAGCCCGGGGTAGGTGTTCAGAAACCTCAATGTTTCACTCCTTTCTACCCTCTATCTCCCAGATAGTTGAAGGTTTTTTTTCTGTTTGGGATTCCACTTCATTACCTACACCGAAAAAACATAACAAAGTTCTCGGTTTCATCCCAGACGCCTACAGGTCAAGGACGTTTTGGCTAGGTCCTCTCTCAGCTGGCATCAGTGCCAAAATCCTGCGGAAAAGAAGAGAGTCTGAGAGAGTAGGGAAAGAGGTTGGTGGTGGCTGATTAGGAAACTGTGGAGAAAAGTCCTTGTCATTGCCCCAGGTAGAGCCGACCTGGGAAGCAGCATCGTCATTGGATTATCTCGGTCGTTCCCGCTCACTTAGGCCAAGCAGGCGATGGGTGTCTCGGTTCTGCCTGGAACTGCCGTTTTTCGGAGGGTGGGCCGCACCCCGCAGTGCGTCCAACTCTCCCAGCTGCCTAGATGTTCCTTGGGCTTGGGACAAAGCCCCCACAGCTTCCAGGTGGGCCCGGGGCGCACCCTAGCCCAGGATGGGGTGGCCAGCTTGCTCCCTGCCCCTCTCAAAGGCTGCCCATTCGTCCTTAATCTTTCTGGCAGATTCCACCAGGACTCCTTTACCATGAATTGTCCCACCGGGGGCCCCTGTGCCTTTCCGTCGCTGGCACCGAACTGCGTGGCGAGAGCTGGGACAAAACGCCGGAGCGGCCCGGCGGGGGACGCACAGGCGAGTCTCAGGGCCCCGCCCTCTCCCGTGTCCCCCTGTTCTGCGCGGGCGGGCTGTGCGGGCCTGGCCAGGAGCCGGGTCGGAACTCCGTGCAGCGATGGCAGCTCGGGCGCGCGCCTTGAGGAGCCGGTGGGGTGCTGGGGGACGGAGAAGGTCCCAAGGTCCGGGGCGCGCGCTTTGCTGCCGCTGGAAGCGCGCCCCAATTGTCGCGCCGCGTGGTTCGCTCGGTTAAAGCCCCGACCCGAGGGTTATCGAGCTGCTTCCGCCCAGTGGATACGAACCCGGACTGTCCTGAGTGCATTTTTTTCCTCCCTTATAGTCTGTTAAATTGACTAATAAACCCAACGCAGCGTTCTCTGTGCAGCTTCAAAAAACTCAGTAATTTCGTTAGAAAACGTTGAAATCCGACCCCAAAGTATTCAGCCCAAATGTTTAGTTAAAGTAACCCCGTGGGTTAATAAACTAAACAAAGGCAACCCATGCAAAACCGGAGCAATGAAAACCAGGCTACATAAACGAAGGGAAGTTTATAAGAACTCTTTGGGAGGAAAAAAAGAGAAAAGGCACCGGGCACGGAGGTTTAATGTGAAGCATGTGAGCGGGGCTCAGTTTACAGGTACGCGGGCCGATGGCGAAGAGCGCTGTCAAGCGGCCTCGAGGATTTCGGGGGGTTTGCGCCGCCGAGGAAACCCTACCCGGACGAGGCGAGCAGCCTGGTGGCCCTGGCGGCCGCGAGCTCCCGGCTGCCACCGCTAGGCGCCCCCGCCCGGCCCGCCGGCGCTCCGAGGGCAAACCCGGGCGGCACAGCCGTGCGCCCTGGGCTCCGCGCGCCCAAGGAAAGGGCTTCCCAGTCACCCTGCGGCGACGCTTCTCCCTCCCGGGAATGACACCTTCGCTCGCTTTCACACAGCCAAGCCGTTGGAGAGGCAGAAACAGTGGGTCCCGAGCCCGCAGGAGAAGTTCCCATCCCGCCCCTCTAGCCCTCGGGCGTTGGCAGTGGAGTAACAAAGACGCTGCCGCGCCGTTGACCCCGAAGAAGCTCTGATGAAAAGGAGGGCGGGCCGCGGGATAGGAGTTTCTACAATTAGTTTTTTCTGCCTTTACGTTCCCAAGAAGAAGCCGAGGAAGTAGAAAGGAGAGAGATCTGGGAAAGGCAAGATCCAGAAATCAGGAGCCATTATGTTTCTCATTTTGGAGAAAAACTGTAAAACAGCTCGGCCTCTTGTCCACCTTGCCCCGAAGGCAAGTCTGGATATGAAAAGAAAAAGGCGGGCAACGGAGGAGATTTATTTTTCATTTTAACTTTCCTCTCCCAGGCTTCCTCACCCCCTGCCCCCTTCGATTCCTAGGAGGGGCGGCCCCAGCCCTCGGAGCCGATTCTCGGCGCTGCGCTAGGACATCAGAGGCGATACAGGTTCGATGTTAAATGAACCTTCAGGCCGCCGGACAATGGCGCAGACCTCACACGGGGGCACCGCGCCTTCCCCCAGCCGTGCTCGGCTCCCGCCGCTTCTTTATTTCACGTGGTGGAATCCTCCGCGTCTCCTACAGCCGCCGAACCAATGGGCAGACCGGGGAGAGCGGGACGCGCAGGAGAGGGTTTGAAAGGAGGTGTGGGTTTTAATTTTTAAAGAGCATAATTGGGCTGAGGAGGGTTATTTTTTCCTTGGCCACGGGAAAAAAAAGAGGAAGAAGGGGAAAAAAAAGTCAGGCGAAACACAACACATTTATCTATCAACCGCTAGACAAGACAAAGAGGTTTTAACAACAGTTTGAAAAGAGCGGCCTGTGAATGGTTACTATTCAATTTGTATTTTATTCCCCGCTGGTCATGGAATTGAGATCAGAAGAAAAAGTGAAAACACATGGCTGAGGTCAGGGGATCAGAGAACCACCACATACAGCAAAGGGAAGGGAAAGCAATGGGAACTCGTGTGAAGAAATGGATTATATAAACAGAGCTTACCATCGCCTGCGCCCCATTATCCTATAATTTACCCTGCATGGGAGCATAGAAATATATTAAACTAGTGATAGGTTTTACCATTTCTTTACAACCCAGCCTCGTGCCAATCAAGCCTACTATATACTTTGAGACATGTTTAGAATTCTTGGACTAATGTGTTTATTTTAAATATCACAGGGAAATTATTACATCACTAGAAAATAATGCCAGAGCGGGGGTCTGCCGCCCTTTTGAAGTCCTGCTGCAACGAAACATGATTTTAATTACATAATCACTTTGAAACTATAATTATACAATAAACGATGAGGATTAAGCGGGAAGTATAGAGTACATTAAAAATTGCTTAGGTCTTGAAAAAACAAACTGAACATGCAGGGGGAAAAGAAAGAGATGAAATCCGAGGTCCTGGGAGGGGGGTTGATAAATCCTGCAATCGCTTTGCTCTGAGCTGCGGCGGGAATCGGAGCCTAGGGCTCTCTTTGCCTGGGCCAAGGGAGCGGGGGCGATGGCTGGAGTCGTGTAGCCGAGGAGAAGCCCGTAAATCTGAGACGGAATCAAAGAGAAGCGCGAAGGATGGCTTCGGGTTCGTTAGCTAACCTTTCTACACGGAAACAAGTAAACAGGGTTGTTGCCTTGGCGTTTACTAAATTCATTTACACTGAAAACCACATGTATGACACAGAGAGGTTGAGCGTTGCCAAGGACTGCTTTGTTTGCTCTTCCCTTCCAGGAGGAAGGGAACGAACGACACGAACGGCGTCGTGGGTACCCTGATGCCCACAATGAGTTTATAAATAACTGCGCATAGGTGGCGCGGGCATCCATCCCACCGCCACTGCGAACACCCCTGGGCACGCCTTGTTCCCCGGGTGCACACGCCTAGCGCGCACTCGGTTTCGCACCAGCTTTCTCTCCCTAAGCTCCTTTCCAGAAAGTTGCTCCGCTGCTTAATTTTGCTCCTGTGTTTGTCTTCAGGTGAGGCCAAGGGCAGGTACATGGTTCTCCCTTCAAAATATAGAAACTTGGCTAGGCCCAGAGTTCGCCGACGTGCGTCTCCCTCCCCTCAGCTTCCATGAGAACTTCTTCCCAGAACTTCTACAGAGCCTGGGGGCGCAGAAACCGGGTCCTGGACGCTGGTCCTCCTTGCCTTCAGATCCTGATGGGGGTTGGAGGGGGTTGCACTGGAGCCCCGTGGATGAAGAGTTCTAGTCCTGAACACAGAGTCCCGAAAGATTTTGGAAGCACCCTGGAGACAGAAGTCCCACAGGTAGAGGCTAGTGACTCTTTTCAGTAGCACCTACTTTCCCAAGTGGGCTTTGCCAGGCCAGAGCGCACTGGAGAGGGAGAGGGCGTGCAATTCCTGATTAGGGACTCATTTTTAAAAGGCTGGTTTTTATGAGCCTGGCATCACCAGCATTCCCTCCAAGGATAGCCTCTGCTCGCCTTCAATATTTTATAGCAAGTGCCCTGGGTGAGGGGGTTGGAATGCCAGTGTCTGGCCCATAAACGTCTCACATATAAAGAGTTACACGCTCCCATTTCAACCGCGGCAGAGGGGAATCCAGGTGCAAGAGGACACTCCAGCTTTTGGCTCAAGCAGAAAATTATGATTGAAAGAAGAAGCTGCGATGTTTAAATTCACCCGCAATCTGGAAGATGTTTTGTCCAGGAACTCAGACATGAGGTGTTGGGAGAAAGGAGAGAAAGTGACACTAAGAATCTTTCCTTGCCTTCACTTGGGCCTCATGATCGCTCCCAACCCTGCCCAGTCGCCCCACCAGCACGAGGCAAATGACTGTCTTCAGCTCCGAACATTAATATTAAGACATCAGCATTGCATTAGTCTGCAATGGACCATCAACGATCAAGAAAAAAATACAAAGGAGAAATGAAATAGCTCATCCGAAAAGTCCTACTGTCATCGTGTTTATTTTTTGCTTTGCTAAGCCCAAGATATAATTTACTCACTGCTCTCTTGCAAACAAAAGGGCCGTGATAGCCTGGCAACGTTGAAGAGCCCCTCTCAAAATCCCCAAGGAAATTACAACTGGGCAGGAATTCAGGAGCCGTTTTTATACCAAGCCCGAAGCGCCAACTTGCACAGTTCCTTCCCAGGATGAACACTGAAGAGGCCAAAATTTAAAAAAAGGAAGGAAGGAAGGAGACTCTTGAGGAGTAATAATAATAAGCATTATTTATCTGCCTCCTACTTAATACAAGCAATTTACCTACCTTACCTCTTTCATACTTACAGCAAAGCTATAGGGTTGGCTGGGCATGGTGGCTCAAGCCTGTAATTCCAGCACTTTGGGAGGCCGAGGCGGATCATTTGAGGTCAGGAGCTTCAGACCAGCTTAACCAATATGGTGAAACCCCGTCTCTACTATTAAAAAAAATAAAATAAAAAGCTGTAAGGTAAACATTGTAATACCTACTTTATTGATAATATAAAATACTTATACGATATTTATTATATGCCTAGCACTATGGTGTTTTACATTCATTTATGCCTTACAACATCGCCATATAGGGAGGAATATTATCCCCATTTTACAGAAGAGGAACTGAAGCACACAGAGATGATCTAATCTGTCTTAGGTCACGTGGCCATAACTGGCCAGGGATGGATTGGAATCCAGACTTGTGATATCTTGACACACTATACCACCAAAGGAAGTGACGGGCTGGGAGAAGTTGGGGCTTATCCGAGGTTCCAGGGAGGACTCCAAGGAGCCGGGACTGGAGCCCATATCTTGAGAGTAGGGATTGTGGTGCGCCGCCGGTACTCAAGGAGCCACCCGCGCGCAATGTGGAAGGGCGGCGAGTCGCCCTCGGGGCCCACAGCGCCGTCGGGCAAAGAACCAGAGGCGTGGAGCGAATGCAGCGCCCGGGAGTCAGGGCTGTTAGTGGCGTGGCCCGCCGGGCATTGAGCTGTTTCCTCCAACGCCCGGTCCCCCGCGGCCTAGGCCCAGTGTTTGCTTTTGCAGATACGTCAGAGGGAACATTCAGGAGGGGCGGGCTCCCAGGCTCCCAGGAGACCGCCCGGAGCCTCCGGAGCGCGACGAGGCGCGGGGCCTCGGAGATCTGGCCTGCCAGATTGAGGGGGAGGGGAGGGGGCCTGGCCCAGCAGCTGGACAGGCGCGCAGTGCCCGCAGCCCGCGAGTGGGCGCCCAGCTGGCTTCGCACGGGTGAGGGGCTCAGCCTGCACTTCCCTCCTCCACCCCGACCGCCGAACGCGTCCCGGCTGGCTTCAGAGTGCGCTTCTCGTGGACGTGCTGCGCGCACCCTAGGGAGATGCGCGGCGTCCGCGCGGGTCAGCGCCCCAGTACCACTCCCCAGTGTACTCCCCAGGTACACGCTTCCCTTGCGCGGCGAGTTTCAACTCAGGTCAGAACGGAGCTGAGCGGTGGGCGGAGTGGAGAAAGGTCCCGGAAATTGGCCAAGAGGGGGCGGTTTCGAGGTAGTGCCTTCGAAGTGTTGTCCAGACCAGCAGGGAGGGTCGCCTCCACCTGCGGGGCCTCCTCCAGCTCCACAAGGTAGCCCCGTAGGGACTTGCAGATCTGCCAGACCTAGCAGTGAGACCACTGCTCCCACTGAATGGCGCCGCCTGCGGGCTGGCCCAAGCTCTATGCACCGGCTTTATCTCATTTTCTCCTCACCGTTAATAACTGGCAAGGCAGTGTGATCACCCTACTTGGAGAAGACATCCTGTTCTAATGGCTTAGCATAGCGCCCATTACTTCTAGGGGAGTAACACATGCCAGTTCCTCCCATTTTATAGGAGGAAGGCACCAAGAGGGTAAACAGTCTCAATAGACACAACCAGTAGGTGCCTGAGTGTCCACTGGAATGGGTCTGCGGGCAGTCACCTGATGTCTGGACCCCTTTTACTTCTTCCACTGACCTTTGGGAGGCCAGTGTTTCAGAAAAACTCGGGGTGGGAGCTGTGGGTAGAACTGGGAAGATGGAGGGGGAGGAAGGTCCTTCGCAGAAAATCGGAAAGGCAGAAGGCCCATTAGAAGGCTAAGTTCTAGTTGGGCAGGGAGCTTTGAATCATTACTATACTCAAATGAGAAGCACTTGAGTGCCAACCACTTGTCCAGTGCTGTGCTGGGCCCTTCACAGATGAGCTGTGTTTTCCATCTTGGCTGCACATGGGGATTGTTTGGGGAATTTTAAAAATCTGATGCCCAGAGCAATTAAATCATCATTTCTAGGAGTAGGACCAAAGCATCATTTTTTTTAAAGCTTCCCAAGGAATTCCAATGTGCAACCATGCTTGAGGACTTCTGCCTTGGGGAAATTATCTTAATCCTCACAACTCCTCCACATAGCAGATACCATTACGATGCCTATTTCATCAGTAAGAAAAGCCAAGGCTTAGAGAGGACCTGTATTTGGTCCGAGTCAGCCCAGAGACTAGCACAGGTTAATCTGGCGTGACACAGCAGACATCCAGCCTGTCTGGGCTGAGTCCCCTTCTAACTTTCACCCCCAGGAGTTTACTGTGCTGGAGAGACAACCTAAGGTCACAGCAGGAAGAGGTAGGAAGGCTTCTGAAGTTTCACAGCTTCAGGCAGAGAGCTATATTCAGGGTCTTGAGTACAGAGGGAGGCAGGATGGGAAGAAAGGGAAAGTAATAGCTTTGGTTTTCTTTGGGAAAAAGTAGGTTAGGTTCCCAGATGACCCTGCACTCCAGAGTGCCCTGTCTGGGTGTCTATTACTTGAAAAGGTGGCATGTGATGACTCAAGCCCAGCCACATGGATGAAGAATCACCCCTTAGGAAGCCTGGAGTGGTGAAATGAGCACTGGACTAGGAGTCAGGAAATCGAAAACCTATCCTAGCTGAGCCATTGGCTGGCAGCATCACCTTGAGCAAGTCATAATCTCTGAGCCTGTTTTCTCTCCTGTAAAATAAAGTGGTTGGATAGTATTATCTCTAAGGTTACTTGCTGCTCATACATTTATGGTTATTTCTGGCCCTGGTGTGAATAAACTTAAGTCTGGATTCAAGTTGGAAATACAAATGACAATAGTTTAGCATCTTCATGATTTCAATTGCTTTTCAGATCTTCTCTAAAAGAAGGACTTGCTAGTTCCATTTTGACAATTAGGGAAACTTAGGCTCCAAGTTATTCAAATTCCCCTAGTAGATTCTACTTCTACTCCTGGTAACGTGTCTCCTCTCAACCCATCTGTTCAGGTCTTATAGGTCATTCTGTGGTTGGAGAACCTCGGGGCATTCAGAGAAGTAGGGCACTGGACAGAACAGGGCAGGCAGCTTAAAGCCTTAAAAACACCCTAAATAAGCTGCAGAATTTAAGCAAGGTCAGGGCAAATTTTGTCTGTGGGAAGGGAGTTGGCGGATGGAGAACTAGTCTTCTGAATCAGAGACTTTTCTCAAAGTCTTGTGTTTTTTTGTTTGTTTGTTTGTTTTTCATCCATCCTGATTCCTAGGTAATGCCTCCAAAGGGCTTTAAAAGTATAAGGGCTAGAGTCATGATTCATTATCCTGAAGAAGGGCCCAGTGTGGGCTTGTAAAGGCATTCTTGTCCAAAGCACTTTAGCTCTCTACATATATGTGTCTTGTGCCTCAGTGTCCTAATTTCCAGCTGTTCATTAGAATTAGCCAGGGAGATTTCAAAATAACCATGTCCAGGTCCTATCCAGATCAATTAAATCAACAGCTCTGGTGGTAAAGCCCACACATGGATTTTTTTTAAGCTGCCATGATTCTAATATGCAGCTGGGGTTGAGAGAAATTGCTTTAAATGCTATAGAAAGGCCATGGAGAGGCCAGTGGCCAGGCTAGAGCTCTAAGAAGACAAGTCTGGCTGTGGTTCCAGCTGTGAGGCTGAAGCCATCAGTGTGCATGTGATTGCCTAGGGAAAGGGTAGAGTCAGAGAGAGCTGAGGACTGAACCTTAGGAAAGCCCAATACTAGTGAGGCAAGAAGAAGTGGGAGGGATTCTGAAAGAGACTGAAGTGGACGAACTTGAGATGCCAGAGAAAAGCCTGGGCTGCTCTCCTGGCAGCCAAGAGAGAAGCCATGGTGGTCAGAGAGGTCAACAGTGCTAATGCCACCAAGAGGCTGATTTAAGATTACGACTGAAAAGTCTTCATTGGACTTGACGTCCAGGAAGTCTTGGGTGGCCTTAGAGGAGCATGGTGGGGCCAGGGAAGCTGAAATGCAGTGGGTTGAGAAGTAAATGGAGGTGAGCCAAGAGAGACAATGAAACTCCTTTCAGCAAGCCAAGGATGCAGTTATAACTGGGCCGGATCATCTCCCCTGAGACAGTAAGCATCTCTTCACCACCCCCACAGAAAACATAAAAAGAATTTGGCTGTTATTTTTGATGCCCAAAGTGGGATTCTCCCCTATAGGTACAGACATCTACCAGCACTATATACCAGAGAGAAGCCATGTCCAAACTCTGAGCCAGAATATGCAGCCTATTTAAAACCTGCTTGATTATTCTCAGAAACAGTGGCTAACTCGAGGGTAAAATAGGCCACTGCAGCCAGGTGGCAAACTGAGCAATACCAGCCACGACTCGTGGCCACAAAAATCAGTGTCGAAGCTGCCAAGCCTTCGAGGCCTGACTTTGTTGCCTAACAGGAAACCCATGGAGCAAAACAACCTATACTCCTCCCCCAGAATGGTTGACCACTATAAGGAAACTCAGAGAGCCTACAATGAGAGAAAACCCACAAAAACACCAAAAAAGAAACAGAAGAACCCTATGTGAACAGCCCAACGCTGTCAACTATGACCAACAACCTTGACACTACGAGGGGACTTTGCTGTCTTATCTCTGCTAGCCTTCTTCAGGGCAGAAACCAGCTCTGCAGCAGGACAGGAGGGGGACAGAGCCAGTGCATGGTGTTGTGTCTTTCTCCCCTCCTCCTCTCTTCAAGGGGCTGCCCACTCCTCCTCTCCCAATCTGACCCTGTCAAGATCCACTTGCACCAGAGGAGCTACCGAGCTAGGTAGGACCCAGCAGGCCACCGGGCCCAGGCTTCAGCAACTGACCTATGGGGATAACCTGGATAAACTTCAAAACTTTGTCTCCTCCTTGGTTGCCACTTGGCTTACATCAAAAAGACAAGGACGCATCAGAATAGCTATTCCCCCTGGGCTGGGGGTGACAGGAAGGGGACACAAAGGGGTACTCTCTTTCTTGATCTGGGCGTAGGGTAATGGATATGTTCCAATAAAAGTTCCTTGAGCCTTTATGATTTGTGTACTTTTCTGTTTGTGTACCGTACTGCAAAAAAAAGTTGTTGCTGCTGTTTTTTTTTAAGGCAATGATGAACATGTCCAGTGGCTCACTGTCTCCAGGCCCCAAAATACCACTCTGCTATTTCTCTCTCTCTTCAGGCAATGGCCTGCAATTTTCCTTTTGCCCTGCAGCCACCACCATGTAATTTGCACCTCACTAATTTCCTGGCTGAGTCTTAATGGTGTCTGGTCACTGCTCCACCCTCCTGGAAAACATTGACCTGTTGCAGGTCCTGCCCAGCAGTTTGTTGTGTGGGCTGTAGAGGCTGCATCTGACTGGCCACCTTGGACTTGGAATACTTATTAGAAATTCAGCTTTGAAAAAAATCACTCAGAAGGGCAGATGGTCTGGTGACACAAAATCACTGTATTGCAGCTTCCTCAAAACCTGTGGTATGAATGGAGCTGAGATGGTTTTAGAGTTGTTCTGAGCAAGCAAAGTATTACATTTTGCTAGGTTTGAGGGGGTGTTGCTTGGCAGGGCTGACTGATTGTCGTTTTTGCTCTCCAATTTTCTGCTCGCTGAAGCATTAAAGTGGCAACCCTGAAGTCATTATAAAGCCAAAGGCCTGGGCACAGAGCACTTAATTCCAATCTGCAAATAAAAAGCTTTTATTAGATCTTCTTTCCTTCTCATTTTGCCTTAGATCTCAAATTGTCTTTCACAGGGTCTCGCCACAAATGTAACTGTAGTGGATCACGAAGTACTTTTGCAGGTGGCAATTAAAACAGTTGAGTTCTTCTCCCTCCATAATGAAGGGTTAGGAAGACTATATATGTGCTGAGTAAACACCTCCAATTCTTTATTTAAGCTTCCCGATTCTTAAGGGAGAGTGGTTTAGTGGAAAATTTCACTTGGGTTAGATGTCAGAAGAGCTGGGTTCTGGTACAGATTAGCTATGTGACCTCAAATAACTTATTTAGACTCTTTGAGCCTCAGTTTTCTAATCTATCAAATGAGAGGGTTGGACCAGATAATAGCCAAGGGTTACTTTGTTGTCTAATGTTCTATGAATCCATGATATTCTTGCATAGCTAAATATATGTTCATCCTCCTTAATTAGATGTGTTATAGTTAGTAAGAAAAAATCCTGTCTACTCGTGAATGAGTATTCATTAAATAAGCAAATATTTATTTAACAAAGTCTATGCTGGTCACACTGGCATCTCTGTGAAAGACACAAATATTTCTGTGAAGACACAAAGATGAATACAACTAAATTTTTATTAAGTATCTGAGAATATCCAGATATTAGAGGTAGCATGTATCTCCTTGGAAAGACAGTGATAGTAATGAACATGTAAACTCTCTGATCAGATCATGGACAAGGCATAAACTCCTGCCCAAGTGACCATCCTGACTCAGAGGTATGCCCTGATTCTCCATCATATTCTGTTTAAAAGTCACCTCTGTAAAGTTTTCAAAGTTGGAATATCTTATTAGGGTCTTCCAATGAATTGATTTAGGAAATTTGCTCAGTTTTGAAACATATGTAAGTTGACATTTAGTTCACTCTTTATTTTTAGAGACAGTTATGCTCTGTCACCCAGGCTAGAGTGTAGTGGCATGATTATAGCTCACTGCAACCTTGAACTCCTGGGCTCAAGGGATCCTTCTGCCTCAGCCTCCCAAGTAGATAGGACTATAGTTGTGCACCACCATGTCCAGCTAATTTTTAAAAATTTTTTGTGGAGATGGGGGTCTTGCTGTGTTGCCCAAGCTGGTCTTGAACTCCCAGCCTCAAGTAATCCTTCCATCTCAGCTCCCAAAGCACCAAGATTACAGGTGAGAGCTACCACACCCAGCCTTGGTTCACTATTGATCTTAAATTGCTCAAAGTCTCTGGCCATTTTAAGGTTTTTTGTGTGCATCTGTGTGTGTGTGTGTGTGTGTGTGTGTGTGTGTGTGTGTGTTTGGGTTCACATACACATGTGCGCCGGCCCACATTTGATATATGTATTTTGTGCTTTTTGTTAAGAAAAAGTTCCCTACCTAAGAGTTACCAGTATATTTTCACTATTAAATGCTTGCACGTCCATACATTTAGCCACGTCCACACACCCCATGGATCTCTTGCCTTGCAGTCTGGGGAGCTAGAATCTGTGGCACTGTACCCTTGCCAGATCTGTCCCCACTAGCTCCTGATCCAAGTAGCTGGCAAGGCCCCCTGCTGGGACTGACTATATAATTTGCAGGGCCCAGTGCAAAATGCAAATGCAGGGCCCCTTGTTAAAAAGGTTTTTTAAAATTTCAAGACAGCAACAGTGGAACATTAAACCAAGTATGGGGCCCTTCCAAGATCACACTTCCATGAAGCCAGCCCTCCCATCTGATTTGCCTGTCTGTGCTGCTGGAAAAGGGCATGCATCAGAGCGAAGGACTGCCAGCGTCCGAGATCCCCCAGCACTGCTGTGCTTCTAGGCGGTTCTACTAGAGGCATCAGCTCACCATCACTTCTCACCAACCCTGCCTCTACAGCTTGACAAAAGATGGAAAAACAGGAGAGATTGGCAGAACAGGGTGCACGAAGGATAGCTCACACTTATCAGAGAATGTCTTCAAAGTCTGTCAGAGAGCATCTCATCCAGCCTTTTGCTTTACAGATGTGGAAACTAAGACATTGAGAGGAGCCATGGTTCTACCAAGGCTACAGAGCTAGTTACAGCCAAATCTGAGGCCAAATCCCTGGCTTGCCTGCTAGCCAATACTAACTGCTAACACATACATAATCACACCTGGATTAAACAGTCCTCTGGGGATGCAGCCCATCTGTAAAGAAGGGCCAGTTTTTAGAATGTTCTTAAGTTTTGGGAAAAGCTTCTATTTTTTCTCTTTTGGTGGAAGGTGAGGAAGGAGGACCCAGGTGTGATACTGCAAAGTCTTCTAAGCTGTCTTCAGCATGCCCAGACCCCTTGTCACCATGGTGGCAGCACCTTCCCTCCCCAGCATTGAGAATCCTCAAGCTCACCAAGCTCCACACCTCTATATTCGTCCAGTTTGAGGGGTTAGGTTATGGCTTTGGGTTTGAGTGGGTTTCAGTCAAAGAACAGGGTGATTTCCCAGCTGGCCGAAACCTCAGAGATCTCTGAAAAGCAGTGGGGAGAATGAGATAACCAGAGGGAAGGAAGGGTCTGTGAGGAAACCCCCTTCTCTGGACCCAGGAGGCCTGTGCTCACAGAATCTCGGAAGGCCAGATCCAGAAGGGATGGCAGATGCTGGGCTCAACCCATTCACTGTAACTGGTGTCAAAACCAAAGCTGACAGGTGACTTATCCAGAGTCAGAGACTAAAATCCATGGCTCCTGCCTTGCATCCCAGGCTCTTTCTACTTTGTCAGTCTGTTAATGGTCTAGCCACTCTTTTATTTTTAAAACCTTTAATTTGGGGATTTTTATCCTTTCAAGACATTTTTTAAACTGAGACAGAGTCTTGCTGTATCGCCCAGGATAGGGTACAGTGGCACAATCATAGCTCACTGTAACCTCAACCTCCTGACTCAAGCAATCCTCCTGCCTCAGCCTCCCCAGTAGCTAGGACTACAGGCGGGCACCGCCATCACACTCAACTAATTTTCTTATTTTTTGTAGCCTGACCCTCTCTCTACAAAAACTAAGAAAATTAGCTGAGTGGCCCAGGCTGGTCTCAAACTCCTGGCCTCAAGCCATCCTCCTGCAGCCCTGGCCTCCGAAAGTGCTGGGATTACAGGCATGAGTCACCCCGCCAACCTCAAGGGATCTTTATTAAGCAAATGGCTGCCCTAGACAGCCTCAGCCCCCAGGGTGAGCGGCTGCCTGCACTTTGGCTGGAGGAGATCCTTCTGAGTGGCTCCGTTTGGCCTGCAGCCACTAAAATCTCCTAGGACCTGTCTCACTCCTGAAGGCAGGGTCTCTGTCCTCAGCTGCAGCTGAGCTGGGATGATTCCCCTTCCCCCGCTCCCCTCCTTTTCTTACCCCGCCCTCCGCCCATGGACCCAGCACTCCCAGACACATCATTCATGTTTTCTGGCGGGTTTGCTGTTAGCTGCATTCCTGTTTCATGATGTGCAGTGTCATCTCCTTGCAGCGTGAGCCCTCGCTGCAGCACGCAGGACGAAGGCCGCCTGCCACTGGAACGCGGTCTCGCGGGTGTCGGGGTGCAGCGCAGGCCAGGCGGACAGGAGGTGCGGCTGTGAGCCGTCCCACAAGGACAATGGAACTTTTATTTCTGGCCTGTCTTGGTTGGCAGTCTCTCTCCCACTCTCTTTCTTGGTTGGGCTTTGGTTTAAAGTTACCCTTTCAGGATTAGGTTGGTGTTTTCTTTCCCATGCCACCTGGGAAGTTTCTGTTTCCGAAGTGGCTGAACACAGACGGGTCAGTCAGTCCCAGGCCTTTACCCGGCAGAGGCGCGCGGCCGGGGCTTCTCCAAATCACCCGACAGACAGAGGCCCGCCAGACTTGCTTCTTGCCATGTGGGAAGGCATGCTGCCCTACAAGCTAATCTTTAAATTACTGTTTTATATTGGGCACATGTAATTTTAACCAAGCGTCCCTACCCTAACCTCCACCCCCGCGCCCCGTTTTTCACAGAAAATCTTGGGAACAAGAACTGCTTGGGAGTGGGATGGGGGTGGGGGTCTGTGAAAGCAGCCTTGGCTCCTTGCTCCTCATTTTTATGCCTTCAGTCACCACGAAGGCTGGCCACCAAAGACAATCTCCTATTCTCTGAAATTCAATGCCAAAACAAATGAGACAACCAAAAAAAGTTCTGGGTTCCCCTTAACCCAGCTGAGATGAGACAGCTTTTTAAAAGGAAACGCTAAAATCCACAGAAGAGAAGGGGTGGTCGGTCAGTGAAGCTCCTTAGGGACCCACCAGCCCTTATCCTAAGATTGTCACTTCCTGGAGGGTTACATGGCGCTGCCACAGCCTTCCCCCAGCCATTCTCAGGGCTAAATTGTTGGCTGCCTGTTACTTTCCACTTGGGGAAGCTGTGCCTCCGCAAACACAGCCCAGCTCAGATTAGGAGACCACAGCCTCCACACGGGGGAGTCTTCTAGAAGCTTGCCCCTTCCAAGCCCGAAGCATGATGTTAATTTAACCACATAACCACACGCAGCTAAACCCATACCATAAGTGTGAGCACACTAAGAACCAGGGAGACTTCTTTCAACTTCTCTCAGTGTATCATTATCTTATCTGGGACTATGCTGCCGCTGCCTCCTCCTCCTCTGCCTCCTCCTCCCCCTCCTCCTCTGCCTCCTGCCTCCTCCTCCTCCCCCTCCTTCTCCTCTTCTTCTCCTCCTCCTCCTTCTTCCTCCTTCTCCTCCTCTTCTTCTCCTTCCTCCTCCTCCTCCTTCTTCCTTCTCCTCCTCCTCTTATTCTTCCCTCTCCTCCTCCTCTTCTTCTTCCCTCTCCTCCTCTTCTTCCTCCTCCTCCTCTTCTTCCTCCTCCTCCTCTTCCTCCTTCCTCCTCTTCCTCCTCCTTTTTCTTCCTCCTCGTCTTCCTCCTCCTCCTTTCCTTCTTCCTCCTCCTTCTTCTTCTTTCTTCTTCTTCTTACAAAGGCAATACTTATTTATGAGAAAGGCATACAGTAAACAAAACAAAACAAAACAAAACACGTTCCTCTCATCCCTCCCCTACAAATTCTATTCCCTTGGAGTAACCATGACTAAACCATTTGGTGCATATTTTTTTAAATCTGACACTTGCCAAGACTCAAATACATACTCCATGGTCATGTTTTAGTTGTTGCTGTTTTTAGCTCTTGTTTTAAAATCAACGTTATTGAGAGAAATTTACACACAATAAAATATGCCCATTTTAAGTGTGCAGCTGGGTGAATTTTGATAAATGTGTGCACCCTCAGGACCACTTCCACAATCATGATATAGAACATTCTCATCAATCAGAAATTCCCTTGTGCCCCTTTGCTGGCAATTCCCCACCCTGGCCCCAAGCAACCCCAATCTGCCCTCTGTCATTATAGGTTGGTTTTGCCTACTCTAGGATCTCATATAAATGGAATCATGCAGTATGTACTCTTTTGTATCTGTTTTTTTTTAATAAATCAGCATGTTTTTGAGATTCACTTGTGTTGCTATGTGTATCAGTAGTTAGTTCTTTTCTATTGCCGAGTAGTATTCCATTATATGAATGTACCGTAATTTGCTCATCCACTCTTCTCTGGCTGGACATTAGAGTTGTTTCCAGTTTAGGGGTGATATGAATTGCCTGAAAAGCTGTTATGTTGTTTTTAATCATTAAAAAAGTAGAGAGAGTAAATTCAAATGTATCTCAGACCTATAATTCAGAGCTTAGTAATTAGCAGGCATATTTCTAAAGCAAACATCTTTATGTGAACAAGAAGTCCAGATAAGCCACCTTAATCTTGATTATAATGAAGATAATTATTAACATTGAATGCTCACGTGACACTTCCAATTTGCAAACTCTATTTTCAGACATAATCTCTGGCATTTTACTAATTCTATAAATGCCAGGCTCTTAATAAGCTCTTTCTCAAACCCCACCTCCTCCTCCACATCCACACAGTTGGGACAAGGCTGGCTCCACTGGCATTCAGAAGACATGAGGAATTCTACTGATAGTTTTATGCACAAAGCCCTGACCCATGTGCCTGTTCATGCAGATCATTTAAGTCCTGATTTAAATCGAGTTCTAGAGAATTTAATTAGAAATATTCCAAAAGGAGTGCTATATACGCATCCATTAATTTAAAAGAATCCATTAGAAAGAACCTTGAAAAAAATTAAAGTAGATAGCACCACAACATGATTTGACTTATTTTGCTGACTACATAAGGTAATTTTGATGATGGAAGACATGCCACCCAAAAAGCAAAATCATCTAGCAAAGTGGTAGAGTAAACCTATACATCCAAGCCATGACTTCCATGCTTCTGGTCAGGAATGCAATTTTCCCCTCACTGGAATTATTCATTTCCTTTTTAATAGGTCATGTCTCATTTACCTTGATTTAGCTGTGGGCCAAATACAGTTATGCAGTTGGTGTGGGAAGAGAAGGAGAGAGACCAAGAGAGAACTTTATGGGAAATATGGTAGCTCTGTTCTTAAGATCCAAGTACATGCATGTCAGGAATTGTACCACATCTTCGGTTCTTTTTCTATTATGAAGAGAGTAAAGGGTTTTTCTATGTTTATGTACTTGAAAGAATAACGAGAAGTATGCTTGAAAATACTGTTTGATGAATAGCGCTTTTACGTGTGTCACTATGAGGAAGTATCATATTGCGCATTTCACCGCAAGGCCAAGGAGAATATTTAAAAAGAAAACTCCACTGTAATGTGAAAAATAGACCGATACCTACATCTGTCTACAGGAAGAATAAATCACTAAACAAATATTTTAATGGCCTTAAAATACAATCAGAAAGAGCAATTCTCGAAGGTGGTTAGTTTGAGCCCTCATTGGAAAGTTTATTTTCATTGAGTGTATGGATTGTTGTGTATCTACAGTTGCAGTTATGATAAGTTTACAGGAGAAACATCATATGACCACATCCTGTTACATGGACATTCTACCCATGAGATGGAATGGAAATAAAGTACTGAGATGAACAATAAGCTGTAACAATCAGCCTTGACAAGGAAATGCCACAGTCTGAGATTCCAATTCTGACAGGAATTGACTTTAAAAAAATCCACATAGAACCCCGACTTCTTTCCACCATATTACACTTTGTACTACAATCCCTGTTTTACAGAAAAGCCCATAAGGTAAGCATAGCACTCAATAAATATTGATTGAATAAATAAATATTGAACCTAATGAAGTTCTTAACATTCTACTAGCTTTTTAAAATAGCATTTTAGAAAATAACTTACCACTGGCCTGGTGGATAGAGATCCATTTGATCAGAAGTTAGGAGATTATCTTGACCTTCAGAAATGATGAACTGTTCTAAACTTTGATTTCTCTTTTAATAAAAAGTTAACATTCTTTTCCATCAAATCACATATTAGAGAGTATTATTTAAGTGAGGTCTGAAAAAAAATCTTGATTTTCTAACCAATGAAAGTAATACAAACTTATTTTACCAGGTTAAACAATGCAGAAATGCATAAATTATGCAAAATGTGGTAGGACTCTTACCTAAGTCAGTGCCAGTCTTCAGAGGTAGCCGTGGTTAACAGTGCAAAGTATAACCTTTCAGTAGCACTTTTTTCTGTGCACTTCTAAATGTACAGAGTTGGGGTTTTTTTTTTTTGTTGTTGTTGTTGTTTTGGAAACAGGGTCTTACTCTGCAGCCCATGCTTGAGTCCAGTGGTGAGATCACAGCTCACTGAAGCCTCAAATTCTGTGGGCTCAAGTGATCCTCCCACCTCAGCCTCCCGAGTAGCTAGGACCACAGGTGTGTGCCACCGTGCCTGGCTATTGTTTAAACTTTTTGTGGAGATGGGGTTTCGTCATGTTGCCCAGGCTGATCTCAAACTCCTGGCCTCAAGAGATCCACCCACCTTAGCGTCCCGAAGTCCTGGGATTACAGGCATGATCCACTGTGCCAGGTGAGATTTTTTTCATTAAGCAAAACATGTATCATATGATAAATATTATTTTTCAATTTGCTATTTTTCTTAGTGAGATTTTTACATTCATGTGCTAGAACAGTGTCTAGGCCAGCCTTCAAAGAAGAGGATGTCTTTTGCTCATTAATCCATTCAACAAACATTTACTGAGTCTTTACTGTATACCTGGCACTGTTCTGGGTGTTAGGAGGCAGCAGAAAAGGAGTCCCTGCCTACACGGCTGACTTCCCTGCCTCGGTACTCAGTGTCTCATTGTGAGTGTCTGTCGCCTACCTCTTGAACCTTTGGGGAATGCACATTTTAGTTACTGGCTGAAACATCTGATTGCAAATCTTCCATGGGAGTAGTTTACACTAAATTCTAAAATTTAGTTAAATAAATATATTACCTAATAGGGCTTTACTACATATGTTTTTGAAACCAAAAGATGTTCTTATCTTTGAGTTTAGACTAGAATATATCTTGTTTCCTGTTGCTTTGTTTGAATATCATTGATATGTGAATACAATATAGATGTAGTTCTTTAATGTCTAGTGAAGGGATTTGTAATCTCCATTGTACCACCAAGTTATCCCTAAATCATACCACCAACCACCAGAAAAATCATGCCTTGGCAGGAAGGGAGCCTGTTCTCAAACACTGCGGAGAAACTGTTGTCCTGGCTTGGATAGTATTCTGGAATAAGGGTCATCTTCAAATGGACTGTCTTAGAGTAAAATAAGAAATGCCTCTGGATCTTCTTTTTTCATATTTTTTCCATGCCAAGGGTTTATACACACATGCACACACTTAAGTCCTTTATTGCCTAGAATCTTAGCTCCCAGAGCCCTGGAATCAATGGCAATCACTGCTCAGGCCCCAGTAGCTTCCTCTTAGGAGTAAATTCAAATTCTGTACTAAAAGAAATATCCGGGAGGCTATTTCTTAATGCTATCTTCCTCCCTCACACCTGATTGGTTATGACAAAGAGGCTGAGCCTCAGTCCCTCCCCTGAGGCTGCTGGCCTGGTTAATCTGTCCTCCAGGTCTCCCATGGGCACCTAGAGTTAAGCGACCAGCTGTACTGTACAAAGATTCTATTGAGGCTCAGCTCCAGTAACTTGCTGGCTTTGTCAGGGTAGCATTTACAACTGCGTGCTGACCTTGCTTGGCCCACAGTAGACTGTGTGGGCATTTGTACAGCCCCATGTGGGAACATCTCTGTCTAATTCTCAACCTTGGGCAAGAACTTTTCAGGTTCTGGCAGCCAAAATGAACTGCTTGGAAGACAAAGAAGCATTTGCTGGGGTCTGAAAATGAACCTCTCCTAGGTGAATCAAGGCAGTTTCTAGAGCCTGGTAGGGCTAGGCTGAGGTTGGGAGAGCTGCCTGTGGGAAGAAGCAGCCCCATATGAGCCCCAAGCATCCCTGCACGCCCCTGCTGAGAGTGCCAAACTGCAAGACCTAGCAGCCTTCTCACCCTGAGCCTTTATTGCAATTAGTCATGTGGACCATTAAGCAGGTCAAGGTGACCATAGCAAGACTGCTGTGCTGAACACTCACTCCCCGGTGGAGGGCAATTGAGTTGTTCACTGCATGATGTAAAAGGTGCTGAGTTCTTGGCCCTGGATTCCTTAGCTGTGGCATAATCCACTGTGTGCATGGTTGCCCTCTGTGCCTATCATGTCTCCTGTGGAACTTGGGGATAGGGAATCACCTCTATTACTGATGTTCCTCCAGTTTGCTGTGTTGTGGATAATAAACTGACTTGAGTCTCACTATCTACTTTGGATACCTATGGAATCGTAGCAAGCCAACCTGCTGGCTTGCTGTACTAGTAGTACCCTATTGCTTCTGTAACAAATTACCACGAACTTAGTGGCTTAAACAACACAAATTTATTTTATAGTTCTGGAGGACAGAAGTCTGAAATGAATCTAAAATGCAGGTGTTTCAAAGAAATGGTAAGCGTTTATTACCAGGAGATGTGTTTATTGCTAGGAGACATGTTGATTACTCTGATTTGATCATTACACATGGTATATATACATGGATAGAAATATCCCTCTGTATTCAGTAAATATGCACAATTATTACATGTCAACTGAAAATAAAAGAAAAAGAAGAAAAATAAATAAATAAATAAAATCAAGGTTTTGGTTGGCAGGCCTATATTCTCCAGAGAAGAATCTGGAATTTTTCAGCTTCTAGAAGCTGTCAGCATTCCTTGGCTCATGGCCCTTTCCTCCATCTTCAAAGTGCATAACCACAACCTCTTCTTTCATCATCCCATCTCATCTTTCTTTGTTTAATCTTGCCTTCCTCTGCCTTGTGCTTACATTGAATTCACCTCATCATCTCAAGATCCTTAATCACAGCTACAAAGCCCCGTTTGAGTACATAATCACAAACTCTGGGATTAGGACAAGAACATCTTTCAGGGGTCATTATGCAGCCTGCCACACTTGCTTAGTCACATTCTTTGGGCTCTTGTCACTTCTTGCCATCCTCTATGATGTCACTTTTTGCCTGATACTCCAGAACCCAGTGCTAATAGCAGAACACCCTTTAGCTCATAGTAGGACAGAGCAGAGCAATCTGTCTCTTTTGATTTGACCTGATGGTCTGGTAAGAGGGTACAATTTGCTACTCCTAGGCCAAACTCAGAGGTCTAGCACCTCTAGAATGAAGCTCCATGAAGCCAGAGACTCTTGCCTGATTTATTTATCAGTAAGCTCCAATGCCTAAAACTGTGCCTTCTGGAACATAATAGGTGCTTAATAAATATTTGTTGAATGAACACATTTATTCAGCTTGCTTGTTGCTGGCTGCCCACTTCTACTCAGACATGAATTTTTTAAATTACTCGTGATAGGAAACCCTTTATCTACGTAATAGATTTACTTTCTCCATCTTGAGTCTCAAAATTAGATGCCTGATGGTGCCTTTATCAAAATAAGGAGTATGGGAGAAGGAGCGGTTTTCAGAGGGAAGATACTTTCTGTTCTGTACATACTAAGTTTGAAGTGCTGACGAGTCAACCAGGCTGCGATGTCATGCAGGAAGTTGGAAATGTGGTAGCGAAAAAATGGCAAGGTTGGAAATACAAATTTAGGATTCAACCACACGAAAAATATAGATGAAGTCACAAGATTGATTAAAATGTCAAGGGAGAGGATGTGGAGAGAAAAGAGAAGAGCTCATTTGGTTAATTCTGCAGCATCTAAAATTAGCATGGGTGCCAACAACATATTTTGGTAATAGTCATACATATTAATGATCATGCCCACTGACACATATATTTTTAGATTCAAAGGTTCTAGTAAGAACATATTTCTTACCTGTGACACCCTATTTCCTGTCCTCTCCTAGCCTCAAGCCCCTCTTCCAGGATTGAGGTTTCTTGTATTTACTCACCCACTTTTATTTAAAAAAAAAAGCAAACCTCTCCTAAGGTTTCTGTCCCACCTGTGGGGCCCCTGAGCCATGGTCCAGCAGTTTTCTTCTCCCTGTACACCCTCCACATTTGCCACCAGACCTTTCATACCACAGAGCTTGAAGCACCTGAACATGGGATTGATGGGCTCAGGCAGCTTCTGCATGGTAGTGCCTGCTTGAATTTATTGCCACCACCACCAGTCCCAACCAGACACCAGGATCTGAACTGCGTTGGACACCCAGTCCAGATTTCTATCTGAAAATCTTTTGCTATGGTCTTTTAATTGCAGGTTTTATGGAGACAAAAAGAAATGGCTGACTTTAGCCTCATGATGAGAATGGTGTTATGTATGGTTAACTTGAGCATATTGTAAGCAGTGATAGAGTTTCTGCTATCTGCTCATAATTCCCTCTTCTCCTCAAAAAAAAAGTAGTGAAAACTCATAGCCAGTGTGGGAGCCAGCTTTCAAGATGGCCTCTGGTGGTGTTCACCTGCTGGTCTTCACAACTGTTGTATGCTTCCCTTCCATGTTATAATAGATTGATTCTGTACGGCCAATAGAATATGGCAGAAGTGTTGGTATGTCACTTTCAAGATTTAATTATAAAAGGTACAGATATATTAACCTATTAACCTATAAGTAGAGCAATCTATCTCTCTAATCACTCATTCTGGGAGAAGCCATCAGCCATATTGTGAGCTGCTCTGTGGAGAGGCCCAGATGGTAAGGAACTGAGGCCTCCTGCCAACAGCCATGTGAGTTCGTCATCTAAGAAGTGGCTCCTCCAAGCCTCAGCCAAGCCTTCAGATGACTGCAGCCCCAGCCAATATCTTCACTGAAACCTTCCAAGAGACCCCAAGACAGAAGCACTAGCTAAACTGCTCCTGAATTTCTGACCTACAGAAACTGTGAGATAATAAATGTTTGTTATTTGAAACCATTCAGTTTTAATGGTAGTTTGTTATGCAGCAAGATAACCAATATAACCAGGAATGGGGATCACCCCACACTTATTCCTCCTCTGGATGTCCTAGCTCAGCTAAGCTTCTTCTTGGCCCTTTACCACTCTTGTCATCAGATGGTCTGCCCTGAGATGAGAACATCTTTGCACATGAACTTGCATAATCAGCCTTAACCTCAGTTCATAGGCTAAATTAAAAATTGTTAATAAAGATGTGGAAAAATAATTATTTTAACTGGTATCTAAAGAAAAGCAAATTAATACAAATATAAAATTCTATTTTTTATTTATCAAAATAGTAAGGTTTTAGAAAACATTGATACTTAATGGTGAAAAGGTGGTTCAATCCTTCTGAAATGTATTAAGAACATTCAAAAATTTTGATCTTTGATGCAGAGTTGATTATACTTCTAGGAATAGATCTGATGAAAGTAATGAGAAATGCAGATAGAAATTTATAGCTAAAGATATTCACTACAGCATTTACAGTAGCCAAACATTAGACACAACCTTTGGTCCAACAATAAGGGATTTGTTTTTAAAAAAAGTTATGGGCCGAGCACGGTGGCTCATGCCTGTAATCCCAGCACTTTGGGAGGCCAAGGCAGTTGGATCATGAGGTCAAGGGATCGAAACCATCATGGCCAACATGGTGAAATCCCGTCTGTTCCAAAAATACAAAAATTAGCCAGGCGTGGTGGTGCATGCCTGTAGTCCCAGCTACTCAGGAGGCTGAGGCAGAAGAATCACTTCAACCGTGAGGTGGAGGTTGCAGTGAGCTGAGATCACGCCACTGCACTCCAGCCTGGTGACAGAGTAAGACGCTGTCTAAAAAAAAAAAAAAAAAAAAAAAAGGTACATTTATTTTATTTGAAATTATGTAGCTACTGAAAACTAAGGTTATAAAGTTTTTTACTATGTGGAAAATGTTTCAGTAAAAATATAGGACACAATTATAAACGCAATATAGCCTTAGTTCTAGAAATGTAAATATGCATGAATCGAAAACTGGGGAAAAATGTGCTAAAATATTAGCATCAATTATTGTTTGAATAATCCTCCCCAGCAACGATTTGGAACAATTATTTTCTTCTCCATAGTCCTCAGAATTTTTAGAATTTTCACATTGGAGAGGTATTACTTTTAAATCAGAAAATAAAATGTTTAAAAATTGCATAGATGTAGGCAGTATAGCTTCTTAAAGTATCCAGTATTTGCCTTTGCCTTTTATCCATGAACCACAATGTTTTGGGTGATTCATGAATGATTCACATCAAAAGCCCTGGCCTATCTAAAATTTCATATTTCTTCTTGCTCTTTCAGGTAGGAGATTAATGAACATTCCAGAATGAGACTATGGCGTGGGAAGGAAGTGTGTAATGAACCCAGGAGGATGCCTAGGAGATGTGTCCATTGTAGCATTCTAGGTGTGACCACAAAGTGCCCAGCATGTGGCATTCTGAAGAAGGCCCTATGAGCTCAGCATTCTATTTCCTTTACTCAGAATGGAAGCAGGAAGATAGAATTCAATTGCAAAATGTTGGTCACTGACTCTGAAAAGGATTCAAATTACTGACAGCTTAAAGTAATCAATGCTATGAAAGCCATAATTATCCCAATACTGCAAAGATTTGGAGGTTTAACAACAACAACAACAACAAAAACCAGTTCTCCCAATCTGTGTCTTTCTGTCTGCATCTCTGTGGTTACATAACTAGAAAAGGGCCGGTTCAGGAATGAATCCCAGATGGCTCCGCTCAGTGTTTGCTTTGAAGTCGGTTCAATTCGATTTATCTGGTCTGTGGTTTGAGGATAGGGTGGAAGGATCCAACTACACAACAGTGCCCAGACCCCAGAGTAGGGACAGAACATCTGCTTCCTGGGCACAAGTGCATGAGGAAAGGATTTACCCTTCAAGGGTGTTGATTCTGATCCTGGCTACATGGGGGAGAGGGGTGTGGGGTGTTGCTTCCTGGCCTGCTCAGCCTGGGGTCTCGGGGGCTGCTTCTCACCCTGCTGTGTGAAAGCCATGGCTGTAAGTCCCAGCCAAGCTTGGCCCCACGGGTCTCCTACACCCAGGAAGGTGTCAGACCATCTCAGCTGGGTAAGGTCAAGTGGGGCCCCGGGGTTCCGCCCTTCATTGTGGGTCTTGGTATTTATAGCTTCTCGCTCTGTTCATTTTCTCTCAGGTGGTTAATTATATCATTTCTCTCTCCAGTTTTCTGAAAGGAATAATTGACTCAAGAGGCTGGCCTGTCAAATATTTGTGTAGGGCAGTGTGCAGTGACTGAGGAAGGCATGGAAAGTGAGACAGTGCCATTGAGAATGGCGGGACCACAGAAGGCCAGTGCCAGGAAGGCACTAATGTCATCTAGTTCCCAGGCTGCAGACCCAGATGGCTACAGGGACAGAGCAGGTTCCCTAAAGGCGGGAACTGGGCTGGTATTGAGCAGAGGGACTGTAGGTCGGAGAGTGCGCACCCTTCCTAAAGATATGCAAATAAAAATGTTAATAATAATTTGTAGCCCAAAGAAAACACAATTGCAGGTTGGATTTGGCCCAAGGGTCAGCATTTGGACATTCTTGGGTGGTCCTGCACCTTCAATGTACAGACAATAAACAGGTCCAGGGACCTATCCAGTTGATGACTAGCCGAGCCTAGAACACTAGTCTTCCAGCTCCCTGGCCAGGGGACCTTCTGGTCTAGATCTCTGCTGACAAACTGACGCTGTGACAGCCCCTCCACCCTGCACCCCATAATGACAGTTTGACAGAAAAAGAAAAAGCACTCTGTCAACCCCTACTTATTTCAGGAAATGGCCAGCTACAGAAAAATGTCCACCCCTAACATGAAATGTCCCATACTGCTCGCTTGCCCACTTGCCAAAGGTCTGCCCAGCATCCTCGAAGACCGATCAGAAAGTCTCCCTGCTTCCAAAATTCCCACCCTAATAGAATGATTGCTGATCAGAGACCGTCTCTATATTTCTCTTTCTACTCCATGAAACACGTTGTCCTTTCTAACACTTTTCAACCCCTGCTGAAACCAAAGGGACCTGCAGATGCTTCCCTTGCCACAAGCTTATCAAGAGACACTGCACTCCCATATTTATTGCACAATAGCCAAGATTTGGAAGCAACCTAAGTGTCCACAACAGACGAATGATAAAGAAAATGTGGTACATACACACAATTCAGCCATAAAAAGAATAAGATCTTGTCATCTGCAACATGGAAGAAACTGGAGGACATTATGTTTGTTAAGTGAAATAAGCCAGGCATGGAAAGACAAACTTTGCATTTTCTCACTCATTTGTGGGAGCTAAACATTAAAACAATTGAACTCATGGAGATAGAGAGTGGAATGATGGTTACCAGAGGCTGGGAAGGGTAGTGGGGTGGGGGTAGGGAGGTGTGGAAGGGGCAGATGGTTAATGGGTACAAAAATACAGTGGCATAGAATGAATAAGATTTAGCATTTGATAGCATAACAGGGTGATTACAGTCAACAAAAACTTATTGTACATTTTTAAATAAGTAAAAGAGTGTAATTGGAATGTATGTAACACAAAGAAATAATAAATGCTTGATGTGATGGATACCCCATTTACCCTGATGTGATTATTACACATTGCAAGCCTGTATCAAAATATCTCATGCACCCCATAAATATATACACCTACTGTGTACCCACAAAAATTAAAAATTAAAAAAGAGAAACAGCCGTGTTCATTTTGTCCTGGACATAGGTTTGGACACTGGCATGTGTCAGAAGACTGCAGCTCTCAGGGATTTTGCCCCGTATCTGCCCGTTCCTGGCAGAGTAGATACTCTGTCCCCAGTCACCTGCAAACTGTAACTATCACTCTAAAGCAGCCTGCATTCCTAGGATGCCCCCTGGGAATTTCTGCTCCCCCTGCCCTGGAGCTGCAGGAGAGGTGCATGAGCCCACAAGGATGGGCAACCCATCAGTCCACCTCTGGGCTGTGCACAGTAATTTCGGTGCAGGGTGTTCTCCAGAGTCCAACCATCCTTTGTCCTTGGCGTCCCCCAGTCCCAGCCCCACCTCCTGGCCTCCCAGTCCTAACTTGGGAATTCTGTTCCAGCAGTACCCGTAACCTCTGCACTGCTGTTTTTCTCAACAGTTTTTTCTGTCCTGAAGGAGACCTCATCCAGTCAACATCTACTCACTCAACATTTTCTATGTGGCTCAAGTTCCAAAAGAAGCCTCAGTGAGCAAAAGCCCTTCCTCTCCCTCCCCTGTGAGAGTCTGCCTAATGCCATGATTACAATAGCTAGTATTTGTTGAACACTTACTATTTCCCAGGCACAGAGCTCCCTCTCCTTCACCTTACATTCTTCCTCTCTTTAATCCTCAGGAAAATGCTATGAAGTAGGCATTCTTATCCCCTTTTGTGCCAGTGACAAAATTCAGAGAGATTAAGCAAGTTGCCCAGGGTCACACAGGAGCAGAATTTAGATTTGCACCCAGGTTTAAGCTGGACTCAATCCCCTCCCTCTGTGGCATATTTGCTTTCACTGGGAGCCCCCATTTCTCCCCCACCCCCATTCTGCAGCACTGACTCTGCCCCATGTCACTGTTCCTTGCTAAACTCACTGGTGTGAGTTTCTGGAGGATGAATAGAGAGCAGCACCAGCTGAAGTTCTTCTCAGGTCCTAAGCCATCTAACTTTTACAACCACCACCCACATGATGTCAATTGTATTAACATGCTCCAGCATCTGATTTTAACTATAAATGTTGAAAACATTTTGAAAAGCGTTTTATAACTTTGTTTTTGAAATTATTTTTTATTTCATTTTGACCATTTTGTTTTCTTATTTTGAAATCCATTTAATTTGTCATTCTGAAACATTTTGTAGGCCCTTGAAAAGCCATAGACACTGGGCTTATAGTGCTTAAGTGATGGAAAAACAAAACAAATTGTGGCGATGGGGAAGAGTTATCTGCATGTTGTCCACACCTCATCAATATGCAAACCTTTGATTCAATTTCCGTAAGTATCATTTTTGCCTCCTGCAGAAGATAGCACTATATCCTTCATGTGAGTACTTTCTAGGAGTTTCTGATCCCAAGTCTGATGTTTTGGTGCTAACATTTCCAGCTTGTTGGTGCCGTGAGATGCTAATGATTAAAAACAGAAGGGTGGCTTATGCTGTGCGTCACAAATTCTCAATTACTGAAGCCAGTGGGAACCCTCCTCCCAAGTGAGGGTCAAGGATGGGCAATGATGCACTTGGGAAGCATTAATGGTACCTTATCTCTGGGATGGTTGGTTTGCTAGGGCTGCCATGACAAAATACCATACACTGGGTGGCTTAAACAACAGACATTTATTTTCTCACATTTCAGGAGGCTGAAAGTCCAAGATCAAAGTGTTGGCAGGGTTGGTTTCCTCAGAGGGCTGTGAGAAAAACCTGTTCCAGGCCTCTCTTCTTGGTTTCCAGATGGCCACCCTCTTGCTGCCTCTCCACAGGGTCGTCATCCTTCTGTGCACGTGTACCCCTGCTGTCTCTTTGTGTCCTAATCTCTCCTTCTTATAAGGACACCAATTAGATAGAGTTAGACCCACCCTAACAGCCTGATTTTAATTTCATCACCTCTCTAAAGGTCCGATCTTCAAATACAGTGACATTCTCAAGGACTGAGGGTTAGGGCTTCAACATATGAATGGTGTGGGGAACACAAGTCAGCCCACAAAAGATGGGTTTTTCTTGAGATGCCTCCATAATGCTCAGAAACCCTTCCTCCATTTTGCCTGAACTTCAGGAGAGAGCTTTGCCACATTCAGAGCGGAACTGGGATGAGGCATAATGAGTCCTCCTAGTGCTTCTGCTCTATGGGTGCTTGTTAAACACCGCGCTAAATGCTTAACCAGCCTTAACTCAATATCCTGTGATATAGCTATTCCCCAGTTTATGCATCAGAAAACAGAGAGGCCAAACAATTTGCTTAAGGTTAGTCAGCTAATGAATGGCAGAGCTGAGACATGAATTGAAGCAGTCTGTGCTCTTCACCACCAGCATACACTGGTTTGCAAAAGGGTAGAAAGAGTAGCCTTTCAATTTCCAAAGGGAGGACGGGTAGCCTTTCAGTTTCCAAAGGTGTTAGCCTTGGTTGCTTACGGGGTCTGTGTGTGTGTGTGTGTGTGCGTGTGTGTGTGTTGGGGAGGATGGTAAACAACTCCTTTGTGTTTTGTTTTGTGTAGGGGGGCTCAGAGAATGCCTGGGAGATATCCCATAGTTAGGCCTTTGGTTCCAAAGATAAAGGCCCAGGGAGGGAAGCTGGCTGATGGATAGGGGATATGAGCTTGAGGTTAAGATTAGAGAGCTGTCCTTAGCCTTGGAGAGATGGTCCCCCAAGTCTTGGAAGGTCTGGGCAAACAGCATTCCAGGAGTAGCTGAGGACTGAGCCCACGTACACAGGGACTCCAAGGTGGCAGAATCAGGATGCCTGCCCCCGTGACTCTAGGACCCTGAATGACAGCCTCCAAGACCAAGCCTGGCACAGAGGGAAGAAGATGCTAAGGGACCCACCTTCTTTCAAATGGACAGTAGTGACAGGTAGATGAGAACAGAGGCCTGGTGCCCAGCACATCCAAGGTTCCTTACATAAGGGGGGATGCAGACCCCAGTGACTGATCCTGGAATTCCTAATACCTACAAAAGTGGGTGGATGTACCAGCTTTATTTTTATGTAAAATATAAATGTGACATTTCTTGCAATTTGAGTGTCTTGGAGCAATTCATATCATATATTTATTCTGTCTCCTTTCCCATTTTTTCAAGTTGTGGGATCCCAAATTGGGCATGACAGATTAGTCAAAAGTATATAGAAAAGGGCTCAGAATTCACCCCAACCAACCCAGTCATTTCCTGGTCCCCTCACAGGCTATAGCTTGTATATAAGTGTCATGCATGTATTTAGCAACCTCATCTGCATGTAGTCCATTTTTCCAAACTATGTATTAGGATCCTCCTAAGTAGGAAACAAGTTTGTTGTTCTCTAATCCCCATATTGTAATGGTCAGCACAGAGCCCAACACCTGGAGAATGCTCATCAATGTGAAGAGAAATGTGTGTAAGATTGTAATGATCTTTGTTTACAGACTTATTTACTGGATCTGTCCCTCCAATGACAGATTTGCCTCTACAATGGGCATTGATTGTGATTTGAGCACAAAGCTGGGATATTATGCTAGAAGCACTGTAATCAGAGATTGCCTGGCACTTCTCAGCAGGTGCTAGACAAGCAGTGCCCTAGAAGTTGTTGGCAACTTTCTACCTTCTCCTTACCTCATCAGATCCTCTATTGGCTCAGTGGAAAAAGGATTGCTTTAGAGTCCAAGAGACTTGGGTTTTGAATACTTAACACTTAGGTAAACTCTGTGGGCAAATATCTTAGCCTCTCTTAACTTTATTTCTTGGTCTTTAAAAGGAGAAAAAGGGCATTTCTATTAAGAAATTTCTAAGAGGATTAAATGATATAACTTAAGCAAAGCCCCTAGCACAGAGAAAATGCCTAGTCATCGCTGGCAACCCTACCTCATTTACCCCTTTCTCTGTCTATCCTCAGAGATAAAACCATCTAGAAATGTACCTGAGCAAAGGAAAGGAAGGACTAGAAAGCATTTCTTGAGTCACATAGCCTGGTGACTCTGATCTAGGCTGACTCACAGATTCACAAACCACATGCCAGAAAAGGAACACAAAGACTTGGGACATGGAATGCAGCCCTTTTGGGGGACTATAAATTGTGTCCTCTTGGACCTTCCACTAAGAGCCCTGGATCCTGCTTTCTTCCACTAGGGAGCCATCTATCTCTAGCAGAATGGCGAAGGCCTCAAATCTGAGTTTAAATTCTTGCTTTGCCACTTAGTACCTTATGACCTAGGACAAGTCATGTAACTTATATGAGCATGTTTTATGATCTATAAAATAAATTGTATTAAAAACCTTGCATGGTGCCTGGCACATAGTACTCAGAAGTATTATGTCATTATAATGTGGTGGTTAAAAGCATGGGCTTAGGAGCCTGGCTCTGCCACTTACTAACTCCTACTAACTTTTTCTAACTAACCATCATCAAGTAAGCAGTCTGTCAATGCCACAGTTTCTTCATCTGCAAAATGGAACAGTAATATTTCCTACTGCTCTTGGTGTGGATGCCTGCAGAAGTTGTGAGACAAGGACTTGCAAGCAAAGAGTTTGTTTGGAAATTGCTCCTAGGAAACACTGGTAGGAGAATAGGGAAGTGAAACAGTGAAAGGAAGGAAGCCAGTAAAGAGCAAGTGGAGGTTCTTTACACTGCGGAACTCCATCTGGGAGGGTGTGTGGAACATACCCCAGGTATGCCAACTAAGGGGCAAGGAAGCTGGGGTACTTATCCTTCTAATCCCCACATGTCATTGGTGGAGAGCTGTTTCTGAAGATCCTAACCCTCAACACCCCCAGGGTCTCTTAGTAGACTAAATATATCCTAAGTTAAAAAACAAACAAACAAACAAAAAACAACCAACACACTACATTTGTGTGAACTTTAGCTAAAATAACATATGTGGTAGTGGGCTGAACACAGTCAACAAAGGGATAGCACTTTCCTCTTCCAGGAATTAAGAGCACGTCATCTACTTTACATACATGACAACCCTATGAGGTAGAGTGTCATGATTAATGTGCCCAAATCTCGCAGCTAATGGCATACCAAGTTTTCAACTCAGGTGTAGGCTCTTTCTATAAGGGCAAAATGATGCCCAAGTTTCGTTAACTTCATGTTTCATAGATCACTCTGCATTTTAGCATGTAAGTACTATAGTTCATGGTATCCCCTTATTCTCCTTTTGATGTCTACAGGGTCCATAGTGATATCCTCATCTGGAGTGAAGCTTCCTTAATATTGGTAATTTGGTTTTCTCTTTGTGAATCTTGTTAGAGTTTTGTCAATTTCATTGATCTTTTCAATACCACATCTCTTTGTTTCAACAATTTCCTTTATTTTTTATATTTCTAATTCCATTGATTTCTGTTCTATCTTTAATATTTTTGCTCTTCTGTTTACTTTGGGTTTATTTTGTTTTTCTTTTTCTAGGTTGTTGAGGTGGGAACTTAGATTATTTTTTAGTTATCCTCTTTTTTATGGATGTATGTAATGCTATAAATTTTCTTCTCAGTATTGCTTTACTGTGTCCCACAGATTTTGCTATGTATTTTAATGTTCATTCAGTTCCACATTTTTTATTTTCAAGATTTCCTCTTTGAGCAATAGGTTATTTAGTTTATTTAGTTGTCTATTTCCCAAGTATTTGAAGGTTTCCTGTTATCTTTCTGTTATGGATTTCTAGTTTGGTTCCCTTGTGGTTGGAAAACACATTCTGTAAGACTTAAATTCATATAAGTTGTTGGGGTTTGTCTTACGGCTCAAATATGCTCTAGCTTGCTATGTGTGCTGTGGGCACTTGAAAGGAATGTGTATTCTGCTGTTGTTGGGTGGATTGTTCTATGAACGTCAATTAGAGCTTGTTGGTTGATAGCATTGTTTAGTTCTTCTATATTTTTGCTAATTTTCTTTTTTTCTTTTTTTTTTTTTTTTTTTTTGAGACGGAGTCTCGCTCTGTTGCCCAGACTGGAGTGCAGTGGCGTGATCTCGGCTCACTGCAAGCTCCACCTCCCAGGTTCATACCATTCTCTTGCCTCAGCCTCCCGAGTAGCTGGGACTACAGGTGCCTGCCACCACGCCTGGCTAATTTTTTGTATTTTTAGTAGAGACGGGGTTTCACCACGTTAGCCAGGAAGGTCTTGATCTCCTGACTTCGTGATCCTCCCACCTCGGCCTCCCAAAGTGCTGAGTATTTTTGCTAATTTTCTGTATAGTGTTCTACCAATTGTTACAGAGTGTTGAAGTCTCCAACTATATTGTGGATTTGTCTATTTCTCCTTTCATTTCTATCAATGTTTGTGTCATATAGTTTGCAACTCTGTTTTTTGGAACATATATATTTAAGATTTCTATGTCTTATTCATGGATTGACCCTTTTGTCATCATATGATGTCACTCTCTGGTAATTTTCTTTGTTCTGTAGTCTACTTTATCTGAAATTAACATAGTTACTCCTGCTTTCCTTTGCTTAATATTTGCATGATATATTTTTTCCATCTTTTTATTTTCAGCCTGCCTATATTATAATATTTGAAATGAATTTCTTATAGACAGAATGTAGCTGGGTCAAGATTTTTAAATCTACTCTGTCAATCTTTATCCTTTAATTGGTTTATTTGAACCATTTACATTTAATATAATTATTTTTCGTGTTTGGACTCAACTCTACTGTTTTATTTTTGTTTTCTGTTTGTGCTTTTGCTTTTGCTTACTTTTTCCATCCTTCCTATAGATTGCAGAAACCTTTTATAGAATTCCACTTTGATTAATCTATAATGTTTTTGAGCATATCTCTTTGTATAAGTTTATTAGCGGTTGCTATAGATAGTATATCATATATACATAGTATATCACTGTCTACTTGTGTCATCATTTTACTGGTTTATTATTATAGAAACCTTATGCTATGGGTTGTGAAGTTTTTGGGGTTTTTTTTGAATCCTGGTTTTGCCTTTTTTTTTTTTTTACTTAATTTTCAAAATTTCTTAGGGTTTTAATGTTTCTCCCCTCCAAAACTCATGTTGAAATCTAATTGCCACTGTAACAGTATTAAGAGATGGGACTTTAAAGAGGTGTTATCCATGCCATTGTCACAGGAATGGACTAATATCATTATCATGGGAGTGGGTTCATTATCACAAGTGTGGTACTTTATTTGTCTCTCTCTTTGCCTACCTTTTTCACTTTCTTTGTCTCTCTCTTTGCCCTTGCACCATGTGATGCTTTCTGCCATGTTATGATGCAGCAAGAAGGCCCTCGTCAGATGCTGGCACCTTGATATTTGACTTCTTGACTTCCAGAACTAAAAGCAAATACATTTCTATTTATTATAAATTGCCTAGTCTGTGGCATTCTGTTATAGCAGCACAAACAGACTAAGACACTTTGCCTTGCTTTATGTCCCCTTACCCTCCCTATTTATAATGGAATTATCTCAAATATTCCTGCTACATAATTTAGAACCATATTAGACAATGTTGTAATTTTTGCTCCAACTACCAAACATAATTCAAAAAACTTACGAGAGAAAGAAAGACTATTGTATTTACCCATATGCTTACTTATCATGTTTTCTATTCCTTCCTATGTTCTAAGGTTCCTTCTTTTATTTTTGCTTTGTGTTTAGAGAACTTCCTTTAGTCATTCTTTTAGGGTAGGTCTACTGGTGACAAATTCTCTTAGTTTTTCTTCATCTGAGAATGTCTGGAATTCTCCTTCATTCCTGAAGGATATTTTCACTGGTTATAAGATTCTGGGTTGGCAGTTCTTTCTTTTCAGCACTTGAAAATTATGCCATTTCATTCTAGCCTTGATGGTTTCTCATGAGACATCCACTGACACTATTTTCCCACTATAGGTAAGGTGTCATTTTTCAATATTGTTGTGTGTCTTCAGCTTTCAGAAGTTTAATTATTATGTGTCTTAGCATGGATTTCCTTGGGTTTTCCCTTTTCAGGTTTGCTCAGCCTCTTGAACCTGTAAACTTATTTCTCCTGTCAAATTTGGGAAGTTTTCAGTTGTTATTTCTTCAAGTACTTTTTCAGCCCTTTTTATTCCTCTCCTTCTGGCATTCTGATGACATGAATGTTAGATTCTTTGTTATGGTCCCACAAGTCTCTGAGGCTGTATTCTTTCTTTTTTCAGTCTATTTTATCTCCGTTGTTCAGAGTCAGCAACCTCTATTTTTCTATTTTCCAGTTCACTGATTTTTTCCTCTGTCCTCTATTCTATTGATAAGCCTATGAACTGAGCCTTTTATTTTGGTTATTGTATTTTTTCCATTCTAAAATTCCCATTTGGTTTTCTTTAGATCTTCCATTTCTTTGCTGGGTCTTTTTATTTTCTGTTTTTAATTTATTCCAAGGGTTTTATTAAATTGCTTATTGGAGCATTTTTATCATGACCACTTTGAAATTATTGTCAGATTAATTTAACATCTTTGTCATCTCAGTGTTACCATCTATTGCTTGTCTTTCTTTGTCTCTCTCTTTGCCTACCTTTCTGGTTCTTGTGTGACAAATGATTTTGAATTGAAACCTCATTTTTGTACTGAATTATGAGACTGTGGGGGCCTTATTTTAACCTTCTGTTTTAGCTGGCTTTTATTTTTATACCACTCCAGAAGGAAAAGGACGTGGTGTCACCTTGTTACTAATAGGTAGAGGTAGAAGCCCAGGTTCCCCTCTTGTCCTCAGTCAATATCTGGGTGGGGACAGGAGGACTTTGTTTCTGTTGGGTGGGATGGGGATTCTGGGTCCCCATGTGGTTTCCACTGATACTGAGGTGAAGGTGGCCTTGTTATCATTATGCAATTGTGAAAATCCTAACTCTCCACTAGACCTTCTCTGACACTGTCCCAATGGGGAAGAGGAGGGTTGCCTTGTTACTGCTGAGTGACAGTAAAAGCTTAGGCTCCTCATATGGTTTCCACTGACATTACAGGGATAGGGAGGATCTCATTATCAATGAGGTGGAGATAAAAGTCTTGGCTCCTTATGTGACTCTCTCTGATTCCATCATGGCAGAGGCTTAGGCTGCCTCATCACAACATTGTGATGGTGGGAGTCTAGGCTTTGCTGGCATGTAGGGTAAGGTCACAGTTTTTCTGTGGTGTTTACTTGGAATAGAATTACTTATTATGTAAGTTTTCTGTTTTGCCAAGCTGCACCTTTCCTTGTCCTTTGGCTAGAGACAGCAAGCTTCCTTGGGGCTTTTAATGTCTGCACCCACAGGCATTTCTGGGTTGCTAGCTTCCTTAGCTCCAAATCTAGCATACATGAGGCAAAAAGAAAATCCAGGGAACTCATCTCCATGTCATTCCTTAGGTCATCATGTCCCTAGCTGGTCTGCCTACGTTTCTCCATCTTTTAGAGTTTTCTTCTGCTAGTTTCATATATAATATCCAGGGTTTTTAGTTGTATTTAGTGGCAGGAATAGCGAGCGAAAAGTATGTCAACTACATCTTCCTGGAAGACAAAGTTACTCATTCCACATTTTAAATACAAGTATAACTAAGAATTTCATTGCAAGGCTTGGAAAATCCTACTGCTAAGAAATAGCCATGACTTTATAAGAACCCATAAAAGCTGATGTTCAGGAGCCAAAACTAACTTTTCTAATAGAGAAAGACTTTATATAAGTTTTCACTCGATGTTACTGTTTGGTTTGGGGAACTCCTTTTGACCTGTAATAGATACGATGTGTCATAAAAAGGATATTAAAAGTCATTCCTGAGCTTGAAGTGATTTGATGATAAGTAAAGAAGGCTTTATTATGTTAGCAGAACTTTGAGGTTTTAGGAGAACTCTGTCACCTGGTTGCTTTGAACCAGAAGGTAAGTTATTCTAAGCCAGGCACTACATCTGCATGATCTGCTCAGTATCCCAAATCGATTACATCATTTATATATGTACATGTCAGGAATACACACTGCAAGTCTCAAAAAGTGGGCAGAAAAATGTTCCTTAGGGCATCTCCCCATGGAATGGCTTAGATTTGGTTCAGGCTAGAAATTGACAGATAATGAGCCCGCAAGATACAGTCTAAGTTTTCTAAAGTGAAAGTGAAGATTGGGAGTGTCAGTTTATGTTCTGGGATTCAAAACAGAATCCTTTTTCAGAAAGGATCCTGTTACTTTTTGTAAATTGCAAAACAAAACCTTCTATTTTGGAAAACCCCTCTCTCTTTTACAAAAGACACCCAGAGACTGCTTGGGTGAGACTCACACTTGGGTGATGAAGACAAATCACACTGGAGCAGTCCAGAAAATACTTTGCTGGTGTTGGTTTGGTCCAAGCACACTGTGTACTTGAGCAATGGGCGTGAGTTTTGGGATAGGGTAGGGGTAAGGGAATAAAAAAGCAACTCAAAGTGTTCTCTGCCAGAGCTGAAAGCAACTCTCCTTGACACTCTTCAATTTTCTTTCCCACACAGTCCTGACATGGCCTTTCAGTATCAACTAGATATTCCCAGAGAGTGCCTATAACCCGTCAGAGATCTTTGTTTTCTTATGTCAATGTGTTTATTATCAGCAAAAATCTCACTATTCAGAAAGAATAATGTTAAATGGTGTTCGGCCTCAGAGTATTTGGCTCTGATTTTATTTCATAAAACTGTGTTTTCCAAATCTTATATGTTAGACCTGGGAAATGCATGAAACATAAGCACCTGGATTTTAAATTCCCCTTAGGAATCTATGCAATGGTCTATACAATGGGCTTAAAGATATATGCACTAAGCAGGTAGTCTTGCTAGCAAGAGATTTTCCTTCAAGATCTAACAATTAGCTCCCTGGCAAGGACTAAGAAGTCAAGCCAAATGAGAACACTGACATTCTAAGATTTAAAGAGGCGGCTCCTTTAGCTGCCCTCTTCTCCCTGCATAATGGGTCTCTAGTAAAGCAACTGAAGCACATCTTGAGGGAACATCTGCAAAACCTAACTTTATTCTTTGCCTTAGCTTCTAAAAAGGGAGACCAGAGTTCTTCACATTTCTTTTTTTCTTTTTCTTTTTTTTTTTTGTTTTTGTTTTTGTTTTGTTTTGTTTTTTTTAGATAGAGTCTCTCTCTGTGGCCCAGGGTGGAGTGCAATGGTGTGATCTCAGCTCACTGCAAACTCCACCTCCCAGGTTCAAGCGATTCTCCTGCCTCAGCCTCCTGAGTAGCTGGACTACAGGTGCATGCCACCACGCCCAGCTAATTTTTGCATTTTTAGTAGAGACGAATTTTATCGTGTTGGCCAGGCTGGTCTCGAACTTCTGACCTCAAGTGATCTGCCCACCTCAGCCTCCCAAAGTGCTGGGATTACAAGTGTGAGCCACTGTGCTCAGCCCAGAGTTCTTCACATTTCCGAAAAGAATGTAAAAATATCTCTTGCAGTGCTGAAAACAACATACTCTCCACTCTAAAGGATCCAGAGCCCCAGTGCAAGTGATGATATAAGGAAGATGTGTCCAGTGCTTAGAGGAGGACAGCCAACCAGCAAAAACACAACAGTAAATGCTGTCTTCATAGCAAAATGCCAGGACTGTAGAAAGAGGAAACAATGGACCCAAAGGTAGTCCGTGCACGATGAATTGGATTTTCACCACATCCATAATAACTGAACAGTCCATCCAAAGCCTGAAGCATGTACACAGTTTACCAAGGGTGCAGCAGTGGGAAAAGCACAATTCTAGAGCCAGGCAGACTGGGTTTGAATCCCAATTCCAGTACTTACTAGCTATGTAACCTGGTACTGGTTGCCTAAGTTCTCAGACCTCAATTTTCTTATCTGTGAAATGAGAATTCATTCATTAGTTCAGCATTTATTCAATGCTTATTATGCGGCAAACATTCCACTAGGTCCAAAGTAATACAATGATGAATAAAACAGGCTTCTTGTGAGTTCCAATTTAAATGAAATAATGCATGTAAAGCACCTACTACAGAGACAGGTACATGGGAGATGATTAATAATTTTTATTTCCTTTCTCGTTTTTTATCCTTTCACAGATGTAGAAGTAGCTAAATCCCAAACAACCATTTGTTCATCAAAAGATAAATACTGTCATCTCTACCTCCAGCACAAAGAAAGCATTAATCCATGGACTGACTCCTCTCAGGAGAATTTAGCGTCTCAAGTGTGAAGTCTTTTCACTGGAGCTTGAGATGAAGAAGAAGAGGGAATTCTAAAGGTTCCCCATCATCCACCTACCCTGACCATCCCCCCTATTCTGGACCTACCCTTGACTAACAGTCACATAGTGTAGGGAGTAGAGTACAGAAAGCAGAGGATGTACTGGTTCATTTTCCTGAGCCACTTACTAATCACCTGACAGAAGGCGAGTCATTTCAGCCAAAAATAATAACAGCCGTCATCTACTGAATCCCTTAAAAGTGCCCCCACTAGACTGAAAATTCCTTGAGATAAGGATGGACTTACTTATGCCCTCCCTTAAGTGACTACCAAAGTGCAAATAGTTGGCACTCAAAATACATTCATTGAATATAAAATTGAGATAATTCTTTTTTCCTTTATTTTTTGCCTGCTTCATTTTTCCTTTATATAAAACTGGGATCATTCTGCCTTGCCCATGCTGTAGGGTTTTTATGAAGATTAAATGAGTGCATTTCTATAAAAACTTTTTGAGGTTATAAAATATGCAAATGTAAGGAATCTGTCTGTTTTGGGTCTAGGAAAAAAGTAGAAAAAAGAAGAAATGAAAAAGATAAAAGAGAGCTGGGAGTGAGGTAGGCAGCTACATTTGAAAGCAATCTGAAGCCACTCAGAGGTGGAGGAAAGAGATTTAAATTGCTGCAAGAATTTGAAGGCCACCTCCCACCCAGCCCATCAGTCTTTCAGGGACTGTTCTTCAAGACTTACTCAAAGACATTCTGTCCTATGACCAACTTTAGGGTAACGGGGAAAAGAATTATGACAGTCACATCATATGATGAAATGCCAAGTAGCATTTCAAAGGTCACACTTCAGAAAGTCTGTTAATGATATGGAAAGTGATTAAGCACAAATTATGTAATTTTAAAAATAAAGCAGTTGAGATCTTAATTTTGTAAATATATATATATAATAAAAACATATAGAAGCAATGAGAAAAGACTGAGCAGAGATCTATCAATAAGTTACCAGAAATATATTATTATAAGTCATTTTAATTGTCTTTTAAATATATATGCATTTTTATACACTCTTCAATGAATAAGTGAATAATTGGAAATATAACTCTGTGTGTGTGTGTGTAAACATATTCTGTTCTTCACTGTTCTAGCCAGGAACTGATTTAGATCTGAATCAATTATTCCAAGAACCAAAATCACCAAGAACTGAATCACATCCAATCACCTTGAACCAAGTCCCAGTTGGAAAAAATGAGACCCATAATTCAGCTTTTTCGTTTTGTCAGCTGTAAGGCTAGATTAGGCCCTTTCCCCTTCAACCCTGGAGGTTAGATGCCTGGTTCCAGCAATGGCTCTTCTTCTAATAGCTCTGTGCTCTCAGACATATCACTGCCCCTCTCTGGGCCTCCCTCCTGTGCTGTAAAATGATGGAGCTGCAATCGGGGCCGCCTGGGCAATTGTTACGCCACTCATGACCTTCTCTTGGTTCTTTTCCTCTGTGTTCTGCTTGTTCCGTTTCACTGCCCCTTACAATTCTTCCCAAGGAAAAGAAGTGAAATGCAAATGAGTTTTTTGAGTTTTTGTTGACACCTCTAACTGCAGGTTGGAAAGCTTGGGGGCTTTGGCCCTGGTTGGGTAGGTTCTGCTCGCTGGGGAATCAGGCCTGAGCTGGCTCTGATCCCTCTCCCTTCTCCTAATCACTGCCCTGGCTGCAGAACTCTGGGCTGGCACCAGAATAGCAGCCAACATTTGGCTGACACAGGACATAATTTTTAATCATGGGAAGGCAGACATAAGTACAAAAGGCCTATTTTCTTCACGCAGGTTCAAGTATCTGCTTTTGGGTTATGTCTGTCTGTATTTGGCAGGGCTGGTCTTGGGGAAGTTCCGGGATTCGTGAACAAAAGGTCAGTCTCCTTCCTTTTCCAGGATGGAAGCGGCACAAATTGTTCTGATCAGGGAGCAATAACATGCAACGATCCCCAGGGCTCCCAGGCAGGCGGAGGGGGCACCCAGTCTCAGCAGCCCGCGATCTGCTTGGCCCCTGCGAGCTGCATGCCTCACATTTCCCCAGCTCCAGCCTCCTTTCAAAGGCCCTTTATTAAACCACCAACTATTTGCTGTCGAGACATTTAGGATGAAATCATTGTGTTAAACAAATAAACGCAGCTTCGTCCAGATTTCTGCTCTGGGAGCAGAGTAAGAAAATAATTTCTGTCTGCTCGCCACAAAAGCGGCTGGAAAGGTCCAAAGAAAAATATTATTTTTACTCCATTGTGTGAAATATTGTCCTGGAGGATCTGACGGGCTGAGCGTTTGAAGAGTTTGTGCTGGCAGGTTTCAAGGGTCCCCTGGGTCGGCCCCCTGGGATTGTTTTCTGCATTAATAAACTGAGCATGATGTGTGTTAAAAGGAACATTCTGTTTGCTTTGTAAATAAGGGATGTCAAACAAGAAGCAGAAGCCTTACAGACACTAGGTGATGTGTTCTCAGAGCGGGGAGAGGGAGGAGGGTGGGAGAGGCACCCTGGAAAAATGGGCATCACTGGGGCTCCCTGAACTGAGCGGAGGCCTTGTTGAGAAAACAAATCAGTCTGTTTGAGTCCAAACCAGGCCACTTCCTCACTGATCCTGGTGGGAAAGCTGAACACTTTGCCCTGAACCAGCAGGATACGGGCTTGGGAAGGAAAGTTCTCAAGTGTCTGTCAGCTGTGTGGTGGAGGAGAGATGATGGCGCCTGGCAGAGGCCCTCCCCCTACCCGCACCCCCCTCCCCTCCCTTTTGGAGAAGGTTCTTGGCTTGCCGGGGTCTCCCAGAGCTGGAGGGCAGGAGGGGGCAGAGGTTAAAGCCATATCTTTGGGAATGATGATGTGGCTCTCGCCCCCTCTATCCCTCTCATACTCCTTCCTCAGATGTCACTGCAGCCCCAAGCGGGTTCCCCTGTCAAATTCCTGACCGGTCCTTGGGGACGCTGACATCGTGGGAGACACATCACCCTGGCCCTGTGATCCTTGCCTCTGCGGGAAACCTGCAGGAGCCAGGGCAGGATGTGTACCGTCTCTGGCTCAAGTATTTGCTATTTTCACAGGTGCCTCCCCTGGCCCCGCAGCCCTCTCCGTTGTCCGCTGTCCGCTCCAATGTTATTGAAGGCTCCCCAGACCTCCCAGGCATTCTCATTTCCACCCGCTGCCCTGCTGCTGTCTTCCCTCTCTCCCTAAATTCTCCCTTCCCCTCTGTGGTCCTCGGAGGAATCCCTTGTCATCCATTTCTATTCTGGAAAGTCCTGGCTCTCTCCTTGCCCAAAAGTTCAAACTGTTTCTTGAAGCTTTGGAAGAAGGGGACAACAGGGAATCCTGAGTTCTGTTTAGTGAGCATCATAGACTCTCAGAGCTTCAAGGGTCTAGACACAGAAATCAGGGGCCTGCCCCCAGGTACCATTAGAATCACCTGGAGAGCCTTTACAGGTTCTGTTTTCTGAGCCCACACCTGAGTAGTTCTGCTTCAGTTACCTTGCGGTGATCCTCAAACCTCAAAACTTTGTAAAGTTTTGGTGACTCCAGCGGTGGCTAATTTCAAGCACAGCAACCAAGCGCCCAAGCCAAAACTATTGTTCTTACCCACATGTTTATTTCATGGAGGAGTAAGTGTGAGTTTCCTGTGACTGCTGCAACTAAATGCCACAAACTGGGGGGCTTAAACAACAGATATTTCTTCTCTCACAGCGCTGGAGGCTGGAAGGCCAAAATCAAGGTGATTTTGGCAGAGCCAGGCTACCTCTGGAGGCTCTAGGGAAGGGTCCTTCCTCGCCTCTCCCAGCCTCCCTTGGCTGCAGACATTCCTTGGCTTGTGGCTGCATCTCTCTCTCTCTCTTCACTTTGCCTTTTCCTCTCTTCTGTCTATGTTATTTCCCTCTTATTGTTACAGAACAGGGACAGGGAAGTGCTGGGTAGAGAAGGGTGTGGTCCCAGGCGAGGGCTCTGTGCCCACAGACTAAGGTGAGGTCAGGCATTTCTGTTTTCTTGCCTAAATGTTGCATTTCCCAAGACCACCGTGGCCTGCCATGCCCCCATCCTGTGCCTATGAAAACCCCAAGACCCTAGCAGGCAGAGACACAAGCGGCTGGACATTGAGAGGACGTGGAGAGCACACCAAAAAGCACCAGCAGGCCAGCAGGCCATCGACTGGTGGAATGACAGAGTTTGGCTGGGGCGGTTGGAGGAGAGCCTGGGCTGCTGAGTGGCCCGACTCCAGTGGAAAACCATCCCCCTTCTGCCTCCCCCATCTGCTAAGAGCTACTTCCACTCAATAAAACATTTCACTCATTCTCCAAACCCCCGTGTGATCCAATTCTTCTGATACATCAAGGTATCGGAGCACTGAAGAAGCAAGCCACATTCCCCATCACACGCCCTGCAAGGGGAACAAGGGGACTTTTCCCATTTCATTATGACACTGGTGATGGCATTTTGATCCTAGCTGGATAAACCAAGATAAGTTCCTCCCCTCAAAATCTTAACTACATCTTTTGCCATAAAAGGTGATATCCACTCTTTTACCATAGGAGGTGATAATCACAGGTTCTAGCAATTAGGACATGAACATAGTTTTTAGGGGGCCGCTGTTCAGTCTACTACAGTCCCTCAGTCAGTGGCTGAGTCAGGGCTGGAATCTGGATCTTTTTATTTCCTCTAGAGTGTATCTGCTGCTCTAGTCCATTTTTAGCAAGCAACAAATCTTCCTGAAAGATCTATTTTAAAAGGTGACCCCCTATCTGAGAGCATCTGGGGCCACACACTTCCTTTTGAAGCAGTGTAGTGTTAATTTATGTGCAGGGTTTTATAGTCAGAAGACTTGAGTTCAAACCTCAGCACTTACTTATTTTGCCAATTTCCTTGTCTGTACATTGGGGGTAATCACATAGACTTGTTTAAACGGTTAACTGATATAATGCATGTAACGCACTTAGCAGAATCAAGCACACAATATAGGCTTGATTCGTTTGCTAGGGCTGCCATAACAAAGTACCGCAGTCTGGGTGGATTAGACAACAGAAATTTCTTCTCTCCATTCTGGAAGCTGAAAGTCAGCAGGTTTGGTTTCTTCTGAGTTCTCTCTCCCTGGCTTAAAGTTGACCAACTTCTTTGCATCCTCACATGACCTTCTCTCTGTACTTAGGCACTCCTGGCATCCCTTCCTCTCCTTATGAGGACATAAGTGCTGTTATATTAGGACCCCACCATTTTGACTTCATTTAGTGTTTATTATCCCTTTAAAGCCCTGTCTCCAAATACAGTCACAGTGTGGGTTGAGGTTTCAACATATAAATTTTAAGGGAAAACAATTCAGTCTATAACAAAGTTTAATGTTAGTTATTAGCATTATTATTAGTCAGGCAGGGGTTAAATATTTTATCATTAAAAACTATTAAATGGTGGCTAACACCTGTAATCTCAGCACTTGGGGAGGCCCAAGTGGGAAGATTGCTTGAGCCAGGAGTTCAACCAGCCTGAGTAACATAGTGAGACCCCTGTCTCTACAAAAATCTTAAAAAAAAAAAACTAACCAGTCGTGATGGCACACACCTGTAGTTGCAGCTACTTGGGAGGCTGAGATGGGAGGATTGCTTGAGCCCAGGAAGTCGAGGCTGCAGTGAGTGGTGATCATGCCGCTGTACTATAGCCTGGGTGACAGAGCAAGACCCTGTCTCCAAAAAAAAAAAAAAAAAAACCAACAAACAACAACAACAACAAAAACAATTAACACCCAAACACACATGTTCTTTCTGTCAAAAATAAGGAATAAATAAAATATGCAATAGGTATATTGCTAATGCAACATTAGCAACCAATGAGCTGAATTAAAATTGAACAGTGAATGGAGGTACTGGAAGCCCTCACTTGGGAGGCAGGGGGCAAGTGGGCCACACTGGGAAAGGGGCCAAGACTGCAGAGGGTGACAGATTGAGTGGGAGCAATTTCAGGGAGTTGCACAGAGCTCTTCTTCTTGCACTCATAGCTAAGTGGTCTCCAAGGAATTGCCACCTGCTTGGCATCCTGGCAAGCTTTAGCAGTAGCCACCCGCAGCCTGCTACTTCCTTGCTAGTCTGTTTTAAGAGTAATATGAGCAAAAAGAGTCAGGGAAACTTAAAGGTACCTGAGAACTGTCAGAAATGAGAGGCTGTCATTTAGAGCCTTTGAAAGATTTCATGTTGCTTTTGTAAAATCCCTGACTTTCCCCAGCCAGTATTAAAGGGAAAATTCTGGCCGGGCACGGTGCCTCATGACTGTAATCCCAGCATTTTGGGAGGCCGAGGCAGGCAGATCACAAGGTCAGGAGATCAAGACCATCCTGGCTAACACGGTGAAACCCTGTCTCTACTAAAAATACAAAAAGTTAGCCGGGCATGGTGGCAGGCGCCTGTAATCCCAGCTACTCAAGAGGCTGAGGCAGGAGAATCACTTGAACCCAGGAGGTGGAGGTTGCAGTGAGCTGAGGTCGTGCTACTGCACTCCAGCCTGGGTGACAGAGGGAGACTCCAAAAAAAAAAACAGGAAGGAAGGAAGGAGGGAGGGAGGGAGGCAGGGAGGGAGGGAGGGAGGGAGGGAGGGACGGATGGAGGGAAGAAGAGAGAGAGAGAAAAAGATAGAAAGAAAGAAAGAAAGAAAGAAAGAAAGAAAGAAAGAAAGAAAGAAAGAAAGAAAGAAAGAAAGAAAAAATTCCTCATGGTCAGGCTCAGATCACATCTCCCAGCATCATGGAGTTGCTGAGTTTCCCCATCATGTTGCCATTTTTAGCAGGCAACACAATTGCACTGGAAGATCTACTTTAAAAGGTGACTTCCCCAGGGCCTTATCTTCTCCCCTCTGACACTCCCATGGTGCAGCTCCATCTCCATCACTGTCTCCCAGGGATTTCTTTTCCTCATCTTGCCCCATGAGCAGTGGGTGACCAGAAATCCTAATCTTGCTCCTGGAGGAAAGTTCAAGACAGTAAGATATGGGTGAAGCCTGACTGTTAAGGTCACTTCACAGTGAGGGGAAGCCAGGCTGGCCCGAGCATCTTCCCAGAGCTTCATGCTAGAAGGCAACCCAGGCCAAACCCCACAAGAAAGCATGCCCTGTCTCCACAGTGTATAATCAGAGCAGAATGATAACATTCTTCTCTAGTATGTTTAATATGTATCTGTTTCCTCTGCTGGTTAGTGCCACTTGTTTTCCTTCTCCTGACTTCTCTTTAGCTGGTTGTTTTTTCACATAAACTTCAAAGTTGTAGCCAACCAAGTATTTACACTATACCAGGAAGGGCTCTTTAAAGACTGTGGGAAAAAACATGAAAACTCAGTAGTTTCTGTACTATCTCCTACACATCTTCATGCAGCTACTTTTAATGGTGCTTCTGGCCTGTCCTCCTTGCATTGTGGGGTCTGCCTATAGGATAATCAAAGCTCGGCCAACGAGGGAGTAATAACAGCTTAAATTAGCTCCAGCTATGGATAGAATCAGAATCATGGTGTGATGACAATATTTCCAAGGAAGTTTTAAATAATGCTAGAGGATCACTCAACATTTTACAACTGCTGCAGTCTTCTCTGGCGTTCTTGCTTCCAACATACATTAGAAGATGGGACTGTAAGTCAAAAAATGTACTGCACAAAGCCATGAGTTAAACTGAACCAGTTTTAAGTCCCTTTAAGCTGAGATAGCTGAGAGTCTACAAGTCTTCAGTGAAACAAAGAGAAGGCTGAGGATTAGTCCCAAGCAGCCTCCTGCAGGGAGGGAACAGCGCAAGGGAAAACCAGGACCTCAGAGTTCAAGATTTCTTGTTTTCAGAGAGCAATAGAACTTCTTTTTTTCCCTCTGTACCTCCTTTAGCTTTACTTGTTTATTTTTTTAAGTTAGGGTATAAATTACATACAACAAAATTTATCCTTTTAATTATAGAGTTCTGCATGTTTTGACAAACACATACAATCATGAAACCACTTCCACAATAAGATATTAAACAGTTGTATCAATCCCCCTACCACATATTTCTATACTCCTTTGTAGTCAATCTCTTTTCCCACCCCCAGCCCCTGGAAACCACTGTTTTTCCCAGAACAGCATGCAAATAAAATCATACAATATGCAGTCTTTTGGGTCTGGCTCCTTTCACTTAGCATAATGCATTGAGGGTCATCCACGTTTCCATGTTATTGAAATATCATAATTTGTTCTTTTTCTGTTTTTGAATATAATTCCATTGTATGGATGTACTATATTTTGTTTATCTGTTCACCAGCTGAAGGACTTTTTTTCTAGGTTTTGTTGGTATGAATAAAGCCACTATAAATATTCACATACAGATTTTGGCATGGACATAAATTTTAATATCCCTTGAGTAAATAGTTGGGAATGAGACTGCTATATCATGTTAAGTGTTTGTTTGGCATTATCAAAAACTTCAACTGTTTTCCAATGTGGCTGTGCCATTTTGCATTCCCACCAGCAGCGGATGAGAGTTCCAGTTACTCCACATTCTTGCCAGCATTTGGCATTGTCAATTGTAGTTTCTTTTGGAATGCACAACAGCCTTGTTTTTTAGAAAAAGAGGCTAAACCAGTAAGAATGTGTGACTTATTCAGCTGACTAAATAGTCAGGCCAGAATTTAAACTCAGAACCCTGGACAGTTCTAGACTAATTTTAGTCCAGTGTTTTAACTTTCCTAATCTCATCCCCCTCTACACAGCTCCGCCACAGTCGTAAAAACCAACGGTTTAGCAACTATAACAACTGTGACAGCCAGCAGTCTAGTAGCTACTGGAGGAGCAGATAGGTTGGGAGCTCCCCCAAATCCTATCCCCAGAGAATCGGCACTATTTGATTTGGCTGGCAACTTGCTGCAAAGCTCCATTCTCAGGGTTTCTCTTTCTTTGATGTGACTCAAAGCTTTCTATGTGCAAGCAGCCTGTCCACAGGGTGCTTGTTGAAAGCAATCAGCTGCAATTGTCTAATTGCATCTGAGGCAGCATTAGCAGTCACAGCTAACAAGAGGCTGACCAAAAATCTTAAAAGGAAAAACTAGTAAATGAGATGTTCATAGGGAAATTTGCAAAGCTCAAACATATTTCTGGGAATCTAATAAGCCATGCACATGCACAGGACTGTGTGCATGCCCAGAGCTGTCTATATGTCAAGAAAATACCTGAGAAGATCCAAAATTCTCACCTCTTACTTTGAGGCTCTGCACTAGCAGAGAATGAAGGCTTAGATAGAGTTATAATCTACTTGCTAGAACATTAAGGACATGCTCCAACACAGAGAGAGCCACTTGGAAAAGGCTGGGAGACTCATTCGTTAAGGAGTTTAATAAAATCTCTGTCTAATCATTAGACTACTAAGCTAACCAACCAGAGACTTAAAGGCCACACATGACAAAAAGTACTAAGTCCAAGAGGGTCACTAAACAAACAAACAGCAGAGGCAGTAACAATTGCCTGAAAAGTATGGCCCATACACAGGAGGAAAAAAGCAGTCAGTAACAACTTTTCCTAAAGAAGCTCAAATATTAGACAAAAACACTAATTCAGCTATTATAGATATGTTCAAATAACTAAAGGAAATCATGGGTGAGGAATTAAAGGGAAGTATGAAAACAACATCTTACCAAACAGAATATCAATAATGAGATAGACATTATTAAAAGAACCAAATAAAAATGTGGGGTTTGAAAAGGATAATAACTAAAATGAAAAATTTACTGGAGGCTTGTATTAGGGCTCAACAGAGAAAGAGAATCAATAGGAATATCTATATCTATAGCTACAGAAAGAGAGAGAGAAGAGAAGATTTATTAGGAAAACTGTCTCACACAATTATGGAGGCTGAAAAGTCCCATGATATTCTATGTGCGAGCTGGAGAACCACGGAAGCAAGTAGCATGACTCAGTCCAAGTCTGAAGATCTGACAACTAGGAGAGCTACTGGTAAAAATCTTGAAGTCCAAAAGCTGGAAATCGTAGAGTTCTGATGTCTGATGGCAGGAGTAGATGTGTGTTCCAGCTCCAGAAGAGAGAGAGGGAAAAAAATTTACCTTTTCTCTGTCTTCTTGTGCTTTCCATGCCCTCAGTAGATTGAATGGTGCCCACCCACATTGGGTAAAGGGGTAGAGCGGTTCTTCCTTACTCAGTCCAAGGATTTAAATGCCAATCATTTATGGAAACACCCTCACAGACATCGAAATAATGCTGTACCAGCTATCTGAGGTATCCCTTAATCTAGTCAAGTTGACACTTAAAACTAACCAACATAGGACTCAACAATAAATTTTATTTTTTATTTTTTATTTTTTTTTAATTTTTGAGACAGTATCTCACCATGTTGTCCAGGCTGGTCTCAAACTCCTGGGGTCAAGGTATCTGCCCACCTTGGCCTCCCAAAGTGCTGGGACTGTAGGTGTGAGCCACTGCACCTGGCCTCAACAGCAGATTTTTAAATAGTAAAAGAAAGAATCAGCAAACTCAAAGACACAGCAGTTGAGATAATCCAATCTGAGAGACAAGAATAAAACAGAATAAAAATACCTGAAAGAAACTTTGAGACCTGTAGGATACCATCAAGTATATCACCATATGCATAATGGGAGCCCTAAATGCAGAGAAGAGAGGGAAATAAAACAAAGAATATTTGAACAGATAATGGCTGAAACTGTTGATGAAAAACATTAATCTACATATCCAAGAAGCTTAACTAACTCCAAGTATAAACTCAAAGAATTCCACACCTAGATACATCAATCAAAACATCAAAACAAAAAACAAAAAGAAAATCTTGAGGGCAACAAGAGAAAAGCAACTCATTCATACAATGGTGCTCAGTAAGATTAACAGCTGACTTCTCATCAGAAACCATGGAGGCCAGAAGGCAGTAGGATAACATACTTAAAGTGCTAAAAAAAGACTGTCGGTCAAGAATTTTATATCCTGCAAAACTACTATTAAAAACTAAAGGAGAAATTAAGACATTCTAAGATCAACAGAAAAGGAGAGAACTCATTGCTAGCAGACCTGCCCTTTAGGTAGAAATTAAAGGACCCCAGGGAGTAACTCAAATCCACAAGAAGAAATAAGGACCACCAGTAAAGGTAAATACATTGGTAAATACAAAAACAGCTTAAATGTATCAATCTCCTTGGTAAATACAAAAACAGCATAAATGTATCAATCTCCTCAAAAGCCACAGTGGGTCACCATGGCATATGTAGTTGCCCAAAGAGCCAAAATCTTGAGAAATTTTATCTTTCACAAATGCAGATGTACAAAAAGGACATCTCTTCATTTATTGAGGAAGTTTCAACATTTTTATTGACATACACAATGCTTACACACAAAGTCAACTTTGTGACAATGCATTTTCATGGAGTCAAATCTGCAAAAGAAAAATACATAAAACAAATTAGAACTCTCTAAAGTTTTAAACAATTTATGCCTCCAGTACTGGAAATGATGTGAAGATGAAATACATAGCATAGCAAATTAATGCTATGTGTGAAGGGGCAGATTTCATACATGATTGAATAATTTTTCAGGAGAGATTTCCTGTAATTTTTACTTGCATTTTTACTTCTTCTATAATCTTTGAAACACTCAATACAGCTCTATTTGGAGAGTGGTTGTGGTCTACAAATTTCACAACCATCTGCTGTTCATTTGAAAGTCTAGTTATTGCTTGGCTGTTGCAATTAAGCAATTTTGTGCTTTTGCAACACCAATAATAATTAGCTTTTAAATGTTTATCTTTCACCATTAAGTAGCCTTGTACACTGATCACAGCCTTTTTGCAAAGGAAAAATTTCATGGACCTCTTCTATTGAGCTGGAAGAAAAACAGTAAGAAGGAATAATATTTGGCTTCCCTGACATCAAATCTGTATTAGTCAGGGTTCTCCAGAGAAACTGAACCAATAGAATATGTACATAGATATATAGAGGGGATTTATTAGGAAAATTGCCTCACATAATTATGGTGGCTGAGAAGTTCAACAATAAGCCATCTGAAAGCTAGAGACCCAGGGATGCTGGTAGTGTGGCTCAGTCCAAGTCCAAAGGCTTCAGACCCAGGAAAGCTCATGGTATATCTGTCAGGCAGTGTAAGTTCTGAAGTCAAGGCCAGCAAGCCTGGAATTCTGATGTCCAAGACAGCCGATATGGTTTAATCTGTATGTCCCCACCCAAATCTCATGTCAAATTGTAATCCCCGTGTTTTGGAGGAGTGGCCTGGTGGGAGGTAATTGAATCATGGGGGCAGACTTCACCCTTGCTGTTCTCATGATGGAGTTCTCATGAGATCTGGTTGTTTAAAAGTGTGTAGCACTTCTGCCTTTGATCTCTCTCTCCTGCCACCATGTAAAAAAGGTACTTGCTTCCCCTTCACCCTTCCGCCATGATTATAAGTTTCCTGAGGCTTCCCAGCCATGCTTCCTATACAGCCTGTGGAACTGTGAGTCAATGACACCTCTTTACTTCATAAATTACCCAGTTTCAGGTAGTTCTTTATAGTAGCGTGAGAACAGACTAATACAGCAGCAGAAGAAAAGTCTGTCTCAGCTCCCAAAGAGAGAGATGAAGTGGCCTTTTGTATTTGTCCTCTCAAGGTCCCAGCCAATTGTATGGTGCCCTTCAACACTGAGGGCAGATCTTCTGCACCTAATCCACTCAGACTCACACTAATCTCCTCCAGAAACAGCCTCACGGACACGCCCAAAATAATGCCTTACCAGGTTTCTAGATATTCCTTAATCCAGTCAAGTTGACATCTAAAATTAAGTCCACGAATGTGGCCCTTGTCAACCTGGCACCTGTAGGCAGCTCCTTAAACCTTGGTTAATCTCCAAACAGACAATAATAAGGTAATAGTTCCACTTAATATGATGCAACTATCATGCATACAACCAAAAATATACTAATATCATCCCCAGGATTCAGCTTTCAGGATTTCAACATTCAGAATTTTAATCTTTTAGGATTATGATTTTCAGAATATTAGACATTAGAAATTTTAGACTTTAGGAATTTTAGAGTTCAGGGATTTTGATCTTAGGGATTTCAACATTTAGGATTATGGTGTTAGGGATTGTCTTTTGAGATTATGATCAACACTGCTGAGAAAGACACAACTATTCAAAGTGACTCAAGAAGAAATAGAAAATCAGTATAGACCTATGAGAAGTAAACAGACTGAATTAGTAATTGAAGAACTTTCTGCAAAAGAAGCCTAGACCCAGAGAGCTTCAAGGGTGAATCCTACTAACTGTTCAAAAAAGAAGACCAATCCTTCACAAATTCTTCCAAAAAACAGAAAAGAGAACTCTTCCCAACTCATTTTATAAGGACAGTATTACACTGACACCAAAACCAAAAACATCACAAGAAAACTAAAGACCAATATCTCTTATGAATATAGATGCAAAAATTCTCAAAAAATACTATCAAACTGACTCCAGAAACATATATAAAGGACTACACCCCATAGCCAAGTGAGATTTATCTCAGGAATGCAAAGTTACCTCAACATTAAAAAATCAATCAATGTAATATACCATATTAATAGTGTAAAGGACAAATACCCCATGATTAGTTCAGTGTGTGCAGAGATAGCATTTGACAAAATTTAATACCTTTTCATGAGAAAGACACTCAACGAACTTTAGCTAGGAGCAACAGGGAGCTTTCTCATCCTGATACATGCCATTTATGAATATCATACTTAATGGTCAAAGACTAAATGCTTTCCTTCTAAGATCAGGAATAAAACAAGGATGTCTGTTCTTGCCACTTTTATTCAACAGTATACCAGAAGCACTAGACAGGGCAATTAGACAAGGAAACGAAATAAAAGGCATACATCTGTATTCACAGACACAATCTTGTATGTAGAAAATCCTAAGGAGCTCACACAAAAAACTTCTAGAGATAAGTGGGTTCATCAAAGTTTTAGGATACAAGATTAGTATTCAACAATATTACACATTAACAATGAACAATCTAAAATGAAATTAAGAAAACAATTCAATTTATAATAACATCAAAAAGAATAAAATATTTAGAAATAAATTTACCAAAAGAAGAGTAAGGGGTTTGAAAACTGCAAAACATTGTTGACAGACATTAAAGAAGACCCAAATAAATGAAAAGACATCTTGTGTCCATGGATGGGAAGATTTAATAATGTTGAGACAATAATACTTCCCAAATTGATCTACAGGTTCAGTCAATCTCTATAAAAATCAAGGCTGCCTTTTTTTGCAGAATCTGACAAACTGATTCTAAAATTCATATGAAAATGATAAGGGACCTAGAATAGCTAAAACAACCTTGGAAAAGAACAAAGTTAGAGGACTCATACTTCCTTATTTTAAAACTTTCTATTTCATTTTTTATCTTAGGGATTTCAACATTTAGGATTATGCTGTTAGGGTTGTGTCTTTTGGGATTATGATCAACACTCTTGAGAAAGACACAACTATTCAAGTGACTCAAGAAGAAATAGAAAATCAGTATAGACCTATGACAAGTAGACAGACTGAATTAGTAATCAAAGAACTTTCTGCAAAGAAAAGCCTAGGCCCAGACAGCTTCGAGCTACAGTAATCAAGATAGTGTGGTAATGGATAAGTATATGCAAATAGATCAATAGAATAAAGAGTCCAGAAATAAATCCATACATTTATGATCAACTAATTTTTGACAAGAGTGCCAAGGCTATTCAGTGGAGGAATGAATAGTCTTCAATAAATGGTGCTGACACAATTGTATATCCACATGACCCTACTTCACACCATACACAAAATTAACTCAAAGTGGATCATACACTTAAATGTAAGAACTAAAACTATAAAACTCTTAGAGGAAAACATCGGAGTACATCTTATTACCTCAAATTATGCAATAATTTCTTAATTATGATACAAAAAGCACAAGGGATGAAAAAAATAGATGAATTGGACTTCATCAAAATTAAAATTTTCATGTTTCAAGCACACTGGGAAGAAAGTGAAAAGACAATCTATGGAATGAGATGAATTATTTGGAAATCAGATATCTTATAAGGGACTTGTATCGAGAATATGTAAAGAGCTCTCACAATTCAATAAGAAAAAAAAATGACCCAGTTAAAAAATGGGCACAGGATTTGAACAGATGTTCATATAAGCATTATTCATAACAGCCAAAAAGAGGAAACAACCCAAATATTCATCAACTGATAAAGGGATAAATGAATGTGGTATATCCATACAATGAAATATTGTTCTGCAATTAAATGGAATGAAGTTTTGATACATGCTACGACTTGGGTAAACCTCGAAAACATTATGCAAAGTGAAATAAGCCAGACAGGAAATGCCATATATTGTAGGATCCTGTTTATGTGAAATGTTCTGAATAGGCAAATCCACAGAGACAGAAAGTGCACTAGTAGTTGCAAGGGGCTGGGGGAAGGGGAAAATGGAAGAGTGACTGCTAAAAGGTATGGAATTTCTTTGGAAGGCATTGAAAGGCTTTTGGAATTATATAAAGATGATGATTACACAATTTGGTGAATATACTAAAAACTACTGAACTACACTTTTGAAAGGGTGGACTTTATGGTACGTGAATTATATCTCAATAAAACTGCTATTAAACAGAAAGAATAGACCTATGTGTGTCAACGTTCTCAGTCAGGGAAAAGTGTGGGGAGAGGAAGGAATAGTGGGCAGGAACTAAACTTGGAGTTGAAAAACCCAACTTCACCACTTATTTGCTCTATGACCTTGAAAAAAGCCACTCAAACTCCTTGAATCTCATTTTCTACATTTTACATACTGGAAAAATTACATCCCCCTCAAAGCTTTATGTGGCTCAGATAAGATAGTGTCTATGAAAGCATCATATGACCTATAAATTGTTATTTAAATGTTAGATACAATCCTAAGATCCTGAATTGTCCTCTGGAGCAGCAACTCTTTCCATAAGATTTGAGCTGCTTGAGAATGGCAGAGGCACTTTGATAGATTCTGTCCCCTCCCTCTGGCTCCTCAGTGCTTAACACAGCATTCAGCATAATAGATACTCCATAAGCGGATTTCACAATTGAGCACCAGGGCAGGCCTGGGGCTATACACACAAGGATTTGATTGTATGGTCAAGAAGGTCAGGCAAGTGGAGTGGAGTAGGAGACAAATACCTAAATTCATAAGTGTTTATAAGTATGGTACATGTAATTACATGCATGTAATTACAATGAGATGAGGAGATGATCACATGTGCATATTTATTCATTTCAACATATCTCTCCTGGAGATACAAGATGAGGACTTATTGGGTGAGATATTTGTGTCTCCCACCATTGGATCTTCATGCTTCCAACAGAATGGAAAGGTTGAACATGGTTCAAAAGGATTTCTTAAGATGTTTGATGTTGGCTATTTATGGGGATAGAAACATCATTAACACATGACTGCTAGTAGAATGGGAACTTGCAAAACATCATACTTCTTCAGGGAGGAAGCATTCTTAGCTCACACCCTTTCCTGGTAACTTCTTGATTATTTTGTCTTAAAAACCCTAATAAAAACACCATGTAATTCCCTCCAACACTGTGTTCTAAGTGAGGCTCCAGAGGGTAGATCAGCCCATGTGTTTTCTAAGTTATTTATAGAGTTAATGCCCCACAAGGGAGGCATTAGATGGACCCACTTCTATTAGGTCATATATTGTTCATACTGGATTCCTGGAAATCCAGTTGTCTTTTCCTAGGACTCCAGGATGTCATGACCAAAAATATACATTTTAAAACCTCTCCACCTCCAAAGCTCTGCTCAAAAGGAGTGGTACTGCAGCTTTTTATTCTTACTATTGAAATGTTTCCATTGATGATTATTTGGCCAAGCAACTTCCAAAACCTTGGTATTTGGAATAGCTTGCTAATGTTTTCTTAAATTACATCCTCTTGTGGGTCCATAAAATACTAAAGTTATTACAAATAAATAAATGGAGTTTCTCTTCATGATGTAAAGCAGCTTTCAATGAAGTCATTGAGAGGAAGTTTGGTTTGGAAGGAAGCAGTGCCTAACCAGGGCAAAGCACTGCTTTCCACCCATGGGGGCTAGACACGCTGGGCAGCAGCTGCTCCAAGTCAGCTGAACGAAGCAAATCCCTGCTGCTCCATTTCTTGTTTTAACTTCCAGCAGAAAACACAAGATTTTAAAACGTCCCCTTTCCCTAAAGTCCTCCACATGTGGGGACCTTGGCGCAGCCTCCTCAGAGCTGGTTGAAGAGAGAAGATTTGTCCGTGCTCACTCCCACACCACCCCGAAGTGGACCAAGATGGAGGCCCTGGGACAAGGGATAGCTCATTGGCATTCCTAAGGCTGGCATGCCTTCCCCTGACCCATGAGGCTGTGGCCACCCTCAGGCACAATGGAAAACACGTTCTTCAGGACGAGAGAAAATTAAGATGCAAAGGCAAGCTCCCAGGAGAGAAGCAGGCTGTGTGTGCCTTGTGGGTGCCTTCCAGATGGCATCTTCTGTGGCACATACTGGGAGGGAGCTGTTCTCATGGGAGTGTTACACAGAGAGCCTCCTGGGTACCTGTTGGCAGCCCCCCACAACCTTTGCCGTGGCCTAAAACTGGAGCTTGGCACCCAATGTCTGTGTGGAAGTAATCACCATTCACCTACACAGTTAGGGGCCAGAGAGCTGACATCCCACAGCTCTCCTGGTTGAACAATTTCCATTTCTGCTTCTTTAAATACAAGGCAGGCTCTCCTCTGTGCAGGACTTCTCTTTCCCAACTCTCCCCTACAAAAACAATTTTCCTGTGCTCATATTAACACAGAAATGTACTTTTCAAAGAATAATACAGGAGTGCTGCTAGGATTTGGGGCACCATTTGGAGCCAGAACTATAAGGGTGCTGCCACTGGTGGTGGTTGTTGTTTTCTTAATTGTAGTAAAAAAAAAACACATAACGCAACTCCAAATGCTGGCTGAAGATGTGAAGCAGCAGGAACGCTCCTTGATTGCTGGTGGGAATACAGAACGGCAAGGCATTTGGAAGACAGCGTGGTGGTTTCTCACAAAGCTAAACATACTCTTACCAAATGATCAAGTAATCCTACCCAAATGAGCTAAAACCTTATGTCCACATAAAAACCTGTGCACAGATGTTTGTAGCACTTTTATTTATGATTGTTAAAACTCCTTCAAGATGTGCTTCAGTAGGTTATTGGATAAATAAACTGTGGTACACCCAGACAGTGGAATATGATTCACTGCTAAAAAGAAATAAGCTACCAAGCCATGAAAAGACATGGAGGAAACTTCAACACATACCACTAAGGGAAAGAAGCCAATCTGAAAAGGCTACAAAGTGCATGATTCCAAGTAGATGACATTCTGAAAAAGGCAAAACTCTGGAGACAATAAAAAGATTAGTGGTTGGCAGAGGTTAGGCGTGGGGAGATAAATATACAGAGCACAGAGGCTTTTTAGGGCAGTGAAAATCCTCCATGGTGGATGTATGCCATTTTACACTTGTCCAAACCCACGGAATGTTCAATACCAAGTGTGAACCTTAATGTAAACCATGGACTTTGAGTAATTATGATGTGTCAATGTTGGTTAATTAATGGTAACAAACGCTCAGTTTGGGGGATGTTGATTATGGAGGAGGCTGCTTGTCTACTGGGGCAGCAGGCATATGGGAAACCTCTGTATCTTCCTCTCAATTTTGCTGTGAACCTAACTAAAACTGTTCTTTAAAAAGAGTATTTTTAAAATACACACCTAATATAAAATGTACCATCTTAACCAAATTTAAGTGAACAGCTCAGCAGTGTTAAGTATACTCACATCATTATACAACTATCTCTGGAACTTTTTCATCTTGCAAAACTGAAACTCTGGGCTTACTATACAACATCTCCTTTCTCCCTCCCCCAGACTCTGACAACCACCAGTCTTTCTGTTTCTGTGAATTTGACTACTTTAGCTACCTCATATAAATGGAATCACACAGGATTTGTCCTTCTGTAACTGGCTTATTTCAGTCAGCATAATGTTGTCAAGGTTCATCCACGATGTAGTATGTGGCAGGATTTCCTTCCTGTCACATACTGGCTGTGTGTGAATAATAGTCCATTATATGTATATGCCACATTTTGTTTATTCATTTGTTGATGGGCATTTTGATTACCAATGATTTTCAGGTGATGTGGGTAGATTGCTGAGTATCTTTCTAATTTTCCTTAGTCTTATGGTAGAAACTGGTATTTTATAAGGGTGTTAAACAGCTCCCGGACATAGGGTCCTAGCAATGCCATTAGATTTGCATCTGTAGCTAAATAGAAATTAATCTGAGGAGCTAGACAGCTTAAGGATAACAAGTGGCTTGAGAGTAAAGGGTTGGTTTTAAGTGAGGCATCTGCTATCATGTTAGTCCATGACCATGTTAGAGGGAGAGAACTGCAGATTCTAAAGTTCATCAGTGCCCCTACTCTCCTACATAAATGCACCTACTAACACTAAATAGAAAATGACAGGCCCTGCAGTGTAGGGGTTAGGAGTATGGACAATGGGGTCCCAGAGAGCTCAGCTTAAATCCCTGTTCTGCCAACTTAACACCATTGTCTTAGGAAATTCAATTACCATTTTCAGCCCCAGTTTGCATATCTCTAGGTTAGGGATCAACGTTGCCTACTGCACATTCATAGTTAGATAGCATGTTGGAAACAAGTGGCACATGCTACGCCCTGTAATCAGTCATTATGACTTGCTTCACTCCAGAGTTCAGTTTTTGCCACCTACCCAGGAACTGTAATAATACATGTTATAATAATACATATTACTTTCTCTCCTCTAGAATGTAAGATCCACGAGGCAGATTTTTATTTATTTATTTTACAACCATTTCCTCAGTGCCTAGAACAACATTTGCCACCTATGAGGTGCTCAATAAATAAATAAATTCATTCATCCATTTGGTCTTCATGCAACAAAGATTCATTAAATATCTACTTTGTGCCAAGTACTGTGTTTGGCAATACGGGAGACTCAAGATAATAAATAGGTCCCTTGAGGGACTTGGAGATACCATCTCGTTGTGTAGAGATGAGATGCACAGGCAGAACAATGAAAGTCGGCTTTCGGGGGTGCCCAAGAATGATGTTGGATGGTGTGAGGGTCATCACAGAACTTCACACAACCAGGAATTAGTGAGATGAATTGGTTAGGGAGGATTTCACACAGAAGCAGGAGTGAAGTGGGGCTTCTTGCCTGCTCCTGCATGGGCACCACCAGGGCAAACTACAGTAGGACCAGGTACACAGATCTCTTTACAGTTCCAAAAAGATTATTTTTGGGTCCTAGTGATATGCTCACAAGTTTTTGTGAAATTATTGGAAAGCCACCAAGCATTCTATTTTTCATTCCTATTGTTGATGGAAGAAAGAACTCCGTACCTTCATAAATAGTAATCAGCAATCCTATCAACTTATAAAGAAGGAAAATCTATTTCACATGACAAATTGTCTGCCCTGGAAAGTTTGCAGAATAACCAAAGGAGAGAGTAAACTGTGTTTTTTTGTTTTGTTTTTTTCAAGACAGGGTCTCACTCTGTCACCCAGGCTGGAGTGCAGTGGTGCAAACACAGCTCACTGCAACCTCGACCTCCTGGGCTCAAGCAATCCTCCCACCTCAGTCTCCACAGTACAGCTAACACTACAGGCAAGCGCCACCATGCCTGGCTAATTTTTCAGTTTTTTATAGAGATGGGGCCTTGACATGTTGCACAGTCTGGTCTTGAACCCCTGGGATCAAGCAATCCTCCTGCTTCAGCTTCCCAAAATGCTGGGATTACAGGTGTGAGCCATCATGCCTGGCCTGAGAGTACACTGTTTTTAAGTTTCGTAGGCTTGTTCTACACTGGCAAAGTTACTGGCATTCTTTCAGTCCCAAGCCCTTCCCCCACCCCTACCCCTTGTTGGTTTTAAGAGCCTTCCCACTTTGATCTTCTCAGGTCTGGGAGCTGGCAGACCCCTCTCTAATTTTCCCTAGTATATGATTCTTGACTTTTCCCTCAGGCCTTTTATTTCCTCCTCTTCCTAACAAGAACATCATTGGACCCCAAACTCCACAGGTTGAGCCACAGAGAGAGTTGAGATTTAGTGGTTTGGGACCACACCTGCAGAATTATCTGTGTTTCCTAGGACCCACTCCTTTGCAGGCCTTCCCTCTCTTCCCATAACTCTCAGTGTCACCCCCACATCTACCTTAGAGACTGCCAGGGCTAATCCCATGATGCCCACATCCTTGTTTACTTCCTGGGTGTTTACCATCACCACAAGAAGCCTAAGATCCCAGATTGCCCCTCTCACTAGGACTCACCCTCACAGACCTTGGTATATCCTCTAATCTGATTACCTCTCCACCCTTCCCAACCCCCAGGCCCGTCCACTGGATGTCCTCAGGAAAGCACAGCCAATCATCAACACACTCCCGGATATCCTCTGCAGCTCCTCTGAGTGTTCCTCTACCACACGGCTCAGAGGGAAATCTGATCTCTGAGGGCACTGCTTCCCCACAGTCCTGAAGCTGGGTTAGGTGTCCTCCTTGCTCCTCACCTTCCTTTCCAGACAATTCTCTCCTTCCTTCTCAAGCACCAGTTGAAAGTTTAGTCATCTATGGGCCTCCAGGTCATTCCTTGAAGATTTTGCAGCAGGTTCACAATCACTTTCCAACACCACCCCTGTCTAATTCAATGCCCTGCCCTCTTAGTTCCTTCATTTCCATTTTCCCAATGATATTGTTCTAAACATACGCCCATTACTAATTCCCCCACCCCCATATTCTCGATTTCAACTTTCTACCTCTGACATTTCTAGCTGACTCCCCTAATCTTCTAACCTCAACAACTACTAGAATCCACTGGGATTTCCAATTCACATCCCCTTTCTCTGCTCCTCATCTGCCACTTAGCCTCACTTCCCTCCTTACCCTGCATGGATTCCTTGGTCCATCATTATTATCACTTCTTCACATATGCCCTCATCCTGCTTAAAATTCACCAGGCAAAAGCCCAAACCTTGTTAAATCCAATTCTCCACCCATTGAACATCTGCGCTCAAGAAACTGACACATGTACTGTCTTAGACTTTATTTTCCAAGAAGAAATTCCTTAGACAGGATTACAATAGAAGTAGTTTTCTCAGAGGTGATCCTTGGAAATATCAGTAGAGAAGTCAGGAAGCGGGAAAGGGAAGAAAGAAAGCCAATAAATGACACATGAATAAGCACGGTATTTCTCTGAGCAACTGGAGAATTCCACCAGGAAATGCTGCAAAATGTATTGAGCATGCCTCAAAATTGTCCCAGCTGAATGCTGAGGGTGTTAGGGTATTTATCCACTGTATTGGTCTTCTAGGGATGCCATAACAAAATACCATTGACTGAGTGGCTTAAACAACAGACACTTACTAATATTTTCTCACAGTTCTAGATCCTAAAAGTCCAAGATGAGGGTGCCAGCATGGTTGGTTCTAATGAGTGTCCTCTTCTGGATTTGCAAATGAACACTTTCACCTGGTAAAGACAAAGAACAAGCTCTTTGGTGCCTCTTTTTGTAAGGGCACCCCATCATGAGGGCCCCACCCAAAGGCCTCATCTCTAAATGCCATTACATTGTGGGTTAGGGCTTCAACATATAAATTGCAAGGAGACACAGACATTCTATCCATAACATCCACCAAAGCCTTTTCTATCATTGGTTGAGAGCTGCTTCACAGGGCAGTAACCCTTCAGCGTTTCCTAGTTATCCTACATTCATGCAGAGCATGTTCCCATAGCCAGAACAAATGTGTAAAGCCCTCAAGCAGAGAGTTAGAAGCGTTTGCAGTCATTGTGTAAAGGTGACTGCTGGGAGGATGTGGACAGGGAACCACAGACACAACCAGCAGCAGCTTTTCCACTTACTGACTGGTCTCAGCCTCAGATAGGCCTTTAGTGCTGCCTGGCAATCCTGTTGAATTTCTCTAGTCAACTCTCTCTCTCCTTCCTATTCCTCATACTCTCTTAAACCTCCAAGTCCCTCTCACGCTTCACCCTCACCTTTGACCTCAATTCCTCTTTCATTAAAACAACTGAGGCCATCAGAAGACAACTCCACTTTTTCCACCAGTAGGACTACCCCCTCTCTGCATCTGTGTCCATCCTCTCTGCCACCTCCTGTTGACTGTGGATGAGTATGGCACATACCATCCTCTTTAAGACCAAACTCTCCACCTGGGACCTATCCTGCAGGTCCTATCCCCTCTTTCTACTCAAGGACAGCACACTTAAATTTGCCCACCCTGCCCTCCTCATCCATGTTCCCATATCAGCATTCAACTGTACTGTAACTTCTCCATCTTAAAAAACAAGCAAGCAAACAAAAAAACAGAGACCAATCTAGATACTACCTACTTCTCTGTTTTCCTTTATAGCAAAACTGCAAAAGATTTATGTATTCCTTTTGCCAATGATGCAGACTCAAAACAAAAACCAAAAAAGATCTGTGTATTCCTGCTGCCTAAAATTCCTTTTCTCCCATTTACTTTAAGAAATTTTAACAGAAAAATTTCAATCATATCTAAAAATAAAGAATATCACAATGAATTCATTATTATATTACTCAGATTTAATAATCATGAATTTAATGCATAAGTGCTTCATTTCTTTTTTTCTTGCTGAAGTGTTTTATTTTTATTTTTATTTATTTATCCATTTAGTGACAACGTCTCGCTCTGTCATCCAGGCTGCAGTGCAGTGGTGTGATTTCGGCTCACTGCAGCCTCTGTCTCCTGGGTTCAAGTGATTCTCCTGCCTCAGCCTCCCGAGTAGGGATTACAGGCATCCACCACCAGGCCCAGCTAATTTTTGTATTTTTAGTGCAGATGGGGTTCCACCATGTTGGCCAGGCTGATCTCAAACTCCTAACCTCAAATGATCCACCTGCAGCAGCCTCCCAAAGTGCTGGGATTACAGGCATGAGCCACCACACCTGGCCTGAAGTGCAAGTCCCAGATAGCATGACATTTTAGTCTTAAATACTCAGGATATATCTATAAGAAATGAGGAATTTTCTTAAACAACTTTAACTTGATTAAGAATAATGATGAGGCCGGGTGCAGTGGCTCACACTTGTGGTCCCATCACTTTGGGAGGCCGAGGCAGGTGGATCACGAGGTCAGGAGATCGAGACCATCCTGGCTAACATGGTGAAACCCCGTCTCTACTAAAAATACAAAAAATTAGCTGGGCGTGGTGGCGGGCACCTGTAGTCCCAGCTACTTGGGAGGCTGAGGCAGGAGAATGGTGTGAACCCAGGAGGCAGAGCTTGTAGTGAGCTGAGATCGCACCACTGTACTCCAGCCTGGGTGACAGAGCAAGACTCTGCCTCAAAAAAAAAAAAAAAAAAAAAAAAAAAAAAAGAATAATGATGAAACAATATTGTAGTACGTGTTGTGTATTATAATAATAATCCCTCTGTTCTTTCTCAAAAATATCCCACTCTGATCAGGGTGTTTGTCTCCACTATTCCACATGAACTTCTCCTGACTAAATCACATGACCACTCTGTTGTCAAGCCTAATGACTATTTCTCACTGGTAAGGTGACCAACTGTTGCAGTTGGCTTAGAGGTTTCTTAGGACAAGGGACTTTGTCTTAGTCCATTCAGGCTGCTCTAACAAAAATGCCATAAACTGGTGGCTTATGAATAATGCAAATTTATTTCTTACAGTTCCAGAGGCTGGGAAGTTCAAGATCAAGTTGCCAACAGATTTGATGTCTGGTGGGGGCTCACTCGCTTCATAGATGGCACCTTCTGTCTGTGTCTTCACACGGTGAAAGGGGCTAGCTAACTCTCTGGGGTCTCTTTTATAAGGGCACTAATCCCATTCAGGAGGACAGAGCCCTCGTGACCTAACCATCTCTCAAATATCCTACCTTCTTTTGTTATTTGAGATGGAGAGTAGCTCTGTCACCCAGGCTGGCGTGATCTGGGCTCACTGCAACCTCCATCTCCCAGGCTCAAGCAATTCTCATGCCTCAGCCTCCCGAGTAGCTGGGACTACAGGCGTGCACCACCACTCCCAGCTAATTTTTGTATTTTTAGTAGAGACAGGGTTTCACCATGTTGGCCAGGCTGATCTCAAGCTCCTGGCCTCAGGTAATCAGCTCACCTTGGCCTCCCAAAATGCTGGGATTACAGGCATGAGCCACCATGCCCAGCCCCACCTTCTAATATAATCACATTGAGGATTAGGTCTCAATGTAGGAATCTGGGGGGAACACAAACGTTCAGACCATAGCTGACTTTCAGTGCTAAAACCCAGAGTGTCTCAGGCAAACCAGGATAGTTGGCTGTTGTATTTCTCAGTCCTTATCTTTCTCAAATTTTCAGGAGCAATCAACAGGGGTAATTATTCCTTTCTTCTTCTTCTTCTTCTTTTGAGATGGAGTTTCGCTCTTGTTGCCCAGGCTGGAGTGCGGTGGCATGATCTCGGCTCACTGCAACCTCCACCTTCCGGTTTCAAGAGATTCTCCTGCCTCAGCCTCCTGAGTAGCTGGGATTACAGGCACTTGCCACCACGCCCAGCTAATTTTTGTATTTTTAGTAGAGATGGGATTTCACCATGTTGGCCAGGCTAGTCTCAAACTCCTGACCTTGTGATCCGCCCGCCTCAGCCTCCCAAAGTGCTGGGATTACAGGCCTGAGCCACCGCGCCCAGCTATTCCTTTCTTCTTAAACAACATTCTTGTCTTCCAGGACACCAGTCTCCCTTGGTTCTCTACCTCCCTCTCTGGCCACTTTGTCACAGTCTCCTTTGCTGGTTCTGTGCATCTGCCTGACCTCTGAATGTTGGCATGCCCCAGGGTTCTCTGGCCTCAGTCCTCTTCTCATCTTTCTTTACTTCCAAGTCTTTAAATAGCACATATGTATTGATGATTTGCAGATTTCTATCTCCAGCCCAGACTTCTCACCTGGATGAGAGACTGTCACTTCAACTGATGATTTGGCATCTTCACTTGAAAGTTTTAAAGACATCTCAAACGTGGTAGTTCAAAACCAAACTCCTGATCCTTCCCCAAAAACCTTCTCTTCTTATAGCTCTCCTTGTGATAATAGATGACAACTTCATGCTTCTATCTGCTTGGAGGAAAAACTTTGGGCTCATCTTTGACTCCTGCATCATATGCCCCATATGCAATCCATCAGCAAATCTGGTTGAGTCTTCTTTCAAAAATTATTCACAATCCAACTACTTCTTACTACCTCCATTGGCACCATTTCTTGCCTGAATTATTGCAGTACCCTCCTAATTGGTCTTCCTACCCCCATCAGTGATTCTTTCCACCATGCTAAAATGCTGTGATTTTTACATCCTTATATTAAAGCTTGAGAAATGGTAAGAATCCCATTTTAACAGATACGTGAAAGTACTTTCCCTATGAATCTACATGAGTGGAATATATTAGGTCACCAGCATACATTGACTCTATTTTAACTTTTGATTTTACAAAGAGTTCACCTTACGTTATGTCTAGAGGTCTATAATTAAAAGATTGAGTTGTCTAGGGCTGTGAAATACTTTTTCCACATTTCTCCATTTTTTTAAAAAAAAGCTGTATTTTACATGAAACAAATAGTTTGGTTACTGTCATTTTAATCCTGTTTATATTGACACAAAGTTTAAATATTTTTAGAGTATTTTATCCACTTGAATTAAAATGCATGAACGTATTTTTATGAAGAAGCCCAAGAATATGAGTGAAACACTGCTTAGTTGGACTTAATTCAATGTACCCATTCCATGAAGCCAAATTTCTGGGGGTGAGTATGCATAAACATAATAACTAGTCTTACATTTTAGTTCTTCAGTGTTAACAGTACTTCTCACAAATTGATTTCTAAATTGTCCAAGCAAATCACTCATCTTCGGCATCACACCATAGTCTTTATTTTAGAAGCCTTTTTAAAAAGGCAATCCTAGGCCATTCATAGTGGCTCATGTCTGTAATCCCAACACTTTGGGAGGCCAAAGTGGGTGGATCACCTGAGACCAGGAGTTCAAGACCAGCCTGGCCAACATGGCAAAACCCTGTATCTACTAAAAATACAAAAATTAGCTGGGCATGGTGGTGCACGCCTGTAGTCCCAGCTACTTGGGAGGCTGGGGGAGGAGAATCGCTTGAACCCAGGAGGCGGAGGTTCCAGTGAGCTGAGATTATGCCACTGCACTCCATCCCGGGTGACAGAGTGAGACTCCATCTCAAAAATAAAATAAAATAAAAAAGCAATCCTAATTATTTTATAAAAATTCCTTAAAAACTAACACACTTGTTTCCTTGCTATGACAAAAAATATGTTTCCACTATGTTTCCCTAGAAGCTTTCCAGCAAACACAACCATTATTACTCATAATTCTCAATAATCAATAAAATATTGGCCAAGCACTTTATTACTAAGATTACACACAATGAGGCATGGAAAATGTTATCTGTGGTTTATCCACCAAGAGTCTTAATGGAATACCTGCTGGAACCACAAAACCGTGCTGAAGACTATAGAGACACACAGATTTCCCTTCTCCTAAAGCCTTGCTGAATTGCTCTGCAAAGTGAAAAGCTGAGTCAATCCTCTGAAAAATCAGTGGGGAAAGAGCAGCTCCTTGAGGCAGGCTGTATCTTATATACTGGCCTCCTCCATCTGGTGAGGAGAAGGCATTCCTGGGAGAGGGAGTACTACCTGGTCCCTCCCTCTGCAGATGGGGAGCAGACTGTGCCTTGCCAATTCCATTTCTGTTCATTCTGATTCCCTGAAGTCATGACTTGTATCTAGACACAGTTCCTTCAGCTCCCGTTCAGAAAATTGTTGCTAAATCTTCCAAGGCTGCTGCAGTATTTGTGAGCTCTTTCATCATGTCAAAGGACTTCCACCAATCCCTCACTGACTGCTGAACTATACCTTGTGTTTCTTCAACCATATCCTCAAAGGAGCATGAGCTGCAGTAAAACTCATAATGCGGTCCAGTGTGATCTTTTGCCTTTGTTTCTTTGAAACAGCCCTCTTAATAACACTGCCTCACACAGTCTACCCAGGATAACCTGCAGGACTCGTTGGCTGACAGCATGTGCAGAATGGTGAGCTACTGCTCATTGCTCACTATGCTGCTGTCACTGGCTAATAGCATATGTGCATGGGAAATACATATATTAACTGTGAATGCTAATAAATTACATATAGATTCTAACTGTTTTCTGATTTTCCTTGTCCATCCCTCTCAGTACTTGAAGGGCTACTCACCTATTAAATTTGTTAATTGGAAGAAATGTCTGAAGATCCCCACAAGGCAAGTTTATTCAATTTAACTTTTCTAACTTGGTTCAGATTCACCATATAAATGCTCCATGTTTTACTTCACTTTGTCTCTGTTAAAACAGTCTCCACAACCAAGTTGAGCAGAAGAGTTAGAAACTGTTTCAGATATTCCTTTAGCTCACACACACCTTTGCCAGAAAAATTACCTTTCCAGAATTTCCAAAATTAAGGTCTCATTGTAAACACTTAATCATTTCACTACTGGACACCCTCATTCAGAGAGGAGCTGTCATTCAATTTAGTTTGTTTCAAGTGATTTTCTGTACTTCGGATGGAAGAAATAATGGTTGTTTTTTGTCCACCAGGTTTCTATTCTCTCTTCCTAATCAACAGCCTGATTCCTTTGGGGGAATTACCTCTTCCCCTTCTGTGTAGTTTTGGTGAGACTATACCTATCTCCTATCACAGAAACTGAGAGATTAGATCTTTTCCCTCTCATTGTGTTAATATAGCCATTGGCCTGCCTGTGATAAGAGCTCAACCAATAGGTTCCCCTATCAAGACTTTAAATTTTGAGTGACCCAAAGGTTACAGCTTTGTCTTTTTCAGACTGTTCCAGTTATGGCATCATTCCTATGACACAGGCCTCCTCACTCTGCAGCAGTCTTGGTTTCTGCCTATCCCACAGCACAAAATGAAGCAATAAATTTATTTATTTATTGAGCATGTCATAGGTGGTAAACATTGTTCTAGCCCTGACTCACCAAGACAATTGAGGAAAACATATTTATAACTCCAAACACACCTCTTTGGCCTGCAGGAGATGGCTCAGTAAGCTACTAAATTATTGCAGCAACTGTATATGTTTTCATTAAATCTGCAGATAAATGATCAGGCATGTATCCGGCGTTGTTCCACTGGCACTGCTGTGGACTAAACAATGGCCAGTGTTCTGATGTGAATCATTTGAATAGTTTTCAACCCACTTGACTATTCTGGGCTTTATTTGTCAGTTAAACAAATAAACCCAGAGCTTTTGTTTTTATTAGCCGGCTTGAACTACTGTGGCCCAGTTGAGACAGTACTACTTTCATTGCATTGCATCGCATCTCAGCAGGCCTGCTTAAAAGCCTTTGGTGGGCTGGGATTTCCCTTTCCTTCTCAGAACTGGTTTGATCAAAAGCTTCCCATTTAATCTGTCCTTTAGAGCCATCTATGGGAATGAAAAATGCTCCTGGTTGTGCTGATGCGAAAAGAGTGACAGCTAACCTCGGATTGGGACTACCTAGATTGAGGCACCTGTGCCAGGGAGGAAAGAACGTCACCCACCAGGAGAGCAGAGCAGAAGGCATGAGAGAGAGGTGGGCAGGGAGGGGACCGCAGGGTGGGCACAGCCAGTGCCTGGGCTGCCACTTTGATGAGGTGTGATCCCTGAGAAACCCTTGCACTTGTTGCTCTTAGTGGTATGTGTTCCACACAGGTGGCCTGAGGGAAGTGCTTGTGGTGTCCTCCTGAGGAGCGGGACAGGCAGAAGAAGGGAAACTGAGGTATCCTCAGGAGCCCCCTCATAAAGACATCTCTTTACCCCAAGGCCTTGTCCTGTGACCGCAGAAATGACAGCAGCAAAAAGGAACAGAGTGTCCAAGCTGACATTTTGCCAAGCCTTATTCAGCGGCCAGTCTCCTAAACGAGCCTCCCCGCTGATTTCCAACAGTTGAAGAATCTGGCTTCCACAGGGAACAGCTCTCATGAGCAGTGGTGCTGGAGACAGGTAATTTGAGGTCTCTATTTAGATCACTGGTCCTCAACCATTTTGGCACCAGGGACGGGTTTCGTGGAAGACAGTTTTTCCGCGGACAGGGGGCAGGGTGGTTTCAGGATGAAACTGTTCCATCTCAGATCATCAGGCATTAGTTAGATTCTCATAAGGAGCAGGCAACCCAGATCCCTAGATTGCATGCGCAGTTCACAACAGGGTTTGCCCTCCTGTGAGAATCGAACAACGCAGGTGATCTGACAGAGGGTGGAGCTCAGGCAGTAATGCTCGCTCACCTGCCGCTCACCTCCTGCTGTGCAGCTTGGTTCCTAACAGGCCATGGACTGCCAGTCTGTGGCCCAGGGTTTGGAGACCCCTGATTTAGATCACCCAAGCCCACAAGACCAACACACAGCCTAGGCACAAAAAGGAATGTTTAGAACTGAATTCCCCCCATTTGAGTCTTGAAGATAGATGCTCACTGAAGTGGAGAGACGTGGCTGGAAGGTAGAAAAAAAGGTGAAAGAGCCAATCGATCAGTCCAAAATGCAGGTCTGTTGTGTTCAAGTATTTGAATGAGGTTCTCAGTTGGCTCAAGGAGGACAGAAAGAAGGAAATAAGACTGCTGCTTCCCAGTGACTTATTCTTTTTTTTTTAATTGAGAAAATTCACATAACATAAAATTCACCATTTGGAAGTGTACAGTTCAGTGGTTTTTAGTATATTCACCATGTCGTATAGCTATCACCACTATGTAATTCCAGAACTTTCCATCACCCCTAAAAAGAAGCCCCATACCCATCAGCAGTCACTCTCCCTTCTCTCTTCCGCTAGCTGCCATCAACCATTAACCTACTTTCTGTCTCTATGAATTTGCCTATTTAGACATTTCATATGAATGAAATCATATAACACATGACCGTCTTTGTCTTCTTTCAGTCGGCATAATATTTTCAAGGTTCATTCATGTATCAGTACTTCATTCCTTCTTATGGCTGAATAGTATTCCATTGTATGGACGTACTGCATTTTGTTTGTCCATCATCAGTTGATGGACATGTAGATTGTTTCTACTTTTTGGCTCTTATGAATAACAGCACTGTGGATGTTTATGTGCAAGTCTTTGTGTGCAGATATTTTCACTTCTCTTGGGTATAGACCTAGAAGTGGAATTGCCAGGTCAGAGACTTCATTATTTCTTGAAATTCTGGTCCTCGGTGCAGAAGTATGGGACAAAATAACCACGATGCTGTGCTTCTTGCCACATTCTTGAATATGAAGCTCTAGGCTCAGAAATGCCATGTGATTTGACATGAGGCCTTGGTGCCTGCAGGAATGTGGTTGGAACCACATACTCCCTGGAAAAAGGAAGTAGAATGTGATGTGGTAAAGGAAGCCAGGCCAGAGTCAGAGGATCTTGCAGGGAGCACCCACTACCCCCTTCTTTATCCCAGCTACTCCTGTGCATGAGCCTGGGGTCCCTCCACATTCTATCCACTGCTGTCCTTCCCAGAAGCACCAAAATATTGGTCAGGTAGTCAAATAAATAGATGGAAAGAGTTAATAAGATATTTTTAAGTACTTGAGAATTTTATTTATTCTTTTTTTTTTTTTTTCTGGAGACAGAGTCCCTCTCTGTCACCCAGGCTGGAGTGCAGTGGTGCGATCTCAGCTCATGGCAACCTCCACCTCCTGAGTTCAAGCGGTTCTTGTGCCTCAGCCTCCTGAGTAGCTGGGATTACAGGCATGTGCCATCATGCCCAGCTAATTTTTGTATTTGTATTTTATTTTATTTTTTTACTTTAAGTTCCAGGATACATGTGCAGGTTTCTTACATAGGTATACAAGTGCCATGGTGGTTTGCTGCATCTATTGATCTGTCCTCTAAGTTCCCTCCCCTCGCCCTGCGCAGGCCCTGCTGTGTATTTTTCCCCTCCCTGTGTCCATGTGTTCTCATTGGCCAGCTCCCTCTTATGAATGAGAACATGCAGTGTTTGGTTTTCTGTTCCTGTGTTAGTTTGCTGAGGATGATGGCTTCCAGCTTCATCCATGTCCCTGCAAAGGACATGTTTCACTCCTTTCTATGGCTGTGTAATATTTCATGGTGTGTATGTACCACATTTTCTTTATCCAGTCTATCATTGATGGGCATTTGGGTTGGTTCCATGACTTTGCTATTGTAAATAGTGCTGCAATAAACATACGTGTGCACGTGTCTTTATAGTAGAATGATTTATAATCCTTCGGGTATATACCCAGTAATGGGATTGCTGGGTCAAATGGTATTTCTGGTTCTAGATCCTTGAGGAATCGCTGTATTGTCTTCCACAATGATTGAACTAATTTACATTCCCACCAACAATATAAACATGTTCCTATTTTGGCCGGGGAGGGGGTGGCTCACTCCTGTAACTCCAGCACTTTGGGAGGCTAAGGCAGGCAGATCACAAGGTCAGGAGTTCGAGACTAGCCTGACCAATATGGTGAAACCCCGTCTCTACTAAAAGTACAAAAATTAGCTGGGCATGGTGCGCGCCTATAATCCCAGCTACTTGGGAGGCTGAGGCAGAAGAATTGCTTGAACCTGGGAGGCAGAGGTTGCAGTGAACCGAAATTGTGCCACCTCACTCCAGCCTGGGCGACAGAGTGAGACTCTTGTCTCGAAAACAAAACAAAACAAAAGTGTTCCTATTTCTCCACAGCCTCGCCAGCATATATTGTTTCTTGACTTTTTAATAATCGCCATTCTGACTGGTGTTAATTTTTGTATTTTTTGTAGAGATAGGTTTTGCCATGTTGGTCAGGGTGGTCTCAAACTCCCGACCTCAAGTGATCTGCCTGCCTCAGCCTCCCAAAGTGCTGGGATCACAGGCATGAGGCACCGCGCCTGGCCAATTTTTGTTAAATTCTTTATCCCTTCATCCATGTGTTCTGTGGTGAGAGCCAGAGAATGACTGGGCTGGACTCCCTGCTAACAATCTGCCTTGGCCTAGTCTCATGTCCAGGTTTTCCTTCTGAGACAAAGAGATTTAGTGACAGTGCTTGCAGCTCCTGGCATAATGCACACTATGACGTTTCTGAATGAATGTGCTACTCTGTGGCCTTCCTCTTCATTCCCTCTGTAAACTGCTACCCTAGCAGAGCGGCCAGAAGAGAAGGCAGACTTTTCCTCTAATACAAGTTTTTACTTTATGTTCCTCTTATCACATCAATTCCATAGGTACTGTTGCAATAGTTCAAATGGATCCTCACCCTAAAGGTGTAGTTGCTAAGGAAACCCAAAGGATGCCAATGGAGGTTGTCTTTTCATTTTGTTGTATTAAGCTTGAAATGTTTCTAAAGTTAATTTTTAAATATTTTTAAAGGAGAGTCTGCATACTACTAGCTATTAAGACAGATATCTGGGAGCAATGTGTCCTAAGCTGCCCCCTAAACCTGTGTAGACCTAGCCTAGGTGGTCCATGCTGCTGGCAGGTAGGAAGGCCCTGTGTCTGCTCACAAGACAACCCAGTTTAATCCCATTTTTCAATGCCTACTGTAAGTGGTGGGAGCTCTGCTAAGACAAGGGGACACAAAAATGAATAAGACACAGTTGCACAGTTCCAGAAATATGTGAAGGAAGCTGGAATATTGGGCAAAAGGGAAAAGTTGAAGGTTTATGAGGGAAAAGGGAGGACAGTAGCCTGTATGGGGTCTTTTGCTTCATCAAGTCCATTGAGGCTTGAAAGCCAGTGAACCACGACATGGAGATTCCTTCTCCCTCGGCCATGAAGCAGAGGGGTGGTGGAGTTCTCTAGACCTAAGAAGTCCACTTGGGCCTTTCCTTGTGGCCTCAGACTCAGCAGGGAGTTCCCTCTCTAGACACTACTGAGATAGCAAACTCTAGATAATTCTCATGGTGGAATTATTTGCTTGGAAAGCAAAAAGATGCTAGGGGCTTCGGCTTCGGCAAAGTTATTTTTGCTACTGCTTCTTTTAGAAATGTGTATATTTTCGTATTATTTAAATCAAGTTAATTCTTATAGTCTATGATAAGTACATTCCCTTCCAATTTTAAGGGCATTAACAACCCAAATATTTATACTGATACACTTAATTAAGGAGGGTGCGGGGGTGGGGACAGTAGAAACAGCTATAAAAGCTGCTCCCTTATGGCCCTGTAGCAGAAAGAGGGTAGGGCCATGCTAGAGGGAGTCACCCCAGCACACTGCAGTCTGGAGGGGTTTCTTCCACTAGGCACTGGGATTCCAGCAATTTTTTCAGATACTTGTCAAGTGCTCTGAAGTCTTTCAGTCACACAGTTGTACCAGGAGTCAGCATTAGTCACATCCGCTGGTGATCTGGCAAATGCGTATGATAATAAGCACTGATTATCAGGGAAAAGGGGTTTCCTGACACAGTCACTCAGTCAGTGATTGTGTCTTTGGAGAAATGTTCTGTTTCCTTTGAGGTACTTTATCTGAAACCACCTTGTAAACATGAACCTTCTTGCTATTGCCCTGAAGTGAGCAACCTTATTTAAGGAAACGAAAAACTTCTCCCAGTGCCGGAGGGTGGACTGGGAAGCAGGTCTAGACATTCATTCTTTGCCTGACCTCTCAAAACCATGTTTGCTTGCTTCAGCCCTCATCTTCCCCTTGGAAGATAGGCGAGCCGAGGCAGCATCCACAGCAGGCTTTCAGCGCTTAAAATGTTAACTCACGTTTTTTCCAAAGTGTGTTTCTGGTTAGTTTAAAGAAGGATAAACAAAATTTAATAGCTGGCAATGAATCACATTTTTTTTCTCCCTAAACGCTATTTGGATCCACTCAAACGGCTGTCATTCTACTTTTGTACAAATAAATAAACCTACTTTTCTTTTGTGCATTTTTCTCTGTCCTGCATTTCCTAAAATACAATTTGTTTGACGGATGAGTCAAGCAGTTCTGAGGTTTGCTTTTGGCTCTGTAGGCAACTAGGTTGTTTTCTCATCATAATTCAATGGGACAAGGTTATCACCCTTACAAACACTAACACCTCATTTAGAACCAGAAGCACCCCCCCAAGAAGGAAGCAATTGTTAATGTTCTCGATATAAGTTTCAGTTGCTACATGTGAAGTTTCCTCATATACACATCTCTGCCCTGCCCTTTCCCTTTGGTTATGCTGGGTATATGCTGTGCACACAGACATTCTGAAGTGAAATTATAGGAAGATGGAAAGTAAACTTCAAAGAATGTACAGAGGAAGGCCCATCATCCACATAGACTTGGGCACTACAAGCAATAACCTAACAAGCAGAGACAAACCTCACTAGCATCTGAAAGCAACATTAACCTAGAAAGTATTTTTTTTTCTGAAATGCAAAACACATCACCATAGATTTTCTAAAAGACAAAGACCCGTAAAATAGCTGAACTGAAATTAAACATATGCATTTTTTTTTTTTGAGACTGAGTCTTGCTCTGTCACCCAGGTTGGGGTACAGTGGCCCAATCTCGGCTCACTGCAACCTCCACCTCCCAGGTTCACGCCATTCTCCTGCCTCAGCCTCCCAAGTAGCTGGGACTACAAAACGTATGCATTTTTTAAGGTAATCGTACTGGAGTAAAACTAAAATATTCTCCAAATAGACATTTCATTTTGTTTCAACTCCCTGGTTAAACAGAGAAGTATCTTTTAAGTAATTGCCCATTGTACTTATAGGTGAGGGAGGTCTGTAAAAATGTAAGTTGAAGGTCTTGTTAAAGTTCTCCTCACTAATGCAGAGACTCTCTGAGCCTGTTCCAAATCCTTTGTTAGTGCTTCTCATATTCAGAAGTGTTGCCTAGGAAAAAGGCAGGAGGGTCCAAGAAGGGAGAGAACCCAGAACCCAGAAGTGGGCTCATGTTTCTGCTTGTCCTCAGCTGGGTGGTTGGGGAAAGAAGAGGGAGAAGCAGGTTTCCACCTGAGAGTTATCTTCCGTCCCTCCTCTCCCCATCTCAACCAGCCAAGCTCAAGCTCAACCACAAAGCCTTGAAGCAACATGGCACAGTCTGGAGATTCTCCCCACCACAGTATTTTAGATTTTTTTTCTATCATAGTACTATTTAAATCTGCCTTTCAGTACTTATCATATCATATTGCGATAATCTGTTTACAAGCCTATAATTATCCTGAGGATAGGCACCTTACCATCTTTGGAGCTCCCAGTATCCAACTCAGAGCATATTAGATAACCAATAAATGAATAAATGAGTAAAAAAATATGAAAAAGCATTGATTAATAATCAGTTTCCTTTCCTAATGTTCATTTATCCATCATACATAATAAAATATATAATTTATAAAGTAATGTTGAGCATGATTAAGTTTTATGAAATTTTGAAAATAGCCTTAGGGGAATTAATCATTATGTCCACAGGGTCCTGGGGTCCAGGAAACCCAGACTGGGAAGTATTGGCCTAGACCAATGGTTCTCAAACTTGAGTATGCATTAGATTATCTGGAGGGCTTATTAGAACACATCAGTGGGCCCCTTCCCTAGAGGTACTGATCCATAGGCCTGGGGTGATGCTGATGCTTCTTGTCTGGGGCCCACGCTTTGAGAAAGATTGATCTAAGAGGATAAGCAGGGGCAATGGATGATGAGTCTGTGGTTTTTCTTCTGGCTCTGCCATCAACTAAGTGGTATGACCTTCAATACACTATCCATTTCATAGCACCCTATGGAGATGGGGAATGACAATGGCTCCTTACATCCACAAAGTACTTTAAGCCACACACTCTGGATCACTTACATGAACACAATTTTCTCAACTTTCTTCATGGGTATATAGGATAAATGTAAGAAAAGAAATATGATGATGCTTTGGAAAATCAGAAGTACCATAGAAACATGCTGTTTTATCATCATATTCTTTTTGGTCTTCTCTTCTTTGCCCTTCTCAATCCAAAATGGCAGATCCTAACGTTGTGTTGGGCTTAACCCACTGGTGTCTTCCTGAGTTGGACTTCTATTTTATTTTATTTTTTGAGATGGAGTCTTACTCTGTAGTCCAGGCTGGAGTGCAGTGGTGCAGTCTCCGCCCACTGCAAACTCCACCTCCCAGGTTCAAATGATTTTCCTGCCTCAGACTCCCCAGTACCTGGGACTACATACAGGCGCCCACCACCACACCCAGCTAATTTTTGTATTTTTAGTACAGACAGGGTTTCATCATGTTTCCCAGGCTGGTCTCAAACTCCTGTCCTCAGCTGATCAGTCCACCTTGGCCTCCCAAAGTGCTGGGATTAGAGGCGTGAGCCACCAAGCCCAGCTTGGGTTGGACTTCTGAGTGTAGAACTACTGATGTTAATTTAAGGAAACAACACTCTGGTTAGAAAACATGAAAAATGGCTGAAAAGTCTTATGTTGGGGGGTTTGCATCGTGGAGGATTTTCTGGGCATTCTACTAAGCTGAAGCAGAAGGACTGGCATCTGTTCAGTATCTGTGCTTGTGTCTCTACCCACTGATACCACAACCACCAGGCTTGTTTCCTGGGGATCTGTGCACTCAGATGGCCTGGCTGCTGGCAGCACCAACTCCAACATTAATCAACTTGACATCTGGAAGCAACCTGAGGCCCTCCTCAATCTGATTGCCACAAATGCCTTTACTTTCAGCTGTCAGCAAAGAGCTTATTCGGTTTAGGGTGCCAGGTCTACATCACACCATCCTCATGGAGGGCTGTACGATGTATTAACAAACAACCTGAATAAACTGGGAGTGTGGGCAAGACAAAAATTTCCCTCAGTAATCTGTCAACTCAAACCTACACCCAAAAGGCATTTTGTCTGAAGCAGCAAAATTACTGTGGTTGGGCAGATCTGGCTAGATTGTGTTCTACATATCCTTGGAGTGCATATTTTGCCCATTTTTGCAAATTACAATCCTCCTTGAGCTAACTATATAGCATAGCAGCAGCTACTTTTGAAACCCTTCAGTACCCTTTGGTCTGCTGTGGCCAAGACTTCATTCTTTAGCAGTGCTCAGAAAGATGTGGAAACCTTTCCTGAGGTGAGTTCCAAAGAAGCCCAGGCACTGCTTAGTGGATGGCAATCTACTCATTGCCATTGTTGTGACAGCAGGATGGGACTGTTGTGGTGGACACCATGTCAGTTATATTCCTTTTTATTTGAGCATTCCATGTATCCTAATATGGAAAGTAAGGCCCAGGACATTATCCAGAAGAGTTGCCTGTCAGAAATTGCTCTGTGATGTGTCAGGATGAAGCAGGCAATAAGGAATGAAACGTCATCTCATCAAGGAAAAAAAAAATCTGTAGATAACATTGTAAATCAGCCAGGAGACAAATGTCTGCCTGGGTTGTCACCCACCAGCTCACCGCATTGATTTCTCAAAGCCTAAAATCATACAGAATCCAAACCAGAACGGAAGAGCCTCCTGGCCTCCCATGTTCACTGATTTAATTTTCCCCTCTGAACACATACAGCCCCTTAATTAGAACATTTACCAACCATAAATACAATTTAAACTCCATACATATGTGCCTACACTTGTGGAGAAGCTTGAGCTGAGGTACGGTTTCAATAAAAACAGTCCTGCACTGATTAGAACGTGTAAAGAGGAAATCTGTTTATACCACAGTCTACTCAAAACTTGCGTTGGCAGCAACACTCCAGGCTAATAAATGTCAATAGCAAAACTACGTGGAGAGGATAAATTAAACTACCACAATCTGGAGATTGAGAACTCAATCTAAAATGCTATACCCAACTCATTCTGCTACGTCCAGTCATAAAGGAATATCACAAACTCTTGTCTAAATCTCAGACTCACGAAGGAGACCTGTTCAATGATACTACTCCTCTTGGTGAATTCAAGTTCACTCCCAAAAGGAAAGGAGTTTTTTTAAGGAAACTGCAGAGTCCTGCAATGTTTTTGGAAGGCATTAGTATTCACTCTCCATCTCTTAAAATAACAGTGGTATCATTCCAGATTTATAGAAGCATGAAGAATGAGATTATTGAATTAATTAAAAACCAACAGAGCATTTAAATTTGTTTGATGCTCCATTTCTCATTTTCTACTGATTTTATAGACACCAGAAATCAAGCACTGTCCATCTACCCACCTACACATCTAGGCCAGTAGCAGTCCTATCCTGATCCGTGCATGCCCTCCCGGGTCGAGAGGACCCGGCATCCCCAGCCACACTCAAGAACAAGCAGGAAGAGGAAGGGTACAAGTAGAAAAGCTGAAGGTGGTGGAAAATCTTGAGTGAAAAAAGAAAACTACATCCAAAGGCAGAGTGAGGTGTGGTGTGGAATAGCCTCCTGAGAGGCGAAATGGGCCTCACATGAGTCTCTTCCATAGGGGCTCATTAAAGAGGGATCTTAAGGTTGATGCAGGCATAACCAGTGGTACCAGAGAGAGTTACAGAAAGATCTTCAGGTGATGTGTGCGCATTTTCTTCAGGGTATCTGTGGGATAATTTACATTTATTGAACTGAAGGGAAAGGGAAGGAGCAGCTTGCTTGCAATAACAATAATAAAAACAACAATGGTAACAGCAGATCTGTGTTACATGCCACTGTTCCAAACCATTCACATTTGTTAACTCATTTAATCATAACAACCACCACCCTAGGAAGTAGGTATTATTATTATCCCCATTTCACAGATGAAGAAACTGAGGCACAGAAGTGTGGGAACTTCTCAATGTCATACTTCCAACGTCATACTGTTGGTAAGTGACAAAGGCAAAGTCAGGCAGCTCACTTGGAGCCGGGCAGCTTCACATGGTTCTCTGCTGCCTTTCTGAATGACCCAGCACATCCAGCCCTGCTCTAAGTGTTCTGCATAGATTGTAGCTCCTTGCTACAATGCTATGTGACAGGTACTATTATGCTCCCTGTCCTGCAGGTGTGGGCCCTGAGCACTGAGAGGTAAGTAAGCATTGATGGTAAGAAGAGCCCAGGCAGGCAGGCCTCAGAGCCCCAGCTGATGACCATCACTCCATACTGCCTCTTGACATGTCTGGGAGAAGCCAACTGTACATACCCATGTCCCCGCTACCCTTTCTGTCTGCCCGTTACACTTTCTCTAATTTCAGGCTCTGCCAGAACCCCTGTTGCACTCCCAAGTGACAAGTTTTTATTTGCATATCCTCTGTACTATCAGATGGGATGCAACATGCCCCAACCCCCTCCCCGCCACCGACACCTTGAACCAGGCTACCCTTCCCTTAACAGGGTCACTCAGGTGTTCACTTGGATCCTTCACAGTTAGTGAAGGCTCTGTGCACCCCAGAAGACACAAGGAGAGAGCCCAGGCAATTCTTTCTGATGACTCAGACTCAAGAAAAACTCCAGATAGCAGTACAGTCATTTATAGACCACTTCCAAGATATGAAATCAGTGCTTTTACATGTGTCATTTTATTTAATTCTCATAGTAACTCAGTGAGCATAGGTGGGACTCAAAATCCATGTCTATTTAGTGATGTTGCAATGCAAAACACCAATCTTTCCTACAGCCCTTTACAAATAACAGCAAAAAAAAAAAAAAAAAAAAATCTCACCCTCAGTTTATGGAACAAGAGGGGTTATTAGCTCAAATGGACTTATTATGTCAATTCACCCCAGAGGCCCCAGGGTTTCAACTCTAGGTAGAACAGGTTCCACATGGCTTTATTCCTTCAACGTCTCTTTCCAAATGAGAGCAGTCTCCATACTCCACCCTCTAGTGCATGTCTGGGGAGCTGAAAGCAGAGGGTCTCCATAAGGACCCCTCCTCTGTAAAATATCATTCCTTTTGTTCTCCTGAGAGCCCTGCCTGGTTAGCTGATCTTTCAGACATAATGAAAGATAGCTCTTTTTGGTTTATTTTCCCCAGATAGTTGCGGGAATGTTTTTCTGGGCTGGTGTTCAGTGGGTTTGTGTTTTTTGTTGATGTAATGGTGTTTTGCTATAGTGGTATTAGCATATTTTAAAAAGTTTTCTAAGCCATTGCCTATGCACCCAGGGGTGACTATTAAAATGATGGGGACATTTTCATAAATCCCAAACATAGATAAATATATAAAAGCAGTTAGTAAAGTGGGAAAAACTAACACAGCTAAAGAAACAAATTAGAAGGGTTTTTTAGAATCTAAAATGAGTTTCATGCCTAAAAAGAATTCCATAGAATAAAAATTTTATACATTTTAAAGGAAAAAACAATTCTATACGAATAATATGATAAATAAGAAATTCTGACTCTGATTTTATATTTCATCTAGATACTCAGGAGAAAGAAATATAGAGAGGAAAAAATTAAGCACATACAAATTGAAAATAACTATAATGTTATATCATATTTATGTATAAGAATTATTTTGTTGGAATCAAAACATGCATAACAATTTATTTTTAACTTGCCTTTAAAAAATACAGTGGCTCCTTTTGCTTTTTCTAATTTAATATCCCTGATCTTTACCATATCTGAAGCCCTCCCCAACGTAAGAGGTCAAGGCTAGAACTTGCTAATAACCATCAGAAGCTGGAAATTCTGGATCAAACATTTTCTCAAACAGAAAGAAGTATTTGCTTCCAAACTCCAACCAGGTAACAATGGTCTAAAAAATGACTAGAAATGCAGCCGGTGTTTCACTGTGGTTATTCTTTCTAATCACATACAACATTTCAAGTACTTTCCTTAAATCACTCCCAGGCAGTGAAGTCCTTTATATTCATCCTGTGATGGCGGCAGCCTTGTTGGGCAGTGTTTGTCCTAAAACAGCTGTTGAGATCCTAGCAGGGGATCCCAGCAGGGGAAAAAAGTCACATGATTCTTTAGCTCATAAACCAGCTAGTTTATTTTCTCGAGGATACATTAGGTAATCATGCTGATGCAAATAGCAAAGCTAGTAGCCCGGGGTTAGTAGCCAGAAATGGAGCTCTCTCACCTCACCTCTCTCATCTCACCTCATCTCTACTGCTGGTAGAGAATGATCCAGACGATATATTCAGCACACACACAGACCATGGGTTCCAGCTCTGCCCCTCAGTTATTTTCTGCTATCTACCAACAGAGCAGAGAGGGCGGGAAGAAAGCACAAAACTGAGCCTGGCCCCATCTGGCTGCTGGCTTCCCAGCTCCTCATCTGGTTTTCTCTCCCACGTGGCCTGAAGACCACTTGCTTGGGTGACCCAGAAAATATTCCTGTGACCTGTGCCTTTCCCCATGCTCTAACCATACCGCCAACAAGCCAGCGGCCTCCTCACTGCATCCTCTCAGCAATACTATATGGGCCCTTCCTACTATTCTAAGTCTTCTCAGTCTTTTCTCCCCAAGTGAATTAGAGGCTCCTAAAGAGCAGGAAATCCATATGCCTTTCATTATTGCTAGTACAGTACCAAGCAAACAGCAGTCTCTCAAAAGCAAATTGTATGAGGAGTCTCATTGGTGTGAGTTGTGATCAGTTGTACAAGATGGGTAAAAGGACAAAAGAAAACAAACAGCAGCAATGACAATTGGCAAGGCAAAGTCAGCCCCTGCTAAGAAACCCTGTTTGACTAAAACCTTGTTTTTATGATTGGCCCAGATATGGAGGCCTCGTACTCTGAAATAATCCTGTTGTCTTTCCTCAAGCTTTGGGTCTATGCTGACAATGAATAAAAGAGGAGAATCTTAACCTTAAAATCATTACTTTCTGGGGCAAACCTTCTAGCTCATCCCCACTAATGGATTGAAATGAGTGTCTGGAGCCAGGGACCTTTCAAATCCTCTGGGGATTTGGTTTCAGGAGGCAACACTGAAAATGCCACAAATTAAAATGCTCAGAGACCTGAGAAACGAGACTGCCTCTTACATATCAGGTCTATATCCAAGTAGTTATGTACACCTAAGTTCTTATTTCTTTGTGGGGAAGCAGGGGAAAGTCATGAGTTAATGAATTATTTTGCTTTCTGGATTTTGAGATGTGGGGTAAGTTGAAGTTTTCACTTTTTTCCCCTGAATAGTTTGATTTTTCAAATTACTCACCGTCAGTATCTATTTAAGTCAAATGAAGTTGGGGACTGAGGGTGGTAGAGAATTCAGGGCTGGCCAGCATGAAGGGGTGTGAGGAGCCCATTTCCCTCTGCCTTTGGAAAGATGGACGCCTTATCTGTGCAGACACAGGTTCTGGTTACATCACTGTTTTCCTGCACAATCCCAGGAGCAGGCCTCCTCCCTAATGGAGTTAGCAAAGGTCACTTTTCTCACTGCTGAAACTAAAATATGGTTCTTCCTCTGTAGAGAAGTTCTTTACTGATTTTATGGCCTTCCGCTGAATTTTTTTTTTTTTTTTTTTTTTTTTTTGCTATTTTCAGTATAAAGATATAAACAATTGAAGATTGCTCCCTTTGCATCTTCGTCAAGACAACCTCCATCACCTTTTCTACTGTGTGGTAAATAATTCTGGTTTTCTCCTCCACCAACTTTTCCTCCTCTTAAAAGAGACAGAAAGACCAAGCGAAGCATGGGAGGCAGAGAAAGTGGCTCATTCCTGCTAGGACACGGGGACAATGAACCTGCATTAAGGCAATAGTCAACGATTTCATTTTCACCTTCTTTCAGCCTCCCTAATCTTTGGGCCAAAGAAGCCCCCAACCTCAGATGCACACTCCCACACTTCACCCCAACCCACCTCGGGGCAGGGTCTGCACCCCCACCCGCTAGACCGGGAGAAGTCAGGCTGTGAGAGGCGAGCCTGCCACCAGCCCGAGGCTTTTCACCGCCAGCGTGGATGAGGTAACACCCGCAAAATCAGCATTTGCACACTTGCCAGGGGCTGATTACAGGCCTCTCAGCCAGGGCAGCCTACGCAATTTCGGAGCAATTTCTCCGATTACACAGCTGGTGGACCGCCCTGGGCGCTCGCTGCCTCCCGCGCAGCCACCTTACAGTCCTGGGCTCCCCATTCTCGGTGGGCCTTGCCCAGCGCCCACAAACGCTGAGAGACAAAAAGACACCAACACCCACCAGGACTGCGTCCTGCCAGCTCTTCACTCCGCTGACCTGACCTTCCACGCCCCTAGTCCTCGAGCGGACTTGACCTGTGGGGGAGTACCGAACCGTCCCCATGAGGCCCTCCAAGCGGCCAGGTGGCCTCCGCCACTCTCTCCACCCCCACCTCCTCCACCCCCCAGCCCATCGGTCCATCTTCGATCTGCAAAACACGCCGGGTCAGCGACGCATCGGTCCCAGGCTTGTGACCACCTCTTTCTCTGTTACTTGGGGAGCCAGGCCCACCGCTCAGGATCACAGTGAGGAGAAAAAAGACACAAACGCCAGGACAGGGCGGCTGGGGAAGGAAACTGCTAGGGACCGCTCATTGTCAGCCTGGCGTGTCCCACGGATCGCAGGACCCGTCGAGGCTTTGCTCTCTGCGACCCGAATACTCCTGGGCCTCTCGACCTCCTCCTCGGACTCAGGCGTCCGCGTCTCCGGTCATCACGGGAGACCAATTGGTTTACAAATAGTGATGATAAACCTGGGACCGACCTTGGGGCTGTGTAAAAGTCTACTGACAGATGTAATGGAGGGTTGTTAGCAGTCACAAAGCCTGTCGGACCCGTAGCATTAGTTCAAGAGACTATTTTCGTGTCGCACCAAAATTACTGCGCGTGTAAACCAATTTCCCCGACGGAAGAATAAACAGAGATTCGTTTGAAGCGCGAGATGAAAACAGATGGGGTATCGCAAACAGTTCCCCAAAATACAACAGACTTCTGGGCCAATTACACGTGGTTAGCTCTGAATGGCAGAGGAAATAGTTTTCTTTGCTGCTAAATGTCACAAAAGTCACCTAAAGGCACAGAGGAGGCCGCTCTGTTTTTGCGAAACTTGCTAAAATTAATCTGCGCTGGGCCACTTGCAGAAAGCAGAACCACCTCCCGCCCCCACCTCGCCTCCAGCCGCCGGGGTTCAGGCGTTTGTGAAAGACAGAACCTTTGGGCTAGGGACCCGGGCACTGGTGCTTCGAAGTCCGAATCCGCCGGCCGAGAAAACGACAAGAGAAAGAAAATCCAGCGGGCGCTCTCTCCAGCGCCAGGCCGGTGTAGGAGGGCGCTGGGGCTCGGCCTGCCACCCCTACCCGACATTGGGAAGCAGCCCCTGCGCTCCCGCGGCGCCTCAGCCTCCGGTCCCCGCCCCGAGGTGCGCGTTCCTCCTCCCGCATGCCCGTCTCGGGCCCCACGGAGCAAGAAGATAGACGATGACGAGGCGCGCCCATCCATCCGGGCCGACGAGGTCAGGCCCGCGCCACAGGCAAAAATTGCGCAAGCCCGGCCGCAGGGATTTCGCGGGCGCCTGGGTCCCAGGTGCGCGGCCGAAATCCTCAGGGAAAATCCCGAGGGGCCAACGGTCTAGGCCACAGGGCTGCTGGGCCCGGGCCTGGCTCAGAGCGCATTCGGGCGGGGAGGCCGCACGCCGCACCCGGGCCTCTCCTCCGAGCCCGAGGCAGGCACTGAGCTCCGGGCCAGCCAGGTGCCTCCCGGCTGGTGCGAGACCCCGGGCCTGCTGGGAGGCGTGGGCAGGGCAGGGCAGGGCTGAACCCCAGCGACTGAATCTCGAAGGCAGGAGGCCTCGGAGGTCATCGGCCCAGCTCGCCTGAAACTGTCCCTGCTCGTGCCAGGGCGCGGGCAGAGGAGAAAGGACAGGGCGGAGCAAGCCCACTGCAGAACTGCGGTCGGTGGCTGCGAAGGGTCCGGGTCACCGCGCTCCCGGACGCCGGAAGCCGCGCTGGCGGGGCCGCGGGGAGGGAGGCTGGGTACCGGGGCCGTCCGGCCGGAGGAAGCGGCTCCGGCCGCGCTGTCCGCGCTTGGGAGCCGCGTGCAGGGTTCAGCCGTGTTTCAGTTGCCCTCTGACCTGACCCCGGGCGCACAAAGGCCTCCCGGGTGCGCCGCCATGGCCCAGTCTTCCAGTCGCTGCCAAATTAATGAGCCCACGTCAGGTTGGGTTTACAGCTCGGCCGGGAAGCAGCCGAGTGGAAAATGAGCTCGGGGCCGCTCCAGAGGCTCCCGCACAACTGCAGAGGCTGCCCGCGTCCCTGGCCGCCGCAAAGGCCGGGCGCAGCCCAGGAGACCGGGAGTCGCGGCCCGCGCGGTTCCGCCCTCGGCTTCGACTTTAGCTGCCTCCAGAGGGAACAGGCCTGGTGTAGCGAAACCTGGTATGTGAGAAATGTGTCTGTCCTGCTTTATTAAAACAACACAAACCCCACATTTAACATCCAGCAGCAGCGGGCGAGGCGTGCTTGACATGGGTCGTTGGGTTGCGGGCTTGGCGACCCTTCTGTGTCCTTGCAGCGCCCTACTTTGCCCTGGGCTTCCTGGCTTTGGGGGCTCAAGTTCGTGTTCCTGGGAATCCCTGCTTCTTGACCACAAAGAATCCAGGAGCCTCCCAGTGAGTGTGTACCAAGGTGGGGACAGAGAATGGTGGTTGGCTCCTTCCAGGGCAAGGGTCTGTCTGGAAGGTCAACACCCAGGAGACATTTTCAATCAGCTGCTGGGTGCCAAGTTGGAAGCCAAAGATTACTTGAAATAGGATTTGGTGTGTGTTTTGAATAAAAGTCGACCCGCGAGTTTATCACAAAGCTTCCCAGACTGGCTCCTGGGGCTGACGGCTCTGCTTTCTTACTGCTCTTTAAATGCTGTGGGGAATTCAGTTCAAGAAAAATGACTAAACTTGAAGCTGATAAAGCTTAAGGCATTGATTTATATTATTCCTTCCAGATTTTTCAAGTATATTAAAAGAATGTCTTTTCATCTAAAAACACTCAAAAGGTCGGAAGAGCAATGCTCTTGAAAAAGCCCTCTCCCTGCAGCTTGGTTTGCTGTTGAGAACCAAGAAGGTTAAGTAAGAACTAGAAGACACTGGTGTGACTGTTGAGTCTGAATCATGTGTCACTCCTGCATGCCCCCCACACTTACTCCAAGGACTGCTGCCTTTCAGACGCGGAGGGCTTGGGTATTGACCCCTGTTCTTCTGGGGATCTAAGCAAGGAGAGCACTGAGTCACCTATTATAACCCCTCACATTTGCTCATCAATTTCCCTTGCCTGGACTCCACAGAGGCCCTCCCACTGTCCTGTGGGCACTTCCAACTCTTGCAGACCTGGCTGCCCTCTCTGAGCCCACATCTTCCTCTGAAATCTCGATGTTCTTAGAAGGTGAAGTTGGCTTCTCTGAAATCTCAGTGTTCTTACAGGGTGAAGTTGGCTTATGATGCCAAGCAGTCATTACCTTTAAGGTGTTAAGCTATCTCAAGGAGTGCAGGGCAACTAAATTATAATGTAATTATCTTTTTAGATAAATAGTCCATCTCCTCTAAAATGTAAAACCTCTGGGGACAGTGGCCAATATTAATTGTCTGTGTTGCCTCACACCACAATACCAGATCAAGAAATGTTATCTATGTTGATTCCACAGCTAATTTGAGTAAACACAGTCCCCGCTAAAATGCTGAAAACTAGAGTGACGTTAGGGGGAGGTACCAGCTCTTCCCTTGCCATTAATTCCTGCTTCATTTTAAATGTCAATAGATTTTTCTTCTGAAACCAAACTGAGGGAGAGAGAGAGAAAAAGACAAGAGAGGAGGGCCAATGCCAAGGATAAGTTTTACCTACTGAGTCAGTATTGTACTTGGAGCTCACATTCATCACACTCTGGCTGCATTTTATTAGCTAGATTATATAATACCATATGCCTCAGTTTCTCATCTGTAAAGTGAAGATAGGCATTCCTTCCTGTTCTAATATTACAACTTACCTTATTAGTAGGCAGTAAGGTGGGGGAAAGTGCTCTCTTCACTAAAATATGAGAAAGTGAAGAAAAATCATCAGATATTTTAAGGAAACTCTTTAACAAAAGATGAAGACCAAAATGGAAAAATAAGTAACCAAGAGGAAGTAGAGAAAATTTTTAAAAACACACATAAAACAAACAAATCCTGTAAGTAAAATCTTTGAGGAGATGAGAAAAACTATTGATTGTATCCGTGAAATAAGAAAAGGATGCTCTAAAAAAGAAACATTAAGAGAATAAGGAATAAATTTTGGAAATTAAAAATGTGGTAGAAATAAATTCAGTAAAAGTTGAAGTCCAGATGAAGTTACAGAAATATTTCAAAAAAAGAATAAAAGGACCAAAAGATGGAAAAAAATAGAAACAAAAAGATAAGGAAACTAGATCAATACAGGAGGCCTAACATTCAAGTTGAATTTCTGAAAGAAAGTACAGAGATAATAGAGAGGTAAAATTATTTAATAATATGGTACAAGAACATTTCCCAGAATTAATTGGGATGACTTCCCAGACTGGAAGGACCAATTGGGTGCCCAATACAAAGAAGGAAAAATTTTTAGACCAAAGCACATAATCATAAAATTTCAGAAACTCATGAATAAATAGAAACTTCAAAACACTTCTAGAAAGAAAAACAGGTCCTTTACCAAAATCAGGAATCAAAAAGGCATTGGACTTCTCAAAAATAACACCGAAAGTGAAAAGGAAAGAGAGCAATGTTTACAATTCTAAGGAAAAATCATTTCCAGTCCAGAATTCTATATCCAGCTAAACTACCCACCAAGTGTACAGATAGAATAAAGGCATTTTCAGAAAGCAAACTTTTCACAGTTGTATCTCTCATGGACCCTGTAATAGAGGCTGGTGGCTCACCCAACAGCCATTCTTGTCATTCTTACATATTAATTTTTTTCAGGCATCACACAGCAACATGCTTCCAGAAAGCCAAGCCTCTCCCCAGCCTGAAGGAATAGCTTTGATTAATCTAAGCTAAAAACTGATCATTCCTTATCCCCTGCAAATGATTGGCTTAGAAATGAACATGCAATACAATTAAGATCAATTAAACCTGAGGAATAGTCTTCTAGAGGTATGGAAATATTTTTTTCACGTTAAAATGCATAAAAGGAAGGGCCTTACTTTTTCAGCCTTTGGATGTAATTGTGTGAGGACATGATGCTCCAAGTTGCTGTATTTATCTTATGACTCCAAGGGAAGAATCCAAATGCCAAGGATGACAGAGAAGAAAGATGGAAAGAATCTGGGTATTTGATGATGTCACTGAACCACAGCATTAATTATACCTGAAACTGGGCAACATTCAGGCTTCTTGTTATGTGAGTGCCAGAATGCAAACTCTCTGCACTTATGGTAATCTTTCAAGCTAAATTGTATAATAAGAACAATAATAATTAATGAAAATACCTACCATTGATTGAATACTTAGATACTGTTCTATGATCTTTTGATTAATGGCTATAATAAGCCTGTGAAATAAGTATATTAATCCAGTTTGCAAACGAGGAAATATAGGCTCAAACAAGTAGGCAAATGAGCCAGATTTATATCCAGTCCTGACTCCAGTGACCTAGTATTTAACTTTGATTCCACACTCAGGGCTTGTCAGATAATACTCAGACATATGATAGGCACCTGTGTCCATGGATTTGGGAAAATGTTTGGAAACAAAATATGCTGAGCTCAAACATGCACTTAATAACTACTTTTAATTCACTTCATCATTTGTCAGCATAGTTCAATTCTGTGATAACCAACTTTCAGGACTGGCCCCAATGATTCTCTTTTCCTATTATTTACACTTTTTGTTGTCCACTCCCATACTAAATAGGACTGAACTGTGTAACCAGTAGTATAGTATGGAAATGACAATGTGTAACTTTGAAGGCTAGATCATAAAACATATTGTGTCTTCTGCCTTGATTTCTCTTGGATCACTCACTTTGGGAAAAGAGAGTTGTCATGTCATACATACTGAAGAAGCCATATAGAGAGGCCCATGTGTCAAGAAACTGAAACCTCCTGCCAATATCCATGTGAGTGAGCCATCGTGGAAGTGGATCCTCCAGCCTCAGTCAAACCTTCAGATGACCACAACCCCGGCTAACACTTGAGCCATAACCAACCAGCTAAGTCACTACTGAATTCCTGACTCACAGAAACTGTGAGATAATAAACGTTTATTGTTGTAAGCTGCTCAGTTTGGGGATAAATTGTTACTCAGCAGCATATAACTTAATATTCTGGGTAATTAAATAAGCCTTCCCTTAATTTTAAAGGTAAGAAGTCACCTTAGATTTATCACTTGATGTTTTTCAAAGGAAAATATGTGGTCCTCACCACAATCCTGTGGAATTAATAGGGAAAGTGTCTTTTCAGAAAACAGATCGCAAAAGAAAAAAAGAAAAGAAAACAGATAGATCATCAGACAGACTTACTCAAGCTACCGGAGGGCCAAAATTAACAGAAAAAGCATTCAGGATCTTTTTCATATGCCTTGCCAGTATCTCTGTTAAGAAGTTGGCTTAGGCAGAAAGACCCTGAGAATCAATACAAAATAAAATAAAAATGAGAAAAATCCTTAAAGCGTCCCTAACATAAAAATATTTCCAGGCTGGGCAGAGTGGCTCATACCTGTAATCCCAGCACTTTGGGAGGCTGAGGCAGGCACATCACCTGAGGTCAGGAGTTCAAGACCAGACTGGCCAACATGGTGAAACCCCGTCTCTACTAAAAATACAAAAATTAGCAAGACTTGGTGATGCGCACCTTTAATCCCAGCTACTTAGGAGGCTGAGGCATGAGAATTACTTGAACCCAGGAGGTAGAGGCTGCAGTGAGCTGAGATAGTGCCACTGCACTCCAGCCTGGGTGACAGAGCGAGACTCCATCTGAAAAAAAAAAAAAAAAAAAAAAAAAAGTCTGTTTCCTCAGAGGCAGTCAGCATCCTATCACACTTCTGCTGCTGTCAGGCCTCTGCCCCCTTCTGGTTCTCACAGTGCACATGACTTTATGGTCTTGCATCTGATTCAAAGTTGTAGACAGTCATCAATTTTGAGAACATTCATGTATTGTGAACAGTGAAACTGTTAATGGTTATGGTGTTTATAGCTTGGGTTCAAACAGGAAACTAATAAAGATAAAATCACTGTTTGATAAGGTGCTCAAACCCCAGTCAATGGAAAGCCTGTTGCACAACAAGACTCTGACTCCATCATTGGACCCTAGATCCATTCTCAGAAAACACAGTTAGGAGGGAGTTAAAGTGAACAGAGCTGATGTGTTTCTCATAGAACTAATAATATCAAGATGATAAGTGCTACTTTTGGACAATAATGATTGAGTGAGTGAGCGAGTGGCTGAGTCTGCTTTTTGTGAGGCATTAGCTCTATAGAGTTTGTTTTGGTTTCCTGTTTACTTTGAAAGAGCAAGCAAAATCTTTGGGGCCAAAACTGATCTGACAGAAACCTCAGTTGATGACCTTGGCTTGAGTTAGGGCAAACTCTTGCAAACGAAGCCTTTTCTTTCCTCGAGAGGCAGTAAAGTTGTACTATATATGGCCTTTCACGAGCAGTCATCTGCATCAAGGAACTTGGCAGAAAGGCAGCCTGAGTTTGTTTCTTAAAAGTAATACACATTAAAGTCTGGAATGGGCTGCAGAGCACATACCCATCTGCAGCCGATGTTGCTACAGGTGTAGGATGTTGTGGTTTCTAACAACTTACATGTGTTCTCTAAACAATACCTCGAGTGTCTTTTTGTTTCTGGCCTGTGTGGTTTCCTGCATTTCCGGCAGCTGATCCTATGTAGAAAGGCAGCTGCCTGCAAAGTATTACTGAAAATTATGTATGAAGACACACATGCAGAAAATGGTGTTGGCTCTGAAAGAAGCTCACCCTGAGCTTGGAGCAGGATGGAGCCTGGAGTACTTGTTTGAGAAGCTGAAATAAGCACAGTGTTACTGACATCCAGGCCCCAGCAGCTTCCCAGCACCCCCAGGAATTCCTCTAGCTCCCAAGCCCTTGAACTCTGCAGCAGGCTGAGTTCTATTCCTCAGAATAGAAATTTGGATTAGAAATAAGAGAGTAGTCCGAGGGCTAAGAGAAGGGAAGGCACTCATTAGGTGAGAGCTCTTGCCAGATTCCACAGTGCAAGCAGGGGATGTTGAGTTTTTTGTGTGAATCATCCAAGTAATAAATCAAGCGTTGGCTCTGGAGCCTTAATCTTGGGAGCCAGTGATATCACTGGGACACAGCAAAGTGACAGATGCCCAGAGTGTGGAACTGAAGATTAGTATCTTAGAGGGCCAGGTGACGCTTTAAAAAGCAAGCGCATAGATAATCCTGAGCCCTGTCTATATACAGTCAATTCACTAAGACATTCATCAACACCTGCCAAGCTAAGGGACCTCTCTTACTCCCTCTCCATTTGCCCTACATAAAAGCAATGAAGTGTGTGTATATGAGTAGGCAGTTGCAAGCCCCTTCATGTAAACTATTATAACAACTTTAAATTTTTTTCTTTCAAAAACAGTTTTAGGAATGGGAGGCAGATTAAACTGTTTCCCTGCAGGGATGTGTTCATCCAGTTGGCTGCTGAGAAAAGTGACCTGGCAGAATCCTCGTTCCTGACGCCACAGGCTAGGCACTCCTTAGTGGACTAATGAAGTGTGTGCTTCCCCATTCTGTCCCAGTGTTGTGAAGGAGACAAGGGAAATGAGAGGTCAAAAAGGGCAGCTGGCAGGGCAATCCCATGGCTGTGCCACCAGGCAGGGGAGGGAGTGAGTTCTCCAAGTTTCAGGTCCTCCTCTTCTATCCTGGGTTAGGGTCTCTCCTGCCTTTTGTAGCTTCTTAGTTAATTACCCAGCAATCGGCTGCAGGTGAATAGGTGAAGTGATGAAGTGAGAGGCTGAAATCCTGCCTAAGACTCTTAGAGTGTGAGCATAGGCCCAAGCACTTAGGACTTCTTAGGCCTTCTGGCCATCATATGGCAGTCATGTGAAATAAGGACTCAACCTCTCAGATATTGGAGAGGACTGATAAAGGCATTATTTTCTTTTTAATTTAGCAACTTACAGTAGGCCTTAGACTCTATGTATGTCAGGAATGTCTGGGAAGGTTTCTCTGTAGAACATTAGTTCTATTTCTTTTCTTTAAAAAATACATTAAATGTCTGGGCATGGTGGCTCACGCCTGTAATCCCAGCACTTTGGGAGGCCAAGGTGGGCAGATCACGAGGTCAGGAGATCAAGACCATCCTGGCTAACACGGTGAAACCCCGTCTCTACTAAAAATACAAAAAATTAGCCGGGCATGGTGGCACGTGCCTGTAGTCCCAGCTACTCTGGAGGCTGAGGCAGGAGAATCACTTGAACCCAGGAGGCAGAGGTTGCAGTGAACCGAGATGGTCGAGATGGTGCCACTGCACTCCAGCCTGGGTGTGAGAGTGAGACTCCGTCTCAAAAAAAAAAAAAAAAAAAAAAAACCATTAAATTGCTTAGTGGACTTCCAATAAAACATGGCTAGTTATATACACATATTTGCCTCTACTCCCTCCAGAAAGTCCACTAAAATGACAACTAAGGGATTAAATGAAAGTTAAACAAAGAGAAGAAGAGAAACAGTAACAACATTTAAAAGCCAAAAACCATTGGAGGAATGGTAATGACTTAGCCGACCCAAGAAAATAAGAAAAGCTGGGAGGCAACCTGATTTAAACCACGGAATCCCCAAAAGGTACAGGAATGGGCAACACCAGTTACCTCTAGAAGGGGACTAAGGATGGGGCTAAAAATAAGAGGACGGGTTGAGGTTGTTAAAGAGTCAGACCCAATATCTCCTCTACCACTCTGGCAGAAGACTGGAAACTCATTCCCTGACAAAGATAAGGCAAAGGATCTGTTGAACTGGGGAACAGCAAGAATAGTGAAGATGAAAAACTATCCTGAAAACAGGAGCAATGAGTGAAAGCCGACACACTGAATGTTGAAATTACCCCCTCACTGTATTTTGCCCCCCTAGTGAAAAGAGACTTCTTTGGGAAATCTGGACAGTTTAAGAGAAAAGCTATGAGACTGATATCAGGCATTTACCTATGAAATGGCTCAGCCAGATCACCCCGCTCTAAAGGGAGTATCTTGAGCCCTCCCTTTGCATACAGAGCCTTCCATCAGATCTGTAGAGCCCTATTCCTACATATGAACAGATAGCCAAGGATTACCTGACATTTGAGGAAGACTTCTTAGAGGAAAGCAAGAGGCCAGATTATCACACACCGGGGCCTGTCGTGGGGTGGGGGGAGGGGGGAGGGATAGCATTAGGAGATATACCTAATGTAAATGACGAGTTAATGGGTGCAGCACACCAACATGGCACATGTATACATGTGTAACAAACCTGCACGTTGTGCACATGTACCCTACAACTTAAAGTGTAAAAAAAAAAAACTTGGAAGGAAATAATGCAGGAAGATGATGATATTACTATCACATGGCTCAGCTATTGATAGCTTTTAAATGGTCATAAAATGCGAACATCTATATCAATCTAAAAGTCTCTAAAACTATTTGGGAGTACAGAGTTGGAGGGTGAGGAGTCATGTGACTATGGGTGATGATGGAAGGGGGTGAGAAAGAGTGCTATATCCTTATCTTCCATAGTTTAATATTTAAAAGTGAAAAATCAGGATGTAGCAATAAAAGCATGTGATTTAGAGATATGGATGTAAATACCAAGATAATCATTTGAAAAAGTCTAGTGGGTTTGCCTTTAAGAGCGGGAAGTGGAAGAGGCTGGGAGAGGAGACTTCTGTTTCTCATACAAGCCTTAAACAACTCTTTGTCTCCTTACATGCATGCACATATCACTTGGATAAAAGTAAACACTACATAAAACATTACATCATCACAGGGCTTCTGCTTGGCACATTCTTGAATTGCCAAGAATCAAAATATCAATTCTGTGATATTGTACACAGCTGAATAGATATTGCTTTCTGAAAATCTTGGTGGTCTCACACATCCATTTATTTTAGTTCTAATGTGAAACTCGTATGATTTTCATGATTTCTTGATCCACTATGATGTTTCTCAAACCCTCTGCAAGGCAAGGGTAATTAGTTAGAGTACAGCCAGAAGTTACAACACCCAATCTCTTTTCAGGGCAATGAGGAGGTGACCCAAACACAACCCTCTTCAGTAAAACAATGATATAGGAATGATGGCAGCTTACAGTTTCACAATCTGGAAGTTTAGGAACTCTTACTTTCCTTGTTATGAAAGTTTTCACATTGAGTAATCTCACCCTCGTTATGAAAATTTTCACATTTAGTAATCTCACCTTCAAAGCTATACTCACAATTTGGGCTATTTATGACCTTTTCCATGATTTTCAACTGATTTCAGCATCTAAGATAGCTCACTCGAAAGCAGTTCCTATGAAGTTTTTCAGTGTGAGTTACACAGACAATACATCTAAGACATAAAACAGTCCAGATGACTATGTGGTTAAGGCTCCAAGGATCCACGTTCCAGACTTGTTTCTGGTTCTTCTGTGAGAAGCAGCCACAGAAAAACTTCCCCAAGGAAATGAGCCACTCCAGGAGGTGGTGGAAGCAGAAAAACCAAGGGAGTATCCAAATTTAAGAAGGACTTAGGATATATTGAGGGAGGATTTTTTTTTTCTTTTAAAGAGAAAAGTTTGGAGAAAAAACACAAAGTGAGAGCCAGAAAAAAAAGTTTACCTTTTGTTCAGAGATTTGAAGGTAAACTTCAGAGGTGCACTTCATTCCATTTTCCAGACAAATATGGATACTACCCTTCTACACAGAATCTTACTGACACCAATTTTGTGCAAGAAATTGTGCTGATTGCTATAGGAGATTTAAAAATGCATTTAAGGGGGGCTCATCTTAAGAATTTTACCAGGTCTGAAACTCTTAAATACTTATCTCTGAAAGCGGATTTTCTCTCAGTGTATATTTTATGTAATTCTCTCTGTGTATTTTGCATAGGCATATTCATCTCTGTTGTCTTCCTTGGGTTGTAAATTCAGTCTGATACTGGGAGCACTTACAAATATTATTAGATTTGAATGACTTTTGTTGCTTTAGAAGATGATGAAATTGATTATAATTATGAAGAACAATATTTTCTACATGCACTAAATAAAAAGATGAAGTCATTATTCTTCAACTCTACCCATGTGATAGTCTAAATCTGTTTCAACTGGTACAGAGTTTTGCAGGATCATTTCTATAAGCTGGTCTCTCATTTCTCCCATTGTCTTTCTCGAGGATACCATGTGATGTTCCATGGTTGGAATCATTTTAGATGATCACTTTGTTTTAAATTGGAAGGCTACTGGACAACCCCTCTCTGTGTTAAAATGAATTTCACAAAGTTATTTTTTAATCAGGTGGTTAGATAAAGAAAATCACTATGAAACATAAGCCAGAGATGTGTACATAAACCTAAAACCTGCTACTCTGCAGTTCATCGTCCAAACTCATCCTGTGTGAGGACATGACATAGCACTGTGCTATCTCAGAGTCTAATTTGCAAAGGCAAAACCTATGGCCCCGTGGGCCCAGATTCTTCTGAATGTTTATCTTCCCAAGACTTCTTGAACTTTGTTCCCCAATCAGCAGGCAGCGCAGAGTGAAAGCACCTGGGCCCATTTGTCTACAAATGCCAAGTGAAATCAAAAGTGGGAACTCAGGCTGGGATTTTTCCAGCAAAGCTGTATTAGTGCAGGGGAAAAGAGGGTTTCCTTTGTATGTTTGTGGAAGAATGCCAGTCTGTCAGTCTCTGCTCAGTGCTGTGCTCATCAATGGCTCTGTCAGTGCAGACTAGATCAGCCCCTGTGTCCAAGTTATAAATGAAATATCACTACACCTGTCGGGTTTGGAGCTCGGCCTGAGGCCTCAGCTTCCAGGCCATGGTCCATGTTGCTGTTTTAAATTACAAGAGACCAGGAGAATTATTTGCTGTGTCCTTTCTATGCAGATATGAAAAATATCTATGGATATTTTTCTTCTTGAATCTAGACAAGTATTCGGATTCGTCAGACAACATTTTTTAAGTAACTTACATTTTTAATTCACAGAATGAAGATGTGCACTACAAATGATTGAAACTAGAAAAATCTAAGAAAATAGCATTTGTGCTTGCAAGTAATTCCTCATTAATTTCTAATTTACATTTTTAAATTGTTTCTTCAAATCTCAAGTGTCTAATTTCACCTCGTTCATTTGTCTGAGTGATACGCTAATGTTTCTAACTGCCAATGCTGTCTGGGAAGGACTAAAAGCGTTGTTTTGGCAGTTTCTCTCCAGGTGGCTGTGAAAGTGAGCTAGGTTTTGTACTCTCCCCAGAGCTAATGCATTAGGGGGACTCACTTGTGTTTAGCAAGGAAGCCCTGTGTGGGATATTCCGCTGATGTGTAGTATAATCTGATGTTAAAGTTTAACAGCTACCAGGGAAAAAAAAGGTTTATTGAGTGTTAACAGCAGTGCTGCAGGGTTGTACTCTCAGAAAGGAATTTTTAAAAACACACAGTAGGAAGCTCACAGGAAGTTCTTCAACTGGATCCAGCAGTAGACAACAGTGACTTGGACAGGAAACAGGCTGGAAGCTTGTGGGAGGCATCTGAAACCAGGCTCCTGACCATGCCTACAGCAACACAAACTCCATAAAGTGGTCAATTTTGCTTAGGAAAAGCTCCTGAACAGTGGCAGTTAATATTTAAACTAACTTGTATATTTGATGATGGAAGCTTTTGGCACAGGTGTTATTTCTCCTGGTGGCACTCAACCTAGGACCTTCCAGACAAGTTGAGGAGTTGGAGAATACTGTTGGCCTCCCTACTCCATTTCAAATGGAAAACAAACTTATCCAAATTGGAGGGAAATGTCTCCTGATGGGATCCTCCACCTCCCTTATTACATAGTCTGCTTTGGTAGTATTGCCTCATTTTCATGCATTCATGCTTCCATGCATTCATTCACTCAAAAGTATCTATTACATTCCAGGCACCATTCCAAGACTGGGCATCCAGCAGAGATCAAAACAGGCTCAAGCTCCTCCCCTCATGGCACCGATATTCCAGTGGCATGGACTCAGAGAATGTCAGAACTGGGGCCTATGGTGTTCAGAAGTTACAAATTCAAATTGCTACAGGGGCAGGACAAGGAGTGAAAATGCACAAAGGTGATAGGAAGGGTGATAATAGCAAACCAGAGAGCATGTGTCCCAAAAGGTATCCAAATATAGTTTTTTTAGAACAGTGTACAGTCTAAACAAAAGAGGCCTCCAATGGCTGCCATTCAATTCTCAAACATCCTTGGAGCAGAAATCAAGACCCAAAACAGATATGTGCCTTGCTGAAGGTCATATAACCAGGCAGTGGCCAATCTAAAGCTGGAACTCAGCTTTCCTGGCCCTGGCCCAGTGCTTTGTTTCTATGCTAAACTCCCGCTGGTCAGCTCCTCGAGGCATCTCAGAAAGTTACTAGTATTTAACATGATCTCGCTGAACAACCCATTCATTCTCTCAACAATTATTTATAAAGCTCTATCATGTGCCAAACACTGAGGAAAGCTTAAGAGTGTTCAACAACTCCAACGTCAGGAATGGGCCTTAACCTCCCAGAGCTTAAGAGCAGATTGCTTTAGCAATCTAATGTATAATTAGTCAGAAACAATAAATTCCTTTTTTCCCCTTTGAGCACTTCCAGGGCAGTAGTTAGAGCGGTCTAGGCTCGGATACACACATGTGCTCAACCTGGGCAAGAAATAAATGTACTGTTACATAATTGATATCATGTGTCCTTTAAAATTAACTTAGCCCAACAATTGGTATAAAAAGATTACTGTGGAATAGTGACTAGGTACATAGAAGGTGCTAAATACATACATGTTGGCTGAGTGGCTATAAGTGTTCATATATTATGCAGTCTCAGCTGCTAAGCAGATGCTTGAACCTGTACATTTGGCTACTTTCAAGAAGCCTCAACAGTGGCATAGTAAGTGTCAGGGCTAGCCACTCACTGTGCAAATGTTGATGGAGTGCCTACCTCCCATGTGGAAGGCTTCTAGAGTGTACATGTAAGTGCTGTGGCATTCAAGTATCAGGGTTAATGAACCAAAAGTAAGTTGGAAACCATTTTTTTCTAACTATTTCCCAGAAATATAGTAGAATTATTTGGAAAATAGCCCAGAGTAGGTCTCCTAGATCAGCAATTCCATGCATACCACCTGCCACAGCTGGAAGGAGAAATAACCAAAAGTGTGATCTGCACTGATTCATGGACTGTGGCTGATGGTTTGGCTGGATGGTCAGGGACTTGGAAAAAAACACAATTGGAAAATTGGTGACAAGGAGATCTGGGGAAGAGGTATGTGGATAAGCTTCTCTCAATGGGCAGAGAGTGTGAAGAGATTTGTGTTCCATGTGAATACCCATGGAAGGGTGACCTCGGATGGATAGGATGGCACATTCTATCAGCCTCCTTCTATACCCACTCTTGTCATTGCCCAGTGGGCTCATGAACAAAGTGGCCATGGTAGCAGGGATGGAGGTTATGCAAGGACTAGCACCATGGACTTCCACTCATCAAGGCTGACCTAGCCATTACCACTACTGAGTATCTAATCTGCCAACAGCCCTTGAGCCCCTAATATGGCACAATTCCCAGGGAGATCATCCAGGTATTCATTGACACATTGATCCCATTTGGACTATTTCCATAATAGAAGGGACAGCACTGTGTTCCAACAAGAATGGGTGCTTATTCTTTTTGCCTTCTCTTGCCCACGATGTTTCTACCTAAACTACTACTATCTGTGGACTTACAGAATGCCTTATCCACTGTCACGATATTCTACACAGCATTGTTTCTGACCAAGGAATTTATTTTATAACAAATGAAGTTGCAGCATTGGGCCCAAACTCATGGAATTCACTGGTCTTACCATGTTCCCCATCATCTTGAAGCACCTGACTTGATGGAATAGTGGAACAGCCTTTTGAAGGCTCAGTTATGGTGCCATCTAGGTAGCAATACCTTGCAAGGCTAAGGCAATACCTTGAAGTGTCCTCCAGGATACAGTATATATGCTCAAAATTAATGTCTAATATATATATGGTGATTTTTCTCTCATAGCCGGGATTCATGGGTCTGGAACTTAAGGGGTGAAAATGGGAGTGGCTCATCTCACTGTTACTCATTTTTTATTCCCATTCCTGCAACTTTTTGGCTCTGCTAGTTTGGGAGTTTTCATTTCAAAAGGAACTAAAGGTAGAAAATGCTTCCACCAAGGGACACAACATAATTCCACTGAAGTAGACACTGAGACTCCCCCTGAATAATTTGTGCTCCTTATGCCAGTGAATCAAGAAATAAAGAAAAGGGTTACTATATTGGCTGGGGAGACTGGTCCATGATAAGCATAGGAAATTGGGGTTACTATACAATGGGGCTAAGGAATAATACATTTGGGATGCACTAGATCCTCTGGGGCACCTTTTACTATTCCTGTGTCCTAGGATTAAAGTCAATGGAAAACTTTAAAGTCAATTGGAAAACAACTCAATTCAGATAGGACTGCTAGTAACCCAGACCTTTCAGGAATGAAGGTTTGAGTCACTTTCCAGGCAAGGAAACTCAACCAGCTGAAGTGCTTGCTTAGGGCAGAGGGAATATGGAATGGGTAGTGGAAGAAAGCAGTGATAAATACTAGAAATGACCACGGGACCATTGCATAAATGAAGACTGTAATTGTTTGAGTGTTTCTTCTCTTTTTTAGTACTTATATGTTTGTATATATATTGGCCAAATATTTTTGTTTTCTTACCGTCTCTCATCCCCATATTATCTAAGCTGTGTTAAATAGTAATTAATCTTATATACCAGTATTTAAGTTATAGGATTATCAGAAGAGGATTGTGAATCAATTGGAAGAATTAACATCACCAAAAGACAAAAAAAAAGGGCCTTTGTCTCCTCTTCTAGGGAAACTGTTAGTGTGTTTTTGGTTGTATGTGTAATGGTTGTTTCACATCAGATAAAGCATGACTTTGTTATGGGTTCCATTTGGAGATAAAATATGCCCTATGAAGCTATGTAGAGTACAAGTTGACAAAGGGTTGACTGTGGTGGCTTTGTAATGTGTCAGGTTGACTAGATTGAATTACATTTCCCTTACCTCTATGTTTCCAGGTAAGGAGGGTCACAAGAGAGATTCTTGTGTGAGATCTGGTGGTGGGAGAGAAGCAGCAACCTTCATTGTTCACCTTCCAATTCACCCTATTGGTGTGATACGGCAGCCAGGCCAGCAACTGCTCCATCTTCTCCTATACTCTCCTTCAACTGCTCTGACTCTTGGGCCAGGTATGTAGCCCATATCTGTCATGAAGGATGTCAACTTCTACAGACACTCAAACCATCAAGAAGTAGCCAAAACTCCCAGCTCAGCTGGTGACTGCAGGTTCCACCTTCTTTTTGCTCATCCTACTTGGCACACGCCTTTCCTTCCTACCCTGCAGCCTTCAAACTGTCCACCTGCAAATTTAAATTTCTACCTCAGTCACAAAGTCAACAGCCTTACAGAGACTGCTTAACCAGCTCCCACACTTGCTCAAGATCAGATCTCTCCAACAAATTCCTTATATGCATACCTTCTTGTGCTTTTGCTTCTCTGACTGAACACTGACACAGTGTTAAAGAACAGGGGAGCTGGCCAGGTGTGGTGGCTTACACCTGTAATCCCAGCACTTTGGGAGGCCAAGGCGAGTGGATCACCTGAGGTCAGGAGTTCGAGACCAGCCTGGCTAACATGGTGAAACCCCATCTCTACTAAAAATACAAAAAATTAGCTGGATGTGGTGGCAGGCACCTGTAATCCCAGCTACTTGGGAGGCTGAGGCAGGAGAATCACTTGAACCCGGTAGGCAGAGGTTGCAGTGAGCCAAGATTGCACCATTGCACTCTAGCCTGGGAAACAAGAGTGAAACTCCGTCTCAAAAAAAATAAAATAAAATAAATAATAATAATAATAATAAAGCTTATTTCCCTCACATGGTAACAGTTCAAAGGTGGGCAATCCAGGTTGGCAGGACAGCTCTGTCCCACATGCACATTTGGGACTGTATTGTACTACTATTGTAGGGCATTGTCATTACCCACTTGGTCAAAGCAAAGTCTTCACATCCAAATTCCAGCCAGCAGGAAGGGGCAAGAGGGTATGGAGGAGCTACACCCAACATCTAAGGCCCAGCCCTAAAAGAGGCACACATTTCTTCTGTTCACATTCTGTAGGTAAGAATTTCATCACATGGCTTCACCCAACTCCAAGAAAGACTTGGAAATCAATTCTAGTGCAGTAGCCGTGTGCCCAGGAATAAAGGGAAAAGGTAGCTTGGTGAAAAACTAGCTCCCCATAGTGTGCATTTGCATCAGCACACGCACACACATATAATATATAGACTAGTGTTAATAGTGTAAATATTATGATATATAATAATATGTTTTATATAACTATATGTTAATATAAATATATAACTATAATAATAGTATTATATAGTAATACATTAGTAATATAGTTATATTACAAATATAACAATAATATAATTATGATATATAATATTGTTATATAGATTATATTGTTATATATATACAAATATATATATATAGAGAGAGAGAGACACACACACACACACACATGCACACCACTGCAGGGTAGGAAGGGAAGGTGTGTGCCAAGTAGGGGAGAGCAAGGATAAGGTAGAACCCACAATCACCAGCTGAGGTGGTAGTTTTGGCTTTCTTGATGGTCTGAATGTCTGCATAATATATATGTGTCATATAATATATATTATATAATATTAATATACAGTGGTATAAAACCAATATATGTCATAATATTCACACTATTAAAACTAGCCTATATATGTGATATATATCTATATATAATATATAATTATATATAATATATATAGTATATTATATACTATATATTATATAGTATATATTATAATTATATATTATATATTATAGTATATTACTATATATCATATATAGTAATATACTATAATATATAGTATATAATATATATTATATATAATATTGCATACTATAATGCTGACTCCAAATCCTAAAAAATAGCACAAAGGAACCACTAAAAATGAGCTGAGTTACTCTGCAAACAAAAGCTGAATAGCCCAGTGTTATGAAAAATTGAATTGAATGTTTCCAGATTTAAGAGTTTTGTGCTAATAAATAAATAAATAAACAACTACTGTAACAACAAACCCCAGGAACTTTCTCAACTAAAAATCATAATTGATTACAAGCTGTTGCCTCCAGCATTGAGTTACATTTTGCCTTACCAACTAAATGCTTCAGTAGTTAAAATGATTTTGTTTTGAGATTCACATGGATTAAATAGCCTAGAACACATCTACCCTAGACTTAATCTAAGAGAGAGGAGATTTGGTTCAAATGTTCTTCTCAGCATGTCAGGAGATGTTTTCTCCAATTAAATAATCTTATTTTAGTGTTAACTCTGTGCCAAGAAAATAAACAATATATCTTTCATGGACACATCTACTCTGTTGTATAAAAACTTTTATTTTCTGGGAGGCTGCTCTTGGAATTTGTACATATAATGAGATCAGAGCTGGAAAAGTCCTGTTTTCTTTAGCATTTAATGGTTTTGGAAACTGTAAGAGAGCCATGTGACACATTATAATGACAGAGCTCTATGAACAAGTGAATATCAAAGATCTACAGATAATCTTTTCTTCTTCAAAAAAAGTTTTACAAGAATACTGTATTAAGCACAGTGGGATGTTTTCACTCAGTCTTGAGCTGTGTAAAAATGAGTTGCAAGAAAATCTGTTGCCGATCATAGACCAAATGCTGTTATGCTTTCAGCACATTTGAAGGGATTAGGCATTATGGATATGTACTTCCAAGATCAAGTTGCAATAATGCGAAGTCAGGAAAAACACTTAAGATCCAAGTGTCCGGCTGTCTAAAGGATGGCACAGAGAAGGTATAATGCCAAAGGGCTCCTTTTTGGAGGTCTCTGCCTCCTACTCCCAGAGAATGGTTCTGGACAAAGACCTGCAGCAGGAGTCATGTTCTCCTGCTCCATCTCCAACTATCTCAACACCCTCCGTTATGCTCCAGCAATACCCAATAACTCCCACTTCTCCAGACCTGCAATGCTGCCCCTCTCCTCCATGCCTTGCTCTGTGCTGTTTTCTACCACAAAAGCTCCTGTTGTCCCACAAGACCCAGCTCCTGTATCACTTCTTCCATGAAGCCCAGATAGTAAATTATTCTCTCCTATTTTTTTCTCCTGTTTCACCTACTGGTGAGCTTCTTAAAAGCAAGAAACCTTATTGATATTGTTTATTTTACATTCCCATTGCCAGACTCATGGTGGGTACATGATACGTGTCTGTGAAATGAACAAGTAAGTGTTAAATCTAAAAGTGATAAGGGATCTTATCTATTAGCAAACTTGAGGTTTCCTTGCTGACATAGCAAAGGGCCAGTCCCATAGTTCACGGGGGAAGAAGGGAAGAGAAACTGCTTCAATCTCCTTTCTCATTCTCTCCTCAATCTGGATTTGGGTCAACTAGGACCAGTAGTGAGCTTCCGGTTGCCAAAAGTGTTGTGCCCCTTGATTGCTCATGGAATGTACTAATGAACAGTTGCTAGTAGAATTACATAGCAGCTCCTCTGCCCTTAGGATCACAGTGCTACATTCCTTTCATGGACATACACCGGGACAAACACCTGGGTGAAGGAGTGGCACAGAAGAAAACTTCCCCAGACCTGCATGGAAGAGCTTAATCTCTTGAGAAGTTAAGAGGTGGCTTTGCTCTTCCTAGCTTTGTGAATATAAAGTTTAGAGGGAAATTGGGACAGACAAACAGGGGGTTCCAGCCATGACAGACTCATATATGCAGTTTCATTCCTCCCAACAATTGCTCCATGGGCCTTTCTGAGACACAGTGACCAAGATGAAGAGTGAAGAACCCTGTGATGGGAATCAGGAGGACTGTGTCCAATTCCTAGCTCTACTACTACTTGTGTGACCTTCTACCATCTTCTTCATCTCCTTAGGCCTCAGTTTTCTTAACTGGTAACGGAGATTACAATACCTACCCAATCACTTTACCATGTGGTGCTAAGCTTTGAAAAAGTTTGTTTCCACATAATCTCCTCTAAACTTTAAAGGGCCGTACCCACACATGGCTTGTCTCTCACTACTCCCTTGCAAGTACCCACCTGGGCTTCCCACTAGTCCACAAATGAGTTCTTTCACCTGTGAAGCATTAAAATTCTGCTTCTTGATTAACATCAGTAATAATGTCCTGAGGATATCAGGTACCACAGACATGGTGTGAGAAAGAGGGTGTTCTGCTCTAAAACCTATAACCCCAGCCTAACCATGAGAGAAACACCAGACAAGCCCAAACTGGGGTACCTTCTGCAGCAGACCTGGCCAGTACTCCTTAAGACCATCAAAGTCACCCGGATCCCAGCACTTTGGGAGGCTGAGGCAGGCGGATTCCCTGAGGTCAGGAGTTTGAGACCAGCCTGGCCAACATGGCGAAACCCCATCTCTACTAAAAATACAAAAATTAGCCGGGAGTGGTAATGGATGCCTTGTAATCCCAGCTACCCGGGAGGCTGAGACAGGAGAATGGCTTGAACCTAGGAGGCGGAGGCTGCAGTGAGCCAAGATCGTGCCACTGCACTCCAGCCTGGGCATCAAGAGCGAAACTCTGTCTCAAAAAAAAAAAAAAAAGCAAAACCCATCAAAGTCATGAAAACAAAGACTGAGAAACTGGCACAGACCAGAGGAGACTGAGGAGCTATGACCACCAAATGCAATGTGATTACCTGAACTGGATCCTGACCAGAAAGAGAATATTAATGGAAAAATTGGTGACATCCAAAAAAGTGTGGAATGTAGTTAATAGTAATATGACAGTGTTGGCTTTTGGGCTTTGACAAATATACTGGGAAATGTAAGATGTAAAGAGTAGAGTAATTAAGTAAGGGGTATGTAGGAACCCTCTGTACTATTTTTTCAACTTTCTGTATATCTAAACTTATTCTAAAACAAAAAATATGTAATTCTACGTCGACTTGAATTCTACTTTAATTTCTAACTCAAGTTTATCCAAATGTCACCTTCCTTGTGATCCCTTACTTAATCCCCCACCCAGCTCTGACCTTTAGTTCTTCTCAAGTCTCCTAGCACTTTGCTTCCTCCTTAAATGGCATCTACATGTTATAATTATGTGCGTACTGTTCAGACGCCTCCCCACACACATACATACACTGATATGGGAGCAACTGGAAGGTGACTTTTTTTAATCTAGGGAGCCTAGCAGACCTCCTGTCACATGATAAATTTCTTTTTATTTTATTTTATTTTATTATTATTATACTTTAAGTTTTAGGGTACATGTGCACAATGTGCAGGTTAGTTACATATGTATACATGTGCCATGCTGGTGTGCTGCACCCATTAACTCGTCATTTAGCATTAGGTATATCTCCTAATGCTATCCCTCCCCCCTCCCCCCACCCCACAACAGTCCCCAGAGTGTGATGTTCCCCTTCCTGTGTCCATGTGTTCTCGTTGTTCAATTCCCACCTATGAGTGAGAATATGCGGTGTTTGGTTTTGTGTTCTTGCGATAGTTTACTGAGAATGATTTCCAATTTCATCCGTGTCCCTACAAAGGACATAAACTCATCATTTTTATGGCTGCATAGTATTCCATGGTGTATATGTGCCACATTTTCTTAATCCAGTCTATCATTGTTGGACATTTGGGTTGGTTCCAAGTGTAAACTAGTTCAACCCTTGTGGAAGTCAGTGTGGCGATTCCTCAGGGATCTAGAACTAGAAATACCATTTGACCCAGCCATCCCATTTCTGGGTATATACCCAAAGGACTATAAATCATGCTGCTATAAAGACACATGCACAGGTATGTTTACTGCGGCACTATTCACAATAGCAAAGACTTGGAACCAACCCAAATGTCCAACAATGATAGACTGGATTAAGAAAACATGATAAATTTCTAATAAGTGTTTATGAATGGATGGATGGATGGATAAATAGCAGCAGCCTGTGCTGCCAAAGTATAGAATCGCTACAGCATGTTTTTGTTATGCAGGTTTAGCAATACAAAACATTTTCCCAAAATAGATTATTCTGTGGACTCAGGCAATGTCTGCTACTCAAGGCAATGCCATATATTTGCAAAACACCTTCCATTCTCAACCTTTAAACCTATTTAGAAACCACCACTTACTAATTTTCATACCCCCTCACATGAAATACTTTTGGCATAATTTAGTAATCCAAACTGTACATACCACAGGGGATTTGAAAAGTACCTAATTAAAGATACAATGCTGTGCTCACCTTATCCTGGGCTTAAATCCGCTGAAATTAGTGAGCATTTGGACCCAGGGGAGGAAGAATTGAGGCAGTTTTATAGCTGGGGATTTTAAGGGATTTGAGGCATCAGCACACTAGGCTTGAATGAGAAAAACAGGTTAAAATCAGGGATAAATAAGATAGTTGGAAACCAAACAGGGTGTCAGAATTAAGAAAGAAAATTGGAAAATAGTGAGAGTGTTATTCTGAACTGCTAAATCAAGGACATGAGAGAGGCCAGCACAGGAGGGAAAAAAAAAACTGAAAAAGTTATAAGAAATGGTATTGTCGTCACCTAATGTCCTCCAAAAAGCAGAGCTTGAGACATGAATTCACATGTAGGTAGTTTACTTTTAGAAGTGAATCCAAGTAACAGGAGTGGGGAACTGAGAAGCATAGGCCTGGCTGGTTCAGTTTTTGGTGTGATCTCAGCTTGCTGCAGCCTCAACCTCCTGGGCTCAAGTGATCCTCCCACTTCAGCCTTCCAAGTAGCTGGGAATACAGGCATGTGCCACCATGCCCAGATAATTTTTTTATTTTTTTTGTAGAGATGGAATTTCACCATGTTGCCCAGGCTGGTGGTTGATATTCTCACTGTGGGAAAATCAAATTTTGAATATAAACTGCAATAACTGGGAATGCATGTAATTATGACAAATTGCTATTATATTAATGCAAATGGTCACTGTTAATAGTGGTTTAGCTAAATTTTGTATGCTTTAAGGAAAATATTTCAACAGCAACTTTTATAGTTTGGAAGTCCTGTGACAATGAGTAGATGGTAAACCCTATACACAATTAACTCCTCCAGGTTGCTAGGTGCTAAAAAGTTTCTGTCTATCAACCAGCCAGGTCCAGAGACAGTAGTACTATTGTGACTAGCATCATTTCATTTCTAAACCAACTAAATGAAAGTAAAACCCTTAGGAAAACAGTAGTTATTACCAGTATTGGGTTAGTGGGAAGAGATTCATTTGTCCTCCCAGATTCTCCTATCTTACAACCAGCCGCTCCGCGACAGCTCCCTTGCAGAAGCTGATTCTACATACACACGATGGTAACAGTTGCTTGACCATATACTTCGGCCTTCTCCCCTCAGTCGTTTATCCAAACATGGGCAGATTAGGGGCTCAATATTCCAGAGGTTAAAAAAAAGAACTCCAGGCCGGGCGCTCACGCCTGTAATCCCAGCACTTTGGAAGGCCGAGGCAGGCAGATCACGAGGTCAGGAGATCGAGACCATCGTGGCTAACACGGTGAAACCTCGTCTCTACTAAAAATACAAAAAATTAGCCGGGCGTGGTGGCGGTGCCTGTAGTCCCAGCTATTTCGGAAGGCTGGGGCAGGAGAATGGTGTGAACCCAGGAGGCGGAGCTTGCAGTGAGCCGAGATCGCGCCACTGCACTCCAGCCTGGGCAACAGAGCGAGACTCCGTCTCAAAAAAAAAAAAAAAAAAAAAAAAAAAACTCCAGTTGTCAGAAATGGAACTCAGAGAAAGTAGTCTGCACCTCTGTTAGGATCACTGTGGCTGCTATTGCTTCTGTGGGTATGGAGACCTAGCCTTTCAGGGTGGCTCAGGGCCATCAGCTCTCTTTCCTTTTGCTGTCTGCCCTTGCGGTCATGATGTGGAGCGATTTGAGAAAGGTGCTTGGCATGAGTCCTCCTTAGCTTCTGCAGCAACCAAAACCCCAAGCCAGCTCGGAAACTCAGTCCCAGGATCTGCACTTTGAGCCACCAAGACACCCGAAGTGAATGTTACCATGCCTCAGTGTTTAACAGAGACCACCTTCCTCTTCCCAGAGCCTCTCCCCACTTAGCACTTACGCAGGTGGCACATTTTATGAAAGAAGACTACACTTGGAGGTTAGTGACCTGGTTGTTTCTAACTGGCCAAGTGGCCTCAAGTAATTAACAATCTCCTTGGACTTAAGTTTTCTCATTTATAAAATGTGAGTGGAGTTTCAGAGTGTTTTTCAGCTCCAAGATGTTATGATGTAAAAATCCTGCCAAGATAAATTTCTTAAGTTTGTTTTCTTGCATTTCCACACTGCCCTTCTCTCTACTTGACCTGCACATGGAAAGTATCTGATGCCTCACCCTTCCACACCCTCACCAGACACTTGAGAAAATCTGGAATGTTTCTTTTATAAAAGAGCTTGAGCTGTATTTTCTAAACACTTGGTTCCTCTTTCCCAGTAAAATCCCTGCCACCTCTTCAAACCGTAGTGAGTAAGCAGTCCATCAGAAAGAGCTAATTCTTATCAGGTTCCTTGAATCTAGCAATGAATTGGGTTATTTTAGACATCTTTTTTCTCTGTGAATCAGCTAACACCAGCCTACCTATTCATGTCTGATACACCAAGGGATTCTAAGTAGGATGTTTCTCATGGGGAAAAAAAGTGTTTTGAGAATTCCTTTGCCCATTCTGGCCCAAGAGAATTTCAGTTGGCAACCCCCAGGCAGAGTTGCAAACCTACCTTTTTTTAAAAAAAAAACAAAAAACAAAACAAAACAAAAAAACAGGGTCTCACTCTGTCACTCAGGTTGGAGTGCAGAGGCAATGATCATAGCTCACTGCAGCCTTGAATGCCTGGGCTCAAGCCATCCTCCTACCTCACCCTCCTGAGTAGCTGGGACTACAGGTGTGAGCCACAACGCCTGGCTTGCAAACCTACCTTTTTATTTATACAGATGTTGTTTATCACCAGGAAGTTGTGGAGAGTTGTTTGGGGGGTGGTGATTGAAAGCAGCTCTTTTGTTCCAATATTTAAAGGAAGTTAAAAACCAACTATTTAATGCAGCTTGCTTCATCTAGAATCCACCAAATGTTTTCATTCTGATAGCATATTTTGGAGCCTGGAGATACAGAGCACTGCAGTTCTGGAGACATGTTTGTTTAGTGAGAATGCTCCTCAGGCTGCTCTGCTCTGAGTCTGGCTCCCTTTTTGAAGTAAAGCAATCGCTTGCTACTGCATGACGCTCTATTCTGCTGTTTAGTGTTGGTCGTTGCTTGACTGATGCTGCACTGATCTTCATTCTGTTCCTGGCCCTGCAAGAAGACAAGTGCATCATTATTAAAATTAATTTATTTTACTAGGACAGCACCAGTGATCAAGGTACATAGAGCAGGACAGCCAGTTTCCACAGCACGTGAACAGCAATTAGCTTGATTCTCTGCTTAGACTTAATGACAACATGGCCCTTTGGGTTAGAAGGCAATGAGTGCCAGAATTCCCTGGCCTCAGAGAGTGATGTGAGGGCTGATGCTGAAGGGAGGAAAATCAGTATGGCAGCTCAGGTTTTTTAGAAGTGACTTGAAAACTCAATGTGAGGTCTTCCTCCTATCCAATCATATCCAGATCTTTCTTCCTTTTGGATTATTTCAGTGTTTTATTTGGCTCATTTATGATGCATGAGGAAGTTTCTTTTCAACAAAAGGGTGAAAGCAGCACTTCTCTTTGTTTAAACACTTCAAATGTGAATTCATTTGCAATTTTGACCCAAGAAGCTAAGCTCTATTCCTGGCTCCACCACACAAGTCATTTGTCCTCTCTGGACCTAATTTATTCACCTGAAAAAAAAGGGGGGTCGGGGGGTTGAGAATAGACCATTTTTTAGAGAACTTCCTACCTTATTTGCAGATCCAGTGCATAATAAAAAGATAGGGCCTAACATTAAAATGAAGAATTTCAAAGCAACAACAATGGAGCATTAAGCCAGATCCAGGTATGGGGCCCACTTGCGCACAGGGCCCTGCTCAGTGGCACAGGCCACACGCATGGGTCACACACTGGACTCAATCTCTTTCATGCCTTCTCCAGCACCAAACTTCTCTGATATCACAGCCTTTGCTTTCATCTACATGTGCACACTCCTCACACAAAAATAAACAGAAACAAAAGCAAAAACAAAAGGCTTCAGTTGCAATTTTTGCTTGATATCTACGTCATTTTTCCTTTTCACATCCCTTTGACCATAAGTTGTACCTCAGCCCTTTCTCACTTCCTTTTATTCTCCAAGATGGATTTTCTTCTTTCCTGCCTAAAACATCCAAATGACCTTTGCTTTGAGCTTTTTCTAAATCACCATATGTTAGATAATTGTGCCCAGAGGAATTACTTCCAGAGTGGCCTAAACACAAAAGAAAACACACAGCCAACTTATTCTCTAGAACAGTGCAAACATTTCCTTAAACCTAAGTGTCTCAAGAGGAAAACTGACAGAATAAACCTTTCACCCAGCAAGTCCACTCTGGGTAGTGCTTGTACTGAATCCTTCCTGCATTTTTACATCCCTGATTTATCTACTGTTTTGCCAATAAAAGCAGTCCCGTTCTTTGATTTAGGTTTCTTTATAGTGGAAAAGTGACCAGAGAAAATGACTCAGTTGAGTGTTTTATTAATGGGAAGAACTGAAATGCCAGCAACAAGCCAAGTTCTTTGCCCCTTCTCTGTCATGTTACACCATTATACAGAACCTATCTGGGAAGTAGGAGGTTGCAAGTTAAATGCCAGCAAACCTATGGCTTTTAGATGACAAGTTCACAAAAAATGAACAGCCACAAAATATAAGGGGATGTCAGCCTTCAGAAGTCAAATCTGTCAGTAAAATGTAACAATTACAAAGCAGCTACCAAAAAAGAAGGATTCTTTTAACATGTCTTATAAGAAAATAACTTTGATTTCTTGCATGAGTTTTTCTTCTATGTCCAAGTTATGGAAGTCTCATTCAAGTAGGTAAACTTCCCATACAAAATTTCATCATTTCAAATCAATGGAAAAATCAGATTTATCCTTGAAATTAACTTCCAGAATTTTAAGAGGAAAAAGTGACTTCAAATCTGTTCATGACTGACAACCCAACCTCAAAATGATTTATTTTCTGTTATGAACATTTGGGGTGTCCTGTTTATTATCAAAAACAAATGCATTTACTTCTTTAATCTTACAAAAATTCAAAAGCCCATTTGTCTCAGATATTCAAAATCATATAGGGTCGGTTTTAAGGTACAGTTTAAGGAAAAGATGTTACGAATACTGATAAACCATTGTCTGGTTTACGACAATTGCAAATATTTGAATACCTACCCTTCAAAATATGAGTGAACAAGCCTATAAAACAATAAATGTCCATCTTGAGAGCTCATCTACTGCTCTGCCTAGTGGCAGGATTATACTGAAACTCCCTATGTTTGTTTCCTAGGGCTGCTGTGACAAAGCACCACAAAGTGTGTGGGTTCAAATAATAGGAATATGTTCTCTCATGGTTCTGATAGGTGGAGGGCTGAAATCAAGTGTCAGCAAGGCCATACCCTATCTGGAGGCTCTAAGGGAGGATCCTCCCATGCCTTGGTGGTTTGCCGGCAATCCCTGGCATACCATGGCCTATAGACACATCACACTCCAATCTTTGCCTCCATTGCCACATGGCATTCTCCCTGTGTCTCCTATCCTCTTCTTATGTGGACACCAGTCACCTTGGATTAAGGGCCTATCCTACTCCCATATGATCTCATCTTAACTAATTATGTCTGCAATGACTCTATTTTCAAATAAGGTAACATTCTGAATTTCTGGAAAGGGCATGAATTTTGGAGGGATACTATTCAACTTAGTACAACCTCCAAAACAAATGATAAACTTTCCTGTGTTTAAGTGAAATAAAACAAAAATAACTTTATAAAGTGTTCTGGAGAAGAAAAGCTCAATGAATTCCCCAAGAATTCACTCTTTTCAGCCATCCGTCCCAGCGGTTCTCAAAGTATGATTTAAGGGCAACTCGCCTCAATTCAACTTGGGGGATTAGGGGCTTATTAAAAATACAGATTCAGGGCTGGGCGCGGTGGCTCATGCCTGTAATCCCAGCACTTTGGGAGGCCGAGGTGGGCGAATCACAAGGTCAGGAGTTCGAGACCAGCCTGGCCAACATGGTGAAACCCCCTCTTTACTAAAAATACAAAAAAATTAGCTGGGCATAGTGGCGGGTGCCTGTTATCCCAGCTACTCAGAAGGCTGAGGCAGGAGAATCGCTTGAACCTGGGAGGCGGAGGTTGCAGTGAGCCAAGATAGCACCACTGTACTCCATACAGATTCAGGCTGGGCACGGTGGCTCACACCTGTAATCCCAGCTACCCAGGAGGCTGAGGCGGGAGAATCACTTGAACCTGGGAGGCGGAGGTTGCACTGAGCCAAGATCATGCCACTGCACCCCAGCCTGGGCAACAGAGCAAGACTCTGTCTCCAAAATTAATTAATTAATTAATTAATTTAATCAAAATTAACGTACAGGAGCGGTGAAAAAGAAGAGGCAAGACCGGCCCCCAGACCGACCAAAGCCCACGTGCCGCCACACCCCACGCCCAGCGCGCCGACGTCCCGCCACTGTCGCTGCCACCATCATGCCCAAGAGCTGAAGGGGATGCTAGAGATAAAGCCAAGGTGAAGGACGAACCACAGAGAAGATCCGCGAGGTTGTCTGCTAAACCTGCTCCTCCAAAGCCAGAGCCCACGCCTAAAAGGCCCCTGCAAAGAAGGGAGAGAAGGTACCCAAAGGGAAAAAGGGAAAAGCCGATGCTGGCAAGGAGGGAAATAACCCTGCAGGAAATGGAGATGCCAAAACAGACCAGGCACAGAAAGCTGAAGGTGCTGGAGATGGCAAGTTGAGTGTATGCATTTTGGATAACAGTGTACTTCTGGTGACTGTACAGTTTGAAATACTATTTTTTATCAAGTTTTATAAAAATGCAGAATTTTGTTTTACTTTTTTTTTAAGCTGTGTTGTTAGCACACGGAACACTTCATTGCTGTTTTTGGGGTAAGGGGCATATGTCACTAATAGAATGTCTCTGAAGCTGGATTGATGTGAGGAAAACAACTTTCCCTTCTAGTTTTGAGAGACTTCCTCTTGGCTCCCAGGAGGAGGGATTCCCTGACTTTGACACACATGGCCACCTTGGCACAAAAGCCTTGTGGTATGGAAATACAAATCCATTTTTATGTCCTCTTCTCCCTTTCCATCCTTCAGCATAGACTTAACTCCCTTAAGCCCAGACATCTGTTGGGCTGACCCCCAGTCATTGGTTACCAGTGTGTCAGGCAATCTGGACTTTCCAGTGATGCCACTGAGATGGCACCTGTCAAAACAGCAGTGGTTCCGTTTCTAGATTATGGATCTTCAGATAAATTCTACCATTTTCATTTAACTTCCTGAAAGTCAGGGTCGGCTTGTGAAAAGTTGTTAAACAACATGCTAAATGTGAAATGTCAACCCTCACTCTAAACTTTCCCTGTTCAGAGCATCAGATGAAGACTTTGTTAGATTTTATAGTGGCTTTCTGATTTTGGTAGTCCATTGAAGAAGGGAGTTTGAAAGTTGTTGTATACTGTTAACAATTGTCTGCCCATATCCTGCCTGAAATGCCATGATTGTTTATGGAAAGTATCTTTAATAAAGCTGGATACAGTTTGGCTTGGAAAAAAAGAATTAAAATATAGATTCATAGGCTCCATCCCAGATCCACCAAGTCAGAACTGCTAAGTTTAGAGGCCAGGAACCTGCATCTTAAAGAAGCTCCTGGGGGTTTTATGCACATTAAAATTTGAGAACCACTCTCTATAGTGGCAGAAAAGTCGGCCTTACATTCCCCATAGTGCTTTGAAATTCATTCCTTACTTTTCCTCTATTTTCAGGTGAAATTGAGAATAGCTGGTCAACAAATTTTCTTATATTTAAAAAACATTATAAAGGTACTCTTCATTCCTTTTTCCCCTCCAGACTAAATAATATAAATACAAATAATATTAATTCCTTAGTCTTGATAGGATGTATTTTCTAATCATTAAATCATTCACGAACTCTGGTCAAATTCTTTCCTCTCCAGAATCATAGACAATACCCTTTGACCATGGAAAGAGATCCCACTGTTTAATATTTCAGATTAGAAAAATCAGAAGCCTAGAGAAGTCACACTAAAGCCATCTGTATTAGTCAGGGCTTTTCACAGAAATTGAACCATTAGATACATAGATACATATATATTATATATCTATATAATATATAATATAAATATATACAATTATGGAGGCTCAGAAGTCCCTTCATCTGCAGGTTCGAGACCCACAAACGCTGGTGGTGTAAATTCCAGTCTGAGTCCAAAGGCCCAATTTATCCAGGGGCACCAATGGCATAAATCCTACTCCAACAGCAGGAGAAGACTGATGCCCAGCTCGCAGGCAGGCAGGAAGAAAAAGGGACGAATTCCTCCTTCTTCAGCCTTCTATTCTATTCAGGCCCTCAATGGATTGGATGATGCCCTCCTCCACTGGAAAGGGTAATCTGCTTGACTGAGTCCACCGATTCAAATGCTAATCTCATTTGGAAACATCCTCACAGACACACCCAGAAAGACTGTTTACTCTGGGCACCCCTAGGCCTAGTCAAGTTGACACATAGAATTCACCATAACACTATCCTAATCAGGGTTATTTCCAGCCATGAAAAAATGTATACTTATGAATTGTTAACTTAATGGTATCTGCCTCTATCTAATTCCTCCTTCCTTCCTGTTAGCCTTTTGTGTTGACTTTGATCGATGAAGGAACAAACCTAGCACTTACAGGCTGTGTCTGAGCCCTGTCGTGCCACAGGAGGATGTGAGTGATGAGACTGGGAAAAGGTACTCATGAGGTAAGTCCTAAGCAACTTTTCACCTGACCTTGTGAGCTTTTGAGCTTTTGCAAGTCTTGAGAACCAATCATACCTTTTTGAGCAACACAAAAATGACACTTGGTGAGGGCCATAGACAGCATTCTGATACTGCTAGAGCCAGAAGGCTTAAAATCCTAGCACTGATACCTGCTATTTCTCAGCCTTTAGTTTTGCTCTCCCTTGAAAGAACTCTGCTGATCATTCACATATGCATTCATCAAACATGAGTCAACATTCCCTGAATATTCACAGTCTAGCAGAGTTACAACAGGTACTATGAATAACGAATCTCTGAATAAGAGAGAACTTTGATGAGTTAGAGGAAAGGAAGAAAATAGAAGGGTTATTCAGTTTCAAACCACACTGATTGAATGATTCAGAGCCCCTTTGTGTGCATCCACAAGAAACAGACAGAGCAATAGGGAGAGCCAGGTCACCCAAACTCCTGCCATTCATACTCTTCTAGCAGTAGAAAAAGTACCACTACTTGGCTAGTACCCAGCCACATATTTCCCATTCTAGAGACAACTATGGGACTTTACTGAGAGTGTCTTTTTTTTTAGTCAGACTAGGAAAGTTAACAGTTTTAATGGCTTTTTTAAGTCATAAAGTATTTATGAAGTACCCATTATGAGCAGAACTTTTTAAAATTAAGAATTGCTAAAGAAATTAGAAGATACAGTCAGCCCGTGAGGATTTTACAATTTATTTAGGACAGAAGATACTCATATTATTAGAGAATGCTATAGGAATTCAAATTAAGAATTCAGTTTCCTGGAAAGGATGATTGATCAGAGGAACTATCATGAGGAAGAGTCTAGAACTGAGTCTTGAAGAAAATGGAGAGTGGCATTGACAGAGAAGAGGAAGAAAGACTTACTAGGGAGGGCGAACTACACCCAACAAAGGCACAGCAAGGAGAAAGTTCACCAAGGTAAGAGGAAGACCAAGAAATCTGGGCAAACTGAATAAAGGGATCATTTAATGGGAGCTGTAAATAAAAGGTGAACTCAAGGGGTGGAATTCTTTGAATTCAGGCTAATTATTAGGTTGGCCATATGAAACTGCCACTTTTGTAGGTCAATTATTGGGAATTTCATATGGTTCAGTTAGAAATATGAAGTTCATGAAATGACAAAGTGAAGAAGCTATTTTGGGAAGATTTATCTGGTAATGGGTAGGCTGGAAGTCAGCTACACTAGAGACCTGGAGACAACTAGGAATTACTCTAATAAATTGAGCATAAGATGGTCATAACATGGATGAGGGTAGGCTGTGGATATGAGAGGAAGAGTCAAATCTCACAGGCATTACAAAGGAAAAATTTCACCTAGACTTGATGACTAATTGAACATGGGCAAAAAGGGAAAGAGAAGAGTCAGAGATGAATACGAGATTTGCAGTATAGGGGACTAGAAGGATAGTGTTGCCATGGACAATAGAGGTGTACCTTGGTTTATGCAATAAATGCTTTCCTGAAAATGTGTGTAGCACAAAATTTTATAAATCAGGTCATGATTTAAATACACTAAGAACACTTGCTGCATTTGTTAGCATATTGATTTGCTGCTTTAATAAACAGAAAGATAAACCAGAATGGCCAGTAACACCACACCTTGGGGTTATCTTTACTAAATATGGGCCCTACTGAACAGAAATTAGAGCTTATCACAGGACAACAAATTTTGTTTGAAAATAACCTTTTTACTACTTTTTTATCTGACTCTAAAAGTAACATAGTGGCTTAAATAAAATAGATTTGTCTCTTATGTGAAGGTCTGAGCTGGTAGAAAACACACAAAGCAGGACAGGGCTTTGTGGGGGCCCAAGTTCTTTTCACCTCTTTGCTCTATCATCCTTTATGATGTTGCCCTCATTTACATGACCAAAACTGGCTCACCATCATCTGTCCTTGTGCCAGGTTGTAGAAAAAAGAAAGAGGATATCAACGACAGCAGCTTCTGTATTAGGACATGCCAGAAGTTGTACACATCACTTCTACTCACATCCTACTGGCCAGATCTTGGTCACATGGACATATCTAGCTGCAAGTGATCCTGAAAAATATAGTCTCTAAGGGTAGCCATGTGCCCAGCTAAAAATTAGGGGGGTTTTCCATTAAAAAGAAGACTGGAACAGCAGATATTGTGAGACAATTAACAATTTCTGTCATAGTTGAGAAAGTCTTGTAAATTGCTTTGAAAATAATAGTTAAGAGAAAATCTAGATTTTCAATTATCAGGTGGGCTAGGACTGCCATACATCTGTATAGGGAATGGGAAGAAGAAAATATCACTTCCTTTTCCCAAAACTGTGCTCTAGTCTTTGAGATTTTGAGCTAATCAATGAGTCAAGAAAGCACTGAAGAATTGTTTGAACAAACTGGTTGTCAAATTTTAGAACTGGGAGGAATCTTATAAGAGTATCTTATTAAACACAGCATGAACCAATAGATTTTCTGGAAGGAGATTTCTCCATGTAAAATAAATGACTGCCCAAGTGAATCTTCTTTCCACCTCTTTCACCAAACCTAAGACCTTTCCAAAGTTGCATCTTCTCCTGGAAGTATCACACTTTGATTCCAACTGCCACTTCCATGGCTGTCTCCCTGGAACACCCAGTTTCTCCTTTAAAATTTAGCCTGGACACAAGTAAACCCCCTTTCTTTAATGCCCTTTCATGCAGCTAAGACAGGTATTCAAAAATGACTTAACTAGATATGATGAGAGAACCAAAAGAAAAATTAAAAAAAATAGATGCTACATAACAATCACCAGGTTTTTGAGGTATAGAGAGAATTTTGAGCCAACATTGACAGCAGTGGAGGGACTAGTGCAATGTCAGAGACACCTTTCTTCCCAGCTCCCTGCCAATCTTTGCCAGGTGGCCTCTGGCCATTGCTTGTTTTTCTAACCTCTGGGAGCCGGGCCCAGACAGTTCTGCCCCTGAATGAATAGAAGACCTTTGGGTACCAAATTGGGGCTTCTAAACACTAACCAAAGACACTAGTCTCCTAAGGGACTTAGGATCTCACAATTAGCAGAGAGTAGGGTCTGTTCGTTCTTGTTGCCCCTATGCCTAGTCTAGTAACTGGCACATGTTCAGGGTCCAATATAATGTCTCTCATGTAAAAATTCAAAACCCATCCTCATGCAAATGATCAGAGCAAGCCAAATCTTCCCACTTAATTCCAGTTTGGGATCTGAAGGCCATGCTTTCCTTGAATAGTTGGAATCGGGGTGTTGGGCATTCGGAATAGTCAATGCTTCAAGACTTATGTGATCTGCTGCAGCCATCTTCATGCACTCCGAAACAGGAGATGACTCACAGACCTGACCTGAGATCGGCACACCCACCTCTTCATTTGAAATGAAGAAGCTGAGGTCCAGAGAAAGATCAGTGACTTACCCAGGTTCTCACAGTAATTCAGTGGCAGACATGCACCTGGAAGCCAAATCAGGCAATGCCAAGTCTGTGTGTGTTTCACCTCACCACTTCCCATTGCTTAGCTCCTTGATTTGTTTTCCCCACAACCCGGATCTCAGAGAAGCTGCAGAAGGTTCCGCTCACCTGGGGCCCACAGGTGGTTCCTTACAGTCCCTCAGCACTGGGTGGGCCTTCTGTTAGTTCCCAGAAGCTACATCATTCCTTCATGTTTACCCCAGAACTCTTGAAGTTCAACAGATGTAAAAAACACATACTGCCCAAACCTGGGCTCACATGTGCAAGTCTCTGGGAACTTGAAGAAGATACAGTTGTTTGCTACAGGGCTCTTGAGTGGGTCATAAATACAGAAAGCAGCTGTCAAAAGTAATGCTGCCTTATTCTTTTAAAAAAAAAAGCACAAAAGACAAACTTTTATCTGTTTTATTTGCTTTTTCCTTCTATTTGCCCAACTCTACCTTCCTGAAGAAATTGTAGGCAAACCCTCTGAATGCCTAATCCCTAGTTTTGAACACATAAACCAGAGAGGCCAGTAACTCCATGCCTTGAGGTTACCTTTACTGAGTATGGGCCCTACCAAACAGAAATTAGAGCTTACCACAAGAGGACAAATGTTGTTTAAAAATAACCTTTTAAATACTTTTTAATCTGACTCTAAAAGTAATACACACTCTTGGACCAAAATTGGGGGAAAGCAGAGAAATATTTTTTAAAGTTTTAAAAAGTATAATCCCACCAACACTGTTAATGCTTTGGTATATATCTTTTCAGTCTTTTTTCTTTTTCAACACACATGGAACTATCAAACGGTTGCAGGCAGAGTTATAGACCAAAAAAAAAAAAAAATCAGTCTTCGGTCAGAAGAACAGGCAACAGAAAAAAAAAAAGTCTCACATGTCCTAAGAACTGTTGACACATATAGAGAATATAGAGACAGGAAACAAGAAAGCTTCATCTTTAAACCTGGAAAAAGAGAACTGCAGGTGGTATTCACGTTATCATTGTAACTGACTCTTTCCAATGGAAAAAAAAAGGATATTAATCCATTTGTTGTTTAGAATTTGTTGGTCAGGATTAGAGTAAGCGTTTCGTGTGGCTGTGACTATGGTCAGTCAGTTTCTGTTCTTGTGCTGAAGTGGAATGAATCAATGCGCTTGTCCAAAGGGGCTATGGCAGAGGTGATGGCAGCAGTGTTTGCAGCCGCAGCAACAGCCTGAATGCAGGAAGTCACATTCAAAGGGGATGCTCCAGGCTGGCAGAAGTGTGTTAACCTTTCATCCATGTCATTGGGTTTAATATGTTAACTTTGTAGCTTTGTAGTAAAAGCTGCTTCTTTGAGCTCAGGGTTCATAAAAAGTGTGACTGGTCCTCAGTGTTCCCAGTTAAGGATAGTAAGGAAAACAGAACCCTGAAAGCTCACATTGATTGAAGCAAAGACAGAGCTGGGGGGGTCAGCCCAGTGCCCCAGCTCCTCCCCAGCCTGACAGAACTGAACAGCTATTCATAGCCGCTGGAGCACTTCCAAGCTGCGAGTGTAAATTTACTTGTATCATCTTTGCAGAGAGGAACTGTATAGTCCCCAGTGCCTCCTGGTTGATTCGGATCGACTGTTTATTTGTTTAGTCCTGTAATGATATTATCCACAGGGCCAGAGCCACACAGGGAGGACGAGGAATTCCTGGAGGAGGGAGGCTGTGTGTGTTTATTGCCCTGTCAGCCCTTCACGACAAAAGACAAAAGTTGCTGTAACTTGTGTGTTCCCACACACATGATCCATATGGACAATATCGAGTATAGGTGCTGATGAAGGGGGAAGAAAGGATGACCAGAAATCAAGATGCCGGCTGCCTTGTGGGAAACATGGAGAAATGCTCTAACAGTGAGCCTCTGACTAAACACCACAATTCCAGAGCTGGGAGGAATTCTGAGACGTTCTTCACACCAGAGGGAAAAAGAACCACCAGCTCTTGACTGACTAAGGCCTTGTGTTGCCTTGGACCTTGGGCCTAATTTTTTTCTTTTCAAGCTTAAAGGTTTCTGTTGCCTTTGCAGGAGAATCTAGGTTTTACTCCTACAGCAATATGTATTGCGGGGGACCATGCTTTCCTTTTTTCTCAGCACATTTATTATAGCTTAGTTTCCACACAGTTCTTCGCTATGCGTGCATTATCAGGGCCAATTCTAGTTCATCTCCTCAGTGTCAGACTGAAACCACCTAAAATATGCTGCCAATTGGTTCCTGATTGTATTTCTGGAAGCTTGCAACTCTGAAAGCTTTTTCTACCTCAGGGACATGCCATCCATCCAAGAAATACAGCACTTGAAAGAAAGGGCACAATGAATCAACACAGTGAGCCTGTCACTCAGCAGGCTGGCAAACGATGATCTGCTAAGGGGCAGTTGTGCCCAACCTTCTTGCTGACTGTAGGTCCCCTGGGACCCGCCACATGGAGGCTGCCATCACACAGTTTGATCAGTGCCAGGTCAGCCCTGTGAGTCTCACACAGTTCACTGATACCAAGACAGCAAAGGGCACTGCACTGCAGTGAGGGCTGCCTGGAAAGTAAATGCAAGTGAGATGGATGGCTGCCACCGGCCTTGAGAAACAACCCTCAAAACACCAAGCCAGCCAGGCAGTGATGTGACACTGCTAGAAGCCAGTGAGGCACGATGACGCAGCCGGCAACATCAAACAGCCTGGGCTCATTTTGAGTAGGAGACAAGTCAAAGCATGGATGCATCATGGAGTTGCAGCCATCTCAGAAATAGTCATTTAGGGTTCCCAAACAATGGAATATTTCATGACCAACGCCAGGGAAAGGAATAGGAAAAGCCACATTCGTTTTCCTGGGCAGTATTCACCATAGAAGCCCCACCCAACTGACACAGACCCCCGCATGCAGTATGTAGGGAAAAGCTGAACTGCCTCTACAGAATTATAATATGAATAATAATTTAGGAAACGGGGATATGAAATAATAAGAGCAGAATGCTTAACGAAGGAACTAGAAATTCATTAGCAATCCTGAATTGCTGGAAGAGGCAGCGGTTGAAAGGCAGATGCTGTTGCGATTAGCACTTGGCCTCGGGCTGGTACCCACCAGCCTCTGAGCTTACCTTTTCTGATCCTCTAAGTAAGAAAACCTAGAAGAGTCCCCTCATTTTGTTTACCGGGTGTGAATGGGAGGCAGAGATTGAGGGTCGGGGAGAGGGAATAAACTTGCCCTAGAACAAAGCAAACAACTACATTAAACAGAGGGGCTGTTACAAAAGCAAAATGTGGGCAGTGCATACATTTTTAATGACCAGGACTCGGGTGCCCTGTGCAAACATAAACAGCTCCCTGCCAGCGGAGGGCTAGAAACCTTCCAGTCCTGAGTTTCAGCTCCCTGCCACCCCCTCCTAAGGGTGCCTGGCTGGCCCTGACAAAAATCATTTACAAATAAAGAGCTCTCAGAAATGTGCCCTACCTTCGGCCAAAGAAGAGAACCTCTTTTCCAATAAATATTTGGCCGGGTAGTGGGGAGGGGGCGCCAAGAGTAACAAAGGGAGCCAGCGGCCTGGTTTGTTTGGATTGCCGGGCCGGCGCGGGAGCGGCCGGGCGCAGCTGACCACGGGTACAGATAGGTTAATTTCCACATGGAGCTGCAGAAACCCTATCCGCGGGTTGCGAAGCGTGGGTCAGCCAAGGCATGTTAATCTGTTTAGCATGTGCGCCGCGCGGAGGAGCCAGACCACCGGGGCGCAGGAGGCGCGGCCGCAGCCGGCGCTCCTCTGGGGGAGTTAATAAAGAGCTTAAGGCAGGCAAGTAAGTGTATGGAGGCTGCGAGCGGCTTCTTGCGGGCGGCCCGGGGGAGGGCGAGGCCCGGCTGCCTGCGCTCGCGTTCCCAGGCCCTCGGAACCGCGCGCCCTCGAGGCCGAGCGAGCCCCGCCGCGCCGAGCCTCCCGGGCGTCCGCAGGCCTGGCGCACACCGAAGCGGGGGGCGCAGTACTGCTCTCCCGCCCCCCGGAGCCGAGCCTCTTCGCGTTCGCACCGTGAAAGGAGGGGAGCGAGGGGTTAGCCATCTCGAACATTTTTAACTAATCAAAATATTTGCTGATGAGTATTTATTTTTACAAGAACTCGGTTTGGCTGGAGACTTCCCGAGCAACAATATGGGCTGCCGTATTAGGTTTGTGACGGAGCCAAGTGTGGTTGGGGCTTATTGAATCTGCGGGCCGGAGATCGCTCGCTCCGGAGACGTTTCTCCGTTCTGGGGAAGCAGCTTTCCCAAAACCGTCCTTCTGCAGATGGCTCTTAGAACACAACCACATGTCCCCTAAAGCACGGGAAGCTTCGTGTTTTATGTTTGGGCTGAATGAAAAGAGGAACGCACGCTCTTTCCTGCCCAAGCCAACAAAAGAGAAAATAGCGGGAAACGTCCCTGACCTGAGAAAGGAAAGCCAAAGCTCAGAGGTTCCAGTGTAAGCACAAACAACAAAACTGGATGAGTCCAAAACACCTACCTCAACACATCGCTTCATCGTGCTAAGCTTTTTCTCTCTCTTGTCTTTCTTCCTCCCAATATCCACCCAAGAAAGACCCACTTTTAACTTTACCGTAGTAAAGATGTTGAGTCTGGTCTGAAGGTGATTAAACAACTACGTCAAGTCATTGCAAAGCCACTGGCCACTCTCTAGGAAAAGCTATGGAAGATGAAGTCGAATCAAGTTTGAAAACGGACAAGTGGGAGCTTATACTACTTGAACTATAAAGATAACCTGAAAAATACTGGACCTTAATTTTTTCAATGTTACTGACTGAGAACTAGATAAAACATATCTGAACTGGCAATAATAGTCATTAAGAAATGGACTGCTGTGGCAGGAACTCGTTATTGCTAACCTCTAACAATTCAGCAGTCCTTAGAAAGTGCCTCATAAAGAGTACTTCTCAATGACTCTTAAGAAAAGGGAAGTTGGGTAGGGGTTGTTCTGGAAGACAGTATGCAGGGTATTGCTGGTAAGAAGTGTCTGCAGAAAGTGTAAATGAGCAAATATTGAAAAGAAGAGATTGTTGGCTCACTCCTGTAATCCCAGCACTTTGGGAGGCTGAGGAGGGCAGATCACCTGCGATCAGGAGTTCGAGAGCAGCCTGGCCAACATGGCAAAACCCCTTCTCTACTAAAAATACAAAAATTAGCCGGGCATGGTGGTGAGCGCCTGTAATCCCAGCTACCCAGGAGGCAGAGGCTGGAGAATCACTTGAACCCATGAGGCAGAGGTTGCAGTGAGCCGAGATCGCACCACCGCACTCCAGTCTGGGCAACAGAGCTAGACTTCATCTCAAAAAAAAAAAAAGAAAGAAAATAGGAAGTTGAATCAGAGCAAGCAGAGAGTAAATTTACCTTATGAAAAGACTTCCCAAGTGCAAGATGAGACAGAACTCATTCAAATGTACACAGAAGAGAAATATCTGAAGAGCCATAGAGATCTTGAGCTAAGTATCAGTTGGCAATGCAATCTGAAGACTTTCAAAAGCAAGCGTAGTACTAGGAAATAGAAAGTAAAATGAACTGTTTGGAACCATGTGCCAACTTCTCCCTGGTTTCTATATTAGAGGTTTTTTTTTGTTCAGTCTGGGGAGCCACAACTGAAGAGATTTGGGGAATTAAAACAATCTTTTTCTCTTACACTTCTTCACTTGCTTGGTTTATATTGCTCATGAAGTGTCTTGATCTAAATGACTTAATACAGTGTCCACCTGTCTGATTTGGGCCCATACGCTCCTCCAACTCAAAACTAAGGTGTGAAAGAAGCTTATGGGTCCTTTTGATCAAAGAGGCACATGGCCCTAAATTTAAAACAGAAAAGGAAAGATAGCACTAGTACAAACGGCCTTCAGTTTACATTATTTTGAAACTGATTGGCAGAAATGAGGGGAATAAGGAAAGTAAAAATTTCAGCAAACCAGAAAAAAAAAATCACAGCTGAGGAACTTAAATTCTTTGGAATCAAAGAAGAGAATGGGTTTCAATAATTCCAACCTAAATTTCCTTTATTTAGTGACCCAGCCAAAAGAGGACACTTTACTCCTACCAGTCAGTAGAGAGACAACAATAAAGAGCCTGGAGCCCAGTAAACCAATGAGATTGCCTCCCTGGAAGGTGGCATATTCCCATGCGGAGGCTGAGGTTTCTGATGCTCCCCTCACCTCATATGAGAGTGTCTTTGTCAGCTTAAGCAGCTATAACAAAATACCATAGACTGGATGGCTTAAACAATAGACTGGATGGCTTAACCAACAGACATTTATTTCTCACAGCTCTGAAAATTGGGAGGTCCAACATCCAGGTGCTGACAAATTTGGCTCCTGGTGAGGGCTCTAGTCTCCTTGCTTGCTGACAGCCACCTGCTTGCTGTGTCTTCATAATGCAGGGAGAGGGAGCTCTAATCTCTTCCTCTTCTTGTAAGGATACTAATCCTATCATGGGGGGCCCACTGTCATGACCTCATCTAAACCTAATTACTTCCCAAAGGCCCCACTTCCAAATATCATGACATTGGAGGTTAGGACTTCAATACATGAGTTTGGAGTTGGGGGCACAAACGTTCAGTCTGTAACAGAGAGGCACTGCTGTGTCAGTGCAGTGCAGCTGGTGGATGGAACACGGGATGGCAATTTCCACCCCACCTTCAAGGCCCAGACCAGACCAAGGCCCTGCAAAGAGACCACCTACTCTTTGAAGCTTTCTCTGTCTTCCTTTTTACAGTCCCTTATTCCCCTTAAAAAAAAATTTTAGAGCACTTACTTTGACCATCTTTGTTTAGTAGCATAAGTTACTTTTAAATAATGTATATATGGATTTACATATATACAATTTATATAATATATACATGGATTAATATATATTCCATGGCCTTGACTAGAATGTCATATCAGTAACAGTGATAATGTGATGATGATCATGATAATGACAGCAGCTAACACTGATTTAGCCTGTATCATCTGCCAGTGCTTTGCATGCATTATATTGCATACTTTTCACGATAAACCTATGAGGTAGATATTATTATTGCCCATTTTACAAATGAGAACACTGTGGCTTAGGGAAGTTAAATAGTTTATCCACCAGGTTATTATGTGGCAGGGGTGGTCTCCAATCATTGGCATATGTATTCCCAAGCCTGTGATCTTAACCATGCACCATACGTAGGCCCCTCTTCATGCATACAGTGTCCCCCAGTGTCTATGAGGGATGACTCTAAATGTTAATTTCCATGCCCCTGGGACCACAGTTCTCTTAACAGAAGAATAAGATTTTGAGTATCAACACTTTCCTTACTGGGTAGAATTATATTTCCATTCTCAACAATGAATTAATTATTGCCTCCCTGTTTCTTTTAAACTAAGGCCTCTTTCCATCACCTGTGACTGGATTCTGTTGTGTGCCTTCCCTGAGCCTGTGTCATTTCATTTGCTACAATGGGAGTGATTGATGGTTCTAATTCTTATTTATTTAATTTTTTAATATATTAGGCACCAGACTGGGAAAATTTACTCACCCCATTTGTCATTCTAAAAAATCTAAGACTAATGAGATATAGAAAAAAAAAAAACTTAAATGGAACAGAGTTTCCCAGGGTCCCCAGTAGGTAGGTGGAGTCATGGCAAGAAATGAACCCAGGGCTTACTGAAGAACTCCAGTGGAAGACAGTGCAGAAACCCGGGTAAAAGGCCAAATGGGCCAGAGTCAGCCTCCTACTATGACAATCTTTGGTGTAAGGAAGTAGATATCCTTCATTCAGAACAAAGAGAACAGGACAGGGATTTGGTTAGCTCATGGGTCTTATGCTTATAAAAATGGAACTGGCAATAGTGGTTCCTCTCTTCTAATTAAATATGCTGCCAAGTTGAGGGACAAATTTGAATTTGGTCAAGTACCTTGAGTACCTCTGAGGAGAGCACCACAGAAAAGGTCTTTTTTTTTTTTCTTTTTTGGAACAGAGTCTCACTGTGTCACCCAGGCTAGAGTCCAATGGCACTATCTCGGCTCACTGCAACCTCTACCTCCCAGGTTCAAGGAATTCTTCTGCCTCAGACTCCTGAGTAGCTGGGACTACAGGCGGGCACCACCACGCCTGGCTAATTTTTGTATTTTTAGTACAGAAGGGGTTTCACCATGTTGGCCAGGCTGGTCTCTAACTCCTAACCTCAGGTGATCTACCCTCCTCAGCCTCCCAAATCCTCCCAAAGGGATTACAGGTGTGAGCCACCGTGCCTGGCCAGAAAACCTCTTTTCTAAAATGACATTGCCTCACTCACTTGCCAGAAAGTGTTTCTTCCCAAATAATGTCACTGATGAACTGAAGAACTTTCAAAGTATGATGGATCCATGTCATTTAGGTAAGCCATTTGTCTGGGGTGCCAAAACAGAATCAATTCTCCACAATTCCTTAAACAACAGGTATCCTTATATGGGCCAGATTTGCCTGAAAAGAACAGAATGACATTGCCCAGTGAATCCCCCAGGCTTCACATTCCAAAAGTGTCCCATTAAATGAATCCAAGCAGTTGCTTCTGAAATCATAAATTCCAAAAGACAATGAAAGTTGCAATCACAAGGGGTAACAGAAGCCAAACACATTAGGAACATGTTCCTTGTGCAAATAGCATAATCCCGGACACGCGGGAACACATGGTTTGCCTCAGACATGTTTCATTTTGTCATCGCATTGAGTGTACAGTATTTCTCTTTGGGTGCAAGAGTGATTGATTTCCTTGGGAGAATTGTTTGTAAGAACATGAAAGTTGCCAAAGCAAACACGTTGGAGGGAAGTGTGGAGAAGGGGAGTAAGAATATTTGGAGTAGATCTGGGTTTGGGAAGTTCATGCAGAGGTGAGACAGTGAGATGTAGAACAAATAAAAACATTCTGCACACTTCATCTACATAAATTATGTTCTGAAATTCACTCTGTGTAGACATTAGCAGTGCAGCTACAACTCTCCCTAGTGTGCCTCCAGAATGTGGGCACAAAGCCAATTTTTAAGTGAATGATTTGTAACTTTTCCTCCAAATAAATTAATCTACTAATATTTAGATCATCCTGATTTTAATCCACAAAAGTCATGTAGTCATTGTAAAAAATATCCAATAATCTATTTGTCTTTTATGATAGAATTATAGTACTGATTTGTATTAATAGATCTGTCGAGATATGTTGACAAAATGGAAAACATTACACATATTTCCTTTGATCTCTTTCTCTACCATAAAAAACCTACCTAAATAAATACAGCGGCATTTATAACATGTGAATTTGAAATGATCCTTTTGGTTATTTACTTTAAATTTTAAATTATGTTAAAGATGAGCATTTTAAGCTTCTATCTACCTATATGAACTTGCTTCTTAAGCGATGTAAATTTATTATAAAATACTCATGACACTTAGATGCTTAAGTGTGTGGTTACAAGGCAGAGTAACAAATGGAATTTGTTTACTCCAATGGGATTTTGTTTTCCATATAGCTATTGTTATAGTGCAAAATGAGAACTTCTGAGAATTAGCAATAGGATACCTAAATAAACATTCCCATTTAAAGATGATTCTGTAAGTAAAACATAAATAATTTAAACCCCAGAGAATAAAGGCTCTTGACCTGGTTCTGTACAGTGCCCAGAATAGCTTCGTTACATGAAGGTTCTCATCATTCACACTAAGGCAGTTTTTCTCAAGTCTCCCCACTGCTGTTCTCCTGCCTAGCTAGTTATCTATTGTGGTATAATAGATTACCCCCAAACTTAGCAGTTTAAAACAACACTTATTATCTCACAGTTTCTATGGGTCAGGAGCTGGGCACGGTTTGGCTGGATCCCCTAACTGGGTCTCTTGCATGACTACAGTCATCTCAAGGCTTGAATTGGAAGGGTCCACTTCTGAGGTCACTCATCTGCTTGGTGGCAGGAATCAGTTCTGTGCTTGTTGACTGGTGGACTGAGGCCTCATTTCTTCCAGGGCTGTTGGCTGGAGGCTTCGCCTCCCTAGGTTCCTTCCCATGTGGGCCTCTAGGTAGATCATCTCACAACATGTCACTTGGCTGCATCAGTGCTAGCATGCAAGTGGGCGAGAGAGTACTAGCAAGGTGGAAGACAGAGTCTCTCGTGACCTGATCATGTAAGTGACACCCCATCACTTTAGCTGTATTTTCTTTGTTGGAGGAAAGTGACTAGGTCCTGCTCACACTCGAGGGGAGGGGATTACACACGGTTTGAATTCCAAGAGGTGTGCATCACTGGGAGCATGTCAGTAGCTGTCTTCTGTATCACTGGTGACTATTAGGGGTATACTTCCTGTGATGGTTAATTTTAGGTGTCAACTTGACTAGATTAAGGATACCTAGAGAACTGGTAACACATTATATCTGGGTGTGTCTGTTGGGGTGTTTCCAGAGAAGACTGGCAGTCTGTGAACTGAGTGGAGGGAAATCCACCCTCTATGTGGACAGGCACCACCCAATCACCTAGAGGCCCAGAAAGAACCAAAAAAAAGCAGAGGAAAGGTGGTTTCCTCTCTCTCTCTCCTGGAGCTGAGACATCCATCTTCTGCTCTTGGACATCAGAACTCCAGGCTCTCCAGCCTTTGGACTCTAATACTTAACCAGCAGCCCCCTAGGTTCTCAGACCCTTGGTTTCAGACTGAGAATTAAACCATCAGCTCCCCTAGTTCTGAAGCTTTCAGATTTAGACTGAGCCATGGTACTGGCATCCAGGGTCTCCAGCTTTTGGACGGCTTGTTGTGGGATTTCTGAGCCTGCATAACCATGTGAGCCAACTTCCCTAATAAATTACCTCTCATCTACCTACCTTTCTATCTGCAGTCATACCTTGGTATCTGTGGGGGACTCAGGAACCTGTTAGAACTGCAGATTTCCAGGCCTACTCAAGATCTACTGAGTCAGAAACTCTAGGATTGAGGCCCAGTATGCTGTGTTCTAAGAAGCCCACCAGATTATTCTGAGCATCTTAAAAATTTGAGAAGTATTGCCTTAAAAACAAAGGGAGCAGAGCTGCCAGGCCTCCCAATTTCCCTCTTACAAGACCAGGATCCCAGTCATGGGAATACTTGCTACTGCTCATGGTTTTAATGATGATGATTTGCAACGTAAACCAGGAGACAGCTTATGAGGGTACATCATGTGGCAAATCTAGAAGAGAATTTTAGTTTTTCTTTACCTGGGATTTCAGTTTTTCAACCTAGTGAACCTCATGCACCTAACCCCAAAGCCTAGTACTTTACATGTTGTGAGGCCAAAAGGAACTAAACAAAGCTTCAGAAAAGCTAATCAGCAGTAGAAACTTCATTGAGTTGTACAAATGCCAGACTTACTAATATACCTTAATTCTCTAAAAGGGTTCTTCTTATACTCTTTACCACTCCCTGCCCCCCACCCAAAAAATATTGTAATGGCCACAACTGTACTCCTAAGGTATAAGGTGGCTAAGAATAGCTAATTATATGTACTAGGTCCTTCTAGTAGGAATGCAAACTGAAGTGAGTTAGCATCATAACCATGGAATGCTATGCAAAATCTCATGTCCTCCCCATTTGTGTTCCTTCTGGTCTCTTTACCATCATTTCAAACTCTTCATCTTTGGGAGGCCTCCACAGTGTCATAAGAAAGAATACAGGCTCTGGAGATGGAAGATCTGGGTTCACATCTAAGCTCTGATACCTAGTACAGTCATGCATCCATAACAATGTCTCAGTCAATGACAGACCACCACTAACAGACAGATATTGATCCCATAAGATGATTAGGCTTTATTGTTATTGTGTCTTTTCTGTGTTTAGATATGTTTAGGTACACTTACCTTTGTGTTACAAGTGCCTACAGTACTCAGTATAGCCATACTGAACAGGTTTGTAGCCTAAGTAGGCTGCACCATATAGTCTAGATGTGTAGTAGACTATACCATCTACATTTCTGTAAGTACACCCTATTATGTTCACACAACAACAAATTTCTCAAAACATAACCCCATTGTTAAGCAACCCATGACTGTACATCTATACTAGTCTATAACTTTTGGTCAGAGCAATCAGCAGTCATCCAACATAGCAGTGCGAATGCCAGGTATCTGAAAGGGTGAATTACTACAACCCTACTGTTCTAGTTGGACAGTGTAGATCCATTAGGCCAACATTTATGGTTAGAGCAATTTCTTATCTTTACTGTTTTGCCTTTGGGTAAGTAGACAAAGCCAATGGACTCCAAATTATTTTATCCACATCATTCACCTGGTAAATCAGTCAATTTATTAATCAGTCAAAATATTTATTCAGTGCTAATTATGTACATGGAATTATGGAAATGTAAAGAATTACAAGGCATGGCCTTACTTTTAAGTAGCTTGAAATATAGTGGAAACTTAATAGTAGACTGAGTAAAGATTGGCACTTCACAAACGCTCATATAGAATTAATACCACGTAAGTAGTGGTCCACATAAAAAATTGCTAGGGATTCGGGAAATGAGTCCTTCACTGGGGGCAAATAAGAGTAACAGCACCCAGGCTCAAGAATCCAGCCACCTGGATTTGAATTCTAGCTCATCCACTTACAGATATATGACAATGGTAAACTGCTTAACCTCCTCATGCTTCAGTGATTCCTTCTTTTTTTTTTTTTTTTTTGTTTTTTTTCTGTTTGTTTGTTTTTTTGGAGACAGGGTCTCACTCTGTCACCCATGCTGGAGTGCAATGGAGTGAACATAGCTCACTGCAGCCTCAATCTTCTCCTTAGCTCAAGCCATCCTTCTGCCTCAGCCTCCCAAGTAGCTGGGACTACAGGCTTGCACCTACACACCTAGCTAATTTTTTGTAGAGATGGGGTCTTACTGCATTGCACAGCCTGGTCTTAAACTCCTGAGCCCATGGGATCTTCTCACTTTGGCCTCCCAAAGTGCTGGGATTACAGGTGTGCACCACCATGCCTGGCCCAGTGTTTCTCTCTTAAAAACCTTGTAGGATGGCTGTGAGAATTAAATGAACTAATTTATGTCACATACTTAACATAGAACCTAGCCTAAAGTACTCCATACATGTTACCTATGTAGTGGTAGCTTTTATGGGGTAATAGTATTCATGAAGAAGAAAAAAGTCTTAGTAGGGTCTTATGAAGACTACAGAGTAAGGAGGAAAAGGTCTTACAGATATGGACTATAACATCAATAGTACAAATTGCAGGAAAATTGTGGTGTTGGCTGGGATAGTAAGTTTGGCCCAGTTGTAAAAGGTCTTGAACATAAGATGAACTTAAGACTTCTTCATGTAATCAATAGAGAATCACTTTCACTTCTTAAGCAGAAGTGTAGCATGATAAAGATGTTTTGCAAAGTTTTAGTCTGCTGCATATATTGGGCAATGGGAAGACTAGAGGTAAGGAGACCAGAGAGAAAAAGGTATTTCAGTGGTACAGGAATAGGGTAAAAGGTGCCCAATCTTTGACGATAACAGTGGGAGTGCAGAAGGGAGAAAAGGTGAGTTTTTGCAGAGGAAGAATTAACTATACTTGGTGAATGACAGGATGTGAGAATTATGCTGCTATTTTTTATACATTCTATTTACAAGTTTAATTTCTGTTCCTTCTTCAAAGGTCATCTAAAATATTACCTCCTCTGGGAAGCTTTCTCTATCCCTCCCAGATAGTTATTTTTCTCTGTCAATCCTGTCAATCAGTTCATATTTCTATGACAACACATCAAGAATTGTTGTATTTCGGTGAGTATACATATCTCGCCACCTCCAACCAGATGTCTAATATTTTTGTATCCACATCACACTATGCCTGGCACACAGTAGGTGCTCACGATAAAAGAAAGAATGAATAGATGATTAAATCTGGGTCTTTGGTTCCCCTTGATCATTTTTTTTTTTTTTTTTTTTAAGAGATGGAGGTCTTGCTGTGTTGCCCAGGGTGGTCTCAAACTCCTGACCTCAAGCAATCCTCCTGCCTCAGCCTCCCAAAGCACTGGGATCACAGGCATGAGCCAACACACCCAGCCTACAATATAAGTATTTTAAGGTGAAGTTTATTTGTATTTTTTTCAACCCTTATGCTACTTTATGGCTATAATGTTATACAGATCCAAGAATCTCAAAATAAATGCCCAATTTTTGACACTTTTTATAGCATTTTATAAGAAGTGGTTTTTCTTTGTTATTAATTTTTCATATATTTTATTGACTTGTTAAATGAAAATATTCATAATTTTTCTAAGAATTTATGTAAGGATATTGTAGAGCAAAGTAATGTATCATACGTTGCTTTTTTAAAATAAACTGTTTTCAAGCAAAAGAAGAACAAAAATTTAATATCATTACTAGAGATTTTTCTATAATAAAACCATTTTGTCAGCTACTCACAATGTAGTTCTTCTGCTCAAGTTTCTTAGAATCTGTGTGGTCTCTTCTGAATTCTTTAAATAGACAGGAGCCCATCTATGTGAGCAGGTAGATGAATGGGTGCAATGAAAGAGGCCAGTCTCTTTCTCCACATATAAATCTCCAAAAATAATAGGATACATGTGTGCAAAAGTGGTAAACCACTAATAATATTTATAACTCCACAATTCCTAGTGGAAATAAAATAATAAAGCAATAAAACATTCGAGGAAAGGAACAAGTACCATGGTTAAAACGTTGGCATCAGGGCTTGAAACTTGTCTGAAACCCAGTCACTCATGATTTGGAATGTTTACAGTAGGAATTTAGATTGTTTTATGTCATGGTCCACTTACAGATCGGCAGGCCAGATCTCATGGGCGGGATCTGTATTAAACCTGTGCCATATTCCTATTGAGCACAAAGACTGAACATGCTCTTCATCATTAGAGACTTTTTGCTACTTAATTGGTGGTAGTACTGGCTGAGTCACCCTTATGCTTTGGTAGAGGGTAAAGGGAGTTAATTATGTGTAGTTTTTAAAAATTTCACTTGCATGGCCGGGCACAGTGGCTCACGCCTGTAATCCCAGCACTTTGGGAGGCTGAGGTGGGCAGATCACGAGGTCAGGAGTTCGAGACCAGCCTGGCCAACACAGTGAAGCCCCATCTGTACTAAAAATACAAAAAATTAGCCGGGCATGGTGGCAGGTGCCTGTAATTCCAGCTACTCGGGAGGCTGAGGCAGGATGGAGGCGGAGGTTGCAGTGAGCCGAGATCACACCATTGTACTCCAGCCTGGGCAACAAGAGTGAAACTCTGTCTCAAAAATAAAAAATAAAAAAATTCACTTGCAGTAGTTCAAAATTATAAAATAGTTAAGATAATGTATATTGCTTTGTCTTAGAAAAAGATTAATAAATGCTATCTTTTAAACATTTGATACCTTGTTTAATATACTACTTCTAAAATAAGCCATATATATATTCAGAAACCATCTTTAAAGCATGACTAAAAAGTGATGCAATTTTTTTTCACCCTTCATCAAACTTACAGGAATGTTCTCCTCTAAGCAATCACCCTGGGAGCACACCAATATCAATAATACTGCCATTCCTGAGGACATCTTGAGAACTCTCCTTTTGTAACCAGTTTACAAGACACACAAGATGATAAATCTTCAAGGATATGTTAGTTTTTGTTTGTTTGTTTTTACTAAATTTGTTCATCCACTTTATTCAACATATTTGACTCAGTGACATTTGGCCATTTGCAAAATTAAATCTACCTTCAAAGAATAAAGTTTTTCAAATGAATGGGCAATTTTTTTTTTTTTTTTTTTTTTTTGCATTTCAAAAAGTTTTCATGATGGGGCTTATTGATAGAAAATGCAATTGAAAATTATCAGTTTTTAAACATTGTTTATAAAGTACCTGTTGCAAGGACAGAGCTAGATAATTACCCTTATTAATTATTGAAAAAGACAATGAAAGCACTTGCCATCAGTGGAGTTTTATTAATGACACAGAAACTGAAGGATCCTTTACCTTTTTTTAACTATTTTTTAAAATAATTATAGACTCATAGGATGTTGCAAAAATAGAGTTCCATACACCCTTCACCCAGCTTTCTCTAGTGGCGACATGTAATTGCAATACAATATCAAAACTAGGAAACAGGCATTATATAACACTGCTTTTTGTGTGCGTGTGTGTGTATTTTTTGTTTGTCTTTGTTTTTGTTTTTGTTTGAGACAGAGTCTCCCTCTGTTGTTCAGGCTGGAGTGCACTGGCGTGATCTCAGCTCACTGCAACCTCCCCCTCCCAGGTTCAAGCAATTTTCCTGCCTCAGCCTCCTGAGTAGCTGGGATTACAGATGCCCACCACCATGCCCGGCTAATTTTTGTAATTTTAGTAGAGACAGGGGCTTCACCATGTTGACCAGGTTGGTCTTGAACTCCTGGCCTCAAGCGATCCACTGGCCTCAGCCTCCCAAAGTGCTGGAATTACAGGCATGAGCTACCGTGTCTTACAGGCATGAGCTACCATGTCCGGCTCAGAAATTGACATTGTATGTCACTGTTTTCTCCCCCCCGCCCCCAAGACGGAGTCTTGCTCTGTTGCCCAGGATGGAGTGCAGTGGTGTGATCTCGGCTCACTGCAAGCTCCGCCTCCCGGGTTCATGCCGTTCTCCTGCCTCAGCCTCCCGAGTAGCTGGGACTACAGGCGCCCGCCACCACGCCCGGCTAATTTTTGTATTTTTATTTTTAGTAGAGACGGGGTTTCACCGTGTTAGCCAGGATGGTCTCGATCTCCTGACCTTGTGATCCACCCACCTCAGCCTCCCAAAGTGCTAGGATTATAGGCGTGAGCCACCGCGCCCCACCGTATTTTCACTGTTAAGTACACTACAGGCCTTACTCAGTTTTTGCCAAGTTTTACATGCATTCATGTGTGTACTGTTCTATGTAGTTTTATCCCATGTGTAATTCAAGTAAGCACCATAACAAGGTAGAGAACTCTTCCATCAATACAAAGGAACTCATTCCTGGTCCCCTCTTACATTCGGACCCCCACCCTTTCCCTGTCCTGTGTAGGCCACCAATCTGTTCTCATATGTACAGTTTTGTCATTTTGAGAATGTTACATAAATGGAAATATGCGGTATGTAACAATTTGAGGTGGACTGTTTTCCCTATATTGCCCTTGAGATTCTATTTGTTGTGCACATCAGTAGTTTATTTCTTTTTATTCCTAAGTAGTATTCCTTTGTATGAATATCCCAGAGTTTTACCACTGAAGGACATATGGGTTGTCTTTTTTCTTTCTTTCTTCTTATTGTTACAAATAAAGCTACTATGAACATTCATGTACAAGTTTTTCTGCAAACATAAATTTTCATTTCTCTGGGATTAATGCCCTAGGACATAGTGGCTGGGCTGAATGGTAAGTGCGTATTTAATTTTGTAAGTAACTGACAAACTATTTTCCAGAGTGACTGTGCCACTTTACATTCACATCAATAATGTAGGAGAGATCCAGGTTTTTTGCATTCTTGCTAGCATTTGGTATTATTGCTATTTTAGCTATTCTAATAGGTCAGTAGTTCTAATTATTTTTGGAAATTGCTGATTCAATGTATTTGGTCTTATGATAATTCAAAAGAGATGGATTTTTGCCTTCACATTGTCTTCCTGGGTATGAACTTCAAGCCTTATTTTATACTGATTTTTAGCTTTAAAATTATAAAAAGATGTGTTCATCACTTCGTTTACCAATGTCCAGCATAAGTGACCAAAAACTCACTTCAGGCTCTTCCACCTGCCCTTATAATTTCTCCCACGTCATAAACATGCCTTTGTCTAAAAATATTGTCCTTCCTGGAAAAAAAAAAGTCCTATTGGCTGCCTTCTGTTTCTGTTGAGGGAAGGAGGACTAATGTTGGGCTGCACTGGTTGCCTCTGGTTGGTCACTCGCAGCATAAATTCTACTGTGAATTCTGGCTTTGTGGCTGGCTTTTGTGGGTGGATTTCTGGGGATGCTAGGAGTGAACAGCACAATCATAATTCTGCAGGTTTGCTCTGTTCAAAGTTAATAGGTCTGTATGGTGACCCATAGATGAGACAAAGTAGAGACTGCTATGTTAGTTGCAAAATGATCACTTTACTTCAAACAGAATTCAAAGTGCCCTTGAGAGGCTGTTGCATTAAGTACTTGCACGGCTGAGGTGGAACACACAGGATACAATTTACTTTCCCCCTCAAGTTCATGCCACTCTTTGTGAAGAGGCCCAAAGTGCTTACTACTAGTCTTAGGGAATGAAATGGCAAGGAGGAAAAGAATCCAATTACAAAACAGCTTGTGGCTTCTGCTCCACTTACATTTACCCACAACTGCATCTTGAAAATGATGTAACTAGCAGTTACTATGTGTAAATCATTTCATTTTATTTACTTATAATCATAAAATTACCTCTGTTAGTTGATAATGAAATGTTGGGGTTTGAGGAGGGTCATATGTTTTAATTTCAGGTTAAGATAAAGCTTTCCAGCATTTGCTTCCCATTCTTTATCTATCTAAATTGACTTATCATTTATATTATTCTATAAATAGGAGTTTGAACAGATGAATATCACAAACATACTGATGAGTAAAAAAAAAGTCAATCAAGAGACTCCATACATATTGTATAATTTCATTTATATGAAGTTCAAAAACATGTAAAACTAACCTGTGGTGAGAGAAATGAGAACAGTGGTTGGAAGTGGAATGACATTTATTGGATACAGGCACAGAGGAGTTTTCTGGGGTGTTTAAAATACTCTGTACCTCTGGTGGCTACACAGGTGCATATATATGGACAATTCACCAAGATGTACACTAGGAGTTGGATACTTTATTGTATCTATGTTATTCTTTAATTAAAAGTTAAGCTAACAACTGAAATGAAAAAAATAAGAGGTTTGGTGATAACATCACAGGCAGAATCGATTTTGGTTTTTCCTCTCAAAGTTTCCAGGAATTTTTACATCTTACAAATTGTCATTTTCTCCAATGCAAATGAACTGCTTTTCTCACCTCTTTCCTCTTCTCTGCCCCTCCCAGTTTCTAAACTAGTTAGATTTATGGTGCAATGTCATGCATACTGTAACTGTGAAATTAAAATATTGTGAAGCAGAGTGTGGAAGCAATAAAACCCTATTAAGATCAGTTTAGGCCTTTAAAAATTCCATGATTCCTTTCACTCACATGACATCTTTCATTCCTTTTTTTGAAGTTTGGATCCAAGGAATTTTGCATGCTGTGGGTTGACATTTAGTTAATAGCATCTTTTGCTGAGGTTCTATTTTCTAAATTAACAAGATCAAGAACAGTGACCTGATGATATTTCTTTGTACATCTGGCTCTTTTCCAAAAAGAAGGATTAAGGGGATGGGGGGCGGGGTGAAGAGAGAGAGAGACAGAGAGAGAGAGAGAGGAAATCAAACCCCTTTTGGTCACCTTTATTTTAGGGCAAAGTTTGCTTCAAATTTTTGTAAAAATATTAGATAACTTCTCATCAACAAAAGGAACAAACAACGCCCTCCCCACACAAAATCTGTAGTTGCAATATGTCTACTATTTCTCTTTTGCTTCCCTGTTATCCTGTGTCTGCAGTTCTTTCTAATGAGCCATGAAAAAGACAAAGAAAAAATACATCTACATATAAACTATGGGGACAGAATCAACAGCTTGCCTAAGGAATTGAACCAAGTCAGGTTTAACTTCTTAAGACAGATTTGGAGATGGACTTAAGAGGGAAGGAAGAAGACTGAGGAGTATAGTAAGAATCTGTCTGTCTAGTCACACAGTAGGTGCTCCACACACATTTCTTTTAAAAAAAACTGGTAACAAAAAATACACATTATTTACGCAAGCGAGGAACTCCTACAGCATAATGTTTGGCCAAGATAGTGACTTCAGGATGGCACCCGACCCACTTTCCTCTCATTCCCAAATGCTTACTTGGAAATTCCATGTTGCTAAAAGTGAGGACGAGGAGAGGGAGGAGCTGGTAAGTATGTGAGAAATACGGAAGACAGATGGAGAGGAAAATGTGTAGCCTACCGAATGCAAAAGGATGCTTTCCAAGACAGAAGGAGGGAACTAGGCGCCTTTTTTCCACTCCGCTGACCCCAACGTCTGGGCTGTGCGTTGTAACGCAGTTGGCGGGGCCTTCAGCTTGGGATGAGGGCGAAGGGGCTCGGGATGGGTGGGAAAGCAAGGACCGGGCAACAGGTGGGGAGGTGGCGGACTTTTGTCTCGGGGAAGGAAATCGGCTGTGCTGAAAGGGCGGAAAGCAGTAGCGCACAGAACTAGTGTCTGCGGGGTCCCGGGCGCTCTCGCCTTCGCCCTGGGCTCCTCTAATTAGAGAGGGGATGCAGGGTGGCATTAGTTCCCAAACGTTTTAATCGAGCCTCTTTTCAATGGCCAGGGATAAATGTAGCCACTGTTACTCTGTGCTGAATGGGTCGCAAAGGCCCCCGCCCGGCCCCCAGCGAGGCCATTCAGGCGTCTTTTCACAACCCCTAAGCGGTTCAGTCCCCGGGCCTAGCGACACTCCAGAGCGCTCCTAATTAGTCTAATTAGAAAGGTGGATTGATAGATGGAAAGAAGACAGAGTTGGGTTAGGAAGATGCTCAATGCTGCCAATCTCGGCTGGGTTGCCGCTTATTCTCTGCGTAAAGAAAAGGCCGCAAAGAAGGAAGTTGGAGCCGAAGCCCGCGCTGGGGCTGGGCTCTGGCCGGATCGCAGGCTGGGCGGTCTTTGACCCCCCGCGCCTCCCGCCCACAGCCGGAGCCCGGCAGCTGGAAGCACCCGCTACCCCGGGGAGCGTCTCCAGGCCGCGGTCTCCGGCCTTCGCCGAGCGAGGCGGGCGGGAAGGTAGGGCCGCGGTGGAGCGGGCACGGCCTCCCGCCCCAGCCCGGAGCCTCTCCGCCCCGCCGGGCCCCGCGGCCGCCCCTTCCTCACCCGGAAAATCGTGGGGAGGCGCGGCGTAGCGGCCGGACCCCTGGCCTCCGCGTCGGGCTGCGCCACGTGGCAGCTCCCAGCGCCCTCCCGTCCCGGCCTCGCATGCTGTCGGGGGAGCGCCTCGTCCCACTCAGGCCGAAACCCCAGGAAGGAAATCACTCTGGGCTGGGGACGCGGCCTTTCTGCTCGCGGCTGTTGGGTGATGTGCCCGAGGTTTCTCTGCCCTTCTCCGGGCGCAGGCCGTTCATTCGCGCCGCCGCTCCTGAGGGTCGCTGGGCGCAGAACCGCCTCGGCCGCGGCCCGGCCTTAGGCGCGGCCTCGCGCATTCCTGCGCTCGCCACAGCCGGCGGGAGGCGGGGAAGGGAGCAGCCCGGGTGGCTTGGAGAACACTGAACCTTTAATTGGGCTATAAATCAGACAGGGGAGTGCGGTGGAGTTTATGCAGGTGTAAAAACAGAGGGGAAAGCCCGGGCCGAGCAGCCAAAGCGCCCGGGCAGGTCAGAACCTCCAGCAAACTAACATCTTGATAAGTCCGCTGACAACAAAATAAACAGTGGAGAAGGCTGGAGGGCGGGGGGCGCCGTGGCCCGCGGCTGGTTCGCAGCAGCTCGGCGGCCTTCTGCGAGGGGAAGGCGGGCCGCTCTCGGCTTTGTGCTTGGGGCTTTAGGAGGGGGGCGGTTGGAGGAGAGAGAGAAGCCGAATTATCTCCCTTTCCGCGTCTCATTCCCGTGGATGGAGGGCCCCGGGAGCGTTTGACGATGGCAGTTTGGGGCGTGCGCGCTGCCTCGTCGGCCCCTACGACGTCAGGCGCCGGAGCTGCCGGGGCCCCGGGCGAGCGGGCAGCGGCCCCCGCGTCCCTCCCGGACACAGCGCCACCGAGAGGCCGAGCCTCCCGCTCCTGTTGCCATTTCAAGGGCTGACGCCTGGAAAACACCGCCAGGCCCCTGGCCGAAGGAGGTAACTAACCGAGTCGAAACGGCGATCAGAAATTAATTCAGTGCCCTGCTCAGGAGCAAAACCGTCAAAACCCCATCGAGATGTTGGCGCAAGCGGATTCACACACAAAGGAAAACAATAAAAGTCTCGTTAGATCATTTTTCTGGACATTGTTTAAGGTCTGAAAGGGACCAAATCGTTTCAAAATGTTGCCAGTAAAAATTATCCTATGTGGAATGCAACTAATCCTTTTAGGTTCCTGTCAACTGTTTCCACAAAAGGAATCCGATTTTTCAAATCAAAGATCCAAAAGTCTTTGGGGAGAGATTTATTACATGCCAGAGCTTTAGTTACAGAATAGAGTTACAGTAACAACCCGCGCCCACCAACTCCCTAAAATAAGGGATCCTATCCTACATAACTCTAAAGACCTGTGGGATATAGTTTGCTGGAGTCCTGCTATCTATGCAGATAGGGAGGGAGGCCAGGAAGGGGGGAGGAAGGCAAAGAAATAGTAAATTCCTTAAATAGAAAAACAGAGCACAGAATGCCTCAACATTTTATTTTTCTCCTCTGTACTCCCAGTTACTTCTGGAGACAAAAAAAAAAAAAACAAAAAACGCCAAGACCCAAACTTGGTGATTTGGAAGCAGTTCCTTAGCAATGACAACTTAAAGGTGAAATAAATGCAGAAAAACTCTTGGGTGCTTATGCACCACCCCCCGTGGTCCAAAACCTGGATTTGCTGTCTGCCTTTTGAAGATGCGACTACAACTTCAGCAAGTGGGAAAGTGTTTATTTAAAAGTTTAGCAAGGAAAATATACCTGGTTTAATTTTAATTTTTTTATTTGTAATAAAATGTTTAAGCCTGCAAAAAGAAAAAAAGTGCCCTAGGGTTTTTGTTGTTTTTGTTTTACTGGGTCTCTGTATTTAACTCTCCACAAACCCATGTGAGCCTAAACTCATTCGGAATAGGTGACTGTCTCTGTTCACAATGATATCTGAGGGCCTGAGCACAAACCATCACCCTCCTCCTTTTCAGCTCTTCACAGAAAACTGGCAGCTAGGGATAGGATTCAATCTATTAGTAAAAAGCTGTAAACACTTGGGAAGAAATTCAAATTCACAGTGCCTGGAAACTTCTGGCACTGAGTTGCCTCCATACCACATAGGCAAAGGTGCTCAGGCGTTTTAGTCATTTTGTGAGTAAATTGGCAACACGAGAAAGATATTGTCAAGAAGCTATTATTAGTTTCATTTAGACACTAGGGAGATTTTTGGTAATGAAAAGAAATCGTTTTAATGGAGAGATTTTAAAAATATATCTTGCTAACTTTCCCTCCATCCCATTGTTTCCTGCTAAAATGGCTTGCTCTTGTTGTTCCATAGCGAGTGCTTATTGGTGGCAGGAATTCTTTAATTTGTTTCTTATATTTAAAGCAGGAGTAAAGGGATTTGCAATATAGCAGGTGCTCAATAAATAGTGCAGACTAATCCCACTTTTCAAAGCTTAGAGGTTAAATAGATGATCAGTAGATAAGTAGAGGAAAGAAATAGAGCAAGAGACTAGAAGAGCAGATTTAAAACACCAGTGGTTTGTTTATTTTAGAAAGGGAAAGTTATCTGTCCAAATACACATCTGGCTAAGTAAGAGAAAACACATGCCATCTCTTTTATCCTCATTATATCTAGAAGAACTAATTTATTTCATAGATAGGAATGGAAATTTTGAAGATAAATTTTTATATATGGCCAAAAATTTCTCTTAACTAATTTAGGGATTTAAGTATATGCCAAAATTTAGAAGTTTTTCCTTTTCTTTTTTTCCTTGAAAAATAAGGATGTGGAAAGAAGCCACAAAGGGATAATTCTTACACATTATACAGGTTTTAAGTTTTCCAAAGCATTTTCACATAAATTGTATTACTTGATTCTCACAACCTCTCCTACCCCACAAGAAAAATGCAAATAATTATGAAAACTGATCTAATGTTTAATTTCAAACTATTCTTTCTTCTCTTGCAGTCTTTGGAGATTTTTTTTCTTTTGGCTTGTGATTTTTTTTTCTTCATAGTCCATCATCTAACAGAACAAAATTTTGCACAGTTTCATACATATATGAAACTCTCTGCATAAGAATAAGCAAAAATAGGCCAGGCGCGGTGGCTCACGCCTGTAATCCCAGCACTTTGGGAGGCCGAGACGGGCGGATCACGAGGTCAGGAGATCGAGACCATCCTGGCTAACACGGTGAAACCCCGTCTCTACTAAAAATACAAAAATTAGCCGGGCATGGTGGCGCGCGCCTGTAGTCCCAGCTACACGGGAGGCTGAGGCAGGAGAATGGCGTGAACCCGGGAGGCGGAGCTTGCAGTGAGTCGAGATCGCGCCACTGCACTCCAGCATGGGCGACAGAGCGAAACTCCGTCTCAAAAAAAAAAAAAAAAAAAAAAAGAATAAGCAAAAATAGAGAACCAGTTATTTTTCCTTCATAATAACCCTTTCTTATAGACCTTTCCAAAAATGTGTTGCTTCCTTTTGCTGCTGAAAAGATCTGTCTTCCAGCTATTTTAACAGGAATTCCTAGACAAGTAAGCAAAGACACTTCTGCCTTCTGCCATAATTAATCTCTGCCCTCCCCTCTTTGCCAGTCTATTATTGATGAGTAATTGCAATAAGAATCCTTGGTCTGTGCCTGACTCCCTCTGGGACAGGGAGATCCAGGCAAGGCCGCAGGGCCTCAGATTCAGCCTGTACCCACCCACCTCCACCCCACACCTGTTCCTCTCCTGGTGCTCAGTGGACTGGTGGGGCCTAGGTTTTTGTTGTTTTTTTAAACTCTAGAATTAAAAAGAAAAAAGTTTCTGGTTTTTAAAACAACATATTTTCTCCAGGAAATCAATGTTCTCTTGCATTAAGCACTGTCCCTTGGAAAGATTGCCATACACACTCTCCTTTGCTCTCTGCAGCTTACAGGCACAATCCCTGCACTGACTCTGGTATGGATGTCTTCAAACTGAACAAAACAGTGGCCCCAGCCCATGCTTGAGGAGGCTAGGCTACAACAAGGCTTCTGGGTGGCAATGGGCAATGGTAAGCTTGCAGGTAGTCTAGAATTCCCCCACAAGCATTTTAGGAGACCTCTGGCAAGGCAGGTGGATTAATTGTATAGGGGCGGAGGACTGGCCCAAGCCACATCATATACAGCTGTTCAAAGAAAACAAAATATCTTCAACAGTATGCTGGGAGAAGGGGCATATCCTCAGAAAAATTTTTCATTTTCTCATTAAGTGTTAAACCAGTTGATCTGACTCCTTATGTATTCTTACCTTTTCCACACAGAGAGGAGGTGTCCCTAAGGATGGTTGTAAGACCCGCTTAGCAGTTTAGCAAAAAGTTCTAAACTAGAGGATCTTGACCATTAAAAACCAGCAAAAGAAGCTGAGGACATGGGTAAATGGTACAAAATAAGCTGCGTGTGTGTGTGTATGTGAGTGTGTGTGTGTGATAAATACTGTTGATGCCAAAAAATGGGGGGGCGGGAGGGATGCCAGGAAAGTATCATGTGTATCATGTAGAGCTACGTGGAGGAAGCTAATGCCTCTTAAAATAATTAGCTATCAATTCCAAATGAATCTGAGATGAGTTGCTAGAGTATCTCTCAGAAGACCTGGGTGGAAGTGGTAGGGAGGAGGGTGTGGCAACAATGCCAAAAAAAAAAAAAAAAGAAATGTGTAAGAAATACATGACTCTTCTGCACAGTGACCTCTAAGGAAACTTCCCTACCACAGTTGTCATTTAATAAATCACAATGATGGCAACAAAGTAGCAGTGTGATGTAACAAAAATAAGATGGGTTTTAAATGCTGAAGTCCCAGTAGCTGTGACCTTGGGCAAGTCATTTAATCTCTTTTGAGCCTTGATATCTCTATTTGTAAAATAAGGTCAATAATAATTCTTGTCCTCACTATTTCACAGTGCAGTTGAGAGAATTATTAGTGAGAGTCCTTTTACAAAGTCAATCTGTGGTGATGATAGTGACTGAATAGACAGGAAAGGGGTTCTGGGACACTGATAACATCTGCTTCTTGCTCTGATGCTAGTTATGTAATACATATGTGGCCACTGCGAGAAATTGTTAGGATTTGTGCACTTTTCCAAACATATGCTTCCCTAAAACTTTTACTTTTAAAAGACAGAGTAGCACAAAATAGTTTTTTCAAGGTGGTACGCTCATGATAATAGCGACAAGAAAAACTCTAAATGTAAGTCATCAGAAGCTCATCACTGTTATCTTCGTTTCTCCTCCTAGCCACCATGTATGGAGGCTTGGGAATCAAAGGAGATCTATGAGAATCATCAGTTGTTTTCTCTGTGTGTGCTTTGCATCTTACTGACTAGTATTTTACTAGAGGAAAGAAGCTGGAGGAATGAACCAGGAAGTTTCCTACATGCCAGAGGGGTCAACACTAACAAGAAAGAAGCCTAAGCTGTTCACATCAAGGGAAAGATGTGATTAGAGAGATGCGACATGCAAAGAAATTATCTGAAAAGTGAACTCAGTTGGGAAAGTATAAGCCCTAAAGAGCCCTGAGCAGCTGGTCATGATCAGATTCTCCATCTTTCTGTCAAATGTAATTGTATCCAAGTTGGCAGGGTATTTATTGCTAAAGTCGAAGGGCCAGATTTTACACTAAACATATTTACACATTTACATTCGTTGCCCTATAAACACACCACGTTTCACTGGCCATGACATCAAACACATTTACCAACAAAAAGCATATGTCTAATTACAAAATCATAGAGGAGGCAAGTGGCAGCTGATGGGCAACGAGCATGCATGCCTGTGTATGTATATGTGTGACCCAGCTGCACCACCAGGAAACCGACAGAGATGAGAATGAACGCAGACAATGCTAGGCCCACTTCACTTGTCCTCTGCTCTCCAGGCCTGTCCTCATCTGGTTTAGTTCTAAAGGGGATGATGGAACCCTGGCATTCCAATTAGATGCATGGTTTCCCCCCTGGAAGAGCCCTGAGAGACTAGGGCAGTTCCTGGGCAGATTTCTGATTTGGATTGGGTTTGATGCTGATATGACCTTTAAATTGCCCCCAAAATGTCTCTTCTCAGTCAGTAATAAAAATAGGTGTGAGCAGAATGTGTAGCCAGCAGTGAATTTTAAAATTATAACTAGAATCCTTGATTCCTGGCTTTGGGTAGTAAGATCAGATCCCTATCCATCAATAGCAGTTGTAATAACACCGTTAGCCACTCCAAGCTTGGTCCTCAATCAAACAAGGAAATCAGAGCCACTGGGGCTAGAGAGAGAAAAACACAACAGGCACAGCCTCAACCACTGGCCTCAGACGGCCTTTAATAAATGACACAGGCTGGTATTCCATCAAAATAATCACCTTCCATCAGAATAACCACCTCCCCCAACTCTCTCAGTGGACAGGCTACAGGAAGAAATGGTAGGTTTATAAAAAAGAAAAAACTGTGAAGGGCAGAAAAGCCTTTTCCTGAGATGAATGCTTACTACATTCACTGCAAGAATTTTGATAATAAATATATCCAGAATTCCAGTTCCATCAACAGAAAGTTTGGCCAAGAAAGAGCTGCCAAGTAGGGGCCAGACAAGTTGAGATGTGTAAACATACAGATGCTTCAGGGAGTGAAAAGTAAGAAGCGTCTTCACAATTTTTTTCCTTCATCTCCCCAGTTCCTTTTTTTCTTTTTTTAAGGGGAAGGGAAGTGGCCCTTAAATAAATGCATGGAATAGGATGGACAGGAAACACGTTGTTGAGAAGATGCACTAGCTTCTTATTTTAAAGAAATAAAATAATTACCCAATAAAGAAAAGAGAAATCAACCAAGGAACGATCTAAGGTCATGACACCATGTGTGGTACAAGGAGCAATTCAACCCATAAGGGCTTCATTACCCCCGCAATAGATAACATTTGGCTAAACCTAGCTGCAGATTAAATCTCCGCGCACAACAGAGCCCTGAATGGAGAGGCTCCTTTTTGTGTGGTCCTTCTCCGGGAGCTGCCTGAACCATCAGCCCCAATATATCCCTCTCCCTATTAACTGCAATTCCCTCCCGACTGAGCTTCGGTCATTTGTCTCGAGGCTCTACGGGGGCGTTTGATGAGCAGAGAAACAAGGAGAAGGGGAGAAAAGCGTCGGGTTAATGAGTTGTAGCAAATCCACACTTTGTAGTTGGGAGGAGGAGAGCTGGTGGCCAATGTTTGTTCAACTGGTTTATTTTTCGAGACCCAGCCTATTGAGGAAGGCTTGTTCAAGCAGGCTTCGTTCCTACAAACACACAAACATCCTTCTGTTTGCCTACAAAGAAAAGGGGACCAGCGCTGGATTTGCATGCGAATGAGGAGCCCCAGGAGGAGACGTCCTTGCCCATCAAAGGCCGCGGTAGCCTGGCGGCCCCGCAGCCTTTGTTCCAGCACCTGCTCGCCTGCACGGCCTGACGGGGCGCGCCCCGCGCTCCTGGCTCGCCCATCCAGGGTCCACGGCTCACTCGTCCCTCGCCTGCCCCGCGGCCCACACCTCTCGCAGCTCATACCTCACCCGCCCCGCGGCCCTGCTTCCCCCAGTCTCATCCTCTCGGGAGCAGGCCCGCAGGGTCTGCAAGGCCAAGAACGGAACCCCAAACGCAGAGGGTGGGGAGGTGAGCGGCAGGACGCAAAACTCGGAATCGAGGCGGCTTGGGTTTACACGTTCCTTTAGCTCTGGGCTCACGCTGCTCTCCACCTGTTTAAAAACAGGCTTGCGGTCTCCAGTGGGGGCGCGTGAAGCGGGATCCCAACCCCGGGCCCCGGAGCGAGGCCTGGATCGCCCTATGCCTTCTTGCCATTCTCTTAAATGCACTGACACCCCTGGAGGTGGGACCGGTCCTGGCACTTTTGAAGACGTGGGAATATGAACGAGAGACAAGATTAACCAGAATTCCCCGATTTCAGGACATCCACGCATCGCGCAAAAATTAAAAATACACACGGTTTTGTTCTTGGCTCTCTTCGTAATTATTTTCAGATCTAAATTTCAGATGCGTGCGTTACAGAAGGCTACCAGGCGCGCCAGCAGTGTCTGTGCCGTTTGGATTCCGCCTGCCAACCCCTCTCCACCCGGGGCGGCGCGTGGAGTCCGGACGTTCTCGGGTTCAATGACTCCTCTCTCTTAGCCGGGCTAGAGTAAAAGTAACTTTTGTATATAAGACTTTGGTCTAACAGTATTTCAATTTGTATCTATAGATTTAGTGGTAAGTTTGAGAGTGAGAGGGTTTAACCTCCTCCAAACATTTAACAAGGGTTGCGGGGACGGGGAAGAACTTCATTTGAGCCCGTGAGAGTCCGTTTTCTCCCTAAAAAGAGACAGGGCGTCATGAATGAGTATCATTGCAACATATTGACCCTATAATGCAGATTTCATTAACTTGGTAAGTTAAATCTGCGAATCTTCAGATATATACCTGTCCAGACATTTTAAAGAAATTGAATATTTAATCTCTGCTGCAAACACTAATGTTAGACATTTAAATTATGTGTTACATATGCCTAGGTTTTATTTGGAGCGCACAACATTGTAGTAATCAAAACTAGTGCCTCACTTTTTTTCAAAGAACTAGAAATTTCATGTAATAATTAAAAGACATTAAAAATTGAAAAAGATAAACCTAAATCACCTAAATTCAATAAATTAGTTCAATGAACACCTGATACATTTTCATTTTTTATTCTTTAAAGCATCCCAAAGTTGAAGGTTTATCTTAAATACCCTAAATTATTCACTTAAGCTAGAATTTCAATAAATTGGCCTTTTAAGAGAAAAACCTCTTTATACAATTACTCGCATTCCTTCCATCTGCAACATAGTAGCTGTAAATACTGGTACTTTTAAATATGATTTATTTCATATATGCAAATATGTCCTTATTTACGGCTTTGAAGCTCCTTAACTGATTATGATCTCTACTAATTTTTCCTATTAGAATTTTAAAACTAGACTGCCTCTTTGTTTCACTTCCATTACAACATATTATGTTGACAGTTTCTGCAGATATAATATTGTCGTGAACTGAGTGGAAATTAAATGAGGAAGGAAGCTCAAAAATGAAATGCAAAGTTCCTATAAAATTATCTTTGGGTACCTGTGGCTTTAATTTTAACATACTTCAATGCGCTTTAAAATGGCATAGAGTCAGATCTGAAAATGTATACCAAAGTAACTTATTTTATTTGTAGTCATTTAAAAATAATTTCTGATCTCCTACCATGGTTTTCACTTAGGAAGTTCAAGTGAAAAATCATGGCATGATGCTGTTGTTAAATTCTCTCTGAAAGTATTTAAGTCTGTTCTATATTGAGTTCCTGCTTACCCCACATAGAAAGTTTTTTTAAGTAGAAAAGAAAAACTAAGAAGGGGACAACTGAAGCCAATCATTTTGGTGAATTTTCTTTGAAAATTAAGCATTTTTATTTCTGAAAAAGTGTAAAAATCTTACATTTAGAATAGTACAATAATAATTGCCAGTAAAATTTACAATACTCCTTGTAAAGAATACGCAGTAAGTACAAAAAAATCCACACGTCTGTTATGATACAAAACACAGGTTGAAATAAATGATAATTTTGACTTTTTTTCTTGTGTAAACATGTTAACCATTTTTCCTTTTCATGAAAAAGTACACCAGACAAGTGTCCTCAAATAAAAAAGAATTGCTTCGCTGGCATTCTTCAAGACCTTTACTATTTTTGTATTATTCTTTTGACCATTATTTTTTAACGCCTGGACCTGAGAATCTCTACACCTCAAAAAGGCTTAGTTGTTTTTCATCTGCCAAACGTCAAGGGAGCCTCTAGTGCCTGGACAGGGCGGACTCCCTTCCCCGGCACCCTCTTCCTCCCTACCCCAGGTCGGGGGTTGGGGGGCTGTAGCATAGGTCGGCTTTGCATAAATAGAGGGACCCGCAGAGCCAAAAGGCGCGCCCGGGCTGTTGACAGTTTTGTCCGAGAATTCGCAGCGGCGAAAATGGGCGCGCGAGGTCGAGAGGGGCCGCGCCTGGAGGAGCGAACAAAACACCGAACCACCAAGACGAGAAAAGGAGCCGGGATTCCTACCTTCTTCCTCGAGCGCGCTAACATAGCGTTATTAACAATTGGAAATCCTAGCAGTAAAGTTCTCGACACTGGACAGGGCAGTCCCTTGGTGCAGAGTCCCCAAGGCGGCGGACGAGGAGACTGAGGAGGCGGCGGCGGCCGCGGCGGCCACGAGGGATCGGGTGAGCGCGGCCGCCGGGCCCACGGCCGCCTGCGCCGCGCAGCCTCCTCCGCTGGATCCGGGAGCTGGCGGCGCCGCCACCGGCGAGGGCGAGGGCGAGGCCTGAGCGGCGGCGGCGGCCTGCGCGGCGGCGGCGGCAGCGGCGGCCGGGCCCAAGCTGCCCCCGATGATGCTCTCGATGGAGAAGGGCGAGCGCGCCAGCGCTGAGGCGCCCGGGCCGCCCGCCTTGGCCGCGGAGGCCGGCAGGGGGCCGGGTAGGGCGGCGCCGAGCGGGTGCGGCCGGTAGCCGAAGGCGGTCCGGGCCAGCTCGGCGGCCGCGCCGTGCGGTGGCGGGGGCGGCGGGGGCGAGTGCGGGTGGAAGGCGGCGGCGGCGGCGGCGGCCGCTGCGGCGGCGAAGAGGGCCGAGGGCGGCGCGTAAGGCGGCAGCTGCAGGCCGTAGCCGCAGCCGTAGGGGCCGTAGCCGTAGGCATGCGGGGGCGGCGGGGGCGCGGGCGGGAAGAGCGCGGCGGCGGCTGCCGGGTCGCCCGCGCCCCCTGCGGCTCCCGCGCCGCGCAGCAGCAGAGACTCGGCGGCCGCGGCGTTGGGTGGGAGCAGCGGCTGCCGCTTGAAGCGCTTCCTCCGGCGCAGGAAGCTGCCGTTGTCGAACATGTCGGCGGACTCCGGGTCCAGCGTCCAGTAGTTGCCCTTGCCCGGGTTGCCGGGCTCGCGGGGGATCTTGACGAAGCAGTCGTTGAGCGAGAGGTTGTGGCGGATGCTGTTCTGCCAGGCGGGGAACTTCTCCCGGTAGTAGGGGAAGCGGCCGCTGATGAACTCACAGATCTCGCTCAGCGTCAGCCGCTTCTTGGGGCTCTGCAGGATGGCCATAGTGATGAGCGCGATATACGAGTAGGGCGGCTTCACCAGCGGGTTCTTGGCGCCGCTACCCGCGCTCCCGCCGCCGCCCGCGCCGCCGCCGCCGCCGCCCCCACCGGCTCCTGCCCCCGCCGCCGGGGCCGGGCCCGGGGGCGCCGGGGAGCCCCCAGCAGGCGGGGCCAGCAGGATGTCATCGTCGTCCTCCTCCTCCTCCAGATCCTCCAGCTCGTCCTCCCCGGCGTACGAGCGCCGCCGCCGCCGCCGCTGCGCGGGGACAGCCAGCCGGGGCCCGCCACCGCCGCCCTCGTCGTCGTCCTCCTCTTCCTCGTCTTCTTCGTCCTCGCCCTCCCCCACCACGTCGATGTCTGTTTCCTCGGCGAGGCCAGAGGCATCGGACATCTCAGTGCTCAGGGTCATAGCTGTGGCGCGGCGGCGGCGGGGCGGCGCATGGGGGCGCCGGGCTCCGGGCTCCCTCTGCGCCCCAGCCCGGGTCCCGGGCGGCAGGCCCGGCCGGGGGGCGCCACGCTGGGGGCGCTGCGACTGCGGCTGCCGGAGCTGCGCCGGGGCTGCCGGGTGGCGGCGGAGTCTCGCGCGCCGACTTTATAACTCCTGCGCCGCCGCGGTAGCCGCGCGGATGCTGCGCTCCCTGGGCTCCGCTCGCGCCCGGCCCGGGCGGAGGACTTGACCTTCTCCTCTCGGAGCAGCTTTTGCCCCGTCAGCTGAGGAGGGGGTGGCGGGGCCCGGGCGGGCGAATCAGAACGCCAGGCGCCCAGGAACGTGCGGGACGGGTGAGAGTCTAAGAACAGAGCTCGGCGAGGCCAGGGCTGAGTCCAGGAGAGGGCGGACCTTCCTCGGCTTATAGCAGAAGGGGGCCTGTCACATGGTGTGCACGTCAGAGCGCTGCCGAGGGAAGGAAAGCAAGCCTAGGAAATCAGCCCTTCTCGGGAGAGAAAATTCACCCGTAGGAGGGAGGCAGCAGCTGAGAAGAGTGGGGAGGAGAGGGGACCTCACTATTTCTTGCCAAAGAGGCTGATGCCCGAATTACGCGGCTGTCTGCACCGAGGGCCGCTGCACGAGTTAGACTTCCCAGCCTCCTCAATTAGTCCTCCACCCTAACCTCAGAAGCACACCCGCGACACTCTGGTTTGACCCCTCGACAGCCTGTAGGAGCCTTCCAGCCGGGGGATAACCACCCCATCCTCTGAGGTGGCCCCTGGGGGACGCTCTGGGGTCGGTTGGGGGTGTCCAGCCCCTCCAGATCGGGCGAGCGGCCCCCCATTGGATCTGATGCGAAGCCCCCCAATTTAAGCACGATAATAATTGTTTATTGACCCTTTAACCCATTCTCTTCGGTTTTACTCCAAAGACGTTTGTTTTCCGCCATCTGTTAATAAAAACGCTGTGAGACTGGCGTTTTACTCACTTCTCTGCGATTGAATGCCCTAGAGACTTGACAGTTAAACTAAGCCACTCTAATGAGACGATCTGACAAATGTCATGGGAATAAAGAACGTAATAATTGAATTCGGAGAAGAAATTGAAATTTTTAGTGAAAACCCAAATACACGCACAAAAATTGCACCTAGAAACTACTAAAAAGTTCGACCAGCCTGGCCAACATGGTGAAACCCCGTCTCTACTAAAAATAGAAAAAAATTAGTAGGCGGCGCCTGTAATCCCAGCTACTCGGGAGGCCGAGGCAGGAGAATCGCTTGGACCCGGGATGCGGAGGTTGCAGTGAGCCGAGATCGTGCCACTGCACTCCAGCCTGGGCAACAAGAGCGAAACTCCGCCTCAAAAAAAAAAAAAAAAAACAGAAGTTCGTTCATAATGGGGCTATATAGTTCTCAGTAGGAGGAACATTCTAGTCAGCACTTTGCATAGTAATCTCAAAATACTTAAATTACATAACATATACATATTTCTACTGAGGCTTATTAATAGAAACTATAATGATAGATGACTTTAAGATAAACTTTTTAAAAATGTGTTTTTGGAAAATCCTTAAATATTGTTAATCCTTTCTGGTGAGATGAAAATTTTTTTTATGAGATTAAAGTTCCGCTCAATTCAGTTTTCTTTTCGGGTGACAAGATAGTGGAAATAATTAAGATATGATGCTCTTTTAAATATACCTATCTTTATCACCAACTCAAACGAGCTATTTTGGCTAGTGGAAAAATCCTAATAGTTTGTTGAATTCACATTCACTTATTTGTGCATTTCCTAAAATGCTTCTATTTCAAAGAGGGGAGCTTGTCCCAAAAGTTTAACTTTCTGATTAAAATGACCCCTTGACAAGAACTAAGAATCAAAATTCAATGGCGTTCTGTAGGAACAGCCATCAGCTGCCCTTGTGTATATCATTTTATCGACCAAGTACTTTTCACATTCTGAAACGTGTCATTACTACCGCTGTCAATCACAGAGCCTCAGAAATAAACTGTTTCCCCATCTAAAGACCTCTATTAAAATCGAGTTTTTGTTGCTGAGGACTGCTACCACCAGTTACTCTTACAAGTGACCCATAAAGGCTATCATAGGTCTTTGAACAATCTATGAGAAAGCCTCGACGTTCTAAATAAATTATTTTTCATTAACTCTTGTTTGATATATGGGTGAACAATTTAATTACTGTAATAGGCTGAGCATTAACCTGAGCCAACATTAATCAGCACTATTAATCAGGCATCACATTGCTTTGTTGATGCAGCCAGGAGTCCTTACCAAGGAGTTCACTTTTACATTGGAAAGTTTAAGTTTTATAAGTACTCAGTCGATATCTAAATAAACACCATGACTTTCGCAGCACTGAGGGTTGGTGTGTGGCGAAGTTATTCAAAGATGAAACAGAGAGGAAGAATTTGTTCGCAGACCATTAATGACTTTAGATGACCGGTTACAGCCATCATTCCGTTCATGGCGCGGGAGATAGACTGCGTTCGTTTGTAACTTTGTCCGCAAGTTCTTCCCCCAAAGGGTTAAGAGGCTCTTCCCTGGAAACGTTTGCAGAATGTGGCGAATTATCTCCTGGCCACTCCGGGGAAAGTTTTAGGACTTACTGAAGGTCAGAGTGGAAGATCAGCCCAGAGGGACCGCTGCAGAGACGGAGAAGTGTCACTAAGATTTAGGCGAGCTTTACTGAAGCCCCACATGTGGATGTGACCACTTGTTTTGTTTGCTTAGTTAAGCTACATGTTTGTATGCAACCTTTAGCTCCGCAGTCGCGAAATTCCCCGAGCGCGGAAACTCAAGCGATTCACGTCTTGCGCGACCCCCTTGTCTCCCCCATCGTCCCCTACCCCGGGCCTCCTTCTCTACAGCGCTCCCAGCTTTCGGCCCCAGCTGGTAACTCTCCCCCGGCTCCCCGCCCCCAAGCTGGTACAAGGGACCAAAACCTTTCCCAGAGGCGAGCCGGGGAAGCGACGCGAAGACCCCCGTCCGGCGCAACCCGCTCGCGTGGACGCGGAAAGTGGCGGGCGGCGGGTCCCGGTGGTGCCTGCGTAGGGCAGAGTTGCCCCCTGGCGGCGGTGCGACGACCTGCGGGCCCTCGCGCCCGGGCCGGCAACTCCCTGGGAGCTCGGCCCGCGCGGGGAACTCGCCCAGCAGCCTGTGTTTCTCGAGTGTGGGCAGCCGGCTCCCGGGCGTCCCTCCCACCGGCTGCGGGGGCCCGGGACTGGGCGGTAGTGGAGGCAGGTCCTTGGACTGCAGGCTGAGGCTTTTTCCCCCCACGAGCGGTTTGGGCCCTCCAGGAGCCCCTGCGCGGGGGTCACGTGGATTACGCTAGGTGAGAGCCGGAGAGGCTGCGCCACCGTCGGGAGGCTCCCTGCCTCCGCCCTTTGTCCTTTGCCCCTGACCATGAGCGCCCCAAGCCCAGGGACCTCCTTAGGGGGATGAAGGCTGGAAGAGACCTGGGGGCTCAGACTTACGGGGAAGGAACCTAGGCTATTCCTTGTGCATCCCAGGATTTTACCCATGAACGTGAACATGAACGTGTTTTCAACCCCAGCGGTTCCCCTGGCGCCTCGACCCTCCTTTGAAGAGTCATTCTAGAAGGCTGTATTGCGATAGTGTTTGTACCTGTCACTGTGAGCCCTGAAAAGAGACAGAAGAAAACGCGAGTGCCTGGCCTGAGGGTGCTCCGTCCCGTGGGTAGCCAGGTAGGTAGTTATTCTGCCCGATGATGAGGTCCTCCTGACGCCCCCGCGAAAGGGAGGGATGCCGGGAGTCGCTGCCCCAGGGCCCATTTAGCCTTCGCTGTCCTTCCTTGGGGCTACAGGCATTTCCATTCCTGTTAAAATCAAGAGTGTGGGGGCCAAAACCTGGGCTCTGAGTTGTTTATTGTTTACTAGGGTAGTAGGGGAAGGGGCGAGTAGGGTTGTAAAATATACGTAATTTACCATTTTAATCATCTTAAGTGTATAGTTTAGAGGCATTAAGTACATTAACATTGTTGTGCAACTATTACCACTATCCATTTCCAGAACTTTTCCATCATCCGAAACTGAAATTTTGTACGCGTTAAAAAGTAACTCCCCATTTCCCCAACCATCTTTCTACTCCCCCCAACCTTTCGCCAGCCCCTGGCAACTACTATTCTACTTTCTGTCTCTATGAATGTATCTACTCTAGGTACATCATCTGAGTGGAATCATAATCACATTTGTCCATTGTGTCTGACTTATTTCTCTTAGCATAATGTCTTTAAGGGTCGTCCTTGTGGAAGCATGTATCAGAATATCTTCTTTTTTACGGCTGAATAATGTTCCATTGAATGTATATGCCACATTTTGTTTATCCATCCATCCATTGGTGGACATTTGGGTTGCTTCTCTTTTTCTGTTAGTTTTTGAACCTCCACTCACTTAGTTCTTTGTCTATTCTGCATGCAGTAGACACTGATAAAATGTTTGATATATTCATTTTCCTCTATCTTTTTCACCCCAGAAGCCCTCAAAGGAAGCCCATTGTCTTAACAGAGCATACACATTGGGGAAGTGAGGGGGGACGGTTTCTGCTGACAGAACAACATAAGGGGGATTCGCCCTTCTGGATTTGAAACCTCAACTTGTTCACAATTTTGAGACTTTCAGGTTCAGACTCTGCACATCACCTTCAGTAAAAAGGCATAAGTCGGGACTCCTCCAGAATTATTTCTGGACAAATTTGTGATCATCCCTACTCCCACCCCATGCTTTTACACCCTTAGTCCCCCTCCTTATCTGTCCTGATCCTTGGGAGCCCCAAGATGATCTAAAATTTTTCTCTGGCTGTCTAGGGCACTCCACTTCAGCATTCTCCTGTGGTGTAACATTACCTGCCACTCATGCTGGTTCCCATGCGCCAAGCTAATTTCAACAACGGGTGAAGTGGGTATCTCCATGTGATGGCTGAGGAGACAGATTCTGGGTGTTGCTACTAAGCCTCATGGAGGCAGCCATGACAGAGCAGAGCCTTCTGTCCTCCTGTTCCAGGTCAGCAGCCTCTCCCAAGGCAGGACTCCATGGGCCAGCCTCTTTCCTCCCCCACCCTGCTTCTTCAGGCCAGCTCTTATTTGGTCTGACAATAAGTCTGAGGTAAGCTGTTACTGGCTGACGGTGTTTGGTGCCTTTCCCAAGAATGGGTACATTTTAACCTGGGCATCCTCTTGATACCACCTTAATCAAGGTTCCAGTGGTGGGTCTTTTATAGAGGGTGTGGTTGGGAGATGAGATTCCTTTGTGAAGAAGATATTTTAGTGGCCTCTAGGTCCCACTAGGCAGCTTGTGCTTGCACGACAATTCCTTAAACAAGCATTTCATGGCCTGAGCAGGGCTCAGAAATCCTCAAGAATTCAGAATGTCAGCAAAAGTCCAAATCTGTGTTTCATAACACCAAAATTATTTACATGGACTCAGAAATTTTCCTTACATTGTTAACCTGGACTGGTCCTCCCATCCTAACACACACCCACACACAGACTTACTTAGCTCCGCATCTAAGTGGTTTGTAGTGGCACATGTTTAGATTTTGTACCCCAAAGCTCAAAAAGTATTTTTTATCATGAATTTAACTGAAAAATACACATATTTCCATTCCAGAGAGGACTCCTCTTGTTGGGGGCTAACTTCAACACCAGACTCTCCTGAGTACATCTTTGCAGCTCTATAAACTTCTGGTATTTGTTCACATTGTCTAATAATTTCCTGGAAATAGACTTAGTATTTTTAGTTATAAGAAGAATTGAAAAATAATATTGCTGTTCTAGAAGAAGGCATTTATTTATTTTGCATTTGTACTTCACCCAGAGGCTGGCTGTGCAGACAAATCTCTCTGCTTGGGAACGACAGGGCTCTCTAAAGTAACTCTAGGGATGCAGCTGTCTACAAGTCACACTGAAAATGAAAAGTATGTTTATGAGGTCATGAGAAAGTCTTGTCATAAGTTGTAATTTTGTGTGTGTATTTAAAAGGTATTTGGTGACCAACCTTTTCTGTCTCACACCCGCACACACACACTATTGCCTGATTTCCAGGCTTAAACTGAGACTGAACTATCACCTGTCTGTTACGCATATGCAAACACACTGAAACCTCATTGTCTACACTCAGTGTGGCACTTCACCTGATACCACCATCTGACACCAGGCTGCAAGTCATAGGTTGCAGTCAGGTACATACACCCCTTTGCAAGAAGGCATTCTCAAAACCTTCCACTAGAGGCACGTGTGAGCACCTTTGCTAGAAAGCTTTGGTCGGCTAGCCTTCCAGAGCAGAAAAAACTGGGAAGGGCCTGAACCCAAAATTTACATAAAAGTAAATACAAATAATGAATGATTCCCTACTCTTCAGAGACATGCAAAATAGGAAAGAGAAAACTCTATCAGATTAGCAAACTACATGAGGATGATGAACATGATGGTAGGAATTCAATTACACACTGCCTGTGGAACTATAAAATTGTACAAACCTTTCAGCAAACAATTTGGCAAAACAGAGCTTGTATCTTAGTGTCCGTTCCCTTGAATCCTTTCATTCTAAGATTCTATTTTATGGAAATAACCAGAAATATGAGCAAATATTTATGTTCAAAATGTTTGCGGCAGTTTTTTTTTAAGAAGCAAAAAAAAAAAAATAGAAACATTCTAAATGCTCGGGATTAAATATATTATTCTCATGATGGAATATTTTGCAATCACTAAAGCGAGGTCCGTGAACAGTTTTAATAACTTGAGAAAATCTTAAAGTTAAGAGAAAGGTTCAGATAGAAAATTACATACAGTATTTTCTCAATAATTCAATGTACTAAACATGCAAAAGACTGGAAGAAAATACAATAAAATGTCAATTGGTTAACTCTGGGTGAAATTATGGGTGGTTTTCATTTTGTTATTTATATTATATTTTTCTATGTTTTCCAAATTTTTCAGCCTGAGCAATTTCCAAAGTGCTGAGTTGAGACAGCTGAGGAGCACAATTAGTGTAAAAGAAAGACTACAGATGGAACAGTTCATATCATTTGAAGCATGATTATAGGAATAGACATCAAGAATTTAAAGCAAGCATAATACATATATCAAAGAGGGAGGGGACTTATTAGTAACATTAAGCAAAAGAAAGAAATAATTGTTTTAAACCTAGTGGAAACATTAAGTATGAAGAAAGTAATAAAATAAAGGGCAAATAGATGGAATACATAGCAGAATGTAGCACAACAGTGTGACTGTTGTCAATAATAATTAATTGTACATTTTTAAAATAACTAGAAGAGCATAGTTGAATTGTTAGTAACACAAAAGATAAAAGCTTGAAGGGATGGATACCTTATTCCCCATAATGGGATTATTATGCATTGCCTGCATATATCAAAACATCTCAGGTACCCCATAAATATATACACCTACTATGTACCCACGACAATTTTTTAAATTTCTTTTTGTTAAAAAAAAACCCTCATCTGGAGCCACAACAATTTAATTTTTAAAAAACAAATATGAAGCAGAATAGATACAACTGAAGAATGGACTGGGTTTGAAGAGTTTGAGGAGCTCTTCCAAAAGCAGCAGGAAAAGACAAAATTCTGGCTCATGAAATCAATTTAGTGCATTTTGACCACAACTGAAAGAGAATAGAACAGAACAGAATGGGATGGGTTAGGATAGAAAACATCACTGCACAGCACATAATAATGCTAAGAATAGTTTGTGAAAACTTTATTTCAGTTATTTTTATTTTTATACTTTTGTGCGTGTGTATGTATACTGAGTTTCTATGTAAAATGATCTCTTGGTTTCCTTGAGCCCAGAAGTTCGAGACCAGCTTGGGCAACATAAGAAGACCCCATCTGTACAAAAAATAATAATTAAAAATGAGTAAAATAATTTCTTAGTGTGGGTTACAATAAAAAAGTTTGAAAGCTCCTCTTTCATTTTATTTATTTTAGATCCAGGAGGTACATGTGCAGGGTCGTTACATGAGTATATTGCATGATACTGAGGTTTGTGCTTCTATTGAACCCATCACCCAAATAGTGAAAATAGTACCTAATATGCGGTTTTTCAACCCTTGCCCTCTTCCCTAATTTTGGAGTCCCCAGTGTGTCTATTGTTCCCATCTTTGTGTCTATGTGTACCCCATGTTGAGCTCCCATTTATAAGTCAGAACATGTGGTATTTGGTTTTCTGTTTCTGCATTAATTCATTTAAGATAATGGCCTCCAGCTGCATCCATATTGCTGCAAAGGACATGATTTCATTCTTGTTCATGGCTGTGTAGTATTCCATGGTGTATATGCACCACATTTTCTTTATCCAGTCCACCATTGATGGGCACCTAGGTTGATTCCATGTCTGCTATGGTGAATAGTGCTGTGATAAATGTAGAAGTGCAGGTGTCCTTCTGATGGGATAATTTCTTTTCCTTTGGATATATACCCAGTAATGAGATTGCTGGGCTGAATGGTAATTCTATTTTTAGTTCTTTGAGAAATCTCCTAACTGTTTTCCACAGGGACTGAACTAATTTACATTTCCACCCACAGTGTCTAAGTGTTCCCTTTTCTCCACAACCCCGCCAATATCTGTTTTTCCCCATTGCTTTCATATCCTCTCTCCATATTCCATAGGCCCTCATAGTGTCATTCCTACTCCATATGCCACTGCTGTGGTAATCAGTGTGCTGTGGAACAACCTGGCCATGGAAATTTTGGAAAAGATGAGGTACATCAAGAAAGCAGTTGACTTTATTGCAGCACTTTGAAATTTTTAGGTTTGTTTTGTACATTGTGACTCTTTCAGAGGACTATACATTTGTTGTAATATTTTCCAAATTTATTTTACTATGGGATACCAGTTTGGGAAATGGCATTCACTGAAATAATGTGATACAGACAGGGAGCAGTAGCTCACATCTGTAATCCCAGCACTTTGGGAGGCTGAGGCACGAGGATCGCTTGAGCTTGAGCTCAGGAGTTCAAGACCAGCCTGGGCAACATAGTGAAACCCCTGTCTCTTAAAAAAAAAAAAAAATCCAAAAAGTTGTAGAGTTAACAGTGACTTTCTAATTTCCCAGATTTAAAATTCTTCTTATTCATTTACTTAACAAATATTTATTTTATTGAGTGTCTACTATGCGGCAAGTACTGTTCTAGGAACTTGGGATACATCAGTAAACAAATGGACAAAGGTCTTCGCCCTAAAAAGCTTTACATATTTAGCAGGAGAAAGACCATAAGAAATAAGTAAACTGAATACCTTAATTAATTAATGATATCATATGTTAAAAGGTAATATTTACCATGTGGAAAAATATAGAACAGCGAAGGGGGCTGGAGGTGGTAGTGGCGGGGCAGCATGGAAAGGACAGGTGGGTGGAAATTTTACACAGTGAGCAAAGACTAGAATAGTGCTACTGCTGGATATCTGGGGGGAAAGGATTCCAAGCAGGAGGAACAATTTGAGCAAAGGCATGAGTAATCTTAAATAAAAATCATCTTAAAGACATGTTACAAACTATTATGTAATTATCCCCAAATGTAGTGGCTTAAAACTGTCATTTCATTATGCTAACACCTTTTGTGAGTCGGGAATTAACAAAGAGAATCAAAGGGTGAAAGCTGTTTAATTTATATCTCTACCAGTCAATGCTAGCTATCAGCTGGGATTGTCAGCTAGAACACCAACATGTGAACTTTTCCGGTGGCCTGGGCTTCCTCACAGACCAGTCTTCCAAGACAATCAGTGGAAGGTGTATTCCCTTTTATGACCTAGCCTAGGAAGTCACATAATGTCACTTCCACAGTAATTATAAGCTACCCAGATTTGAGAGGAGGGAAGTGTATTAGTTTGCTAGGGCTGCCATAACAAAGTACTGTAGACTGGTGGCCTGAATAAGAGAAATGTATTATCTCACAGTTCTGGAAGCTGGAAGTCCAAAATAAAGGGGTTGGTAGGGTTGGTTCCTTCTGAGGGCTGAGAGGAAGGATCTGCTCCAGGCCTCTCTCCTTGGCTCTCCTCTCTTCTCTCCCTGTCTCCTCACATCATCTTCCCGCTCTGTGTGTCTATGTCCATTTTTCCCCTTTTTAAAAGGACGCCAGTCATACTGCATGAGGGCCCACCCTAATGAGTTCATTTTACTTGATTAGCTGTGTAAAGACTGCATCTCTGATTAAGTTCACATTCTGAGGTACTGTAGGTTAGAACTTCAACATAAGAATTTTTGGAGAAACATAGTTTAACCCATAAAAGGAACATAGACCCAACTCTGAATGGGAGGAGTCTTCAAGTCACCATGTAAAAAGTGTGTGGGAGATGTGGGTACTGCCATCTTTGAAAAATATAGTTTGCCACATCATGACATAAAAAGTTTAATAATGAGGCTGGCCGCAGTGGCTCATGCCTGTAATCCCAACACTTTGGGAGGCCGAGGCAGGCAGATCACGAGGTCAGGAGTTTGAGACCAGCCTGGCCAATATGGTGAAACTCCATCTCTACTGAAAATACAAAAATTAGCCAGGTGTGGTGGCACATGCCTGTAGTCCCAGCTACTGGGGAGGCTGAGGCAGAAGAATTGCTTGAACCCGGGAGGCAGAGGTTGCAGTGAGCCGAGATTGTGCCACTGCACTCCAGCCTGGGTAACAGAGGGAGATTCCATCTCAAAAAAAAAAAGTTTAATAATGAGGTCAGGCACAGTGGCACATGCCTGTACTCCAAGCTACTTGGGAGGCTGAGGCACAAGAATCGCTTGAACCCAGGAGGCAGAGGATGTAGCGAGATGAGATTGCACCACTGCACTCCAGCCTGGGTGACAGAGGAAGACCCTGTCTCAGAAAAAAAAAAAAAAGTGTAATATATGAGAGTCCATGACAACTTACACTGTATAAATAAGCCCACAACATAATAAAACATAACTTGGGGGGAACTACTTTGATATGTTTTTTAAAATTTTTTATGGTAGGGTCTCACTCTGTCACCCAGGCTAGGGTTCAGTGGCATGATCATAGATCACTGCAGCCTCAGACTTCTGAGCTCAAGCAATCCTCCCACTTCAGCCTTCAAAGTAGGTGGGACTACAGGAATGTGCCATCACACTCGACTCATTTTCTTTTCTTTTTCTTTGTTTTTTTTTTTTTTTTTTTTTGTAAAGACAATGACTCACTATGTCTCCCAGACTGTGTTTTATATTTTTACAGTGAGCAAAAAAGCTCATATACCAACTGTCTGGTTCCAGACAAGACACCTGGAAAAATCTATGACTGACTCTTTCCCAAGGCAATTCAAGTCTGTGCTTCAAAAACCAGTGCTTTCTGCAAATCATTATTTTTGGCCCAAGGATTTGCTCTACTTTAAGATCCTTCGCTAATTTACTTATTTGTAGTAGACATTCGCTATTAGTTGCTGTAGTTCAACCTTGACCAATCTTGTCTTCACTCAGAGGAATTCGTGCCTGTTAGTTTTATTTTATGTGCAAAGTAGATTAAACATGTATTATTATCAAATTTTAGGAGAAACAAATGTTAATAAGTACTTGCTATAACAATAAATATGATTATGCTTTATTTATTGCCATTATTGTTACTACTTGAGATGAATCTTGTGCAAAATAAACTTTAAACCTGGGTGGGGCTCCCACCAAACCCAGAAAGGTATTGGTAACATCTTATTGCCCCAGTGCTTGCAGCAAATTTTCTGTAACATCAATCATTGAATAAAGATTACACAAAAGCCAATATCTTTTTGCCCTCTCTAAACCCTAAAAATTCCTTTTAAAAGTGAGTTGAAGAGACCCAGTTATCCTACAATCCAGTAGACTAATCTCCAATTGCCTTTGGAGTATTTATCACCCTTGCTGCTTCGACTTCCCTAGCCTCTTTTCACTGGTCAGCCTTCCCCCAAGTCCTGCTGCTCAGCTGGGATGCACACATCACCAGGCCAGGCTCACCACAGACCTACTGAATTAGAATCTCTACAGGTGGGGCTCAGGAATTTATTTTGCTTTGTTTGTTTTGTTGTTGTTGTTGCTTTTGGTTTTTTTGGAAGTTCCCCAGGTAATTTGGGTGATCATTTAAGTCTGATTACTACCAATCTGTGTGCTAAAATTCAAGTTCCTGAAGCTTAGCATAAAAAGGGCCTCACCTCTGCTTGACTCTACAATTGCATCTCCTACTATTTTGCACGTCATGATTACCTACCTGCAATATTGAACAACCAATAGCTCACAACGCTAGACATACTGCCTCCCTCCTCTGGGCCCTTGCCTGGAACACCCTTTGCATACTTTGACTACTGAACAACTTATTTTCCTTCCAAAATTCAGCCCTAGTGTCTGCTTCCAGAAAGCCTTCCCTGATGACCTCACCTCCACCTGCTCTGAATTCCGACTGCACCTCGTTCCACAGCAGTCAGCACCCAGTGTGGAAATATATTAATGAAACCGCCTTTACAAAATTATGACTGAGACAGTGAAAGAAATCTAACTTAACCAACTCCATCTTGCTTCTAACCCCCAAGCTATCCTTGTTCATTCCTAGGTGTAGGCTTAACTAACTTTGGGAGAAGTTAGTAAGGGTAATAGCCCTTTCCCAAAGCAGTCCTCCTTCTTACCTGGGACTGGATTGCCTTTGTAGGACTAACATTAGCCACAAGATTAGAAATTATGGTTTAGGAGTCATGCAGCCGAAGGCTACAAGATTCTGACCCTCCCTAAACTGCTCCAAAGATCAGCGCTTGAGATATTTGGCAGACCCTGCACTTGATGGATCAGCTGGCCCCACACAGATCAATAAACTGGCTCATCTGATCTTGTGGCCTCCACCTAGGAACTGACTGAGCAAAAGAAGACAGCTCCAATTCCATATGATTCATCTCTGACCAATCAGCACTCCTGGCTCACTGGCTTCCTCTCACCCACCAAGTTATCCTTAAAAACTCTGCTTCCCAAATGCTTGGGGAAACTGATTTAAGTAATAATAAAACTCTGGTCTCCCCGCCGGCTGGCTCTGTGTGAATTACTCTTTTTCTATTGCAATTCCCCTGTCTTAAGGAATTGGCTCTGTCTAGGCAGCAGGCAAGGTAAACCTCTTGGGCAGTTACATTAATACTTGCTCACCTACCTATCTCCTCTGCTAAAGTGTGATCTATTTGAAGGCAGGCTCCATGTCATCTTCACCTCAGCATTCTCAAAACCTAACCCAGTGATACAGGAGCTAGAATGAAATTATTTAGGCAGTTAGTGAGGGTAAAAGAGTCCTCGGCAAGATTTCCCTTTTAATAAAAAGCAGTCCCCAAATCATTTATTTTCTAACAAAGGGCAGCTGCAGACATAGATAAGCAAGCTGAAAGCTTGCATGGGTGAATGCCAGCAGCTGTGCCAGTAAGAAAAGGCTACCTGGGGGCCAGGCATGTTCAACATGGAGACTCCATCTTCTCTTTTCTTTGTCAACCACATGTGCAATAAAGAAGCAGGCAACATGGCGCTGGCCAAGTAGAGAACCCATTCAAATAATATAGATTACGGTGGGGTGGCCAGCTTCTTTGCCCGCTATGTAAATGGCACACCTGGTCCAACCAATCTTTTGGGCCCTATGTAAATCAGATACTGCCTCCTCAAGAGTTTTTCTCTTTCTTTTGCCTGTTAAACCTCTGCTCTTAACCTCACTCCTTGTGTGTCCACATCCTTGATTTCCTTGGCATAAGGCAACAAACCTCAGGTATTACCCCAGACAAATGATGCCACTTCATCAGGGCTGGATTGAATTAGAATAAACTGGTTTTATGGGAATATGCAGTGTGGTCCTTTATCAAGCAGTTTAAGTCTCCTTTGTAAGAGCCATTGGATATTATTGTACTCAACCAGGCTGCTGAGTGTTTTGTTACTCTGCAGGCCCTGAAGTGGTCAGGAAGATTTTCTTTCAGTGTTGAACACAGTACATGACAAGTTGCAGTAGCTCATGCTTATAATCCCAACACTTTGGGAGGCCAAGGCAGGTGGATTGCTTGAGCCCAGGAGTTCAAGACCAGCCTGGGCAACACAGCAAAACCCCATCTCTACAAAAAAACAGAGTCTCTTTCTGTCACCCAGGCTGGAGTGCAGTGTCACAATCTCGGCTCACTGCAGCCTCCACCTCCCAGGTTCAAGCGACTGTCCTGCCTCAGCCTCCCAAGTAGCTGAGATTATAGTCATGCACCACAATGACCAGCTAATTTTTGTTTTTTTAGTAGAGATGGGGTTTCACCATGTTGGCCAGGCTGGTCTTGAACTCCTGACCTCAAGGGATCCACCTGCCTTGGCCTCCTAAAGCGCTGGGATTACAGGTGTGAGCCACTGTGCCTGGCCTCATGTATTTCTTTATAGCAACACAAGAATGGACTAATACAGTGATCTAGACCAGCAGTTCTCAGCCCTGGTTGCAAATTAGAGTCACATGGGTAGCTTTTAAAGCTTATTCCTGCTAGGATAGGACCCCACCACAAACATATTAAATTAGAATATCTGGGTGTGAAGCCTGGGCCAGCTTGCTTCCTTCTGCCTTTTATTTCTTCCTCTTTCCAGTTTCCCAGATTTTTCTAAAGTTCAGCCAGTGTTGGGGCTATTAATCTGGACTTGAGTGTACCCCTGTTATAATCTGTATTTCTGTTCCAACTAATAAACTTCTTCTTGTTCTGAATAACAACCAAAAAAAGAGATAATTACTTTGATGTTTTGAAAACTAGAGGAGAATGATCTACATAGTCTGGGTAAGAGTAGGGGCATGAGGGAATATCAGGCTTCAGAGCAGATCCCCTAGAAACAGGAACAGACCTTCTCTAAAAATCACCTAGAGCAGCAGTGCTCAAGCAGTCTCTGGACCTGCAGCATCAGCATCACCTGGGAGCTTCCTGGGAATGGAAATTCTCAGGTCTCACTTCAGAAATTCTGAGAATGGATGCAATGGACTGAATGTTTGTGTCCCTGCCCAAAATTCATGTGTTAAAATCCTAACCTGGCCCGGCATGGTGGCTCACACCTGTAATTCCAGCACTTTGGGAGGCTGAGGCGGGTGGATCGTCTGAGGTCAGGAGTTTAAGACCAGCCTGGGCAACATGGTGAAACCCTGTCTCTACTAAAAATACAAAAATTAGCCGAGCATAGTGGCACGCACCTGTAGTCCCAGCTGAGGCAGGAGAATCGCTTGAACCCGGGAGGCGGAGGTTGCAGTGAGGCGAGATCACTCTGCACTCCAGCCTAAGTGACAGAGTGAGACTCTGTCTCAAAAAAAAAAAAAAAAATTCCTAATCTGAAATGTGATGGTATTAGGAGGTGGGGCCTTTGGGAGGTGATTAGGCCACAATGGTGGAACCCCCATGAATGGGATTAGTCCCCTTTTAAAAATGACCCCGGAGAGCTCTCTACACCTCTTTCCACCATGGAAGGATGGACACAAGGATAAGTTGGCCATCTGCAACCGAGAAGAACATCCTTATCAGAACCTGACCATGCTGGCACCCTAATCTCAGACTTCCAGCCTCCAGAACAGTGAGAATTAAACTTCTGTGCTTAATAAGCCACTGTGTCTACGGTTCTTTGTTATAGCAACCCAAACTAAGACTGTGGTGTTCCTGAATCTGTTTTTACCAAGCTCTGCAGGTGATTCTGATGCACTGATTGGAAGATAGCAGTGGGGAAATTAAGATCTTGATCTTCCTTTTCTGATGTGGATTCATCTCTATTTTTATTTTAAACACATCCTACCTATACTGCCTCCCAAAAGGAAGACTGTAGCAACAGCCGAAGCAGTAACGTCAGAAGCTACCTGACTTACTGTCACGTGTCCAGTGTTAGATGGAACATTGTAAACTCCACCATTCCCTTCTGTGCATGCCTTTTGGGCCCTGACCTTTTCGTTTAAGCTTAGGTTTTGTGTCCCTAACATGACAGCCACAGTTGTAATCACCAAATTCTGACAGCCATGAGCATTTAGTAGCTATGCAGGGATGGTAATGCCAGACTGATGTGATTAAAATATGTTTTATGAGGCTTTTTTTTGGCTCCTGTTCACCCGTCTTTTGTTCTCCATTTCCTCACCAGATGAGGTCACATACTCTCCAATTTTCATGCAAGCCACAGTTTAGCCTGTGCAGCTGGGGAGCTGGATGGAGGTCATTCTGGATTCCACCCAGCAGTATTTTACCCTAAGCCAGAGCTTTCCTCTCAGCCTGGAGGCCAACGAAATAGGAAGCAGCTCAACTTTTTTTGCCAAGAACCCTTTATCACGGGTTAGCAAGAGCCTCAGACAGTGTGAGGCCTCAGAGCCTGTTTGGAATGGAGACCACACAAGAAATGTAGAATGCCACCTGTAGGATAACTAGTCCCATGGCTTGTTTTTCTCAAAAAAGGAAGGAAACCTACCTTTATTAAACATAGACTAATTCTCAGGATTTTACATACACAATTTTACTCAATCCCCACAACAACACTGTGAAGTTAGTGTTATTATTCCTACTTATAGAAATACAAACATTTGGCAGGGCACGGTGGCTCACGCCTGTAATCCTAGCACGTTGGGAGGCCGAGGCGGGCGGATCACGAAGTCAGGAGATCGAGACCATCCTGGCTAACACGGTGAAACCCCGTCTCTACTAAAAATACAAAAAAAAGTAGCCAGGCGTGGTGGCGGGCGCCCGTGGTCCCAGCTACTCGTGAGGCTGAGACAGGAGAATGGCGTGAACCCGGGAGGCGGAGCTTGCAGTGAGCCGAGATCGTGCCACTGCACTCCAGCCTGGGCGACAGAGCGAGACTTCATCTCAAATAAGAAAGAGAGAGAGAGAGAGGGAGAGAGGGAGAGAGGGAGGGACGGAGGGAGGGAGGGAGGGAGGGAAGGAAGGCAAACATGCAGAAAACAAGTTGAGAATGATTGAACAACTTGCCTGAAACCCCACAGGTGATAAACTTTGATTCGTGCTCTCACTGTTACCCTGCGCTTCCCATTCAGCGTGCTGAACAAACTGCACAGAAATGCCAGCCCAGCTTGTTTCTGCTACTGCATTGCCTTTCCTAATATAATGTTGAAAGTGAATGCAATTTTAAAAAGAAGCCAGTATAAATGTGTGCTGGGTTTTAAGAGTTGATTCTTGAGATGCTCTATAAAAATAAAAAGGTGAGCAAGGAAGAATTATGAAGGGAAACTTAGATGCAATGGCATCAGAAATGACAAGCACTCTCTTGGATCTGTTTCTCCCCTGCTCTCCTGCTGTCTAACTTCCTAACCCATCAAGAACTTTCATCAGATCTCCAGCTGGGATGGCCAAGACTGATACCACATCCAGCCTCTTTAGGGACATAAGGCTGTTTACCTGTGACTGTCCTACCCCTTTATTCCACACTCTAGCCTCAGTTTCCACCTGTGTGTGAACAATCTATCTAAGACTGGGAGAGTACCTTCTTCTGCACATTCTTGTCAATACTGAGAACTATATTCTCTTAAAATCTTTTCCATTAAATGGTAAAAATAAAAATCTCATGATTGTAATGTGCATGTCCTTTATTGATGTTGAGGTTGAATACACACATATTTGAATTTTTTCCTTTGTGATTTCCCCATCCATATTTTTCACTCATCTTCTTTTGGGGAGTGATTCTTGATATATTAGAACTTGTTTTTGGCCAAGGGTATTAATCATCTGTCATGTGTGAACTCAAAAGCATCTGATACAGGTCTCAATTAATTTAGAAGGTTTATTTTGCCAAGGTTAAGGCCACACCTGTGACACAGCCTCAAGAGGTCTTGACGATATGTGTCCAAGGTGGATGGGGTACAGTTTGCTTTTGTATATTTTAGGGAGACATGAGACATCAGCCAATACATGGAAGATATGCATTGGTTTTATCTGGGAAAGTGGGACAACTCAAAGTGGAGGCTTCCCGGTCATAGGTAGATTTAAAGATTTTCTGATTAGCAATTGGTTGAAAGAGTTAAGTTATCATCTAAAGACCTGGAATCAAAAGAAAGGAATATTTGGATTACAATAAGGGGTTGTAGAGGCCAATGTTTTATCATGCAGATGAAGCCTCCAGATGGCAGGCTTCAGAGAGAATACATTGTAAATGTTTCTTATCAGACTTAAGGTCTGTGTTAATGTTAATGCTCATTGGCTTTTCCTGAATTCCAGTAGGGAGGAGGGTATAAAGAGGCATGTCTGACTCCCCCTTCCCATGATGGCCTGAGCTAGGTTTTCAGGTTAATTTTGGAATGCCCTTGGCCAAAAGGAGGGGGTCTGTTCAGATTGTTAGGAAGCTTAGAATTTTTTCGGTTTACATATATATAAGCATATATTGTGTCCCAGCTTGTCTTTTGACTTTGGTTGTTTTTGCAGAACAGCAATTTTCATTGTATATGGTCAAATCTATGGTTCCTTCCTCCAGGGTCATTTTTAGAAAGACCTTCCCCATGCCAAACTTTTAAAAATATTTACCTATACCTTTTTGTATAGTTTTTATGTCTTGTTTTTTACATGCAATTTATCTGAAATAATTTTGTTGTAATGTATGGGAAAATATTCTGAAGTTAGCTGGTAGCCAGTTGTTCTAACACCATTTATTGAACAAGACCTACTCTCCTCACCTATTTTAAAGTACCACATTTGCTGGGCACAGTAGCTCATGCCTGTAATCCTACCACTTTGGGAGACTGAGGCAGGTGGATTGCCTGACTCAGGAGTTGGAGACCAGCCTGGGCAACATGATGAAACCCCATCTCTACTAAAAAATACAAAAAAGTAGCTAGGCATGGTGGCACATGCCTGTAGTCCCAGCTACTCAGGAAACTGAGGCACAAGAATTGTTTGAACCCTGGAGGCAGAGGTTGCAGTGAGCCGAGATCATACCACTGTACTGCACTCCAGCCTGGGTGACAGAGCGAGATTCTGTCTTCCAAAAAAAAAAAAAAAGCCACCTTTATTCTATGCTCAATCTTCATATGCATTTTAGTTTTTTTCTAGGCTAGAGACTTTCACTGATCTATCTATTCTTGTGCTGATACAACACTGGTTTAACTTCTGAATAATTATTATTATTATTATTATTATTTTGAGACAGGCTCTTACTCTGTCACCCAGGCTGGAGTGCAGTGGCTTGATCTTGACTCATTGCAACCTCTGGCTCCTAGGCTCAAACAATCCTCCTACCTCAGCCTCCCGAGTAGCTGGGACCACAGGCACATGCCACCACACCAGGCTACTTTTGTATATTTTGTAGAGATGGGGTTTTGCCGTGTTGCCCAGGCTGGTCTCGAACTCCTGAGCTCATATGATCATCCCTCCTTGGCCTCCCAAAGTCCTGGGATTATAGGTGTGAGATACCATGCCCAGTCTAATTTGTGTAATTTTATAATATGTTTTAATATCTGCTAGAGCTGGCTCTCTAATGATTACCTAGTGTTTCCTGTTAACCTGGCACTTTGCTAGGCCCCAGAGATATAAAAAAAATTTGACCTAATCCCTGCCCTCAAAAGGCTACTAATCACATTTAGGTAAAGAACATCAACTAATAGGCGCATTAAGTCATGATCTCTGCTGTGGAGGAGGACTGAACTGGGTAGAGAGTATAGTAAATCTCCTAGGAGAAGGGGTGGAAATGAAAATAGCAAGAGGACTACAGTGCTTCACCACTGAGCCAAGTAGGTGGACTAATGGAGGCCCCATGCTAAACCATGCAGCATCATGACTGTATTAGTCAGGGCTCTCCAGAAAAACAGAGCAAGAATGGGGGGGGTGTGTGTGTGTGTATGTGTGTGTGTGTGTGTTTGTGTGTGTGTAGAGAGAGAGAGAGAGAAAGAGAGAGAAAGAATATGAGAGAATGAGATATATTAGAAGGAATTGGCTCATTTAACTGTGGAGGCTGAGACATCCCACAATCTGCCAATTGCAAGTTGGAGACCTGGGAAAGCCAGTGACATAAATTCCAATTTGAGTGCAAAGGCCTGAAGACCTGGAGTGCTGATGGTGTAAGTACCAGTCCAGGGGCAGAAAAAGACTGATGTCTCAGCTCCAACAGGCAGAGAGAGAGTTCAATTTTCCTTCACTTTTTTTTTTTTTATACTTTAAGTTTTAGGGTACATGTGCACAATATGCAGGTTAGTTACATATGTATACATGTGCCATGCTGGTGTGCTGCACCCATTAACTCGTCATTTAGCATTAGATATATCTCCTAATGCTATCCCTCCCCCCTCCCCCCACCCCACAACAGTCCCCAGAGTGTGATGTTCCTATTCCTGTGTCCATGTGTTCTCATTGTTCAATTCCCATCTATGAGTGAGAACATGCAATGTTTGGTTTTTTGTCGTTGTGATAGTTTACTGAGAATGATGATTTCCAATTTCATCCATGTCCCTACAAAGGACATGAACTCATCATTTTTTATGGCTGCATAGTATTCCATGGTGTATATGTGCCACATTTTCTTAATCCAGTCTATCATTGTTGCACATTTGGGTTGGTTCCAAGTCTTTGCTATTGTGAATAGTGCTGCAGTAAACATACGTGTGCATGTGTCTTTATAGCAGCATGATTTATAGTCCTTTGGGATGGCTGGGTCAAATGGTATTTCTAGTTCTAGATCCCTGAGAAATCGCCACACTGACTTCCACAATGGTTGAACTAGTTTACAGTCCCACCAACCGTGTAAAAGTGTTCCTATTTCTCCACATCCTCTCCAGCACCTGTTGTTTTCTGACTTTTTAATGATTGCCATTCTAACTGGTGTGAGATGGTATCTCATTGTGGTTTTGATTTGCATTTCTCTAATGGCCAGTGATGATGAGCATTTTTTCATGTGTCTTTTGGCTGCATAAATGTCTTCTTTTGAGAAGTGTCTGTTCATATCCTTTGCCCACTTTTTGATGGGGTTGTTTGTTTTTTCTTGTAAATTTGTTTGAGTTCATTGTAGATTCTGGATATTAGCCCTTTGTCAGATGAGTAGGTTGCGAAAATTTTCTCCCATTTTGTAGGTTGCCTGTTCACTCTGATGGTAGTTTCCTTTGCTGTACAGAAGCTCATTAGTTTAATTAGATCCCATTTGTCAATTTTGGCTTTTGTTGGCATTGCTTTTGGTGTTTTAGACATGAAGTCCTTGCCCATGCCTATGTCCTGAATGGTAATGCCTAGGTTTTCTTCTAGGGTTTTTATGGTTTTAGGTCTAACGTTTAAGTCTTTAATCCACCTTGAATTAATTTTTGTATAGGTGTAAGGAAGGGATCCAGTTTCAGCTTTCTACATATGGCTAGCCAGTTTTCCCAGCACCATTTATTAAATAGGGAATCCTTTCCCCATTGCTTGTTTTTCTCAGGTTTGTCAAAGATCAGATAGTTGTAGATATGCGGCATTATTTCTGAGGGCTCTGTTCTGTTCCATTGATCTATATCTCTGTTTTGGTAGCAGTACCATGCTGTTTTGGTTACTGTAGCCTTGTAGTATAGTTTGAAGCCAGGTAGCGTGATGCCTCCACCTTTGTTCTTTTGGCTTAGGATTGACTTGGCGATGGCACCATGTCCGAGAGCGTGAAGAGGCCTGGAGCTAGCAAACAAGACATAAGGCTTATGAGGACTTATGAATGGGGTGGTCCCATGGCCCATGAGGACTTACAAACAGAGGCGGTCCTATGGCCTGTGAGGACTTACATACAGGGGTGGTCCCGTGGCCTGTGAGGACTTACACACAGGGTCGGTCCTGTGGCCTGTGAGGATTACAAACAGGGGCGGTTCTATGGCCTATGAGAACTTACACACAGGGCTGGTCCTGTGACAGCAGGTGGACAGGAGAACCACTATTGTTTGTAAAAAGCATGCAGTTTATATAGCATTTTCACTTAGCACCCTCCACCTAGCAATCTCTATTTGACACAAAACAAAGGGCCTCAATCCCCTATATGGCCTGCATTTTAAGGGATAGGCCAGGGGTTTGGATGTCCCTTACAGATAAGGAGTGATTCTCTCGATTGGCCACTCCCGGATTCCTTAGCTTGGGACTTCAAATCCACATTCTTCTTAGACCATGGGGTCATTCTCAGAGTAAGCCTCATTTGTGGCTGTCAGGTACCTCTGCCATATACACCTCCACAGTCTTGTGAGGTGGGCAGATATCAGAAATTTCACTGGAAGTGTAAATAGATGTTTTCATCGAAATGTAAATGGATGTGATTCATCTAGAGCGCTGGTGACAGAGCCAAGTTAAGTTTCAGATTCCTGGACCACTTCTTTATCATACCCTATGGCTTACCAAGTAGGCCTGATTTTCTGTTCAATAAAGTCCTAACAGTACTATTCACCCTATCTGTCATGTATTATAGTATTTCTAGGAGAATATACATCTGGAATTCTATGATACCTCAGCTCCCACCCTCCCCTTCCACCACTATAATGAAGTGGGGGATCCTCTCTCTTTATATCCCTCCATCCAACACACACCTACATAAAGAGAGAAGGGAAGAGACTACGGTAAGACTGGGGTGAAGATCTGGATGGAGACCCAAAAAATGGAGCAGAGAGGAAATGAGCCTCTTTGGGATGAAGGTTCCAGGAGTTGCCGACTGTCAGGATTTCCTGCTAATGAATCTCCAAGCTGCCTCTCAGTCACCCAGCCCACCCACTTCCTTTACCATTGCCACTCTTAGTAGCTATTTTTCTTTTATTTTCTTTCCTTTTCTTTTGTTTTCCTTTCTCTTCTTTTTTCTTTTCTCTTCTTTTTGAAAGAGGATCTCACTCTGTCACCCAGGCTGGAGTGTAGTGACATGATCATGGCTCACTGCAGCCTCAACCTCCTTGGGCTCAGGTGATCCTCCCGCCTCAGCCTCCTGAGTTGCTGGGATTACATGTACATGCTACCATGCTCGGCTAATTTTTGTATTTTTTGGTAGAGGTGGGGTGTCGCCATATTGCCCAGGCTGGCCTCCAACTCCTAGGCTCAAGGATCTGCCCATCTCAGCCTATCAAAGTGTTAGTATTACAGGCTTGAGCCACAGCAGCTGGCCCTTAGTAACTTCTGAACAGAATTTCTCTCCTCTTTGGGCCAGTGAAGAAGAGAATTCAGACTCAGCATTCCGCCTCCCCAGACATACCTTTTAAAAACACACACACATCCTTAAGGTTTTTTTTTTAGCTTCTAAGGGTCTGTATTGCCAGTAACAACAGAGAAGGGGGCAGGGACTGAAAAGGCAAAAAGGCTCCACCCAGCACTCCCCTCTTTTGCTATTTCATTTAGATATTACAGAGAAGGAAGGAAGACATTTTCCCCACCCCTGAGTTTTCTTTGGGACTATCTGGGACAGAAGATCTCTCTGCAGCTCTTGTAGACCTGAGCATTTCATTTCTAGAGCTGAGATGTCAGGAGAGGAGTCTGGGATAAATGTGAGGAAATGGGATGAATGTTGCCAAGACTAATATTAGGGGTGGGTGGGGACTGAGAACAGCTGTAAGGCAATGTTCTTCCCTACCTTAGCCTCCAGAGCTCATGCTGGACCAGCTGGAGGATGTGAAAATCCAGAGGAGGTGAGGATCTGGGCCAAAGAAAGGGCAAGAAAGAAGGGAGATCTCAAGTCAAGCAATTGGAAGGAAAGGGAGGTTCCCATAGTGGACTCTGGGGCAGGAGAGATGGAAGGGTTGGGCATTTGGGCTCTCACACGTGTGTGGGGGTGGGGAGTATGGGGGTGCAGTTAAGGGACCTAGGTAACTGAGCAAAATTGGGCCTGTAAGGCCAATTGCAAAGCTCGCTTCTGCATGTAATGTGTGTACCATCTGTCTCTCCATGCCACTAGGAGCACTAATAAATGTTACATGTAGAAACTTTTGCACTAGCTTGTACATTAAAATTCCATATGCCAATTGACTGGACTACATGAGCGCATCTGTCAAAAACAGGTCTCTTAGGCCCAATTTAGGACATTCCAAAGCAGCTTTATAACTGCTTCAGCCTCCAAATGGTATGAATTAACTCTCATAAGCCAAGTCAATTCTCACTGAGTAAAGGATTCGGCCAAATGTCCAAAAAATTCAAGTCAAAAACACTCTCTTCCCTTTATTATAGAGAATATCAGTAGTAAGATCTTTTTTCCCCCAAAATTGTGCTGCTCATTGACTCCGTGTTTGATGTCATACTGTTAACATAAGTTAATATGGTCAAAATGATAAAATGCTTTATTGTATTATGGGCATGAAAAAGACCATATTTTGCATTTTTACAAAATTCTGTTTTTCCAGTTATATTTACAATTTACAGTGTATGCTGATATATATTAAGTGGTTAAATCTCAGGTGCCAAGTGTATTTTATTTTGAAAAAGTAAATATGTATAACTCCCAAGACAACCTGTTTAGACCCATTCTCTCCCGGCAATGGAAGATGCATAAAGAAGAATATAATCCTCCCTTTTAAGGTAAAGCTTAGATTTACACTTCACATGCCCAAACTCAGCACATATGTTACCTCTAGGAACTGGAAATTTTGCTTCTTTTCCTCATACTGATTTTTTTGTTTCTGTTCTTATTAACTTTTATGAAAATATCTTTAGAAAAGCAAGTATAAATACATGAATGAATAAATATATTGGATGATAGAATCAGAATCTTTAAATATCTCAACATGACAGAATAATGGGGAGATTCTAATAATGAAATGTAACAAGTATGAATGCCAGTCACACCTATGTTCCAGGAACAATTCATCATAACAGCAGGATATGTAAGGAAAGGCTTAGGGATTTCAGTTCACTATGCATAGACCTTTTTTTTTTTCTTTTTGAGACAGGGTCTTGCTCTATTACCCAGGCTGGAGTGCAGTGGTGCAATCATGGCTCACTCCCAGCCTTGATCTCTCAAGCTCAAGCACTCTTCCCACCTCAGCCTCCCTAGTAGCTGGGACTACAGCCATGCACCACCAAATCTGGATAATTTTTAAATTTTTTGTAGAGAAGGGGTCTCACTGTGTTGCCCAGGTTGATCATGAACTCCTGGCTTCAAGTGATCCTCTGGCCTCAGCCTCCCAAAGTGCTAGGATTACAGGTGAGAGCCACCACACCTGGCCCACTACTAACAGACTTTAGAGAGCCATTCAGGCTACTCCTCACCCCATGCAATCTTAGACTGTGTTACTAGATAAATGCTGTCTAAAAAAGGGGAAGAGATAACCTTTTTCTCCACTTTGTGTCAGAATACTATATTCAAATCTGGACACCTCATTTCAACAACAGATTGCAGGGATCCAAACAAAGAAACCAGCTTGGTGATCAAAAGAGTGCCTGCCCCTCAAGGACTCCCAACTCAGTGGGGTTGGTATTGACATAGCAGATACACAAAATGTATTCTAGATTGGTACCAAAACTATGGTGAGTAGATGGCTGTGACTGGGGGACTTCTCAATTGATTGCTCAGTCCATTAGAGGTGGCCTTTTTGTGCCTATTGGCTGTTATCGGCTGCCTTGAGTATATTGTCTATATTTGATCCTCAGTATTTTTGTGTGTGACTTGAGCTTTGAGAATTAAATTAAAATGATATATATTTTACTATTTAATCCTACAAAAGTTATTCAACTATCAATAAATATGTCAAGTGCTGAAAAGAAAAAATATCAACAATATCGGAATAAATAATGACTGTCTAGTTATTTTCTCAGCTGGGCCTAGTGGCTCATGCCTGTAATCTCAACACTTTGGGAGGCCAAAGCACAAGGATTGCTTGAGGCCAGGAATTCAAGACCAGCATACGCAACATAGCGAGACCCCCAACTCTACAAAAAATAGAAAAATTGGCCAGGTGTGGTGGTTCAAGCCTGTATTCCTAGCTGCTTGGGAGGCTGAGGCAAGAAGATCACTTGAGCCCAGGAGTTTGAGGCTGTAGTGAGCTATGATTATACCACTACACTCGAGCTACTCTGCCTCTTAAAAAAAAAAAAGTTATTTTTTCATATGAAGCAAAAGTTAAACATTCATGTTTAGAAAATCAGTTATTTTCAACTGTTGCTTTTGCTAGAAAAGTACCAGTTTTGAATTTTTTTTTTTTTTTTTTTTTTTAGATGGAGTCTTTCCCTGTCACCCAGGCTGGAGTGCAGTGGCATGATCTCGGCTCACTGCAACCTCCCCCTCTGAGGTTCAAATGATTCTCCTGCCTCAGCCTCCCGAGTAGCTGGGACTACAGGTGCACGCCACCACACCCAGCTAGTTTTTGTATTTTTAGTAGAGATGGAGTTTCACCATGTTGGGCAGGATGGTCTCACCCTCTGACCTCGTGATCCACCTGCCTGATTTTTTTCTTTCTTTTTCTTTTTTTTTTTTTTTTTTGGGACAGAGTCTTGCTCTGTTGCCAGGCTAGAGTACAGTGGTGAGATCTTGGCTCACGGCAACCTCCAACTCCCAGGTTCAAGAGATTCTCCTGCCTCAGCCTCCCGAGTAGCTGGTACTACAGGTGCGTGCCACCACGCCCAGCTAATTTTTTGTATTTTAGTAGAGATGGGGTTTCACCACGTTGGCCAGGATGGTCTCAATCTCCTGACTTCATGATCCGCCCACCTCAGCCTCCCAAAGTGCTGGGATTACAGGTGTGAGCCACCACACCTGGCCAGCCTTGAGTGATTTTTAAGAAACTAACTACAGGCAGGGCATGGTGGCTCACGCCTGTAATCCCAGCACTTTGGGAGGCCCAGGCAGGTGGATCACCTGAGGCCAGGAGTTCGAGACCAGCCTGACCAACATGGAGAAACCCCATCTCTACTCAAAATATAAAATTAGCTGGGCGTGGTGGTGCATGCTTGTAATCCCAGCTACTCAGGAGGCTGAGGCAGGAGAATCATTTGGACCTGGGAGATGGAGGTTGCAGTGAGCTGAGAGTGGGTAATTGCACTCCAGCCTGGGCAACAAGAGTGAAACTCCATCTCAGAAACAAACAAAAAAAAAGAAACTAACAAACTGAATACATTGTTATTATTATTTACCTATATAAATTGCCAATTTACATATAAAATTTGATGCATTATAATTATGGGAAAATAAATTCTATTAAAAGTTACTCAGCAAAGATAGTTATTAAGATAAATTAAATGATAATAAATTTTATTTTTAATTTAACTAAAATTTTAATTTAAAATTTTATTTCCTCCTTCCTAACCCTGCATCAGATAAAAATAATAAACTTTATACTTACTCTTCTTATGTATGAAGTATAGACATAACATACAGTACATAAACAGATATATACTAGATCTGTGGTATTAAGAAATTTTAAAGGGGGGATGATTAGGTAAAACATGTTTTTATTTATTTTATTTTCATTTAAAAAATTTTTTTTGTCAATATTCAATATAAATATTTTTTAAATTATTGAGATAGGGTCTCACTATGTTCCCCAGGCTGGTCTCCAACTCCTGGGCTTAAGCGAGAGTCCTGCCTCAGCCTCCTAAAGTGCTGGGATTACAGGCACGAGCCACTGCACCTGGCCAACACATTTTTCAAAGCTCCTTAGGGAAATGACATTTTTTTTAAAGTTGAGAAACTCTGAATTAAAACTACCTAGGCATCTTGACAGGAAAGTACTTTGCTGTTGGTTTGCCGCAATGAATCCCAGCCAAAATCTGAAACTAAGAATGGATTTATTCACACTCTTCTTGTCGTCATATCCCATTTCTTGCTATTTTTCCTCCCCCAACTTGTTGTATGTCTTCTGGTAATTGACTCATTATTTTCCTCTTGGGAGCCACCATCCCACTCCTTAGCTCCAGTGATGGTAGGTGACCCAGGTATGGCCAGGAGGAGACACAACCTTTGAGCCAGGCCAATCTGAGTAATTCCTGGGACTTTGCTGGAACTGGGAAGAGGAGATCATTTTCGGTAGGGCTACATTTGTCAGGTTGTGAGCCTGGAAAAACTGGAGGCTCTCTTTGCCATAACCTAGCAAAAGGCTACCAGAAAATAAAACCACCGCAGCAGAAGCAGAGCCAGAGAATCAAAGGTGAGAGACAGTATTCTAGGGTATCACTGAGAACCTAGGTTTAGTCAAGCCTAAAGCTATTTAAACCCCTGGCATTCCTGGTATCCTTTGTGGCCTAAGCTAACTGGAGTTGTGTCTCTCTCATTAGCAATCAGAAGGGTTTTCACTTAATTCTAGCACTTTGGGAGGCTAAGGCAGGCAGATCACTTGAGGTCAGGAGTTCGAGACCAGCCTGGTCAACATGGCAAAACCCTGTCTATACTAAAAATACAAAACATAGCTGGGTGTGATGGCAGACACCTTTAATTCCAGCTACTCAGGAGGTTGAGGCAAGAGACTCTCTTGAACCCAGGAGGCAGAGGTTGCAGTGAGCCGAGATCATGCCACTGCACTCCAGCCTGGGGCGACAGAGTAAGACTCTGTCTTAACAAAAAAAAAAAAAAAAAAAAAAAAGGAGAAGGGTTTCACTTAATAAACCTCCTCTGCCCAGTACCCTCATTCCACAACTGTCAGAGCCAAGGAGCAAGAAGCAAGGAGCTCTGGAGAAGCTGAGGAGCTCAGTTCATTTAAATCTTCTCTTACCTAGGGCCCCTGACTTATCACATGCTCCTTCTCAAATTCTCCTCTTAAGAAAAGTATTACAATTCTTGCTGGGTACTGACTTGAACCTGACATACTAATCCTGTACCAGTATTTTTGATGCCACTTTCAATTTCTTGGTTAAATTGTGAATTACTGTTTATTTGAAGGGGTCTGTTTTATTTCCTTTTTGCTGACACATCCACAATGTTTGCCATACATTAAAATATATAAATTAAAATGTGGCATTCTATCATTATCAGGTCACTTACCATTAAGGGTGTATCATTAAAGTATTACAACCTGAAGGGCAACCAACATGAATCTATATTTATGAAACTCAATTCCAACCTCCATGAAAAATATCTATTGCTAATTTATGTCAAATAAGTAGAAGGTGAAACTGACTTAGATATTTTTGTTGCAAAACATGTCTTCTACAAATATTTTTCTAGTTGAACTGTATTATATTAGCCAATACTAATTGAAATGTGTTTGTAAGGTTTTAATTAGCAACCAAAGCTGTTAAGTATTCCTTATGAGCATATCACATTTCATAGTCCAGTACTCAATAATCTGAAACTAAGTGAATTATTGATTTTTCGCTTCTCAAGTACTTTCTCCTTAAAAAAAAGTGGGGGGGGGTTGGTGGAATTCATAAGACAAAGATGCAAGCAACAAAAGATAGTTTCTTTAATTCTCACAATCAGTTAACTGTGTCTGTATCTTATGGACACAAATTATTGAACAGCATACCAACTAATGGGCAGCAAAGTCACAGCCTGAAATGTATCTTTGTTTGTTTGTCTGTTTTAAAGACAGGGTGTTGCTCTGTCACCCAAACTGGAGTGCAGTGGTATGAATGTGGCTCACAGCAGCCTCAAACTCCTGGGCTCAAATGATCCTCCTGAGTAGCTAGGACTACAGGGGCATGCCACCACACCTGGCTAATTTAAACATTTTTTAATAGATACTGCTATGTTGCCCAGTCTGGCCTCGAATTCCTGGCCTCAAGTGAACCTCCCATCTTGGCCTCCCAAAGTGCTGGAATTACAGACATGAGCCACCTTGCCTGGCCAGCAACGTATCATTTCGTCAGCCTCAGTGACTGACAGTCAAAATTGGGATCATTAAGGGTATTTGAATTCACCAGGAAGATTTAGGTTGAGATACACTATATTTGAGGACATCCAAATGGTTGGAGTCCAGAGACATCTGAATATACAGGCCTGGGAATAAGGGGCTATAGTTTGTGATACAAATTCAAAATGCAAAAGTCAGCAGAGACTCAATGAATGGAGGCTCCGGAAATGGCTGAGCTCTCTGGAGGATGGTGGGAGAGCAGGCATGCAAGTGCAGAGGGTCCTGTAGAGCAGTGATCTCCAGACTTTTTGGCACCAAGGATTGGTTTCGTGGAAGACAATTTTTCCACGGACGGGTGGAGGTGAGAGGATGGTTTTGGGATGAAACTGTTCCACCTCAGATCATCAGACATTCGATTCTCAGAAGGATCATGCAACCTGGATCCCCCGCAAAGCCAGCTCACAATAGGGTTCTCGCTCCTATGAGAATCTAATGCTGCTGATCTGAGAGGAGGCAGAGTTCAGGCGGTAATGCTCGCTCCCCTCCTGTGTGGCCCGGTTCCTAGTACAGAGTCTAAGGACAAGAAGAGGAGCGCCTAAAAAGGTAGTTGAAAAAATAAGCCAGTCCAGCATCAAACCAAAAGACAAAAATAAAATAAAATAAAATAAAATAAAATAAAGCCTACATTGTTAAATGCCAGCATTTTCACAGCTATTGAGAAGGTGAAAAAGAAGTCTTATAATAGAGATTTTGCTAAATAGGCAACAGGGCAAACCTTATTAGGTTTTATGTTATATGTTAAGTCATCTAATGGGTAGGGCTTTATTTTGATCCTCATTGATAGAAGACAGATGTCTGGCATCTATCTACTTGGTTCTACAACCAAGAATGGCCACTCTTTCAGAGAAGCTGACAGTCATGCCCCGCCCAGTCTTTATGGTGAAACAGTGACTTGCCACCAGTCGTGTGTCCAGATTTTGGGGGCAGTGAAGAGAGTAGGAAGTATTCCACCCAAATTACATGGAAAATGAGAGTATTTTGTTCTGTTTTGATTTTTTATATACATATTTTAAGAACTATTACCATAATGTCAACAATATATGTTATCTTTCAAATTTTTTTCTGTCTTTTTTTTTTTTTTTTTTGAGACAGAGTCTCGCCTTGTCACCCGGGCTGGAGTGCAGTGGTGCGATCTCAGCTCCCTGCAACCTCCACCTCCCAGGCTCAAGTGATTCTCCCTCCTCAGCTCCCCACGTAGCTGGGACTACATATACATGCCACCATACCCAGCTAAATTTTGTATGTTTTGCAGAGATGGGGTTTTACCATGTTGCCCAGGCTAGTTTCGAACTCCCTGAGCTGAAGCTATTGGCCCACCTTGGCCCCCAAAGTGCTGGGATTACAGGTATGTGCCACCATGCCTGGCCTATATTTCAAATCTCTCATAAAAGTTTAGCATGGAATATTACCTGTGAAATTAATAACAGTCTATGGAGCTGTCATGCTTTATATTACTAAACTGGCTATGTTCTTCATACCTAAGCTGCAGTTATCAGCTAATAGGGCTGAATGCTCTTAAAGGGATCTACTTCCCCACTTCAGAAGTCTCCACTGATTTAATTAATAGACCAAGTCCATCAGGAAGAATAACTCTGAATTGTCTGTAGACAGACCTATTTGAGAATTTCCTCTACTTTACCCCACCCCACAGACACTTCTACACTCCATTCAGGCATTATCATTTGTGGCTCTTTCCAAGCTTAACCCTCTCTTGTTTGACACTCTTCAGGTCTCCCCCATTTGCTTTAGTATTCTTCCATGGTCCTTCACAACTGCTCCTTTGTCTTGGTAGCCTCAGCTCTTGCCACTTCTCAAGATGCAGGCAAGGCTTTGAACATTCATTCCTTTATCTACCATCTTCACAATTTTTGGCATACACAAGTACCAGTGAACTGTTTACTTAGTATCTTTTAATAGATCAATTTTGACTACTTGAATAAATGATTTTTAAAAGGAAACTTTTTATCACTACCAAAAATAGCAAATCAGTTTCAATTGCCTAAAGTGGAGATAGGTGTTATTTAACTCTACCTAGATAATGCTGCCAGTTGAAGCTTTGAGTTTAAGCCTAAAAGGAGATTAGCAAATGTTACATAGGTGTACTTGCTAGAAAAAAATGACTTTTCCTTACAAAAGAAGGTTTGAAAAAGAATTGGAAAGAGTGTTATTCTATCACTATGTAATTACTTATCTGGCTGAATATAAGCCAGATAGGACCTAGAACCACCACATAAAATCTGAATATTAATTGTCCCATGCTTTGGAAAACACCACTCTATCCTTCTCAGATTACTTTGTGGTTTCAAGCTTTCTTATTCTGTGCCTCAAATGTTCTGCTTTCGTTCTCACCCAGCTGATTCCTTCAGTGTTTCAGGACCCAGAAGAATCTTCCCTGATGTGTGCTTTCAGGGGAAGTGTGCTGTCCCTTGTATTAGTCAGGGTTCTCCAGAGATACAGAACCAATAGGAGATCTATCTATCTATCTATGTGTGCACACACACACACACATAAACATATATATACACACATACATCATACAAACACACATATTCATAACAAAATGAGAAAATATTCATGACAATTACAGTGCTCATTTCTGTAATTGGTCACGTGGTCAAAGTTAGTATTTCTAATGACTATCTTCTTCTACTACACACTGTATATCCTTTGTCTTCATAAGCACCTCAGCTGGCTATGGTTCTTTACCTGGTGGAGTGACCCAAACCTTCATTCCTGAAGGGTCTGAGCCAGTCATAGTCCTGCCTGGATTGGGTTGTGGTAGGTTTCCATTGACTTAATCACAGGACACAGTAGCAATACTAGAAGACTCCCTGAGGGATCTCCTGTATTCCAGGGAGACTCTTCCTTACCTCCATTGTGGAATACAGTCCAGTTTCCCCTTGGTAGTCAGGATCAATCACCCCAGCCAGCACTGTGACTCCCTTCTTTACTTGTTGACTCAGAAGCATGAGGAACCCAAAGTGTCCAGGTGGCTGTCTTTACTTCTAGTTCAGTGGAATCGTTGTTTCTCTTGGTGGAAACATTCCTCCCTCTGGAACTAAGACCTCTAGACCAGGAGAGCATAAAGTCACAGGAACAAGAAGCAAAAATGTTGCTAGTGGATTATCGGGCTTAATACTGAGTAATGCCACTCCCATTTCTACACCATGATTCCTGGACCTATGAATCCTAGCTAGAGGAGAAACACCACCAGCTATTAGATGCTGGTTCAGAGCATATACAGCCTTCCAGAGAACCTTGCCCAAGCCCTGCAAGGTATCACCACCTAGCTAGTGCTGTAACTCAATCTTCCAAAGGTCATTCTACAATTCTATCAAACCAGCTGCTTCAGACTGGTGAGAAACACGGTAAAAACAGTGAATTCCACAAGCATGGGCCTATTGCCACACTTCTTTTGCTGTGAGGGGGGTTCCTTGTTTAGAAGCAATGCTGTGTGAGGCCAGGCACAGTGGCTCAATCTTGTAATTCCAGCACTTTGGGGGGCTGAGGTGGGAAGATCACTTAAGACCAGGAGTTCGAGTCCAGCCTGAACAACATAGGGAGACCCCTTCTCTACAGATAATTTAACAAATTAGTCAGGTGTGGTGGTGTTCACCTACAGTCCCAGCTACTTTGGACACTGAGGTGGGAGGATCACTTCAGCCCTGGAGGTGGAGGCTGCATGAACCAAGATCACACCATTGCATGCAGGAAAGGCAAATCCATATCCAGAGTGTCTATTCCTGTAAGAACAAAATGCTGCCACTTCCATGATGGAAGTGATCCAGTGTAATCAACCTGCCACCAGATAGCTGGCTGATCACTCCAGGAAATGGTGCCATATTGAGGATTCAGTATTGGTCTCTGCTGCTGGCACAGTGGGCATTCAGCAGTGGCCATAGCTAGGATGCCCTTGGTGAGTGGAAGTTTATGTTGCTGAGCCTATGCATAACCTCCATCCCTGCCATTACGGTCACCTTGTTCATGAGCCCACTGGGCAATGACAAGGTGGCTGGGAAAGAGGCGGACTGGGATCCACAGACTGGGTCATCTTATGCACTTGATTATTAAAACCCTACTCTGCTGAGGTCACACTTTGTTGAGAATTCACATGAGACATAAAAATCTTCCATTTTTTTTGTGCTAATTCAGAGAGATCTATCTATATACTTCTTTCCCAAATTTTCTTGTCCTTCAATTTTCTAATCACGTTCCTTCCAAGTCCCTGATCACCCAGCCAAACCACTGGCCGTGGTCCATGAATTGGTATATATCACATATCTGGCCATGTATCTTTCCAAGCAAAGTGAACAACCAGGTACACTTCTCAAAGTTCTGCCCACTGGGAGGATTTTTCTTCATCACTGTCCTTCAGAGAAGTTCTGGAAAGGGGCTGTAGTGCTGCAGCTGTCCACTTTAAGGTGGTGCCTGCATATCGTGCAGAACCATCTGTAAACCAGGCCCAAGTCTTCTCTTTGTCTGTGAACTGTCAACTTGTGGGAAACTCCCCATTAAGCCATAGATGCAGGCTGGGAGAGATAAAATGATATAATAGAAGTGGGGGCCATGGTCATTTGGGCCACTTCATGTAGCTTACTTGTGCTTTGAAGGCCTACTCAAACATGATCATGTATACGCCACTTCTATTTGATGATGGGCTCTTGCTCTCCATACCCGACTTTATGGCCTGATGGGTCAGATTACACCCAGCTTATGATAAGCAGCTCAGGTTGCATGGTAACCTGGTGGCCCATGGTTTAGCATTCAGTCTCTAGTAAGGCCCAGTAGCAGATCAAGAGATATTTCTTAAAAGGAGAGTAGTTATCTGCAGAAGATGACAGGGCTTTGCTTCAAAATCCAAAGGGTTTGTGTAGTGACTCATCTGTAGGGGCCTGCCAAAGGCTCCAAACAGCATCTCTCTCTGCAGACACTTCAAGCACAATTGGATCTGCTGTATTACATGGCTCAAGTGGCAGAGCAGCTAGCACAGCAGCCTGGACCTGTTGCAGAGCCTTCTCTCGTCTGCACATCACTCAAAAATAGCAGCTTTTCAGCTCACTCAGTAAACGTGCCAAGTAGCACACACAAATGAAGAATATGTTGCCTCCAAAATTCAAAGAGGCCCACTAGGCATTGTGTCTCTTTCTTGGTTGTAGGAGGGGGCTAGATGCAACAACTTTTCCTTCACCTTAGAAGGGATGTCTCGACATGCTCCACACCACTGGACCCCTAGAAATTTTACAGACGTAGGAGGCACCTGAAGTTTTGTCAAATTTATTTCCCACCCTCTGGCATCCAAATATCTTACCCATAAGTCTAGGGAGTAGCTGCTACTTCTTCCTCACTAAGTCCAATCAGCATAATGTCATCAATGCAATGGACCACTGTTATAGCTTGTGGAAAAAAAAGGTGAGCAAGATCCCTGTGAACTAAATTATGACATAGTGTTGGAGAGCTGATAGACTCCTGAGAAGGACAGTGGCAGTGTATTGCTGGCCTTGCCAGCTGAAATCAAAATGCTTCTGATGGTCTTTACTAACAGGTATGGAGAAAAAATATGCACCAGATTGATAGCTGCATACCAGGTACCAGAGATTGAGTTAATTTGCTCAAACAACGAAACCATATCTGGTAAAGCAGCTGCAATTGGAGTCATCACCCGGTTAAACTTTCAGTAATCCACTGTCATTCTCCAAGATCCGTCTGTCTTCTGCACAGACCAAATAGGTGAGTTGAATAGGGATGTAGTGGAAATCACACCCCCACATCCTTTTAAGTCCTTGCTGGTGGCACTAACCTCTGCAATCATTCCAGGAATGCAGTGTTGCTTTTGGTTTGCTATTGTCCTAGGGAGAGGCAATTCTAGTGGCTTCCATCTGCCATTTCTCACCATAATAGCCCCCGTTCTATAGGTCAGGGAACCAATATGGGGATTCTGCCAGCTGTTGAATATATCTATTCTTATTACACATTTGGAAACTGGGGAAATGATCACAGGAGGGTTTAACAATCCACTGTGAGATGAACCTGAGTTAAAACTCCATTGAGCCAGGCGTCGTGGCTCACGCCTTTAACCCCAGCACTTTGGGAGGCTGAGGCGAGCAGATCACCTGAGGTCAGGAGTTCGAGGCCAGCCTGACCAACATGGTGAAACCCTGTCTCTACTAAAAATACAAAATTAGCTGGGCATGGTGGCGCATGCCTGTAATCCCAGCTACTTGGGAGGCTGAGGCAGAAGAATTGCTTGAACCTGGAGGCGGAGGTTGCAGTGAGCTGAGATTGTGCCATTGCACTCCCACCTGGGCAATAAGAGTGAAACTCCAACTCAAAAAAAAAAATTAGCCAGGCGTGGTGGCAGGTGTCTGTAATCCCAGTTACTTGGGAGGCCGTGGCATGAGAATTGCTTGAACCCAGGAGGCAGAGGTTGCAGTGAGCCAAGATTGCATCACTGCACTCCAGCCTGGAGGATAGAGTGAGACTCTGCCTCCAGAAAAAAACAAAAACAAAACAAAAAAAACCCTCCATTGATTACCTGACCTCCATAAGCCAGAGGTCCCCAACTCCCAGGCCACAAACTAGTACCACTCCGTGGTCTGTCAGGAACCAGGCCACACAGCAGGAGGTGAGTAGCAGGTGAGTGAGCAAAGCTTCCCATGTATTTATAGCCACTCCCCATCACTCACATTACCACCTGAGCTGCACCTCCTGTCAGATCAGTGGCAGCATTAGATTCTCATAGGAGCACAAACACTATGGCCAACTGTGTATGCAAGGGATCTAGGTTGTGTGCTCCTTATGAGAATCTAATGCATAGTGGTCTATCACTGTCTCCCATCACCCATAGATGAGACCATCTAGTTGCAAGAAAACAAGTTCAGGGCTTCCACTGATTCTACATTCTGGTGAGTTGTATAATTATTGTATTATATACTACAATGTAATAATAATAGATGTGCACAATAAATGTAATGTACTTGAATCATCCCCAAACCATCCCCTGTCTCCCAGTCTGTGGAAAAATTGACTTCCACGACATCAGTCCCTGGTACCACAAAGGCTGGGGACTGCTGCCATAAGCCCTTACTCTGACCAGTGGACCATCATGATGTTTTGGGTCACCTAAAGTTAGTTTCAGTTTAGAGCCAGTGTCTGAAAATTCTGATTATTTCCTTTGCTTTAGTGCACAGTTACCCTGGTAAACAGCTGTAGGTAAACAGCTGTAGGTCCCTTTGGTGAATATTGGGGAAAAGATTAACATATAAATTTTTCATAATATACTGGGGTCTTTCCTCAAGGGGATCCCACCTCCTCTTCATTCAGAAGGTTTTGGGTGAGTAAACTAGCTCAAGTCTGGGAATTGATTACGGAACTGTGACTCTTTTTTTTTCTTATGATTCAGATTAGACTTCTGTTCACTTAACCTAAAACTTTTCTGTTTATACAGATCAAGTAAGAATTTAGTTGAAATAGTTCCTATTTCACGTCTAGGAACACCATGATCAACTAGTGAACACTGTAGATCTATGAACTAGGTCATTCTGATGGCTGCTTTGACTCTGCTTTTCATTATGGTAACCATGGCCACCTTGCCATTGGTGGTCGAGTGTTGCAACTTGGGCCCTACAACCTGGGATCCAATTATGCCCATCGTATTTAGGTTTTTAAATTCAGTGACTGTGGTTCTCACTGTAAGGTCTGGCCTACACAGAAAAGCAATCGTGAAGCTTTTCAAGGATGCTGGGGCTTCTCTCACCAACTAATTTCTCACTGAATTGGAGTATGTCTTCTGGACCCTCCCTGTGTGGGTGACGTCTTAAATGAGTAATCCACTTGAACATTTCAGTCTCCCTAAGCCTTTGCATTCCTTCCTCTACATTAAATCAACACACATCCAATATGTCCAATTCACTCACTGTTGTTCAACTTTCACCCATGTTTCTTTTATTTATTTATCTTTTATATTTATAATTTTTTTTTTTATTGAAACAGTCTTGCTCTGCTATCCAGGCTGGAGTACAATGGTGTGATCATGGCTCACTGCTCAGCCTCCTGGGCTCAGGTGATCTTCCTGCCTCAGCCTCCTGAGTTGTTGGGACTATGGGTGTGCACCACTATATGGCTAATTCTTTCTTTTCTTTTCTTTCTTTCTTTCTCTCTCTTTCTCGTTTCTTTCTCTCTCTCCCTCTCTTTCTTTCTTTCTTCCTTTCTTTCTTTTCTTTCTTTCTTTCTCCTTCCTTCCTTCTCTCTTTCTTTTTCTCCTCTCTTTCTCTCCTTCTCTCTTCTCTCTTTCTTTCTTGTAGAGACAGAGTTTCACTGTGTTGCCCTAGCTGATCTCAAACTCTGGGGCTCAAGCCCAGAGCCTCCCAGTGTTCTGGAAATACAGGCATGAACCTGGTCCTTGTATTGTTTTCTGTTTGTTTGTTTGTTTGTTTTGAGACAGGGTCTCCCTCTGTTGACCAGGATAGAGTGCAGTGGTGTGATCATGGCTCACTGCAACCTAAATCTCCTGGGCTCAAGCACCCCTCCTGCTTTGGCCTTACAAGTAGCTGGGACTACAAGTATGTAAACCAAAAATAAAATTCTAAGGCCCACCCCCAATCATCTGAATGGGCCCCAAACAAGTTGCCGGAACTCAGAGCTAAGGTACCAGCAGGGGCCCATTGAAAGCTTCCCCAGCTGTGAGCTTCTCCAGTGGAACTGATAAGTCCTGAGGCATGGATCTCCCTTTGGTTGACAATCCTTGATTTATTCTGAGCTGGTTTGTTTGTTTGTTTGTTTAGTCCTAGGAAGTTGTTGTTTCGGATCCTAAGACAGAGGTGCATTCTAAAGAGTCTTCTCCATTGCCTTTTTCCAAAGACAAGGAAAATGACTCCCTTTTGGGCACTCCATTTAGTTTCTAGTTTGGAAGTGCATTCTAAAGGGTCTTCTTCATTGCTTTTTTCCCCAAGATTAAGTTCAATTGGCATGTCTGCATATTTTTGTGAGGAGCTGAACTGCATTTTCCTAGATAAAAGAGAAACTGAGCTTCCTCAGCTTGGAAGAGAAAAGGTATTTTGCTCCTCTCAGCAAAAAGGCGCCCCTGGGTGACCGGGAGCTGAGTGAGAGTGTTTGGGGGCTTGACTTCCCATGACTTGCAGCGGCCCCCCCAAAAAAATTAGTTTAAAAAGGCTCATCCAGAAAATGCATATAAGAGCTGATCACTTTGCACTTTAAGCCCTCTTGGAGATGCCAGACCTCTGGAGAGAGAAACTGAGACATGTAAGAGTGTGGAAATTACTCAGTGGTAAAACACTGAGGAGTCCCTCCTGCAGTCAGCACACTTTGATCCACTACACTAAACCCTAGGCCACAGCTCAGTTCCTCCTTTTAAGAAAGACAAAGAGGCCAGGTGCGGTGGCTCATGCCTGTAATCCTAGCACTTTGGGAGGCTGAGGCGGGCGGATTGCCTGAGCTCAGGAGTTCAAGACCAGCATGAGCAACACGGTGAAACCCTGTCTCTACTAAAATACAAAAAATTAGCTGGGCATGGTGGCATGCACCTGTAGTCCCAGCTACTCAGGAAGCTGAGGCCGGAGAATCACTTGAATCCGGGAGGCAGAGGTTGCAGTGAGCCGAGATTGCGCCACTGCACTCCAGCCTGGGCGACAGAGCGAAACTCCATCTCAAAAAAAGAAAAGAAAAGAAAAAGACCTGGAAAAAGAAGAGGATTTGCTATAGAGTGTAAATTGTCCCCACAAGACACAGCTTCACCATTTCAAAATATGTCAAAGAAATATATTTTGGGGTAAAATAATCTCTTTCAGGGCCCGCTATCTGTCGTGTGATGCTATGCTAGTGTCAGGTTGGAATTTGGTATCCTACTGTTACCAAGAATCGGTTTTGTCAGTCTTAAGATCTCTGTTTTAATGTTAATGCTGGTCAGTTGTGCCTGAATTCCAGAGAGAGTAAGGTAAAATAAGACATCTCCAATTCCTCCTTCCCATCATGGCCTGAACTAGTTTTTCAGGTTTACTTTGGAATCCTCTCCACTGAGAGGAGAGGTCCATTCGGCTGATTGGGGAGCTTAGAATTTAATTTTTGGTTTACAATTTTTAAGATTCTGTTCCTCTAGAACCACTCCTGATACCAAAATGCTTCTGCAGTACCTTGCCTGCTTATATCAAAGCACCTAACACTATATTGCATTTATCAATTATTTGTGTGTCTCCTCCATTAAACTAAGAACTTCTTTAGGGCAATGCATTAGATGCTTGGGCTTCCATAACAAAGTATCATAGCGTGGGTAGCTTAAGCAACCAATTTATTTCTCAGAGTACTGGAAGCTGGAATGTCCAAGATGCCAGTGAGTTTAGTTCCAGGCCGGGCGTGGTGGCTCACACCTTTAATCCCAGCACTTTGGGAGGTCAATGAGGGCAGATCGCTTGAGGCTAAGAGTAAGAGACCAGACTGGCCAATATGGTGAAGCCCCATCTCTACAAAAAATACAAAAATTATCCGGGCCTGGTGGTGCCTGCCTGTAGTCCCAGCTACTTGGGAGGCTGAGGCGGGAGAATCATTTGAACTTGGGAGGCAAAGGCTGCAGTGGGTCCAGATTGCACCACTGCACTCCAACCTGGGCAACAGAGCAAGACTGTGTCTCCGAAAAAAAAAAAAGAATTTAGTTCCCAGTGAGGTCTCTGTTCCTGACTTGTAGATGGCCATCTTCTTGCTGTGTCCTCATATGGCAGAGACGGCAAGCAAGGTCTGGTGTCTCCTCCTCTTCTTGTAAAAGCATCAGCCCTATCAGAGTAGGGTCCATCTTTATGACTTCATTTAACTGTTATCACATCCTCACAGGCACTACCTCCTAATACAGTCACATTGAGGGTTAGGGTTTCAACATATGAATTTCGGGAGGACACAAACATTCGGTTCATATCAGGCAGGGCTAGGTCTTTCACCTCTGAGCCCTCAGCACTGTGTGACAGCACCTAGTCACTCAGTATGTATTTATTGCTACACACATGCATTAAGTGAATACATAAGCACATAAATGAATCATTCTATCAGTAGAAACATACTAAGACAAAAGTTCTCAAGTACTGATATGTAATCAGAACTACCCAGGGAAACTTGATAAAAATACAGAGACTCAGACCCTGTCCCCATTCTGCTTCAATCAGCTTGGGATTCTGTACGATTTATTAACTGTCCTGGTGATTATGATACACACCAAAGTTTGACAACCTTTTTAGGTGAGAAAGCAGATTCAAAGAGGTTAACTATTTGTTCAGCTTGACTTAAGCAGAGGTAAAACTGAGATAGTTTAGCATAATTTGTGACGGTTTTCAGTTCAGTCTTTATAATATACATGAGGAGACTACTTATGATAGAAATATAAAGCTATGATTCTGTTTTAGTCAGTACAGTAAATACACAATCCCATTTACTCATTTGTTTGAATCAATAATTTGTTTTGAATCCTTCAATTTGTTAAAGGATGAAGTCTGAAAATTATCCATGATACTTAAAAGTCACAGATTATAGTTACAACTTAACATGGGTTTAATTCAGTCATGTGTTTAGAACTGTGCTCAAAACAGACCGCATTCTGCAAGAAAATAATGAGAATATAAATTTTGAATCATGTAAAACTATAGAGACTGAAAATTATTATTTTCTACCACCCGATTTACACTTTATAACAAAAAAATAATATTCTATAGGCACTATCCAAAGATTAGAGAGTAATTAGGAAAAACAGACGCTATAGCCCAGGTTTGACCTTGGTGCTACTTTAGATTCTTTTTTTTTTTCTTTTGAAACAGGGTCTCGCTTTGTCACCCAGGCTGGAGTGCAGTGGCATGATCTTGGCTCACTGCAACCTCCAGCTTCCAGGTTCAAGCAATTCTCCCACCTCAGCCTCCCGAGTAGTTGGGACTACAGGTATGTGCCACCACACCCAGATAATTTTTTCTATTTTTTGGTAGAGATGGTTTCACCATGTTGCCTAGGCTGGTCTCGAACTCCTGAGCTCAAGCAACCCACTGGCCTCGGCCTCCCAAAGTGCTAGAATTACAGGCATGAGCCATTGGGCCAGGCCCCATTTACCACTTCTAATGCTGTAACAGATTCAATAAAATTCTCTAAGATGTAATGATCTACTTTATGATACTGATTTATATCATCTTTGTGCAGAGAGGCTTCAACCTCTTGTTTGTGCTGGGCTAGGGCCAGAATCCAATTCAAAACTTTATTGGTCTTTTACAGTCTTTCTCTAATCCATGTGAGATATAAAAAAAAAACCTTAACACCTACCTTTCATCATTTCAAAAAAAAAATTTAGAGATGAATTGTAGAGCTAATTGTGAAAACTAAAACTGTAAGAAACAAAGGAGAATATATTCATGGGTGGATAAAGATTTCTTAAAAAGGAGGAAAAAGTACTAACCAGAAAATTACAAAATAATACATTGTATCTTTCTTTTAAACTGAAATTCTCCATTTTTATAAACATTAAAATATTTACTCATTTGCTTTATCCTATAATACACAGAAAATGTTTTTTACTTCACAGTACCAATATTACAACTAAGTATAAAACTATTAGTGTTCCAGGCTGGGCGTGGTGGCTCACGCCTGTAATCCCAGCACTTTGGAAGGCCAAGGCGGGTGGATCACAAGGTCAGGAGTTCAAGACCAGCCTGACCAACATGGTAAAACCCCATCTCTACTAAAAATACAAAAAGTAACCAGGCGTGGTGGCGCGCGCCTGTAATCCCAGGTACTCAGGAGGCTGAGGCAGGAGAATCCCTTGAACCTAGGAGGCAGAGGTTGCAGTGAGCCGGGATCGTGCCACTGCACTCCAGCCTGGGTGACACAGCGAGACTCTGTCTCAAAAAAAAAAAACAACTATTAGTGTTCTCCAGAGAAATAGTATATATATACTCTATCTATCTACCCATCTATCTACATACACATATATATAGAGAGAGAGACAGGGTGGGGAGTGGTGGAGAAGGAGAGTATAAGAAATTGGCTTACACACATTTTGAGCCTATGAAATCCCAAGCTCTGCAAGCTGGAGGCCCAGGAGAGCTGGTGACATAGTTCTAATCTGAGCTCAAAGGCCTGAGAACCAAGAGAGTCAATGGTGTAAGTTTCAGCTTGACTCCAAGTCCAAAGACAGGAGAAGAATGATGACCCAGCTTGAAGACCATTAGGCAGAGAGAGCAAATTTTTTCTTGCTCAGCCTTTTGTTCTATTTAGGCCTTCAATGAACTGGATGAGTCTTGCACACATTGGGAAGGGCCATCTGTTTTACTCAGTCTTACTGATTCAAATGTTAATCTCATCCAGACACAACCTCACAAACACATCCAGAGTAGTGTTTGACCAAATTTCTCAGCACCCAGAGCCCAGTCAAATTGACACATAAAATTAATTATCACAATTACTGTGAGGTTTATTTCCGGTTCTTTTTTTTCTTTAACTATATTCCATTAAGGCTGGGAGCAGTGGCTCACACCAGTAATCCCAGCACTTTGGGTGACCGAAGTGGGAAGATCACTTAAGTCCAGGAGCTGAAGGCCAGCCTGGGCAACATAAGAAGACACCATCTCTAAAAATAAATAAATCCCATTAAGATTGAAGAATGTGCATATTGCATTCAAAAGTCATCTGAAGACATTATTTCTGTGTCAACTTGATATACAGTTATGTTCCTGTGTTTTCAATTTTAGGGTTTGCTTTTTTCTTTTCACTTTGATTTTATTTTTTAATAAAGAAAATGTTCAAAAGTCAAAAGTAACTGAAAAGGTATACTCTGAGAACTCTTGTTTCTTTCTCTATACAGGTAGCCCTGTAAGTAACCTATAAGTAAAAAAAATTTGTTTATTGTTTCTTCCGTTGTTTACTTTTTCCCCCAAATCAGTCTCTCCTACTTATCTTTTCTCTAACACAAAAGGTAGCAAATTGCATATGCTGTCTTCATTGCATAGTACTCTAATCCTTTAAACAATATACACAATTTGAATTTTTTCAATTATTTCACTTTGATTATACATAGAAGTTATAGGTGCACTGAGAGGTAATGGCAAGGGAACAGGATAGACAGCCTATAGCACTAGCTGTTACCATTTGCATTAGTCAACTATTGCAACAATAATGGTGCATAATAAAGTACCTCAAACTCAGTATCTTACAATAATAAGCATTTATTTTCATGCTCATGGGTCTATAAATCAATTGTATGGGCTTGGCCACGTGGCCTTACGGCTGAAGATAGGGTTTAGGATTGCTCCACATGTTGGTTCTGGGGTCCATACTCAAGGGTCTATGGCTACCTGAGGCATCTTCCTTTCATGATGATCACCAAAGAAGGGGCATAAGAAACCATAAAAGCACATTTAAGTTCTCTGCTTATCTCACATTTGCTAATATTCCACTGATAAAAGCAAGTCACTTGGCTGAACCCAAAAGCAATGGGCAGGGAAGTATCTTCTGCAAATGGTCAAAGGCAGACGAAATGGATATTTGCTGAACAAGAAATCTAAACTATCCCCCAATATTAGGGTGTGCACCCTCTCTCTCCTTTCCTTCTTTCTCATTTTTGCTCCCTGTCATCTTTGTGCCTGTGAATGTTTCTGTATTCTAGTGATTTTGATGGCTATTGCCTTGGTCAGGTTAGGGCTAAGGAAGTTGATTACAACTGAGGTTGAAGAGTGGTCAATTCAAATACTAACTTACATTAAGCACTGCCCCAGACTGAGATAACTTCATCACTCCTGAAATTTTTACTCTATTCTTACATTTGGAAAATAAAAATGGCCAAGGAAACGTTTTGTTTTTTTTTCTGTGTGTTCTGCACAGCTCAAATATGTAAGATGCCTAAGAACTAGAGAAAGAATGGTAGGAGATAAATTTTGAGGATAGTGGCTGACTATGTGTGGTTTTGTTGGTCAAAGTAAAGAGTGCATTTTATTCTAAATGCAATGGGCGGACGTTAAAATGCTTATGTAGGGAAAACTTGCTTTAAAAAAAACAAAAAACAAAAACTTGTGTGGAGCATGAGCTGCAGGAGGCAAAGTGGAAATGGGGAAGTAAGTTAGGAAGCTGTTGTAGTAGCCTAAGTGAGTGATGATGTTCGTCTGGATTAGGGTGGCAACAGTAAATATGGCTAAGTGGTCAAATTCAGAATCTACTTTGGAGGTAGGACCAATAAGATTTATTGATGATTTGATGTGGGAGGTTACAGGAGGAAAGAGCTGCTCTCAAGTGTTTTGACTTAATGGTAGATGGAAAACATTGTTCTGGCTTAAACATGGTATATTTGAGGTGTCAGTCATGTGCATAGAGATTCTGAGTGAGCAGCTGCGTGGGTTTTTACTGAGCATCAGGTGCAGAGTTGAGACAATCATATTCCTTAGTAGTCAGCAGCATCGTATAATGGTTATGAGCACAGAGGATGGAGCAGACTGCCAGGGTCTGTGTTTCAGCTTTGCCACTTACTAGCACTGTGGCCTTAGGTAAGTTACTTAACCTCTGCGTGCCTCAGTTTTCTGGTTCTGTAAAATGGGAGTAATAGTATCTACTTCATGTGATCAAATGAGTTAATATAAGTAAAGCACTAAGAACAGTGCCTAATGTGTATTAAAGGCCTTCTAAACATGACATATTATTAGCACATTGTCATTTTCAGTCCATGCAAAACACTCTCATTGATTTTTCTTCTCTGATCTTTACTCCCATTCTCCTTCTCCATAAATGTATGCACTGTAATGTTGAAATATGATCGTAAATATGCATATTTCTTTGCATTATATATCGTGTGCTTTTCCTTTTAAGAAATTTTGTTGTTCAGTACAGCAAATACAGAGAACCATATACACTCTACATGTAAGGAGACAGACCTTTCCTCCCCACCCTAGAAATCTACTATATGCCTCCTCCCAACTATAATCCATTTTCTGCAAGAATGACCACTATTCTTTTTTTATTTTTTATTATATTTATTTATTTTGTATTTTTAGTAGAGACAGGGTTTCACCATGTTGCCAGGCTGGTCTCAAACTCCTGACCTCAAGTGATCCACCCACCTCGGCTCCCAAAGTGCTGGGATTACAGGTGTGAGCTACACCCAGCATGGAATAACCACTATTCTTTTATAATTAATTCCCTTCCTCTTCAGTTTCATTACCTAAGCATGCACCCCTAGACACTATTGTTTTGCCTGCTTTCTTTTGGGTTTTTTGTTTGTTTGATATGTCTCTTAGATTTCTCTTAATACAAAGATCCCCTTACTCTTTTTTTTTTTTTTTTTCGTTCCCTTGGAGTTTATTTGTCCTCTCATTTCCTATAATCTGAATTTTGTCTTTTGTATATTCTGTAAATCGACAACTAGATCAACTCAGGGTCAAAAATTTATGTTTCTATTTAACAAGAGTATGATGGATTTAACACACCAGGAGAAGACATTTGCAATGACTAAAATAGGAAAGAGATTAAGAATAAAAACTATAACATCCGGGAATCCATCTATTAAAGAATGCACATGACCTTCAGAAGGTTTTTAAAACACTGCTAAAATACATAAAAGATTTGAAAAAATAGATGCACTATGTTTATGGAGGTGAAATTTTGGGTAGGTAAGGTAGATTGGTACTCAGATCAATTCCAATTTCTTTCAAGTTTGCCTCCTTGTACTATAAATTTGGAAAGTTAAAAACTATATTTCCCAGATTTCCTTGCAGTTACCATCCTAGAAGTGAATTATTTTTGCCAACTAAGTACATTTAAGTAAGGTTTAGAAAGTGGAAGTGAGGCTAAAGCCTTTTTCCTGCTGCTTTGTTTTTGCTGGCAAGCATGCTCATGAGATATATTTTTTGCAGCAGCTTTCCAGAGCTCAGTCATTAGCTTTGTGGGTATTGAGTAGTACTTACTACAGTTATCTTCTTGATTCCTGAATTGTAGCTACAGTGGTGCATTCTTAACATCAATAATTCCAGTTGTAGGGTCCTGATTCTCTATCCTCCTAATGGGTGAAAACAGTTGCAGCAGGTCCTATGACAGCCCAGTTCTGGAGTGCAGGTTGAGTATCTGTTATGTGAAATGCTGGGAACCAGAAATTTTTCAGACTTGGGATTTTTTTTTGGAATATTTGCATTATGTACATACTGGTTGAGCAGCCCTAATCTGAAAATCTGTCATCTGAAATGCTCAATGAGCATTTCCTTTGAGCATGATGCTTGTGTTCAAAAAGCTTGGGATTTTGGAGCATTTGGGATTTAAAATTTTTGGATTAGGGATACTAAATCTGTATTATCTTAGGACTCACTTCTGACAGCCCAGGCTAAAGCCCACTCCTCCAGTCCTTCAAACTTTGTAAAGCACCAATTCCCTATATTAAATCCCTGTGTATTAAAAATAGCCAGATTTCCTACAAGTGAATGCAGAGGCATACAATTAGAAAATATATAAGTTTCCCAAATCGATCTATACAACCAATCCTAATCAAAATTTCAAAATGAAACAAAACCTAAAATGTACATAGAATATCTGCAAATCTGTCAGTCTCAAAAGTGAAAAAGGGAAATAGCCCTACCACCTATTAAGAATATTGAGTTGGCCAGGTATGGTGGCTCATGCCTGCAATCCCAGGCAGATCGCTTGAGGTCAGGAGTTTGAGACCAGCCTGGCCAACATGGTGAAACATGTAATAAAAAATACAAAAATTAGCTGGGTGTGGTGGTGGGCACCTGTAATCCCAGCTACTCAGGACACTGAGGCATGAGAATCGCTTGAACCCGGGAGGTGGAGGTTGCAGTGAGCCGAGTGCTCTGCACTCCAGCCTGGGCAACAGGATGAGACTAAAAAAAAAAAAAAAGAAGAAAAAAGAAAGAAAGAAATAAGCATTATATAAAGTGGATATTTTGGCTTTTGCTGAAGCTGACTCAAATCCAGCTGAGAGATGAAAACAATTCATGGACTTTGATTAGGCTATAAACTAGAAACCAAGGAGGGCAAACAGGGTTCACCTTTCTTGCCTTCTCTATTGACAGATACAATCTTGAGTGCTGAGTAAATGATTCTTAGGCTCCTTGAAGCCCAGCAGGAAAGCGTGGGAGCCAATTACCCACATTTGCCATAGACATTGGGAGCATACTGGAAATGGCTCCCACATTAGCACAAGTTACTCTTTTGGCATCCTTGAGCTAAGATTGCAATGTAATAACTTTTTTTGAAACAAAAAAATCCCATATTTTTGAAAAGTCTAGTATATAATTATTTTATTAGAAGAATCAGAATTTCCTGACTACTCATAAAACCAGCAGAAGCAGCTGGAGTCAAAAATCAAAATTTTGGCCAGGTATCGTGGCTCATGCCTGTACTACCAGCACTTTGGGAGGCCCAGATGGGAGGATGGCTTGATCCCAGGAGTTTGAGACCAGCCTGGGCAACATAGCAAGACCTCCATCTCTAAATAGAAAAGCACAAAAACCAAACCAAAACAGAACGTAAAAAGAAAATCAAAATTTTCTTTTTTACTATTAAGTAATCTTTTATATTTTCAACACGCAGCAAACTTTTAAATTCATGAAAGAACAGGAGAAAAAAGTAGGAACGAGGGGAAAATTAAAAAGTCATAAGCCAGGGAAAGTGGTGCACACCTGTAGTTTCAGCTTCTCAAGTGGCTGAGACTGAAGGATCCTTTGAGCGCAGGAGTTTGAGCCCAGCCTAAGCAACAAAGTGAGACCCCATCTCTTTTAATTTTTTTAAAGTTTTATATTTTTTAAAAAAATTATAAAAATAAAATTAGCAGCATCCCTGGTTTCAAAAAGTAGAAATAAATAAATAAATAAAAGTAGCTCACAATATTTCCTGAAAACAGGTGTATTAAAAGGGCAGAGGAGAGGGAAGGCAAAGAAAAAGAAAAAAAAGGTGGCAGGTTACATACATACAATCTTGTCTCTATAAAAGCTCAGAAAACATCACGTGACTAGGAAGTTTCAAATGCCTCCAATATAACATGGAGGAGAGGAAAAAAACTGTTCCTGGACAAAGATACACATTTCTTCCAAAAGGGGGAGTCTTTCTATATATTTTGTAATATCTCCAGAGCACAGCATAATGTTGGTACTGCCATTTTGGCCTTTGTCATTAGGAAGGTAACCCACATAAGCCTAACTACAAACACCCTTACCTGTACTAAAACTTCACTCATATTTAACTGAAGCAACATTGTTTTTTGTAAATATAACTGTAACAATTATTCTAAAAGGCAATACAGCTGTCCTCACCAGTTATGTTCTTGAGACATCAGTTGCAACAAACTTATATGTAAAAAGTATTCAAAAAGTTTAAACATTGATCTTAACTGGAGAGGGGTCTGCACTTGAACAAGTTTTCTTGCTACACACATTGCATTCTAAGATTTCGGACTCACTTTTGAATATGCAAAGACATTTCATGGTTAAGACCACAAAAAGGCTGATCAGAGAACATTTTTATTTAAATTGCCATTTTAAATATCAGTCGTTTTATCTTAAAGCTTGTCCTGGGTTTAACAAAGTTTAACTCACATCCACGCGTTGTCTCTCCAAACACAGCAGGCAGAAATTCTCCTTTGATTGGATTAAGATAGATAAAGTCTGCTTAACCGTGAATCGCTAATTGTCAAATCCATGCCAATTCGGTACCTAGGAGTCAATTTTTTTGCCTGATAAACAAGATAATTGTGTGGACCGTTTTAAGGTGGTTAGTCATCTGCTAAATTGGCTGAAATGCGGATTACCCAGTTCCTTCGTCGTACAGAGTTGCATTCTGAGGAGTGGGGCTCGGGGATACAGCCCCCAGAAATTCTGAACCTCGGTCCCGCAATCTACCACACCACCTAACCTTGGAAGGCCAAACTAACTTCACTATTTTTGACAAAATGCTTTGGTAATGGCTCATTCGGGCCGAGAGGGAAATTCTGCAATTCTCCAACCCACACCTCCAGCAAGGGGAGAGCTGCTTGAGTGGTGAGCACAAGCTGGGCACCTCCGGCGTCTCCAGGAAACGTGAATAGGCCCTTTCTTCGGAGGGCACAGAACTTCAGGATCAGGGCCCAATGGAGACTGAGCGGACTTAACCCTAACTGTGCACAGGACCGCGCTCTCCGACCCCTTTGTGGCCTCTCCCAGAGGTACGGGCTGCGCCCCAAGCCAGCAGTCTCTCGTAGGGCCTACAGCCGGCAGCCGCTGGAGCAGGAGGAGGAGAATAGGGACTCGCTGGACCATCACAAACGCTGTCGCGCGTGCGCAGGGAGGAACCGAGTTCGCGGCGAAGTCAGTTTCCTGACTCTTGAAGGAAGTGGCCTTGTGTCACTTCCGGCCTCCCTTTAGCTGCCATCTTGCGTCCCCGCGTGTGTGCGCCTAATCTCAGGTGGTCCACCCGAGACCCCTTGAGCACCAACCCTAGTCCCCCGCGCGGCCCCTTATTCGCTCCGACAAGGTACAAAAAGGCTCTGGACGGCGGCGTGGTAGGAGGACGGGAGCGGGGGCGGGAAGTTCCCTGAAGGAGCGAGACAGGGAGGGACAGGGCAGAGGAGGAGAGGAAGGCGATGCGACGGACAGGCGCACCCGCTCAGGCTGACTCTCGGGGGCGAGGTCGAGCCAGGGGCGGCTGCCCTGGGGGCGAGGCGACGCTGTCTCAACCTCCACCTCGCGGCGGAACCCGAGGACAGGAGCCTCAGGTACCGCGAGGCTTGCGGAGAGTGGCCGGGCCGGGCAGGCCCTGGCTAGGCCGAGGCCAGGCCAGGGCCAGGGGTGGGGGGTGCTGGCCAGGCGTGGGGTAGAGCCTTTCATCCGGGCCTGCCAAGAGCGGGGAGCTGTGGGGGAGTGGTGGGGAGGCGGGTGCTCTTTGGGCTCCCTGGAAACCCAAATTTGGAGCTTTGCGGGGTGGATTTGGGATCCAGGTTTCGGCCTGTGTAGGACGTTTATTTTCCTGCTGGTATCTTGGGAAATAACGAGCATGGAATGCTAGAGTGAGCTAAACCTATCCTTGCTGAGGATTTCCTCTTTTTCTAGATGAAAGAAACAATCATGAACCAGGAAAAACTCGCCAAACTGCAGGCACAAGTGCGCATTGGTGGGAAAGTAAGTTTTAATAGTTCGGGTTTGTGGGTTTTTTTTTTAAGGTTTAGGTATTTTAAAAAACATATTCCTTTTGCGCTTCTTATATTATCGGTGACAAACTTTGCCTATCGAGGGAAATTCACGGAGCTAGCAAATCTCGAGGAGCGGGGGAGACGAGGGTTGGAGACACATCAGTGAGACGAGCTAAAAACATCGCCTTTGTGTAAACATGTTTGTGTTTTCAGTGTTACAGAGTGTAAGTAGAACACAAAAGTGTTTCCTAATTTAATTAGTAAGGAAAATGTGTCATTTCAGTTAGATCGTTGTGCACATCATACCCTTGACTTGTTTTGGCCTGAGTTTTCTAAAGTCAGTGCTTGTTTGTCTCTCTTGTAAATTGAGACCTTTCTGTACTGCTTTCTGAACTAAATATTCTTTAGGGTAGTTGCATATTTCAAGGGTATTTGAAGATACGGGTACATTTTGGAGTTTAAGAGCAGTGACTATTAGATTTGAAAATATAACCCAAGTAGGTATCTTTCCTGTTCTGACTTTGTATTACTGTAAAAATGAGGGAATTAAAGTGACTGATTTTTAAATGATCAGTTTTTGATTAATTGTTTTTTTCCTGGTGGATACTGATTCACATCAAGGGGATTCTTTTTTGAAGCTGATTTTTAGATTGTCCTGTAATTAATAAGAAGTCCACTGTAGACAGAGGTCTACCTAGTTTGTATTGTTAGCACATTCTTAGTATTTAACAAGGTGTGGTAGCTTGTTGAAACAGAGCATGTCTTTACTTGGTAAAACTTGTAAAGCTTCCATGGTACATGTTTATTACCTTTTAGTTTTTCCCAACTTTAAGCGTTTAACTTAGAGTTAGCTGTGAGATAGCCAGAAGTTGCACTTAGACTTAAATAATAATATACAGCTTTGTTAAATTACTGAACTTTGCCAGCGGTGAATTTATCCTGATTTTTTTTTACTTTTTATTTTTGTTAACGTTAGCCATCTTCAGGATCCACACCCACACATTTAACAACATTAGATGTTTCTTGTCCTCTTTAATCAATTGTTATCAGACTGTGGCCTTCAAGTGCCAGCAAAACTCAAATTTTTTGTGTCTCAGTGTTTGGATGCTCTTATATTGGTGTTTTTAACCACTCTTACTTTCAGTACAGTTTCAGAAGGAGTAATTTGAATAATGTGCTTATGTGCAGTCTTTTTGTTGTTACTCTCATCATTAGGCTTTAACTTTGGGAGACATCATTTTAGGGTAAAGGAAATCTTGAGATTTGCTAGGATATTTAAAGCTGATAACAAGATTAAATTTTGTGTCCTAACATCTTAATACTCGTTTAGCTAATAATACAAGAAGTATTTCTGTAGTCACAATATGGAAACATTTCTACACTGTTTAAGAAACGTACTTATTATGGGATGTGAAATTAGGTGAGTTAATTTTGCTTTAGAGAAAACTGCAGGTGTTAGGTGCTCTTAGGTAAATGTTACAAAAGCCCTTTATTTTCATATCTAATCACAGCATTAATAATAATTATTTAAGTGAAAATTGAACTCTACATATGTGAAGTGTATGAAACCTCTAGAAAGTATGCTGGGTTTGTCTTTACAATCTTAGAAATTCCTTTGAGTTTCTTAGAGAAGATTTCTTTGGAAACCAGATACATACATGACCATTTCAAAGTGATTTTTGTACTTAATAGTTTGGAGAGGTTAGTAACCAGTACTTTTTTTTTTTTTTTGTAGCCATAGATATTTTCTTCAGTTAAATAACAAGATTTATTTAAGCCTTTACTATGTTGGATCCTGAGAATATAAAATTTTAAGAAGTTTAAAGTCCCTAGGTGGGCTTTAAGCCTAGCAGTGGCGATAATTGTCTTTTCTTAAAAAAATCTTCTTTCACAGTGTAATATACATAGTACAATAGTAGAAGCATTTTCAAAATCTAGAGATGGGAATGATTTGGCATAGGGAAAGGGGGTAATTGCAGAATTTAGGAAAGGCAAACAGGAGGTAATGACTTGAATAAGATTTTAAAGGATGAATAGGAATAGGGATGGAGGTTGGGGGACGGTGAGGTGGTTGGGTGTGATAGACTTTCCTTGAGTGCCTTCAGTGAGCTAGATACTGTTGTAGATACTGGGTTTATAGCAATAAACAGAAGTCCTTATGGAGCTTACATTCTAGGGAGAGGAGATGGATGATAAAATGTATTTATCTCTTATAGTAATAAGTGTTATGAAGAGAAATAAACCAGGATAGAAAGAAATTGATGAGTGAGTGTGGAAGTTGCTATTTTACTTTGGGTAGTTGAGAAAGACCACTTTGATCAGGTGACATAAGAGTAGAGATCTGCAGTGAGGGAAAGAGCCATGTAGATGTTCCGGAAGGAGAGGAACAGCATGTGCAAAGGCCCTTGGGTCATAGCCTGCTTGGCCTGTTCAAAGAATAGCCAAGGTTTATTGGCTAAAGAAGAGGGATGGTAGCAGATGCAGTCAGGAGTGGCATATTAAGGGCAGGACAGTTTGTGTAGGGCTCTTGTAAGTTAAGGTAAGGGCTTCAGACTTTACTATCGAGTCCTATAGAAGTCTATATACAGATTCATTTGATTGTTCCATACACTGTCTTGCCTGTAAATATTAATTTGGATGTTGATTTTTATTTAATATAAAAACAGAAAAGGGGTCAGGCGCGGTGGCTCACACTTGTAGTCCCAACACTTTGGGAGGCCGAGGCAGGCGGATCACTTGACGCCAGCAGTTTGAGACCAGCCTGGCCAACATGGTGAAACCCCATCTCTGCTAAAAATACAAAAATTAACCAGGCATGGTGGTGCCTGTAATCCCAGCTACTCGGGAGGCTGAGGCAGGAGAATCACTTGAACCTGGGAGGCGGAGGTTGCAGTGAGCCGAGATTGCGCCACTCCAGCCTGGACGACACAGTGAGACCCTGTCTCAAAAAAAAAAAAAAAAAAAAACAGAAGAGGTTAATAATTCTGGATGTGGAATTCTTTCAAATGCTTAATTTAGATTGACACATGCTACCTCTTTGATCACTTTTAGAGCAAATGTAAAAAGTAGAACTTTGAAAAGATCATTCTTTTCCTTTCCCATTTTTTGCTTCTATCTTCGCCTTAGCCTGCCTGCTCACTGCATAAGTTTATGATTATGGTAATGTTCTTATACAGATCCAAAGGTCAGAAATGAATTGGAAACTATTCCCATTTGAAAAATATCTGTTGTGGTATAAATGTGCTGTTTTCTTTCCTCTTCTCCCTGACTTTAGGGAACTGCTCGCAGAAAGAAGAAGGTGGTTCATAGAACAGCCACAGCAGATGACAAAAAACTTCAGTTCTCCTTAAAGAAGTTAGGGGTAAACAATATCTCTGGTATTGAAGAGGCAAGTATCAAATTTTGTTACTTTAAAAAACAAGATTTGGCTGGGAAAAGTTAACGTTAATGCATTAAATGGGTTGTTTTTTTTTTTTTTAACTTAGGGACTTCAAAGTCCCTAAGATGTGTTTCTACCATAAATTAATAAATATCAGGGAGCTCATTAAGTCTGAATGCTATTAGAATACATATTCCATTCCAGGCAAAATTTCACCTGTGCTTCACAGTGAAATACTAGTTAGCCAGACTTAGTTTAATAAAACATTTGTTTTTAAAGAGACTGGTCAGCATTGCTAATTTAAATTTTTCTTTTCTTAATAGGTGAATATGTTTACAAACCAAGGAACAGTGATCCACTTTAACAACCCTAAAGTTCAGGCATCTCTGGCAGCGAACACTTTCACCATTACAGGCCATGCTGAGACAAAGCAGCTGACAGAAATGCTACCCAGCATCTTAAACCAGCTTGGTGCGGATAGTCTGACTAGTTTAAGGAGACTGGCCGAAGCTCTGCCCAAACAATGTGAGTTTCCTAGTAATGGTTTTACCAGGGAATTACTCATTTAGCAGCTGATTTCTGATCTCAGGGCTCAGAATGGATATGAGTATTTTTAAGTTTGGAAATGCAAGCTTTAAAAATAACAGATTTGTAACTGATTTTAAGCAACTGTCCTTGCTCAAGTTTGCAGTAATTGATGTAGCGTGCCATGATTGTTACACTTGATTTTGTGGAATGTTTTCTACTTACTTGATTTGGATCAGATACTTTATTAACTAGAAATGATGAAAATGTTAATTTGGTGCTTTGCCAATAACTACTTGTAAGTTTGGAATTGAAAAAAAAATTAGTGTAAATTATGAAATTACTTCAGTTTCATCTATATAGTTCGTATTACCAGTAATCTTTTAAAAATGGCTTGCCAGTATTCTGGCATTTTTAATTACAGTGTGATAGGGATTTTATTCGGGGCAGAAAATAGTGTAGCTGAATATACATCTGAGGATGTGGCAGTGTTATGCTGTTTTCTGTGCTTAAAATTTTGAAGAATAGGAATGCAGGAGGAAGTCAGAGGCTTATATATGGCTCTTTAGTTACCCATGTTTTTCTAGGTATTGACTTAATCTGCCTCAATTTTCATTTTTATTATCACATTGAGTTGCAGGTTCTAAACTGTCAGGGCTTTCAGAGCTGAAATAGGCTTTTGAAGTATCCCACTGATGCCTGTATGGGCCTAGTACATAACTCTCCTGTGTACGTTCATATTCTTGTGTGATAAAGGAGAGTGGATGCTTACCACTCACAGACTCTTTAATTTTTTTACTTTAACTTTTTTCATTTCAGTAAGTGGTTGTTGAGCATCACCCTTATGCCACACACAGAGTAGTTGAGAAAATGGCATCTTCATTTGTCTCCCAAAATCTCACCATGATTTGGTATGTGGGTTTTACCTGCACTCTAAGAGTTCCCTACTGCCCTTATACTACCTCAGGGCCTATGGTGGCCCAGAGGGATTGAAAGGATGGGTATGGAATTTTGTTTGTTGGCTGTTCCTAGTATTTTAACCCATTTGTAGACATTAGAATATCATGTTATTGATAGTATCATAGATAAAATCCCAAATGTCCCTTATCATGGAAATAAGTTGTAACAACACTTGGCATTTCATCTGTTCTTTTTTTTTTTTTTTTTTTTTTTTTGGTGAATATTTATTAAAAACCTAGACAAATAATGTTTACATTTTCCTTTCATAGCTGTGGATGGAAAAGCACCACTTGCTACTGGAGAGGATGATGATGATGAAGTTCCAGGTAGGAACGTTTACTTGTGGTTAACCTAGAGAATCTTAGCAAGGGAGAATAAGAAATCTTTGTAGGAAAAACTACCCAGGGAAGAGGGGTGGTAAGTTAAGATGGACATAGATCTTACTTAGAATGAGAAAAATAATGCAGTATTAGGTAATTGAGAATTATGTTTATAGACTTGACTTGGCTTGTTTCTGTTTGGGATCCCAAGGATGTGTAGGTATCTAACCTTAAATATTGAATAAATAAGTATATATATATAGTACCCTAAATATAACTATTACCTGCAGAGCACTAATGACCCTTGCTCCCTACTTTGAAACTCATGAATTTACAAGAAGGTGTGGAGTTGTTCAGGTATCTTGGGATATATATATGCATTCTAAAATCTGTAGCAGCATAACTCCTTTGGGAATCATGAGACATTTTTGTCTCTTACCTGTTATTGGATAAATTTACGTTCTTCTAAAATATTTATTGGGCAGGAGAATCACTGGACTCATAAATATTCCCACTTTGCATAGACAGGTATCCTTAGGAATCCAGGAAAATTTTAACATTGTGTGTCATTGTATTCTTTGGTTCTGCTCCCCCACTATTGACCAATGTATGAGATGGGAAGAGGGGGGCATTTTTTTCACTTTTTTTTTTTTTTGCATTCTTGTTCTTGGGGCTATGACACAGTATTTATCATCATTGGCAAATGAATGTCTTTCCTTCATCCCCTTTTAATATCTGATAATTATTTGTAGATTTGGCTTTTTTAAGAATTTCTACTCTTTTCCTTTTCCTAGATCTTGTGGAGAATTTTGATGAGGCTTCCAAGAATGAGGCAAACTGAATTGAGTCAACTTCTGAAGATAAAACCTGAAGAAGTTACTGGGAGCTGCTATTTTATATTATGACTGCTTTTTAAGAAATTTTTGTTTATGGATCTGATAAAATCTAGATCTCTAATATTTTTAAGCCCAAGCCCCTTGGACACTGCAGCTCTTTTCAGTTTTTGCTTATACACAATTCATTCTTTGCAGCTAATTAAGCCGAAGAAGCCTGGGAATCAAGTTTGAAACAAAGATTAATAAAGTTCTTTGCCTAGTATACAGTTTTATTTTTTTATTTCATTGACACCGATCTGTACACAGTAAAAAAAATTGCTTATAGAAAGCTAATCATGGCATGTAATATGGCTGATAACCTTTGGAATTTGATTAAAGATTTAAAATCACGGTGTAGTGTAACAAAGGTGGTATAAAGTTCTCAGGTTTGAAAACTTTGCTCTCCAACAGTCCTTAGTGCTTCCATGATTTATATGGTGGGTGTAAATATGAGAATAGAGTATTCCTTAGTGGATAAACAGACATTTCTCCCTGATATTCTCTATTGTAAGCATATGTTAAGTGCCTTTTATGAATTACCTCGGTGTTATCTCCTTTATTCCTCAATTTGTGAAGAACTAATAGCTCCATTTTGTAGATGTAACCTGAGGTTTAGAACTTCTAAAAAGTAAAAGTAATCTCCAGATCCCTTCTTTGTAGGATATTTTATAAGGTGACTTGGAAAAGGTAGTGTTTAGAATAGGAGTGGCTCCTGGGTCATTGTCTTTTCCTTAAGTGTCAACACTAATAAATGAATAGGGTTATGTTTTTATTTAATAAAAAATATACAGTAAAATTGAGCATATACAGTTAAAAGAATTTATAATGTCTGCCACTATAATCAGGTTACCAGACAGTTTCATGGTCCCAGAAAATCCCTAAACATAGGGTTACTTTTAAACATTTTTACAAATTACAATGAAAACAATTGTGTAATCTGAACCAAGGCCATTTGAGGAGAAAATAGTTTCTACTTGTAATGGTAATTTATTTTAAATTTTCATAGCAATTTGCAAGTACCTTTTGAAAGTATTATACAGTTGTATCTAAAAGTCACTATTAACCGTAGGGAAAACAAAGTTTTGAGTAAACAGTATTTGCAAATATTTACATTGTATTTTCCTCAGGATGTTTATCAGTTTTGTTGAAGTACACTGCTACAGTGACAAGACTCCTGAAGTCTCAACTGTAACAAAATTATAAAAACTAAGTGCACATTTACAGACTCTTGGTCAGGTTGGGCTGTGCTTATATAGTCACGCTAGATCCCACCCTGATGGCAGCACCTATCTGGGACACTCGGCTTCCTGGCAGAGAAGATGGTGGGTCATGCGCTGGCTCTTAAAGCTGTTACAAACAAAACCAAAGCAAGTGGAATGGCTAAGCTGCAGGGCAGTGGCATGGGGACTGAGGATTTGTGTTTCTGACAAGTTCCCAGGTGATGCTAATGCTACTGGCCTACTGGCCCTACTTTGAGTAGCATGATTGGAAACATTCTCAGCCCAAGAAGTATTGGGGGTGACTGACTGACTGACAAGCTTGTGGAGAATGCCACTGTCTGAATATCTGTCCAGTTTGATCTAGGCCTAGCGGAAAGGGACTAAACAGAAGTGCAGTCGATTTCCAGGTGAGGCCTATCCCAGCATATCTTGCTTATTGGACAGATGTTGTCTAAGGTTAAGCCTGTTGTGCCTGCACTCAGCAACTTCTTTCCAACAATCTAAAATTATTTCTTCAGCTTATTGTGTAAATAAGGGTTTGTGTTCGTGGCTATGGATTAATATGGCAAGTTTTTCTTGTAGTCTCTTCAATATCAAAATAGGAAGGGTTATGTTACAGTTAGAAAGGACCAAAAGTCTAGTTGCTACAAAGGTTTGTCACATTTGAAGTTTGTGGTTTGCCCATGGCTGGGCTCCGCTGTACTCCAGAAACATCTAACTGGAACATTGCCAGTCTCATGATAGGGAAAATATGGAGAACAATCAGCTGGCTCTTTCAAAGTGATGCTGGGAAGTGATGCATATCATTAATAAACTTCCTCAGCCAAAGCAAGTCACATACAGAGTAGTGGCTGTGGGACTGGGGAAGTATAATCCTCCAGGGTAGCAGATATTTTTGGACAATAATACAATCTACCATATCTTTCTAATTTTTCTTTGTCTACAGTCCGTTTAGCTGCTGTTACATATTAAAAGCACTCTACCACTTGTTTTGTGTCTTCTTTGCTTATAACCCCAAGAAAGAGCCTTATTGTACAGATAAGAAAATTATCTTTAAGAGGTGAAATTATTTATCTCAGGTCACACACCCCCCAGGTGTTAGGATGAGATTCAAATCCAAGTCTGCTCTTTCAAGTTCACTACCTGCTGGAAAGAATTTTAGGCCCTGGCAGACTAGAGGGGCAGACCGGAACAAACTAGTTTTCAGCTGGAAACTGAAATAGACATCTGTTTCGATCTGACAGCTTTTGGGATTAATACCCTTTATTTGTTAAAATAATTGAGCTAAAATACGTTTGTTTCATTCCCATAACCCTATGGTGCACAGAACAGAGAGCTACATTCTAAAATTTGGAAACAGATTGAGAAATGAGCTGAAAGTAAGATTTTGGTCTGATTTCTACTAATCTTTTTTTCTCCATTAATGCTGGATTCATGTTCTTCAGTAGCTCTTCCCTCCCTCTGCCATCCCAGTAAGATATATATGTTTGTATATGTGTGTGTGTGTATATATACATATACACATATATATACACATATACATATATATACACATATAATACATATATACACATATATATACATATATACACATATATACATATATATACACATATATAGATATATACATGCACACATACTTTTTTTGAGAGAAGTATTAAGGCAACTAATAACAGTTTTCAGCTTTTCCAAAACAATGATTAGAAAAGTCTTCTATTCACATAAGTTTTCATCGCTCCAATCAGCACAGTCTTGAATGCCATTTTTGCAGCGAGTTCTGGGAATGCAGGCACAGTCAGCAAAGAAAACAGTATCACATCTCCAGCCTGAACACTTTGGGCACTGTAAAACTAGACAATTTTATTTATTTTAAAAACCATAACTGTTAAAATGTCAAGGTGGACTGAAAAAGATATTATTGGAAAAGAAATAGCCCCCTGGATCTTAAAAATATTAGTGAAAACTGCCCAGCAGGAAAAATTGCAGATGTTTATTAAAGATTCTACATATTTGGGTGAAAGAATTTGTACTTTGAAAAGCCAAGACAAGTACTACCCCTCACCATCAGCCTAAAAATAAACTTACTGACATATTGCATAAATAAGAAAGGGTGCTCACACCGCCCGCTGAGCTCTGTGATGTAGCCGCTTGCGGAGACTGCAAGCAGCCACGGCGCGCCCTCTTCCGTGGGAATGGAAACATCTGCCACACGTGCCGGAAGCCAAGTGGTGGCGACAACTGCGCGCCACTCCGCGGCCTACCGCGCAGATCCTCTACGTGTGTCCTCGCGAGACAAGCTCACCGAAATGGCCGCGTCCAGTCAAGGAAACATTGAGGGAAATTTTGAGTCACTGGACCTTACGGAATTTGCTAAGAAGCAGCCATGGTGGCGTAAGCTGTTCGGGCAGGAATCTGGACCTTCAGCAGAAAAGTATAGCATGGCAACCCAGCTGTTCATTGGAGGTGTCACTGGATGGTGCATGGGTTTCATATTCCAGAAGGTTGGAAAGTTGGCTGCAACAGCTGTGGGAGGTGGATTTTCTCTCCTTCAGCTTGCAAACCATACTGGGTATATCAAAGTTGACTGGCAACGAGTGGAGAAGGACATGAAGAAAGCCAAAGAGCAGCTGAAGATCCGTAAGAGCAATCAGATACCTACTGAGGTCAGGAGCAAAGCTGAGGAGGTGGTGTCATTTGTGAAGAAGAATGTTCTAGTGACTGGGGGATTTTTCGGAGGCTTTCTGCTTGGCATGGCATCCTAAGGAAGATGACCTCATGTTCATTGTTCCTGGTTTTTTCCAGCCAGCAGCCTCTACACTCCATCGTAGGACATCGAGTCCCTCCTCTCCTTCTCCCATGCCTTCCTGCCTGCCATGGCAAATCTGAGTGGCTTCTATAAGCTTCTGCTGGTACAAATTAATGTGGCACCATGAGCTTGATGGTGGCAGAAGAGACAATAGTCCTTAGCTCTCCTCCCAGTACACCCCCTACTTGGTCAGTCTGTAGGTCAACAAGAAGGTCAGTCTGTAGGTCAACAAGAAGGTTCCTTTACCCCCATGCAAGACACTTATGAGAACACATTGCAAGATGGCTGACCGTGGAGGATGAGTGGATCCTGAAAGGTTGTCCCAAACTGTTGATTTGGAAAAGAAATAAGCACATAGATAACCTTATTGTGTGCTGCATGGAAAGGAACTGAATACATTTGCCTTTAAGCATGAAAAAAAAAAAAGAAAGAAAGAAAGGGTCCCTTTGAGTTTGTATGTTCAATCAGCAGGGAAAAGAATCACTGCTAATTGGCAGCTAGCAAGAAGAAAAGGATCTCCTTATACTTTTAGTCTTTATTTGTCAGAGCATTGTTATCTGTAATTCCTAGCATTTCTATTTCTACCCTCCACGATGACCAGACAAAGGGCAGGAAATTATCTATTTAGCGTATTTCTGATAGGGCTTTCAGATACTACTAACTGGGGCCACGAGGTATTGGAATTGCACCTCTGCCATGTTTTCATGAAATTGTGGGGTGATCAGGTGTCTGCCAAGTATTAAACTACCGTAAGGAACAGAATGAGGGGAGGAGAGAAGGAGGAAAGTGAGGGAGGAAAAGCAAGGAAATGGCAAAGGTTAAACAAAAAAATTTTTGAGAGCCAAAGCACTCAACAGATTTTTGTTTGATCTTCACCAACCTTTGTAAAGAAATATAGAAGGAATCTGATAGCAGACAAGAGCTGTCCGTCAAGATTATTTCCTTTGGTAATTCTTACAGAACTGGCTGTATTCTTAGCTAGAGAATTCATCTAGTTTAAACATGCACAAACTACTGGAAATGACAGAATCTTAAAATCATGGATGTATCCTTAAGGAAGGCTTGTAAGGATGAGTTAATTTATGTAATTGAAGTATAAGGGTAGCCACTCCAAGAAGCCATTAAAAAATTAATGACATTTTCATTTTTACCTGATTTATCTGAGCAATCACCACAGTCATTTCTTGTGTCACACACCTTGTCCATATATGTCCAAGTCTTCTGGTTGGGACACTTGAATATCAAGTTTTGTGGGAGACTGTTGGGCATTTGACCTATATTAGACAAAAGCATTAATTCTAATAGAAAGCATTCACGTACAATAATGTTTTCATATAATTCTGAATTTTAGTGATTAGTTGCTGGTGACTGTTTTTAAATTTTGGTTACTTGTCTGCCTTACTAGAGTGGGTAGCAGGTTCGTCTTCCCCTTGACTGCAATCCAACTTGCCATTACACAGCTGGGAGGGTGGCAAGCAAGTGCTGAGGTCCTCGCACAAGAAGCCCAGTTGCTGTGAAGCTGTCTTACATTGTCGATGTGGTAAATCTGGAAAATATTTATTTATTTATTTATTTCGAGACGGAGTTTCGCTCTAGGCTGGCGTGCAGTGGCGCCATCTCAGCTCACTGCAACCTCTGCCTCCTGGGTTCAAGCGATTATCCTGCCTCAGCCTCCCTAGTAGCTGGGATTACAGGCACCTGTCACCACACCCGGCTAATTTTTGTATTTTTATTAGAGACGGGACTTCCCCATGTTGGCCAGGCTGGTCTTGAACTCCTGACCTCAAGTGATCCTCCCGCCTCAGCCTCCCAAATTGCAGGGATTACAGGCATGAACCACTGCGCCTGGCCTAAATCTGGAAGATTTATAAGACAAGTATTAAATGTTGACACATGCATTCGTGACCATGAACATCAGCTTTAATAACAACATGCCCCTCTTCCCTCTTCTGCTTCTTACCATCGTTCTTTTTTTGACTGAAGCTTTAGCTGTAACCATTGTTCTTTTGCCCATTATTTCTCCTCCCTCTTTTCTTTCTTATTCTCCCTCATTCTTTTTTGTAATACTACTGTATGTGGGCAAACAAGCATACACTCACCACTGCTGGAGAAGTACTGGAAGGTGCCTGGGAGAGGGTCCATAGGCATAGGCTCTGGCTTGAGCTTTACCATGGGCTGGTTATATAGCCCCCTCCATTATTTTCTTAGCTAGAAATGAGAGCAAGGGTAACTCTCTATGCTGACTTCATGGGGATACTATGAGTTAAACTGATATTATTGTTTAAATGTAATTAGTCTACCCATTCAAAAAATGAATGGGAGGTAGTCAAAATAATGTGAAAGGTATTTTTAAAAATTTCAAGTGCTATAAAAATTAGATGGTGGAAGTTAAGATGTAAAGAGCTCATTGGTAACATTTGTATCTCAGACATATTTACACCTAAATAACGTATACCCAGAAAATTCCAGATTGGTGTGTAGAGTGATAAACAGGCTGGAAATACTTTAGGTACCTGATTTAGAAGTGGTGAGGGCTTGGTAAATTTTACATCTTAAATATTTTATAGTTGGGACTGTTGACAATTAAGAGGCAGATAACACTAGTTTATATCCCTTAATCTAAGAGGTGCTTGGCATTGTGGTTTTAGGGACAAGAACTGTTACGATCTGATAATCTGAAAGAACTTGTGTCATTTTTCATCCTCTGAGAAATTAACACCAAACTAGATTAGATGTGAATCTAACTTGGAGGATTATAGTTTGGGGAGGAAGCAAAAGTAGGCAAGGGAACCTATCCTGATGCAGTTCTAATGCCTATGAAAGGAGGGGGTTAATGAAGGTCTGCGTAGGAAGTCTCAGACTGCAGCTTTTTTTTTGTGAGACGGAGTCTCACTCTGTTGCCCAGGCTGGAGTGCAGTGCAATGGCGTAATCTCTGCTCACTACAACCTCTGCCTCCCAGGGTCTAGCAATTCTCCCGCCTCAGCCTCCCGAGTAGCTGGGATTACAGGTGCCTGCCACCATGCATGGCTAATTTTTGTATTTTTAGTAGAAATGGCGTTTCACCATTTTGGCCAGGCTGGTCTCGAACTCCTGACCTCAGGTGATCCGCCTGCCTCGGCTTCCCAAAGTGATGGGATTACAGGCGTGAGCCACCGTGCCTGGCCTGCAGCCAGTTCTAAGAAAGTTTCAGACAGGCCAAGGTGGAGTCTTTGAGGCAAAGTCACCCATTAGCAGGGTCCCATGTCTTGAGGGATGGGTAGCACTAGCAACCCCACAGTGCTCAGTAATTGCCTGGGGACCACGTGGGGAAGAGTAGCCTTGGCATGAATGTGGTGGTGGGTCCAGACAGGTGGTGGCTGGGGCTGTCAGTTAAAGGAGCTCCCTGATGCAGACGCTCTTGAAGGAGACCTGAGCAGAGCACTATTATTGGCACATAATATGTGCTCAATAAATGCTTTTCTGAATGAGTGTTCAAAAGGTAAAATGAGAATCCAGATCTTACCCTTATGTCCCATTGTGTAGAATCCTACTAACTCCCAAAGCTGACTAGGATCGTGAGTCCAAAACTGTTCTCATCAGGAGACCAACACCCTAAGCCTTAGGTTTTTGTTTGTTTGTTTGTTTTCATGGCAATTTGATGAGTCAGTTTCCCATATTTCAAATCTATCACTTTCTCTATGCCCCATTTCCTTCACTGAAGCCACACAAATACTGCTTGCTTTTATCATCTCAAAAGCCTTCCATGGCTCCACTTCTGGCAGCATCAAGGTTCAGTTCTTTAATCAACATGCATTACTGAAGGCATTTGTCCAATAAGCATGTAGCAGGGCTGGGATTAGAAGGATATTGCTTGTCTTCAAGATGCATTCCAGAACAGATAATTACTGCACTGTGTGTCCAGGAGCTGGGTTAAGCTTTACACAGGATTTGTGGAAGCACAGAGGTGGCACACCTCACTCAGTCTGGGGACACCTGAGATTAGTCTTAAACCCTCTATGAGCCAGCCAAACAAGCAATGGAAGAAGGACATCATGGCAGAGCGGAGAGCATCTGCCAGAGTGTGGCAAGAGGAAGCGTGGTGTCAATGTGTGGATGCGTGTGTGTAATGCAATTCAGTGCTACTGGACCATAATCCTTCCTTATTTTTCACTCACCCCCACCCCTTAACTACTCAGTGTTATTTTTCACCTCTCTCCCTCACATACTTCAAGTTTGGTGCAAGGCAAAGTCCTAATCCTTTGTGTCCTACCAGAGGGTACACAGTTTCCATCTCTGGCAAACCTCTTCCCAAACCTCAATCTAAATCTGAACCCCCTACAAGGTTTGGCTCCAGTTCTCACTTTTATGACCGTGTCCCTTCAGCACCAGTTCTAGCTGATTTCTCTCAAATTACTGGAAATATGTATCATCTCACTCAACTTAATTCCTGGTCGTATGCTGTTCTGTATTGCCCACGACTGTTTCACCAGTCTCCTAATCACAGTGGAAACTCCTGGAAGGTGGAAACTGTATCCTGACTTCAGAGTCAGGCTGACCTGGATCAGAAACCTGGCTTATTAATGTATTTGCGATATGATCTGGGGCAAGTTGCCTCCCCCCACCGACTCTCAGTCATAATGGTGATAGCACCCTGCAGGTTTGTTAAGAATAAAATAAAGATGAGAAGTATAAAATGAACAGAGCAGTGGCTGGCACCTACCACATGCCGAACATTATCAGTAGACTCACCCATTTTGGAAATATATGGAGTATAAATATACTCTTGTTGGTTGAGTGAATTATTGACAGATTGGCCACCCAGAGGTGACACATACTTTCAGGTTTTACAGGTATTCCAAAGGTGATCCCAAGACCAGTCACAGCGGTGATCACACCCAGTACAAGGACTGCCATGTAGGAAATCAGAAGACATTGCCTGGTGGGAAGCCAGCTGTGATCTGTCACCGCAAAACACACAAGCACAAAAGAGAGTCTCTATCACAGGACAGAGGCTCACAGTGGGGATACAGTGTTACCTAACCAGGTGTTGTTCAGGTTTTCTCACTGTGAAAGGCAGAAGCCAAAATTATTAGACCTTGAGTGTGTGCTTTTAGTGATAATGGTGCTTTTCCTGTCTACAGTTTCTAATTTGATCTTCTGGCAACCAGCCTTATGATGAGTGGGTATTGCTCCCCTCGTAAAAATGAAGCTTTACAATGAAGAAAGAAGGACCAGTGAGGTGAAGTGACTTCTCAGGTTTATGCTGATATAAACGGAGCCCAGTCTTCTGGTTCCTATCTGGGTAGGGCTGCTTCTACTATGCTAATGTTTCCTGGGCCCCACCCCAGACTACAGAATCAGACTCTCTAGGGGTTGCACCAGGAATCTGCACATCTTCTGAATACCTTGAGTCATCCTTAAACACACACAAATTTGAGAACACAGCCCTATACCAAAGATGCCAGCCTGGGCAACACAGTGAGACCCCATCTCTACAAAAAGTTAAAAACCCAAAATAAATTAGCTGGGTGTGGTGCTGCACACCTGTAGTCCCAGCCTACTGGGGAGGTTGAAGTGGGAGGATCACTTGAGCCCAGAAGGTTGAGGCTGCAATGTGCCATGATAGAGCCACTGTACTCCAGCTTGGGCAACAGAATGAGACCCAGGCTCAAAAACAAAACCAGGCCGGGCGTGATGACTCACACCTGTAATCCCAGCATTTTGGGAGGCTGAGGCAGGCAGATCACTTTGAGATCAGGAGTTCGAGACCAGCTTGGCCAACATGGTGAAACCCCATCTCTACTAAAAGTACAAAAATTAGCTGGGCATGGTGGCATATGCCTGTAATCCCAGCTACTTGGGACGCTGAGGCAGGAGGACTGCTTGAACCTGGGAGGCAGAGGTTGTAGTGAGCTGAGATCGCGCCACCACACTCTACCTTGGGCGACAGTAAGACCCTGTCTCAAACAAAAGAAAACAAACAACAACAAAAAAAAAAGCAAAGACGAAATGCGGACCATGGTTTTGGGATCCAATTAGACATGCCAAAGGACAAACATTTGCCATCTGCTTAGTGGTTTCTGGAGTAAGCAATCATTGAAGAACAGGAAGCGGAAGCTGCTTCTGTTTTATTTAGAGTGGCTTGGCACCATGAGCAAGAACTTGCCTGACCAGTTTTTTTGGCACACCACGAAGAGAAGGAGTTCTCAGACCACTTGTTATTTTATTTTATTTTATTTATTTTTTTAAATAGAGACAGGACCTCATTATGTTGCCAGGCTGCTTTTGAGCTCCTGGCCTCAAGCAATCTTCTCACCTTAGCCTCTCAGTGTTGGAATTATTGGCATGAGCCACTGCACCCAGCCTCATGATTATTTTTGTCAGTTACAGCAGCACTACCTTTTGCCAACAACGATACCCACCTTTGATATTTCCAAAGTGACCCATTGGCCAGAGTTGCTAAACAGCTCTGAACCTCCCTCAGGGGCTGAGTCTGGAGTTGCGGGATCTCTTGGGCCCCCACCTAAGGAACTAGCACTCAAACCCCCTTTTGGGTAAACAGTATTTTTTAACAAAAGGGAGATGGAGTGGTGTCTTTTCATAAGAGCCACTTCTAGACTCTAATCTTTTGTTCCTTTGGAACTATGTCAAATATACAAATAAATGCTTTTAGCTCTACCATTGGATAGTGCTTCAGAATTAGCAGCCCTGTCACATAGCTATGAATATTCACATTCTTGGTGAAGAAACTTAGGCTTGAAGAATCTTAAGTGTCACAGCCTGTCAGTGGTAGAAACAGGGACAAGAAGGCAATCAGACACTCCAAGTCTATTCGCCACACCAAAAATCCCTGCTGAAGATTCTCACTCTGCCAGACCACAAGGACCCTGCAAGCAAGGCCTTGCTCCTTGAACCAGATCTGGGTTCAATGTTAATTTATTCTTCCCACAGTAGCTACAGCCTTTAAAATGTTCTTACTCTCTCGGCTGGTCACAATGGCTCTTGCCTGTAATCACAGCACTTTGGGAGGCCAAGGTGGGAGGATACTTGAACCCAGGAGTTTGAGATCAGCCTGGGTAACATGGTGAGACCCCGTCTCTACAAAAAGTTTTGTTTGTTTGTTTGTTTGTTTGTTTTGTTTTGTTTTTAATTGGCCAGTCATGGTAGTGTGCACCTCTGGTCCTAGCTACTCAGGAGGTTGAGGTGGGCGTATTACTTGAAACTGGGAGGTCAAGGCTGCAGTGAGCCATGATTGCACCACTGCACTCCAGCCTGGGTGACAGAGTAAGACCCTGTCCCAGAAAAAAAGAAAAGAAAAGAAAAGAAAAAAATTGCCATAGGGGAAAAAGAAAATAAAAGTTTTTACTCTTTGACTTAGAAAACCTACTTTTTTTGGAGGAGGGGGACGGAGTCTCGCTCAGTCGCCCAGGCTGGAGTGCAGTGGCGCAATCTTGGCTCACTGCAACCTCCACCTCCCAGGTTCACACCATTTTCCTGCCTCAGCCTCCTGAGTAGCTAGGACCACAGACGCCCACCGCCACGCCCAGCTAATTTTTTTGTATGTTTAGTAGAGACGGGGTTTCACCATGTTAGCCAGGATGGTCTCAATCTCCTGACCTCGTGATCTGCCCAGCTTGGCTTCCCAAAGTGCTGGGATTACAGGCATAAGCCACTGCACCCGGCCCTTTTTTTTTTTTTTTTTTTTTTTTTTGAGACAGATTTTCACTCTTGTTGCCCAGGCTGGAGTGCAGGGGTGTGATTTCGGCTCACTGCAACCTCTGCCTCCTGGGTTCAAGTGATTCTCCTGCTTCAGCTTCCCGAGTAGCTGGGATTACAGGCGCCTGCCACCACACCTGGCTAATTTTGTACTTTTAGTAGAGATGGGGTTTCACCATGTTGCCCAGGCTGGTCTCGAACTCCTGACCTCAGGTGATCACCCACCTTGGTCTCCCAAAGTGCTGGGATTACAGGTATGAGCCGCCACACCTGGCCTAGAAATCCTACTTCTGAGGCTCTATTCTAAGCATATAATTGGATATACACAAGAAAGCTTTAGACGTAAAGACTTTTTTTTGGAGATAGGGTCCTGCTCCATTCCCCAGGCTGAATTCAGTGCAGTGGTGTGATCACAGCTCACTGCAGCCTCCAACTCCTGGGCCCAAGTGATTCTCCCACTTGGCCTTCCAAAGTGCTGGGATTACAAGTATGAGCCACTGGGCCCAGCCAATATTTTTTAAAATAGTATAATTGATAATAGGAAATGTTAAATGCTAAATAATGCTAAAATACATATTAAACAACTGTTTACTAAAAGCAATCAAAATAAGGTACCCAATTTTATATATAAAAGGTTCTTGAATGTGTAAAACAATTATATGAAAACACTAAGCATGAAAACAAAGACTGGGGCAGTCAGAGGCTATCTCTGGGTTGTGGCTTATTTGTTCATTCATTCCTTCAGCTAGCATTTACTCTGTGTTAAGCACTATGCTATATATATAGATACAAAGGTAAACAAGAAAGATATCTGCTTTTCCCTTGGTGAACTTACTTAGCTCTAGATAACAATATGGTTTTTAGCAAGGAGGTTTGTGTCAGAATCATCAGAAAGTGCTTGTTGAAAATACACATATTCAATACCTCACTCCTGAAGGTTGGGTTCACTGAGTCTGGGATGGGGTGAGGCATAATGTAATTTATTTAAAAATCTCTCTTAGTGATTCTGAAATACAGGCAGGATGACAGCTACTGTCTTAGAATAGAGGTCTCCAAACTTTTATGATTCTATATCCCTTCAGTAACAAAATAACTAAATAAAATAAAATTAGCATTCTGGCCAGGCACAGTGTTTCACGCCTATAATCCCAGCACTTTGGGAGGCCGAGGCGGGTGGCTCAGTTGAGGTCAGGAGTTTGAGACCAGTCTGGCCAACATGATGAAACTCCGTCTCTACTAAAATTACAAAAATTAGCTGGGCGTGGTGGCATGCACCTGTAATCCCAGCTACTGGGGAGGCTGAGGCAGGAGAGTTGCTTGAACCCGGGAGGTGGAGGTTGCAGTGAGCCGAGATTGTACCACTGCACTTCCAGCCTGAGCAACAGAGCAACACTCTGTCTCAAAAATAATAATAATAATAATTAAATAAAATTAGCATTCCATCACAATTTATTTATAGATTATATACCTGTACTAGTCCACTAATATGCATATTATTGTAAAACATTGTTTTACAATATTTAACTCAAAATTTAAATTTAAGAAGGATGAGATTAAATATACAATGTAAAAATAAAGATTCTAATATTTTCTCCTCTAATCCTACTAGATCATCTTGCCCACCTTTTGTGATCCATTTGAAAATTAATTCTCTCGTCTAAAGGATAATGAAGCTGTGAGAGGCAAAAAAGAAAGAAAGCTACTTTTATTTTGTTTTGTTTTGTTTTGTTTTTTTGAGGCGGAGTCTCACTCTGTCGCCCAGTCTGGAGTGCAGTGGCGGGATCTGGGCTCACTGCAACCTCCACTTCCCAAGTTCAAGCCATTCTCCTGCCTCAGCCTCCCAAGTAGCTGGGACTACAGGTGTGTGCCACCACGCCCGGCTAATTTTTTGTATTTTTAGTAGAGACGAGGTTTCACCGTGTTAGTCAGGATGGTCTTGATCTCCTGACTTCGTGATCCACCTGCCTCGGCCTCCCAAAGTGGTAGGATTACAGGCATGAGCCACCTTGCCCGGCCCACAAAGCTACTTTTAATAAGTCATTGCTTATTTAGCATCATAGCCCTCAAGGGTATCCAAAAATCTAATGCAAACATTAATAATTAAAATGAAATTAGATCTAAAAATAGGATTAGACATCAAAATAGACCTGTGACATTGACATAAAAGTAGAACAAAGCGTGTTGTCTTAGTCCATTTTCCACTGCTATAACAGAATACCACAGACTGGGTAATTTATTTTAAAAAAGGAAATTTATTTCTCATAGTTCTGGAGGCTGGGAAGTCCAATACCAAGGGGCCAGCATCTGGTGAGTGCCTTCTTGCTGCATCACAGTATGTTTCCAACACATGAAATTTGGGGGATACATTCAAACCATAGCACATGTATTTATTCCTCCAGTGCCTATTATATAACTGCAAGTCATTCCACTGCAGGTCAGCAGACATGAGAAAACGTTATGGGGTCTCTGGGCCCCAAAATCTGTCTTAAATAAGCCATTAACAACCAAGAGAGGAGAGGGGGAGGAGTTGTACAGACAGTTCCTTCCAAATGTTGAGGAACTTAACACAAAGCCTGAAGGGTGAGGTTGGGACAGTGGAATCCTGAGGAGGGACTGGGGCTAAGAAATGGGGAATACTTGAAGTGCAAATCCTCACTCACCTATCTTTTGGCGGAGGCCGATACATGCACATGCGCGCGCACATGCACACACACACACACACACACACACACGCACACGCACACGCACACGCACAGGCACGCAGAACAAGGGTTGTCAGGAAATTGAGCTGAGGTTGCCCAGAAGGCTTGTACTGCCTCTCCTAACTTACTGCTGAGACCCCATCTGGTGCAAGGCCAATTTCTATACTCAAGAGGGCAGCAGAGAGCAATGAATGGGCCCTCATTCATTTGAGATCTTCAGCACACGGGCCAATAACCACCACCCTTGCTGCTTGCTCGGAGCATCGTGGACCCAAGGTCTGGAAGGGCCAGAAGATACTCATGCCTGTCCCATGCTACTCAGGGATGGTTGACCAGAACACTTTAAGGCACTTGGAGATAAATCACCAGCCACTTGCCACTGCCGTTATGATTGTGTGTTCCATTTGTAAGCACTGTGAGGATTGTTTAAGTACCTTCAGACTCTCTTTACTTTCAGAGAGCCTGTGAGGTAAGTGGAATTCGTAGGATCATTTTATAGATGAGAAAACAGATGCCCAAAGATGTGAACACTTGCCCAGACTTCAATAGCTGGTTAGAGACAGGGCTCGACTTGAACCCAAATCTCCTAAAAAAGCAAATTTAGTTTATCCTGTGAAACTCAACATTTCTCAGAGTTCTTGGACAGTATGTCAAGAATCTGCAAATTCTCTGTAAGAATTAAAATTTTTGTCTTCACTGTGATAATTATCTGTAACAAAGATTAATATCTTTAAATAAAGAGACGACTTCGCAGAGTTACCAAGTGACACCTGTATTGCTCACTTACACAGTGTTGGTTAAGTGAAAGGTTTCTTTCTCCTAAGTTATAAACAAAGGCAGGAATGTATTAGAACTTCTGTTTTGCATGGAAACAGGCATTCTTATAAGTTATATTTTGAAACTCACCATAGAGAAACAGACTAAATAAAGACCAGACTTGACCTAGTATTTTTCTGTCATCAGCTCCAAAGTAGCAATTTAGTTTCTACAAAACATGTCCATCACATTAATTGAACATTGAAATTTTGAATTTTATTAGTTACATGGTATTTGGTTTCAATTTTTTTCTTTAATTACACAGTAATTGCTATGTTTTGGATGTATATGCCCCTATGAAATTCATATGCTAAAATCTAATGACTAAGATGATGGTTTAGAAGGTGGAGCCTCTGGTAGTGATTAGGTCATGAGGATCAATGAGGGCTCCAGCCTTGTGAACAGGATTAACGTCCTTACAAAAGGCTGCAGAGAGCGGCCTCGCTCTTCCCCTCTTCCACTGTGAGGATGCAGCAAGAAGGCGCCATGTTGGAAGCACAGAGCAGCCCTCACCAGAGACCGAGGCTGCTGGGGCCCTGATCTTGGACTTCCAGCCTCCAGTACTGTGAGAAATAAATTACTATTACTTACACATTACCCAATCTGTAGTATTTTGTTACAGCAGCCCAAATGGACTGAGACAGTAATCTACAATCATGGAGCTCATACAATGTTTTATATTTGTAGATATTGAAATAACATTATTATAGAAATGAAAATGATGGCAACATGTTGAGAGCTGGAGCCTGCAATAACTTTTCAAGAACATGAAGGGGTCCATCCATCACTTGGGTTTGAGGAACAGACAGCGGAGGACCCTGCCTCATCTCCTTCCGCTCCACGACGTCTCATGTCAAGAGCTGCTCGGCTTCTTTTGCTCCTCTCTCCTCTTCAGCATATCAGCCCTTATTCTTCTGTTACTGTGACTCCATACTTAGCTCTTGAGCACCTTAGCGGGGGTGTCCTTCTTGGGAAAAGTTTTGGAACCCTAATTTAGTCCAATTACCATAATTTACACATGAAGGAACTGGGGCCCAGATGGATAAAGTGACTCATTCAAGGGCACTGGAGATTGGAGCTGGCTCTCCTGATCCAAAGCCCAGAGCATAGATCCCCAGGAAAAGCACAGGGAAGCAGCACTTGCTACTTCCCACAGACCTGCTAATTTCCTGTTTCAAAATGGGAGCAAGGCTAGACCACAGTCATGGGTGCAAGGCATTATAAGAGGCATGGCACAGTCTGTTCCCAGAAATGCACCATTGATTTGAACACCCAAATGGCTAGGAATATTAAGAGCTAATCCAAACCATCAGAACTGCTGGCTCCAACTCTAGCAAAGAAAAATAAACAAAATCTTTCTAAACTTAGAAATGGTTCAGGATTATTTTTCTTTTTTTTTTCCAGCTCATCAAAGATTAGCTGTAGAGTTCTCTCCACCCACCTCCAACACAGTGATTAAAGGTCCAGCATTGCTGGCCAGGTACGGTGGTTCATGCCTGTAATCCCAGTATTTTGGGAGGCCAAGGCGGGTGGATCACCTGAGGTAGGGAGTTCGAGACCAGCCTGGTCAACATGGTGAAACCCCATCTCTACTGAAAATACAAAATTAGTCAGGTGTGGTGGTGCATTCCTGTAATCCCAGCTACTTGGGGGGCTGAGGCAGGAGAATCGCTTGAACCTGGGAAGCAGAGGTTGCAGTGAGCCGAGATCGCGCCATTGCATTCCAGCCTGGGCAACAAGAGCGAGACTCCATCTCAGGAAAAAAAAAAAAAAAAAGGTCCGGCATCAAAGCCTCCCTCTTCCTCAACAGATATTGTATGATGAAGGGCAGTCACTGCCCTGGGGGTCAGCAAACCTCTGGCTGGACTTGGATCTGCCAAGGAGAAGCTGGGCAGCCTTGGGGAAGCTATTGCTACTCTTCAGGCTTCCATGCCCTCTTCTGTAAAATGACCAGAATTACAGTAGAATTTCAGTGTTTCCTAATCTTCCCTGAAGATAAAAATCCCTTGGCATAGGCCAGGCACGGTGGCTCACACCTGTAATCTCAGCACTTTGGGAGGCCAAGGTGGGCGGATCACCTGAGGTCGGGAGTTTGAGACCAGCCTGACCAACATGGTGAAACCCCATCTCTACTGAAAAATACAAAAATTAGCCAGGCATGGTGGTGGGCATTTGTAATCCCAGCTGCTTGGGAGGCTGAGGCAGGAGAATCGCTTGAACCCAGGAGGTGGAGGTTGAAGTGAGCTGAGATTGTGCCACTGCATTCCATTCTGGGTGACAGTGAGACTTTGTCTCAAAAAAAAAACACTTAAATTTCTGAGCCCCGACCCAAATTTGGACTATTCAGGAAGATGCCTGGTAATCTATATTTAACGTGGTAATCTATATTTAACAAGAGCTCCACCTCATTGTTTTCCACCAGAAAACAGAACTGGATGAGCGGGGCCTAAAATTTGGAATCAGTAAAAGCTCCAGATATACTACAAGTGCGAATATGAGAGGGAGAACGTGGAATTAGTATCAGCCATTCACATGTGACAATAGAGATGTCAGCTTTGTTAGTGAGGCACTCAGCAAGGCTCTGAGGCACTGGGAAAGCAAGATGGGTGAGTTTTCATCAGAAGAGTGAATGGAGAGAGGTCAATGATGTGGTGTGCCCTGAGGGCAAGGGCGGGCCTACAAGGAGAGCCAAGACGATTGGCTTGGGGTGCCAAGGAGCAGCCACGCAGTTTCCAGGGAGACTGGTGGTAGGCATGCAGAGGAGGCCTGAGTAAGCCTGGAATGGAGCCCTCTACACGTCTTTCAGGGCCTCAAGTGGAGCTGGCTCTATTGCTGCATTTCAGAGGATGGGTGTTTGTCCAGTGTGGCGTATGGATTAGTGGTAGCCTGGCTTCAGGGGAATCAACTGGTCTCTCCTGATTACACGTCCTAACTATGGGAGGCCAAGTTCCATTTGATGTCTTTATGGGCGGTAGCACCATCATGACTTTCCGGTCAGATAGAGATGAGGGATGTTAAAGAAACATTATTCAGACCCTTTGTATTGGTGGGTTCTTGCTTTGCTACAAGGAAATACCTGAGGCTGGGTAATTTGTAAAGAAAAGGGGTTTATTGGCTCACAGTTCTGCAGGCTGTACATGAAGCATAATGCTAGCATCTGCTTCTGGTCAGGGCCTCAGAAGCTTCCAATCATGGCAGAAAGTGAAGGGGAAGCAGGTGGTGTCACATGGTGAGAGAGAGAACAAGAGCGAGAAAGGGGAGATCCCAGACTCTTTTAAAGAACCAGATCTCTTGTGAACTGAGTGAGAACTCACTCATCACCAAGGGGATGGCACCAAGCCATCCATGAGGATCTGGCCCCATGATGCAATACCTCCTACTATGCCCCACTTCCAACATTGGGGATCACACTTCTACATGAGATTTAGATGGAACAAACATCCAAACCATATTACATTTGTGAAAACAATAAGAAAGACTTCATTAAAGACTGTTGAAATAGAGAAGAAAGACTGAGCTCAACTCTGAATATAGCAAAGCCAGCTGGGAATTTATAGCCAATGAGTCAGAGTGAGGGGTCAGAAGATGGAAAATTATTCAGAGGAAACTGATTAGACATCAAGGGTAGGTGGATTCTCAATAAACTGGCTTAGGGGGATTCTTTGCTAAAAGTGGGCTCAGCAGACAAATGTCAAGGTTGAGAGGCCAAGGTGAAGGCCTAGTCGAGAAGATGGCTCAGAGGATCCCAACTAATGTTTGGCCAAGGAGGAAGTCTTTGTCAGGGGTACTGAGACCTCCTATGTTTGAGAGGAGTTAATAAAAAGCTAATGGGAATGTGAATTTCTTTCTGTTCAGCTAAGACGCTGGCTGACAAGAAGAACTATGCTTACATAAATATGGAAGATTGAACTGAGCGCTTATACTGCTTGACAGAGGTAATATAATAACAATAAAATAGTAATAATACATTATAGCTCTCAATTATTAAATAATCAACGTATGTTAGTAACTTTTTGTACATTATTCCAAATCCTTAGAATAATCCTGCAAAGGTGGTGTTATTATTTTCATTTTATAGTGCAGAAACTGAGGCTCAGAAAAAGTCTTTTCAAAATCAGGAATTGAATTCAGGTCTGTTTGGTTGTAAAACTCCAATTCTTTTCAATATGCTACTTTTTTTTTTTTTTTTTAAAGACAGAGTTTGTCTCTTGTTGCCCAGGCTGGAGTGCAATGGCACAATTTTGGCTCACCACAACCTCTGCCTCTCAGGTTCAAGCAATTCTCCTGCCCCAGCCTCCCAAGTAGCGTGATTACAGGCATGCGCCACCACGCCCAGCTAATTTTGTATTTTTAGTAGAGATGGGGTTTCTCCATGTTGGTCAGGCTGGCCTTGAACTCCCTACCTCAGGTGATCTGCCCACCTCGGCCTCCCAAAGTGCTAGGATTACAGGCATGAGCCACCACACTCGGCCTACAAATCTTATACATAGCAGTTGGTAACTGAAATGAATTTGTAAAGTGATTGAATACATGAACACATGAAGTTTATTTCAAGTCTAAAGTAGGTTTCCAGGTGAAAGGATTCTTTGTCCCTAACCATTCTCAAAAATTCTGAGGCTCTCATCCACATTAATATCCCCCACCCTCTGCCATTGTTTTACTGCCTCAACTTCAGCAGTGTAGATTTATTAGAAACGTGACTGAGGTGTGTAACAGGAAGCGTTGCTTGACTTGAAGGTGCTAGTCTTATCAAAGGAAGGCATATAACTTAGTGAGCAACTGGGAACTTGGGAACCCTGCTGACCAAGGAGGACTTGGTGTATCATACAGACCTCCTTGGTGTGCTGATGTCCTAGGGTTCCTGACTGATTAAAGGATGCTGGTTGAAGTGGTGAAAAAAGAGGGGGTGTTTGTGCCTCACATGTGGAAGGCCTTCATTCCTCAGTCTGCTGTCTATGGTGACACAGTCTGTTCCCAGAAATGCACCACTGATTTGAACACCCAAATGGCAAGGAATATTAAGAGCTAATCCAAACCATCAGAACTGCTGGCCCCAACTCTAGCAAAGAAAGATAAACAAAATCTTTCTAAACTTAGAAATGGTTCAGGATTATTTTTCTTTCTTTTCCAGCTCATCAAAGATTAGCTTTCAACACCAGAATGTTTTATTAAAATTTTTCTAATTAGCCTCATCATTCTGTTAATCAAGCTTGTTACAAGCATGGCATCTTTATATCTGTTTTGCTAATCGACATCTTTCAAACCATGTTGACATTTCAGTGGCTTTTGAACTGCTCCCCCTCCATGAAATGGGCCATGTCCTATTTGCTTCTTTGAAGATTGGCTGCCTTTCTTAGGGACATTTTTTTGATACTGATTTGTGTGCTTATAAAATATGCAGTGAGGACAGATGGACAGAAAGCTGGAGTTGGGGAGAAGGAAATAATTATCTGCTTAGTGCAAAGCGTGTACTTGCAAATTTCTAGTTATGCCACAGACTATGAAAGGTCAAGAAATAATGGCATGAACTGTTTAAGCTAACATAGCAGATAAGTTTAAGAGTTTCCACATTTGTTTGTTAATGGAAAATGGTGTCTGGCAATCAACTTCAGAAAAGCGGATAGGTTCTGATGTTAAGAAGGCTGAGTAAAGACTTTTTTACTCCCTTTCTTTCAGTGATTAGTCTGAATAACAACAAGGAGAAAGAGAAACAGAAGCTTGACTTCATCTTTAATGAAACTGGGTGGCATGCATAAACCATAGTTGCAATGCATGAAGACTGAAGGAGGCCGGGTGCAGTGGCTCACACCTGTAATCTCAGCACTTTGGGAGGCCAAGGTGGGCGGATCACCTGAGGTCAGGAGTTCGAGACCAGCTGGGCCAACATGGTAAAACCCTGTCTCTACTAAAAGTACAAAAATTAGCCAGGCATGATGGCGGGTGCCTGTAATCCCAGCCACTTGGGAGGCTGAGGCAGGAGAATTGCTTGAACCTGGGAGGCAGAGGTTGCAGCAAGCTGAGATCGTGCCACTGTATTCCAGCCTGGGTGACAGAGCCAGGCTCCATCTCAAAAAAAATAAATAAATAAAGACTGAAGGTGGATGAATGAGTGACAACAGACAGCAGAACGGAGTACGGTGAAGGCTTCAGGGAGGATGTGATGAGAAGCAGGATAGCTGGTACCTTCAGGACTTTGGGAAGCCTTGAGAATCAGAGGTGCTGGGTAATGTAGAAGACAGGTGAGGAGTCGGCTCGCAGTGGGGGCACTGGTTGAAAGTCTCTTTGAAAAGCAATTTGACTTCAGGTTCTCACCCCACTCTGGGAAGCCAGGCAACTGAGTCTTTTCTATCCCCAAAAGAGGGAGGCTTATTTTCTGGAGAAATTGGACCTGACAAGCTCTGGGCTCAAGGGTATCAGGTACACTGGAGTGTGGGGTCAGGCAGAAGGTGGCAAACATGAAGTTATCTCTTAGTTAGGATGTTAGGGAATCCTTCCTTGTAGGACCTGAGCTGTCCTACATGTTCTGATAGCTGGAGGCCCCTGAAAGCCCCCACTTATGCAGGTATAGCTTCCCAGATTTTTAAGTGCCTCATTCTTACATATGATGATAGCCAATGATCATCAGACATTTCAGGCAATCCAATGTGAAATGCAAATCAAGAGAAAACTGGAATCAGGGGAGAAAAAAGTCCATTCAGGTAGCAGGACAAAATGTAAAACAAATTATAGTTTAATGTCCTCTGAGAGACACGAGAAGAGATGCAGCCATGAAACATAAACATGACGCGGCCGGGCGCGGTGGCTCACGCCTCTAATCCCAGCACTTTGGGAGGCCAAGGAGGGCGAGTCACGAGGTCAGAAGTTTGAGACCAGCCTGGCCAACATGGTGAAACCCCGTCTCTACTAAAAATACCAATATTAGCCGGGCGTGGTGGCACTTGCTTGTAATCCCAGCTACTCGGGAGGCTGAGGCAGGAGGATTGCTTGAACCTGGGAGGCAGAGGTTGCAGTGAGCTGAGGTCGCTCCATTGCACTCCAGACTGGGCAACAAGAGCAAAACTCCGTCTCAAAAAACAAACAAACAAACAGAAACAAAAACAAAAACGGAAAAAAACAGGGTGCTATGATAAAAGGGACTCTCAGAGAACAAGAAAAAGTTCATGGAAAGTAAATGATAAAAGCTGATATTAAGAAGTCAAACTATGGGAAAATAAAGTTGAAGAATTCTCTCATAAAGTAGGACAAAGAGAGAGGGAATTTAGAGCCAAAAACACAAGGAAATTAGAGAATTAACTCAATATTTATCTTCTGATTAATAGGTAAAATCAGAAATGAGAAAAGAGAAAAAGAGAAAATTGTGGAGAAGAAAATATCAAAGAAGTAATATTTAAAAATTTCCCAGAATTAGAGGCTTAAGTTTCCAGATTGAAAGGGCCCACTGAGAGATAAACCAATGAAGGAGAAGAAGACACTCAAAAAAGCAAGTCAGTGTGAAATTTCAGAACACTAAGGATAAAAAGAAGATCCCAAAACGTTCTGGAATGGGGAGGGATAGAGTGTACTAACAGGTCCCACACAAAGGGTTAGGAGTAAGCAGGATAGCTGATTTCTCAATAGCAACACTAAGCGAAAAGACAACGGAGAAATGTCTTCAACATGGTGAAGGAAAATGACTTTCAACCTAGAATCTATACCTAACCAAACTATTAACCAAACCAAGCATTAGAGTTGAAAAGAGATATTTTCAGACATGCAGCATCTCAAGAAAAAAAAAAAAAAAAGACCTTCCTGCACCCTTTCTCAGTGTATTCTCATGTCATACTGAAGGGTGTGTTGCACTGAAATGAAGAAGAAAACCAAGAAAAAGGAAGACATAGCAGCCAGGTAAGAGGAAGTGCAACACAAGAGAACTACGAAAGGGATTCTAGGATGACAGCGAGCATCAGGTCTAGAGCGTAAACACTCTATATTAGAACAATAGGAGACTGTGCTCTGTGAGGGAGATCTCTAGGGAAATGAAACTGATTATTTCTCTGGCTTGACTATAGGGAAACTGTATTGAGGGACTGTGATAGGGGCTAAGAAAACTTAGGAATAGCATTTAGCTAAGCAAATAAAAACAAAACAATTATTAAATTTAGGATAAGCAAAAAATAAGCATAAGAAAACAAATATAATTAAGTTCACTCCTTAGGCCAGCAGGGAATAATATTTGTATAGCTGTAATAATGTAAGTAGTGAATGTTGATTAATCAAAATGTTTAGGAAAGTTGGCAGGGAGTGAGGATGTTGTGATACAAGAGTTAAAACCTTATCTATCCTAAGAAGTCCCTGGATTATGCTTAAAATTAAATAAAATAAAACAGCAACTTAAGCATGTTATTTATAAATATAGAAGAACAGATCAGAAGAAAAGCACTAAAATTCGTTGCCTGCAAGAAGCAGGATAGTAAGATGAGGAGGCAGAAAAAGAGTGATTTTTTTGTTTTGTTTTAACCTTTGCATAATTTGACTTTTAAAGTTATGTGCATATCGGTTTGGTTAAAAAGCAAATTCATTTCCATTGTCTTGGTCCTTTGCCTTCCCTTTTATCAGAGTTCTGCTTTGGGTATCTGCTGTAGACTGAGGCACCAAGCCTTCTTAAATTCTAATTGATTCCCAATGACATTTCTGCTCTCCTTTACCAAGATCTGGCTCTTGAAAAGTGAACTTTCAGGAAGACTTATTGAGTTATTTTCCCTTCACCCCAGTTCTCCAGCCAAGCACTCTGATGTAAGCATTGGAAATGGTCTGGGCTGTTTCCAATAATATAATTCTGTGGAGAAAGTGTCAGAGCTACAATCTTCTCCCTAAGGATAATTACAAGTAGAAGGTAAATATGTGTCTTTCTGAGCCATTCAATAAGTTGAAGGGTTATGCAAATCTACATTTTAGATGTTATTTCCATAAGTCGATTGTGTTTCTTTACTTCTAACTGCAGTACTCCACAAAGTATTTTAGGCAGAATAAAGACACATACAATACAACAAAATGAAATAAATTAAAAATAAGCAAGGAACACAGCAACGGGAAAATAAAGATGTGAAACTAAGAGAAACTAAGAGTGAGGTTTATACACACAAAATACATGCAAATAATTCCTATATATTTGATAAAATAGGCCACAAATTTGGTTTTACTCTTGTTAGTCAACACAAGGAGAGAAGCCTGATCGGACATGTGATTCCTAAGGCCTATAGCATAAAAACAAACCAGCCCCTATTCCTGTAATGAAGAGAGGATGCTGTGTAATGGGAACAATGTACTCAACAGCACCCTTACAGTCAATGCAATGATCATTTCACTGGACTATTCCTAGACATGGCTGAGAAAGGAAAATACAATTCTAAGACCCCAGTGGACTGAATGGACCCCCTCTTGGCCAAGGGGACCCCAGAGAAACCTCAGAAGCTGAGTTTCCAGCCATGATGTAATGGGAGGTGAGGCATGGCTCATTATACCACTCCCTCCTTAACCACCATTAGGCTTTCTTTCCTAAGGGCTAAACAGAAACCAGTCCTTCCAAAAGACTCCACACTGATAACGTTGGTTACTAGCTTATTCTTCCAGGCACAAAACAAAGACAACTTCGGGAGGCCAAGGCAGGTGGATCACTTGAGCCCAGAAGTTCAAGACCATTCTGGGCAACATGGTGAAGCCCCATCTCTACAACCAGAAAATATAAAAAGTAGCCTGGCATGGTGGTATGATCCTATAGTCCCAGCAACTCAGGAGGCTAAGGTGAGAGGATCGCTTGAGCCCAGGAGTTTGAGTCTGCAGTGAGCTATGATCATGCCACTGCACTCCAGCCTGTGTGACAGAGCAAGACTCTGTCTCAAGAAAATAAAAATAAATAAAATTTAAAAATAAACAAAACAAAGAAAAGAAGAGATTAACCATTCCTTCATCCCTCCCTGACATTTGCTTCCTCTATTCTCTTTTTTCTCTAATGTTCACCTTATCTTATGTAAAATGTAGATTTAGTGGGCACCAACTGAAGTCTCACAAGTATGTAACCATTAGTCTCACTGTCATGCTCCCCCCGCCACCACCAATTTTTAAGGAAAATGTAGAATACTAAACCTCCTGAGAACTTCTTTGGAAAAACAGCCAGAGATATGTCTGTGACTCATGTTTTTCCTGGATGCACCCTCAAGCTGGATCAATAAACCTCAATTCATTGGGACACTTGCCTCTGTCACCCATTTGGTTGTCCATAGCTCAATGGCATTAAGACAACGTAAAATTCAGCTAACATATTTTGGGTAAGAGAATGATGCTGATGAGATGTTATTCAGCCTCTTCACTCTATAATTATCTGATTTAGCCTAAGGCTAGCTTTTAAGGAATTGGATGTGTGAAAGGAACATAAAATCTCAGGACCCCTAAGTCACTCTGCCAAAGGGAAAATTTAAGCTTGGGAGCTGAGTCCCACAAAACTGCCTTCCATTTTGTTCCTAAATAGCTGCAAAGCTAGAAGGTCACATATCTCCCTGGGGACCTCCCTCACAAATTGCTCACAAGGAAATTCTTTGTGGGCCCCAAGATCTTTACCTTGAAACAGAGTTCTGTTGAACTTCACCTTGACAATGTAAATGAACAGCTTACCTTCACAGGTACAGGACAAAGACAGGACTAGAAGTCACCCCTCCGCTCACATGAGACAAATGCATAGTTGACTGTTCCTCTGAGATATGAATAGCACGGGGTAGTTGCAGGAGGGTGGAAAATAAGAACTAGGCAAACTTACCACAGGATAACAGAAAACCCAAAATAAGGGAAAGAAAATGGCCAAAACTCCAGTCAGGGTGAGAGGTCCATGGCTCTTCCAGGCAAACCCAAATAATGGAGAAAGGGAGCCATAACTGGGAGGTCCCTGAAATCCCCCTTTTCCAGAATACCTAATGATTATCCTACCCCCTAATTAAAGAAACATCCATAAAATTAGAAACCCAAGCTCCATTGTGTGTGACTGATCTCATAAGCATGCCCACACTTCTTTGTTGAGTGTCTGCTTTTGCTTTGCAATAAAAGCTTCTTGCCTTTTGTTTCATTCTGATTCATCCCTGAATTATTTCCCTTTTTTCTTATTTATTTATTTTTCTTTTTTAAAGAAACAGGGTTGGGGTCTCACTATGTTGTCCAGGCTGGTCTCAAACTCCTGGGCTCAAGCAATCTGCCTGTCTCAGCCTCCCAAAGTGCCGGGATTACAGGTGTGAGCCACTGCACCCAGCCAATTGTCCTTGAGTTCTTTCTCATGACAGTGTGAGAAATCTGGACACTGGCTGGGGCTGGGGCCTCACTGGCATCTGAGGATCCCCCTGAGCCCTTTGGCACCATCTCTAGCCCCTCCTTTCACATGTAAAATGTGGATTCAGTAAGCACTAATCAAAGCCTCAAAAGAATGTAACTGCTTGCCTCTTTTATTCATCCTCTCCCTTTTTTTCTTTCCTCTTTCCACTACTGCCTGCTCTTTCTCCTTTAAATACTGAAGTCTTCAAACCCTCTTTGGAAAACGCATGGATCACAGATGTTCCTGTGATTTCTGTTCCTTTTTCCTGGGCACATCCTAACCTTGGCAAAACAAACCTCTAAATCAGTGGTCCCCAACCTTTTTGACACCAGGGACTGGTTTCGTGGAAGATAATTTTTCCACGGACAGGAGGGGTGAGGGTGGGAGGAGGGACGAGGAGGAGGATGATGATGGTTTTGGGATGAAACTGTTCCACCTCAGATCATCAGGCATTAGATTCTCATAAGGAACAAGCCAGTTGTGCAGTTTACAGTAGGGTCGTGCTCCTGTGAGGATGTAATGCTGATCTGGAAGGAGGCGGGGCTCAGGCAGTAATGCTCACTCACCTGCTGCTCACCTCCTGCTGTGTGGCTGGCCTCCTAACAGCTCACAGACTGGCACCAGTCCATGGCTCAAAGGTTGGCGACCCCTGCTCTAAATTGATTGAGACTGTCTCCCTCATGGAAGTTGAAGTTCCTTTACCTGCCTAAAATTCAGACCCACTGAGGAGAATAACTGTATTTTCTTCCCCTCCCTCTTATTATCTATTTCAGAAAAACAAACAAACAAACAAACAAAAAACCAACAACAAGAAGAATGTAACCACACCTGAACATACCCTTTTACAAGTATAATGACTACCTCCAAGGATCATTTAAGTTCCAAGGATAACTATTTACAAGGCAATAACTGTTCCCAGATACACTCATTCTCCCTGGTAATCCCCGCAACAGAATTCCTGTTTTTTCCCCTCCCATAACCTGTTTCACCAGGATCCAAGCCCCCATTCTTTCCGTAACTTCAAGATGGTATTGAAGACTAAACTCCGACCCTTTTTCCTCTCTTGCCCAAATTCCTATCTAAGGGATCTGGGGAGGCCCATCCTACAAACCATAAAATCTCATCAGATGGGCATATAACATGGCTTACTTTCCAACCTGCTCTGGTATAATATCACATGGCAGATGAAGGAAATCAAATGTTCTACCCCAAAATATGTTTCTTTGTCATCTTTTGAAATGGCTCCACAAAGCCTTCTTTTTTGGGAGAAAATTTGCATCTGTAAAGAATCTCTGTTAACATAACTAGATATTTCCCCTTCTAGATCTTCCCAATTCTGAAGAGATTAATTGAAAGTCTAGCACCTTTTAAAGATCTGATTAGGAAACATTTGCCATCTCTTGTCTCTAAGGGCAGCCACCTAAGACAATTGATAAGAACCTTGGTCTCGGCTGGGTGCAGTGGCTCACGCCTGTAATCCCAGCACTTTGGGAGGCCGAGGCAAGTGGCTCACCTGAGATCAGGAGTTTGAGACAAGCCTGACCAACATGGTGAAACCCTGTCTCTACTAAAAATACAAAAATTAGCCGGGCATGGTGGTGCGGGCCCGTAATCCCAGCTACTCGGGAGGTTGAGGCAGGAAAATCACTTGAACCCAGGAGGTGGAGGCTGCAGTGAGCCGAGACCGCGCCGTTGTACTCTAGCCTGGGCAATAAGAGCAAAACTCCGTCTAAAAAAAACTTCGGTCTTTACAGCCCTTTATCCTAACCCAGCCACTCCTTTCTATTGAGTCCAGGTTTTTAGGTAACTTGACTCTTTCAACCAATTGCCTATCTGAAAATCTTTGAATCCACTTATGATCCGTAAGCCCCTCACCACCCTACTTTTAGTTGTCCCACCTTTTCAGATGGAACCAATGTATATTGTACATTATGATTGATGTCTCATGTCTCCCTAAAACATATGAAACCAAGCTGTAACCCAACCACCTTGGACACATGTTCTCAGGATCTCGTGAGACCACGCCTTGGGCCATGGTCACTCATATTTTACTCAGAACTAATCTTTTCAAAATTTTATGGAGTTTGGCTCTTTTCATCCACAGTATACAAGCTCCTGTACCTCACTGGGAGCTTGGGTCTTCATTCTGAAGGCTCTTGTATATACACATTAAATAAATTCGTATGCCTTGTCTCCTATTAATCTGCCTCATGTCAGTAATTTTTTCAGTGAACATTTAGGGAGTCAAGGGCCTTGGCCCCCACACTCTTCTCTCTCCCCAAGCCCACAGGCAGTCATGAAGAGGCACAAGCCTTCTATTCTTGGCTTCTGGACAGTGTGGTGACTCAACCCATTTGCTCCATGCTGTCAACTGAAGAATGATGAAGTCCCTACATGTGGAAAGGAGAGCTTTATTTCTTGTAAAGGGTTGCAGCCTGCAGGGTGGCCATTCTGACAGGCTGGGAAGCATAGCCTTTGGCCAGAAGCCAGAAACGGACACTTTGAGGGAGGGGCAAAGGGAATAGGAATTCATGCTGAGCAAGGTGGTCAAATATACATATTCAAGGAGGAGTCATGGATAGTTATGAAAGAAAAGATATGTGCATATGCAATGGCGCTTCATGCCTCTCCATGGGACTCACGTTCAAACAATATCGGCATTAGTATGATCTGAGGGTGTAGTTTTCAGCCCTCTGATGTCAAAAGGTGTGACAGAGGACACAAAAACCCTCACTGTGCATTTCCATAGACTGGCCAGAACCACTGGTCAGTGGTCACTTATCAGGCAAAAAAGGAGGGGCAGTGTCAGGCTGTTGGTGGATATCCATGGTGGGGTCTTTTGAAAGGGCTGGTTTCTGTTCAGCCCTTGTGGAGGAAAGCCCAATGGCAGGCAGTGAGGGAGGGAGGGTGCATAACGAGGTATGTCTGTCCTTCCATCCCATCATTGTTGGGAACTCAGGCTCAAGGTTTCTCTGGGGTCTCCTTGGCCAAGAGGAGGTCTGTTCCATCAGCTGGGGGGCTTAGGATTTCATTTCTATTTTTCAGTGCTGTTCCATGATGAAAATGGAACCCTGGGGAGCCAGCACTTCTCTTGCTTGCACCATTACGATAAATGAATAAAGCCATGACTCTCAGTGCGGCTTGTTGTTCTAATTGACTAAACTGATTGCTCAACACCTCACATAGTCATTAAATAAATTCTGAGTATGTTCTTGGATGTCAGGGACCCAGATTATGGGTTCAGTTTAATATAAGGATTTTCTCAGTGAACAGAAAAAGAGGAATGGGGACTCCTATTATACAAAGATTGTATCCTCTTCTTGGATTGAGATGGTTAAACAACTTGGTAGAATAGTTACAAGCTGAGAGCTTAGAGAAAAGCTCTGTGCCTGGAACTCTCTGACTCTGGAAAAACCACAGTTGGAGGATGAAAATAATCAGAAACTCAGCAAAATGAAGGCAGCTTAAAAGACAAGAGCAAATCATTGTCTTTTAGTCAAAAGACTTCCCATAAACCATCGAGACAGAGAAAGTGAAGGTGATAGACACTCTGAGAAGGCTGAGGGCAGATGTTTTTCCTCAGGAGGAGGGTTGAGGTTTTAGCTATTGAAAGGGAAAAAGACATGTAGCAGATTTAATTATTACAAGGTCAGGGCAGTGATGGGCACAGAGATTTATGGCAAATTGAAATGACTTCCTCATCCTGGAAAGAAATTGAAGCACCTTCTTAACACTGTAAATGGGAGACAGTAATGAGCTCGGAGCCTCTCTTTGAAGATCGTGGCAACCATTCAAGGAGAGCTACACCAATGGATAAGAGAAAGGGGAAATGGCCACTTTTTTCTTAAACTGGGGCTTTGAGATTCATTTTAAGTATTGTAGAAGACAGAGAAGGACTTTAGTAGGCAGAATAATAGGCCCCCAGAGATCAAAGATATCCACATCCTAATTCCCAGGACCTGTGACTTTGTTAGGTTACATGGCAGAGAGGATTTAAGGTTGCTAATCAGTCAACCGTAAAATAGGAAGACTATCCTAGATTATCTGAGTGAGGCCAGTGTAAGCACAACAGAATTTTTTTTTTTTTTTTTTGAGACAGAGTCTCACTCCTGTTGCCCAGGCTGGAGTACAATGGCACGGTCTCGGCTCACCGCAATCTCCACCTCCTGGGTTCAAGCGATTCTCCTGCCTCAGCCTCCCAAGTAGCTGGGATTACAGGCTTGCGCCACCACGCCTGGCTAATTTTGTATTTTTAGTAGAGACAGGGTTTCTCCATGTTGGTCAGGCTGGTCTTGAACTCCTGACCTCAGGTGATCCGCCCACCTCGGCCTCCCAAAGTGCCGGGATTACAAGTGTGAGCCATCGCTCCCGGCCGCACAACCACTCTTAAAAGTCAAAGAAGGAGGCAGAAGAGAGAATCAGAGGGAGCTAAGATGACAGAAGTGGGGCCAGAGTGATGCGGCATTGCTGGCTTTACAGACCGAGAAGAGGCTGAGAGCCCGGGGCTGTGGCAGCCTCTAGACACTGGAAAGGGTGAGGAAGCGGATTCTCCCCTAAGCCTTTCAGAAAGGGAGACACACAGACCTGCCGACACCTTGATCTTAGCAAAGAGGGATTCTCATTGGACTTCTACAGAATTCTAAGAAAACAAATTTGTGTGTTTTAAGCCACTAAATTTGAGATAATTTGCAGAGGCAAGAATAGGAAACTACTGAGAGATTAAAGGGTGATACATGTGTACTGCTGACTCCACTCTCCACCCTGGAAGAGGTTTGTCCCACAAGCTAACAGCTAAAATGTTTGCATTATAATTGTCATTGCCATCCATAAGAGTGAACATGGCTAGGTGCGGTGGCTCGTGCCTGTAATCCTAGCACTTTGAGAGGTCAAGGCAGGAGGATTTAAGTCTAGGAATTTGAGACCAGCCTGGGCAACATAGTGACACCCTGTCTCTAAAAAAAATTTTTTTAAATTAATTAGCTGGATATGATGGTGCGTGCCTGTAACTCCTGACCTCAGGTGATCCACCCGCCTCGGCCTCCCAAAGTGTTGGGATTACAGGCGTGAGCCACCGTGCCCGGCCTACTATTGCTGGATCCTAACAGATGTCAATGATTTTTCACATTTCGTACTACATCACGACTGCCACCTGGCGGACAGTTGTTGTACGACAGCATTGACTGCATCCTGCTTTCAGAGCGGTTAAAATGAGGGGGAAAAAATTACCATAAATTTACCATAGTACACCTTTAAATAATGATCCTGATCCTAAACTATAATTTGACTTCCTGAGTCCTAGTTGGCACACAGCATTGATGGCATATCACTGTTGTGCAAAGCAAGTGACAAGTGCGCAGCTTACAGCGTAGGAGCAGCACATGTGGCGGCCTCCAAGCTGCTTATAGAGAAGGCTCTTACGTCAGAACTTACATTTAGCCCTGTTATTCTTTCCTTCTTTCTTTTGCAAAATGTAGACAATAGGAAATTATTTACAGTTGGCATCTTCTCTCTCAAATAAAAAATTTAATAGCAGGTCTCAGAAGATAGCCTTCCTGTTTTTTGTTTTTTGCTTTTTGCCTCAGTATTTCAGCTTAGAAAATGCCAAGATAGAGTCCTCCATTTCTATTTTGAGCATGAACTTTGAAAACGCTTGGGAGGCCCGAGTGCTTTACTGTTATTTACTAGCTGTGCAAGTCTTTATAACCCCTTGGGTCTTAGTTTCCTTGCTTGTCAAATCAATGCTTCCAAGTCCTACCAACTCTGAGGGTCTCCTGGGGGAATCCAATGAGGCCATGTGTGGAAGCATTTTGGTAACTTTTTTTTTTTTTTGAAACGGAGTTTCACTCTTGTTGCCCAGGCTGGAGTGCAATGGCATTAACTCGGTTCACTGCAATCTCTGACTCCCGGGTTCAAGCGATTCTCCTACCTCAGCCTCTCAAGTAGCTGGGATTAAGGCATGTGTCGCCATGCCCAGCTGATTTTGTATTTTTAGTAGAGACAGGATTTTGCCATGTTGACCAGGCTGGTCTCAAATTCCTGACCTCAGGTGATCTGCCCACCTCGGCCTCCCAAAATGCTGGGATTACAGGCGTGAACCACTGCACCCAGCCTTTTTTTTTTTTTTTTTTTTTTTTTTGAGACAAGTTTCGCTCTGTTGCCCAGGCTGGAGTGCAGTGGCTTAATCTCTGCTCACTGCAACCTCTGCCTCCCAGGTTCAAGTGATTCTCCTGCCTCAGCCTCCCCAAGTAGCTGGGACTACAGGCATGTGGCAACACACCCAGCTAATTTTTGTATTTTTTGTGGAGATGGGGTTTTGCTGTGTTGGCCAAGCTGGTCTCGAACTCCTGACCTCAAGTGATCCACCGGCCTCAGCCTCCCAAAGTGCTGGGATTACAGGTGTGAGCTACTGCACCTGGCCATTGGTAACTATTTAAAGCTCTATACAAACGTATGACGAGAATCACTGAAATAATATTTGGAGAGTGTTTTGCCAAGTGCCTGGTAGTTGAAACAAATTTTTTCAGGTAAAATTTTTTTTGGCTTAAAATATCTGAGGTCAGGTGCAGTGGCTCACACCTGTAATCCCAGCACTTTGGGAGGCCAAGGTAGGTGGACCCCTTCAGTCCCGGAGTTCAGGACCAGCCTGGGCAACATGATGAAACCCTATTTCTACAAAAAATATAATAAAATTAACCTGGCATGGTGGCATGTGCCTGTAGGCCAAACTACTCCAGAGGCTGAGGTGGGAGGATCACCTGAGTCCAGGGAAGTTGAGACTGCCATGACCCATGACCATGCCACTGCACTCCAGTCTGGGCGACAGAGTAAGACCCTGTCTCAGAAATAAAATAAATAAAATAAAATATTTGGAAAAAAATCAAAAAGGTTGGTTGTAAGTCTATGTAGTGTAAGGAATGTAGTCTATTTTTAGGGTTTAAATTGATGACAAATTATTTTCCTAAGGGACTGCCATTAGAGCATTGCCAAGGACTTCAAGTCCTGCTCAGCGAGTGGGCTGAGGAACACAGTTTTCTGTGTAAGCTGCTGAGACTTTAAGCCCTAGGACTCAAGAGCAGGCTTGACTCTCTCCCAGGTAAACTTGCATTTACCTGGCAGGTACGTAGGGACCTCCTGAGCTGGAGCAGATACCTCTCTCAGAACTTCAAAAAGCCAAACCTCAGAGCCCCCTGTAGTTTCCAAAATGGACCCTTCTAGAAGCTGTGGGGAAGCTTGTGACTAGGAGACAATGAACCCAGATCTGCACAAAACAGGTGAAGACAGAGGCATCCTCAAACTGTCGTGGGGCGGGAGGGGTGGTGTCACTTGGGAATTCCTTCCCCCTTTTCCTCTTGATGGACCTAATTTGAAATAATCCTTCCCAGGTCCTGACTAAATTTCTGCCAGAAGCCTTTTTTTTTTTTTTTCGACAGAGTCTCATTCCGTTGCCCAGGCTGCAGCGCAGTGTCACAAATTGGCTCACTGTAACCTCCGCCTCCCAGGTTCAAGAGATTCTTCTGCCCCAGCATCCCAGTAGCTGGGATTGCAGGTGTGCACCATCATGCCCAGCTAATTTCTGCATTTTTAGTAGAGGTGGGGTTTCACCATGTTGGCCAGGCTGGTCTCAAACTCCTGGCCTAAAGTGATCCACCTGCTTTGGCCTCCCAAGGTGCCAGGATTACAGGCATGCACCACTGTGCCCAGCTGCCAGAAGGATTATAAACCAGCATGACCCAGGCACCTGGAGATGCAGAAAATCTGACCCCCCAGTCCTGTGGCCTTGAAAAATGTGCTCAGGTAAGGATCACAGAAAATGGTCTTCGGCAGACAGAAAGATTAGTGCTGGATTTTATTATTTTGTAAATGGTTTAGCCTATTTATAACTTATGAAGCAGAAACTAAAAACAGCTTAAGTATATGTTTATTTTAATTGGAGATGGGCATATGTTTATGTATGCCAATAACTTTTTGAAAGTATGTCATTATAATGAAACTATTATAAAGATGTGCATATGGGTGCATGTTGTATATATGTCAGCAGACACATATTGACATTTATGCAAAGTTGGTTATTGGAAGTGACTGGTAGTAGATATGACTGGGCTGTTCTTGTGCATAATCTTTGGTCCCTGGAAACCCTGAAGGACTGAGCGTGACCCAGGCAGTGGGTTTCTTCCCCATCAGCTTGGTTGCTTGGCGTTTATCTGCAACTGTCTTCCAAGTAAAGCTTCCCAGGAACTAGAGTCTGGGAAAACCTTACTGGGACTTTGGGTGCCTTTAAGCCATTGGCTATGACAGAGAGAAGTTGTTACTGGAAGGCTCTTGTGACATAACTGAGGGGTTCCTGCTTAGGAGGGCTCTTTTATTTATTTTTGAAAAAAGTAGAAATGTCACCTTTTTTATGATTCAGATGATCTGAAGGCACATCCTTTGCAGTGGAAAGAGAAGAGACTCCTGTTACCTACAATAGAAGGAATAGCCTAGACTGCACTGAATGCAGTGACTCATTGTGGGTTACAGGACATACTGGAGTAAATGCGCCTTACTGGAGTGAGACTTCAGTGACAGAGGGTTGAGTTGAGACTCGTCATCTTGTCTCATTCCTAGGAGGTGCTCAGTGAATACTTATGAAAAGGAAGGGAGGGAGTGTTGAGGGAGGGAGAGAGGGAGGGAGGAAAGCGGCAGGGTCTGAGCCTTCAGGAAGCAGGTGTCAGGCTCAGCTGGAATAATTTAGCCCTGCCAAAGATAACCTGGAAGGATCTTTTCAGAAAAAGGACAAAGCATTTCCCAAAGTAACTCATTTCTCAGTATTTGGAGGGTTGCAAACTAGGCACAACTTGTGTCCTTGCCTGGCGGTCAGTCTGGGCATGATGGATGAACCAGTGGAATGGGTGGCCCCAGGGCTCTGCTGATGGAGGCTGTGTTGTATGGGGTGTAGGCTCTTCTCAGGGAAGGTTTGTGGAGGATGTTGAGCCAGTGAGGGATGGTGGGAGTGTGTGGTGAATGTCTCTGATGCTGGTCCCTCAGAGAGGAGAGAAGGAGGAGAGGAAGAGGGAAGAAAGGAAAGAGGGAAGGAGGAGAAGAGGGGAGGGGACATCACAGCAAACATGACCAGAACCAGAGGGACTGTCTTCACAAAGGACTCCTGGTGCTCAGGTGGCAAAATGGGACCCAGAGTCTAGGGTAGGGATATTCTCCTTATTTCTTGTAACTGTCAACATTCTTAGCATCAGAAACCAACTCTGGTTAAACCAAAAAGGAACTGACTGAAAAGCACCTGGTTCACAGAAACATGGGGAAATCTTGAGAAGCAGGCAGGAGAAAGGGTCAGGCAGCTGCAGGTCCACAGCCAAAATCTTGCCAGTGAGGACATGGCCGTCACATTTTGTGCAGCATCTGCTGCTCCCGGAAACCAGTTATTGCTGTAGCCACTCTGACTTCATTTCTCATACTGCTTTGGATCAGCAGCCACCAATTCAAAACTCTGGGGCTAGCGTGTCTGACTGGTTAAGCCCAGATCACATCCTTGTACTCTAGCTTCAAGGGAGGTGGGAAGAGGAAGGCTTGGGTGGAAAGACTGGACTCTTTGGCTTTCTTAAAAGGAGGTGGAGAGTCAAAAAGGCCCACGAATGTCCACCATTTTCCTGCTCAGTACCATGTGATTTCCCAAAGGAAACCCACACTGCTTAGCCAATTTGAGACGTTGTTTTGGGAGCACTGGAGTACTGGTAAATTTAAACACACACACACACACACACACACACACACACACACACACACACACACACAGCCTGCTCTGAAAACATTAACATAAAGCTGAAAGATAAATTGGCTGTTGGAATAAACTTCCTGGAACACGTTGTTTCAAGATGAATCAGCCAGCCATCTATTTACTTACCTTTATGCACAAAAGGAAAAGAGAGAAGGAGGGTGTTCTAAGACGATTGTGCTTAACAAAGAACAGAATGGTAGTTTATACTTCTAAAATTACGAATCTCAGTTTGAATAGAGTTATCCATGACTACCAGTCGGCATTCAAGGTTTTTAGAGATTAGAATCTTATTTTGCAGAAATTATATCAAACTTTGAAAGCCAGATAATCTTGGAAAAGGACTTTTTACAGACAACCTCACAAGGAAACTGTTATGGTTACTAAATATAAAACAGGATCGCATTTTTGTAAATATTTTAGCCTCCAAATTTAATGAAAATTTTAAAAATTAGGGCTAGCATTTCATCTTTCCTGCTGGCATCAGTAGCTCTTTTCTCTATTGTGTGCAGTTACGAGGACTTGCCTTTTCAAGCCACAGAATTCCATTTGCTGGAATTGAGTCCAAAAGCTCAGGCAGGCCTTAAGGAAATCTATGACTTGGTAAACTCATAAGGGACTCTGAGGCTGTACTGGTCTCCTCTTATAAAACGGATGTTCATAACCCCCTGATCCTGAAGTTATTCACAGAAGCTCATCTTTCTTGGGGGAATTTTTAATTCCCTATTCTCATTTATATACTTTGGGTAGGGGGCGGATTCTAATTGACTTAAACGAATTAGCATGTCCCCCCTTGAGCAAACTGATTAGATCAGGGATGGGCATATGATCATGTCAGTGTGTGTGTGTGTGTGTGTGTGTGTGTGTGTGTGTGTGTGAGAGAGAGAGAGAGAGAGAGAGAAACAGAGACAGAGAGGCAGAGACAGAGATAAAGAAAGAAAAAATCCCAGGACTTTGGCAGGAGCCCCCAGAAGAGAGAATCTCTCTCTCTCCCTCTCTGGAAAGCATAGAGTGAGAGTGAGGTCTTGCAGTTGCTGGAGCTGATGGATGAAGCCAACCATGTGGAAAGCAGAAGACAGGGAAATAAAGAAATGAGATCTTTCAGTTGCTAGATCAGGTCTCACCTAACATTGTAATCACTTTTTAATTTTGTGAGCCAATAAATGTCCTTTATTATTTATTTATTTTTGACACAAGGTCTTGCTCTGTTGCCCGCCTGGCAGTGGCAGGAATACAGCTCACTGCAGCCTCAGCTTCCTGGGCTCAAACAATCCTCCCACCTCAGCCTACCAAGTAGCTGGGACTACAGGCACATGCCACCATGCCTGACTAATTTAAAACCATTTTTAGGCCTGGTGCAGTGGCTCATGCCTGTAATCCCAGCACTTTGGGAGGCCAAGGCAGGTGGATCTTCTGAGGTGAGGAGTTCGAGACCAGCCTGACCAATATGGTGAAACCCTGTCTCTACTGAAAATACAAAATTAGCCGGCCATGGTGGCAGGTGCCTGTAATCCCAACTACTGGGGAGGCTGAGCCAGGAGAATCGCTTGAACCTGGGAGGCAGAGGTTGCAGTGAGCCTGAGCCAAGATCATGCCATTGCACTCCAGCCTGGGCAACAAGAGTGAAACTCCGTCTCAAAAAACAAAAACAAAGCACAAACAAAAAAAACATTTTTTTGTGGATGCAGAGGTCTCACTATGTTGCCCAGGCTGGTCTTGAACTGCTGGACTCAAGTGATCTTCTTGCCTTGCCTCCCAAAGTGCTGAGATTACAGGAGTGAGCCACCACACTAGGCTCATTTGTTGTTTAAATGAGTTGAGTTCTATCTCTTGTAATTGAATAATCTCTCATTGATGGACTGAAAAAAACACTTGCAACTAAATAGTCCTTAGTATCTCAGTATGTAAGTATTAAAATATACCTTAGCATAAAAAAGTATTTCTTAGTATATAATTTTCATGGTATACAAAGAATTTTTAAAATTAAGAAAAATAATAATAACCTAATAGAAAGCAAAGAACAAAAACACTTAAAAAATGGCTAATAAATATGTGAAAACTGTTCTATCTTGTTTGTGATTAAAGAATTGTACATTAAAATGGAAATAGGCTACCATTGTTAATAATTGGAATGATGAAGATCAAAAAGTGAGAAACCATACAGGTTGGTGAACAAAGGGCAAACACGTACTCAGTACTGGCAGGAGCTGGGGGTTGGGGGTAATAAATTGGAAGGCAATTGGCAATATCTACCAAGATTTTAGGTAAATATATCCTGTGATCAGGCAATTCCACTACTAGAAATTTATCTCACAGATAAATTCCCACAAGTGCACAAACATGTACATAAGAGCTCATTACAATATTATATGAAACAGTAAACTATAGTGAAGGAGCCCAGGGAATTTCTGAGGCACTCTGACATGCTGATATTTTAAATTTAAGACTCTTGAAGGTCAGCAGATGCTGCAAAAGGCTCTCCTCTGATATACCCTTATCAACCTAAGACTGGACCCACCAAAGAGAGCTGAACTGCATCCCATCTCCTCCCTGGAATCTCATTGTTTATTGCAGAAAAGAAGACTGGGGAATGCAACCACGCCCAGATGGACATTTCACATAAGACACGGATTGATGCATTGGACTTCTCCCCAAATAGGATGCTGTGTCAAAGCTGACCAAGTATACAATGCTGTCCTTGGGAGGACCCTATAGCATCTCATCATTGTAGGTATGGCAACATTATCTTTCAAAGAAGAATCTAGAATGGCACAAGGAGAATGGCTTATTCTTTTTAGAGGGCAGCAAGGCCAATCTCTGTCTCAATTGGGTGGGCAGGCTCTTCCTTAAATACCTACAACCTGTTCCTGAAATAGCTGAGAGACCTTCAAGGCAGGGGCTCACTGAGAGAGGGGTGCAAGCAATTGACCTCGTTGTTGCTGACAGTCTCCTTGGCAGAGGGGCAACACCAGGACATGAAAGTAAGAGGAGAGAGATTTCATAACAGACATGCATCATGGAGGAGGGGTAACCTGGCCTTGTGGATAGACTCTGTGAGCTGGCATGAGTTCTGGAAGGGCGGTGCTTCAGTCAACACTGGTGTCCAATGTTCAAGGAAATCCTAGAACAAAGGAATCACGAGACAAGCTCTTAAGCGTTTGTTGGTACAGACTGCTGTACTGGATGTTCAGGACTCTTTTTTTATCCAGAAGATAAACAAGGGAAGCAAACAGTCACGTGACATCTGAAGTGGGCTCTCTTTCACACACAGATTCATAAAGGATGCTCAACCACAACAAGCAATTCATTGAGTAAAAAAGGTGAATTAGTAACTCACGGTAAAATTACTGTTTCAGAATTTCTTGTTTTGTCATGTAGGCTTAAAGGGGAACATGTTCATCTTTACAAAAGCATCATAGCAAGCGCCAACAGGCCAGAGACAAAGGATAAATGACTAAGTTCTTTCATAGACAGGATGGCGATGCAAGAGGCAAGTGTGAGAATGTGGCTTGTCCACCTGCCAGGAGATGATTGCCGCTAGAGCAGGGGTTCCCAGCCTTGATGTACATTAGAATCAACTGAGAAGGGATTGTAAGTCCCCATGTGGCAGCCCAGGCTAATCAAATCAGACCATCTGGAGATAAGGCCTGGCTTCAGTATTTTCAGACCTCTCCAGATGATTCCACTGAACATCCTAGGCAGAGAACCAATTCCCCTTGGAGTGGAACTTTCTTCCACCACTGTAAGGTCTTCAGTCCTCTCATTCTCAGGAGAGAGAGGCTTCTGTTGAATCAATTGATGTTGATACAGCAGAACAATTAGCATAGAAGAAACCTGTAATAGGCATATTACAAATGCAAACATACCTTGGTTAATGCATGACATTTTTAACTTGTCCCCAGGATGTATGGGTTGAGGGGAGATCATTCTGAGCAGGGCAGGGAACAATGCTGTGTTGGTCTCCAGTGTCCCCAGGGCCCAGCCCAGTCTCTAGCACAGAGTACACGCTCCATAAACATTTGCTGAAGGATTGGATGACTTTTAGGGGAAATTGCCTGTTTCCAACATTAACCTTTTGCAGAAGAGATGGTGAATAGGTCAACTGAGCACCAAGAAGGTATTTATAATGCTTTCCATAAATTGATTGTGGGAGATGTAATATATCCAACTACAACCCATCCTCATGGATGTGAAAAGGGGAAATAACAAACACCTAAAAATTTAACGTGCTTTAAATTTTTTTTTTTTTTTTTGGAGACAGAGTCTTGCTCTGTCACCCAAGCTGGAGTGCAGTGGCGCGATCTCGGCTCACTGCAAGCTCCGCCTCCCGGGTTCACGCCATTCTCTGGCCTCAGCCTTCAGAGTAGCTGGGATTACAGGCGCCCGCCACCACGCCTGGCTAATTTTTTGTATTTTTAGTAGAGACAGGGTTTCACCATGTTAGCCAGGATGATCTCCATCTCCTGACCTCGTGATCCGCCGCTTTAAAATTTTTAAATAAAGTAACATGAGTTAATTTGTCACTTTGGAAAACAGCTGACATTTGGAACCTGTCAAATTGAGAACAATTTCACTGAAATTATGAATAAAAAATAAAATGTGGGGCAAACGTATCACACAGTGGCCTGAACTCTACAGAGAGGAGAACCCAGTAGGCAATGAGTGTGCAACAGTCTATTTCCAGTGTAATAATTATGGATCTGATTTGAATTTCAATTCCATAGAGCATAAAATCCCCAGCAATAGCTTCTTGCTTCCAGGTAGCGACATGGCATAATGCATGTGGATCGCATTCCTGTGCACGCAATTGGTATCACAAGGCTCTTACTCCAACAGGAAGGGCTTTACTATCTGAAGAGGAAAATGTATACGAAAGACAGAATAAACCTTCGAAGTTTACTTTAATCAAAGAATAGTCACACAATTCTCTTTGCAAAATGCACCTCTTTTCTTAAATGGTTGTATTTCCTGTTTAAATGCACGCCTAGAAACATTTCAATCATGCTATGGTTCTTTTTCATATCTTTAGTGTTATTTTTATTATAAAACCAACATACACATACGGTAAAAGTTTCTAGACAATAAACAATGTAGAAAGTTACTGCTACTAGTTTGAATCTTATTGGTAGTATCTACTACAAACGAGTAAGGTGATAACTTTTAAAGCTCTCAGTAGGTATGTAAATATGAGAACTGGTCACAGAAAATACTAAAGAGTAAAAACAATTAATTAATTTAAGAACTTTATAATAGCCAGAGTCTGTCTTGCCCTTCATTCTTTTTTTTTTTCAAATGGCCAATTCTCACTCTGTCACCTAGGCTGGAGTGCAGTGGTGTGGTCATAATTCACTGCAGCTTTGAACTCCTGGGCTCAAGTGATCCTTCCACCTCAGCCTCCCAAGTAGCTGGGACTGCAGGCTTGTTCTACCACATCCAGCTACTTTTTCTTTTTCTTTTTTTTTTTTTTCTTTTTTAGACGGAGTCTCACTCTGTTGCCCAGCCTGGAGTGCAGTGGCGCGATCTCAGCTCACTGCAAGCTCCGCCTCCCGGGTTCACGCCATTCTCCTGCCTCAGCCTCCGGAATAGCTGGGACTACAAGAGCCCACCACCACGCCCGGCTAATTTGTTTATATTTTTTTAGTAGAGACGGGGTTTCACCGTGTTAGCCAGGATGGTCTCGATCTCCTGACCTTGTGATCCGCCTGCCTCGGCTTCCCAAAGTGCTAGGATTACAGGCGTGAGCCACCGTGCCTGGCTAATTTTTTTTAGTCTTTGTAGAGACAGGGTCTTTCTATGTTGTCCAGGCTGGATTTGAACTCTTGACCACAAGTGATCTCCCACCTCAGCCTCTGAAAGTGCTAGGATTACAGGTGTGAGCCACTGCACCTGGCCTTATTCTATTTTTATTTAGTTTATAACTCTTATATTTGCAAACATTTTATTCATTACACAACAAATCATTTAACAGCTATGAATACAATCCCACTTAATAGAAATATAAATATTCAATGATGTAACTTGCACAAAACATTTAGATATATATAGTGTATGTATATGTATCCAACTGGTTATAACCAGTTTGTTCTAACAAAAGGATTTCAAAATTTAACTTTTTGTACGTATAAAGATAAAAAGGTATGGTAATAAAATCTTAAAAGAGTATTTTCTAAAAATTAGCAGGCTAACTTAACATTTTAGAGAAAATTTCAAAGCTACAAACTTTTAAAATCTTTACCTTTTAATGGTTAAAAATCATCCATTATAATTTCCCTAAAAATATATACATTTATCTAAGCTATTGGCATGCTTTTGTAAAGATCAAGAATATTAAAAATATTAACCTTTTCACTCATATTTGCAGCTTGTAGCTACTTTTGCTGTAGGTAACTCTGGAGTGAATTTCATCGTCTAGTCAGCAGGGTGATGTAAGAAAAGCGTTGTCACCAACACTTCAGGACACCTGCGTTACTATACCTCTCAGGTCGTGAAAGAAGGGAGATTAATTACAAGGGTAATTACCTTAACCCCAGCCTGGCTTTCACTGAAGTAAAGGTCTTGGTGACATGTCCTTTCCATGTCATAAGGGACAAAGGCCACCCAAAGACACTATCTAGAAAAATGTAATTTGATTCTTTTTTTTTTTTTTTTTTTTGAGACAGAGTCTCACTCTGTCATCCAGGCTGGAGTGCAGTGGCGCAGTCTCGACTCACCGAAAGCTTTGTCTCCCAGGTTTGATTGGTTCTCCTGCCTCAGCCTTCCAAGTAGCTGGGATTAAAGGCGTGCGCCACCACGCCTGGCTAATTTTTGTATTTTTAGCAGAGATGGGGTTTTGCCATATTGGCCAGGCTGGTCTCAAACTCCTGACCTCAAGTGATCCGCCTGCCTTGGCCTCCCAAAGTGCTGGAATTACTGGCATGAGCCACCGCGCCTGGCCCTGTCTTTACTATTTATTCAAAGTCTCAGAATTAATGAAGTCGCATGTTAATTTGAAGATTTTTGTCTGGTAAAGAAGCAAATAATTTGTTTTGCACCCAAATGGTAGTTTATATCCCTGTTGAATATTAGCTAGGTTTGTATTCAACCCAGTAATCTTTTTTCTTTTTCTTTTTCTTTTTGCAGACACAAATACATTCCTTTATTAGGGTAGCCCTTGCACTTATAAAGAAACCTTCCTCAAAAAGGAAGTGTACAAAATGATGAAGCTACAATAGTTTATTTCAACATACTAAACCAAAAAAATAAGAAAACAACTAATTTATTTGGAAAAAAAAAATTCTGTACATGCAAGGTTGGCTTGATTGACCATAATGTATTTCAGCAAAAAAAAATTAGATACACCACACATAATAAAGCTTTCTATGTACACAGTAAATAGTAAATAACTTTGCTAAGTGACCAGACATTTGAAAAAATGAAAACACAGTTGTAAAACAAAGTACATAAGAATATTGTGACCTTATTTAACTGTACAAAAAGCAATCATTCTCTCCAGCCTTCCATTTTCACTTACATTTTCTTTAACAGGATTAAGCCCCAAATTGAAGGGATTAAATCCTTTCTTCCTAATGCCTTGGGAATATCAGATTCTCTTTCAAATCTTTAACTGTTTACAAAGGAGCAGAGCACTTAAAGGGAAATGGTGGGAAAGAAAGAGATTTCAATTCTGTGCCACTCATCTAGATTCTGCTGGGGAAGATTTCCCAAGTCCACTATCAATTCAGTCAACTTGGTTTAAAAACGTAATACCTGATTGTAGGACTAATTTGGCTTTTATTTAGCCCATCTGCAGCTTTATCATTAAAAATCAGCTCCTGACATTAGCCCTTAGCTCAATATCTACAAATGAAATTTGGGAATTCTACGACAGTGATGTTAGCATATTTAAATGTAAAATGCACAATGATTAATTTTTAAATATGCAAACTGCTACATTTTCTCAATAATCAATTCATGCACAAATAAAAAATGGCAATAGGAAAAGCAGAAAAATATGGATGTTTCTAAATGAGACAATGAGACAATTATAAAAATTTCATATATTAATACCAAGACAAGACTGGGGCCAGCTTACATTGTAAGAAAAACTATTATTGTATATAATTGGGCAGCAAAACCCAGTCCTGTCTAAAAGCAATGGATCAAACTGTCTTCTCAAGTCCTTCCTGGCCATATTTCTATGTGCTCCAATGAAACATTTTTAATAAATGCAATCTATCATAGAACTACAAGTTTTTATATTCCTAAATAATGAACTTAACTTTATTATAGCAATGATTTAAATACATGTGCTGTAAAAAAAAAGTTGTAAACACACTCTTAATTTTTTTCTTTACCTGCAAGATATTTTTAAAAGATTACACAACTTCTTGATTCTTTAAGAACTAAGAACCAAAGTATTGAACATAATAAATAAATGTGCAACCTTCAACCTAGTAATCTTAATGTTGCCAAGAATTACCCAGCTTCTCAAATGCTCTTGGAGTCAGTTTTCATTTTATTGTTTTCCTCATTAATTAATGAGTTGAATAAAGTCCTTGTCCTGTGTTTATGTGTATGAGAGTCATGTCTTGTGACCTTTTGGAAATTACATGTGATCATTTTTGAAGGTCATGTACTGAGATGTTTGAGAAGATTAGCCTGGCAGAGCCCAAGAAACTGATTTGCCTGCTCATCTTTTCTTGACCTCTGAAGTGAATCCTGGGTGGTGACAGAACTTGAACTTTCCGACTCTCTAGTTCTTTTGCCCTTTCTACTGATTTTATGTATTAATATTTGTTTTTGTTTCTGGTTTGTACATCTTCAGTGGTGACAGAACTTGAACTTTCCGATTCTCTAGTTCTTTTGCCCTTTCTACTGATTTTATGTATTAATATTTGTTTTTGTTTCTGGTTTGTACACCTTCAGTAACTTACTCCCTACTGGTAGCAACAAAACAATGATTGGGGACTTGCTTTTATGGTCTATTTGGTTATCTCAGTTGGATGAATAAGGGAGACCTGTTCTTTGTTGGGTGAGATTTGACAGAGAATTCGATTTATTAGTCTTGTTTCTGTTTTGTTATTTTAATGTTTGTTTATAAACAACCTTAAAGCAATCGAGAATTACATGCTATATTAGTCAGGCTTCTCCAGAGAGATAGAACCAGTGGGATATGTGGAAGGGCATTTATTAGGAGGAAATGGCTCACACAATCACAGAGGTGGAGAAGTCCCACCACATGCCGACTGTAAGCTGGAGAACCAGAGAAGCTGGCAGCGTGGCTCAGTCCAAGTCTGAAGCCTCAGAACCAGGGAAGCCGACGGCGCAGCCCCCAGCCAGGCCTGAGAATTCTGAGATCGTTGATTGTCAATCTTGAGTCACACTGGGGGTGAAATGGTTATGCTAGTAAATTCTGGCAGAGATTGTTTTGTTGCTCTTCAGTGGGGAAAGCAGTTGCAAGCAATACTCAGAGTGATGTGCCCAAATGGATCACTGGATGTTGTTACTGCATAATCTGAACAGGAACCAACACTTCATGGATAAGTACCATTAGCAAGAGAAGGAACCAAATGGAAGGGTAAATGGTTTTAGGTTAACCCACCAAGAGTGCTAGAAAATCAATTTAAAGTATATGTCTTACAGACAGTGGGTGAGACATTAGTACTATTTTCACATACTATTTACTTATTTATTTAGAGTCTCACTCTGTCACCCAGGCTGGAGTGCAGTGGTGCAATCTTGGCTCACTGCAATCTGTCTCCTGGGTTCAAGCAATTCTCCTGCCTCAACCTCCTGAGTAGCTGGGATTACAGGCATGTGCCACCACACGCAGCTAATTTTTTTTTTTTTTTTTTTTAGTAGAGGTGGGGTAATGCCATGTTGGCCAGGCTGGTCTCGAACACCTGACCTCAAGTGATCCTGCCTCAGCCTCCCAGTGTTAGGATTACAGGTGTGAGCCACTGCTCCCAGCCTCACATACTATTTAAATTGCATTTGATGTAAACATCTATTGTTTGTCTTTCCCCCCTGCTTTTCCTTTAGGCAGCCTTTGCCTGACACATTCTCTGTGGTCTGGGGGCAATGCTGGATATTGTTAATCAGCCATCCCTTCACCACGCTTAACAGGGTTCTGCCTCCTGGGAATGTAAATCTGAGCAGAATGACAAAAAAGGGGTTTAAAGCTAAACATCATATTAACAGCATCTGAAATGCCTGGCCATGGTTTCCTGACTGAGATCCTTAGCTGCCTTTCATTCCTTGGGACTGCATGCTTCTTCAGCTTTCCCTTCCATTCTGTTTATATTAGCTAGACCAAGTTTATGTGGCTTACAACCAAGTACCATAACTGACAAAACATCCTATTTTCCAGGTGAAGTGATGTAAGTCAAGTCCTACACTCAGTGGTCCAATCAACATCTAACCCATGGCTCTTTCTTCATGGCTTCTGTGAAACATGGATTCATAGTGCTCCCTTTGTGCCATTACAGAATATCTCACTTATATTGAAGAATTGACTTCTCTTCACAGAGGTCTTTTCCTACTGAAAAACTTCCTTAAAAGAGAAAAATATTCTAAATATACTTCTAGAAATGACAATGTCTTTGTTGATTGACTTAGATTCAGTTTATTTTAATTACATATATTGTTTGATCTAATGAAGTGTTACGGCAGGACAGAAGGGTGAAATTAAAAATCTGAAAGAAATCTTTAATAATCTTATATACTTAAAAAAGTAGTATGCAAACTGACAGAAGAAGTATTTTATTTATTTATAATATCATTTTGTAAACAATCACACTGTGCACTTTTTTATTCAACAATAAGAACAATTTTTTTCTAGGGATTTATAGCAAACCCTATATAAAGTGAATGACTTAATACACGAGTGAAGATGACTAGGGTAGAATAATTTCTGAAAATGTCAAATTACAGCACTTGATACAAAGACTGATGATAACTATCTGTACCATAAAAATTTACATGCCACGAAAACATTAATTTATAATTTTAAATATACAGTAAAACATAGTTATAAAAAGAGTATTACATTTATTATAAACCAGTGAATTACTCAGAGAAATATTTATTAAAACCTACTAAAAACCAGTAAATATTGCAACTGAGGTAAAAATTTATAAGTAAACAAAACTATCATTTATAAGGACCAAGAAGTAAACAAAAGGGCAGACATTTTCTGATGACTGTGTCTACTCCTTGATATTTTGAAGCAGCTTCAACAAATGTGACTCAATAACCTGTTGAACTAGAACAGATAGGTAATCAAGATTACAGCACAGTGACTATAAAATTTCTTTTAAAACTATCAAATTTAACTTATCCCCAATATTTTCCTAAAATAAAGTTATTTCTAAGCAGGATACATACATAGCCTGAGGGCAATAATACAATGCAATACTTTAAAAAACTTGAAACTTAGTCTGTCACTGAGTAACTGTCCAAGTTACTGGACGTTGTGTCTTTGTTTCTTTATTTTTGAAACTCAAGGAGAGTCCAGAATACAAGGTTATCCTAAGGTTGCCCTATAAATAGTTTGCTATCAAAATATGAAATAAATCTTATAAACAGGTATGCACTTATCCTCCAGTAACCAATTATTTGGGTTGGTGAAAAGTATAGTAACAAACTCATTTCTAGACTTTATAGGAATTTGTGGACTTTTCCCAAAGTTAAAAGTATATGTCAGGAGTTGGGATAACATGTTTTAGGATTACAGTGATAAAGATGGTTTGGAGTACTGGCTTATACTATTTACAGAGCTTTACTAAGATGAGACACAGGAGTTCTAACATACTTACCACTTCTATAGCCTAGGGCTACAGCTAGATCCATAGAATTATATCCAGAGTCAGTTTCAATTGTTGGATCAGCCCCACTTTCTATACCAAAATAGAAAAACTACATAAATGAAATGAAAATGCAGATATGTTTGTCTGTTATTGGCTCATGTACAAATAGCTGGAGAGATTTTTCAGTTTGGAGAATGTTTTAGGATAGTCTGACAAAGTACAGAGTGCATGGGGTACTTAGAATTTACTTTAGTGGATTGGAGGGAAGACACTTCAAACAAACAGCATCCTTTAGAGCAGCTGAAACTCATACACAATTAAAGATAAAGCTCACGCATAAAGACACTGTAGAAAGAGTACAATAGTGAATTCATTTTCTTTTCTTCTTTTTTTTTTTTGACAGAGCCTTGCTCTGTCACCCAGGCTGGAATGCAGAGGCGCAGTCTCGGCTCATTGCAACCTCTGCCCCTGGGGTTCAAGCGATTCTCCTGCCTTAGCATCCTGAGTAGCTCGGATTACAGGCGCCCACCTGCCTGGCTAATTTTTGTATTTTCTGTAGAGACGGGGTTTCGCCATGTTGGCCAGGCTGGTTTGAACTCCTGATCTCAAGTGATCCACCCACCTCGGCCTCCCAAAGTGCTGGGATTACAGGCTTGAGCCACTGTGCCTGGCCACATAGTGGATTCACATGTGACCCCCCAAATGAAAGCAACAAGGATAAAAGGTCCAATTGCAGGTGTGGTATGTGATGGAGCTGCTTCTCACATGGGCAACTTTTGGTGGCAGGTGCTCTAAGGGTGAAGAGCAGCAAGATTCATGTATTTAACAATAGTTAATGATTCTCCTGAGTAGTACCAGGGGAGGCCAGGTCGAAAAAATAAAATCAAGTCCTCACATGGCATTTTCTAAATTTTTATCTGCTTACCTAAGAGCATCTTTACACATTTCACATGATTTCCATGTACAGCATAAAGCAGAGGTGTTCCTCCATTCTGCAAAATGAAAAGGTGATTCAGAGTTTTTCACGGTGAGCAAGACTCAAGTAATTTAATGCTGCTGTAAGAAGTTTTACTAGAATTAGACATATAATCATTTAAAGTAATTTTAATATTTTGTGAAGGATACTTAAATCAGAACTAATAATTGAGTCTATGATATTAACTTTTTCTTCTATGTAGCTAATTAATTATTCTTCTTTATTTATTCTTTTATTTATTTTTTAGAAACAGGGTCTCACTCTGTCACCCAGGCTGGAGTACAGTGGTGCAATCACAGCTCACTGCAGCCTCAAACTTCTGGGCTCAAGCTATCCTCCCGCTTCAGCCTCCCAAGTGGCTGGGACTACAGGTGTACACCACGATGCTCAGTCTATTTCTTCTTTAATAAAACTTACTGCATCTCTCCCAAACCAAATAAATTCTAAAACTTGCTAGAGTCATTTTAAATTTAGTATTACAAACTTACCCAATCATATTCATTTACATCAACTCCACAATCAAGCAGCATTTTGACAATATCTGTGTAGCCTTTACTACAGGCCAACGACAGTGCACTTTCTCGACCTTTTCCTAAAAGTTGGGGATCAGCACCCTGGTATGGGAAGTAGAGATAAAAGACTTCTCAATTAGTTTAAACAAGAATATTGTTATTCCTGTCAACAATAATTATAGTTCAACACTAGGCCTGGTAATGTTCTGGGCTTAATAAAGAAATAATGGAAACTTTTACTCATGGATGCTTTTATTGAGATTGCCTGGATGCCTTCCTTCCTCCGTCCTGTATCAATCCTAATTATCCTTTCACTCTGGAGTCAAGTCACAGCTCCTCCATGAAGCCTTCTCCTTCAAAGCTGACAGTACTTCTGTTCCCGTGGGATGTAGAGGGGTCTGGGCGTTAAATTATTTCTCACTGTTGCATGTATGATTAGTCTTGCCTTCCCAACTAGATCCAAGTTCCACAAGAATATGAAAAGCATTAAACTTTTTTTGGTAGCCTCTACCATTATATCTAGCTGGCTGGATATATAAAAACTCTACTAAAGACTTAACTTAAGTAACTATACATATACATTTTCTGAGGCATTTTCCTTACATTCTGAAGTAGGAACTCTACCACAGCTATTTGCCCGTGTGCTGCAGCCCACATCAGAGGAGTAAATCCTTCTTCATCCGTGTGATTGATAACATTTTCTATTTAAAAGAAAAGCAATTTTTGTGATCTAATTTAACAACCATATCTTAATATCACTATGAAAAACTGGCATTCCAAAGAGCTGATTATAATACTCAGTAAAGTTCACTTTGTGCTGACTTTATGTTGGTGTCCTATTTATTGCATGTTGTTGTAATTTGTAGTCTGAGTGTATTAAAATATGCCTCAATGTACATAGCCGGGTTCAGATAGCATATTACTTAAAGTATAAACTACCAGACATGACATAATGTCGGGTACAAGGCAGTCAAGAGAACACTGGTCTCAGAATCAGGAGACCACAGTTTGAATCCTGGCTCTGTCACTTTCCAGCCATGTGACCCTGGGCAAGACACTTAATTTCTTCAATATACAGAATTCCTTGCTTACATCAACGTACAGTTGGGAGGATCATAATAAAAGTGAGATTATATGATAGCCCTCAGAATTACAGAAATATATAAACTTATTGAATCTTATTGAAGCTATCTTCTACTCCATAGCTAACATTGCTGCCTGTGAATTTCTCTCATTCTTGTGGTTTGCTAACATAATGTTATGTGGATGACAGATAATATAATGTGAATGAATAGTCTGAAATACAGTACCATGCAATTCTACCTTGAACCCCATTTTCTTCCCTAGATTGTCTACTAGTTATTAAGTCCACAGCCTTTTCCCTAAATTTATTTAGTAGATTGAAGAAGCCTCCAAATATTCATAAACAAACAGAAATATAAGATTCTTTCTTATAAAAATGACAAGATTAAGCAAAATAAAACTCTTTGATCAGACTCCCTGTATTCAATAAACAGTTTTGGGACAACTGGCTAACTTTTTAAAGCATGAAAATAAAAATACAGCTCAATCTTTACTTCATTACAACAAAACATATTCCATATGAGTTAAATATTGAAATGTAAAAAGGAAAGCCCAGAAGTTCTAGAATAAGGAATGAGTGAATTTATTTATAATCTTGAAATGGGAAATCCTTTCTAAGCAAGATATACAATCCAGAAGTCACAAAGAAGAAAATAAATTTATGACTTACAGATGTTATGCTTTCAGAACTTCATAAAGGAAGTCAAAGGAAAAATGACAAGCTGGGGAACAATATATGCAACATAAACAACAACAAGAAAAAAAGCTAATTTCCTTAATTTAGAGTTTACATACTAATATATAGCAGGTAGGTCACACGCAAAAAATTCCAGTAGACCATAACTTAAAAAATGTAAATGAAACTACTCTGAGATGCCATTTTTCACACGTCAGATTAGCAAAATTTGGAATCTGCTAATATCCTGTATCAGTGAGGGCGTGGGGAAACAGAAACTCTAGCTCTTGTGTGAGGACACACATCTGGTTATATATATAAAATATATATTTACATATATAAAAAAATACATATATATATATATACACCCTTTGACCCAGCAAATCTACTTGTGGGAATCTGCCCTATAGATATACTTTTAAGTTTTAAGTTTAAACTTAAAACTTAAGGGGGGCAGTTAAAAAAAAAAATAACATAGAACACGTACATGCAATACAATGCACACTTATGGAACTATGAAAAGAATAAAATAGGTCTTTAATACGTGCTTATATGGAAAGCTCTCCACAGTATTCAGTGTAAAACGGTGCAATGTAGTGTATATTTTCCCTTTTGTGTAAATAACAAGCACATATACATTCTCACACATAATCCGAAACATAAATAGAAATGTTTTCAAAAAAATTTACTGAAAATGTAAGAAACTTATAACGTTTGCTTTTGGGGAAAAGGCAACGGTGGTAAAGGAACTTTTACGCTTTATATTCCTTTTTTTTTTTTTTTTTTTTTTACTATCCATTGGGTTATCTGCCTGGTGAGTTTATGTAACTATTTGTTTTTGTCTTTAGGACTTTCTTATATTAAAATAAAACAATAACAAATCTAATAAATCCTATTGAATTTGTTTAAATATTTTTAAATAGGCTATTACCTTGTTCGATACGAGTAGCCAGATAGAGCATCTCTCCCTGAGCAGCCAACTGGTGAACAGACAAAGCTGAAAGAGTATCATAAAATGCTTCATGAATTATCTATAGGGTACACTTGCATCATCCCATGGTTCATGTTTGTGTCACCAATTTTCTTTTCCAAAACAAAAACTACAATTTTATTGTTTTAAAAATATAACTTAAAATGTATCCTAAAATTAAGGCTGGGCGCAGTGGCTCATGCCCGTAATCCCAGCACTTTGGGAGGCAGAGGCAGGTGGATCACTTGAGGTCAGGAGTTCGAGACCAGCCTGGCCAACGTGGCAAAACCCTGTCTCTACAAAAAATACAAAAATTAGCTGGGCATGGTGGCATGTGCCTGTAATCCCAGCTACTTGGGAGGCTGAGGCTGGGGAATCACTTGAATCAGGGAGGCAGAGGTTGCAGTGAACTGAGATTGTGCCACTGCACTCCAGTCTGGGTGACAGAAAAAAAAAAAGTACCCTAAAATTACAAGTACTCATTCTGTATCTGAGAATTGATTCATATTTATTTAAGGTAATTCTGATATCTACAATTTTATTTTTATGAGACAGGGTTTCGTCATGTTGTTCTGGCTGGCCTTGAACTCCAGGGCTCAAGCAGATCCTCCCACCTTGACCTCCCACAGTGCTGGGATTACAGGCATGAGCCACCATGCCTCAGCCTTTTTTAAAAATCTACAAATTGGTATTATCAATGAAATCTATTCTGAAGAAACGGCTTAGATATTTAATTTTTAAAATGCTATTTCTGCATCCAAACTTATCAGGAAGATGGGTCTTAAGACATGAAGACACTCTTTTGTCTTTTTATTGACTGACCCCATTGTGGTCTTAAATATTTTTATTTCGAGATTCTATGGGGTTTTCTTTTTACAAGGAATGAAGTCACAAATGAAAAACTGGCCTTGAGAGTAAATTTATTTATTTATTTATTTTGAGACAGGGTCTCGCTTTATCACCCAGGCTTGAGTGCAGTGGTGTGATCTCAGCTCACTGCAGCCTCAACCTTCTGGGCTCAAGTGATCCTCCTGCCTCAGTGCCCCAAATAGCTGGAACTATACAGGTGGGTGCCACCACATCCAGATAATTTTCATATTTTTTGTAGAGACAGGGTTTTGCCATGTTGCCCAGGTCTTCAACTCCTGAGCTCAAGTGATCCGCCAGCCTCAGCCTCCCAAAGTGCTAGGATTATAGGCATGAGCCACTGCGCCTGGCCTGAGAATAAATTCTTGAGTGTAGGCCTAGCTGTGGCTAATTAGCTGTGTGATGTTGGATAAGTTTAAACATTTTTGTCTGTAACATGAGATGTAAATCAAATGATCTTAGGTGTTTGTTTTTAGCTCAAAAATTCTATGGTGGATTATTTTAAGACAACTTCTTTAAAGACAATGCCAAATAGGGAGAGTTCTCCTTAAAAATTAGTAGCATTTGATCATTGACTTCAATGATACGATTGGATGGCCTTACTACAGAAGGAAAAGCAATTGGTGTCCTATGCAAATTTATATAAGTAAACCAGAAATGGCCTACAGGTGGGATGAGAGTCCTACAGGAAGATTCTTCCTAGCTCAGTTGGTACAGTATGTGACTCAGAAATCAGGAGGGATTTAGTGTTTCCAAAGAAAAAACAGATTTTGTCATGCTTTAGAATATAGATATATTTATCTTACATTCTCAAATACAGTGACTAACAGAAATACAGTTAAATACTAACACAAATACAGTTGCTGTTTTTCTTTTTTTTAACATACTTATACTATATAGAATATTTTTGTATTTTAAATAGAAAAACTTCCTCTACAATGATTCTACTTTAAAAAAATTGTGGATTCAAGGTGTTAAAATAGGTGATTTCATATTCATATTATATTCAAATTCAAAATTACAGTGCAAATCACTCAGCTTTTACTACAAAATCATTTATTGATCAGTGATCTGGTTTATAAGTAAAATGTGAAGCCTTGAACTCTAAGAAGATGAAAATACAGTGTCTTAATTTCAAAGGGCTCAGAATTATTATTTTTAATCTCTATTTATTATTTATTAACTCACTATTTTTACAGTAAAACTTTTAAGTTTTCATAATTAATATTTTAATCTGTATTTGCTCTCAACAGAGAAATATAACACATGAACTATTTATTTATTATTGATTGATTGGAATCATGGTCTCACTCTGTTGCTCAGGCTGGGGTACAGTGGCATGATCACAGCTCACTGCAGCCTTGACCTCCTGGGCTCAAGTGATCCTCCTGCCTTAGCTTCTTGAGTATGTGGGACTACAGGTGTTTGCCACCACACCTAGCTAATTAAAAAAAATTTTTTTTGGTAGAGATGGGATCTTGTTATGTTGCTCAGGCTGGTCTTGAACTCCTGAACTCAAGTAATCCTCCTACCTCAGCATCCCAAAGTGCTGGGATTACAGGTGTGACACGCCGTGTCTAGCCCCACATGAAATATTTAAAAATGCAAGAATATATGAAAAAGTTTACAACTGCTAAAACTACTAGGACATCACTTAAGCTTTCAAAAAAGTTACGTATAATGCATTTATTTATTTTTAATTGACAAATAATAATTGTGTATATCTATGGAGTACAAAGGGGTATTTTAATATATGTTTACATTATGGAATGATTAAAGCCAATTCACAAATCTATCACCTCACATACTTATTTTTTCGTGGTGTAAACATTTAAAATTTACTCTTTTAGCAATTTTGAAAAATACAATGCATTATTATTTTTTATTTTTATTTTTTTGAGACAGGGTCTCACTCTGTCACCCAGGCTGGAGTGCAATGGTGCTATTTCAGCTCATTGCAACCTGCTCCTCCCAGATTCAAGTGATCCTCTCACCTCAGCCTCCCAAGTAGTTGGGAACACAGGCATGCACCACCACGCCTGGCTATTTTTTGAAATTTTTTTATTTTTTATTTTTTGCATTTTTAGTAGAGACAGGGTCTTGCTATGTTGCCCTGGCCAGTCTCGAATTCCTGAGCTCAAGTGACACACCAGCCTCGGACTCCCAAAGTGTTGGGATTACAGGTGTGAGCCACCATGCCCAGCCTTCAGTGCATTATATTTATTATAGTCACCATTGTGTACAACAGGTCATTAAGTAGTCCTCCTGTCTAGCTAAAACTTTGTATCCTTTGATCAGTATCTCTACCTTTTCAGCATCTACTCCCCTCTCCCAGCCTCTGGTAAACACCAGTCCACTGTGTACTTCCACTGAGTTCTACTTTTACAGATGTCTCATATAGTGAGATCGTGTGGTATTTGTCTTTCTATGCCTGACTTATTTCACTTAGCATAATGTCCTGCAGGTTCATCCATGTGTCACCAAGTGACAGAATTTCCTTCTTTTTTAAGGTTGAATAGTATTCCATTGTGTAGTATAACACATTTTCTTTATCCAGAAAATATGCATTTAATGAAATAATGTTTTAAAGTCAAACTCTTGAAAGTATTACATTAAGAATATAGTAATACATCAGTGGCAAATACTTACAATTTGCTAACAGAGGTGTGGTAGAGACCTCATTTCCTCTGTGTTTGTTGGTTAAAGTGGTTGACTGTTTTATGGGTGAGAAATGCTTTGTTGTAGAGGGGGTGTAGACATGCCTTACTTGAATTCCCGGAGAAGGAGATGTATGGATATTGCATTCAGCTAAGTGAAAAACAAATGTAAACACATTAAAAGCATTTCAGTAAGAGTTCTATGTCAATGTCTACATTTGAAAAGAAATACATGAGGTGTAATAGCTTCAATTAAACTATTTATCAAGTGATACTAAATTGTTTTTATCATTAAAGTCCATACTTCCTTGTTTGCATAATGGTTAGTCAAAAAAAAAAAAAGTCTAGGCTGGGCATGGTGCTCACGCCTGTAACCCCAGCACTTTGGGAGGCCAAGGCAGGTGGATCACCTGAGGTCAGGAGTTCAAGACCAGCCTGGCCAACATGGTGAAACCCCATCTCTACTAAAAATACAAAAAATTAGCCGGGCTTGGTGGCAAACGCCTGTAATCCCAGCTACTCGGGAGGCTGAGGCAGGAGAATTGCTTGAACCCAGAAGGCGGAGGTTGCAGTGAGCCAAGATCTCGCCACTGCACTCCAGCCTGGGTGACAGAGAGAGGCTCTGGCTCAAAGAAAAAAAAAAGTCTACATAACCATAGTGAAAGTTCTGGAAGAAAATATATTAATCTTGGGTGATGTTATCCTAAGAGAATAGTTTTATTATTCAGGGTATCATTATAAAAGCAAATCTAGAGCATGATGACAGACTTCACTGCATTAAAGCACAGAAAGTAAATGCATATTAAATATTCATAGAACAGGAATATTCAGGAATGGATATTACGCTAATTCATCTCTAAAAGGAACATGATTTTTTTTCTTATGATTTTATTTTTTGAGACAGAGTCTCACTCTGTCACCCAGGCTGGAGTACAGTGGCACAGTCTTAGCTCACTGCAACCACAGCCTCTGTGGTTCAAGCAATTCTTGTACCTCAGCCTCCCAAGTAGCTGGGATTACAGGTGGACGCCACCATACCCGGCTAATTTTTGTATTTTTAGTAGAGACGAGGTCTCATCATGTTGGCCAGGCTGGTCTTGAACTCCTGACCTCAAGTGATCTGTCCACCTCGGCCTCCCAAAGTGCTGGGATTACAGGCATGAGCCACTGTGCCTGGCCCTATGATTTTAAAAGGAATAATAGGGAACTTCATTAGGGAATTTGTAAACAAATATTAAACAAGAAGTTTTTAAAAAAATCAACATGTACTTCCTTTAAATTAGATATTATATAATCTGAAATTATTTTAATTTTGGTTTCTATGAGATTCCAGAAAATCATATTAAAAAATGACTTCTAAACTGTCTTCCCAAACTCAAAATCTCATGATTGGGAAAATAACCCAAATATACAAAAACAAAAACAAATGCAGATATTTATACCATAACTTTCAACCTTTAAATAGGACAGATGCCACCTCCAGGTCAGAGTTAACCTGATCTTGAATATTTTTACTATCTTCTTCATTTAAGGACTTCACAAATCGAGAACACACATTCATATCAAATCGGTTAGGCAATATGAATTTCATTCCCATGGCAACACCCTGAGCTGACCCTTCTTCTGAATTTGGGTCCAGTGGATGTTCTATTTTAATGTCTGGCATGCCAGTTAGGCTATAAGTGCTGGGACACTCTTCCACGATAAGCTGGGCTCCAATATCCAGATTTGTTGATGTATCCATGATTTCAACTGTAGTTTCAATAACTAAAACATTTCTTCATGATTTCCTCTTGGTTTTGTAAGAGCAGTATCCAGTGTGTTCTTGGAATCTGGATATTTAAAAATCTGAAAGAAAAAATTAGAAAATTAAAAGTATTCTATCAGCTTAGGTAAAAACACACAAAATAATCATTTTCAATCAAGTATTGTAACAATGCTCTTGAAAGCACCTACACATAATAGAAAGAATATAATGTTCAGAGGTAGAGAAACCTGGGTATGAATCCAAACTTTGCCATTAATTAGCTGTGTGACCTGTAGAAGTTACTCAATCCCTCTGAGCTTCCGTGTCATTTATAAAATAGGGATATCACCATTAACCTTATAGGGTTCTGGTAAAGACCAAATGAAATACTGTACAGTGATATTCTCACCTCCATCATTAAATTCCAATACATTTTAGTTACTGTTTCTCCCATTTCCTATATCTGAATATCACCAAATGGATAAAAGATCAGGCTAACAATGAAAATAAACTTTAATCTCTTACCTAAGGTTAGTTCTTTAATATGCTATGTTTATATAGGTGGCCCTTAGTTTGAATTTAAGAAATGATAATTCATGTTGTATCCAAGTTTATTGGCATTGTCATCTATAACACCTGTGATTCCTAGACCATGAAAGGCTTTACAAAGCTTTGGTTTTGATGAACTGAAGGTACATTTATGAATTTTTGTTCCGATTAAGCATTAGCAACTTAATGTAGGTTTTCATGAAAAATAAAGTAGGTAGATTATGGATTGGCTTTCCAAGATGTATAGTTGTCTTAGATACATTATCATTTGGGACAGAAAGGAAATTAATAACATCCAGTTAATTTTTTCATGTTAGGGTTAATTGCCTCTTAGGAATTTTGAGAGGGTGCAGGGTGTTTCAAAATTGGAATTGGAATTAAAAGAAAAATGCATTAGGATCGCAGTGGAGCAAGGGTCGCGAAACCATACATTTACAGATAACCACCTTCTACAATTTTAAAAACATTTTCAAAGATTAGTCTTTATAACAATCCTTTGAGTAGGCAGGTCAGGTAATCATATGTCCACCTAGGAGGGGTAAAAAAGGAAGCTCATGAATTATGAGGGCTTACTCAGCTCTTCTGACTCCATCACTCTGACCATTAAAATGAGGCAGCCCTAAACAAAGCCAAAATCTCCACGAGAGAGTTGAATAAATAACACATAGTATAGTAAGGAAAAAAAAAAAAAGCAGGAAGTAAGAAGGTTAATACATTTGGGCAAAAAGAAGGAAACCAGAAAAGAAAATTAGTTCAGTGATTCAAAGGGAGATGGATGTGCAATGCATTAGTCCATGCGTCTTAAAAGGGACTGGACAATGTGAACTGTGTTTCCTGAGGGAAGAACCATCTCCCCCTTTCTCCTATCCAGCGGTTGGCTAAGTGCAACTCCCCTAAGCTCTCTGAGCACCCTGCATGTATCTGTATTTTAGCATTCACCATCCTTTTGACAATTTCCATTTAAATAACAGCTAAATTGAAAACTCCCCTAGGATGGGGACCACTCTTACTAATTTTTGCACACAGAACAGTACTTGGTCCTACCAGGTGCTCCATAAATGTTTTCTGATCTTAACTTTAACAATTTTTTCCATATTCTTTTCTATTTCTAACATTTGCTGATTAGACCTGGCTTTCCACTCCCAACATCGCTACTAACTAGCTGGCCACTCCTGGACAAATAAATAATACAAGTTTTCTGAAATTCATCTATTATAAAAAGGTGTTGAAATAGGCCTTTCTAATATTCTTTCCAGCTCTAAACAGCTTCCATGTTACAAATCAGGGTTTATAGATGGAATTACAGGTCTTCGAGAGGAGAATAGCAAATGTGCTTAGGCGAAGGGGGTGGGTGGAAAATGAACGCTTATCTTGGCACAGCAGTTTAACGAGAGGAGAAGCAAAGTTGATTGGTAGGCCAAAATTTTGAAGAACAGGAGAGGGAGGCGGGGGTGAGGGGAGTGGGGTAACAGGACTTAGAAGAGGTGGTGGTGAGAAAAAGGGGGTAAGGCAATCGATAGCTAGGTTCACCTCGATCTGTCAGAGCCCAGGGATGAAGGGATAGAGAGTCTACGGAGATAAAGTGGGCAGCTATGCTAGTTCCTGTGGATGCTAATAACAGGAGCCCCTCGTTTCTTCCTGATCCTGGAATTATTCTACAAGGAGAGGAAGGTGCTATGAAAATAAATGATGCCTCACAGGCGACAGGTGTCCCAGCGTCCCGAGACAGGAGCCCGCTGTCTCCCGCTGGAGGGGAGACTCTTGCAGGAAAGAAAGTCCGTTCTGTCGCCACCGGCCAGCTGTGCCCGAAAAGTCCCAGGAAGAAACTCTCGCTCATCCGCGGCGAGCGGATCCCGGGCACAGGGGCTGGAGGCCGACCCGGTGAGAGTGCAAGGTCTCGCGACCACCGACGACAGCAGACAGCGAGTCGGGCCTTCCCATCTGAGGCCAGCTTCAGTACAGGCCTCCAAGCCCGGGCTTGTTTTGGCCGCGACGTCACTTCCGATTTCTTCTTTCGCCTTCTGGCTAAAAAACGTTCCGCAGCAATGCAGCTGAAACTTTCGGGTTTTCTTTTTTTTGTCCCTCTCTCCTTTTTTTTAATATTTTTGTTTTTGCCGCCTTTACGCTCCGAGGCCCATCCTGCCGGAGTACTACACAGACAGGGTCATTTCAGTTGACGGTTCTGGGTCACCAGAGCAGAGGAAGCCCCAATTTCGCCCTCCGGTCACACCTCCTACTCCAGATCGCCCCGCCCACCTGACCCGCCTCTGCGCCGCCGGGCTGCGTGAGTCTCATGAGCGTGCTCTGGTACGTCATCTTCGCGCGACGTTCGGTTCGCTGTGTGTGTCGCCGGCTCCTTGAGGGTCCATGTGATTTTTACGCCAGTGCTGCTGAACTGTGCAGGGTAGGGAGCTGGCACAGTCCGATTAATTGTCCTTGGGTCGAGGTGTCTCGTCGGACCCTTTGGGGCTCAGTGGAGGTAGGTGAAGGCGGCTCCCATTGAGGGAAGCCCACACTCACACCCGGCCTTCCTGTGTTAATCTGGCATGCTCTTCTGGGGCTTCCCAGGCTATATAGGAGAGTGGCCAAATTCTTTAACCGGCTCAAGTTCCCCTCAATTAAGCTTCGACCTAGGTTCTTCTCTGCGATTACACCCTTTCCTGTCCACCGTTGTTAGTTCCCGGAGTAATCAGCAACTCTCCAAGGCAATGGACACATTTCCATCTTTGCCTTTGCTTACGAGGCTCCCTCAGGTGAAGTGAACCTAATGGAGTTTTAAAATATTTGGGAGATAAAATCAGCAGATCTTGTTAACTATTTGGATGTTAGGAGTGAGGAAGAAAAGGACACGTCAAGGCTGAGTCTAGGTTAATATCTGGTGCCAGTCACCAGCCAAAATGGAGTATATTGGAGTAAGCAAAGGCACAGACCATGTCTTTATTTCATTCACCATTATAGCCCCAGTGCCTAGAGCAGTGTCCTGCACATTGGTAGGTACTTTAATGAACAGAAGAGTGTTCCCAAAGACCAGTGAAATACAATCATTGGTCATTGTATTTCATTAAAGCACCTTTTAAATATATGTTACACCTATTTATCGTGGTGTTACTAATGTAAAGTTTTCAGGCTTTTTGGAATAGATGATGAGCAGCACCTCTGGAATCATTTACCTGATAACATTGAATCTCTTTTGCAATTGAGTCGTTCTGGAAAAATGTTTTGGCTTGATTGCATGTTATTTAAAAGTTTTATCCTATTCTGCCACTTTAGTGTTGAATTTAATTTCAGGACTGCTTTATTACAGTTTTCTTTCCTACTGTTTAAACCTTTTAAAGTAAATTTAATTTTAAGCTTCTACATTAGAATATTAGCTTTGTGTTTCTTACTTCTTGGCATTTTTAGGCTTTCAGGAAATCAAATCCGTAACTATAATTGTTATAGATTAAATGTCATCTTAAACTTGGTTTCAGGAAACTTGTATTTGCAGTTTCACCTTAATATTTCCTGTTGCCAAAAAATGGACACTCAAAGCCAGCATGATCCTTTTTGGTTTGGCTACTGTAAGGCTGTGCTAGATTTATTCCTAAGTGTTGTAAAATGGTTGGCTAGGTGTGAGAACCTTTGTGTACAGCTGAATAGATGGTGCGATATGATAGCCTTCACTTTAATTATTCCTGCTTCCTATAGATTGCCTTTTCTGGGTTAGAATTAAATGGCTTATTGGTCTCTAATCTATATACTTCCACACAGACTTTTTAAAGAAAGCAGAGTGAAAATCAACTATGTGTACAAGCTTATAATATGTATATAAAATATTTTATTTTTCAGAATTAAGGCAGAGTCACTGTAATTATTTCTAATACCAATTCCAAAATAGTGACTCTTGGACAATAGTGCAATTATATGGAATTATGGCTGGTTATAAGCCTGTAGCTATTCAGACATATCCTATACTTGGTGAAAAAATCACCCAAGATACACTGTACTGGAACAACTATAAGGTGAGTGTGGGACGTAATGAGGGAGAAGGGATTTGTGTTTATGCCAATTTCTCTAGCATATGTTATACTCTGGATGCTCTAACAGAGAATTATTAACTGAAAACCATCTATCAGCAGCTTATAGTTTGGGCAGATAATTTGATATCTATTTTTTCTTGGAATTTTATGTAAAAGTCCATACTGCTTAATCAGATTAACCATACAAATGCCTAGCACAGAACAGATGATCAATCAATGCCAAATGAATTAAATTTTAAAATTTGAATCTCATATGTGTAAAGATGTTTATTGAAGTATTGCTTGTAATAGTAGAAATCTTGAAAAACCCATGTCTATTAGTAGTGGACTGGTATAGTAAATTACAGTGTGCCCTTATAATGGATGGTAAGTCTATTGCTCCTATGAAAGCTAATATGTGTTACTAAGTGAAAAGAAGCAAGATGTGGAACAGCCTACATGGTATGATTATCTTTTTGTTATTTTAAAAGTACAAGTACGTGGTTATTGTATGCTGGTGTAGACATGATAACTTTTTTTTTCTGGTAGAAATCACAGTAAACTCAATAGCTGAAGAGACAGAGTGGGGTGTGGCTTTCTAACCATATGTTTATTTCAGTGGCAACAAGAATAGTCTGGGTGATGAGATATGTACCTTTTTTGCTTTCTTTGTAATTTTATGTTAAATACAACTTAAGAAATGTTACTAAGAACAAAGAGAAACGGTCTGTAAGAAATTATGTAATGCATAAATAGGTCTTACCAGTGGTAACTCTGTTAACACACTATTATTTTTTATTAAGACCCCTGTTCAGATTAAGGAATTTGGTGCAGTTTCAAAAGTAGACTTTTCTCCTCAGCCTCCATATAATTATGCTGTCACAGCTTCCTCAAGAGTAAGTATAATATTAAATTTCTTTATTTTTCTTTTGTATAGTTTACTACTGATCTTGAGCCATCTGGTGAAATACTGTTTTTCATCTTGTAGATTCACATTTATGGCCGATACTCCCAAGAACCTATAAAAACCTTTTCTCGATTTAAAGACACAGCATACTGTGCTACTTTTCGACAAGATGGTAGATTGCTTGTGGCTGGCAGTGAAGATGGTGGAGTTCAACTTTTTGATATAAGTGGGAGGGCTCCCCTCAGGCAGTTTGAAGGCCATACAAAGTAAGAGACAGTTGGTTTCTGTGTGTTCTGGTTTTATTTTGTTGTAAGCTCTTTTTTTCTCTGGACTTTGGTTAAAAAGATAGAGATCAGTTTTATGGAGATTATTTGCCTATAGGTACTATATTTCCTGATTGTTCTAAGAGTGCTTAACTTGGGTTCCGTGGTCCAGTTTCATGGGGCTTATGAATTCCCTAGAATTGTATGTGATATTTTAGGAAATACACGTTTATCTAGGGAGCTACTCTGTAGCTTTTGGTTAACTTTAGTGGGGTCTGTGGCCCAGCTGAGATTATGAATTACTGACCTGAAGACAACCTTACAGCTGGTAATGACAGCTCTATAGGCCTGTACTGTCTTAGAGGCTCTTATGTTGAAGTCAAGTAGGAAGGTGGATTTTCTTCTTGAATTTATAGTGTTTTGCCCCTTAATAAATTAAGTGGCCATCACAATTTTATATTATAACTTTGTTTTCAGGATTGCCAATGTCCGTGCTGAAATTTGTTAAAATTTAACAGAAATTTATGTAACATGATTCTATTTAGTGGTAAATCTCTTTAGAGTTTTTTAAAGAACTTTTTGAAATTTTAAAAATTAAAGTGCCTTTGCTTCCATATTCAGCAGCTAAGTGGAATTGTTTATATACTAGAAAATATAATTTTAAGGCTATCCTTTAATTTTTTTTAACTTTACAATATAGGAGTATTTACACTTCTTAATTGGTTTGGGGGCAAACACTTGTAAGTTTTCTCTTTCTTTCATGATTTCCCCCTATGAAGACTCCCTGAAACTCAGCTGCTTTTTTTTTAATCTGAGAAAAAGGAGCATTTTATGTTAGAAGGTATCAGAAAAATAATTTTCTTGCTTTTTAATATACTGACCTTCAATCTTTCAGAGCAGTTCATACAGTAGATTTTACAGCTGACAAATATCACGTGGTCTCTGGGGCTGATGATTATACAGTTAAATTATGGGATATTCCAAACTCCAAAGAAATTTTGACATTTAAAGAACACTCTGATTATGTGAGGTGTGGATGTGCTAGCAAACTTAATCCGGATCTCTTTATAACAGGTTGGTGAACTCTATTCCCTCCTGAAGCAAATAATCTCACGGGGATGTACTTTAATGTTGCTATGGGACTCTTTTGGGATGGAGGGGTTTAAATTTTTTTTATAAAGGAATATGTTTCTGATTAATTCTTCAGTTTTTAAATTAATTTTTATGTATGTATGTTTGCATTTATTTTCAGACAGGGTCTCACTCTGTTGCCCAGGCTGGAGTGCAGTGATGTGACCATAGCTCACTGCATCTGCTACCTCCTGGGCTCAAGTGATCCTCCCACATAAGCCTCCCAAGTAGCTGGGACTACAGGTGCCCACCACCACGTCCAGCTACTTTGTGTATTTTTTTGTAGAGACGGTTTTGCCATGTTGCCCAGGCTGGTCTCGAACTCCTGGGCTCAAGTGATCCACCTACCTCAATTTCCTCCCGGAGGACTGGGATTACAAGTGTGAGCCACCATGCCTGGCTTCCAATTGTTTTTTATTTTCTTATTCTTCTTTTGTTGATTGTTCATGTCTTCCAAATGTGTTTGGAAAAATCAGGCTGTCTTGAAAACATAATAGACTCTCAGAACTGTAATGTATAGTACCCTGCCTCAAGCAGCCAAGAAACAAAGAGTGCAGTTTAGCCTTTGTGGGTGCCTTTACAAAGATTTCCAGATGATTCAGTAGTGACAGTAGTCCAAAGAAAGAAATATTTTAAGATCAGAGCAAGTTAGATTCTGTATAGTATTATGTAGTGCTTCTTCAGACACGATCAGTAGTAGATGGTTTGGAGGTCCTGTGTCTTCATGAATATACATATATGTCTTTTTAAAACTCCATCTAAGCTTTTTTTCCTTTTAAAATTTATATCTGGATACACACAGTTTTTGTTGTTTTAAACAGTCAAACTAAAAATTCAAAAATTGACATTTTAGGATCATATGATCATACTGTGAAGATGTTTGATGCACGAACGAGTGAGAGTGTTCTCTCCGTTGAGCATGGGCAGCCAGTGGAGAGTGTCCTACTTTTCCCCTCTGGAGGTCTTCTGGTGTCAGCAGGTACTTCTTAAAAATAGCTTTCACCAATATTGTTGGTTTTGAATCACGTTTGTTTAAAATCAGTTGCTCTTTGTAATTTATCAGTGTGCATTTGAATTGCATATCTAAGTCTTTGTTCAAACAGTTGATAGGTAGGACTGGCAAGCAGTTATCATTTATTGTGTACCTAATGTGAGCCAGGCACTGTGCTGTTACATATGAACTCTAATGCCCTAGATGATGCTACAAGGTAGTTAGCTTTTTCCCTACTTTACAGCAATGAAATAAAAGTTTTAACTTATTTTTCAAGGCAAAGTGGTAAGTGGCAGATCTGAAATCACAGAACTCGAGAGCTCTGTGTATTTAGCCCTGTGCCATCTTATTTATTTAGCCCTGTGCCATCTTATTTAACCCCAGAAATTTAGCCCTGTGCCATCTTATTTAACCCCAGAAATTTAGCTCTTATGTATTTAGCCCTGTGCCATCTTATTTAACCCCAGAAATTTAGCTCATACTCCTTTTACTCCTACCTAAGAGATCTGCAGCAGCTTTTGAAAATCAGTTATTTGAGATCTAGTAGGCTTGTCTCTTTTTCTGTGACTCTCTTGATTGAAATGCCACTACCCAGCAAATAGCTGCTAGTACTAGAGAAAGGAGATAATGTGGCCTCAAAAGGGGCCTTGGTACATTTTTCAACAAGTTGGGACTGAGATGTTTTTCTCATTTTGCACATATTGCATTTTCATAATTACAGTGGAAGAAGTAAATTGGCTTTTTTCATTTGTAAATAAAGTAAAAATGTGTTCATATTAGAAGAATGTATAGGTAGTATGTATACTTGACAACATATATATTGCTGTGTGTACCTCCTTTTTTTTTTTTTCTTAATTCTAAAATCTGGCTAGAAATTACTCTGTTTTATATTCTTTTCCCCAGTACCTATTTGATTTAAAAATAAGTTGAGGCGGGATGTGGTTGCTCACGCCTGTAATCCTAGCACTTTGGGAGGCTGAGGCAGGCGGATAGCTTGAGTCCAGGAGTTTGAGACCAGCCTGGGCAACATAGCAAGACTCTAAGACTCCATCTTTAATTAAAAAAAGAAAAAAGTTGATAATGTCAGATGTGTCTACTTTTCTTGCTGTTATTCTGACAAATGGAAAAAATATCATGTTGAACAGGGAGAATAGAAAGCTGTGTGCTGATCTCCACTGTGTGTCACTAGCTAATTGTGACCTCGGGCAATCCCTTAAGGTCTCTAGACCTTGAAAATGAGAGGGTTGGACTAGATCAGTGATTTCAACTGTGATCCCTCTTGTGAGGTGCCACATAGGAGTGGAGAGGTGGGAACTGTGAGTTGGGTTCCAACTCCTGTTCCCCAGTCAAGATTTCAGTCTCCCCTTCCATCCCTTTTTCTGTCTTTCCATATTAGACTTTTTTGCTTGATATTTTGCTGCAGATCTACATTATTCACTTCCACTGCTATATAGAATTTCTTTTAAAAAATGATTTTATTATAATTTTCTTAAAATGGACTCTTTCAGTTATACATTTATTTTGCTGGAATTTATGTACACTTCACAAATATTATTTAATGGTCATAACAGTTCTGTGAGGTAGGAACTGTTATTACCAATGACCCAGGAAGTGGTGCATCCAGGATTTTACCAGGCAGCCTGGCCTGGACTCCCTCACTCAGCCTCCATGCTTTGTGGAGTGTCCAGAGAAGAATGCTTTTCAGATCTTTAATATGTTGAATCTGTGGGCAGAATATCCAACTAACGATGATTTCTTTTTATAGGAGGTCGTTATGTTAAAGTCTGGGACATGTTAAAAGGAGGACAATTGCTAGTATCTTTGAAAAATCATCACAAAACCGTGACATGTTTATGTCTAAGCAGCTCTGGACAGAGGTTACTCTCTGGCTCACTGGATAGGTTGGCATTTTAATTTTTTTGTATATTATTATTAGTGTACACCTGTTTACTGCTTGAGGAAATGAGTTATTTCAGCAATATTTGTGATAAGTATACAGATAATGATTTCCAGGAGAAAAAAACCTGTTGAGTTGAAAATAGTTTTGACCTTTTGTTTACATATAGCTACTTCTTTTCTTTTCTTTTTTTTTGAGACAGAGTCTCACTCTGTCACCTAGGCTGGAGTGCAGTGGTGCAATCTCGGCTCGCTGCAACCTCCGCCTCCCAGGTTCAAGTGGTTCTCCTGCCTCAGCCTCCTGAGTAGCTGGGATAACAGGCACGCGCCACAATGCCCGGCTAAGTTTTTTATTTTTAGTAGAGACGGAGTTTCACCATGTTGGTCAGGCAGGTCTTGAACTCCTGACCTCGTGATCCGCCCACCTCAGCCTCCCAAAGTGCTGGGATTACAGGCGTGAGCCACCACACCCGGCCACCCATAGCTACTTATTTTCTCCTTTGACACAATTTGTTTTAACTTGTATACTTAAACAACATTATTGAACCATTTGAATGATAATCTTTCAAATAATGTTATTCTATAAACCATCTTTTAAAATCATTATTGTACATTCATATATTTTGAAGTTTTTTTTTTTTTTTTTGAGACAGAGTCTTGTTCTGTTGCCCAGGCTGGTGTGCAGTGGCACAATCTGGGCTTACTGCAACCTCTGTCTCCCAGGTTCAAGCGATTCTCGTGACCCAGCCTCCCAAGTAGCTGGGATTACAGGTGTGCAGCACCATGCCTGGCTAATTTTTGTATTTTTAGTAGAGACGGGGTTTCGCCATATTGCCCAGACTGGTCTCGAACTTCTGGCCTCGTGTGGTCTGCCCACCACGCCCTCCCAAAGTGCTGGGATTACAGGTGTGAGCCACTGTGCCTGGCCTGAAAAGTTTTTTAAAAATTAGATAAATTAATTTTTTTTTTTTTTTTGAGATGACATCTCGCTCTGTTGCCCAGGCTGGAGTGCAGTGGTGGGATCTCAGCTCACTGCAACCTCTGCTTCCCGGGTTCAAGCGATTCTGCCTCAGCTTCCTGAGTGGCTGGGATTATAGGCGCTTGCCACCTTGCCCGGCTAATTTTTGTATTTTTAGTAGAGACAGAGTTTCGCCGTGATGGCCAGGCTGGTCTGGAACTTCTGACTTCAGGTGATCCACTCACCTTGGCCTCCCAAAGTGCTGGGATTACAGGCATGAGCCACCACGCCTGACCTAAAAGTTAGATAGCACATTTTATTTAGCCTAATATCTAATGTAAAAATAAAATATATATTACATATAAAATATAATTTCAGTATGTAATCTATGTCAAAATTATTAAGATACTAGAAATAAATTAAGCATCTAAACATGTGCACTATGATACAATAATCATATTTTAGGTTGGTACAGTGGCTTACACCTGTAATCCCAGTGCTTTGGGAGGCTGAGGTGGGAGGATCACTTGAGGCCAGGAGTTTGAGACCAGCCTAGGGAATATAGTGAGACCCCATCTCTACAAAAAATTAAAAAAATTAGCTGGCCACAGTGGTACACACCTTTAATCATAGCTACTAGGGAGGCTGAGGCAGGAGAAGCACTTAAGCCGGAGTTTGAGGTTGCAGTGAGCTGTGATAGTACCACTGTACTCTATCCTGGGTTACAGTGATACCCTGTCTCTAAAAAAAAAAAGATAATATTTTATAAAAATTACTGTCTCAGTTTTTAAATTAAAATTAGATAAAATAAAAAATTTAGTTTCTCATTTTCACTAGCCACATTTCAAGTGGTCAGTAGCCATGTGCAGCTAGAAGTATGGCACAGTTCTAGAATTTACATGATTTATTATTAATTTTTTTTTTTTTTGAGACAGGGTTTTGCTCTGTCGCCCAGGCTGGAGGGCAGTGGCATGATCTTGGCTGACTGCAACCTCCACCTCCTGGCTTCGAGCGATCCCCTCGCCTCAGCTTCCTCAGTAGCTGGGACCACCGGCACGCGCCACTGTACCTGACTCATTTTTGTATTTTTGTTGAGATGGGGTTTTGCCATGTTGCCGAGGCTGGTCTCAAACTCCTGAGTTCAACAGATCCTCCCACCTCAGCCTCCCAAAGTGCTGGATTACTGGCGTGAGCCACCGTGCCCGGCTTACATGATCTATTTTTTATTATTTTATTTCCATATTTTCATTTTTTTCTGCTCTTATGAAAAACTTTAGTTTTCAGCATGTTAATTAAAAAGTATACAGTCATCTCTTGGTAACTGAGGAGAATTGGTTGTGGATGCCCAAGTCCCTTATTTAAAATGGCATATTTGCATATAACCTACACACATCCACTGTATACTTTAAATCATGGCTTGCTTATTTGTAATACCTAATACAATGCAAATGCTATGTAAATAGTTGTTACACTGTATTTTAAAATTCTGTATTGTTTATATATTTATGGATATTTTCAATCCATGGTTGGTTGAATCTGCAGATGTGGAACCTGCCATAAGAAGGATTGACTGTACATATTTTAAAAGCTAGAAAATATTTTTAATACAAAGGAATTTTTTATGTAAATACATGGCAAGTTTACACATGTTACTGAAATCATGTTACTCGGCAATTTGGGACTTGATTCTTAGGTATGTTCCTAAAAGCTAAGTGTAAATTGGCTCTATTTGTGGTGGTTTCAACCAAGAGTGATTTTTGTTCCTCAAGGAACGTTTGACAATATCTTGAGAAAGTATTGTTTTTTATCACAACTCATGGTACTTACCATATAGGGGATAGAGGCCAGGAAGGCTGCTAAACATCCTACAATGCACAGAACAACCCCCACAAAAAAGAATTCTGTGCCCCAAAATGACAGTAATTCTGAGGTTGAGAATCCCTGATCTTTGGCTTCATGTGTACTTTCTTTCTTTCTTTTTTTTTTTTTAATTTATTTTTTTAGAGACAGGGTTTCTTCAAGTTGCCCAGGCTGGTCTTGAACTCCTGGGCTCAAACAATCTGCTGTCCTTGGCCTCCCAGAGTGCTGGGATTACAGGTGTGAGCCATCACACTTGGCTTTGTGATGTGCTTTCATTGATAATTTTTTCTTTTTTTTTTTTTAAGATGGAGTTTCACTCTTGTTGCCCAGGCTGGAGTGCAATGGCGCGGTCTCGGCTCACCGCACCTTCTGCCTCCTGGGTTCATGTGATTCTCCTGCTTCAGCTCCCAAGTAGCCGAGATTACAGGCATGTGCCACCATGCCCGGCTGATTTTGTATTTTTAGTAGAGACAGGGTTTCTCCATGTTGGTCAGGCTGCTCTTTAACTCCCGACCTCAGGTGATCTGCCCACCTCGGCCTCCAAAAGTGCTGGGATTACTACAGGTGTGAGCCACCGCACCCGGCTAATACCTTTTCTTTACTCCCAAGTTTGATCTTCAGATGACAGTGGCTCATGGTCTGTCCTTCTGTTTTTTTTTTTTCCTTTTTTTCTTTTTAAATTTTTGAAACAGAGTCTTACTCTGTGGCCCAGGCTGGAGGGCAGTGGCACGATTTCGGCTCACTGCAACCTCTGCCTCCCAGGTTGAAGCAATTCTCATGCCTCAGCCTCCTGAGTAGCTGGGATTACAGGTGTGTGTCACCACACCTGGCTAGTTTTTATTATTTTTGGTAGACATCGGGTTATGCCGTGTTGGCCAGGCTGGTCTTGAACTCCTGGCCTCAAGTGATCTGCCCACCTTGGCCTCCCGAAGTGCTGGGATTACAGACCTGAGCCACCACACCCGGCCCTTCTATTTTTTTTATAAGTGGCTAGTCAAAGTTTTTATACGGATGTTATAGTTAGGGCTGGTATACAGCTCTTTTTTTTTTTTTTTAGACAGAGCTTTGCTCTTGTCGCCCAGGCTGGAGTGCAGTGGCACAATCTTGGCTCACTGCAGCCTCCACCTCCCAGGTTCAAGCAATTCTCCTGCCTCAGCTTCCCAAGTAGCTGGGATTACAGGCATGTGCCACCACGCCCAGCTATTTTGTATTTTTAGTAGAGATGGAGTTTCACCATGTTGGTCAGGCTGGTCTCGAACTCCTGACCTCAGGTGATTCACCCACCTTGGCCTCCCAAAGTGCTTGAATTACAGGTGTGAGCCACCGTGTCCGGCCTACAGCTCATTTTTTAAGGGATTCAGTGATGAATTAGTTTGTAATTAACATTACTAATCTTTGTTTTTCTTCACTGTTGTACAGATTTTAATGTTTGTATTTTGTTTTCAGAAAATAGAAATTTGCATTTTATACTCGTTTTCAAGGTGATTTTTGACAAAGCTTTTCCTTTTTATTAGGAAGGTGAAAGTATACAGCACAACTTCCTACAAAGTAGTCCACAGTTTTGATTATGCAGCTTCAATTTTGAGTCTTGCCCTTGCAGTAAGTACCTTTACCTATTTTTAAGTCTGTCACTAACCCTGCCTGTTAAATGAAACTAAAATGGAACTTTGGGCTTTATTTTTAGATTTGAGTAACTTTTCTTGCCACATCAGATATTTGAGTTAAGACAATTGCTGGAATATGTAACTCGTCCTATTGACTCAGCATGAATTCAGATTTAGGTCCCACTCACTGTAGAACTTCAAACTAAATACAGTGCTCTAGGCATTGTTAACATTAAACGCAGGACCTGGGAAGCTGGTAAATCTCTCTTCAACTCATTTAACTCAAGAGTATTATAGTACACTAGAAAGGCAGATTAGCTCTCTGAGCAGAAAAAAAGATGTGGGGAGAAGGGGACAACAAAATGAAATATCTCCTTTTCTTTGTTACTGCTCTTTCTGAAATGTATACTGTCAAGTTTTATGAGAAGCCACATTTGGGCAGGAAGGCATTTGACTATATTATATAGAAATCTGATTTGGGAGAGGAAAAGCTTATTAAAAATATTTTTGGGGGGCAAGATCATAAAAGTCTTGCTACTGTGTAATCTTTGATGCCGTTAACTATGTATTATACAAACTTTGCCAGTGATATTTTACAAGTATAAGTTCTGTCAATGTAGTTGTATCCTAAGGAAAAAATGATTTCGCTTTAACGTCTTGCACCAATCATCGTTAGGCAGACTATGTGTATTTGAATGGAACTGTTGGTGAATGTATGGACAAGCAGCAAACACATGGTAAATGTGTTTTGAAGTAAAAGTACTATAAATTACGAGTTAAGAATAGACTAACTTATTTTTCTAATTGTTATTAGCATGAAGATGAGACAATAGTTGTAGGAATGACCAATGGAATACTGAGTGTTAAACATCGGAAATCTGAAGCAAAGAAGGAATCACTTCCCAGAAGAAGAAGGCCTGCATATCGAACCTTTATTAAAGGAAAAAATTACATGAAGCAACGGGTATTTGTGCATTTCTCATATTTGTTTAAAGGGTGAAATTTGTTAGAGTAGCCAGCTTCATCCCTGCACATTACTGGAAAGCGTAGTTCACATGGCACTTTATTTTGCTTTTCTCTACATCAGAATTATTTCTAGATTGCTAGATTGGGGACATTATTGATGAGTAATGGGGAACAAGGACTACTTTATGTAATACTCTGCATCATAACATAATGTTATAATGCTTTACTGCATTCAAAATAATGTCTTTCACATACTACCTGATTTGATCTAAATCCCAAGAAGTAGTAGAACCAATCATGTCCCTGTTTGGCACCTGAGAAGACTGAGCGACAAATAATTTGTGATTGATTCAGGATTTCATTACTGGTATCCAGAGTTGTTGAGACTAGATCTCATTATCTCTGATTGTTGTTTGATTTCTCTTTCTACTGTACCACACTGCCTGCCACATAAAGAGAATTGAAATGAGTAATTTTTACCTAGAATTAAGGCAATGGTGCATGTTGTAAGTTAAAATTATAAGAGAGTAAGAACATGTTGATGTAGCAAGTTACTCCTTTTTTTTTTTCTTTTTTTGACTCTGATTAGCAGGATGCATTTTTATTTAATCTACATTATGGGCATATGAACATTATTTGTGACATAGTTCAGAGATACCACTTCATTATGAAAAAGTTTATATTAAATGTATATTTACACAGATGCTGATTTTCCTTCTCTATAAATGTACTTTTCATTGCAGGATGACATTTTGATTAACAGGCCAGCAAAGAAGCACCTAGAATTGTATGACAGGGATCTGAAACATTTTCGGATCTCTAAGGCACTCGATAGAGTTCTTGATGTGAGTGAGCATTTTTTAAAAAATCATGTTATTACTTACCCTGCATATTACCATGACTTGGAACTGTGAAGATAAATATTATTCAAACTTGATAATTTAGTGCAAGACAGTGATTTTTTTTGTGCTGTTTTGTCTACTCATGTTGACTTTGAAAATTTTTCTAGCCCACTTGTACAATAAAGACACCCGAGATTACGGTGTCCATCATAAAGGAGTTAAATCGAAGAGGAGTCCTTGCAAATGCGCTTGCAGGTCGGGATGAGAAGGAAATCAGTCATGTTCTTAATTTTTTGATAAGGTATGTTTTTTGTCTGTGAAACACTTACATTTTGCATCTGAAATCCTTTATCACCAAATAAAAGACATTTAGTTTGATCTTTGTAGAGAACTGATGAAACAAATCTGTTTTAAGGATTTTTTTTTTAAGTTTACAAGTTTCACTAAACTGAATTTTTACTTTGTAGGAATCTTTCTCAGCCAAGATTTGCCCCTGTTTTAATCAATGCTGCTGAAATAATTATTGGTAAGTCATTGTTAAAACTTGAAAATCCTAACATGCTTGCAAAAGTAGAGATGTCAAATAATCAAATTTGGAAATCAAGTAGATCAAAATATCTTGCTTTTATCAAATCTCAATATGGATTTTCATGGAGAAAACAACAAGTCAGTGCAGTTTAAAAAGTAGTAAAATGTTTATAGTGGTGTGACTTTGAATTGATGGGACTAGGGTTATTATAAAAAATTTTTTTCATAGACATCTATAATGACGATGACAATTTTTCAAATGGGAAAATGAAAATAAGTCAGGAACTCCACCCTATACTTTCTGTAATTATTATTTTTTGAAATTAATTTACTCAGAGGGATTGTTATACTTTCTATAAATCATTAATTAATTATAAAATAAGTACAGATTTTTCAGTGTTCTTATGTTTAATATTTTTATACTTTTAAAAACTTTTGCTTTTCACTTAATGTATGGAAAGATATTGCTAGTTAATGTGTTTTCTTTCTCTCTTTTTAGATATATATCTGCCTGTAATTGGTCAGTCCCCTGTAGTTGATAAAAAGTTTTTACTACTTCAAGGACTTGTAGAAAAAGAGATTGATTACCAAAGAGAATTGTTAGAAACCTTGGGGATGATGGATATGCTTTTTGCCACCATGAGAAGGAAGGAAGGCACTTCTGTGTTGGAACACACATCTGATGGATTTCCAGAGAATAAGAAGATAGAATCATAGTGTCTGCTAAATAAGACATATAAGAACTCTGAAGTTGGAATAGATTTGACTGTATTAAATGTTGGCGAGAGACTCTCTTTGATACATTAAAAAAACTGTTTGCAGAAGCAGTTCTGTGGAAGAGACTGGAATAATTATGGCCGGAAAACAAGTACCCGTTTTAAGTAAGACATGGTTTTCCATGTAATATTTTGAATTATAGCATCTTCACCTAGAAGATCTCAATTGTCTTAGTCACAGAGTAGGTTTATCTGGGATGGATATTAATTTTAATACAGGAGTGTTCTGTATCAACATTTGGGTTGGTATTCAGATGGGAATTCAAATATGAATCCTCTCTGGAGAGGGTCCAACTGGGAATCCTGCTAAAGGAGCAAAGCCTTGTATTACCTCTGGAAGACAACAAAAACAATTGGCAACAACAAAAAGCCTCTTTCTTGACTTTAATCAGTGCCTTTGGGATTTCTAGGCCCTTGCTTAGCTTGCTTCCTGTCTCCTTGATATCTACACTTGTCTTAGATCACATGCCCTGCTTCAGCTGGTAATGGGACTGCATCGGTTCCAAGTGTGGCAAGTAAGTTTTCGGCTCTGAAGAACTGACACTAGCTAGATTTGTATTCAGAGTGTGAGAGCAAGCTCTACAGATAGACCTTATTGGACTACTTTTTTTTTTTTCTTCATGCAGCCTTTCTACCAAGTTTTCACCTTGTTTCAGGTCAGAGGAATGATAGAATTTGTCATTTTTCTTACAACAGCCTTTCAGACTATTCTTCATATGTTTCAAGCTAATCTTGTAGCTAAGCTACCTAATCCTCTGAAAACTGTTTTCTCTGATTTGTATTTAGATTCCTCCCCCCATTATTCACAATCATATTGTATTTCGGAACCCCAATGCAGAGCAGTTTGCTTTGAAAAATAGTTGTTTTTAAAAGTTTAATGTAAATAATTATTTTTTAGAAGTTTTTTTTTTTTTTTTAAAGACAGGGTCTCGCTTTATCGCCCAGGCTGGAGTACAGTGATGCAATCTCAGTCCACTGCAACCTCTGCCCTCCCGGGTTTAAGCAGTTCTCCTGCCTCAGCCTCCTGAGTAGCTGGGATTACAGGTGTGCCCCACCACGCCTGGCTAATTTTTGTAGTTTTAGTAGAGACGGGGTTTCACCTTACCGGGCTGGTCTAAAACTCCTGACCTCAAGTGATCTACCTGCCTCTGCCTCCCGAAGTGCTTGGATTACAGGTGTGAGCCACTGTGTCCAGCCTGTAACTATTATTTTTTTATAAAGAGAGATTCTTATTTTCTTGGCTTTTTGATGTATCTGTTCCTGATAGATAATCATTGGCTAGTAACTCCTAGTACACTGGTTTCACAGTTGCTACCTCTCCTGCTTTTCTCTAATTATTACGCCAACTCAAGTAGTTAAAAATCAGTAAGAAAAATGTCTTGAGCTAGAAGAACCCATAGAGGAAGATTTTGTAATGCGAATCTCCTCTCATAATTTTAGTTCTGTAAATTCAGGGTTTTTTTTTGTTTTTTTGTTTTTTTTAAGCCGAAAAAATGCTTAATATGTTCCAGTAAGGGTATTAAGTAAAAATTAAATAAACGTATTAAGTTTAACATATTAAATTAATTTAACATTTAGACTAACATTAACATTTAAATTAATATGTTAAGTGAATATACTTAATATATTCTAGTACAGGTATGCTTGGAAATAGGGCGTTTCCTTTTCATGAATTGATTTCGTACAGCACAGTGGCTTATAAGGAACCAGCAGTGTTTTTCCCTGAGTAATTATGAACTTAGTCAAGATCAGAAGCTGGGTTTTGGGGTTGAGAAGAGTTCATTTATTTAAATAAAGTTTCTATTTAAAAACCTTTTTAAAAAGTTAACATCATAAATATTCTGATAATTTGCATAGTAGTAAAAATTAGAAGTTGAAATTCTACCTAAAGCTGTAGTTGCCGTCAATTGTGTAACATGTGACAAAGGTTTTCCCATATGTCATTTCATTTGATTCTCACCACAACCATCCAAGGTTGATGTTATTCTCATTTAACATTGAGTTAACGAAAGTAGTTGATTCACTCTCGAAGTCCCTGAGTGTGAGCTCTTCATCCTAGCACTGTGAAGTGGTTTGCCTGCTGGGGCCTAAACTCCTCATTCCCTTTAACAAAGCTTCACTGAGTGCTGCAGTTCTCAAAATATGTAACAGTTAACACATTTTTCAAACAGGTTAGGAAGCAATTCCCATAGCCATCAATACTTAAATTCAGGAGTACTTTTTTGTTTGTTTGTTTTGTTTTGTTTTTAGAGACAAGGTCTCTTTCTGTTGTCCAGGCTGGAGTGTAGTGGTGTGATCATAGCTCACTGCAGCTTCTGTCTCCTAGGCTGAAGCTATCCTCCCACCTCAGCCTCCTGAGAAGCTGGGGCTACAGGGATGAGCCACCATGCCCAGCTAATTTTTTATTTTGATTTTTTGAGATAAGAGGTCTCACCATGTTGCCCAGGCCTGAGGCAATCTCCTGGTTTCAAGCAATCTTCCCACCTCAGCCTCCTTAATGACTGGGATTAAAGGCATGAGCCACTGCGCCCAGCAGGAATGGTTATTATATTCATTGAGATAAACTGTAGTATTTGCTGTTTGAAGTATTTAAACATAATTGGCATATTACAATATGTGACACTGGCCTTAAGATTCTAATTTAAAATGCTTAACAGACTTTTAGACTTATGAGTTTCAGTTGAAAGGTATTTTAAAATGTTACTAAGTCTGCAAAAGTACTGAAATGTTTCAGAGAACTTGGAAAGTCACCGTATGTTTAATTTATTATGTTTATGAGATTTAAGCACTTGGGAAGGTTTATGCTAATGGGGTCAAGCATTTGCAATGCTGCTTAAAAGAATCATTTTTTTAAATGTATAAATGCTATTAAGTTGTTTAAAGGAATTTGAATTGTAAATGGGATTGTTAAAACAAATTTAGTCTGTTCAACTCAATGAGGGCATTTCATTTTCTAGGAACAAAATACCCTCTTAGACATTAAAAAGCCGCATGCCTGTTCCCTCAGCTATAGTTAACTGGACCATGGTGGTACAACTGACTCAACCCTTCTCTAAGCAGGGATTTGTAATTGGGATTTATAATGAAATTCCTGATCTGGGAAAATGGGAGGCTGGGAATGCTATGTCTAGGTCATCAGCGGAGAAAGTTGGTTTGTAGAGAATGAACAAGAATGAAACCTAAGTGCAAAGAAAATAAAGATTATCCTGCTTTAATAGTTCAGACTAGAGGAGAGAGAAACCATCTTAGTTCCTGATGACTTCCTATTGCCCTATTCTGGTTGTACCTCTTCCCCCAGGGGTCCATGATATTTTTGGATTCCCTCTAACACTTGTTTGCTTAGTTGACTGTGAGTGGTTTTCTCTTATTTACAACCAAATGACTCTGAAAACACTAATCCACTGGTCCTGATATTTATTGAGACACATTAGAGGCCAGGGTATCAAGGTTATAGCAATGAACAAAATAGACAAAATATCTCCCTCAATATTCTGATTAGGGGAGATACTCAGTGAACAAGTACATATGTAGTGGGGTCACGTGGTGCTAAATGAGATGGAGACCAATCAGGCAGGGGAGGGAGATGGCAAATGTCAGGGGTGATTGGTGGGTTGGAGTTTTAAATAGAGTAGTTAGGGAAGGCCTCACTGGGATGGCAATTGAGCAAAGTTCTTTAGGAAGTGAAGGATCCTCATTGCTATCTAGGGGCAGAGTGGAGAAGTGTGCCTGGGGAGTTAGGAATGGCAAGGTGGCCCATTTAGCTGGCATGGAGCAAGGGAGGGGAGAGTAGTAAGATACAGAATGGTGTAGAAACTGGCGATGGTGCATTTTGACAGCTCTTTAGGGAGTTTTAACGTAAAAGGGAATACAAAATTGGGCAATGACTGGAGGTATGTGGGGTCAAGAGTTTTTTTTAATTAGGTATAATTGATATGCTATAAACTACACATATTTAAGGTGTTCATTTGATATGTTTTGACATTTATACACCCTTGAAACCACAATCAAGTTAATGAACATGTTTAATACCCTCAAAAGTTTCCTCCTGCCCTTGGTAATCCATCCCTTGGCCCCTTCGCCTCAGGCAACTACTGAACTACTTCCTGTCACCATAGATTAGTGTTCATTTTCTAGAATTTTATAAAATGGAATTAGAATTTAGGATTTGGGGGGTCTGGCTTCTTTCACTTAGCATAATTGTTTTGAGATTTATAATTAATTTGAGATTTAAGTTGGCAACAATGACAGAATGAATGTGTGTCAGTGGGGATAATCCTGTAGAGAAGGAAAAACATGATATAGGATCCAGGGGAGGTGGCACTGCTGGAGCAGTGGCAAGGGTCAAGTGCCCAAGTGGAAGGGTTGGTTTAGATAGGAGAAGATAGGAGAATAATAATTTGGGCATAGTTCAGGAGGGAAGGCATATACGGGCACAGAGGCAATTAGGTGGGTAGAGGTGATAGTGAGGGTTTGTGGAAGTTAATTTGGTGTCTCTTCATTGGAAAAAACCCAAGAAGGTAACCAACTGAAATGAGGTTAGAGGAAGAGCAGGTGGAGGTGTTGGAAGTTTGATGAGATAACAAGATATGAATTAATCCTAATAAGGTCAAGAACTCAAACTTTGGAGCCATCTGCATAGATTTGAATCTTGGCTTGACCACTCACTGGCTACACGATCTGGGGGACGTTATTTTGACATTTTGTATCTCATTTTCTTCATCTGTTAATCAGACAAACAGAATCACATAGGATAGTTGTGAGAATTGTGCTAATACCCATAAATGTACCTAGAATATTTCTTCTAAAAAGTTGTTTTTAAAGAACAGTGTTGAGAAGGGAGAGTAGAACAAGGAATTCTATCTGTAACTGACTGAACAATCAATTGAGACAACACTACCTTCAATCCAGCCCCTAGAATATTTCTATTGTCAGCTAGTATGATGGGGGGAATGAATGGACTGGAAAATGAAGGAGGGTCCCTGGCAGCACTAGAGGCCCACATGACTAAGGAACTGAATGAGTGTTCTGGATTTACACTGAGACCCATCAGCATGGTGGCATGTTTTTCCCTTTACATTCACCTATTAGGAGGCAGATGTGGAACAGACTGAGATACGGATTTAACAAGCAGTGGGGTTTTTGTAGGTGAATGCAACATAACTGGGCAGGGACAAAGGTAGTGTTAAGATTGATGCAAAGGAGTGATTGTAATGATAGAGCGTGGAAGCTAAGCTGGGTAAGTATGGAAAGGAGGCCACATGGGATTGAGGACAGTGAGAACACCTGGATCAATGGATTGTTGGTCTGTGTGTGGTTGAAGAGTTGCGGTTTGCCTACTAGAGATAGCGAGCCAGAGGTATGAAAGATGTTGAGAGAACTAAGCATTATGACAACAGCAGTATTTGAAAGAGTGACAGCAAGCCAGGAGCTAAAAAGTTGAAAACATGATAGGTCTCATGATGTGTGGTGACCAACAAGGTGGGAGGTATTAGGGATATAGTCAGATGACATGAGATTCAGTGGTGAGGCATTCTTGGGAAGGAAGGTGGGAGAATGGTCTGGAAACAGCATTGAGGATTACCTATACAACTGTTAGGAGTTGTACAGGAGATATGAGAACACCATCAGCAGCACTGGAGAGGGCTGCAGAAGAAACAGTGTCCTCAGCAGAGAGCCAAGGCTCAGATCAAAGGCGTGGAGAGAATGTCAACACGAGGTTGAGAGTCTGAGGGTTGTTGCTGATGACTGTGAGACCCAGAGGGCAGAGGCAAAGGGTTTTATGAGCTAGAGAAGGATAGAAATGGGACCACAAGAGAGGATGTATGGAGTCTAGGAGATAAGGCATGATCTAGGGTTCCTGGCTTCTTGTGGCAATAACTGGCATAAAGAGGGTTAGAGGGCATGATGACAGCCCTGATCATCTTCAGGTAGATGCTGGGTGTGAGGGAGGGAGAGAAGTGAGCTCTCCCCAGGAGCTTGTAGAATTCTGGGCACCATTCTTCACACCTGCCACACAGGTGCTGTGGCGGGTGATAGAGGGGCAATCACTTCTACAGAAACAGGAAAACAGATTAAGTTCACTCCAGATACCCAGTTTGTAAGTGAAAAACAAACAACAACAACAACAAAACAGGATTTGGATTCACGTAGTCTGTTTTTACAACCTGCACCATTTATCATTGCTTGAGACAGCCTCATCCTCATTCTGCTCTCTCTCTTCCTCCCATATTCAAGCAGTTTTCAACATAACCCTCAGCTGCCACATCCTAGATGTCCTTTTGTTTTTCCATTCCCATCGCCATCTCTTTGTGGCCCCAATTCCTTTGGACTTCTGCAGCACCCTGCCTTACAGCTCCTCCAGCTTAGCAGTCCTCCAGTCCATCCTCCGTATCATGGCTAGAGTGGTCTTCAGAAACATTTGATCTCATCACTCCCTGGAGACAGTCTATCACAGTGTCAGGGGGAATTAAAAGGACATGGTGGCAACTGAATGGAAGTGATAATGTAGGAGGTGAAACGACCAAACCCTCCTTCCATCCTTCGCTTTAGCTCAGGCAGCTTCCACGTAGAAGGGTCTTTGGCTTGAAATACTTATGATGTTATCCTCGGTTGGAAATTTGGTTTTTTTGGAGATCTTGATTCTGATTCAGAGCCTGTCGCCACTTATTTTTTCAGTCGATGTTTATTCCTCAACTGTTTTTGCATCTGTTTACACAGTTCAAACATCCAGCCACTCTCCACTCTGACCTGAGAACATAGAGGCAGGGATTCCTGCTGGGTCATTGTGCTTTTGGTACAGAGTTAAAGTCTTGAGCAATTTCTCCTAATGGTTTTCTGTTGTTTTTGCTTTTGTTGTTGTTGTTTTTGAGACAGGGTCTTGCTCTATTGCCCAGGCTGGAATGCAGTGGTGCGATCATGGCTCATTGCAGTCTCAACCTCCCAGGCTTAAGCGATTCTCCCACCTCAGCCTTCCGAGTAGCTAAGACTACAGGCCCACGCCACCACTCCCAGCTAATTTTTTTTTTTTTTTTGGTAGAGACGAGGTCTCACTTTATTGCCCAGGCTGGTCTCCACTCCTGAGCTCAACTGACCCTCCCACCTTGGCCTTCCAAAGTGCTGGGATTACAGGCATGAGTCACCGTACCTGGCCCTACTAAGGGTTTTCTAGTGATCTTAAAATTAATTAAAATTAAGAATTCAGTTCCTTAGTCACTTTGCCACACTTTGAGATGGCTGAAAATAGCCACATGTGGCTTGTGGCTACCATATTGGACAACACAGATACAGAACATTTCCGTAATTGGAGAAGTTTCTACCAGACAGCCTTGGACCTTTGGAGAAGTGCAAACTCTTTCTTTCTGGAGACTTGAGTCCACTTCATTGATCTGGTCTGAAGTACTCATCTGGCAGCTACTTTATCTGCCAACGCAGCCACTGGCTTGGTCCTTCCTGGCTCTGGCCCATCTGTTTCTAACTTAGTTCCCTGGCCCTGACTGCCCCAGATCTGCCCCTGAGTTTTCTTCCTCTCACTGATTCTTGCTCATAAACTCTTCCCATGGCTTGATTCTTCCAGCCCTGTTGCTTGGCACCAGCTCCCCAGGCATTTTCTCTAGCAGCTCAGGGTCTGAGGAGAGGTCTTTTAGGACTGCCATCCATGTGCTACCTCCCCTGACCAGGCTGGAGGAGAGGGACCTCACCTCAGTAGTCTTGGGTGATGCTGAGGCAGCAACGTACTTCGTACACACACATTGGCATTCTTCTGTTTATTCATTTAACAGATGTTTCTAGGCCATAAGCTGTGTGCCCTGAGGTCCTTGGGCTGTGATAACATTGGGGAATGAAGCAGCCCTCTGATGTCTTGAGACTTCTCATGTTGAGGATAGCCACCACCATGCCCTGGAAGCTCTCACCACTCTAACTAGAAATGCTTAACTCACATCCTCTCTAAATAGAGTACAGGCAGCTGCACACTGAAACTGAGATTGAAGAGGATACAGTGAAACAGCAGGGTGAGTTCTAGGCAAACTGTGGCCATTGCAGACTTTCTGTTTTCCTCAGCCTCCTTGCTGACACCCTACCACCCTCAATGGCTGCCCTCCTCTTTTTTGGAGGAATACCTAATGCTTGCAGAATCGTCAGGCCTCTCTCCCTTCTTCTTCCTTCTCTAATCAAAAGAGGGAATCCCCTGAATTATTTCCATTATAATGTGTCTATGTTTTAGTCAATGCACTGAAATGTAAGCACTGTGACTAACGGTGGACTTTGTTTTTGAACATGAACCAGGTAAGAGAGAGTTGGGAGGTGGGGAAGAGAGTTTCTGCTTTTGAAACTCAGTAATGTTTATTAAAAAGCCCAGCCCTCAACATATACTTGCTTTTGATAATTTTCTTTACCTTGGCAGGGAGAGAGAAAGGGAGGGAGATTGAGTTGAAAAGCTTGAGACTTTCCCTGAGAGAGATCTTAGATTTTGGGGAGGTCGAGTAGGGAGGGAGCAGCACAGTTGGGACTATGGAAAGACCATTCCCAGTGGCTTCCAGGGATAGAGAGAAGCAAATGCCAGCATAGTGAGATCTTCCTTGCTCTCGTTTGTCTTGCCAAGCTCCAACCTACATTTTTATTTTGGTCTTACATCCCAATAATCCCCAACAAGATGCATGTACTTTGGCCAAAATGGATTGTTCCTTTAAAACTTACTAGTTTCTCATTTTAGTTAACAATATAGTTTTAAATAAACAACATATGGACCGGGCATAAAATTCTAAAGTGCAAAGTAGACAGTGATAAGTCTTTCTCTCATCCTTTCCCCTAGTCACCCAGTTATCCTATCTGGAGGCATTTATAAACATACACTTTTAGATATATATCTGAATAGGTATAGATATATCTCTATATAGATTTTCCCCAATGTAATTGAAGCATAATATATATAATGCTGTTCACGTTGCTCTGTTTTTTTTGTTTGGAAAAAGTAATAACATACTGTAGCTATAGTTCCCTATCAGTACGCATAGAACTGCCTCAAAAAATACACACATAGAAAAATTTTCTGACAGTACAAAGCAGTATATATAATAGAGTAAAAAAAAATCTCCATTCCTTCTGGATCTCAGCCCACTTTCTTCTAAGGTAATGTCTTATATTATGGTTCTTCAGGGAAACAGAATGAATAGGAGATTATATATATATATATAGTCAGATTATATATTATATATTTTATATATATATATTATATATATATATATTAGCCGGGAAGTTCCATGATTTGCCACCTGCAAGGTGGAGAACCAGGAAAGGTGGTGGTATAATTCAGTTCAAGTCTGAAGGCCCGAGAACCAGCAGCTTTGGCATCCAAGGATAGAAGAAGATAGATGTCCTGGCTGAAGAAGAGAGAGTGAATTTGTCCTTCCTCCACATTGTTCTATCCAGGTCCTAACAGACTGGATGTTACACTCCCACATTGGTGAGAGATCTTTACTCAGGGATCTTTACTCAGTTCCCTGATTTAAATGCTAATCTATTCCAGAAATATCCTCACAGACACACCCAGTAAATGCTTTACTGGCTATCTGGGCATCCGTTAGCCCAGTCGAGTTGACACATGATACTAACCATGACAAGGCTCTTACCAGTTTCTTAAACGGCTGTAATAATCAAAGTTCAGTTGTCCTAGAAATAGAAATCTTCTAGGAAGCTAAAGTAGACGGGACTTAATACAGGAAGTAGGTCCTTATGAAATCACTGGAAGGGCTAGAAGAATAGGGATAGGAGGGAGGGAGTGCTCCAGATGGAGCCACTGTTCAAGAGCATGGCTCCAGAGAGCAAAAAGCTACTGCTCCTGCCATCATGAAGCCAGAGGATATACCCTGGCAAGCTGGGTCACTTCATCACAATTGCATCTCATTCCCCATCTCCTTTCCTTGCTTGCTGACAGTAACAAGCAGGAAGCTGGCCTTCCGCTCATTCCTGACTTTCATATCATGTTAGTATATCTAATTGGAGGAGCCCAATTTTGCATCCAGGGCATTATCTGGAAAGGAATGTGGGAACTATGGCTTTTAGCTTTCCAGCTCTACAGTTTTGAAGACATCCTAGAAGGAGGATAGAGCAGAGGAGGATGGAGCAGAAGGTAAGAGAGCCAATCCACACAATATTCTCCCCCAAATATTCTACACATCTTTAACCATGTGCATGCACAACCTCACTTCTAAACAAATGAGATCACACTATACCTCTGTTCTGCATTTCAGGTTTTCCACGTATTGTGTATTAGTGGTTGATCCATCTCAGTACAGACAGCTCTACATCATTCTTTTTTATGCTGGCCTCCTATATTACTATACAGCTGTGCCATAATCAGTTTAACCAGTCCCCTATTCATGGGAATTTAGGTAGTTTTCAGTCTTTTGCAGTCACAAGCAATTCTGCATTGAGCAAGCTTTTGCCTAAGTTTGTGTGTGTTTTGAGGAGTATGCTAGAATAAATCAACATGGATTATTCTGACCCCAGAGAACAAGACTTTGTTTTCCCACCCCAAAGTCTTTGTGTGGTAATGCCTCATCCCTGCTGCTCATCTTCATCTACAAGGGATGCTGTCCACCCTGGAGACCTCCTTCTCATGCATACACGGTACTTAACACTCCACAGAGTACCTGATAACTGCACGAGAAGCTGTGATTAGTCCAGTTCTGCACATAATGACACTGAGGTGACGTAGAAAGTTTAGGTGACTTGTCCAAAGTCACACAGTTGGTTAGTGGCAGATTTGGGATTTGAACTCAAGCATCTGCTTCAAGAGTACATATTCTCAACCACTACAGGAATAGCATCTTATTTTCTAGAAACATAGAGCAAGTCCTTAGTCACCTTTGTGTCTTTGACTTTATCCACAATAAACAGCTGGTAGTAAATATGTGTTGAATGAGTAAATGAATTCTTATCGGATCTAGTTGGCAATTTATATGAAAACAGCAGTTTTGTTACTATGCACAACATGAAATTATTATTATATCATTTTGCCTGAGACACAACTCAAAGCAAAGATGTTTCTGGAAGCTGCCCTTCTTGTCCATTGAGAATTTTAATCAGGTAAAATTGAAATCATGCATTAGACAACCTACCTCAGTTCACCATTAGTCCACCAGGTGGCAGTATTATCTTGAAAAACCACAAGAAGCCTGCTTTCTCCCCAGCTCTTCCCCTGAATTGGTGTTTTAGAGTCATCAGAGTTGGCACAGAATAAACCCAAGATATTTGGTTATTACTGTGTTGACAAAGTAGCTTTGAAAGTTCAATTATAGTTATTAATAGATACCAGAAATGTGGAAATAAAATCTAACCAAGGTTCTATTTCTTTTTTAAATTGGTATATACTCTTTGTACATATTTATGGGTGGCGTGTGGTATTTTGTTGCACCCATAGAATGTTTAATGATCAGGTCAGGGAATTTTTTTTTTTTTTGAGAAAGGGTCCAGGTCCACACTGTCGTCCAGGCTGGGGTGCGGTGGTGTGATCATAGCTCACTGCAGCCCTGAACTCCCGGGCTCAAGTGATCCTTCCACCTCAGCCTCCCAAGTAGCTAGGACTACAGGTATGCATCACCATGCCCAGTTAATTATGTATTTATTTATTTTAGAGACCAGGTCTCGCTATGTTGCCTAGGCTGGTCTTGAAATCCTGGCTGCAAGCCATCCTCCCCAGGAGGCCTCTCAAAGTACTGGGATTATAGGTATGAATCACTGTGCCCAGCAAGTCAGGGTCTTCTGGTATCCATCACTTCAAGGATTTATCATTTCTATGTGTCGGGAACATTTCAAGTCTTCTCTTCTAGCTGTTTTGAAATATACATTGTTGTTAACTATAGTCACCCCACTCTGCTATTGAACATTATAACTTATTCCTTCTATCTAATTGTATGTTTTTACCCATTAACCAACCTTTCTTCATCTCCCTATCCTCTCCCCTGACACACCCTTCTCAGCATCTGTTATATATCATTCTACTCTATCTCATGTGATACTTGTCTTTCTGTGCCTGGCTTATTTCACTTAACATAATGACTTCCAGTTCCGTGCATGTTGCTGCAAATGATGAGTTCATTCTTTTTAATGGCCTAATAGTACTCCATTGTGTATATATAGCACATTTTCTCTATCCAGTCATCTGTTGATAATCACTTAGCTTGATTCCATATCTTTGCTATTGTGAATGGTACTGCAATAAACACGGAGTGCAGGTGTCTGTTTAATATACAAATTCCTCTTCCTTTGGATAAATGCCCAGCAATGGGATTGCTGGATTGTAGGTTAGTTCTATTTTTAGTTTCTTGAGACATCTTCATACTGTTTTTCGTAGTAGCTGTACTAATTTACATTCCCACAATAGTGTATATGAGTTACCTTTTCTCCTCTGTTATTTCTTATCTTTTCAGTAATAGCCCATTCTGACTGGTAAAAGATGATAAGTCAATATGGTTTTGATTTGTATTTCCCTAATGATTAGTGATGTTGAGCATTTTTTAACGTATCTGCCCATTTGTATGTCTTCTGTTTATTCATGTCCTCTGTCCACTTTTTCCTGGGATGATGATGATGATGATGATGATGATTGTTATTTTACTGTTGAGTTGTTTGAGTTCCTTGCATATTTTGGATATTAGTCCCTTGTTGGATGAATAGTTTGCAAATATTTTCTCCCATTCAATGGATCATCTCTTCCCTTTGTTGATTGTTTCCTTTGCTTTTTAGTTTAATATAGTCCCATTTGTCAATTTTTGTTTTTGTTTCCTGTGCTTTTGAGGTCTTAGCCATAAAATCTTTGCCTAGGCCAGTGTCCTGAAATGTTTCCCCTATGTTTTCTACTAGTAGTTTTATAGTGTCAGGTCTTATGTTTAAGTGTTTAATCTGTCTTGAGTTGATTTTGTATGTAGTGAGAGATAGGGGTTCAGTTTTATTCATCTGTATATGGTTATCTAATCTTCCTAGCCCCTCTTATTGAAGAGGATGTCATTTCCCCCATAAATACTCTTGGAAGCTTTGTTGAAAATCAGTTGGCTGTAAATATGTAGAGTTATTTTCTGGCTTCTGTATTTTGTTCCTTTGGCCTACATGTCTGTTTTTATTCCAATACCATGCTGTTTTGGTTACTATAGCCTTGTGACAAATATGTTTTGAAATCAGGTAGAGTGATGCCTCCAGCTTTGTTCTTTTTGCTCAGGATTGGCTATTAATGATCTTCTTTGGTTCCATACAAATTTTAGGATTGTGTTTTCTTTTTCTGTGAAAAACGACATTGATGTTTTGATAGGGATTGCATTGAATCTGTAGATTGCTTTGGGCAGTACGGTCATTGTAACTATATTAATTATTTCAATCCATGAGCACGGGATGTTTTTCCATTTGTTTGTATCCTCTTCAATTTCTTTCATCTGTGTTTTGTAGTTTTCATGTAGAGATCTTTTATCTCCCAACATTCTATTTCAATTAAACTTTTCAACAATGTAGACTAATGGAAAGAACAGAGCTATAATAATCTTGGGTAAGTCCTAGCTTCTCTGGGCCTCATCTTCAACATCTGTCAAATGGGGCAAATATTACTTCTCTTGCAGGATTGTTGTGAGAATAAATACAATGATATATGAACTGTGTCTTACTTACTTACTGTGTTTTTCACATGTTTGTGATTATGGAAAGTCTACTTGCCCTGCACCAGTTGGGAGTATTTTCTTAGTTGACCTGATTACTAACATCATTTGAATCACTTGGATAAGGGTTAAGTTAAAGTTTTCTTTTTATGTTATTATAAAGGATGTTTTCTAAATAAATTATTTACGTAAAAGAATATAACTGACTTGGGACTGACTGCTTACAAGCATTTTGAAAGTAAATGATATAATTGCAGTACATACAAGTAAGATACTGGGCTGGGCACGGTGGCTCATGCCTGTAACCGTAGCACTTTGGGAGGCCAAGGCAGTCAGATCACTTGAGCCCAGGAGTTTGAGACCAGCCTGAACAACATGGCGAAACCCCATGTCTACAAAAATAAACAAAAAATTAGCTGGGTGTGGTAGTGTGCACCTATAGTCCCAGCTACTCAGGAGGCTGAAGTGGGAGGATCACTTGAGACTGGGGAGGTTGAGGCTGCAGAGAGCTGTGATCACACCACTGCACCCCAGCCTGGGTGACAGAGTGAGACTGTCTCAAAAACAAAAACAAACAAACAAACAAAATATAATAAGATAATAACCACTAACCACTTGTTCATAAAGTAAGATGCCAGTTCCCACTCCCTCATTGGTGTTATATTAGACATTTTAAATAACGTTGTTTATGTCTCGAAACATATTTATTATGGCAGATTTTCCTTTATTTAAATTAACTACTGTGTGAGACTGTAGTTAACTACAGGTGGGAGTATGTGATGACTTAACTGAGCAGAAAGTTAAAAATATAAACTGTGTTAATTTGGTCAGGTGCAGTGGCTCACACCTGTAATCCCAGCACTTTGGAAGGCCGAGGTGGGTGTATCACCTGAGATCAGGAGTTCAAGACCAGCCTGGCCAACATGGCAAAACCTCATCTCTACTAAAAATATAAAAATTGGGTGGCAGCGTGTGCCTGTAATGGCAGCTACTCGGGAGGAGAATTGCTTGAACCTGGGAGGCAGAGGTGGCAGTGAGCCGATCTCATGCCACTGCTTTCCATATATATATATACACACACACACATACACACATATATATATACACACACATTCCATATATATATACACACACACATATATATATACACACACATATATATCTATATACTGTGTTAATTTAATGAGAGTTGGCAATTTTCTACAAGCAGTGTTATGAGGTATTGGACTCATATAAAAAATATATTCATAAAGTGGTTCAAAATGTTTAAAAAACACGACTTAAAAATACATGAGTTAAAAGCAATTTTTTGTTTGTTTTTTAGATGGAGTCTTGCTTCTTTGCCCAGGCTGGAGTGCAATGGCGTGACCTCGGCTCACTGCAACCTCTGCCTCCCGGGTTCAAGCAATTCTCCTGCCTCAGCCTCCCAAGTAGCTGGAATTACAGGCACGTGCCAGCATGCCCGGCTAATTTTTGTATTTTTTTTTTTTTTAGTAGAGATGGGGTTTCACCATGTTGGCCAGACTGGTCTCAAACTCCTGACCTCAAGTGATCTGCCCGCCTTGATCTCCCAGAGCGCTGGGATTATAGGTGTGAGCCACTGCACCTGGCCAAAAGTGATTTCTTTATAGGAAAAAAGTTGAAAGCAGTAGCCAGACTTTCTTTTACTGTTACTCATTTAGAATAAAATATTTTATGTCTCACCTGCCTCACCCATTCTTTTTTTTTGAGACGGAGTTTCCCTCTTGTTGCCCAGGCTGGAGTGCAATGGCCTGATCTTGGCTCACTGCAACCTCTGCCTCCCAGGTTCAAAAGATTCTTCTGCCTCAGCTTCCCTAGTAGCTGGGATTGCAGATATATAATGCCACCATGCCCGGCTAATTTTTTGTACTTTTAGTAGAGATGGGGTTTCACCATGTTGTCCAGGCTGGTCTCAAACTCCTGACCTCAGGTGATCTGCCTGCCGTGTCCTCCCAAAGTGCTGGGATTACAGCTGTAAGTCACCGCACCCAGCCTGCCTAACCCATTCTTATCTGCCAGTGGGAGTAGATGTAGATTATAATAAAGATTGAGAAAAAACAAAATAGACAATTCACAGTGAAATTTATTGACAGTAGCATATGTGAATTTCCTCATTATATAATTTCTAATATAAGACTATGAGTTTACACGTGATTCTTTACTATAAAATTATTACCCATAAACTTAAACATAACTCAGTGGTTTGATTTACTTACCTTATGAGTACATTGCAAGTTAATTAAGGTAGCATAAGTCAGTAATCATTAATGAGAGGAGTAATCATTAATGAGAGGAGTCTATGATCAACTTTTAAAGAGAACAATGTATAATTCTACTAAGTATAAGGTTGATCAAAACTGGAAAATTACAAATAATATGATGATGATGACTAACACTGATAATGTGCTTACTAAGGCACTGTTCTCACTAATGTACGTATATTAGCTTATTTAATCTTCATGATAACTGTGGGAGCAGGCACTCTTACTGTTCCTATCAACATTCCTATTTTTGCAAATAGATATTTCTATACTGTGTAGTTTAATAAAAATTAAACACAATCAGAAAGAAGTAACAGGAAGTAACCATAGATGCAGAGAAAATTTAAACAATTTATAAGAGTACTTGATAAAACTTTATAGAAATACATTTTAAAAGTGTGATTACATGAATGCTGTTTTAAAAAACATAAATAAATAAAATAAATTCCCAAAGAGACAGAAAACTGAAAATGGTCACTGACCAGGGAATTCATTGAGAAGGTAATCTGAGAAGCTCTGAACTCAAATATTTTATTAGTGAATTCTTCCAAACTTTCAAGGAAAATAAAATTCTAATTATACTTAAACTGGTCTAGGACTTAGAGAAAAAAACTTCCAACGTCATTTTCTAAAGCCAGCAAAACACAATATAAACCTGAAAAATTTGTTTTTGGTATGTTGTACTATAGTGGTGGGTTGCACTATTGTTCAAAATATTTATTGTCCCTCCTGGGGGATGGATTAATTATAGGCCTTCATCCCACTGACATCTGGCCTGTCTTTAGGACTTGACATGCTCCCCCTTGTGGCTGGATTACTTATCCCTATCCTGTTGAAGCCAAGAGTAGTTCTCCAATTTGCCTTGGCCAAATGGTCAATGAAATAAGGGCAGAAGTGACATTATGCCACTTAGAAACAGAAGTTTTAAAATAGAGTTCATGGTTCACCATGTCTCTCTTATCTCTACCATGATGACCACCAATGTGTCAGATAAGCTGCTTTATCCACTTCATTCCAGAGGGAAGATGGCATGGAAGAGAGGCACAGCAGATGGTGGACACAGACCATGAGTAAGAATTAAACCTTTGTTACTGTAAGCTGCTAACATTTTGAGATTGTTTGTTATCACAGCATAACCTAGCCTACTCTGACTGATGCACTCCTCTTCTCCCACACAAGAAAGCTGTGGACTACATTTACTTATGAACACTAATTTTAAAAATCTTTAATAAGGAAAAGATTTCAGGCATACATTGTAGGAATAATATACCCCCAGCTGAGATTCATTTCAGGAATGCAAATTTGATGTTCCTGATAAAATAAGAAGAGATTTATATTTCCCTGACATGCAATCTATAGTAGCTCAATAATGAAATACTAGAAATATTCCCATTAAAGTCAAGAATGTGACAAGAGAGCTTATTAACTCCCCTATTATTTAATCTTTACATCCATTGTATTTTGAGCTTAGTTTTTTTTATATTAAAATCCTGCCAAACACTAAATGTTTATATGTGAAATGTTGAACATCTGTTCTAATTCAGTATTCTTTCCTTCAAATAATTCTTTTGGTTTTAAACCTCTTTATATTTTGCACCTGAATACTGCCTAAGTTTTGATGGTTTCATTGGTTTATTAGCTAATAGTACATCTCCACAAATACACAATAAATTGTATTTGTGGAGATGTACTCTTGGCTAATAAACTGAGGTTTTAGTATTCCACCCTCAATTATAGCCTCAAAGCTGAACTCAGTACACGAGGGATCATATTTTGGAGGAAAACTCAATGAACTCTTTGGTTTTCCTGTTCTCTGGAATCACTTCCATCATCCTTATTTTGTTTACCTTTACTGCTGCTTTTAGAATAGGTCTATATTTTCTTGATAAAAACGTTCAGTGAATTTTGTTTCACCATCAGTTAATTGAGGTTAAAGACATAGGTATTTATTTCCCAACTTTGGTCAATAAAGAAAAACTTGAGTCCAGTCACGGTGGCTCACGCCTGTAATCCCAACACTATGGGAGGCCGAGGCGGGTGGTTCACTTGAGGTCAGGAGTTCAAGACCAGCCTGGCCAATATGGTGAAACCCTGTCTCTACCAAAAATACAAAAAATAGCGGGGCTTTGTGGGCACCTGTAATTCCAGCTACCCCAGAGTCTGAGGCAGGAGAATCACTTGAACCCAGGAGACAGAGGTTCCAGTGAGCTAAGATTGCACCAGTACACTCCAGTCTGGGCAACAGAGCAAGACTCCATCTCAAAAACAAAAACAAAAACAAAAACAAAAAGACAAACTTGATTACAGTGTAAATTTTCTTAAAAATAATGTTATAAAAATGTACACCTTTTCTCAGATTTTTGATATACTTTTGGGTTAAAGTTGATGAATAATCTTGCACTCTGTAATGAGGTCCTACTGTGTATGACTATTATGTGAGTCCTGCCACATGCAAGTCATCCTAATGGTCTACACACTATTCAAGAAGATGAGTCCACTGACCATGTGCTTGCATGTCACAGCAGTTGTCAAATGGCTATAAAATATTCTAAATGCTTACCCTCAATTTCTGTACTTACTTCATTATTGACAGGTAATAAACAGCTCATAGACTGGCACCAATCTAAGGACTATAGTTTGAATGGCACTCATGAATGAGTTTGGAACTAACAGACAGGTTAAAGTTGAAGATCTGTATTTGGGAGTTGTCAAAGCCATAAGATCAGAGTAGATCACCTAGGGAAAGAATGATCTCTGGGAATTTCCAGTAGTGAGAAGTCAAAGAAAGGAGTCAGTGGCTGGATGACTTTTTTTTTTTTTTTTTTCTCGGAGACAGAGTCTCGCTGTGTCACCCAGGCTGGAGTGCAGTGGTGTGATCTTGGCTCACTGCAACTTCTGCCTCCTGGGTTCAGGCGATTCTCCTGCCTCAGCCTCCCGAGTAGCTGGGATTAAAGGCGCCAGCCACCACGCCTGGCTATTTTTTGTATTTTTTAGTAGAGACGGGGTTTTGCCATGTTGGCCAGGCTGGTCTTGAACTCTGGATGTCAAGTGATACACCTGCCTCTATCTCCCAAAGTGCTGGGATTACAGGTGTGAGCCACCGCGCCTGGTCGACTGTTCTTAACACTAATCTATCATACATTTCAAAATAGCTAGAATAATTTGAATGTTCTTAGCGTAAAGAAAAGATAAATATTTAAGGTGATGGATATTCCAATTATCCTTATTTGATATTTACGCATTATATGAATGTATCATATTATCACCTATACCCTGAAAATATGTATGTCAATTATGTATTAATTTTAAAAAAGTAATAGTAAACTTTAATCACCTGCGGAAAAAAAAAGAAGAAAGAAGGAGTCAGTGGTCAACTGTGTCTAACATTGTTGAGAGCTGATAAGACAGGAAGAAATTATCAGGCCAAAATATACATAAATACTGAAACCTACAGAGGTAAAGAGAGCACTGGAGCCACTTTTACCTGGAACTTATTTGCCGATCTCAGCAAACTTGGACTTCAGTTTTGATGGTCTCATGGGGTAAAGGAGACAAATGCCCAGGGCTGGAGGAGGGTCGGTAGCCTAATGGGGAGCTTTATCAATAAGAGTGTATCTCCACTGGGCTACAGTCTCAGGGAAAGGATTAACTGGAAGTAAACCCACTCTGTGCCCTAACCCCTGACCTCCAGAATACTATGAAGTTTTTTGTTTGTTTGTTTGTTTGTTTGTTTGTTTGTTTGAGATGGAGTCTCACTCTGTCACCCAGGCTGGAGTGCAGTGGCACGATCTTGGCTCACTGCAACCTCCGCATCCCAGGTTCAAGTGAGTCTCCTGCCTCAGCCTCCCCCGAGTAGCTGGGATTACAGGCATGCACCACCACACCCAGCCAATTTTTGTATTTTTGGTAGAACAGGATTTCACCATGTTGGCCAGGCTGGTCTTGAACTCATGACCTCAGGTGATCTGCCCGCCTCAGCCTCCCAAAGTACTGGGATTACAGGCATGAGCCACCGAGCCTGACCAGAATTTTTTCTTAACTCACAGCATAGTAAGAGAATTTACAAACATCCCCGAGAGTTGTAATGATAATGCTCCTTTCTTGCAGATTTGCAGCACAAACTTGCATTATCTGGATAGTCTTAAAAGACCTTCACCACCCCTCTTCTTCAAAGCCCCCCAGACATAAGCCATAAATATTATTTAAAGCTGTTTGGCCTACTAACACCCCCAGACACTTGGAAGAAGCAAATGAAATGGGTAACAGTACCCTTAATCCTGGCCTCAGAGAATACCCACATAGTATGTGACTTTTCCAGATTAGTGTCTTTCACTTAGCAATATGTACTTAAGTTTTCTCCAGTGTTTTCATGGCTTGGTAGTTCATTTTTAAAAACTGCTAAATAATATTCCATTGTATGGATGCACCACAGTTTATTTATTCAACGATTGAAGGACATCTTGGTTGCTCCCAAGTTTTGGTAATTATGAATGAAGCTGTTATAAACATTTGTGTGCAGGATTTTTGTGGGCTTAAGTCTTCAACTCATTTGGATAAACATCAAGGAGCATGTTTGCTGAATCATATGGTAAAGGTATGTTTAGTTTTGTATAAAACTGCCAAACTGTCTTCCAAAGTGGAAGCATTTTGCATTCCCATCAACAACAAATGAGAGTTCTTGTTTCTTATTGTTGAGTTCTTTGTACATCTTAGGTACCAGTCTTTTATCAGATATTTGTTTTGGAAAGATTTTCTCCCAGTCAATAAGTTAACTTTTCATTCCTCTCCCAGTGTTTTTCACAGAACAGAAGTTTTTAATTTTAATGAAGTTCAACTTACTAATTTTTTCTTTCATGAAGTGTGCTTTTTGTGTTATATCTTAAAAAGATTTCCAAGCCCTGGGTTATCTAGATTTTCTCCTGTGTTTTTACCTACAAATTTTAAGTTTTGTACTTTACATTTAGGCCTATGATCCATTTTAAGTAAAATTTTGTGATAGGTATCAAGTCTGTGTCTAGATTTTTTTTTAACATGTGGATGTCCAGTGCAGTTGTTTCAACACCATTACACCATTTTTTAAAAAGACCATTCTTTCTTCATTGAATTGCCTTTGATCCTTTGTCAAAGATCAGATAATTATATTTGTGTGGGTTTATTTCTGAGTTTTCTATTCTGTTCCACTGATTTATTTGTCTGTCCTTTTGCCAATATGACACTGTCTTAATTATTGAAGCATTATATTAAGTCTTGAAGTAAGTAGTATTAGTCCTTCAACTTTGTTCTTCTCCTTCAATATTATGGTGGCTATTTTGAGTTTTTTGTTTTGACATAGGAACTTTAGAATAAGTTTGTCAATATACACAAAATGGGATTTTGATTGGAATTGCATTGACTCTATAGATTAAGTTGGAAAAAACTGACATCTTGACAATATTGAATCTTCCTTTCCATGTACATGGAATATCTCCATTTCTTTGGATTTTTAAATTTTCTGTCATCAGTTTCATAATTTCCTTCATATAGGTTTTACACATTTTTGGTAGATTTATACATATGTGTTTCATTTTTTGGTGCTAATGTCAATGGTATTGGTTCTTAATTTTAAATTTCAATTGCTAATTGCTGGTGTATAAAAGGCAGTTGACAGTTGTATATTAACTTTGTATCCTGCAAGCTTGCCATTATTGCTTATTAGTTCCAGGTGTTTGTTGTTGTTGATTCTTTGGGATTTTCTACATAGACAGTTGTGTCATCTTCAAACAAAGACAATTTTATTTCTTTCTTCCCCATCTCCACACTTTTAATTTCCTTTTCTTGTCTTATTGCATTAGCTAGAACTCCCAATGTTATGTTGAATAGGAGTCATAAGAGTAGACATTCTTGCCTTGTTCTTGATATTAGCAGAAAAAGATTATACATCACGACCAAGTGGAGTCTATCCCAAGAGAATGTAAAGTTGCTAGTGTAGGAAAATACAATTGACTTTTATATGGATCTTGTAACCTGCAATCTTGCTAAACTTGCTTATTAGTTCTAATAGTTTTCTAGGTAATTCCTTAGGATTTTCTCTATATAAGAGGATGCCAATTCAAAATACAGATAGTTTTGCTTCTTCCTTTATAATTCAAATGTATTTTATTTCTTTTTTTTGGCCTAATTGCTCTGGGTAGAACTCCCAGCACAATGTTTAATAGAAATGGCAAGAACAGACATCTTTGTTTTGTGCCTGATGTTGGGGGAAAAGCTTTTGTCTTTCACCATTAAGTATAATGTTAGCTTTGGGTTTTTCATTCATGTTGTATATCGGGTTGAAGGAGTTGCCTTCTACTCCTAGTTTGTTGAGTGTTTTTATAATAAAAGGATGTTGGATTTTGTCAAATGCTTTTTCTGCTTCTATAAAGATAATCATGTGGTATTAGCCCTTTATTTTATTAATGTAGTATATTATATTGATTGCTTAATGTTGAACCAACCTTACATTCCTGGGATACATCCCACTTGGTCATAGTATATAATCCTTTGGATATGTTGCTGGATATGGTTTGCTAGTATTTAGCTGAGGATTTTGCATCTATATTCATAAGGGAGATTGGTCTGTACTTTTCTTGTGATGCCTTTGTTGGCTTTTGGCTTCAGGATAATACTGGGTTCATTGACTGAGTTGGGAAATTTTACTTATTTGAATCAGTTTTTGGTCTCTTTCAACTTCATCTGTGCTTCACTATATCCTGAACAAATTTCCTAAAGTTTGTGATATGAGATTGTTTTAGCAGCAAGGATGGTTTTTTCCCTACTTTGTTTCTCACTGATTATTATTATTATTATTATTATTATTATTTTTTGTGATGGGGTCTTGCTCTGTCACCCAGCCTGGAGTGCAATGGCACAATCTCGGCTCACTGCAACCTCCACTTTGCGGGTTCAAGTGGTTCCCCTGCCTCACCCTCCCGAGTAGCTGGGATTACAGGCGTGCACCACCATGCCTGGCTAAATTTTGTATTTTTAGTAGAGATGGGATTTCACTGTGTTGGCCAGGCTGGTCTCAAACTCCTGACCTCAAGTGATCCACCTGCCTCAGCCTCCCAAAGTGCTGGGATTACAGGCGTGAGCCACCGCGCCCGGCCTCACTGATTATTTTGGTCAGTTTCAGGGATGGACAGTTCTGAAGTTGCCTGGCTTTATAGAGTATGCTTACCAGCATTGTCTTAGGTGTAGGAATAGAAGGAAGGAACACAAAAAGAAGTATAAAACTCCCCAATTAGCAGTAATCTATAGGAGCCACTCTCTGTCCTCTATTTTAATTCAATATGGACTTTTAATATCTCTAAACAGGTGAGTATGCTCCCCACTAAAGACCCATGTTAGCACTTGGAAATCTCCCACTTTATGTTTGTATGTTCTCGTCTCAAGAAAAGGTAATGTGGATTCGTTTGTAAAATATATCAGTAGCTTTGTCCCTCTCCTCAATCCATTGTGCCATTATCAAAAACAGGGTTAAGGATTCAATGGCTTCATGATATCAAAAAACAACCTTAAGTGGGAAAATGTGAGAGCTGAGTTATGGAGTGAAGAGTACATTAAATGAAAGTTCCTAGGGGTCATTGCTTTATAAAATTTCACAATGCATTGTTTCCTATGAAGGCACAGGAAATGAATATTACCCCTATTCTGCAAGAGGAGAAATTGAAGTACAGTTGTTGCTTGGACAACACAGGTTTGAACTAAATATATTAAAAATTTTTTTGGAGATTTGCAACAATTCAAAAACACTCGCAGATGAACCAAGTAGACTAGAAATACCAAAAAATTAAGATGAAGATATGTCATGGATGCATAAGATGTATGTATATACTAGTCTTTTAAAAGTCATTTGCTACTGTAAAATATATACAAATCTGTTATTCAAAGTTAAAATTTATCAAAACTTATACACACACCTACAGATGTTACATAGCACCACTCACACTAGAGAGAAATCTAAACAAATGTAAAGATGCAGTATTGAATTTTAATTGCATAAAATAGACTGTAGTACATACTGTACTACTGTAGTAATTTCATAGCCACTTCCTGTTGTTATTTCAGTGAGCTCAAGTGTTGCGAATATCTGCTTAAAACATCATGTGATGCTAATCGCCTCTGAGTGAGTAGCTCATCTCTCCAGTAAATTGCCATCTCTCTCGGTTCTCGCACATTTTTCGTCATGTTTAGTTTCAATATGGTAAACTTTGAATAACACCATGAGATCTATACAGAGTACCACTAGTGATGATGGAAGTGCTCCCAAGAAGCAGAGAAAAATCATGACATTACAATAAAAAGTTGAATTTCTTGATACAAACCATAGATTGAAGACTGCAGCTGCAGTTGCCGCCATTTTAGACAGATGATTCATCTTATAAACAGATGACGTAAACTTATGATATTGATAAATACAGTACTGTAAAAATATTTTGTCTTTCTTATGATTTTCTTAATAATATTTTTCTTTTTCTAGCCTTATTGTAAGAATACAGTATATAATATGTATAATATACAAAATATATGTCAATCGACTGTTTATATTATCAGTAAGGCTTCTGGTCAACAGTAGGCTATTTGTAGTTAAGTTTTTGGGGAGTCCAAAGTTGTATGCTGATTTTTGACTGCATGGGGGGGTGGGTGTCCCTAACCCCTGTGTTGTTCAAGGGTTGGCTGTAGTTAGTAGGGATACTCTGCTTTGGACTTAGATCACCAAGCTCCTGATGTAGTTTTATTTTATGATCTTTTCTTGTTTTGTTTTTTAAAATAATCTACCATTGCCTAAGTCAATAGGTTTCTAGTATCTTTACTACAAACTAGTAATGCTTGTTGCAGTTTCTTTTTTCTTTTTCTTCAAGTCATAATGATATGATGATTTCTGTCATTAAAAGATGATTCCATCAAGCTCTTGCGAAGAAACCTTAGATAACTGGTTGTCACTATAAATAAAACACTGTGCTATTGCTATAAGTAGGCCATGTTATCACTTATACATTTTCTTAGGAAACAGGACATGGAAGTCATTTGATAGAGGAACATTAATGTAATGTTCAGGTCTACTGATACAGGCTTTATATCAATAGTCCAAATAGTAACATGTATTAGTTTATCTCTGGATTTCTTTCTTAACAGCATAGGAGATAAGAATATGGATCTCCTGGATCCATTCTGGAAAAACAGGACTAAGGGCAATATTTCACATGTGAGCAGTGAGTTACTTTCCCAGTAGCTGACACGGGTTGAATTGGTAAGAGAAGTAAGCGGTGAGAAGACAGGAACCATATCAGCCTCACACACAGGGTGTGACACGCAGCAAAAATAAATGTTTGCTGCTTGGATGTTGATTCAGGGAGGGAGGAGGGCAAATGTCAGACCTGAGATGGGGTGAGCAGGGCTACCAGAGGGAGGTGGCTTGCTCTGTCTGGACCAAACAAGGAAATGAGTCTTTGATCTCTTGAGAATTAGACAAAAATGGAACTTTCAAGGATAGAGAAGGCTTTAGAACCTTAAAAGTTTCATTTTATTTTTATTTTGAAATCCTTTGGCACTTACAGAAAAGTTCCAAGAATAGTGAGGCTTCACTCCACCTCCCCTAATGTTAACAACTTACATAACCACAATACAATGATCAAAACCAGGAAATTAACATCGGTGTGCGCTATTAACTAAAACATACCGGTTTCACCAGTCCCTTCCTCCTGCACCCCGTCTCCTTTTTCTGTTTTAGGATCCAATCCAGGATGCTACATTGCATGTAGTTGTTCTGTCTTCTTATCTGCTACAATCTGTGATGGTTCCTGAGTCATTCCTCGTTCTTCAGCACCTTGTAACTTGTGATGAATATTGGTCAGCTATGTTGCAGAAAGTCTCCCAGTTTGGATTTGTCTGATGTTTTCTCATTATTTGATTTAGGTTACATGTTTCTGGCAAGAATACCACAGAAGCAATATTGTATCTCTTTCAGAATATCATATCAGGCCTTCCTGATGTTCATGTGTCTTTTTGCTAGTGATGTTAACTTTGATCACTTAAAGTATTGTTGGCCAGGTTTCTCCATCATTAAGTTATTATTATTTTTTTTGTAATTGAGAAATATCTTGGGGGAGATACTTGAGAGTATGTAAATATCATGTTTCTGCTTAAACTTTTGTTCACTAATTTTAGCACCCGCTAGTGGACCTTGCCTGTCACAATTAATACTAGGGGTTGAAATGAAGATTATCTTTTCCCTTCATGACTGGAATTCTTTGGTGATGACGAGTTGTCCCTTCTACCCCATTTATCCATGAGTATGGGCTCATGAATATTTATTTTGTTCTATGGGTTATAATCCAATACTGTTATTATGTCTTTTGTTGCTCCAGCTGTTCCAGCTTTGGTTATTGGGAGTTCCTTCAGGCTGGCTTCTGCATCCTTTCAACATTCCCCCATCCTTTTTCGAGCACTTCCTTGTTTGCTGGCACAAAATGTTCCTGGTTCATCTGATATTTTTGCTGCTCCAGCTCTGCAATCAAATACCTCTCCAAGAAGTTATTGGAGAGTGATAGAATGCAAGTTCTGAGCTCTAGGTGTGCTCATTGCTTCCAGGGTGTCATTACTCCCAGGCTCTTTTGTGTGTGAGTGTGTGTGTGTGTGTGTGTGTGTGTGGACAGAGCTGGAAAATATATATAAATGTATACTGGTACACACATATCTATGTTTATGGTTTGTTTTTTTTTTGAGACATTCTCGCTGTGTCACCCAGGCTAGAATGCAGTGGCATGATCTCAGCTCACTGCAACCTCTGCCCCCTGGGTTCTAGCCATTCTCCTGCCTCAGCCTCCTGAGTAGCTGAGATGAGAGGCATGCACCACCACACCTGGCTAATGTTTAGTAGAGACAGAGTTTCTCCATGTTGGCCAGGCTGGTCTTGAACTCCTGATCCGTCTGCCTCAGCCTCCCAAAGTGCCAGGATTACAGGTGTGAGCCACTGTGCCTGGTCCTATGTTTATGATTGTGTCTGTTTATCTGTGCACTGCTTCTTTCATACTGCTTCTTTCAATTTGATGCCATAGGGTTTATTCTACTTTACTTCTTTTTTTTTATCTGTAATTTCTTTCTCCAACAATGGGAAACATGGCTTTCATCTATAAATACTCACTTACTTGTTTAATCCTAGCATGCATATAAAAAATGTTGTAGAATAACCTATGCCCAGGTGAGATATAGATTTATTAATAAGTCTATGGCATTTGTGCACAGTTCTTTTTGTTTTAAGCCTTATAGTATCAAAAGCTTTTCAAAAGCACTTAGGCTAGTTTATTTCTTCCACAACCCCTGCAGTGTAGTTATATTTATTTGTAATATGATTCATTTTATCTGTTACTGTTTGTATTACACTTTGGGTTTCCTCCATATCCTGGTTGATTTTCATTCATTTTAAATTTTTTTGGAGTATGTGAAAGATCATTATGATTTTAAGAGTTAAAGCATCCACCTCATCCCTACTACCCTGTTCCCATTCTCCTCCTCTCCCCATCTTTTCACCTCTTTTTTGTCTGTCCTGTGTAGGTAATCAGTCTCTTTCGCTTCTGATTTACTTTCTGTTTTTCTTTTTCATAAATGAGCAGATACATGTGCATTTTTTTATCCCTTATTTTTTACATGAAAGGTAGCATACTATAGATATGCCCTCACACTTTCCTTTTTTCATTTAATGGTGTACCCTGGAAATAACTATATCAGTTCATACAGATCTAGCCCATTCCTTTTACAGCTGCTTCGTACTTCAGTGTGGAAGTACATAAATTTATTCAATGACCATCTTGTGTATGGTCATTTAGATTGTTTTCTTTTCTTTTCTTTCTTTTTTTTTCTTTTGAGAGAGAGTTTCGCTCTATACCCCAGGCTGGAGTGCAGTGGCACAATCTCAGCTCACTGCCTCTGCCTCGTGGGTTCAAGTGATTCTCTTGCCTCAGCCTCCCAAGTAGCTGGAATTACAGATGCCCGCCACCACGCCCGGCTAATTTTTGTATTTTTAGTAGAGACAGAGTTTTGCCATGTTGGCCAGGCTGGTCTCGAACTCCTGACCTCAGGTGATCTGCCCACCTTGGCCTCCCAAAGTGCTGGGGTTACAGGTGTGAGCCACCGCGCCTGGCCAAATTGTTTCAATATCTTGTGATTATTTTTAAAATGCTGCAATGTATAAGCTTGTGCATATGTACTTTTGGAGGTATAACTTAAGGGTAAATTTTTTTTTTTTTTTGAGATGGAGTTTCACTCTTGATGCCCAGGCTGGAGTGCAATGGCGTGATCTCGGCTCACCGCAACCCTTGCCTCCCGGGTTCAAGAGATTCTCCTGCCTCAGCCTCCTGGGTAGCTTGGATTACAGGCATGCACCACCACACCCGGCTAATTTTTTGTATTTTTAGTAGAGACGGGGTTTCTCCATACTGGTCAGGCTGATCTCGAACTCCCGACCTCAGGTGATACGCCTGCTTCGGCCTCCCAAAGTGGTGGGATTTACAGGCGTGAGCCACTGCGCCAGGCCAATTTTTTTTTTTTTTGAGAGGGAGTGTTGCTCTGTCTCCCAGTTAGCCAGGATGGTCTCGATCTCCTGACCTCATGATCTGCCCGCCCCGGCCTCCCAAAGTGCTGGGATTACAGGCGTGAGCCACTGTGCCTGGATTTTTTTTTTTTTTTTTTTTTGGAGACGGAGTCTCACTCTGTCGCCCAGGCTGGAGTAGAGTGGCGTGATCTTGGATTACTGCAACCTTTGCCTCCCAGGTTCAAGCGATTCTCCAGCCTCAGCCTCCTGAGTAGCTGGAATTACAGGCACCTGGCACCATGCCCGGCAAATTTTTGTATTTTTAGTAGAGACAGGGTTTCACCATGTTGGGCAGGCTGGTCTCGAACTCCTGACCTCAAGTGATCCACCCTCCTTGGCCTCCCAAACTGCTGGGATTACAGGTGTGAGCCATCACACCTGCCCAGGATACATTTTTTTAAATGAGATTGCTGGGATCTAAAGGTAAGTGCATATTTAGTTTGCTAGGTATTGCCAAATTTTCCTGCAGAAGGGCCGTACCAATTTGCATTTCTACCAGCAATATATGAGAGTATTCATTTCCCCAATGCCTTGCCAACACAATGTCAAGTCTTAAAATTTTTGTCAATCTGATTGAAGAGAAATAATATCTTAGTATTATTTTAATTTGAATTTCTCTATGAGTGAGTTTGAACGTTTATTTCATATATTTGTGGGCCAGTTTTATATCTTTTTAATGAGTTGTCTGTTCATATACTGTCTCCATTTTTTTCTTTCTGGAAAAATGTGTTTTGTCCCTCAATATTTTTTTTTTTAATTTTTTTTTTGAGACAGTCTTACTCTGTAGCCCAGGCTGGAGTGCAGTGGCATGATCTCAGCTCACTGCAATCTCCGCCTCCTGGGTTCAAGCGATTCTCCTGCCTCAGCCTCCTGAGTAGCTGGGATTATAGGCGCCAGCTACTATGCCCAGCTAATTTTTTGTATTTTTAGTAGAGATGGGGTTTCACCATGTTGTCCAGGCTTGTCTCGAACTCATAACCTTGTGATTTGCCCGCCTCGGCTTCCCAAAGTGCTGGGATTACAGGCGTGAGCCACCACACCCAGCCTTGTCCCTCAATTTTTAAGGGTTCTTTATTTAAAGGGATATTATATATCCTTTTTTTTCTCCCATGGTACATATTATAAATATTTTCTTCCAACTTGTCAGGTGTCTTGACTTTGGTTGTGGTGTTTTTGCTATATAAATTTTTATTTTTATGTAGTCAAATTTGTCAACCTCTTCTTTTGTTGCCTCTAGATTTTGAGTCATAGTTAGACTTAAAAACTCCATACCAAGATGAATACTCCCAGATTTTAAATTTTTTTAAGCTCTGAATATTTGATGAAGAAAATGTCTCCTCGAGTACCAATTTGCCTCTAAACAAATATTTATAAGGCAAGAATACCAAAATAAACCCACGTGAAGTTTTTGTTTTTGTTTTTAAGATGGAGTCTTCACTCTGCCACCCAGGGTGAAATGCAATGGTGCAATCATTGAAGGTTCAAGGCTCACTGCAGCCTTGAACTCCTGAGCTCAGGCAATCCTCCCGCCTTAGCCTCCCAAGTTGCTGGGACTACAGGTGTACATGACCAGACCAGCTCCCCCTGATAACCACAGGCAACCCCTCAATAAATATTGAGTGATTTAATGATGCAGAAGAGAATATTTTAAAGGATATTACAGTGGCTCACAGAATTTTCAGAGGAACCACACAATCAGATTAATGAGTCTGTACCTGCTTTCTCTTTAATTCATTTTTGTGAATAAGTAAATATATGCTGTGTGTGTTTGGGGAGATGGGTTGATTTGGCTGTAGGTCACTAATACTGCTTAAATTAGACTTGATATTTCCAGGATCTTATCACGTTCCATCTGGATAAATTGAGCTCCAACTATCAGATCAGGAGGAGGGTGACGGCTCTTTTCCATGTACTATTTCTCCTAGGATAGGGGACTGACTTTATGGGGATTCTATGATTACTATGGGAAAACATTTCTAGGGCATGCTCTCACCTCCAAATGTTGGCCCTTGCTGTTCCTGCTGTGTGAACACTGCCCCCATGTACACCAGGCATGCTCCTTTGTTCACATCTGCTCAAATGTCACCTTTTCATTTGGGTGAGATCTTTTCTGACCAAGCTATCTAAGATCGTAACTCCATGGCTCCCCTTGGCACTCCCCGTTTCCTTTCCCTACTTCTCCAGCATATTGTGTATTCATTTTACTTATTTGTAAAATAAATTTGCTTCTACTGCCTATATTAGTCCGTTTTCATGCTGCTGATACAGACCTACCCAAGACTGGGAAGAAAAAGAGGTTTAATTGGACTTACAGTTCCACATGGCTGGGAAGGCCTCAGATTCATGGCAGGAGGTGAAAGGCACTTCTTACATGGCGGTGGCAAGAGAAAATGAGGAAGATACAAAAGCGGAAACCCCTGATAAAACCATCAGATCTCATGAGACTTATTCACTACCGTGAGAACAGTATGGGGGAAACTGCCCCCATGATTCAAATTATCTCCCACCAGGTCCCTCTCACAACACATGGGAATTATGGAAGTACAATTCAAGATGAGATTTGGGTGGGGACTCGGCGAAACCATATTATTGTCCTTAGTATCTGCCCTGCTTCATTAGAATGTAAGCTCTCCAAGGACAGAAATTTTTGTTTTACTACTCCTGTATTGCCAGCACCAACAACAGTGCCTGGCACACTCAATAAATATTGAGTGAATTAATGATGCAAAATAGAATACTTTAAAGGATATGAAAGTGGCTCACAGAATCTCCAGAGGGACCACAGAATTAGGCTTGGAGTCTACAGAGCAGGTGCAATGCCCAGGTGATACCATCAAATCATCAGGTGAGCCCCACCACTGCCAGCACGGGAAGGGGGCCTGCAGCCTGTACTGTGGATGCTGGGCACTAGGACCCTCTGTCAGAGCCACTGGTGAGATCCTGGGGAGTTCTCATCGATAGAGTCTCTCCTGTCCTTGGCAGAATTGATCCCAAGAATCACAGTCTTTTTACCTCATTTTCTTTGGAATTAAATCCTTAAGTGAGTGCATCTGATTGGAAGAACTAGGTCACTTGCCAGAGTCCAGCTACAAGGGAGCTGGGAAGGTGAGTTTCTGGCTTTTACTTTGACTGAGAAAGTGGGTCTCAAAGGTGGAAAATTTCCAAACATAGGATGCTTGTCCAAAAGGGAGTAGTAGGCAGAGAAAAAAACCCAATGCACAGCCAATTTAAGTACCTATTACGACCAAACAGAGGTGTGAGCCAATGTCTCCAGTTAGCAAGTTAAGAAACAGACCACAGAAGGGTTCACAGTATCATGTGGTATATGGAGTGAGACTGAAAGGAAATGCTATGGACAAATTGGGTCAGGAGGAGAAGGATCTGTAAAGCTCCTTTCTAAAATTAGGGTTTTAGGCTGGGCGCAGTGGCTCATGCCTGTAATCCCAGCACTTTGAGGGGCTGAGGATGGTGGATCATTTGAGGTCAGGAGTTTGAGACCACCTGGCCAACATGGTGAAACCCTGTCTCTACTAAAAATGCAAAAATTAGCTGGGCGTGGTGGCGAGTGCCTTTAATCCTAGCTACTCAGGAGGCTGAGGCAGGAGAATCTCTTGAACCTGGGAGGCAGAGGTTGCAATGAGCCAAGATCGTGCCACTGCACTCCAGCTTCGGTGACAGAGTGAGACTCAGTCTCAAAAAAAAAAAAAATATATATATAAATAAATAATAGGGGTTTATTACTGACTTCTACTTCAGAACACAATCATCTCTTAATCTTAGGTCATGTGATACAATTGAATCAAGACAAATCATCCCATTAATAATAAGAATTAAGTGGTCACTAAACTTATGTATGCTATTGCTACCAGGAAATGCAAGTGACTGGCTTTGAGGTAGCCAAGAGCCCCCTGAAAATAAATCCACAATTTGGGGAATATGAGTGAGTGTGCATTATTTTGCGGTGAAGGTTGAGCGTTTTTAAGATTTTCAAGTGGGTTTGTGACTACACTCCTTCTCCCCACTGAAACCTTAATGCTTTAATGGAACCTAGTGGGCAAACAGGTCATTCTTTTTTCGTTACTCAAATCTGAAATACTGGGCTTGGCAACATTTACAGAGGAGGATAGAATAAACTTTCATTCAAGTTGATCATTTTAGTTGGAGGAAAACATGCCATACCATAGACCAAAGATGATAAGTTTCCCTTTTCTGTTGCCAAGTGCACAGGTTTGGATCAGCATTGTACCATGGGGTATGTTTAACTTATAGAGAAACGATTACGTTTTGATGCCAACAGAAAAGCAAATACCTGTTTGTTATGATTAATGATACTTTTGCGCTTGGAGCTTTAATCTTGCAATGTGGTGTTTACTTATTATGGTTTATACAATTTGTCATGCAGTCAGTATCAAAGGTGAAAGTCAAACTGCAGTATGTGAAGGGTTGTACAGAATACCATTTCCATTCTTTCTTAAACACTTTAAGCCAGTTTCTTACTGCAGCTTATGCTGTACAAAAGAGGAATGCCATGTTTTATACTAAGGAACCTTTTGAAGACTTTATCTCATATTTGTGATCTAAGTCATTTTAGTGGCACATTTCAACAGTGCCAAAATGACTGGCCAAACAAATAGATCTTGTCCCACATAAGTGCGATTGGGGTGTAAGAATGGTGGTAAGATTTGATTTTTAAATAGTAATCGTGGAGTACATCATGAGTGTTCTAGGGGATTAATAGAAATTATTTATAAAATTATTAATAGAAACTATAAGAGAATATTTGTTATTTATAAAGCCAAATGCAAAGTCTTACAGAAAAACTGTCAAGGGTAAATGTCATTGTGTGCTTTTTTCTCTCTTGGCTGATTTATCCCCTTGACTGCTTGTTGTGATTCCATTGGCAGCTTCTACTCACCTCCTTTATCTGTATCTCCTTGCACTTCACAAGACACAACTAATTCTGAAGACCTTAAATTTTAGAAGATAAAGACAAGGAAGTTTATATCTACAACCTTTATGTTGATGACAGCTGTGAAGGGTTTTCATCTGTCACATGTCTGTCTCCATCCAGAGCCCCCAGGAACCCCACTTCACCTGTTATAATAGGTTTCCCACCAATAAGTCCAGGTAGGGCAGAAAAAAGAGAATGTAAAGGTAATAAAGAGGACTTTCCTGTTAGAAAAGTTGAAGTTTGAATGGGAGCTTATCCTTTCCATATTAAGCAAGACTATTATGTTCCTGGCTCCTCAGCTATAGAAAAAATTAACATAATTATATTGAGGCAGAAGGTTGAAAGGGAAAATAGGAAAAGATAAAATAATATGAGTCTGTATTTTCTGGAGATAAAGTCTTAATAGGGCCTTTGGAAGATAGATGTCCCATCTTGCCCCAGACCCCAGGGATAAATTACTAAGCACTTCCTGTAAATTGAGGGATAGAAGTATCACTGAAGCCAACATTGTTTATTCAACAGTTTCTATGTTTCTTCCACAAGATCTTTCACCAGGCATCAGGGAATCAAAGATGACTGAAACGTGCTTTTGACCTTACTCAACCCTCTGCTGAGGGAGATGGAGGCAGAAACAGACTATCAGAATGCCACATGGTAAGTTTGTGATCAAGATATGCACAAAGTAGGAGGTAAGTATAAATAAAGATGCCTAACCCAGCTTGGCATGGGTGGGGGTGTTGGTGAAAGTTTTCTGGGAGGAGAGCCTGAGCTAAGGCTTAGGAGATCTGTAGAAAAACAGTGGGAACTGCAATACTGTTTTCAGAATTTATGCGGCTGAGCAGACCAAAGAGATGGGAGAGCTGGGGTTGGTGGTGAAACCAGGTGGATCAGGGTAGCAGTGGTTTGCACAGTGATTTGGGTTGGTTTGGCCACAAAAAATATGACTCCTGAGATCTTCTGACACTCACTGCATGAGGCCATAGAGGATATTGGTTAAGAATATGGGCTCGCCTGGGTGCGGTGGCTCATGCCTATAATCCCAGCACTTTGGGAGGCCGAGGTAGGAGGATCAATTGAGGTCAGGAGTTTGAGACCAGCCTGGGCAACGTGGTAAAACCCTATCTCTACAAAAGGTACAAAAATTAGCCGGGTGTGGTGGTACGTGCCTGTAGTCCCAGCTACTCAGTAGGCTGAGGTGGGAGGATCACGTGAGCCTGGGACGTGGTGGTTGCAGTGAGCCGAGATGGGGGGCCACCACTCTCCAGCCTGGGTGATAGAGCCAGAACATGTCTCAAATAAATAAATAAATAAAAAGAATATGGGCTGGGTTTGAATCTAGGCTTTAGCACCTGTTAGTTTCTTCCTTGACAAAAAGGAGACACCTCTAGTATCTAACAGTGTTGTTATGAGGATTAAAGGAATTATGTTAGAGCTTAGAAGTGTGCCTGGAATATGTTAAGCATAAGTACTGGTTGCCATTATTGTGATTCTGAGATTGTGATGCATAGTACAATTCCTCGCAGGACTGGGTGACTAAGACCAGTGGCCAATGAGAAAGTGGCTCCCTAGAAGCCATTGCCAAGAGTAGCTCTTCAGAAGGCAATTCAAGTTATGCTGTTATTTCCCAAGGGCAGAGTCAGGGAGGAGTCTAACAGAATTACCTGGGGAGCATTGTCTGGGATTCACCCTGGATCGGCTGAATCAATATCTCCAGGGGTGGGGCCCAGGCATGAGTAATGGGAAAAGGCTTCTGGTGATATGTCTTCCCAGGTCTCTGGCCTGACAATGTCACTGGTGCTGCCTAGCCTTGGGATATCAACTGGACAGGGGAATTCATTTAACATAGATGTGTGCTGAGAACAATATGCTGCTCTGTAGTTTTTTTAAATACACAGAAGAAATTGTCTTCCTTTCCACCCTGCAATTTAATGCTTCAATGTGCAAATGTCAAGAGATAGGGAGAGACAAAAGGGAAAATGATAGGAGCAACAGAAGAGTTTGCCACCAAAGGGGATAGTAGGGTGGAATGACCTGGGCTTAGAAATTTGACTTCGGAAAAGCAAGAGATGGTCTGAGGAAGAATTTGCAGCAGGCTTTGTGCATCTTGCATCACAACCACCCATGGAAGACACTGAGTAACATGGTTAGCTGCAAATGGGCTCCCAGGAGGAAGGGACGTGAGATGGGACTGGCCAGGCCTGAACGCATCTCCACATCTGGTACTGGGAGGGAATGTCCCATGTGGGTGTTTGGCAGGAAACGCTCTAAAACAAGCACTCTTGCCACAGCATAACTAAAGGTATCTTCATTAATATAAAACCTATTTATTAAACTATGAAACATGGAAAAAAAAAAAGCAACAATTGTTAGGTGTTTTGAATCTCAGAATTTAAAACGCCCCACAAGGAGAATTCTACAATGTCACTTGCCATCCTTGGGGGTGGTGTAGTTCCTATAATTTCCCACCTGGCTCTGGGGTAATACGATAGGCCAGTGACATTCATTCCACCAGCATGGGCTGGCCTGCATGCTGCTGTTTCTTAGAGCTCTCCTGAGGCCTGCCAGGTGACCTTCTCTTTGCTGAAATGACCCTTGCCAGGGCATTCAGTAGTGTGTTAAGACACTGGGGGTTCAGGTAAAGATACGTGAGACTTTTTTTTCTATTCCATAACGTTGTAAATAATTTTTAAGTTGCCTTTAATTTTTAAGAATTATAGAAGGAACACATTCACATTGTAAAAAACAAACAAACAAACAAACCTGCCCTTAATGACCTTGCAATCCAGCAGGGAAGATGTAATAATAACAAAAGGCCATTTCCTAAGTTTCTGCTGAGTAGTAGGCTCCAGTCTTCACCACAACCTCGGAAATGCCTCTAAGAGTCATACGATGTTCTTCATTTTAAGGGTGAGGAAGGTATGTTGTAGAGAGTTAAGGGAACTTGCCAAAGGAACATAGTCAAGCTAGCAAGTAGAAAGTTAGGTCTGTCTGATGGCAAAGTACTTGCTGCCTTTTCTACTCAATTACCTTGCCTTTTAACCAGCAAATGATAAGTAACTAAAGCATGATGTGATAACTGTTATTATAATAGTATCCCCAAAGTAATATGGGCATATGACTGAGAGGGGAGAAAGGCTGATTCTGGCACCATACACAGACTAGGAATCTACCCTGTATTGGTTCAAAAGTGGTGTATAGTTGAGAGTTAATACATCTCTCCAGAAAATTGAAAAAGGTCGTAGAAGGTTGAAAATGAGTGAATGGAGCAGGGCCAATCAATCAGCTACTTTTAGAAGAAAGTAGCTATTAGAGTTTTTCTTGTTTGTTTTTCAAGCTTGTTTCTTCTATGCTTTTTAAACTCTAAGTTTATTCATTTTTCTACTTTTTTTTTTTTGAGGTGGAGTCTCGCTCTGTTGCCCAGGCTGGAGTGCAGTGGTGCAATCTCGGCTCACTGCAACCTTTGCCTCCCAGGCTCCCAGGTTCAAGCAATTCTCCTGTCTCAGCCTCCCAAGTAGCTGGGATTACAGGTGCTCGCCACCATGCCCAACTAATTTTTTTTTTTTCTGTAGTTTTAGTAGAGACGGGGTTTCACCGTGTTGTCCAGGCTGGTCTTGAACTCCTGACCTCAAGTGATCTGCCCGCCTCGGCCTCCTAAAGTGCTGGGATTACAGGCGTGAGCCACCATGCCCGGCCCTTTTCTACCTATTTCTTCATAGATAATAAGTCATTTGCTAACTACCTATCCTCCTCTTTTAAACTTAAAATCTTTTGTCTGCCTTGTTTTCAAAACCTTCATAGTCTAACATAATTATTAGGCAGACATAGTGAACAGCCCTTTTTCTTTACTCCTAGAAATCCTGTATTAATAGGAGCAGCAATGCACTCAGCTTAAACAGCTACATGTTTCCAGCCCCCTGTAATGGATAGGGGTAGCCAATGAGATGTAAGTAGGAGTTGGGTGAGGCTTCCAGGGAAATCCTGTAAAGGAGGCTGACTGGACCGGGAGGTATGCCTCTTTTCCCTTGCTGTTTCCTCCTTTCTACTGTGTGGAGCATAGTTATGATGCCTGGTGCTTTAACAACTATCCTGCAATTATGAAGCTAACTTGAAAATGAAAGCCAGTACTAGAGATGGTAAAGCAGGAAGGTAAAAGGAACGTGAGGCCTTTCTGATAATGAAACTATGAACATAGCCCAGGACTGTTTACCTCTGGACTTCTTTGTCATAAAAGAAAAGCAAAACTCTCTCTTGTTTAAGCCATTGTTTCTTGAGTTCTCTGTTGTATGCAGCCAAACCTAATTTATACCAACGTGATTCCTCTAATCTGGATGGGTAACACTCTTCACCAGTGCATGAACGCTGCATGCTCATTAGAATCAGTGCATTCACTCTTGCTGGTTATCTGGCTTATAATGTTCTCCTTTCTGCCTTTGTAAAGCCTTACTGTCCTACAAAGTCCACTTCTTCCATGGAGCATCTTTGGCTTCTCCAGCCTTCATTGGCCTCTCTCCTTCCAACTTCCAGGCCTTAACATACCGCACAATTTGGCAGGAAGCCGTACCACCGAGCGCTGGTCACTATTGGCTCTCCGTGTGGGTCTGCCTTTCTGACTCTTCTGTAAGCTCCTGAAGGGCAGAGCCATGTCTTTTGCTGCTTGTATTCCTTATCTGGGTTCACGTCGTTCTCTAATCAAAAATTTTCTTTTCTTTTCACCTTGACCCTTGGTAATCTGCTGCTGATTCCCAGAGATACTATAAAAAGAAAAACTTTTTTTCTGTTCCCTAACATTGTAAATAATTTTTAAGTTGCCTTTAATTTTTAAGAATTATAGAAGAAACACATGCACATTGTAAAAAAAAAATATAGACATATGTAAATGCAAAGTTAAAGGGTTGTTCGTTAACCACCCTCTGCCCCAATCCTACTCCTCTCCTGAGATACCCACTGTTGACAGCTTCCTGAGTAGCTTTGTAGACCTGCTGCAATCCATTTGTAATCATACATTGATCTATAAACATTTTTTAATATAAAAATGGACTCCCAGTAAACATAATGTTCTGCAACTTGTTTTTCTCCCTCAGTAGCCTATCCTGGATATCTTTCCATGTTAGTACATCTAGAGCCGCACTATAATTTTTTAAAATTATACTTTAAGTTCTGGGGTACATGTGCACAACATGCAGGTTTGTTACATAGGTATACTCAGAGCCACACTATAATTTTTAAACAACACATAGTATAGGTGTTCCATAATTTATCTAACCAAATAACCATGTAAACAATTAGGTTGTTTTCAATTTTTGGTGTTACAAAAATATTGCATTGAGCATAGTTGTATATGTATCCTCATGCCCTTACATACATCTTTAGGATAAATTATTAGAAGCAGACCTATGTTCCCCTGAATTCTGAGCTCAATAATATTATATCTTTAATAATTTATTTCACTCTCTTCTCTCTCTTCTCCGGGAATTCTTTTTAGTGGGTTGTTGGCTATGTGAGATTAATCTTGAACACTTTCATTTGTGATTTCATATTTTCTGCGCATTTGTATTTTTAAAAACTTTCTGGGATATTTCCTCAACTTTATCTTTAACCTTCTGTTGAATGCTTAAAGTTTACTTTCTCATATTTTTAATTTCTCAGTACATTTTCTTGACCTCTGATTGTTCCCTTTTCATAGTGCCTTGTGCTTGTTTCATAAATATATTATTTTCTTGTATACCTCCGGAGTATATTAATGAAAACTTCTGCAAAGTTCTCTTTTTTCCCCTGCGTTATCTCTGTTTTCTTTTTTCTGTCATTTAATTCTATAGCTTAATTTTGGACTCCCAACTAGGCAATATGACTAGCTGTCCATCTTTGAGGGAGGAGTATCCAGGCGTCTGTGGTTTTTAAAATTCCCTGGGTTATTCTGAAACAGTTCCAGTTCCATATTTTGGCTATTAATGGTGCTGCAGTAAACATGGGAATGCAGATATCTCTTTGATATATCGATTTTCTTTCTTTTGGATATATACCCAGCAATGGGATTACAGGATCATATGGAAGTTCTATTTTTAGTTTTTTGAGGAACCTCCGTACTGCTCTCCATAGTGGTGGATATACAAATTTACATTCCCACCAATAGTGTATGAGGGTTCTCCTTTCTCCACATCCTCAGCTGCATCTGTTACTGCCTGTCTTTTTGATACAAGCCATTTTAACTGAGATGAGATGATACTGCCTTGTGGTTTTGATTTGTATTTCTCTGAAGGTTCCAAACTTAGTTCTTGGGTTATATGTTATGAGCAGTCAAATATATCTGAATGAATTTTAAAAAGACTTAGTTAAAATATTTATATATAATCTTTTTGAGGGGTGGGAAACTGATTCATACCAATTTTATTTATAGATTTTCCTGTCTTTTCCCTTCCTTTGCCCGCCCTTTGTAAATAGAAAAACAGGATCTTGATCCTCTTTAATGAATAATAGCTGTCCAAAGCTATACGTGCATTTTGCAGCTTCCAGATGACATCATGTTCAGAACATGAGAGCTTCATTCTCACCATCTGTCATGTCACCAGAAGTCTTAAATATAATTACAGCCCATGTGACAGTTGCACACCCATTATTTCCCACATGTATTATCAGTGACTAGTTGCAGCACCCTAATTAAAATGGTGTTAGTGTCTCAATTATCAACTCTGTTTTTTAAGGGTTTTTATTATATAACTATGAAAACTTGCTCTGGGCTGAGATTTAACATGTTTATGTCAGTGTTCAGCAGGTGTTAGAGGACTGGAGAAATCCTAGATTTTGAGTTGTTCTGCACACCTGAGCACTCTGGTGGTGCGCCTGGAAACAAAACTGCTGACTAATGGAAGATTTATAGACAAACCATGCATTTGGAACATTATCCAGCTGGCCTGCCTTGTACAGTTATGTCCTGGAGATCAAAAAGGGGCCTTTGAGTTGTTTTAAAATTTAAGAAGTTGGCTACAACTTGAGGATACCTGGAGCCATTTTGGCAAGAAAAAGCAGTGATCTAAATATTCACTTTCTGAGATGAAGATTGTTCTAGATCCTAAGAAAAACCTCTGCAGTTACTAGCCCTTCACAAGTCAAAAAGGTCTGGCTCTCTGAAAGGCCAGGAGATATAGCCAAAAGGTGATTTCCTAGAAATTTTGGTTTGGAAGGTTTAGAAAGGAGCAGAGTAACTGATTGTCTATGTAGCTGTGGATCGGTTGACAGGTGGAAAGAAAAAAATGTGTCTGGGCTAGAGTCTAAATACTTCCCAAACTACCCTTGTGTTTCAGGATGTTCAGGAAGGGTGGTTCCCTCTCTACCCAAAGCCCTTTGAAACAGGACTGTGCAACAGAACTTTCTCTGATGATGGAAATATTCTTGATCTGTGCTGTCCAATGGGAACATGTGGCTATTGAGCACTCAGTATGTGGCTACTGCAATGAGGAAATGAATTTTTCATTTTACTTAATTTTAATAAATTTAAATGCCACATGAGGCTAATAGTTACCATAGTGGATAGTGAAAGAGTCAGTAATTTTTGTTGGGGTTACTGCATTGAACAGTGACAATGGTGATGTCCTTTAGCTACAAATGGCCACATCTCAGTATTTAGGAACTGAATAGAATTGGTGTTTCCTATAAAATGGAATCTCTTTATTATATTTTCCTCTTTTCAGAGTGAATCCCCTGAGAAGTTCTTGAGGTATGGTCCTGGCTCTAGCGGGTAAAAAATTGCACCTAAAAGAAGGTCAGGCCTGGCGCAGTGCTCACACCTGTAATCCCAGCACTTTGGGAGTTGGAGGCAGAAGCGGGAGGACTGAGGATTGCTGGACGCCAGGAGTTTGAGACCAACCTGGGCAATATAGGGAGACCCCGTCTCAACAAAAATAAATAAATAGCCAGGTATGTGGCACATGCCTGTGGTCCCAGCTACTTGGGAGGCTGAGGTGGGAGGATTATTTGGGCCTGGGAATTGAGGCTGCAGTGAGGTGCAGCTGCACCACTTTATTCCAGCCTGAGTGACAGAGTGAGACCCTGTCTCAAAAAAAAAAAAAAAAGGTCAATATGCAAAGGAAGGGTCTCAATAATGTGAATCTCTAGAGACTGGCTCTGGAGGTGGAGTAAATCTCTAGTGATAGAATTTTAGACCCTAAGGAATCAGCTGAAAAGAAACAATGTTTTGTCAATGGAGCATCCCCAGTGTTTCCAAATTGCACACGTGGAAAGTGTTGAACTCTTCATAATTATTGGGCTGGCTCCACTCAAAAGGCGTATTTATAATTTCCCCAATATCTTCCTTTTGCTCATGTAAATACCAACATGAAAATATCAGCCACAATGAGTTCCATGTGCTTTCCTAAAAATACCTGAGACTAATATGGACTTCAAGAACATAGCTGCATTATGACTTTTGTAGGATCTGGGCACTTTTGCCTTCATACGCACCTTCCTCCAGAAAAATAAAAATGTAGATAAAAAGAAAAATTATATTTCACTATTGCATTGTTATAGATACAAATATATTAATATTATATGCTAAAACATTTTCTTTGACCTAAAAGTTCATTTTTCTCTTCTGATTTTAAAAGAAATTAAAATATTTTTTGGCCCCTATAAGTATTATAGACCCTAGGCACTGAGCTTGCTATACCTGACAGGTAAGTTGCCCCTTTAGGGAAGACCTCATACTGAAAACTGGCTAAAAACAACCTATTATTTTCTTCAAAGATTGCAAAATATTAATTTTTTGCATAGTTGGTGCTCAATAAATATCAGTTGATTAAAAATATTCAGAGATGTTAAGACTTCTCCTGTAACAAATCTGAATATTTCTCTCTAAATCTATTATTTCGCTCCTCAGAGTATGGTCCACAGACCAGTAGCCTCAGCCCCAACTCAAACTTATCAGAAATGAAGAATATCAGACTCCATCTGCTACTAAGTCAGAATTTGCATTTTAACAAGATCCCCAAGTGACTCATATGCAGATTACACGGAAGCCCTGCTCACCTGCAATTTAAACCTGATGGTTTAACATTGGAAATGGAAGAGCTGATTCCCCTTAACCACATATAATTGAGTGCGATCCTCACCCTCCTCCAGTGTCAATACATTCAGTTCCTTTAGTCCAGTGGTTCCCAACTTTGGTTGAACATTGGAATCACCTGGAGAGCTTTCAAAAAACGACCAATAACATGGGCCCAATTTTCTGGAGATTCCGAATGATTGATCAGGTGGGCGTTCTGGGAATCAAGATTGTTTTAAAGCTTCCCAGGTGATGCTAATGTGTAGCCAGAATGAGAACTACTGTGTGGATTTCCCCATGAGATCTGTCCCCTGGTTTTAATAATGTTGGCCTCTTTTCTCTGTGTTCTCCGACCTTCCTAGGCTGGACAACCAAGTTTATAATCCAGAAATAGTTTCTTGTCTTGGGGTCTGCCATGCCCTATTAATTATCTCAAAGCTCTGAAGTGTTCTCCTAATACAACCATACACTAAAAGATTAACTGCCACTATTTTCCACATCCTTATTATGTGTCCTGTAATCACTTTCAGTCACGTAATCCTCACAATGATAGTATATGCTGTTCTTATGCCCATTATACAGATGAGGAAATGGAGGCTTAGAAAGGTTGTATCTTCCCAAGATCATCCTATTTGTATTCCAGAGTTTGTTCACCTCCTATTAAATCTACCATTTTCTAGTATCTTGCTTTCACTTAAGAAACACTAGTAATTCCCTAACTCACGTGGCTAAACATCAGATTTACAATTATCCAATTTTTGAGAATTATTGACAAAGGAAATATAATGAAGGCCAGGAAATAATTAAATAGATAATATAATTAGCAGTGGTTATAATTCATTAAAGTTTGAAAATGGTGACATTTTTCTTCTTGCATAATGGATGTGATAGTTCAATTAAAAAACAAATACTAAATACTCCAGAAATGCCCTGTGTTGGGACTGTGAAGATTACAGGGGTAAGGAACAGGTTTTGTCCTTGAATTTCAAGTTGAAGGGAGGATAAGAGCCTACAGTTGTCCAACATGTGACAGTTAATATAATCAGGTGCTACACTGTGTAGTAAGGCCATTATGCTTTGCCAAAATTCAGAGGGTAGCAGAAACCAGGACAATGTAAGGATTTATGGAGGAGGTCTATCTGGAGTGAAGTATGTAAGGATGAATGGGGATTGAATCTCTAGAAAAGACAGAGCTGAGCTAGGACATTGGCATAATACTCACTAGGCAGTTAGAATTTCCCTAACTGAATGGCCAGCCTGGTTTCTTGCTGGCTGAATGTCCCTTGTCTGTAGAGAATATATAGTCTTTGAATTCAAAACAAATGCTGTCCCAGCCAAGCTTAGTGCCAGCAATGTCCTGAGTGACCTATATCTGGAGCAGTGAAATCAATCAGGTGCAAAGGGTTATTTACACAACTGATAGCTTCCTGCCTCAGATAGTCACGGCTTCTTTTAAGGTTGCTGAAGCAAACACTTTGCTTAATATTTGAACCTAGAGAAGTTGAAAGCCAAGTACGTATTTAAATATTGATCAAGCTCAGGGCTTGAGAGCAGGCAAGAAAACTGCAGCTAGCATTGTATGTCCTTGGGTGGTGAGAGTTTCACAATTACTAGTTTTGCTGGTTTCTTTTTAGTGGGGAAGGGGCTTGGGGGTAACTTCTTATAATATTTGTTCCTCTTTCCACATTTTTTTGTTTTTTAAAAAAAGATACATACCTGCCAGAATTAAAAAAAAAAAAAAAAGAAAAAGAGGGCTTCAGTACTAGTGATATGAAAAAGGACAATAACAACAAAGGCTTCTAACACATCACCATGTTTATTCACCAGAGTTTGGAAACCATTTTTGTCTGGCATGTTGATTCAGTTAATCTTCAGTTCAAGTGATTCTCCTGCCTCAGCCTCTCGAGTAGCTGGGATTACAGGCACGCACCAACACACCCAGCTAAATTGTGTGTTTTTGTGGAGACGGGGTTTCACCATGTTGTCCAGGCTGGTCTCGAGCTCCTGACCTCAGGTGATCCACCCGCCTCAGCCTCCCAAAGTGCTGGGATTACAGGTGTGAGCCACCACGCCCTGCTCAAAATTTTTTCTATTTTTGAAAAGAATATTATTGCTTTTATTTTTATCTTGTGTACCTTGACACTGGGCAGGATATATATATATATTTTTTTTTTCTTTTTTTTTTTTTGTGGCAGCGCCTGAGGCCAGGCCTTGAGTTCACAGCTCTGTGGGGCTGAGGGTGGAATCAGCTGGGATGACAGCCCAGGTCAGGAGTGCAATGCCAGTGTTGGGGTCCCTTTCCCAAGGCGGAATTGCAGCCTTTGCCTTGGAACAGGGCTAAGGCATTCAGACACACGATGGTCTTTCTCTTGCTAATCTCAGCCTTTCTCAGCATTCGTATCAGCAAGGTGGGCTGGGGAAGGTGGCGGCTGGAAGGGAGACAGAAAAGGCCCAGGCCCAGGAGAAGTGGTGGTGGCAGCCTGGGAGCTGGGCTCCATTCTGGCTTGGGATCTTGGTGGCCAGCTTCCTCGGGCCACACCTTTGTTATGGTTCTGTGCGTAGCCAGTCTTCAAAGGAAAAACAAAGCAGAGACTCAAGGTGATTTTATAAATTTTATTAGAAACTTTATATTTCAATACTAATTTCCTTACAAATAGTCTTAACTATAACACTTACTGCCACAGCAGTCTCAGATGGGCAATTTTACCTTTAAAGCTGCAATAATGGTCTTAAGTCTGTATATGAGAGCCTGGCTGATGAAGAGGCTTGGCTTCTGCTCTTGGGGCTGTCATCACATCTAAGAGGAAAACTGCTTTGGAGGATAAGGAAGTCCCTTCACATTGCTGTTCATTGTAAAAGTGGTTATGGTTTTCATACGTTTTTGAATTAAGACTTGCAGCCACTTGCGTGCATAAACGTGAAGGGAATCGCAGCTTGCAAAGCTCTCGGCCAGGGAACATGAGCTTCAAATAAGAGGGCAAATGCTGTTTTTAAAAATAATATTTCCTATTGTAATAGACCCGGGCCGTATTATGTCACGGGTGTGGTGGCTTTTGGCTGGGAACAGCCTGAGCCTCCCTCGGGCCTGGCACAACTCCTTTCGCGAGCGGGCAGCCCAGCGCCTCCCTCGGGAGGCGCCAAGGCGTGGGGGCGCCCGGGGCGCAACTGGCACTCCTGTGGCCCGCCAGGTCCGCGCCAGCCTCCGCGCCTCCGATCTCCGGAGGCCAACGGCCGCAGCCCCGCAGCGGGAGGGGGCTGGCGGAGACAGCGCGGTAGGGGCAGCTTCAGGTTTCCTCCTGGAGCCGGTGTCGGGCGCGGCCGGCGGGCGGGCCTCGCCATGTGATGCGGCCGCCGCGAGCCGGGCCGGGAGGTGGGCAGGCGGGGATCCAGTGGCAGCGGGGAGGCGCGGGGGGAGCGGGGGGAGCGGGGGCGGCACCCGCTGCTGGCGCAGCCAGCCGGGCCCGGGCGCGCGGCCGCGGCTCCACCCCCTAAACCTTGGCTTCAGCCCGGCCGCCGCCAGGCGTTGGCATCGCCGGGGAGAGCCTTCCGGACTCCGGGCGGCGGCTGGCTGGGGGCGCGTTCCGAGGCGCCCTCAGGCAGGGCGCGGGGGCAGAGCCTCGCCTGGGTTCTGGAGGCTGCGGGGCCATCGCTCCAGGTAAATGCTCTTTGGGACTCCATCGTCTGCGTTTCCCTGCAGCTCTGGGCGGAAAAGTTTGTCCACCTGAGTTCGCATCCGCAGGGCCACTTTCTCCAGGGTCCCCAGGGATGCGAGGGTCAGCAGAGGTGACCGGGGAACCGCTGCAGGCGCTGCGGCGCGAGGGCTGGGCGCCGCCTCCCGCTCCCTCGGGAGCGGCAACAAGTGGAGAGGGCGGCGCAGCCTCGTGCGGCGGCGGCAGCTGCGGAGCGCGGGGTCGCTCGGGCGCACTGAGAGCCGGGGGCTGGGCGGGTGAAAGCCCCGCCAGTGTCCTTCGGGAGACAGGGAAATAAACAGCACTCCTGCGGTGGAGAAGGGAGAACGTCGAGAGTTGGTGTCCGCCCTTCCCATCCATGCTTCAGCTCCGGGACTGAGGGTGCTTGGCAGGGCCAGGACCGCAGAATGCAGACGGAACGCAAGCTCAGGACACACGCACTACCACTTACTCGTGTGGAAGCATCTGCTGTGTTTCAAAAGGCATTTATGGTTACCTTGGTTGGGAAAGGTGGTCAGAATTATGTGGGACTCCTTACGCTTATTTTATGGATTTGTTTCCCCTTAAATACCCGGGGTGTATGTGGTGGTGCCCCAGCCTTCCCGTGCTTAGGTTTTCCGAATGACAGGCCGGTGTTTGGCCAAGAAAGCACCATTTGGGTCGAGGGCTGTATGGAAACTGGGTGCTCAGGCGGCCCTGGATACCCAGCTTTGGTTTCCCAGAGACCAGTTAGATTTCTAAGAAAGAATCCATCTCTATAGGCCCACAGCGTCCCCGCATTGGTTGGCTGGGTGGGCCGAGGAACAGTGGCAACATCTGTGTTTGTGCGGCTTCTCCCGCCTTGACCCCTGCCTGGGTATCCACACATCTCCTCACACCAGGAGTTATAGAGGTTCACCACGGACCACACCAATTGGGCAAAATCCAAAGAAAGTAAGATCTTTAATTTTCGTTTATAAAGAACTGATCATTTGGGGTTCCATGGGGCCCCTGGCTTTCTGAAGCGTTGTTATCTTGTGTTCCTAGGCCCTGAAGCTGTCAGGTGTAAGTGAAATCCTGTTTTCACTGCAAAAACAAATCAAGGACCTACCCTTGTTAGGTTCTGTGGCATCTACTTTGTACATGACAATCCAAGCGTAGTGATGACTTCTGGGAAACCTGGGAAGGTTTCTCTAGATCTGTCCTGGGTTTTTAGTTACACATTCCTAAAGCACATGGGTATTTGCCTAATCTTGATTAATAGCCAAAGTAACCCCTTTGGAGTATTTGCAGAAAAGAGATGAATATGGCAAAACCCTTTGGAATTTTTAATACAACATAGTATTTCAATGTAATGTTCTGATGTGGACTCTATATGTGATTATTGGGCTGATTAACTTTGATCAAATAGGAATTTGGCTAGCATCAGATCTTATAGCTAATGGTTAGGGAAACTGAGGCTCAGAGCTAGCTATAGAGTGTGTGACTCAGATGAATGTCTTGGGTAATGGGAGAATGGAGAACAGAGAATCAGTGTTTGTCCTGCTTTTGACTTTTTTTTTTTCCTTATCAAAACCACACAATCTGGCCAACTAAGAACAGGTTGTATAGCAGGCGTGTCATTAGACTTTCCTCTGAAGTACCCAACTGTCCTTTAAGCAGTTTATAAACACTTAAAGGTAAAGAAGAAAAATAGTAGTTAATAACTAAGTTTCTATGAAATGTCTCAGAAGCCTCACTTGGGTGGGTTTCATACTTTTTTTTTTTAATTATGTGAGTACTGCAGAAGAGTTTGGAATGTTTTCTTATTGTGTTCTTATAAGAAACTACACTTGTGGCTAAGACTTAAATTGGGCAGGAATTTCAGGTGAGCTCTGATACATGACCTCCTTTAGTATGCCCCGTGAGAAAAGACTATGTGTTCTAAGTAGGTATTAAAACAAATTGCAGCATATACTATTACTTCTATATTAAACATTCTGTACACCACTATATTGGTACCCAAGCTCCAACAAGTCCTGCCAGTTTATGACCAAGGACTGAATTCCAAGAAAAAAAGATTCATGATATAAATGTTGGAAAAGCCTCACCACTTGGGCATGGCTAGGATGGTACTGAACAGAGCCTAAATTACCTAGGCTGACTATAATTTTATTATGCTTTTATTTACTAATCAGATATGACAGATCTGGTTTGTGTAGGTTTTGTGTAATTGCATTTGTATTTATGTTGCTTTTAGTGAAGCAGAGTAGCTCTGGGATCCCCCCACCGGCCCCCGCCCATAACCTTAAATAAGATTTGTTATGAAGAGGTGGGTCAACCTGGGCAACTCCTACTGAGGATGTAAAAACAGTGTTACATTTGAAGTGCACCAAATTCAGGGAATTCTGCCATGCTAAAGTTGTGCTGTAAATATGCCACCCTGTCAGACTTGAGTCCACATCTCTACTTAGGCAAAGCTGGGCTTTGAGATATTTTTCTTGCTTAAGAAGTGTAGGTCAGGTCCTGTATCACAGAGCATTTTGCTCCATTTGTATGATACTCTGCCATTTTGTCCAGTCTCTGTGACCCTTAGTTCTTTTGTTATTATCATGGTATTGGAAGTTCTCGGAAGCCCAAGGCAGTGTCACTCTACTATTTTGCCATTTTGACAATCTCTATTATGGGGCTCTCTTTCTATGAACATGTTCTTCATTTACATTCATTCAACTAATATTTGTTGAAGTCTTACTATGTGCCCAGCACTGCTCTTTGCTTTGATTCTCTGATCTTTGGATTCCGTGTTGAAGGTGACACTTTTCTGGCTTTAGAGTTTTTAGGGTCTGTTGCATTTTCGGAGTAGACTTTTGCACACTCCACATTAAGACATTTGGCTGGCCAGGGTGGGGGTGGTGGCTCATGCACATAACCCCAACACTTTGAGAGGCTGAAGTGGGAGGATTGCTTGAGCCCAGGAGTTCAAGACCAGCCTGGGCAACATGGCAAAACCCTGTCTCTACAAAAAAAATACAAAAACTAGCCAGGCATGGTGGTGTGTGGTGTGTGCCTATAGTCCCAGCTACTTGAGAGGCAGAGTGGGGAGGATAGCTTGAGTTGGGGAAGTAGAGGCTGCAGTGAGCTGAGATGGTGCCACCACATTTCCAGTCTGGGTGACAGAAAAAGACTCTGTCTCAAAAAAAAAAAAAAATTAAAGACATTTGACTGGCAAAATAAGTCATGTAACTTATTTTTTTAATGTGATAGTGCATCTTCTTAATTGACTTCCATTTTTCCCTTGAAATTTGATCTCAGGCACAATAGTAATTTGCTTATTTGTAACATTATTGCTCCTGGACTTCTTCTCCTGGATAACCAAGATAATGAGATCTGACATCATTTTTTAATGAGAGAAAGTAAAAAAGTATATAATTGAATAGTGGGCATTTGTTCCAGTGATACTGGTTTTGAACACTTGTATAAAAATGTATTTTAATTTTCAGAGGTGTTTTCTCTTGTTTTAGTTTAATCTTTCCCTCAATTATAAATAACTCGAGGTCTGATTTCTGTAGAAAGTTAACATACAAGCGATGTTCTCTTAAGAGCAGATGAAAATGTGTCTATGAGTGAGGACCAACAGGCAGAAATCAGCAGTGGTGGCTTTGCTCTCCATAGTAGCCTGTTCAGAAGAGACCTTTCCAAAGCCAGCAGGCAAATAGCATTCTGCCTATTTCTAGTGGCAAGCTTTGTGTGACTGCTGTGCACATGATCATTGTGCCTTTAAAAAATATACACTTGAAATGTTAATATGCTTCAAATATATATAATAGACATTCCCTTAATAAATAGATGAAGCGTATATTGTATATATTAATGACATTTATGGTTTAGCTTTTCAATTCATTATCAAACACTAGTGACCATGCCCTTTCTGTTTAAGACTTACTCCTTTTCTTCCATCATTTTATAATTCAAGAAATTATATTTCATAAACTCTCATGAAGGGGGTTAGAATGTGGACTTTGGAGCCAGACTGTCTGGGTTAAATAGCCCCAACTTTGCCCTGGCTATGTGACCTCTCTCTACCTCAGGTTTTTCCATTTGTAAAATGCGGATAATAATAGTAACCTGCTTCAACTGTTGTGAGGACTCCGTGATTTAATTTACAGAGAACCCTCCTGGTAGTGCCTGACAGAGAGTAAGTTGTAGTTATAGCAAATGGAAAATAACCATTTAAAAAGGATAAAAGGGTAGCAGGTTTTTCAGCTTTCAGAAGGTAGTGAGATGTCAGTGTGACCCCAGGAGAAATTGCCCTAGGCTGGGAGTTGGAGGAAGGGATGGAGTCCTCTGGCTTTCCAGTTTTGTGACCTTGGGTGAATATTCCTACTGGAACCCTATCTGGTCCCAGTTTCCTCATCCAGTAAAATGGAAAGGATTAGACTGGATGACCTCTAAGAGCAACCCATTTTTTAACATTCTACTCAGTCTTGATGAATTGAATGTGAATGTGATGTATTTGTCAATTTGCTTTACTTGTCTTGGTCAACACTACTGGAAAGGTACTGTCTAAAAGGTTAGCATTGTGCCTGCAATAGGCATTTGAATAGATGATGAGCTGTCACTCTTATTCCTTATCTCTCCTTGACTACCAGACAGTCATCAGGTTTAAATGACTTGGAGTTATCTTCCTGGACTTAGTCCAAAGAGATTTCAGACATGCAAGTCCAGATTCCTTGTGTGGGCCATATGGCTGCCCTAGTCCTCTTCTTCTGAAGAACCCCTCATGTAGAAGAGGGGTGGTATAGCTCTGGAAAGAGGAAAGACAAGTGGGCTGACTGTTTAATTTTATGATAAAAATAATTTCTATCAGGCAAAGAAGTCTCATGAAGGACTTTTAAGTATGGTGAAAAGCAAGAGGTTTCATTGGGCTGGATGGTTCAGACAAAGTCCCTCGGGGGCTTATATTTTTGTCTTTTCCCACTAAGACCCTGATTTACTGTCTGTACATTGTCACTGGTTCTTTTTCAACAGTGCTTCTCCTTTTCTTGCTTCACCAGCCTCCTGGTTTGCTGTATGATCAGGTGTTAGAGTTCTGAAAGGTAGAGGATATTCAGTGATTAATGAGACTACTGACTATGGGTTCTTTACTTTGAGCCTCTAACCCAGGATTTCAAGCCCTGTTGTTCACTGGAACCACCTGGGTTCAGAATCTCTCAAGTGGACCTGGCATCATTTTCTAAAGAGGTGATTCTAATGTACAGCTGGGTTTGATAGCTACTTTCCTAATCTTTAGGTGTTTCTGGCTTCCTACATTGCACAGTGCCTAGGGAAAGGGTAACACCTGCTATTTCTCATGGTGTTACTGTTATGCTGTTGGTGTGTCAACTGCCTCCTGCTGTTTCTCCCTTGTGAACTCTCCAGTTCTGTTAGCCAGGACTAGTACTGCCTATGGAACATGTTGTGTGTTTCTGACTTCTTTGACTTTTTCCTAGTGGGCCCCTTTTCCTCCCTTGCCAACAAGTATTGCAGTCCTCAAAGCCCAGCTTAAACCACTTTCTGCCTGTAACCTTCAACTAACTTAGTAGCAACTGTGCTGCTTTCCCTTTTGAACTCCTACCACCCTCTCATTTTTTACTTACCACCTGTCCCTGGGTTCATTTTGTGTTCCTGTATATAAGTCTCAACTTTACATCGTGACTGTAGCCCATTAATGACAGGGACCCTGATTTAGGCTACTTTGTAGGGTGCTCAAAGTAGAATATACACGTGTTGGTCAGTTATTTAGTTATTTTGCTAACTGTCGTCTCAAGTCCTTCTTGTTTGCAGCACCACTGCAAGTACTAGTGGTGGTGTTTTCCTGGGTATCCGATGTGGATTGCGTTGGAAAACACTGGGGTACAGGGGGAGGAGGGCAAAGTTTGCTCAGGAATTAGACAGTTAGTCCTTCCCAGATGTAAATGGGAGACCTCATGGACCTCTCTGAGGAAACTGTATCAACCTGCATGGGGAAATGAATGAAATTCTTGATTAAAATCTGAGTCTTTGGATTGAAAGAAACCTAAAAGTTTTTCTCTAGTCTCCAGAAGGTGCACAATTCCCCTGCATGGCCTATCTCCAAATGGTTGACCAGTCTGTCCTTGAATACCTTCAGTGATGAGGACCTCATGACCATAAAGATAATCCATCTATTTGGAAAGCTTAGACTTTTAAAAACAATTCTCCCTTATCCTAAGTTTGTCACAGTTCTGCTATGTGGAGGCCATTCTGAACAATTTCTCTTATATGGTAGCCTCTAACATTTAAAAAAATTAATTATATATCCTACCTTCAAGTCTTCTTTTATTGAGGTTAGAAAATAAAAATCTGTTTCTTCAGCCCTTGTTAAGTGACATGATTTTGAATCCTTTCACAAACCTGAATATTGGACATATTCCAATTCACTATTTTCTTTTTAAAGTATAGTTCTTCCAGATGCTATCTGACGGTGTAGAGCAGCAGTCCCCAACCTTTTTGACACCAGGGATTCGTGTTGTAGAAGACAGTCTTTCAATGGACTTTGGTGAGGGGGATGGTTTCAGGATGATTCAAGTGCATTATGTTTATTGTACATTTTATATAATGAAATAATAATACAACTCACCATAATGTAGAATCAGTGGGAGCCCTGAGTTTGTTTTCCTGCAACTAGATGGTCCTACCTGGGGCTGATGGGAGACGGTGACAGATCATCAGGCATTAGAGTCTCATAAGAAGTCCCCAACCTAGATCCCTTGCATGCACAGCTCACAGTAGTGTTCGCATTCCTATGAGAATCTAATGTTGCCACTGCTCGGACGGGAGGTGGAGCTCAGGCAGTAAAGTGAACGATGGGGAGCAGCTGTAAATACAGATGAAGCTTCACTCTCTTGCGTACTGCTCAACTCCTGCTGTGTGACCTGGTTCCTAACAGGCCATGGACCTGTACTGGTCTTTGGCCCCAGGGGTTGGGGACCTCTGGTGTAGAGCACAGATCTGTCCCCCTTTCTTCTAGGGAAGAAGTGACACCTCATGGTTAAGATTAGCAGCTGCAGGTCAGAGAGACTTGGGGAGACTCATGGCCTGCTGCTTCTAGCTTGTCTTGGCCAAGTCACCTAAACTTTTAGCCTCAGTTTTTGTCTATTTCTCTCATAAGATTGTAAAAAGGACTCAATAAGATAGTCTATATAAAGTGTTTAGCACAGAACCTAAGAGAATAACTCCTCAATAAACAATACCTTTAATTTTTTTTTTTTTTTTTTTTTTTTGAGACAGAGTCTCGTTCCATCACCCAGGCTGGAGTGCAGTGGTGTGATCTCAGCTCACTGCAACCTCCGCCTCCTGGGTTCAAGCAATTCTCCCGTCTCAGCCTCCTAAATAGCTGGGATTAGGGGTGCATGCCACCATGCCCAGCTAATTTTTATATTTTTAGTAGAGACGGAGTTTCACCATGTTGGCCAGGCTGGTCTCGAACTCCTGATCTCAGGTGATCTACCCCCGTTGGCCTCCCAACGTGCTGGGGTTACAGGCATGAGCCACCATGCCTGGCCTAAAAGTATTTCTTAACTGTACTGTTGAGTTTCCACGTTCATAGTCATCTCAAAATTAGTTTCTTTTTATGTATGTTGCTATGGAGCCATATATCCTCATTCATGGAATTGTGCAATTGGGTTTTTAGTCTTATGAATAATCTTAATATTTATCTTTCTTGAATTTATTTTCCTGTATTTGACCATTTTTTCCTAGTCTTTTAGAGTGTTTATACATTTTTCATATTCACTACCCCTTTTAGTCTCAAGGTATCCATAGGTTTGATAAACATTTATTCAATGCCTGAGGAAACAATAAAAGTGTTATTTAGGCTGAAATCTAGGGCAGAGCCATTTGATGTGTCTATGCAAACTTCAGTTCAGGTTGATGTTTATCAATTTCAAGTAGGCTTGTTCAACTAATTACTACTTATTTGTATCAGCATCTGGTTCTTAATCCCCCATCTCCTCATAAAGATATATACTGTGTCTATTATATCTCTTTGTCTAACAGTCTGGTAAATTATCACCACATAATAAAATGGGGTTATTCTCAAGTGACTTATTCTTTGGGAGCACACACTGGCTCCAAAATGCCACTGCTTTTTCTTCGAGGTCCTCATACACCACACTTTTAATAATCTGCTCTAGAATCTTAATCTAGGATCAACATGAAATGCCTTCTGTCTATAATTTGTAGAATCTGCCGTTTTGAAAGTTGGAATGACATGTGCTTGTCTCCTGTATCGAATCCCTCTGTCATTGTCCACAGTTCCTGATGGATTATGGTTAGGAAATCTCATCAGATTCTTTACTATCCTGGCATGTCCAGCAGCCTGGAACTGATTCAGACCAGCTTGATGCTCTCTTACAATGGACTTTCTCACTTAGAGATGTTCTTTCTCTCCTTTTTAATTAAAAAATCATTCCTTTCTAAAAGGAGACAAAATACAAATAGACATGGAGGAAATCTCTTTTCTTGATCAGTCTTCTATGCTCTATCACCAGCCCCAAGCCAACCTATTCCTTTCTTGACATTCTGGTTTTAAAAATAGTTGAAATAAAAATTTTAGTATCCTTAGATTTTTAGGAAACCTCAGGTTATTTGGGCCTTTAGACTGTCTGATACAATTCTAAAGAGCATGACTCCCTCATGTTTGTTCTTGCAAAGGGCCAGGGAAGAGAGTAAAAAGAAAGCCATTCATGGGCCGGGTGCAGTGGCTCACGCTTGTAATCCCAGCACTTTGGGAGCCCGAGGCAGGTGGATCACCTGAGGTGGAGAGTGCGAGACCAGTCTGACCAACATGGATAAACCCCGTCTCTACTAAAAATACAAAATTATCCAGGCATGGTGGCACATGCCTATAGTCCCAGCTACTCGGGAGGCTAAGGCAGGAGAATCGCTTGAACCCAGGGGGCGGAGGTAGCAAGTGGGCCGAGATCGCGTCATTGCACTCCAGCCTGGGCAACAATAGTGAAACTCCATCTCAAAAAAAAGAAAGAAAGCCATTTTTTTTTTATCATTTATGTATGAGTGGAAAATAGCACACACCTAGGAATCAGGAGACCTGGCTTTAGTCTTGAGCTCATTGAAAGTAATCTCTTCATATCTCCAAGAATCAATGTCTTTTCCAAATAGAAGGACTTTGGTTGTTTCTATAAACTGTGATGATTTCTTTAGGTAGTGATTTCATTGGCTATTTATAAAGCTTGGTGGAGATGGAATTTGGATATGGTAGTGTAGTAGGGAAATTAAAGTCCAGGTTTATCACTCTGTGGAATAACCTGTCTCCTTTTTTATTATCAGAAACCCACATTTAGGTATAAGAATCAGCTCATCTAATGTAAGTGTTGTCTTTCACGGAGTTGTCAACTTTGCAACTTGTCAAAAACTTCAGGAATGGATTTCTGGAAGTTGCTTTTATAGCAGTTATCACAGCCCCTAGAGATGTAGCAGGATTCAGCTGGCCATTCCTATTCTTGGAGAAAAAGAACAATGCACAAAACGCATTGCCAATGCTTTAATAGGGTTTTAACTGACGGATTTTTAAGGGGGAGTGAAATAGAAGTATTTCTCTTAAGTTCTATGTTTCCTGACATATGTAACTGTTATATAAAATACATGTATATTGTTTCTTCTCCCATTTGATCACCAGAAATATTGATATCTTGCTCACTGACAATAAAACAGTATCAAGGACTCCTTGATGTTTAGTTAGAAAAGTTCCAACTTGGACAGAAATTTGTTTATTATGAGACAAAGGTCTTATGTCCTTTGATTTTTAGTCTTCTTGTAAAAATGTTTTAGTGTTAATAAAAAGGTGCTTAAGATTTCAACTATAGATAACTTAGGTTGTTACAATAAAAATGAACCCTCTAGGTTATCTTCTTCGTATCTACAGAAAGTCCCAAATTAACTTTTCACTTGGCATGCTTGTCTCACAATGGTAGGGCTGAGCTAGAGAAAATTCAACTTTACCAAGAACAGTTTAAAGAAACTACATCTTGACATGAATGTTAACAGTAATTTGGATATTGTTTATTAGAGGTTTTTTCGTATTAAAAATAAAGAGTAAGTTTTTTTCCCCTCTCACATTTATGGTAGGAAGCTTTATCTTCATCAGCTGTGTTGCACCTTTGTGGACAGCAGCAGAAGAAATTAGAAGTAGAGAGATGTTTGATGTTCAATTCATTGAAAAACAGTCTCTTTAGTGTGAGTTGGAAGTGATTGCTGGTGGTTCACACCATTCATCATAGTGGGGTAGTAGAGTGTGTGCAAGATGAAGGTTTTAAAAAGATTGTCAGTCTGAATGTAGCAAAGGTTGGACCAGAAGTAGATTTGGGTTGAAGTCTTAGCATTGCCACTGATATATAGGGTGGGTCATATCACCTTTCTCGGCTCTGGTGACCTCATCTGAAACCCAAGGGGCCAGGGTCAGACCATCTCCACGGTGTGTTCCATCTGTCAAGTTCTATGTTTCTGTGGAGGTAAGGATGGTGTCTTAAGCCTCCCTCACATTACGAGCATCACGCTTGGCTCCCAGAGTGCTTTCAGACACTTGACTGGCAACATCTAGATTGTTCAGGAAGTTGAGTTTGAAGATGGTGCTTCAGTGTTGCATCTTTATGGGGAGAAATGGTTGCAAATACTTTGAGATTACCCTGTCATGGCAGCTCATGTTATTGTTGTCAGAATACTTCATGAGCAGTGAGGTGGAATCAGCCAGTAATAATCAAGTAATTATTTTTAATTGAATTTTAGGATGAATGAAAATGGGTATTAATTTCATTTTAACATATTGAACTTAATGTACCTAACCCCAGTGAGGCTGGGTGGAGAATATGCTCTGAAATGTATGGCCTTTTTGATAACTATCAGTTTTTAGCTAAAATAAGAACTTATATAATGGTTCCATCCCCTCTCTCCCTTCCCCTAACCCCGCTCCCATCTTTCTCTACCTCTCCTCCTTCTCTCAAGAAACTTAGGGATTTTCCTTCTGTTTAGTCTCACAATTTTTTTCCTCAAAAAGAGATAGCAAATCTGTAAAACCTCTAGTATTTTATGTAGTTCCTACCTAGTGGTATGAAAGAAAACACACTTGTGCTTATAAAAAGGTAGTATTTTAAAGCATGACATCCTTCCACTTTTCACAGAGCCTCAAGATAAAGATATTTTATTATATTGGTGATTTGGACAATGGATTTATTCTATTTGGGATTTTACTTGCTGAGTGTAGGGGCTCTAAGCCCTCTTATCATTTAGGAGTTCTTTCCAAAGCTTTTTTACTTCAGGGAGTTTTGGGAGTGTTATTTGATTTTTTGAGCCTTTATTGAGTTGGGTTTAGCTAGTAATTGCTGTAAGGCAGACATATGCTGCATGCTGGAGGTTCAGAGATAAGAAGCTTAGAGGTAGCTCTTGAGGAGCTCTCAATGCTGACAAATTAGCTGCCATAAAAGCCAGTAAATACATTGTGATATGGAGAAGCAATGGACCAGCGTGCTCTCAGCAGCCTGAGCAAAGGCAATTTTCTGGGAGCCGTACCTGGTATAATAGAGATCAAAGTATTGTTTAGTTTTTTTTTTCTTCTTTCCTGTTATGGTGTTCTAAATGTAATGTATATTGTAAATATGCATCTGCTCCAGTGATGTTATAGAAACAAGTGAATTTAAGAAATTGATGTTTTAATTAAAATCTGTAATTGGAGTGATTATCTTTCAGACGTTAGAATGCAACCACAAACTGTAGCACTTGCTTTAAAACTATTATTTTTTGAACATACATAATTACTTGCTGCTAATAATTTTTTAAAACCCTTTCAAAGTTGGGCTTATAAATAAATATTTACTGTAGCTATTTGGTGGGAGGGAAACTCAAATATTATCAAACAGAAAAGATGATTCCTTTATATTCCAGTTTGTTTTATTGTGGCAATATGCTTGCCATGACTTTACATCTTAACTTTGTATGGAAAAACTTAGTTATACATGTGTGAATCTATTTTTATAACTGTAGATACTTGAGAATTGAAACAATTTTATAGAATCCTGGAAATGTTTGATAAAGGTCTTGATGTTGTTCTTGATATGTCAATAGCAAATTGATTCTAATGTTTCAATTGTTTGAGGAGAGGCCTCTAGTCCAGGGCCAAGTATCCTACAACTTTGAGTTACATTGAAGACCACAGCTTAAGCCAAAACTAAACTAGGGAAAGTAAATTATAGTGCATTATCTTGCCTTTGTGACGTTAAAGAATACTGTTGTGAATATAGTGAGTACATACTGGTTTTTATTTATTTTGGGGTACAGGGTGATTTGAACTGATTAGTACCTAAAATTAAAAAACATAAAATCCTTCTCTGCCACAGTTGAATACCACTGAACTTATGGAACATTTAAAATTGCACAGTATTTAGAAAATACTAATCGAATGAATCACCACCTCATGTGTTGTTTTGATAGGAAGTGTATCACGTCTCAATAATTTCCTTAACATTTTTTCCTGCCAGGTGCCTGTTTTCTTCTTGTTGTTAACTTTTTTCTATAGAATTCCAAATATGTGGTTGATTTCCCCACTGATATATTTGCACAGTTCTTTTTCCTTTTTTCCCTTCTTTAGAGTAGCTGGCGCTTGTAGCTAGTGTTTGTATGCAAATCTAAGGCTTCTTACAGGGAAGAGAGAATGAGCAGCTGTTTTGGAGGCTGATGTCCAGCCTAATGCCTTTTTCTGGTAGGAAGATCTTCATGGCCCTAGCACGTAGGATTTTTACAAAGTAGGTTTTCAAATGTACCATGTCTTAAGGCCAAACTTACATGAAGTATTGTTCATTCAGTCACCTCTTGAGAGATTAGGGAGGATTTTCATTTTCTATTACATATATATATATATATAATATATATACATCCTTTTTTTTACAATGAGCATGAGCTATCTTGAAATAAAACAAATTAGAAATCATCTTTTTCTAAATCAAAAAATTATACAGATATGTACAGAGAGACATTTGTAATTAGCTCAGTAACTTGTGCAGCTGTTGAGAACATTCATATGTTTGTTTTTGGATATTTGGGTCAGTATATTTTGGCTAGTAAAAAAATGTGTGTATGTATACATATATATGCACACCATAACTATAAATTTATATACATTTTACCATTTCTATAAATTTTATATTTTATTGATTTTATCAGTGAATTGTTAGCCATAGTCTCTTTATTGAACATAGGATTATTGCAGTTTGAGTACAAGTATACAATAGATAATTTCTAATAATGAAAAATAAGTGGTTTCTTCTACCAGAAGTCTTCCTTTGCTTGTAATGTAGGACTACATAGCATAGTAAGCCTTATATCACTAGACATTTAAAGTCATATAACTATAGTGTATCCCATGTAAAACTGAAGTCTATAAATAGATTTGAAGAAGACGTGTTGGGGGTTGACATTTATGCAATTAGAGGCATTCCTGCTATTCAGATTAGTGGTATGCTTTTTCACATTTGTGCTTTTTCATTTTCTTATTTAGAAATAACAAATTGTATAAAAATGAATACTGTGTATTGGCAAATCAATCAGTGGCTTTATAAATGTCAATACTGTAGTAAGTGTTGCTTTTTATATTCTTAACGCAGATGAATGTCTAAACCAGAATATGGTTAAAATGAGATGCACATACGGGAAATAGCTAGCATTCTTGAAAATGACAGGTATGGGACATTAGTACTATAATGTTGTGACCACTAGAATAGAGTAGAGGATGGTAAGCTAGGCCTGGGGTGGACATTTCTTATCTGGGCTCCTGCTCTTTGTCTCAACTCTCTTCCTTTGATTCTTCTCTGCTTTTCTCTTGAAGGGATCAGACAGGTACCTGGACATAATCCCATAAGTGCTACTGGTATTCCAGTCCTCAGTTTCCTCATCTGTCACCTTCTGTGATTCAATAAGCAATATATGAATAGTTGCATGTACAATGTGAAAAGCCCCTAAGAAAGTTAAACAGCCTTATTAAGTATCTTTCATACTTCTTACATCAGAATGCCATTTAGCTACCAGTTTGGCAGAGATATGATATTTATAGTGCCAAAGGAAGTTTAAGCTAGTGGAGGGCAAATGATCATATACTCTGTTTAAGCCAAACTTTCTTCTGTATTATTAATGTTAACAATTTTTTAAAAATTAAACAAAAAAGAAGAAATTATTATCTCTACAAGCCAGCCAGCTGAGGATTTATTAGCAAGTTTTGTCTAAAATACAGCTGTTCTTACTTAGAGTCTCAAAATTAAACTTGAGGAGGGTTTAAATCTAGCTTAATTTAGATGAGTGTTTTGCATTTCCAGTTTCCTCATCTATGAAATGGGAATAATACCAGCCCTTTAGATAAAACTGGGTAGTTTGCTGATGAAATGAAGTTATAGAAATTAACTTTGGAAACACTTTCAAAAGTTTAAATGATATTTAAATATAAAACCAAAAACTGTAGCTCCATTTGCAGAGAGTTATTTAGGACATAGATTTACTATTGCTGTAAATATGTGTGTGGAAAAGCAGGGAGTGTAATCAGTTGGTACTGTGCCAGTTCCTAAGTCTCTTTGTCAATTTAGCACTTCTGCGTTTAGTAACATGTAAGAAAAATGTGGAGCCAATTCAAATTAGGGGAAGAAAGCCTCAAAGAGGCTGTTGTGTAGAAGGAGGGACTAATGAGTGGCCATGTTCTGGTAGGAATCCCTGGTTCTGTACTCATGGTCACAAAGACACTGTTCTTACATTCTTCCATTGTTTAGCTAGAGGATAAGACCACTTGAGAAACAGCATTGTTTAACCACAAATCCCTCTTTCAGGAAAAATGAGTTACCACCAAAGAGATTTGTGTAAGTACATCTGTCATATATTGGTTTAAATGGTTTGTAAATGCTTGCCTTCCTCTTCCATGAGGAAAGACAGTTTCAGGGTCCCCAAGCATTAGTCTCTTCTAATCCTTCAAACCTGGTGACTAAAAGACTGTCTTCTCCTGGATTAGTGGGCATAATGAAAAAATAATGGCAGGGGAAAGGCTTTTTTTTTTTTTTTTGGCTCATTTCATCTGTATTTGGAGTCATGTTCATTTATAACAATAACACTCTTAAAAAAATTAGTTGCTTCTCCATATCAGAAATGTTTAGGGCCTAAGTACACTGACTGTCTTGGAGTCTTGAGTTTTTGTTGCCTCATTGAGAAGGATATGGCTTTTTAATATATTTTTAAAAATTATCGCATCTGGATCTTGTCTTCTGGGGATGAGTGGTATTCCTACCACAGAAGACAGGGATCTCTCATAATTAGCAAAGCCTCTGAACATATTTGCGCAGTTGTATAAATGGAGCTTACGAGGTTTAGTCAACCATCTAAGCAGTCCCTGCAGCATTTGAGGGCTGCGTTATAGGGAGTATCTGGTGACATTTTCATCAGGTATGGAAAGATCACTTTGTATCATTTGGAGTTTGGAGTTTGATATTAATAATGAAGAGGATGATGGCCATTTATCGATTGCTTTTCCTTGTTAGGCACTGTGCTTGGAGCCTCATGCTACTACCTCGAATTCCTGCAACAATGTTACTATTCCTGCTTTGCAGATAAGGGAACTAAGGAGCTGAGAGGTTAAGCAACCTGCTGCGGGGTTTGTAGCCTGTTTATTGATCCCTAGTTTGTGGGGCTCTAAGCCCTTGCTCTCATCACTTTCCTTTGCAGCCTCTATAGAAGGCTTGGAGCGGGGGAATCCTGCTTGTCCGCCTGTGAAAAAGACCAGAAGAGGTTATGTTCCACTCAATCCACTCAACTGATCTGAAATTTTTCCTGCCTCTACATTTGCAGATTTGTCTTTATAGTGAAACTAAATGCCTTAATTGTTTATACTTGTCACCGTCTATGTTAGATATCTGTCTGTGTTTGGGGATCTGATTTGCATAGTTTGTCATCCTAAATATTTCCAGGTGTAAAACAGGGTTTTGTTTTTGTTTTTTTAACTTTCCCCCTAGAGTTAATTGGCTATTTGGTTGGTCAATTATGACTTCTCCAAGTTCATAGTTGTTTTTTAGAGGAAAAGCTTCAGACTAGACACAATAGTCTTGACTCAGAATTCTGACCTCTCGATACCTGTGCTCTGTTCCCAGTGTGTTTAATGCATTCCAGGAGTCTGTTTGCATTTTAAATGCATTGCATTTTGAACTGAGGGTGACTTCTCATTCGGTCACTCCCAAGGATTACCCTGATTTTTTTTTTTGTTCTGTTCTACCACACTGAGCTTGTTCTTTATCGGCCTTGATTCCGTCTTCTTGGTTCTTTTCATTTTCCAGTGGTATCCCAAGGACAGTGGGCACACTCCTCTGCTCTCACTCCCAGGGTACAGACAGTAAGGGGTGTATTATCTGCAAAGAATTTAAAAACACTTTAAGACTGATTTTAGTTAGTTGGTTTTTACTATCATCATGCTCTAATATCTGTTCATGTGGCTGCTCCCTGAAAAAAAATCTGTTGGTTTAAGTTCTAAACAATTGCTGCAGTCACTGTTACATTTTAATATCTATGTAAACTTCAAACTTGTACATTTTAATGACTTATCCTTTAATACATGTTGTATTCGACATGAAATTTATGTCCATGACAGCTCCCAGTTATATAGTTGGGTCCCACACATGCTATGAGTATTTGTTCTGAGAGTAAATTCACAAAGGTTTGGCATAGTTCAAATTCACATCATGAACAAGTGTTTGATTTCTATAGTATTATTTAACAGTACATTTAAATGGTAGGTTTGAAATAAGCAATGGTAACACGGTGATGTTAAAGACCAAAACAAAGCTTAGGTTACTTTAAATCTGTCATTCTGTGTGACCACTTGGAGTTTTTGTGTTTAAAATGTTAAGCAGTGAAACAGAATGAGAGCTGTGAGTTATAATATTTTAGTTTCATAAGTGAACATTTTATACTTCAAATAATTTATTGAATTTGAATATCTTTTAAACTGAAATTCAATTTCTAAAAACTGAAAAATGAATGAAGAAAAGAAAACATTACATAACTAGTGCAATTTAGTGGTTGCCTTCATTATATTTTTGGAAGACATTTAATAGTTTTATTTATATTTGCTTTATTTTTTTATTGGCACAATTATATATAGTATGCAGTTCAATAAAGTAAAAATTTGGGCTGGGCATGGTGGCTCACGCCTGTAATCCTAGCACTCTGAGAGGCCAAGGCAGGCGGATCGCTTGAACACAGGAGTTCGAGACCAGCTTGGGCAACATGGCAAAACTCCATCTTTACAAAAAATGCAAAAATCAACCCAGCGTGGTGGTGTGCACCTGTAGTCCCAGCTACTCAGGAGGCTGAGATGTGAGGATCGCTTGCACCCAGGAGGCCAAGGCTGCAGTGAGCTGAGATTGTGCCACTGCACTCCAGCCTGGGAAAAAGGGTGAGGCCCTGTCTCAAAAAAAAAAAAAAAAAATTCACTGCATTCCTTTTCTGGTCACGATTACCATGCATTTTATTTTGAGATTATCACTGGAAATATCTTTGTCATCTAGATGTGGGGAATGTTAAATGACCTGCCTATTTGAGCATCAGATGCACTAGGTGTGCCACTGCTAGGACCACTCAGTATGTAGCTCTTGTGTCTCCCATGATGTATTATCTGCACAGTTAGTGAGAGTCTGTCTTATAGACAGCATCAGATGCACTAGGTGTGCCACTGCTAGGACCACTCAGTATGTAGCTCTTGTGTCTCCCATGATGTATTATCTGCACAGTTAGTGAGAGTCTGTCTTATAGACAGCATCAGATGCACTAGGTGTGCCACTGCTAGGACCACTCAGTATGTAGCTCTTGTGTCTCCCATGATGTATTATCTGCACAGTTAGTGAGAGTCTGTCTTATAGACAAGCATTTAAACTAGCAGACCCTGAGTTAATTTCTGTGGAATTCTTCCTCACCTATGTTCACCTATATTTCAGATTTTACCATTTCTCTGGGTTATTGTGATGATTTCCTGGCTATAGTCTGTGTTTCCATGCTCTCGTCTACCTGTTTGCATCCACCTCTGCTCCCCCAGCACCATCCATACTCCACTCTGCTGTCAGCACGAAGTTTCTAAAATGCAAACCTGAGCATGTCCGTTTTCCACTTTCAGTCCCTCACTAGCCCTGATAATCTTCAGTCCTCATGACCCTTCAGGCTCTGGCTCCTGTATTCCTCTCTGGCCCTGCCTCCTGCCAAATAGATCTCCCAGGAGCTCCTTGAACATACACTGCTGCCTGATTTTCTGCCTTTGCATTTACTTTCCTTTTGCTTATCATTTATTTTTCTCTTGCCTGTCTCCTCCCTGCACAAACCTGGCTAGCTTCTGTTGCTAGTCATTAGAACCACCTGGAGAGGTCTTTGAATTACAAATCCCTGGGCACTGAGACCAGTTGAATTAGAATCTCTGGCAGGTGGGAGCTGGGAATCTGTATTAAACTCCACTGATACAGTTTATTTTTTGCTTAGGAAGATTTTCTATGGAAATCATGGTTAATTATTGCTATTGCTTTCCTTCTATCCATTAGTTTGCTTCTCTGTACAAGAAAGAGATTTTAGTAGTTTTGCGGAGTTTCTTCTGTGTAAGAAAATAAAATTTGTATATCTTTTTATAGTTTTTAGAGGGCTCCTATTAACATTTCATTCAATCCTCAACAATTCTGGGAGGTAGGAAGGTAGGTCAGATTTGATCGTTTTAAATATCTGGAAATTGGAGTTCAGAGAATTTAAGCAACTTGGTTAGGGTCATTTAAAAAAATCAAATTATTAAGTTGTTTGTTTGTTTGTTTGTTTGTTTTTAGAGATATGGTCTTACTATTTGCCTAGGCTGGTCTCATACTCCTGAGCTTAAGCAATCCTTCCACCTCTGTCTTTCTAGTAGCTGGGACTGCAGACGTGTACTGTATCTGGCTTCTCAGGGTCATATTTTTAAAAAGTATTTACATAATTAGGTTGTTAGGGTTTCCAATCACTGGCATTTTTCAAAATTCAGAAATGATGAAATTTCTTCTCAGATTGTTTCCTAAAAAATAGCCAAAATGAGTATGTAAGTTCTGAGAAAATACCATACTCTGATAGTTTAGAGTAATAAGAAATTACTCACTATGAATTTCCATCTCCCTTGACTAATTTTAATTTTGAATAAAACTTAAATGGGATTATATCTTGATATGTCTGACCCTTCCTCAGAAAACATGATACTGAACTAGAGAAAATGAAGTATTGTAAGCTAGTTGGGATGTGTTATTATTACTAACAAAATTAATGCAGAGGTTAAGAAAGAACCATTTTGAACAAAAGTTTTAAATTCTTGTAATAGCTTTAACTCTTTTATTCTCCATTTCCCCTAGAGGTCTTGTGCATTTCTATTTTCCCACTTTTTTTTTTCTGAGAGCCTGGAGAGTTTCAGCAGTGTCTTTAAATTCTTGTGATTTTGATTAATTTCCCCTCCTTTCCTTTCCCCCCTCCTCCCCTTCCTCTTGGTTTGGATGTCCATATCTGTGGTCAGTGGGTAACTACATAAATGCCCACTTGAAATCTACATCTTTGATATGATTCTGGTACCATACTTAAGCACTGGGTGAGGGGAATCTGTTAATGACATGATTTGGCACAAAGGCTGACATCTTAGGCCCAGTGTCTGAAACTGCACCCCACTTCCCTGCTGCACCAGAAATGGCTCCCCCTCCTGCCTTCCCTGCCCTGGATGTTGGCACTCTCTTCTAAGCCAGATACCCAAAAGTCTGTTTTTACATCTCCCTCTTCTTTATTCCCTGGGATGATTTTACCTGTTGCACAGGCTTTAATTCTGACACATCCTCTTCATGCTGTATTGCTGCAACGCAGACCCTGATTATATAGTGTCTGGATTGGTGCTATTCTCCTTGACTTCAATCTGGCCTCCTGAAAATCTGTCTTCACTGGTGCCAGCATGATCCATCTGAAAAGAGATTTGGCTGTTCCCTCCTTGAGTAGGATCCTCAGTACCTCCCTATTCCTACACAAAAAAAGTTCAAGGTTCTCCAGCCACCAATCAAGATTTTCTAGGATTTGACCTGCTTTTTTGCAGCATGTTCCTTGGTGTTCCCGCTCTCCATCTTTCTGTGCTCCCTGTCTCCAAGCTCATGCTCCTGTCTGAGAGCTCACTGTACACATCATGTGGGTCCTTGGCTTTCTGCCTTTGCTCTGTTGTCTCCTCTGCCCCAAACACTCTTCATCTTGCTTCTGGCCCTTCGGATCAATATAACCACTCTCTTTCCCCTGGCTGACATCTGTTCTTTAAGATCTCCTTAAAAGTATTTGCTCTTTAGGAATCTTTCTTTTCTACTCTCCTGGGTTAACTAGAATATAATTTAGGTTCCTTTAAAGAGATTTAAACAGAGGCTTAAATAAGATAGGAATGTGTCTCTTAAGTAAAAGTCTAAGCAGTACACCTACTCATCTGGAGAGTAGAGTGGCTCATCTATGAGGCTATCTAGAGACCATGTTCCTTCTATTTTCTTGCCCCGCCATCACTAGGACATTATGCTTATTGGTGTGGTGGCAGCTGGCTCACCACCACTTGTCTGCGTCTTGCCAGTAAGAACAGAGAAGGACATTGTGGTGGGCATACCCCTTCCTTTGAAGAGCCCAACTCAGACATTGTATATACAGGTTGAGCATGACTAATCTAAATATCCAAAATCTGAAATGCTCTACAATCTGAAACTTTTTGAGGGCTAACATAATGCCACAAGAGGAAAATTCCACACCTGACCTCAAGTGATGAGTTGTAGTCAAAATGCAGTCAAAATTTAATTTTATGTATAAAATTATTAAAAATATTGTGTACAATTACCTTTAGGCTATGCATATAAGACATATGTGAAATGTAAATTTTATATTTAGACTTAGGTCCTATCCCCAAGATATCTCATTATGTATTTGAAAATATTCCAAAAATCTGAAAAAATTCAAAATCTGAACCACTTCTTGTCCCAAGCATTTTGGATAAGGAATACTCAATCTGTGTTAGTCTCATTAGCCAAAACATCACATACTCACACCTAACTTCAGGGAATGCTGAGTGATGTAGTCTTTAGCTTAGCGCTGTCCAATATTAATACAATGTAAGCCACATAATTTAAAATTTTCAAGTAGTCATATTAAAAAGTCAAAAGTGGTAGGTGAAAGTAATCCAGTATTTTTAACCTACTATATCTAAAATATTGTTATTTCAATATGTAGGACTAGCCACATTTCAAGAGCTCAGTAGCCACATGTGGCAAGTGGCTACCATATTGGACAGAACAGCTTTAGCTGGTTAGCCAGGCACCCTGCTAAAGTTGAGGGAGCCTGCCATAAAATGAAGGGGAGAATTGATATTGAGGGTCAACCAGTAGTCTCTGTCATATCTTCTCTTAATTACTCTCTACTCCTACCTGTCCCAATTTGATCCTACTACTTGATGTTGCCCAGGACATGTGCATGTAATGATCTGTTTTAGTCTGGATCAAACATCTGAAAGGCAAAGATTGCATCATCTTTTCTTGAGATCTTTGCCTGTTAATCAGTACATTGATACATTTTAGTTGAGTGAATGATTGAATTAATTGAGTGAAGCTTTTATAAAATTGCTCAGCTATTTTTGTTATTCTTAGGCAAATGTTTTGACTCTTATCCATCAAAAGTTGTAATATTTTAAGAATAAAAGCAAGTATATAAAAAAGTTCTAATATTATTCTTGGGGGGATGGATTTACTTTGATTCTATTTAGTATACTTGCCATTAACTTACATTCAGAGATGCTTTTGGTTGACATTCACATTGGAATATAATGGCAGGTCTCTGTTTCCACAAATCATGTTTCAGAAAACAATATGTCCAGTGTCTGGGAAATCCATATTTTCCATGAAATATTGAATGTTGCTTCTGTGGAGGGTGTTTCTGTACTATAAAAGATCAAGATCGAGTTGTTTATGTGGAACCCTTATACTGTCAGTTCCTGTTCTGTCCTTTGGGAAATATGCCATTTCTAGGAAATATTATTATAAATCTATTAATGTCAGAAGACAGAGGCAGAGGATAATATTTTACATGTGAAACAGTATTACCAGAAGTCAACAAGTCAGCAAAACTTATCAATGATTTCTGGAATTAAATGAATCATGAATGCAGATTCTCATTAAATGAAATGGAGGGCTGAATGTTCCCTAAACAAGGTAAATTCTAGAAGTTACAGGCTGTTTCTGTCTCTCACATGCCTGGCCTTGCATCATTGCAGTCAGGTGGCTACAGGAATACCTTTCCTGGGCTGGCCCCTGAGATATCACAGCCCTTCTCTCAAGAATGAAGAGCAGTGAGGTGAGGGCTAAGAGGAAGGATAAATGAATAGGACTGCACCTCTTCCTCCTCCTCTTCATTAACAGCTTCCCACACCACTCATCCTGTCTCTCATTCTCCCTGCAAACAGAAACTTCACTTCTCCTTTCCATGAATGGTTCTCGGGATGAATTTCCTAGGTTGGCCAACCTCTGGGGAGTAATCTCACTTCAATCAGGCAGTGCCATCTTTCAGGAAAATAAGATTTATAGCAGTCACTGCCATCACCATGATAATGGTGTTATAATGTGTGTATGTGCCAGGTTCTTGCTAAGGTCTTTATGTGTGTTACTCATTTATCCTTACAACTGTCTTATGAAATAGGCATTATTATGTATGATCCCCATTGTATAGATAAAGACAGATTAAGTAGCTTGCCTAGAGTCATAAGCTGAGTTGCTAAACAGATTGACCTGCACATCTGAATCTAAATCTTGGCTTTTTGAACATTAGATGGTCCTGCCTCCTAAATGTCACTCATGTGGCTTTTGATATATTTATTTGTGGTGGAGGGTGAGTAGGAAAGAGGTGGGGAGTGGAAGGGGGACAGGAGCCCTGGAAGGAGCACCTGATCCAGAATTGAAAGAGTCTAGGAGGGTTTGGATGAGGCTTTTTGGGAAAAAGCATGCCTTGTTGGTAGAGCAAGGAGGAGCCAGAAATATCAGACTCATTTGTATTCTGAGTATTGGAAAAACTTTCATTGTGGCCCTTTTTAAGATGAAGAAGCTGTAGCCATAAGGTGGTTTGACTGTCTTGTTCTATCAATCACGAAATTGGAGCTCAGAGACATGAGATTACTTGCCCAGGGGCATGCTCCTAGTGAGTAAAGTGAGTTCTGTGTACTTGAACCTACTCTTTGGTTCCATATTAATTTTATTTAGTTATACTGTTTTACCCTTATTTGTTATTTCTGTTGTATGTTGCCACTTGTTACCAGTGGGAAAAGAGTCTAAAAAATATCAGAAGGGAGTGTGTGCTTGCTTCAGGAGGAATAGCAGGGTAATGGAGAAACTGGGACAGAAATCTGTTCCTCCATTGCCCAAGTAGCCAGAGAAAAGACGGGCTGGCACAGTGAGTGGTGGCAAAGAAAGGAGGCTGGTGGGCGAGCCCTTCGTCCCTCTGCAATAAAGTGGGGACAGACCATTAAGGGGAGACCCTCAGAGTCCCTCTTCCCACACTGTGGCAACCTGTGCCCAAGTCCTTTTTCTCACCTGATTGGGTGTCCTGGTTTCCATAGCTCTGTGTATGTGGGGAGAGGGAGAAGTGTAATCCCACTGCCAGGGTTGTGTCAGGAGAAAGTATGTTCTTGGAATTCTTAAACAGGAACCCTGATTCTCCTGGGAAACACGGCTAAACATGCTGCTTAGGACAGTACTCATGGGACAGGATATGAGTTAAAGTGGCTCATGTAAGCTGGTCTACTGTAGTGTGTATGCTTGTTTTAGAGCTGCAAGTAATCCACTTATAGGCATTGGAATCTGGCCCGTTCATCACCTGAGAGATGTTTTCTTTCTTTCTTTTTTTTTTTTTTTTTTTTTTTTTTAGACGGAGTCTCATTCTGTCACCCAGGCTGGAGTGCAATGGCATGGTCTCAGCTCACTGCAACTTCCGCCTCTTGGGTTCAAGTGATTCTCCCTCTTCAGCCTCCTGAGTAGCTGGGACTACAGGCGCATGCCACCACACCCAGCTAATTTTTGTATTTTTAGTAAAGATGAGGTTTCACTGTGTTGGCCAGGCTGGTCTTGAACACCTGATCTCGTGATCTGCCAGCCTCGGCCTCACAAAGTGCTGGGATTACAGGTGTGAGCCACCGCGCCCAGCTGAGAGATGTTTTCTAATGATGGAAATTACCTGTATACATAGGCTTCTTCTTCCTTCTTCTTAATTTTTTTTTTTGACAATGTCTCACCCTATCACCCAGGCTGTTGCCCAGGCTGGAGTACAGTGGTGCAATCTCGGCTCACTGCAACCTTTGCCTCCCGGGTTCAAGCGATCCTCCCACCTCAGCCTCCTAAGTAGCTGGGACCACAGGCATGTGCCACCATGCCCAGCTCGTTTTTTGTATTTTTGGTAGAGACAGGGTTTTGTCATGTTGTCAGGCTGGTCTTGAACTCCTGGCCTCAAGTGATCCACCCACCTCAGCCTCCCAAAGTTATAAATACCTTCTGATGTATCCAAAGAAAAAGCTTTTGTAAACGTGTCCCAACAACTAGTGCTTGGAGGAATTAATAGTAGAAACTCTGAGAGACCAAAGTACTTTCAAAAGACAAATGCTACAATTAGTTCTTAGACATTTAGGAAAATTAGAATGGGGGCTTGAACTGGGTAAGATTTCGTGAGAACTCAGCTCTGACCTGTTTACATATGTGGGGTTTTAACAGTCACTGGGTTTGGTTGAGCCTAAGAAGAAGGGAATGGAAAATGCTCTTGGAGGTGTGGTCCAGGTCATGAGCTCTGGAGTGAGATAGACTTGGGCTTACTTACCAGCTCGACTGTGTTTTAGCTGGTGACATTGGACCCCAGTCTGTTTTCTCATTCATAAAGTGGGAATAGTAACATTATTTATGGATTGTTGTGCAGAATACTTACACTATGTTGAAGCAACTCCAGATTTTCCAGATAGCAATAATGGAGGGAAAATCATTGCATTAGAAGATCTTGTTTTGAAACCAAACATGTTGTTTTACTTAGATTGATTATTTAGGGAAAGCTGGTAGAGATTGTGGGGAATGTTAATATGTCTCCCAAGCTATTCTTGTTGCTTTTACTTTGTGAAGTGCTAACATATAGGGCCTGGTGTGTAGAAAACCTGCAGTCAATGACAGCTTGTTGTTATTTCTTGTGAACACAATTGAGATCATCTAGTGTATACACTGAAAATCTTTTATTTTTCACTTTTTACATTACTAATTTTTTTATGTTATTAAATGCCCTTTAAAAATGATCATATTCAGTGACTATATATACAATTATCTGTTTCTGTATTATTCTCATTGTGGGACTTTTAGGCTATTTCCAACATTTTTCTTATAACTCGTGAAGTATATCTTTGTCTGAACTTATGGCTCAATTCTTGCAAGGGGAGAGGCAATTCTGTTTTAACTATGGTTGTCAATGGCAAGTCTGAGTCAGAATCTGATGCCACAACCATCCTAGGCCCAGCTACCATGCTCTGTTGTTTGTCATTGACCTGTTTGTTTCTCAGGCTTCGGAGACCTGTGAAGTTACCTCATTTTGGTTCCGTTGGGCCTCAAGTGCAGAGTAAGTGCTTGTTAAAGGTTTGTGGAGATAAATTGAGGATAAAAGTTTTGGGGTTGCAAAGAGGTTTGAGAACTGCCAGTCCATGTTCTCCTTCTCTATGTTGTAACTATTTTTAAGTGCTAGGGAATGGGGTATATAAAAGACAATATGATCTCTTCCCTCACGAAGCTTATTATCTAGTTGAGAAGGTCACACTAGTGGAAAGTAAATAATTAGAGAAGTTAGTCAAGTCATATAATGGCAACTAAAAGTCTGATGAGGAGTTTAGAACTAGCAGAAAATTCTTACTGCTATAGACTCATCAGAGAGGGCTTCATGGAGGAAGTGAAGTGAGGCAGGTTTTAGGATTTAGCTATTCATAGAGAGAGAGGGTCTGTGGGATTTTGGGCAGGAGCACCAGCATGAGCAAAGGAGCAGGAGTGGGAATGAGTGTGGGACATGAGAGGGCACGGTATGCACATTTGGGGGAGCAGAAGGAAATAGCATTAGGGGCTAGGCAGGGTGGGGCCACATTCAGGAGGGCTGGAAGCCAAACAGTTGAGAAGCATAATAAGAAATAAAGAGTCTTTGTAGGTTTATGAGTGACATGAGGAAAGTGGTTGAACTGGAAATTCAAAGGTGGTGTCAGAAATATTGCTCCGAAAAGGTCATTTATAAGTACACAGATATTTGGCAGTAATAATATGTTATACATCTGGAATCCTTTAAAGCTTCCACAGATCTCACTTAATCCTTGTATGTCCAGGAGTGGCCAATGATTATTATCCCCAATTTACAGATGGGGAAACTGAGCTTTCAAGTGGTTGAGTGACCTCTCAGTATCACACAGTTAGAAAACGGGCAGATGGAGGAACCCAAATCTCCTCATTCCTGGACCATTGGTTTTTCAGTGATGCCTCAGGGTGCAAGGGACACATCTTCCATTGTTAAGGGAACTACTTCTTGGAAAGAAAGATGCCGTCAGTGTGTAGTTAATGTGTATCAGGTACTTTACATACATTTGGCATCATCAGCCTAATGGTCTTGTAGCTGTTGGTCAATAGCTCTATTTTACAGATAAGGAAACTGAGGCTTAAGGAGGTTAAACAACTTGCCCAGCGCCACACATCCAGTTAGAGGCAGAGTGAGGGGCCCTGCTCCAAGTGTGCATGACTGTTTCTTGCCTTGGTTCTTCCCACACCTGACACTTGGGCACACTGCAGCTACTTCTACTTCTTGCTTTGCTCAGCGATGTGAGGGGTTGATTTTCAGGTTACATATACAAAATTAAATTATTTTGGAATGAGTTCAAAGCAAGTGTCTTGGCTGAATATTACACCGTATTTTATGGAGGTGTCTGTATATCGAGTATATTGAGTGAATATTAGTAATTTCAAGAAACTAATTAGGAAAAGCAGAAGTTTGATCTCTGGTAGGAGTTTGAGGATATATGCTTATGCTTCTTCTAAGGCTCTCTTAACTTCGGGATGGAGATTCCTGTCCTCAGTGCAGCATGCAAGGTGCCTAGTGAGGAGACCCTTGCTTATGTCTCTCGTCTCAGCTTCTGCCTCCTTGTGTCTTGCACATAGCTACATGGAAGGAATATCAACTCCTGCACAGAGTTTCACATGTTCTCTGTGCTCCATGCATGTGCTGGAAGGTGCTGAAATGTGCCTCCTCTCTATAGCCCCTATCTGTCCTTCCCTTTAGCCTAGCTAACTGTGTTCATCCATCAAAACTAAGCACAACATCCAGTCTCCTCTGGGCTTCCCCTACAGCTCCTTTCCAGCCCTTGGACCAGGTTTGGCATTCCTGCCCTCTGTTCCCCCCCGTCATGGCACTTCTACTCTGTGTTTTCCAGGAAGATAGCACAGAGGTGGAAGTGTATATGTGGTATGCAGGGATACTCAATCGGCCACCCTGGGTAGAATGAGTTTGCATAGAAAAGGTGTATGAAAGAAAGGGGCCTCAGTCATAGAGTGCTTCAGCCATTTTGGGTGCAAACAACATAAATAGACTTTTTGGTGTCTAAATATCACCCTAACTTCTCTCCTTAAGTTAGGGTGCTTAAGTTATTATCTGCTTAAGAGTGGACCCCTGCTTAAGCATCCTAGTCATGTACCAGCCCCTGGCTGCACTGGGGCAGGGAGAGGGACAATGAAATCCCATTGGCTTCTGTAAGGACAATGGGATCCTACTTCCTGTCAGTGCTATTCACAATGGGGGATTTCCCCAGAAGGGAGATCCAGGTGCTAGCAGAAAAAAGGGAAGGATGCCAGACAACCAGAACCCCATAAATGTCTGCTCTGGAGAAACCAGGAAGGAAGCATGGCCTGAGGCACTCGAGGGGCTCTCAACACCAGCCTCAAATGGCAGGTACAGGGAGAGGCCTTTCCTCTCTAGGAGCCACTGAGAGATTGGCAGTAGGGGAGTGGGCTAGGCACCCAGAGCAGCATTTTTAGAAGCTGAATCTTTAGTCGTGGGCCTCATGGCCTGGAGAGAGCTGGGGCTGAAAGTCTGAAAGTGGGGGGACCAGTCAGGAGATTAGTGTCTGTGTGCAGTAAACACGGAACCAGAAATCTGGAATTCACCATGAGTCATTAGCAGATGGGGATTAGAACTCATTGACCTTGGGGAAGTCATCAGACTTTTCTTGCCTCAGGTGAACACAGTGGCATAATTATGCTGGCCCACCCAGTGAAATGCTGCCAGAATGAACTCAGTCATCTCTTTCATCCAGATACAGATTCATCATGGTGTCAGGTTTAGCTCATTGCTTGTTTCTACCCCTTGTGTGTCTGATCATTTTCTAGTTACCACTCCTTTTTTTTCTGAAATGAAAAGTCAAGGCATGTGAAAACCTGACGTTCACAGTAATCTAAGCACATCCTTGCTCTGTCAGGGAGAGATTCTGCCTCCAGATGGTGCATTCATCTGGTCTTTGGCATGTTCTGAGCCAGGATTTAGACAAAATGAAAGGTTGTTTGAATACTAATGTAAAATCTCATTGGGCAAGGAAAACTGTCTATTTGGATTATGAATAGAATCTGTACAGTGGCCTATTCACTTCAATGTTAATTGTCACCATTTAGTGGAGCTGGACAGCATTTAGAAAATGAGGAATAACGCCTTCAACAAAGCTCTTTTCATGGACAGCTTTTACAATGTGCTCAATTCTATGGCTCTTGAACAAAAGTCCATATTTTCTCCTTGGGTTTGTCATGCTCTGAGCTTGCACAACAACTAGGAGTTTGGCCTAACTATGGTTCACAGGTCAACATGTTTAACCTTTATGTGGAGACTTACAAGAGTGACAGCTTCTTGGTAGTTTTTAATGATTTTTGACCTGTTTAATATTGTGTTTTATCTTGAGAAATTATTTCTACATATCCTTACATTGGAACTGTACTTCACAGAGACCTTTAACACATTATCTCCTTTTATCTGCATAGGCCCATGCAAGAGAACTCCTGGTATCTTAGTCTAATTTCCAGTGGGGTTTGTAAGAAGAGGGTTAAAATTGCTCTGTCCTTAACACTAAGAATAGAATTTCATTGTCCCTTTATTTGAGTAGCTCATAGTATTTTATACACACTAATTCATTAACCCTCAACAAAGTTCTGTGTGTAGGCAGTGGAAAATATTCTTTTCCCTGTGGCAGTATTTACACATTGAGAAACCAAGTCACGAGGCACAGCAGGGTTGGGCTGGTCCACAGGGAGCCAGGGGTAATTTGGGCCGCCCAGTTCTTAGTCTAGCCCTCTTCCTTGACCATTAGAAAACCTGAACATGTTTTTCTTTGGAAAATAATCATGATTTCCAAAGAAAATAGCCCTGAAGGCCAAATTCTACCCGGAGAACTGAACTGTAAAAGGGAAGAGTTTGGGGGCGGTTTTCTCACAAAATGGTTGATGTGGTTTCATTTTCTTATGTTGTCACTAAGTGTTTTGTCTGCTGTAGCCAGGAACCAGATGGTCAACATGGCAGTATGTTTTTGTTTCTAAGAACCAGTTTTTGAATGTCCCCATCTTGTTTTGCTGCTGATACCTTTCCAAGTGTCAGATGAGCAAGGCAGCACCTGCTGTTCCAGCTCAGGCTCTGCAATAGGTGCCGAAAAGCCTCCCTTCTTCCCTTCTCAGATTTCAACATCCTTAAGGGCGAGAATGGTCTCTAATCTTCCTCCTTTTTACCTCTTTTCTTGTTCCTACGTGTGCTTTGGCAAGAGAGTACCTCAGTAAAGGATTTGGTGGGCAGAATAAAGCCCAGATCTGTATATCTTGGTATCCAGGAGGCAGCTCGCCACATGTGGACACCTCAAACTTACTGAGTTACTGATTTCCATCCAAAACAGAATTCCTGGTTTCCTTTCCCAAATCTGTACCATCTGTGTCATTCCCTATCTCTGCTAGTGGCAATTTCATTATTTTCTCAGACGTCAAACTTGGGAGATTTTTGTCTCTCTTTCTTTCATATCCCACTGCCAAATTGTCAGGAAATCCTATTGGCTCTCCCTTCAGAATATAGCCAGTTACTTCTCACCAGCACTTTGCTACCCTCAAATCTCAGACACCATCATCTCTTCCCTAGATTATGGCAACTGCATCTAAGCACATCCTCCTGCATCTACCCTTGATCCCTCTTAGTCTGCCTGTGACTATTGTCAGAATGATCCTGTTTGTGTGTCTGTCAGATTATGTCACTCAGCTCAGAACCCTCAAATGGATCCTCTGCATACTCAGAAGAAAAGTCAACGTCCTTAGGAGGACCTACAAGGCCTTGCATAATAGATCCTTCATTTTCCTCTGTGTCTTCATCTTCTATTACTCTCCACTTCACTCTGCTGCAGACATACTGGCCTTCTTGCTGCTCCTATAAAAAGAATGTTGGAGGCTGGGCGCGGTGGCTCATGCCTGTAATCTTAGCACTTTGGGAGGCCGAGGTGGGTGGATCACGAGGTCAGGAGATGGAGACCATCCTGGCTAACATGGTGAAATCCTGTCTCTACTAAAAAATATATAAAAAATTAGCCAGGCATGGTGGCGGGCACGTGTAGTCCCAGCTACTTGGGAGTCTGAGGCAGGAGAAAGGGGAGAACCTGGGAGGCAGAGTTTGCAGTGAGCCGAGATTGCGCCACTGCTCTCTAGCCTGGGTGACAGAGCAAGACTCCGTCCCAAAAAAAAAAAAAAAAAAAAAAGAATGTTGGACTCTTCAATTGCATGTTTCATATTTCTTAGCATCTCTTTCCCATTTTTCACCTTCTCTAGCTCTGTGCTATATTCTGGGTAATTTCCAAGATTCAAATTCCAATATATTACTGACATTTTCACTTTTCTTCTTTGCTTTTTAACTTGTCCAGTGAAATTTCATACACGATACTTTTATTTTTAGGAGTTCTGTCTGGTTCTTTGTCAAGTTGGCCTGTTCCTTTCTGATGCTTTGAGTTATTTTTTAACATCTTTATTTAAACATAGTTATTTTACAAAATATTCGATCAGTCTATCATTTGAAGTTCTAAAGGGCCTGTTGTTTGTACTGTCTTTTTCATGATGGATAGTTTTGTCAAGTGTTTCATAATATTGAATGGTGAGCCTATGTCCAATGAAACTTTAACTGGGGGAGTCCTGTAATTGTGAGTTAACCCCAAATGCATTACCAGTATGGAACCATTTTATATGTTAATTTTTCAGTTAAAGGGCTCCAGGGAACCCTTCTTTCCTCACTCATCAAAGACTTAGGCTGAGACCAGAAACATTTCTTGTTTTTTCCTTTGGCTACTGGTCATATTTTTCTATTATCATTATTTGAATAAAGACATGGCCCTTTGGGGGTACTGCCTTATTTAGTTCTAACTCCTTACCACACATGGGCAAGATGTCTCCCCTTCCCTCAGTAGCCATTAAACCCAATCTTCTGGGCTGCTGAGACCATTAAAACACTTCAGGCAAAGATTCTTCGTAGGACATCACTCTGTTTTTCAATGAGTCTTTATTTTATGACTTTGGGAGTGCTCCCTTGCTTTCTTGGGAGAGCGCAACTATGCATTTAAGTAATTCTGAAACAGAGTCCATCCAATGCTTCAAGCAATAAGGTTCTCATGTTATTCAATCCATTATTTGGGTAGAAAGGAAGTCCTTTTTTTAAAAAAAAAAAAAACTCAATTAACAAATCTTTATCAAGTCCTTCTGCAAGCTCACCCTGCCCACTCCTGGCAGGATTAGTCCCTCTCCTGTCACCCCATTTCTTCTCTTTACTCTAATGTTCATTACCTGGCATTGGCTGTTTCGCCCTGTGCTTCTTCTGATAGACTAAGAATTCCTGATGGCAGAGACCTGTCTTACTCACCTTAGAATTTCCAGTGCCAAGCACAGGGTAGAAGGGGAGGGTAACACTGAAAAGGGAGGATTTGAACACACCAGAGAAGAAGGGACTATTGTAGGCACACAGTCCCTCAGCTATTAGGAATGAATGGGATTCGGCCACAAGAGGAAGGAGAAGAGATGGATGGAGGGAATAGATGCAGAGCCAGAAAGGAAGAGTTTCAAAGGCCTAACCTGTGACCAGTTGATGAAAAATGTTGATTTCAAAGTAGAGAGTGATATCTTCTGTTCAGAGTGAGGTGGGATCTTAAGGATGGAGGAAAACTGAAAGCACCACTGTGGTTCTTTTAAAAAAAATATTGCAGTTAGGTGTAACTGAATTGGCAGAACATAACCTGGTGTGAGCTCATGACAGAGAATTGTACAGTGGATTTAGTCTAGCATTGGTATTATAGACTATCTAGCAATAAATCACTGATTATAATTGAGTTTTGCTAGGCACATTCCACATCTGGGGAATTTTGCATAGTATCTGTGTTTTACTAGGTGCTCTGTACATTCTCATCTGAAATGAGTTTTTCTTCACAAATGTGTAATATAAATGTATAGACCACATACCTAGACAGGTCTGTGATGCATGCAGGTACACACACACACACACACACACACACACACACACACACACACACCACACTCACAGGCAGGGGACTGTATATTTCTTGTAACTTGGCTAATAGGCCTGCTTGCCCCAAACTCTGTATACTGACTGCCTTCTGTGTTCCCATCTTTGAGTCAGTGTTCTGAATCAAGGTATAGGCTGCTGGTAGGAAAGATCAAGATTTTAAACTCATTACTACTCACTGTCATATTAACTTGGGTTATATCACTGAGTTAATTAACTATCACGTAGTACAGAATATGAACTTAAAGCACTAGTGAACAAGATAGGTAAAAGTTTGTTATGTCACTTTGGGAGGCCGAGGCAGACAGATCACGAGGTCAGGAGATCAAGACCATCCTGGCTAACACGGTGAAACCCCGTCTCTACTAAAAATACAAAAAATTAGCTGGGCATGGTGGCGGGCACCTGTAGCCCCAGCTACTTGGGAGGCTGAGGCAGGAGAATGGTGTGAACCCAGGAGGTGGAGGTTGCAGTGAGCCGAGATCGGCCACTGCACTCCAGCCTGGGTGACAGAGCAAGACTCCGTCTCAAAAAAAAAAAAAAAGTTTGTTATGTGTTTGTGAGTGCATGTACATGTGTATGTTGGTAGTGGGGTTAAGATGAACTAAAAGTTAGTCCTATTAATGTGATGAAAAAGTACTGATTAAGTAATGACCTTATACAGGCATATCTTGAAGATATTACAATTTCAGTTCCACATCACCACAATAAAGGAAATATTGCAATAAAATGAGTCACATGAGGTTTTTGGTTTTCCAGTGCATATAAAATTTATGTTTAAATTATACTGTAGTCTATTAGGAATACAATAGCACTATGTCTAAAAAATGTAAATACCTAATTAAAAATACTTTATTGCCAAAAAATGCTAAGGATCATCTGAGCCTTTAGTAAGTCAATTTTTTTTTTTCTGGTAGAGAGTCTTGCCTTGATGTTGATGGCTGCTGACTGATCAGTTTGGTGGTTGCTGAAGGTTGGGGTGGCTCTTTAAAATAAGACAGTCATGAAGTTTGCTGCATTGATTGACTCTTCCTTTCATGAAAGATTTCTCTGTAGCATGTGATGCTGTTTGAAATAGCATTTTATTCATGGTAATACTTCTTTCAAATCTGGAGTCAATCCTCTTAACTTTGCCTATGCCTTATAAACTAAGTTTATGTAATATTCTAAATTTTTTGTTGTCTTTTCAACAACGTTCACAGCATCTTCACTAGGAGTAGTTTCCATATCAAGAAACCACTTTCTTTGCTCATCCATAATAAGCAACTCTTCATCCACTCAAGTTTGATCATGAGATTGCAGCAGTTCAGTCCCATCTTATCGCTCCACTTCCAATTCTAATTCTCTTGCTGTTTCCATCATATCAGTAGTTATTTCCTTCACTGAAGCCTTGGACCCCTCAAACCCTCATCCACGTCATCCACGAGGGTTGGAATCAACTTCTTTCAAATTCCTGTTAATGTTGCTATCTTGACCTCCCATGAATCACAAATGTCCTTAATGACATCTAGAATGGTGAATTCTTTCCAGAGGATTTTCAGTTTACTTTGCTCAGATCCATCAGATTAATCATTATTTATGGCAACTGTACTTACAAAATGCATTTCTTAAATAATAAGACTTGAAAGTCAAAATTACTCGTTGATCCTTGGGCTGCAGAATTAATATTATGTTGACAGGCATAAAAACAACATTAATCTCCTTGTACATCTCCATCAGAGCTCTTGGGTTACCAGGTACATTGTCAGTGAGCAGTAATATTTTGAAAGAAATCTGTTTTCTGAGCAGTAGGTCTCAATAATGGCCTTAAGATATTCAGTAAACCATGCTGTAGGAAGATGTACTGTCATCCAGGCTTTGTTGTTCTGTTTATAGAGCACAAGCAGAGTAGATTTAGCATACTTCCTAAGGGCCCTAGGACTTTTGGAATGGTAAATGAGCATCGGCTTCAACTTCAAGTCACCAGCTGTATTAGTTCCTAATGAGAGAGTCAGCCTGTCCTTTGAAGCTTTTAAGCTAGGCATTGACACCTCCTCCTTACCTATGAAAGTCCTAGATTACATCTTTTTCCAAAAAAAGGTTGTTTTGTCCACACTGAAAATCTGTTGTTTACTGTAGCCACCTTCATCAATGATCTTAGCCAGATTGGCTGGATAACTTGCTGCAGAGTCTACATCAGAACTTGCTTCCCTTGCACTTTGATGTTCTGGAGATGGCTTCTTAAACCTCATGAACCAACCTCTGATAGTTTCCAACTTTTCTTTTGCAGCTTCTTTACCTCTCTTAGCCTTCATACAATGGAAGAGTTAGGGCTTTGCTCTGGATTAGGCTTTAGCTTAAGGGAATGTTGTATCTAGTTTGATCTTCTATCCACACCACTCAAACTTTCTCCGTATCAGCAATAAGGCTGTTTCACTTTCTTATCATTCGTGTGTTCCTGGAGAAGTACTTTTAATTTCTTTCAATAACTTTTCCTTCACATTCACACCTTGACTGTTTGGCACAAGAGGCCTGCTTTCAGCTATCTTGGCTTTTGATGTGCCTTTCTCACTAAGCTCAATAATTTCTTGCTTTTGATTTGAAGTGAGAGACATGCAACTCTTCCTTTCACCTGAACACTTAGAGGCCATTGTAGGGTTATTAATTGGCCTAATTTCAATATTGTGTCTCAGGGAATAGGAAAGGCCCAAGGAGAGAGGCAGAGAAGAGGGAATGGCCAGATGGTGGAGCAGACAGAACACACATAACATTTATTCAATTCACCATATTTTGTGGGTACAGTTTATGACACCCCAAAACAATGACAATAACATCAAAGATTACTGGTCATAGATCACCATGCCAGATATAATAATAGTGAAAAAGTTTGAAACATTGTGAGAATTTTCAAAATGTGACACAGAGACACGAAGCGAGCACATGCTATTGCAAAAATAGTGGGGATAGACTTGCTCAATGCAGGATTGCCACAAACTTTCAGTTTGTAAGAAACACAATATCTGCACAGAACACAAAAAAGCAAAATGCAGTAACTTGAAGCACAACAAGACATGCCTGTATTTGGTATGCACAAGCTTGCGTATCCTGTTGCTGCTAATGTTAGTTTCTTGGATTACATTTCTTTTCCAGAACAGGTAGAGAGTAGTTCAGTTCATGACATGTGAAGATCTGCTTTCATTTGGCGTTTACTGACTTACATTCTGTAAAACTTAGCATTTAGTTTCTAGTGTCTTTATAATAGTGCATTGGCCAAAATATTGAGCTTAGTGTTGCTTTAGGAAACACATTGATATGGGAGAGCCATAGGAAATATGATCTGAGAAGGGGACTTTTAGTTTTCTGAGGATTTGAGGATAAGTTAATACTGTGGAGAAGGAAAAAGCCCAAGTTCTTTCTGCCTCACAGCAAGCATGGCATTTTTTGGAGCACATCCAATATTAAGAGTTACACACTTGTCCAAGTGAAGATTGCCTGGAAAGAGAAAACCTTATTCTTTGGTTTCTCTTGGTGTGAAATATCAATAAGGAACTTATATATCACAAAATAAAACCATGTGCTGCAATGGAATCTATGCAGATTATACATTTTTAATTTTCTTCACAAAATATTTGAAATATTAGAATACAACTAATATGTCTTCATACCTTACTTAACATGGATTTTAATATAAAGTATGAGTTATCAATTAAATTATAATGTAAGCTAAAGTATTCAGGATTTTATCTGGTAGGTATCTTTTAAGACAGAAATTTATATACTACTTTCCTAGGGGATTACACTAAGGATTTTATTATGTAGTTAACTGGTATGACTTTCCTAGAATGTAGGAACCTGCCTGTGAGGAATACTCTTTCTGGAGAAGTTTTGGAGGGAGCTAACCTTTTCTCTTTGCTTTAAGGAAAAGGTACAGCTAAGTAACTGAAGCAAAATTAAAATCTGGCTAAATTTCTTTTTTAAAAAATTGTTATTATTTTGAGACAAGATCTCACTCTGCTGCCCAGGCTGGAGTGCAATGGCCCAATCTCGGTTAACTGCAACCTCCGCCTCCCAGGTTCAAGCGATTACCCTGCCTCAGCTTCCCAAGTAGCTGGGATTACAGGTGCACACCACCACACCTGGCTAATTTTTGTAATTTTTGTACAGACAAGGTTTTGCCGTGTTGGCCAGGCTGGTCTCGAACTCCTGATCTCAGATGATCCGCCCACCTCGGCCTCCCAAAGTGCTGGGATTACAAGCATGAGCTACCTTGCCCAGCCAAAATCTGACCAATTTTCAAAGAAGGATGTGGAACACTTCTTCAGTGTGCAGGACTGTTCCTGTTACAGGACATTTAATATCTGTGGGCACTAGGCACCGAGTGCTGGATCTGCTCTCTCCAGGACTGGTGTGCCCTCGTTTCTTTCCTCTGTCCTTGCAAGCAGGCACAGGTCTCCACTAACTTAAAGACCAACATAAAGCAAAAGCTCCCTTCATTTTATATCCATTGCACTTGAACTGGTAACTAGCAGCTTTCTGGTTTACAAAGACTATGGCCCTTTTCAGTCCTTGTCTTTCTTGGCCTCACCACAGTCCTCTGTAAGCTCCGAGCATTGTGCATTACTATTAAACTATTTGTTTAGCTCTCAATTGTTGGCAAACAGTTCATGTGTTTGGACTTGGCTGTCTGTAAACTTTTCAAGGGCAGGACCTTGTATTTCTTCATGCCCTTTGTAATATTCAGGACGATTTTTAAAAATAAATATTTGTTAGTTGAAGATTTCTTTGTAACTCATTGGAGTGTTGTAGGAAAGTTCTTTTTTGTTTTAACTTTGGATTTTAAATGCTGACTTTCACAAGTCTGTTTTGTATGTGAGAGAAATTTGTAGTTCTTGTTCTCAGCATATGTAGTTACGTTTGTGCAAGTTACAGGAGCCCTAGGGTAGAGGTGGATTTCAATCACAATAGCAATTTTTTGACTCACCTTTCACCAGTGAAACCATTTGATCTTCAGTTCTCACATTGTTTCTCCTTTCTTAAAACACCACTCATGAGTCCTTTTCCCAGTGCAGGCTTTTCTGATGACTTCAGCCAGAAAGCCCTGTCTTTTCCTGAACTCTCACAGCACTTAATGTTTAACTCGGTCATCCCCACATTTCCCTCCTTACTGCTCCACCTGCCTAGGTCATGCTACTTTTTCTACCAACACAGCTGTGGCCAAGGGGCCAACAACCTGTCAAATCATGGAACCAGTGGGTTCTTTTCAGTTCTTTTGTTTGTTTGCTTCATTTACCCTAAGACATTTGCCTTCTTGTCCATCTATTTATTGAAACTGTCTCCTTTCTTGGATTTTGTCATATACACCCCTTCTACATTTCTAACATAGCAATGGAGTTGGGTGATTGGGAGTGAGGGATCTGGATTCGAATCTTGTCTAGGTTTGAATCCTGGTTCTGTCACTTTCTTGTTGTGTGACCTTGGGCAAGGTGCTCAACCTCCCTGTGCCTCACTTTCCTTATATGTAAAATGGGGATAATAATAGTAGGTATAATATATGGTTGTAAAGATTAAATAAACTAAGAAGCACTCAGAACATTGCCTAGTATAATAGAGTGCTCAAAAATGTCAGCTCTGATTGTTGTTTCTTGGACTATTCTTTCTTGATGTCTTTTATGAGCTCCTCTTCCTCTAGTTTTCTCTTGGAGTTCTCCAAGTTTCTGTTCGAAAATAAGTAATTTTGGCCTTGCAAGTAGCAACTCCCTTGATTAACTCATTGATTCCCAATGGCCTTAACTACTATGTCAGATCAAAAATCTTTCTTTCCAGCCCAGACTTCTCTTTCTGAAGCTCCAGAACTGTGTTTTCAACCCTTCCTAGACACAAGTCATCACATTTCATTTTTTTCTTCTTCTCATATGCTTCTCCTTGGTCAATGGCACCATCCACCTAGTTTCCCATGCTAGGAACCAAGGAGTCACATTAATTCTGCCTAGTTCTTATTTCCCACTACTTCTAGTTCAGCACCAAGGCCTGTCCATTTTGTCTCCTAATATCTCTTGAATTTATCTTTCCCCTCTGTATGACATTGCTTTCACTCAGCCTCTCAGTGTCCTTTGCCTGAAGGATAGCAGTGGTCTCTTACTTGGTTTCCCTGACTTTGATCTTTCTCCTCTTCTAGTCCATCCTTCACCTTCTGCCAGAAGATCTTAAAAAAACAATTTGCCTCACATCCCTTCCCCACTTAAAAATCCACTTACTGGCTTGAAGTTCACAATACTTAGTAAAACATATCATTGAGGTACAGAAAAGGTTCCCATCCTTCTCTCCTACTACCATTCCCTTAGTCTATTTATTTATTTTTTTAGAGACAGGGTCTTGCTCTTGCTTCCAGGCTGGAGTGCAGTGGTGCAATCACAGCTTACTGCAGCTTCAAACTCCTGGGCTCAAGAGATCCTCCCACCTCAGCCTCCCAAGTAGTTGGGACTGCAGGCACCTATTATCACATCTGGCTAACTTGTTTTTGTCTTAGTCTGTTTTGTGCTGCTCTAATGGAGTAACACAGATGGGGTAATTTATAAAGAAAATAAATTTATTTGGTTCATGGTTCTGGAGGCTGAGAAGTTCTAGCTGGTGGGGCTGCATCATCTCATGGCAGAAGGGCAAGAGAGCATGAGAGAGGAAGAGGGGGCCAAACGTCCTTTTATAACAAACCCTCTCATGATAATAAACCCACACCCATGATAATGACATTAATCCATTCATGAGGGCAGAGTCCTCATGACCTAATCACCTCTTAAAGGCCCACCTCTCAATACTGTTGCATTGGGGATTAAGTTTCCAACAGGTGCTTTTCTGGAGGACACATTCAAACCATAGCATTCTGCCTCTGGACCCCCCAAATTCCTGTTCTTCTCACAATGTAAAATACATCCATTTTATCCCAATAGTCTTGAAAGTCTTAACTCATTCCAGCATCAACTCAAAAGTTCAAAGTACAAACTGTCATATAAATCAGAAATGGGGAAGATTCAAGGCATGATTCACCCTGAGGCAAGTTCCTTCCAGTTGTGAGCATGTGAAATCAAAAGAATATGTACTTCCAAAATATAATGATGGGACAGGTATAGGATAGACATTCCCTTTCCAAGAGGGAAAAGAAGGCAAGAAAAAAAGGGGTACCTGCTCCTGAGTAAGTCTAAAACCCAACAGGAAAAATAACATTTAGTCTTAAAGCCAGAGGATAATCTCCTTTGATTCCATGTCCCACACCTTTGGCACACTGGGGTGGGGGTTGGACCTCCAAGGTCTCAGGAAGCCCTGCCCTATATCTTTGTTGGGCTCACTCAACCCAGTAGCTCTGACAGGTTGGAGGCTTGTGCCTGCAGCTTGAGTTGCAAGCTGGTGGCCCTACAGTTCTGGGGTCTCAGGCGTTGCCTCACTGTCATGACTCTACTCGGAATTACCCTAGTGGAGGCTCTCTTTGGTGGCTCCATTCCTGTGACAAGTCTCTGTGTTGGTCCCCAGGCTGTCCCACGTGTCCTTTGAAATGTAGGTGGATGCTGCTGTGGCCCCACAGCTTCTGCATTCTGCACACCTGCAGAATTAACACCATGTGGATGCTGCCAAGATTTGCTGCCTGCACCTGTCAACTGTAGAATGATGAGGTTCATAAATTTGAAATGAAGAACTTTATTTCTCATAAAGGGTTGCAGCCAGCAGAGTGGCCATTCTGACAGACTGGAAAGGGAAGCCACCTGCCAGAAGCCCAAAACAGATACTTTGAGAGAGGGACAAAAAGAACAAAAGTGTATGCTAAGTGAGGTGGCTGAATATATATATTCAATAAGCTACAGGAGAAGTTATGAATATTTATGAAAGGAGAAACATGAGCATGCACAGTTGAGCTTCATGTCCCTTCAAGGGTCCCATGTTCAAAAACTGGCAGCCTTAGCATAATCCAAGGGTGGAGTTTTTGGCCCTCTGACCTCAAAAGCCGTAGCAGAGGGCACAGAAACCCTTACTGTGCATTCTCTGTAGACTGGTCAGAACCACTCCGTGGTTGGTGGTCTCTTAGGCAAAAAAGGAGGGGCAGCATCAGGTAGTTGGTTGATATCAGTGGTGGAGTCTTTTGAAAGAGCTGTAAAGCCTTGAGGAAAGAAAACCTCATTGTGGTTAGCGAGGGAGTGGGTGTTACAAGAGGTGTGTCTGAGCCTCCCTCCTATCGTGGCCAATAATTCAGTTTTCAAGGTTACTTTGGGGTCCCCTTTGCCAAGAGATGGTCTGTTCCATCAGTTGGGGGGCTTAGAATTTTATTTTTAGTTTACATACCTCCTGAAGTTTTGGCCTGAGCCACACTTGAGTCCCTTGAGCCATACCTGGTATAACTAAGGAGTGCTGCCATAGAATATGGAGAGCAAAGACTTGAGGACAACACTGGGAAACTAGCCCCAAGTTCCCAAGGATGCCCTGGTCCTTTCTTTTGACATATTTCCTTCTCCCAGGACTTGGCACTCTGGACCTGTGATGAAAGAAGGTGACAACAGTAATCTCCAAAGTGCCATCAGGGTCATTCTCCCATCATCTTGATGAATAGACTCTGGCTTCCTTCTATCCGTATTAATCTCTTAGCAAACAGTTGATTGGCCACACCTTTAGTATTCTTTCCTGGACAGCTTTTCTCTTCTTTACATGGCTGGGCTGAGAGTTTCCCAAACCTTTATGTTGTATGTTCCTTTTAATTATAAATTTCATTTAAAAATTGCCTTCTCTCATTTTATTATAAGTGGCCAAAGGAATATTATGCTGCTTGAATATTATGCAGCACTTTGAATATTATGCTGCTTAGATATTTCTTTTGACAGATATCCTAGTTCATTGCTATTAAATTCTGCCTTCCACAAAGTCTTAAGACATGGACATAAATTGAAAAGTTCTTTGCAACTTTATAACAAGGATGACATTTACTCCAGTTTTTAATACCTTGTTCCTCATTTCTGTTTGAAACCTCATCAGAATGGCCTTTACCATTCATATTTCTACCACATTCTGGTCATGGCACTTAAGGAATCCCTGAGAAGATTTATGCTCTCCATACGGCACTTGTCTTTTTCTGAGCCCTCACCAGCATTGCTTTGAATGCTCCACTTACGGCAATCTAGGCTTTTTCTAGCTTGCCCCTCCAAATTCTTTCAGCCTCCACCCATTACCTAGTTTCAAAGCTGCTTCATTTTCGGGTGTTTGTTATGGTCAGTCCCCATTCTCAGTACCAATTTCCTGTCTTAGTCTGTTTCGTGCTGCTGTAGCAGAATAACACAGATTGGGTAATTTATAAAGAAAATAAATGTATTTGGCTTATGGTTCTGTAGGCTGGGAAGTCCAAGATTGGGAGACCACATCTGCTGAGGGCCTTTGTGCCACACTATCCCATGGTGGAAGTTGGAATGGCAAGAGAGCATGACAGAGCAAGAGGGGGCCAAACCCACTTTTATAACAAACCCACTCTCATGATAACAAAATCACTCATCCAATAACCACATTAATCCATTCACAAGGGCAGAGACCTCTTAAAGGTTCCACTTGTCAATACTGTTGCACGGGGTTTAAGTTTCCAACCCATGCTTTTTGGGGAACACATTTGAACCACAGTAACCACCCATATACATTTTTCTCAATAGCCCTGGAAGTGGTTATAGCCCTATGAATAGGCTGCCTGAAAATGCAGACAAAAGAGAGAGGTGGTGTTGTCTCTGAGTAGTTAGATTTATTAACTTCTGAGTACTCTTACTTGGAAACCCTTCTAAGTAGCAGGAAGATTTTTCAAGTGCCTGTGTGTCCACAACTACTCTTTCTACCTCCACTTTTTTGTCTGTTCAGTCTATTCAGCAGTCTTTGGTTTAGTCTCATGAAAATATAACTTTAGGTGAGTTATTGCCCCACTTCAAACGCTTCAGTAAATTCTTGCTGCCTTTGGAAGGAGATTTTTAACCAGAAGAATGTTTTTTTTTCTCTCGATTCTCACAACCTTAAACTAAACCCATGATCTCCCAAAAGAAAACCAATCTCATGATTTAGCAATTTCTTTGTATTTGCCCATAAGTGGCATATCCTACCTTGTTCATTAGCTATATTCTGTAGGGTGGGTGTGAATTTTTTAATATATTTTAAAAATTCCAATTCATTCTTAAAGGATAAAGCTTTTCTGCCACACAAAATAATCCAAACAACATGTCACAAGCTGTGAAATAAGTTCTAAAAATGTTTTCAGTAGTAGCAAACTCATTGGAAAATGTAAATAATAATACTAAAAAAGAAAACACCACCTATAGTAGCCACCACAAAGGAGAGAAAACTAATAGGAGGCATACATTCTAGCATAATTTTTAATTGAAATTTTAATTGATGTAATTGTAGACCCACATGCAGTTGTAAGAAACAGTAGAGATACTTTGTATACTCTGCCCAATTCCCCCAATGGAAACATTTTATAAAACTATATTCAGACTTCTTGTAGTCTTAATATAACAACCAATCTAGACATTGACACATGTTATCAATTGTAAGAAACAATAGAGATACTTTGTATACTCTGCCTAGTTCCCACAATGGAAACATTTTATAAAGCTATATTCAGACGTGTTGTAGTCTTAATATAACAACGAATATAGACATTGACACAATTTTATCCATCTCATTCAACTTTACTAAGTTTTACTTTATTTATTTATTTATTTATTTAGAGACAGAGTCTCACTCTGTCATCCAGGCTGGAGTGCAGTGGCACAGCTAGCTGCAACCTCTGCCTCCCAGATTCAAGCAATTCTGGTGACTCAGCCTCCCGAGTAGCTGGGATTACAAGCATGCACCACCACACCCAGCTAATTTTTGTATTTTTAGTAGAGACAGGGTTTTGCCATGTTGGCCAGGCTGGTCTTGAACTCCTGACTTCAAGTGGTCCACCCGCTTTGGCCTCCCACAGTGCTGGGATTACAGGTGTGAGCCACGGTGCTAGGCCAGTTTTACTTATATTTTAGTATGTGTGTTTTAAAATTTCAATAACATTTTGTCATTTGTGTAAGTTCATGTATCTACAACCACAGCCAAGATACTGAACAGTTCCAAAACCACAAGGATCCCTCCTGTTACCCTTTTATAGTCAGAGCCATCTCCCTTCCCCCAGTGTGGTGTCTAACCTTTGGCAACCACTAATCTGCCACTGTCTTCCGTATCTATAAATTTTTCGTTTAAAAATATTATATATATGGAATTATACAGACTGTAACCTTTAGGATTGGCTTTTATCGCTCAGCATAATTTCCTGAAGTTTCATCCATGTTCTCGTATGTATCAATAGTTTGCTCCCTTTTATTGATATGTAGTATACATTGCTCTGGTTTCTGTATTATCTATAATACTGAAGTTTAACCATTAACCTGTTGAAAGACATTTGGGCTGATTCTAATTTTTGGCTATTACAAATAAGACTGCTATGAACAATCATGTACAGGTTTTTGTGTGAACACATTTTATTTCTCCAAGGAGAAAATGCCCTTTTGCACAGTTGCTGGTGGCAGTTGCATGTTCGGTTTTAAGAAACTGCTAAACTGCTTTCCAGAGTGGCTTTATTGTTTTGCATCTCTACCAGCAAAAAAACCAGTTTTTCCATATCTGCTATAGCATTTGGTGATGGCACTTTTTTTGTGTGTTAGCCATTTTGAATGGTATGCATTGATATCTCATTGTGATTTTAATTTCCATTTCCCCAATGGCTAATGATGTTGAAAATATTCATTTGCCATCTGTATATCCTTTTTAGTGAAATGTCTGTTCATGTCTTTTGTCAATTTTCTAATTGCATTGCTTGAGAGTTCTTTATATATTTTGCATACTAGCCCTTTGATGGATATGTGGTTTGCAAATATTTTCTCCCACTCTGGAGCATGTCTTTTCATCCTCCTTACATGGGCTTTCACAGAGCGAAATTTTGATGTCTGGCATGGTTTAAAAGAAGCATTCTTAGCCTTTTTTTTTCAGGTCTAACGGGCCCTTGAGAATCCGATGAAAACTGTAGAATCTTGACAGAAAAATATACATGCACAGAATAATTTGCATCTAATTTCATGGAATTCATGGCCTCTATAAAGTTTGTTGATGGACCATATGTTATGAACTCATGGCTTAATTAATGTTGCATTAATTTCCAGCAATCCCACATAAGACTCTAGGGAGAGTTACCCTCCCTCATCAAAGTAAAAAGTGGGAAACCCTGTAGCTTACAAAAGTAAGAGCAAGTTTCTCAGCCAGGCTTTATCTAGGACCTGACCCAAGTGTTCCTTTCACAGTAATACATTCCTTTACTTCTCTGGGAGACATTGCCAGATTGCTACCTTAAACGTTGATAGATTGAAGAGCTACTCCACAAGAAGCAATCTTTTCATACTGAACTCAGACTTTTAGGTATCAGCAAATGAATGAACTTTTGGGCTTTTGTACCCGCCAGTTCAGTTTTAGCAGCATGACTCTTGTCTATGTGATTTATTACTTTTCTTGCTCTACCTTTATAAAAATGAGGGGAAAATAAATAGAAATGAGATATTGATGAAGAAGCAAGGATCTGATAAATTTGATATGATCACATGCAGTTGTGAGAAACAATACAGCGATACTTAGGTGTGCCCAAGCAGAGAATTGTCAGTATCAGCTGGGTTTTCATTGAACTTGATTATATATATATATATATATATATATATATATATATATATATATATTTTTTTTTTTTTTTTTTTTTTTTTTTTTTTTTTTGAGACGGAATCTCGCTCTGTCACCCAGGCTGGAGTGCAGTGGCGCGATCTCAGCTCACTGCAACCTCCGCCTCCCGGTTTCAAGCGATTCTCCTGCCTCAGCCTCCAGAGTAGCTGGGATTACAGGCGTCTGCCACCACACCTGGCTAATTTTTTGTATTTTTAGTAGAGATGGGGTTTCACTATGTTGGTCAGGCTGGTCTTGAACTCCTGACCTCAGGTGATCCACCCGCCTTGGCCTCCCAAAGAACTTGATAATATATTTCATTGTGAGGGGAGGGCAAAAGTAAAGCACATGTAGGAAAAGCTAGAATATATGTTGTTGAAAATTCTGGCTAAAAGGAAATGTGTAATTAAGAGTGTTATTGCTGGGTCTCTGGCAAAAGGACTCCTGGCCCCTATAAGTCTATTCATTTTTGTCACAAATGTAGTATGTGTGTTTTAAGGATGGATTATGTATAAACATAGGAGGCTGATGACGTTTGCTCTTTCTGGTTCATAAACCTATTGCTTCAACCCCTCAAACTCCTTTGTGTTTCCTAAAGATAGCATGTCCTTATCTGTCTTCATACTGAACTCCGACTTTCCATTTACAGAACTTCTTTATCTGTTTATGCTTGCCTGACATTACCATGTTCTGCCAGTCCAGTGGTCTTCCTCCTTGCATCCTCTAGCTTCTCATGGATGTAGATCATATTATCCCAACTAGATTCTGAGCTCATCAATGATACAGTCAGCATTCTATATATTTTAATATCCTTCCCTAGATGGCCTGCATAGTGCTTTGCACATAGTAAGTGACAGTACATTGGGTTTTGGACATGAAAGACATACTTTAGAAATTTATTGCTAATGAGGAAATTGATACCTTGGTAGGTCGTATCTTGCCCATGATGCTTGAGTGATGATTGAGCTTTGCGTTGACATGAACAATACATTAAACAGACTCATAGCATAAGTAAGATTGTAAAGGTGATGTCTGATAGATTGAGAACAAGCTTTTAAAGGGCTTAATCACTTTGTGTGCAAATATATCCTGCGAAATACAAGTGAGTGTGACAGGTTTGGCGGAACATTTTGTTAGCAGCTAGCTTGTGCTCCTCTTTGTACTTTATAAACGTTAGGCTGCACAATTTCAGACTGACTGGCTCTCCTTCCTCCCTATCCCCACAACCACCATTAGTTTGAATTAATGAGATCTTAGTGAACAGTTACTTTGTTGTTTCCTTTCTAATCTTCAGACATCTCCCCACTGAGTTTACCAAATAATTCAACCCTTTCACTTAAAGCAGCTTAGACCTGCATAACTCAGGTAGATAACTGTAGTCTGAAACAGGTCTATAGACACTGTTGTGTGTTCAATAATAGGTTTATTTCAAATACTGTCTCCCTACCCATTTCCATTGTGCTGGCATTGAAGGTTTTTACTTAGACTTGGCCTTATCTCCCAGCTGTTTACTGTTCTTTTCCAGTTAGTATAACAGTTGTGAAATGCAATTATAAGCCTACATTCCTAGGTTAGTATAAGGAACTGTGAGTCAGCATTTCCTTCCAAATGCAGAAAGTTTCAAACTAACATGGCAAATAGAATTACCTCAATAGTTGTTGCTCTGTCCTTTGAATTTTCAAACTGTAGGGGGACCATTCAGCTCTATAAAATCAAATAAAATTCTGTGGAGCTTTATGTCTTACATTTATTTGGTACAATGTATTTGGAATTCCTGATCCCTGGAGGTTTCTCTGGGCCATCAGGTTTAGGCTGAGCTGGGTAGGCCTATTTCAGACCCTCCTGGCCCCAATTACCAGTTACTGCTGAGTCATTTTGGTCAGTTTAATATTTAGAGATTCTGAGTGATTTCATTTGAAATAAATATTCAAAGTCTTAAAAAATCCTTTTATATACTTAACATGTAATAATAATAATAATAGTTAATAGTTGCAACTAGCATTTAGTGTTTCTGGTAGACACTAAGTTTTTTCTCTTTTTACCCTATCAAATCTCTTAATCGTCACAACAGTCTTTGGGATAGGTACTATGATTAATTCTACTTGACAGACGAGGAACTGGCCAAGGAAAGTAAAATAGTGAACCTAAAGTCATGCAATTAAGACATACTGTAGGCCGGGGCAGTGGTTCACACCTGTAATCCCAACACTGGGAGGCTGAGGTGGGAGGATTGCTTGAGCTCAGGAGTTCAAGACCAGCCTGGGCAACAGAGTGACACTCCATCTCTTTAAAAAAAAAAAAAAAAGGTGGGTGTGGTGGTATGCTCCTGCAGTTCCAGCTACTCAGAGGGCTGAGGTGGGAGGATCACTTGAACTGGGGAGGTCAAGGCTACAGTGAGCCTTGATTGTGCCACTGCTCTCCAGCCTGGGTGACAGAGTGAGACTCTGTTTCAAAACAAAAACAAAACCAAAAACAAAACATACCATAGCTGAGATTCAATGCAGCTTGTTCCCAAGCCTGTATTCCTAACTGTGAAGCTTTTGCTGTCTTTTAGCCAAGCAAATCACTGTCTTTCAGACCAGTTGTATGTTACAAAAGGACTTTGTGCTGAGGCTACAGAGAACATGGGATGGGATCAGACAGGCTGGATTTACATCTGCTAAGCCACTTCTAGCTGCTGGACCTCAGTCAAGTGCCACAACTTTGCTGAGCTTTTCTTTCCTCATATGTAAAGTGAGGACAGGAACATGCGAGGTCCCCTTATCTGAGGATAGCAGGTATGATATTGTGAAACATACACGGTATTTTGACTTCATTCTTTCTCCTGTTTCCTGGCATACAATGCCTAAACTCCTTAGAATCTCCCAAATGATGTATTTTTTATGCTAATGAGGTGACTGGTGGCTGGCAGCCCCTAGGTAGTTTCAGGATAGGCACTGGTCACAGGAAAGACTAAGGGAAGATTAGAGGATTGGGATTTTCAGCTCCACCCCCCAACCTCTGGGGAGAAGAGAGGGGCTGAAGACTAAACTGATCACAAATGGCCAATGATGCAATGAGTCATGCTTATGTAATGAAGCTTCCTTAAAAACCTAAAAGGACTGGGTTCTTGGAACTACTGGATGGCAGAACACGTGGAGGTTCCTGGAGGGTGGCACACCCAGGGGAGGGTAGGGAAGCTCCTTGCCCTTTTCCACATGCTTCACCCTATGCATTTCTTCATCTGTACCCTTCGTAATATCCTTTATAATAAACCAGTACATGTAAGTGTTTCCCTGAGTTCTGTGAGCCACACTAGGAAATTAGTCAAACCCAAGGAGAGGGTTGTGGGATCCCTGATTTATAGTCAGTTGGTCAGAGCACAGGTGAAACAACCTGAGACTTGCATTGGCATCAGAAATGTGGGACAGTCTTGTGGGACTGAGTCCTCAACCTGTGGGATCTGATGCTATCTCCAGGTAGTATGGGAATTGGAGGACACCCAGCTTGTGTCTGCTGCAGAATTGCTTGCTTGCTTCAACAAGCAAGGAAATTCCCCATCCCCCTGCTGAAGCATGTTGTGAGATTATAGTAGAAGAAACTGTTTTTTTTCTACTGAGTGGGTCACAGGGATGTCCCTTAATGTGAATCTCCTTAAAATGGAGACCAACATTTCATAGGAAGCAGTGGTGGAAAAAAGACTTGCCTGAGGTTCCATTGTGTGAAAATGAAAATAAAGTATGAAAATAAGCAGCCGGGTGTGGTGGCTCACGCCTGTAATCCCAGCACTTTGGGAGGCCCAGGCAGGCGGATCACAAGGTCAGGAGATTGAGACCAACCTGGCGAACACTGTGAAACTCTGTCTCTACTAAAAATACAAAAAAATTAGCTGGGCGTGGTGACGGGTGCCTGTGGTCCCAGCTACTTGGGAGGCTGAGGCAGGAGAATGGCATGAACCCAGGAGGTGGAGCTTGCAGTGAGCCAAGATCGCACCACTGCACTCCAGCCTGGGTGACAGAGCAAGACTCTGTCTCAAAAAAAAAAAAAAAAAAAAAAGAAAATAAGCATATTTATAAAGTTTATATTTCAATTCCTTGGCTAAAAAGGAACATAGGATCATGGTTAGTGGTACAGGCTGCATTTGAACACCATTTTCTAACTATGTAGTCTTATGCAATTTTCTAACTATGTAGTCTTATGCAAATTATATTTTTCAATTTTGTGGTAATTCTAGGAATGGATAGAACGTGAACCGTGTGTGTGTCTGTGTGTGTAGTATATGATTAATTAAGGAGGGGGGTGTGAAATTTTCTGATCAAATTGATTGACTCCGCACCATACAATCTACCAGTCACATTTGATTTTCTTTTCTTTTTTTTTTTTTTTTTTGAGACAGAGTTTTGCTCTTGTCACCCAGGCCAGAGTGCAATGGTGCGATCTCGGTTCACTGCAATCTCCTTCTCCTGGGTTCAAGTGATTCTCCTGCCTCAGCCTCCTGAGTAGCTGGGATTACAGGCCCCCACCACCACACCCAGCTAATGTTTTTTTTTTTTTTAGGCAGAGTTTTGCTCTTGTTGCCCAGGTTGGAGTGCAATGGTGTGATCTTGGCTCACTGCAACCTCTGCCTCCTGGGTTCAAGCAATTCTCCTGCCTCAGCCTCCCAAGTAGCTGGGATTACAGGCACCTGCCACCACACCCAGCTAATTTTTTGTATTATTTTAGTAGAGATGGGGCTTCGCCATGTTGGCCAGACTGGTCTCGAACTCCTGACCTCAGGTGATCCACCCGCCTCAGACTCCCAAAGTACTGGGATTACAGGCATGAACCAACATGCCAGGCCTCACATTTGATTTTCAAAGCATGATTGTGAGGGTCATTTTTATTAGAAATACCCAAAAACTTCTTCCATTTTCTCAAGGAGGGGGAAGGTGCTCTTATTTCTTTAATATGGACACTGTTATCTTTGAGACCTTTGTCTTATCATGATTTTCTTTTTAAGTTGTTAATGGGTCTCTGCCACATTCTCATTTAACTTGACAAGGGTTCATTTAACTTGATAAGGGTACATTTTGAAGATCTGCCTCTAAAAAGTGAGTCTTTTTCCCTAGTTGGCAAGCTCTAAGTATTTTTCCCAGTAGTTTTCCTTCAGGCTTTGTAGAATTAGGCATGGCCTATGGTGTGTGGCAAGCTTATCAAGTAAAATTCTCATCGAACGATAGCTTCATATATAATTTCAGCAGTTCTCATGATACTATTCTTTATTAAAAATGCCATGCTTTAAAAAATGTTCTAAATGTATTGTAAGTTGATTTGTCTTTTATTTACACCATTCAGTAACAACACCAAGACCAATGCAAACAAACAGTATACACAAAATCTGTTCTCTCTAAATATGGAATGATTAGAGAATAGATGCCAGCATTGAGTGGAGTGGAGGGGAATAGAGAATGATCGGGGAGGCAGTTGCTTGCGTAAGCTTTATTTTCTAATATAAGCGTTCAGTTCATTTTTTGAGTATTTTTATCTGTAGATAGCATTGGCTTCTTCATATAACCTTGTAATGGCAGGGACTTGGAAAGGAATCGTTAAGTAACAAGGACTTCCCATATATTCCTTTCAAGGCTGCTATGAGGATCATCTGAGATGATAATTGCGGAATATTGAGCAAGGTGCCTGAGTATTACCTGTTAATTAGTTTTGTAAAAGGCACACAAACCAATGTTTATCGACATATTCAAAGACAAAATTAAAGTGATAGGTTTTATAGTCATTCTGCCTTAGAATATTTTATTTAGATGAAAAATGTGAAAAATTCAGAATTTCATAAAGTCAAGAATTGATATTTTTCCATGTAAATGTTATATTTACTTTCCTCTTTTATTAAAAACATTTTTAGCCTGTTTAAAATAGTCTAATACTTTTTTTTAGAGTTAACAAACAATAAAAGATATTTGGATATTATGTATTCCCCGTAAGTCTATAATACTGTATCTTGATGTTCTTTTTATAAGAGCTTCCCCCATTTGGGGAACAAACTTAAAAATTCTGGCTGTGTACTAAGGCCCCAAGTCATCCCCTGGTGTCTGCCAGCAAATGTTTGGAAATACTTTGGTTTTTTTATGTCCCAAGAAACATTTCTGGAAAATGTGGTACAATTTTTTTAAGTACTTGACTATGAAAAACTTGGTAATTGCAGATGAAGAACTCAAACTTTCACAGATAGAATGAAATATAGAGGGTGGCATTTATATAGTGAAAAGTGACAGCACATCAAGGACTTAAGCAGTTGTAACTTGCCTAGCAAATACAAATTTGTTTTATTATCAAACTTGGTGTGAAAGGAGGCACAGCATGGTTTAGCCATGTGGCTCTGCAAGTGAGCATGGAACTCAGTGCTCTACTGTGAAAGAGGAATTAACTTGGGGAAAATCCAAATGAGAATATAAAATTTTAAAATATATTTCAGTTTGAAGTTTCCTGGTTTTATTGAGTATATATTTGCTCCAGCATATTTTTTTCTACAATTAGTCTATGAAATTCTATAGGGCTTTTAGAAGGATTAGGACTGAGGGTGAGTACTGTGGTGACTTTATTTTTTTTCAAGGAGTGAAAAGTGGTTGCTCTGAAAAACAAAATTAATTGCTGTTCAAATGGTTTTTAAATTTCTGTACTGAAAAATGGCAAATGGTAGAGTAATGAATAATGAAATACAAGTTATTGGCTATAAAGTGAAATGTAAATAACATTGTCTAGCCCTTGACATTTCACCTTTTGCTGAGATCATAGTATAATCCAAATTTGAGGGAGGCCTTTGATACAGCTGGTTTCTTCTTGACTGAAAAGTGCAAAGCGTTGGCATCTGGGTCCTTCGTGAAGCTGTGTGATTCTGGACTTTGGACTGTAGTCCACTGTAGCCTGCCTTCTCACTGTGTAAATACATAACTACATGGGCTCCCGTGAGCTTGCCACACGCCACAGGCTATGCCTAATTCTACAAAGCCTGAAGGAAAAATACTGTGAAAAATACTTATAGCTTGACAACTAGGGAAAAAGGCTCACTTTTTAGGTGCAGATCTTCAAAATGTACCCTTATCAAGTTAAAAAAAAAAGGGGGGGAGTTAGCATGTACCCTATTTAATGTATTTATTTATAGTCATTTATAAATCATATTACTGTAACAATGTATATATATTTTGACTAGGGACAGGGTCTGGCTCTGTTGCTCAGACTGAAGGGCAGTGGTGCAGTGGCACGATCATACCTCACTGTAGCCTACAACTCCTGGGTTTGGGAGATCCTCCTGCCTCAGCCTCCTGAGTAGCTAGGACTACAGGCATGCACCACCGTGCCCGGTTAATTTCAAAATTATTTTTGTAGAGATAGGGTCTTGCTATGTTGCCCAGGCTGATCTCAAACTCCATGACATGTTCTCTTTGGAAGATTAAATAAAAAAAGTTAGAAATCTCTTTCTCCAAAAATTTACAGAATGCCATGTGAGAGCTTTTGTAGGTAGCAAACTTTAAATGATTTTTTTGCAACAAAAGCAATGGAAACATGGACAGATACTCTTTCAAAATGTTGTTACTGGCTGGGCATGGTGGCTCATGCCTGTAATCCCGGCACTTTGGGAGGCCAAGGCAGGCAGATCACCTGAGGTCAGGAGTTCGAGACCAGCCTGGCCAACATGGCAAAATCCTGACTCTACTAAAAATACAAAAATTAGCTGGGTGTGGTGACACACACCTGTAATCCCAGCCATTTGGGAGGCTGAGGCAGGAGAATCATTTGAATCCAGGAGGCAAAGTTTGCAGTGAGCTGAGATCACGCCACTGCACTCCAGCCTGGGCCACAGAGCGAGACTCTGTCTCAAAAAAAAAAAAAAAAAAAAGTTCTTACTATGGCATGTACTATCTATATCTGTAATCTGTTTCTTTTGAAATACATTTTCTCTTTCACTTATTAAAATATCACTTTTTTTTCTGAAATGGCAGGTCAAAAAAAGAAAAAGAAAGTATTACTTTTTTCTTGAAGGAACAGGCTAATTGAAAAACCAGTAGGTTTATAGCACTTCTATTTTTGTAAGAGAAAATTATGTAGTACATGTTTAAGTTTGACAACTTTTTAAAGTACTTTGCCACAATATAACCAGCACGTCTCAATGTAGTATAGATTTTTATGGTTACTTCGCATCTCATTACATAAATTGCAAAGATTTGACCACATTGGAGTTCTTATTTCCACAAAATTAACCATGTTGATTGATTAATGTCCCATAGAATATTTTGTGCTTTTGGCTTCAAGTTCTTTGTTGCAGAACCTTGCTCATGAATGACAAAGTGAATGAGTCTTGTGTGTGGTGTTTTTAAAACTTCTTATAAGAGCAGCTGCCTTACCAGTGGTTGTACTTGAACAGTTTTCGATAGAACACTATTTTTTATTAAAAAAATAATTCACAGCTGGGCACCATGGCTCACACCTGTAATCCCAGCCCTTTGGGAGGCTGAAGTGTGTGGATCACCTGAGGTCAGGAGTTCAAGACCAGCCTGGTCAACATGGTGAAACCCCATCTGTACTAATAATACAAAAATTAGCTGGGCGTGGTGGTGGGCATCTGTAGTCCCAGCTACTCAGGAGGCTGAGGTAGGAGAATTTCTTGAACCTGGGAGGCAGAGCTTGCAGTGAGCTGAGATTGAGCCACTGTATTCCAGCCTGGGCAAGAGAGTAAGACTCCATCTCAAAAAAAAAAAAAAAAAAAAAAAAAAAAGGGATTCACTCTTCAGAATATGTCTCCATATTCTCACTTAAAATGATGGGTTTTGGATGGGAGGGGAGTGAGGGATAAAAGACGACACATTGGGTACAGTGTACACTGCTCGGGTGATAGGTGTACCCAAATCTCAGAAATCACCACTAAAGAACTTATCTATGTAACGAGACACCACCTGTTTCTCCAAAAACCTATTGAAGTAAAAAATAAAAATTAAAAAAAAATTTTGAGTATATTTTATCAGATAAAATCTAGCAAATACCACAAGTTGAGTTGTGAAAAACATCTGTACTTTTTTCTAAGTGTACAGCAAACTTCTTGCACAATTAAATTTGCTCTAATAGACTTGTTTCTTAAAATATTCAACAGTCTTCAATAGTTTTACTCATAAAGAAATTCCTTTTATCTTTTTTTTTCTTTAGAGATGGAGTTTTGCCATGTTGCCCAGGCTGGTCTCAAACTCCTGGGCTCAAGCGATCCACCTGCCTCGACCTCTCAAAGTGCTGGGATTACAGACATGAACCACCAAGCCTGGCCAAGGAATGCATTTTAGTTTGCTGCTTTATTTCTCTGTATTCTTTCAGCTATTTTTTTTTAGCTTCCACATTTCCTATAGTAATGCATTTTTTTTTTTTTTTTTGGCTATTAAGTGGAAATCCCAAAGTACTGGGATTATGTACAAAAATACATAAGGATCTTCTAATTTTATCATCAAGTTAAGCAAATTTTGTGAAAGACTGGAATTGTATAAGGCATGACTATAAACATAGATGACAAATTGCTAATATCTTGAAGTGCAGCAGACATTTAAGGTGAGGATCATAGTATATGCTAGTGGATATAAATTAATTTTTTAAATGCCTTCTTGATAATTTAGAATTTTGGAAGGATCAACTTGTTAATGTTCTTGGGTTGGCCATTATTTTTATTTTATGGGTGGCTGGTGAACAATTTATACTCGGAATAGGAGTCTCAGTTCTTTCATATTCTTGTTAGTATTATCTTTAATTTGAAGTTTCTGAGACTCTGGTTTGTAAAGTTAGTTTCATTAAAAATTGATGATTATAGGCTGGGCATGGTGGCTCACACCTGTAACCCTAGAACTTTGGGAGGCTGAGGCAGGCGGATCACTTGAGGTCAGGAGTTGGAGACAATCCTGGCCAACATAGTGAACCTTGTCTCTCCTAAAAAATACAAAAATTAGCTGGGCATGGTGGTGCATGCCTGTAATACCAGCTATTCGCTAGGCTAAGGCACAAGAATTGGTTGAACCTGGGAGGCAGAGTTTGCAGTGAGCCAAAATCATGCCACTGCGCTCTAGCCTGGGCAACAGAGCGAAACTCTGTCTCAAAAAAAAAAATTGATGATTATTTTCTGTAATCCCAGCACTGTGGGAGGCCAAGGCAGGAGGATCACTTGAGGCCAGGGGTTTGAGACCAGCCTAAACAACATAGCAAGACCCTATCTGTACAGAAAAATACAACTTAGCACGCCTATCATCTTAACCATGTGGGAGGCTGAAGCAAGAGGATTGCTTGAGCCCAGGATATCAAGGTTACAGTGAACTATGATTGTGCTGCTGCATTCCAGCCTGGATGACAGAGTGATACTGTTTCAAATAATAACAATAATAAATGGATTATTATAATCTATAAACCCATTTAAGTGGGTCCACATAAACTGCCATAGGGGCATGATATTTTAAATAAAATTGAGGGCTGAGAAGGGCCCTGTTGTCAAACCCTCTGCCTTGTAGGACCCTCACTCATCTCTCAAGATGTCTTAGGAAACATGACTTGGGACCTAGGAGGATGCTATCACCAGTGTGTATAGGAAGTATTAGTAGAACTTAAATGGTTTTATAAAAAGTACCTCAAAATAGAACTTTTCATATTCACTTTCTTGCCAAGTGTATCCTCTGGGGATTACTGTACTAAATATCACAATTCATTCTTTTTTTTTTTTTTTTGAGATTGAGTTTCACTCTTATTGCCCAGGCTGGAGTACAATGGCACAATCTGAGCTCATTGCAACCCCTGCCTCCTGGGTTCAAGCGATTCTCCTGCCTCAGCCTCCAGCTGAGATTACAGGTGCCTGCCACCCTGCCCAGCTAATTTTTGCATTTTAGTAGATATGGGGTTTCACCATATTGGTCAGGCTGGTCTTGAACTCCTGACCTGAGGTGATCCACCTGCCTCAGCCTCCCAAAGTGCTGGCATTACAGGTGTGAGCCACCATGCCCAGCCCCACAATTCATTCTTAAGAGAAGCCTCTAAAGTACTGCAGCAGAGCTCTGGCTGGGCATGGTGGCGCATGCCTGTAAGGCCAGCCACTCGGGAGGCTAAGGCACAAGAATCGCCTGAACCTGGGAGGCGGAGGTTGCAGAGCCAGGCTTGGCCTAAGGAGCAGAACCCAGGCCTCAAATGTGCAGTGGGAGGGAGGCAAGGGTGCAGGGACAAGTGAGTCTTCCTGTCTGCCCCATTTAGAATTCTCTTGCAGCCTGCTCCTCCATTTCTCCTAATCTTTCATTCTCTTTCATTCAGCTTGGAACTCCTTGAGGGCTGGACCACTTTCTGGTGGACCCAGAAGGCATGTCTTTATTATCTTTGTGTAATACCTGGCCCGCAGTTGGTGTTCAGTGAGTGATGCTGGGTTTTTTTTGTTTTTTTTCTAAGTAGGAAACAAGTTTCTAAGTGCTATTTGTTTACTTTTAAATTTTTAACTGTGGCAAAATAGACAACATAAAATTTACCATCTTAACCATTTTTAACATAGGCCAGTAGTGTTAAGTATATTCACATTGCTGTGAGACCATTACCGTTGTCCATCTCCAGAACACTTTCATCTATGCAAAACTGAAAGTCCATATCCAATAAAGAATAAAGTCCTCTGTGTCCCACCCCTGGCAACTACCAATCATTTTTTTTTCTGTTTCTCATGTCAAACTCATGTTTGATTACTCTAGGTACCTCATATAACTGGCATCATATAGTATTTTTCCTTTCTGTCTGAGTTCTTTCACTTAGGGTAATGTTGTCAAGGCTTGTCCAATTGTAGCATGTGTTGGAATTGTATTCCTTTTTAAGGCTGAATAACATTCCCCTGTAGGTGTATATCACATTTTGTTTATCCATCCATCTGTGCTGTTTTTAAAGGGGCAGGCACACCGAGAGGCAGATCCAGGTGCACACACCTGGCAGAGAGGTTGGTTAGCTTGACAGTGGGCTGCATCCTACCCATGTGTTCATGCAGCTGAACTCTCTGGCCCTCTGTGTAAGGGAGGCAATAGAACTATCTTGTCACTATGCTATTCTGCCTCACCTGGCCAAAAGTGGACTCTGACTTTGGAATCACCTGGAGCCAAGCGATGAACACAGGTGAAGCTTTCAACATGCTTATATTGACCTTTCTTGGCTTTCTGAAATATTTTTATTTTAGGAGCAGTCTATGGGATAGTGTCTGGGGTCATAGGGTTTCCATATGTGTGGAAACTAATATAAAATAATAAAGGTGGTGGGATATATATTTTTTCAAATTCAAATTGTTTTTATTTTGCCTCATGTAGACACTACATGTACTATAATTACTATGATTTTTAATTTTGATAATATATAGAAGGTTTACCATTTGAACCATTTTTTCAGGTACAACTCAGTGGAACTAAGTACATTCACATTGTTGTGCAACCATCACCCCCACCAGCCATCTCCAGAACTTCCTTATCTTCCCAAACTGAAACTCTATGGCCATTAAATAATAACTCTCCATTCTCCCCAACGTCCAGCTTCTGGTAATCTCTATTCTACTTTTTTCTATGAGTTGGACTATCTAGGTACCTCATATAAGTAGAATCATACAGTATTTGTCCTTTTGTGATTGGCTTGTTTTACTTAGCATAGTGTCTTTAAGGCTCATTCGTGTTATAACATGTACTAGCCTTTTGTTTCTTTTCAAGGCTGAATAATATTCCATTGCATGTGTATACCACATTTTGATTATCCATCCATCCGTCAATGGACATTTGGGTTTTTCTATCTTTTGGCTATTGTGAATCATGCTGCTATGAACATAGGTATAAAAATTTCTGTTTGAGTCCCTGCTTTCAATTCTTTGGGTATATACCTGGAAGTAGAATTGCTAAGTCATATGGTAATTCTACGTGTAATATTTTGAGGGGCCATCATATTGTGTTCTAGGGGAGGATATTTTATTTAGATAGCATCTTAGTCCTTTATTCTTTCATATTTTGTCTCTGCAGTTTTCCTATCTAATGAGTTTGCTTCTCCCTCCACAATATTGATAACTGGAGAGCTCTGCTGGTCGGTTCCATGGGGCCTCCTGCAATAACTTCTCTTGTTTATTATTTTCATTGCAGATGCGAAAGCCATGGAGTTGAGCTGCAGCGAAGCACCTCTTTACGTAAGTTGCTAAGCACGGGGCTTCAGGTCCAAGGGGCCCTTTCTTAACTCCAAACCATGTGACTGAAGTGGGGAGAAATGTTTTTCTTGCTATTGAGTTAAGGCTTTTTAAAAACAACACACTGAGCGTTACTGTCTAGTTCAAGTATTTGCATGGAGCGTTTTAAAACTGGTTGGCTCCTGTTTTAAACTCTGGATTTTATATTTCCCTCAGTATTTTTTTAAGTGTGTAATTTCTGGATTCAAACACTCAGTTCACTCATATGAGTGGTGTGTGAATATATTATTTTATGATAATATCCTGATAATAGTCAAGAACTTTTCTATGTGTGTCTTTTTGAGGGGAAGGTTTCATGATAATTGTGTCAGCTAAAAGTATGAAATAAGAATTCAAACAAAAAGTGTTGGGACATAAACAGAAGTGGGAGTTGGCGCTGGGGGGGACAGGAATGCCCAAGGAGATTTGTACTTAGATGTGCCATCTAGGCCCAGGAGGATGCCATTCTGAGAACAACTCCTGGGGGTAACAGGGAAGTGAACAGATTGTTTCCTCACACAGAAAATGGCAGATGGCCTCATCTTTCCTCCTTCCTTCTGATTTCAGACAAAACTTCCTTTCTTGGGAAGGAACTGTGTTGGTGTGAGGTGGGGCCTGGGCAGGTGGGCCTGGGTGTGTGAGGAGACTGGAGTTTAGAGCAAAATTTCAAGGAATTGAAACAAATTTTATTTTTTTTATTTTTTATTTATTTATTTATTTTGAGATGGAGTCTTACTCTGTCACCAGGCTGGAGGGCAGTGGCATGATCTAAGCTCACTGCAAACTCCGCCTCCCAGGTTCAAGCGATTCCCCTGCCTCAGCCTCCCAAGTAGCTGGGATTACAGGCACATGCCACCACGCCTGGCTAATTTTTTGTATTTTAGTAGAGATGGGGTTTCACCATGTTGGCCAAGATGGTCTTGATCTCCTGACCTCGTGATCCGAATGCCTCGGCCTCCCAAAGTGCTGGGATTACAGGCATGAGCCACCACACCCGGCTGGAATTGGAACAAATTTAATCAGAATCCTCAATTGATGAGAATAGATTCATCCACTTCCCACACTTCACTACCCAGCCAAGTGCCTACTCACTCACCCTCACTCCCTTCTACACATGACACATACTTCTCTGGAGGAAGACAGAGTCATAAACCAAATTGATTCCAGAATAGTAGAAAAGCTGCCCCTTGAGTTGCCCAGTGATCTCTAGTACTCTCTCTAGGTTGTGATTTTCAGGCCATAAAATGTGCCTGTAGACAGTTGGGTTTGGCCCAGACATGATTAAAGATTAAAAAAAAGGCTGGACTGAGGCTAAATTGTAAAGTACTCCCAAATCTTACTGCTGTTTTTTCTGTGTGTGCCTTCCTATTCCTCACTCATTCCACCCTCCTCCCCTACCTCAAAACAGACAAATCCACAAGCCTAATCGTGATAGAAGCCTTGTAGCTGACCGACCTCCTCATGTAGCTATTTTGACCATAGACTTACTAGATTGTGACCAGATTTGGGGAAAAACCAATACACATTGCCCAAGGAGAGAAGAGATTTAAATGAACCAAATAAAAACAAAAACAAGTTTTTCTTTTTTCTTTTTCTTTTCTTTTTTTTTTTTTTTCGAGACGGAGTCTGGCTCTGTCACCCAGGCTGGAGTGCAGTGGTGCGGTCTCGGCTCACTGCAAGCTCCGTCTCCCGGGTTCACGCTATTCTTCTGCCTCAGCCTCCTGAGTAGCTGGGATTACAGACACCGCCACCACGCCCGGCAAATTTTTTTTTGTATGTTTTTAGTACAGACAGGGTTTCACCGTGTTAGCCAGGATGGTCTCGATCTCCTGACCTCGTGATCTGCCTGCCTCGGCCTCCCACAGTGCTGGGATTACAGGCGTGAGCCACCGTGCCCAGCCAAAACCAAGTGTTTCTAGTTATTAAAAAAATGCTGATAAGAGTAAAATGAAAAGTACAGGAAAGTGTTAAGAAAATAAGTCATAATCTCACCCCCATGGATAATGTTATTATATTAAAATACTAATATATTTTATCATTTTTAAGGTGTAATTTTTCTTCTCATTTTAACATCTCTAAAATTGAGATGCTCTTACATTCACTGTGCTTCCTGGCAGATGTCATTACCTACACGTGTGTGACCTTGGTTACAGGGGTTCATATTGTTGTCATTTCAGTTTATTTATATACCTTGCTGGTGCTACATAAATTAATTGCTTTCAAAATGACTTCACCATGATCTAGCATTATAAGGCAAAGTTACTATGTAACTAGAAAGACTTGGAAATAACAGCATGTTACATGATAAAATCTATGTATAGATTAATTTAGAAAAGGTCTTTTAATAAATATAAAATTCTAGGTAATTAAAAATTACATCCTAGTTGGCATTTTTTCTAGTAGAATATTAAATGTATATTATAAATAATGATATCTTAGATAAAATATATGAAATATATTTAACATAACTGACACTACATATGATAGAGTATATAACATTTTTTAATTTAATTTAACATTTCTGGTCAATATTATTGCAAAATGAATTAAGCCAATCTAGCCACTTGGCCTCATCCAGCAAGAGGTCATTAGAGATATGTCATAATGAAAATGAGTCTTAAACCAAAATCTACCAAATGGGTAATGTCGTGCAGACAGAGCAGACTCAAAACTGTCCTACAATTTGTTTCTGTATTTTGGGGAAGAACCTGCTCTCTGCCCTTCTATCTTCAGAGGTTTGGTAAATATTCACTTCTAGTTTCTCTTAGTTTACTAAATTTTTGTTCATAAGCCCTTAATATTTTTTCTTATTTATATATATTTATTGTAAAATATTAGAAAGAGACCCAGCAAAAAGAAAAAATTAAAACCTCATGTTTAATCCCATGGTGAATGATAAGCTCTGTTGACATTTTGATACAGATTTTTCCAGAGTTTTATCTATATCTCTGTTGAATTTTATCAAGGGTCCTTTTGACATTTATTTAGATGATACAGTGTTTTCTCATTTGATAGTGATTTATTCAATCTCTTAATTTTGGTGACTTTATGTATGTACTTCAAGTAATCCTACTTAGTTATTTTGACTATTTCTTTTGGAAAAACAAAATAACTCTGGCAAGTGTGTAATAAAGATATCCTCTCCATTGGAATTTGTGAAGAATCCATTACATATTGGGAGGCTATATTAAAATTATAAAATAACACTATGCATAATTGTATGTTAATGCACTAGAAAATCTAATTACAACAGACTTTTAAAAATATATAAATTAATAAGATTTACCTCAAGGACAATTAGATTACGTAAGTGGAACAATAATCAGGAAGGAAAAAAATTGATTGAAATTATTCCCCAATTTCTACCCACCTCTCAAAAAAGGGCACCTCATTCAGATAGGTCTTATAGGTGATTTTTTATTCCTTTGCTTATAACCTGTTTTGATGGAATTCTTATAACATTTTTATGGCTAAAATTCTTCTTTGTCTCTATTTGTCGGGTCACTTTAGAGAATCTTTCCTGAAGATGATAGACATCTTTATACCTATAGAAAAATCTATGGATGTAAATATTTTCTTAAATTCCCCATGCATTTTGCTTGGATTGATAAAGAACATTTTTTATTTTTCTTTTTAAAGATTGTTTCTTCCACTATTGTTTTCCCCTTCTAGACAGAACAACTAATATCCAAAGATTGGATTGTTTTTTTCTTTTTGGGGAGAGAGGAGGGTTGCATTCTGGAAGGCTTTTTTTTGAGATGGAGTCTCACTCTGTCTCCAGGCTGGAGCACAGTGGCACAATCTTGGCTCACTGCAACCTCAGCCTCTGGGTAAGTGATTCTCCTGCCTCAGCCTCCTGAGTAGCTGGGACTACAGGTGCATGCCACCACGTTCAGCTAATTTTTTTGTATTTTTAGTAGAGACGGCATTTCACCATGTTGGCCAGGATGGCCTCGATATCTTGACCTTGTGATCCACCCACCTCGGCCTCCCAAAGTGCTGGGATTACAGGTGTGAGCCATCACACCAGGCCAATAATGTTTATCTTTGTTTTCCACTTAAGTTTTCAGTAGCATCAAGTTGTTTTGTTCCTTGCTTGCCAGCACAATTTTAGATTCTATCACTTTTAGTTTTTATGTAGCTTTGTCAAATCTTGGCCTTTTTATGCCCACGTAGTTTTATAGAGATAATCTTTTACATTTTATTATGAGCACAAAGCAAGAATTAAATTTTTGTTTTTCTGTACCTTTCAGGAATCTGTTTCAGAAGGAGGTGCAGTCTTTGGCTCTGTCTCTTGTGCTGTAGAATTTTTTTGGCTCATTTCTGTTTGCTCATTTTTAGGAAGGAGACTCTATTTTCTTCTTGGAGATATAGTAATATTCCTGAACTCAGCCACAGATTCAGTTAAATTTTTATTTGATTTATTTTTTTAAATTTATTTTGAGATGGGGCCTCACTGTTGCCCAGGCTGGAGTGCACTGGCATGATCTTAGCTCACTGCACCCTCGACCACCTGGGCCCTAGCAAGCCTCCTGCCTTAGCCTCCCCAGTAGCTGGGACTACAGGCACATGCCACCATGGTCAGCTTTAGTCTAATTTTTAAAAGAATCCATGGCAGTTCCCTGAGTTGCAGTTGCAGAAAAAGAGAAACACTACTAAGATCAGAGAAGAAGCAGGAATTGGCAAGACTGGCAGCCAAGAGCTTTATAATATCACTTTGTGGAACCTAGGGATATATATGAGCATTGCAAATCCAATTTTTAGTCTCTAAGCAGCTTCCTGCATTCGTGCTTGAAAAGAAACTGAAGGAGCAGCACTGGAAGGCTAGTCTGTTTATTCCAAGGAGAAAAAGAAAAAACAAAAAAAAAAAACACCAGAGGCCTGCAGTCTGGTTTGAAGTCTAGGCTTAGTTTTTAGACTGAATGGTACAATAGTATTAGGAGGTGTATTTTAAGCTGGAAAGAATTGTGGTGGTGAAGCTAATGAGAAGTGCAAAAGCCTGGAAAAGGGTAAGTTAGAATCAGTGGAACCTAAGGTGTTTATTTTTCTGGCTGAAAATTCTTCAGTTAACACCACTTGGGAGCTTAAAAGTTCTGTACTGGAAATTATAAAGATATTTTTATTTTGGTTTTATTTTTAAATTAATTATTTTAAGATTTCACGTTGCCGTGAGAAAGTAGATAATTTTATTTTTAGATTATTGCTCTTAGTCTTCTTTTTCCTAGTTTGTGTGTAAAAAGAGATAGGAAACGATGCAAGGACAGCTTAAGAGGAGAGATTTTGCTTACTGGGCATTTAATTAAACTTTGAGAGAGGAAGAGATTTTGCATTTACAAGCCAATTTGTGTTTTTGCTAATGAATGCTTTTTGATTACATTTTATATTGAGTTTTCTCTACATTTTGTAAATCAAGGAGAATTATAAAACAAATACCTATTCTACTTATTTATCCAAGAGCTCCTTTTTTTACATTAATTATATTTTATTTTTGTATAAAGTATAATTGGCTGTGTGTGGTGGCATATACCTGTAATGTCAGCACTTTGAGAGGCTGCTTAGTCCTCCCTAGATCAGCCTGGTCAACATTGTAAGACTCTGTCTTTACAAAAAAAAAAAAAAAAAAAAAAAAAAGCCACGTGTGGTGGCTCAAGCCTATAGTCCCAGCTACTTGGGAGGCTGAGGTGGGAGGATCACTTGAGCCAAGGAGTTCAAGGCTGCAGTGAGCTGTAATCACACCACTGCACTCCAGCCTGGGTGAGAGAGCAATACCCTATCTCAACAAAAACAAAAGCTGTTTGTAAAGTATAATTAATGCTAGTCTTTCTGAAATATCAGTTTAGTGCTGTGAATAAAACAGAAAAGTCTTGCTTGAGAAATTGTTGGTTCCGAAGATTTTTCCATTTTTCCTCAATTAAAATGGCTTTATTTAAAATGATTAAATAACACTTGCTTATTATAAAGAATATAATAGTAAGTAAAATTATTAAAAAGAAAGTGAAGATCAGTTGAAGTTCCACCTTTTTTTTTTGAGACAAATTCTCGCCGTGTCATCCAGGCTGGGGAGTGTAGTGCGATCTTGGCTCACTGCAGCCTCCACCTCCTGGGTTCAAGCAATCCTCCTGCCTCAGCTCCCAGAGTAGCTGGGACTAGAGGCATGAGCCACCACACCTGGCTAATTTTTGTATTTTTTGTAGAGATGGGGTCTTGCCATGTTGCCCAGGCTGGTCTCAAACTTCTGGGCTCAAGAGATCCACCCACCTTGGACTCCTAAAGTGATGAGATTATTGGCATGAGCCACTGTGCCCAGTGAAATTCTCCTTTTTAGAGAACTTTATTAGTATTTTGGTAAACACTAAAATTTGTTTGGCAAATGTGTACACACACACACACACACACACACTCATGATATTTCATAAGGAATTATACGGGAATGCTGTTTTTATTATAATGGACAGGACCCCATTTCCCCTCACCCCCATTTTATAATTCCCGTTCCTGTACTCTGAGCTAACCCTTAGAGTCATCTCCTGCAGGGGTTCTTAGCAGCATCAGCATCCCTAGGAACTTGCCAGAAATGCAAATTCTCAGACCTCATGCTGGACCTACTGAATCAGACACTCTGTGGATGGGGCCCAGCAATCTGTGTTTTAATAAAACTTTCAAGCGATTCTGCTGTGTGCTAAAGATTGAGAACCATGGACTTAGTGCAAACATTTTCATGTTCTTCTGTATTCATATATACATATACAAGCTTTAGTAGAAGGATCATATTATGTGGACTTCTGTATCTTTTCCAACTCAGTGATACTTTGTATAAACTCCTATAAGCCATCAGACATAGCTCAAACTCACTCTAATTAATGAATAGGTATGGGTCAAGCTCATTCCCTATTGATGGCCATTCACTTTGTTTCAGTTCTTGGCAATCATGAACAATTATTCACCAGACATCCTGTCCATATGTCCTTATATGTTGATACTTTCATCTCTATGGGATAGATTCCTAGGAGTAGAATTGCTGGATGAAGGGCATACATATTTTAAATTTTAGTGGATTGCTTTGCAAATGAGATCTAATAGTTGACATTTTATTCAGCAACTTTCAGAAATATTTAATGTCTATTTCTTTAGCTTTAATAACTGATAATTATGTAGCTGGGGATTATGTTCTCATTTTCATTGTGCAAAGAAAGGAGGGATGTTAAATTTTGTATGTTGATTAAGTTGGTGAAGGGTTAGAAGTGTCCTTTATTTCTCCCATTTCTCAAATTCTGACTAATATGAGCATCTATTAGTCAGAATTTGACTAATCCGTGGAGATTTTTTTTAACATCTGCAGAGGGTGCATGTGTGAGACTGTGTGTGTGGGCTCTTGCTCCCTTCCACCCTTCTGAGGTGCTGTGCAGACATGTTAATCATAGCCACTGACTGAGAAGAGTGTAATCACTTTTTTCTCTGGAGGCTGCAAATTGTATAACCATTTGGGCAGTGGGAGTTTTTTGCTTCAGTAGCTTGTTTCCAGCTGGATCTAAGATACTTCGCTATTCCCTTAGCATTTTATGTTTATATTATTCTTTTATTCTGAGTCACTGTCTCCTGCTGTGTTTGGTCCCAAGAATGTTGGTTGCTGCTGGGCTCATTGTGGGTGTTGAAGGTATAATCTGATGTCTAGAGGTAGTGGGGGAAACTCTATCCTATTCAGCCTTTTCTAATTTCTGGATGTTGGTATAGCTTCCATGAATACTTGGTGGAGCATGCTCCCCTTGGTCCCAGCCTTCTGCAGGGAGGGCCGGAGGACAGGGCCCAAGTTGTCTGGATGGACTCTTCCCCAGCTCAGGGAAGCAGCTTCTTATTGAGGTAGTAAGTGACTTGGTGGCTTTGTTCTGGGGTCACCCAGCAGGGGCCTTCTTCCGGATCCCTGCAGATTCCCTGTGGCTTTTGGGTCCTGTGGAAGGAAATCCTGTCCTCCAGACACTGCCCTTCTCTCTTGGTGGCCCTCCATCCCCCAGTGGGCTACCTATGACTGGCCTCATGCCCATCAACTCGAAATATTAGTCTATGAGGGCATCTTGGGGACCTTTGCCTGGGCACCCTCACTTTGCTGATGAGGAGATTAGTCTCCAAGAGGGAGATTGACTGGCTTGACTAAGTTAACTCAGCTGGTTTGACACTCTGGATTTTAAAATGCTCTATTAGAAGTCATAAGAATAATTTTTTTTGACTCAGAAAATTTGTTAGTGGCAGATCCCACAATAAGCCTGGGGTTTTCCGACCTTCACTGGTAACGACCTTCCCCACTGCTCTGCCACATCTCCATTTCCTCATTGACCAAGTACTCAAAGGCACCATTTTATCCTTTCCTGTCCTGCAACTGCCTTTGAGCTTTCTGACATGAATGGGGCTCCTTCATGGACCTTAAATTAAAGGGTCTCTCTTTTCTTTTATCTCACTAGAGGATGCTGCTGGTAACTATGTCTAGGCAAGCCCTGACCTTCTGAAGCTCATTTGCTCACAAGAAGCCAGACCTATTAATTGATGGTCATTTGCTCCATTCAGTTCTTCCCAGCTCAAAATAATAGAAATTTTCATTAGCTCAGGTGTCAGAGGGTGGTAGGTAAGGGTGTCTTTCAAAACAGGTTAGTACAGCTAAGTCTAGCTTAGCCAATGGAATCGGGCAGGGCTTTTGCCTGAATGCAACTTCTAGATCACGTGTTTACTTTGTGCAAATTTGTTTTTAGCGAATTATATTAACTTTACTTGTGTCTTTATTTAAAACACAGCAGCATGTGCATCTCAGAGGATTGCCACCTGCTGGGGTGTTTCTGCCATTGTCAGTTAATCTGTGCTCCCTGAAGTTGGTTTTCTTTGCTGGCTTTTGTTTTCTACTAACTTAACTTGACCTTTTCCTATCCTCTCTGAATGGCCTTGCTTTTATCTCTTTGCCTTGTCTCCTGTTTTCCTTCTGAGGGGGCAAACAAATTCCAAAGCAGCAGTTCTAGCCATAGAGCAAAGAGAGGACCATGGTAACTGTTTTACCCAGCCTGGCCAGCAGCCACGAGATGTCAGTTCCTGGGAAGTCTGAAGCTCCTTAGCTGCTGCAGGAGATTGCTTGGTAGTTCTGGCAGGAGCAGAGAGGAAAAGCTTCTCAGACTTTAGCAAAACCTTTGACTTACAAACATTTTACAAATCCTCCATTAGCTTCATCCCATTTCACATTTTGAAAGAAACAGTTCCCTCTTCTCTCAATACAATGCCACTTTATGGTGCCCCCTCCTACTGTCACAACTGAGATGATAAGCTTCTGGGGAAAGGCCCAAAGGTGAATATACAACTACAGAAGACCACAGGAAGAGTCAGCCTAGCACCCAGCTTTGAAGAAATTTCTTAGTGGGTGTGAGTTTCAGGTCCGTGGGTAAGTAAGTGCCAAGTGTGCTTAAAGTCTGATGCTGCCTCACTTCCTGTATTTCAGTGACAGCTCCCACAATTTGGGTGGTGTGCAGCCTGTATTTTTAATAAAGAACTTGAAGTAGCCGATATTTTTGTTCTGTTTGAGTTTTTAAAATGTTTTACCATCTAAGTAAGGATTTTAGGCATGATGGAAATGGGTTAGAGTTTTCTCTGGGAGAAGCCTCAGTAAAAGAAATAACGTGATCCAGGTAAAATGTTTTATTTCCATATTCCAGAAAGGCAGCCCTTATAGAAGATGTGATTTAGCTATACTACCTTCTCAGCAGTTCCTCCTGCTTACACCTGAGGAGGGTGTGCATGTTTTAAATAAGTGTCTCTAGCTCTTGCCTTCTTTTCCTCTCCATATCTTGATGCTGTTACTTTTATCAAAACGGATCTTATGAAGGTCACTAAGTTTGCTCTTGCTTAATCTAAGGTGTTTATTTTCTCAAGTCCCCATTTAGTGCCATGCACTGTAAGAGCAGAGAGTGAGAAACAAGGTCTCACGTCCCTGCTCTCGCAGAATGCACTTGGGAGTAGGAGACAGAAAGTAAGTAGGTAAACGAATAAACAAATAAGAATTTCAGATGGTAGTATGGGTTAGGACAATACAAGGCTATGACATGGCAGAGAATTGTGTGTGTGTGTCATTAGTCTCTCTGGGATCTCCTGGAGAGCAGTCTAGTAGAGGGATCAGAAAGCACGAAGGCCCTGGAGTGGAAATGAACTTTTTGTATTTGAGGGACAACAAAAGGCCAGCATGGCCCTTGCATTGTGAGGGAGGGGAGAGGAGAGGAGACAGGTCAGAGAGGTGGGAGGGGCCAGGTCATGCCCATAGGTTGGTGGGGGAGTTGCATGATTTGATTTATGTTTAAAAAGTGTACTTTCAATGTTCGTGAACTCTGCTGGTTCTTTTTCAAGTTATCTCTTTGTCTATTGTGCTTTCCTCTCCTCTGTTGTGTGGGTGTTCCCCAGGGCCCTCTGCTTTCCCCTCTTTTTCTCGCGAGCTCATCTATTCTTGTTATTTAGACCACCACTCCTCCTGAAAGACTCCCACATGTGGGCCCTCTCGTCTTGACCTCTGCCCAGGCCTCGTCTTCCATTTCCAGCTGGCCTGTTTGCTATTATCACTCAGTTAGCCAGGATTTGACTTTAAGTTCAGACTGTTATATTTTTTAAAAGTTTTCCAAGTTTTCCTCTAAGCAACTCCTCTTTCCAACTTCCTGATTTCTGTTACCATCCCACCACTCTCCCAGGTGTCCTGCTTTAAGTTGAGTTTTTGTAATTCCTCCAACCTTTGTCCTCTGTCTTGATCAGTCATCAAGACCTGCTGATGGCCATGGCTGTCCTCTCTCTCTCCTCAGCCATTGTTCTAATTCACCTTTGGATTATTGCCCCTGGCCTCTTCAGAGTTGCCATTTTCTCAGAACTGGTGAAGACTTTATCATGTCTTTCAAGTATTATTTCCCTACATTCATCTCGCAACTCGCAGCCATATCATTTATCTGTTCTAATCAGACAAGTCCTCTCTACCCTAGTGGACTTTCCTCATTCTCTTATTTCTAGGACATCACCCAAGCTGTTTTCGTTCCATATCCAGGAATGCCACTAAGGTAGGAATGGGATGCAATATGGTATGTTGGTTATGACCTTGGATAGCTATGCATTTGGCCGTGCATCCTCTCCTGAACGCAGATTGTTACCCTTCATTACATTGCAATACCTAGTGCAGTGCCCAACGCACTGTAGGCTTTCACTAAACGTTTGTGGATTGAGTTTCTGGAGAATCATTGAGGGGAGGCAAGCTTGCTCTCTGACCCTTTATAGGAGCATTCCAGGCAATGGCTGTGGTCATTAGGGGGAGGGTCCCATTGACAAAAGTGTTGATAATTAAAGATGATTTGGGGTCACATATGTAGGACTGCAGAAACCCTTTACGCCATAAGCTCCAGCCATACCCTTCTGCTCTCAGTTCTTCGTGAATGCCATGCTTCTTCCTGGCCAGGACCTTTGTATGTGCGGTTGTCTTCACCTAGCATACTCTTGCTTCCTTCCCCTTTGTATAATTGAATTCTTACTCATTTTCCAGATTTCAGCTCAAATGTCACATCCTTAATATAGTCCTCTAGACATTTTCTATTTTGAGAGAGTATTGTTGTTATTGTTTTGTTTAGTGTCCCTTCTATTGTAAGCACCAATACAACAGAGACTCAAACATTCAATTAAAATTTGTAATTTGTCTTTATAAACGAATATTCATTTTCAATCTAATTTTGTTTTTATAATTTTATTCCTTTTCTGAAAGGAAATCCTTCCAATGGCATAATCTTCTAGTGGACAATTGTTTTTGTCCACTGATTTTCCAACACTAGTTTAGTGCTTGGCATGTATTACATAATAAATATTTGTTGAATTAGTACACAGTTCTAATTTAGTGCCATTCAATAAACAGCGGTTGAGGCTCCTCCTGGAGCACTCTTTAATTTTGTTGTTTGCTTATTTCTGTACTGTGAGTTTTCCCAGCAGGTATGTGACCATCACTATTTTGGGACTGGGACTGTCATTTGAGTTTTTGTATTCCAGCTGCACGAAGAGATAGAGAGATGGTCCAGCAGGAAGGTGCTGTCATCATAATCTTCAGTAAATTTGGAGGTTTGGGGAACATGTCTCAGAGTTTGAAACTTAACATTTTTAAGGTACTATATGGAATATGTAAACATTATGCAATAAAAAATTAAGGAAGTCTTTTCGAGGTAGACAATTCCTGGCTGAGAACTAGAACTTAACAGGAAGTTTTGTTAAAACTGTAGGGAATGAAAAGCTTACTTTATCAGACAGGAAGTTCCTGAAGAATCTCCTAACTCAGAAAAGATTATCTGTGAACGATGTCACATGAACTCTTTTTACCCCCTTCTTTAGCATTCTTTACTTAGTATCTCCCAGCACTTATAGTTACTGTAATTTGCATCTTTGAAAAAATCATTATGTTAATCTGTTTTCCATTACTTATAATAGAATACCTGAAACTGGGTAATTTATAAGAAACAAAATGTATATCTTATAGAACTAGAAGCTGGGAAGTCCAAAGTTGAGGGGGCACGTGTAGTGAGAGCTGCCTTGCTAGTAGGGACTCTCTGAAGAGTCCTGAGATGGCAGAGGCCATCTCACCTGAGGGGCTGAGTGTGCTCACACGATAGCTCAGGTCTCTCTCCCTCTTCTTACAGAGCCACCAGTCCCCCTCCCACAATAACCCATTAATCATGAATAGATTGACCTATTCATGAGGTCTCTGCCCTCATGATCCAATCACCTCTTAAAGGCCCTACCTCTCAATACAACCACATGCGGATTAAATTTCAACATGAGTTTCTGGAGGGGACATTCAAACCATAGCAACCATGAAGTTACTACCTTAGTTGATTAGAGCATCTCATGGTGCCCTACAACATGTTTTCACACATTAGCCATTTCATCAGAACCACACATCGTTTGGCAGTGGAGATGAACATGGTGATGTTAAGTGACTTGCCCCATGTGCATTTGTATGTGCATTAATTCACATGACAGATTTTAAGTTTCAAATACTAAGTGAAATACAGGCAGGGGCAGATGCAGGTTTTGTGAGGCCTGAAGATTATGCCATTGGAAGGATTCCCTTTCAGAAAAGGAATACAATTATAAAAATAAAATTAGATTGAAAGTGAGTATTCATTTATAACGATAAATAACAAATCTTAAAAAGCTGGCAAATTCCATAAACGTAACATTTCCAATTCAGATTCCTCTTATCCAGGTCCTGAAAATGCCCTCAGACATTCCAGTGCCACCCAACAGGAAGGAGAGTGTGTCCGAGGGGAAATTGAATGGAAAGAGAAAGCCAGCTTAACAAATTGTAGTTAAAATACCCCACCCCTTACCCTGCATAGAATACTTTTAATTTCTCTGTAACATCATCCACCAAGAACACTTTGGATAAACATCAAATTACAAGCTAATCTTGTGATATTCTATGTTGTTATTGTTGCTTTCCTCTGATGGAAATCTGGTGACCACCCCTGATTTGTACAGGTCAAATTTGATCCATTTTGAAAAGTCTCTTGCTACTGCAGATTAGAAGGAAATGACTGTATGACCATTTTGCTTAGGGTCTTCCCTAAGCATTGAAAGACGTCTTTGGGAGCCTTGAAGCTTCATTAGTGTGATATGGAAAATCTGCCTCTGGTTTCTGAGTTTTTTTTCAAAGATGGAGGAAACTGGCTGCCCTGCCCTTGAGAATTCGCTACTGGGGAGGCAATCGCATCATTACAGAAAGTGATTATGTGTGATAATTGTGATAAGTGTTGGATAAGAACATGCTGAGAATGCTCCTGAAGCCACAGGAGAGGCAAATGGACTGCAGAGCCTGTGTAGGAGCTGGGTTCACAATGGAGACTGGAATTAGCCGGGTCACAGGCAGGTGAAGGGTGGTCCAAGGAGAAGGCGTGGTCTGAGAGAGGGTGCCTGCACTGGTTGGCACCGGCTGACTGGAGGGGAGGGTTGCTGTGAGCCTGGGAGAGGAGGCTGGAGCCATCACACTTCTGGTGAGGGCAGTGCTGGCATTGGAACCCATGTCTTCAGCCTCTACCTGCATCACCACATTATATGATGGTCCTTGTGTTCTCCATGTACTTATACTTAATTTTGCGAACCCTTTTCTTTGAGTGTAGAGAAGAACATCAAGCTTTGCTTACAGATGGTGGAATTATTGGTGGCAGAAGAGGCAGCCCTAGTTTCTCCCCTAGAGCTGTGTGTGTGTGTGTATGTGTGTGTGTGTGTATGTGTGTTTGTGTGTGTGTGGTGGGGTGGGGAGTGCAATTTCTGAATAACCGTGAAGTTATGGTCATGAAAGGTGGCCCTGATGTGGGAATCTTTTGAGGTGCATGGCTAGCAAGGTTCCATGTTTCCCCAGGGACTTGTCTTCAGCCCTTCCTTCTTTTGTGCAGATCAATAATAAGGGGAATCGAGAGAGAGAGAGAAAGAGAACGAAAGAGAGCGGGGGGAGGGGAGAGAGGAGAGAGAGATTGATTTAGGGGAAAACTCTAAACAATTTAGGAAGAGTTGCAGGTATACACCATGTCAAAGACTTACGGTTGCCTTTTATAAAGTTGCCAAAGACTTTTGTGCCACCTTGGAATTAGAAATGACCAGGTTGTGGAGTAACATATACGGGAGGGCTCTCTTTGTGGGCCATCTGGGTGTAGAAAAGTGCTGAGCAGAGGCGTGCTGATGGGAGGGAATTTGAAAATCTGGGTTACTGAAACAATACATTTAAGCATCTAATATAACTATCGTTTAGATTATGGCTGTGGTTATTGAAAGTGACTGTGTAGGAAGAGGAAACAGCTTCTTGTATCCTTTTGAGAACAGACAACCATGAATCTACAGAAAACATAAAGTGATTAATGAAGTATTCATTTTCAGCAGATTATCTAATAAAGTTCCATCATTAAGGCATTAATCTATTTAAATTTACTTGACCAGTCATAAATTAGATTTAAAAAATGTGTGAGTCTCACCTGCCAACCTGACCATACTGCTTTCAAAAGTCTATTCTCATCAGTAGAATCTATTTTGATCACTTCTAGCCAATGAAAAATGTAAGCTTTTAGGAGAGAATGTTTCCTAGGACTCACCCACTCCCATTCAATGTTCTAATATGTAAAGAAAGTTACATATAAAATACTGGGATCAATCACAATGTCCATCTTTAGACAGTTGGTTAGATCAATTATCTGGTCTTTGAAAAGAATGATTGAGGTCTGAATGTGCTGAAGTGGAAAGATATCTATGAAATATGGTGGTTTTTTAAAAACACAAGTTGTAGGAGAATATGGGAACCCGTGTGTGTGTGTTTTTAAATGAAAAATACTTATATATTGACGGAACACTTCTAGAATGATACCCAAACTCCTGGAGTGGGGGTGGGGAATACCTTCTATATACACACTTTTCTACTGTTTGAATTTTTTACTATGAGCCCAAACTGTATAATCTGTTTTTAAATAGAGGAAAAAAGTTAAAAAGAATTTGTGAGTCTAGCAGGAATCACAGATTTTTTCCATTTAAAGTCATAAGAGAGAGGAGAGGATGGGGATAGGTTGGTCAGTGGGTACAAAGTTGCAATTATAGAGGAGGAATAAGTTCAGGTGTTCTATTGCACAGTTGGGTGACTATGGTTAACAGTAAAGTATCGTATATTACAAAAGAGCTGGAAGAGAAGCTTCTGAATATTCTCACCACAAAGATATGATAAGTGCAAGAGGTGATTGAGTACACGAAGTACATTGATTGGATCATTGTACAATATGTACATATCAAAATATCAAAGTGTCCCCTATAAATATGTATAATTACAATTTATTGATTAAAAATTAAATTCATCCCTGAGAGGTCTGAAAGAAAATTAAAAAAATAAAGTCACCATAAAATATTGTGTGAAAGGAATAGTGCATATTTTCGTAAGAAACTGAAAACACTTCCCGTGAGTTGAGACAAGAATATCCCAAGGGTTAGTGGAACAAAATGAGTTAAATAACTTTTTCAGTGGGAAGTCCAAGATTGGCTTTCATAATAATGCAGTTCTCTGTTTTTATTTTGAATTGTGACTTTTATTGTTCTTTACATCTTTACTGAATTCTTCATTAAGAATTTATTAATAAAGGTATTTTAGAAAAGTTACCTATACATAAAATCCTGTTTTAGCAGTACAGTGTCCTCTTTAATAAAACCCAGTGGTGAACACTTTTGATAAATACACTAAATTGTATGTTTGAAATCAGATTTTTAAATACTAGGTTTGTTTTGAAGTGGGAACACCTTATATGTCATTGTGTTTTTGAATTTTAAAAAGGTATTTATGCATGGATGGCAGGGGATTAAATGTGAAAATATATGATATTGTATCAAAACTTCTGACTGAACTCAATAGGGAGTTTTCCCCCAGGCAAAGGGGTAAAAAATAAGCCATATAAGGTGATATCTGACACATTGTCAGTGAGATTTCTATTGGTAACCGCCATTGTGCTCTTAGTGGAAGTTGGGATGATGGGAGGGGGCTACTAGCCATTAAATTGCATGTGGTCTTTAGTTAAAAATGGGGGTGCAGAATAATTTTTGAAGCATTTTTGATGGCTCAGAATTGCAAGTATCTTCAGCTTTCATCGATGAGTAGATAAACTATGGGACATACATATGCCCTCACTCCCCTCCCCCCACCATTCCTAACCCCTGACAACCATTAATCTGTTCTTGATCTCTATAATTTTGTCATTTCAAGAATGTTATATATGTGTGAAGTAATACAGCTTATGATCTTTTGGGACTGCCTTTTTAATCACTCAGCATAATGCCCTTAAGAAACAACCAGTTGTTGTGCGTATCGAGGGCTCATTCTTTTTTGTTGATGAGTCATATTCCATGATATAGGTGTCCAATTTGTTTAACCATTTCAGGTTTTTCCAGTTTGTTTAACCATTCCACTTTGTTTAACCATTCCAGGTTGTTTCCAGGTTTTGGCTCTTATGAATAAAACTGCTATGGACAATTGTATATAGGTTTTTGTCTGGACATAATTTTCATAACTTTTCAAATGTGGATGTTCTTGGGATAAACGTCCAGGAGTATGATTGCTGGGTCGTATAGTAAGTGTATGTTTAGTTTTTAAAGGAACTGACAAACAATTTTCCAGAATGGCTGTATCATTTTACATTCCAACCAGCATCATACAAGAGAGCCAATTTCTTTGCATCCTTTTGAGTATTTGGCATTACTGCTATTTTTTATTCTAGTTATTCTGATAGGTGTATAGTGATGTCTCATTATGGTCTCTGGTATAGATCGTTTTTCTTTTCAGAAATTCTGGTAAAATATAACATATCATGTATTTAATCAATCTTTAAGTGTATAGTTTTGGTGGCATTGAATACATTCATATTGTTGTGCTGCTGTTAGGACTATGCATCTGTAGAACTTTTCCATCTTCTCCAGCTGAAACTCGGTATCCTCTGAGTGATAACTCCTCATCCTTCCTTTTACCAAAGCCCCCGGCAACTATCATTCTACTCTTTGCCTCTATGAATTTTATTACTCTAGGAACATTAATGTACAAGTATCCGTTTGAGTCCCTGCTTTCAATTTTTTAGGTATATACCTAGAAGTAGAATTGCTGGATCATATGGTAATTCTGTGTTAGCTTTTTGGGGAACTGCCAAACTTTCCTACAGTGGCTGCACCATTTTACATTTTCAGCAGCAGTGCACAAGTGTCCTATTTTCTCCCCGTTTTTGCCAACACTTTTTATGTTCTGTTTTTTTAAATAATAGCCATCCTGCTGAGTATGAAGTGGTATGGTATAGATTTTGATAGAGATATTTGAAATGATTATGTAGCCCCTTTGGGAGTAGGGATTTCTGATTAGGGTCCTTCCCACCTTTCAAGTTGCAACCAATCTTCATCCTCCCTCAGAGTGAGATTAAAGTTGATTTATGCATCACTAAACTTGTAGGCATTCCCTGACATCTGAATGTGTTTGGATCCTGAGTTGAGATAGCAAGAGTTTATATGGTGAGTTTAGATAGCAAAGAATATCTAAATCTGTTTGGGTAGGAAAAGTGATAGATCAGATAACAATAGATTAATCTAAAAAGTTACCTGAATCCAATTGGAAAGCCAGAGTTCAGAGTGTGGAAGTTTAGAGAATGGAGGTTATCTCTATTTTAATGTCAGTTGGCACACAGACAATATAGTAGGGAAAGCTCAGTCAGTTTATGCAACTCTGTGTTCCATGGTTAAATTGATAGCACTTAGTCAAATTGCCTGAATGGTACTGAAGACAATAATAATTTCTATAATGCCTTGCAAATCCAAATCTAGATTTTTTTTCAGGGGTTGGGGTTCTCTGATTCTCAATGTATTGATTCTTTACTTTGATTCCTAGAAGGCAAGCTCTTAGGAGGTATGAAAAAGTAGGGTAGAATTTGGCTCCTTTTGGGGGTTTCCCGTGGGAACAGGACGGCACTCAGGTGGATCTCAGGCCCTGGGCCTGGCCAGACTCAGGAGTCCCGAGGAAGAGGAGGTCAGGTAGCCCACAGGAGTATTTAAATAAAATAAAAGTCTATTGTGGTCACCTGCTACCTTCAAGGAGTCCAGGAGGGAAGGTTATAGACTTTGCCTGCTTTCCTCTCTCTCTTTAATTCAGTTACTTGAAAGGCTTTAAAAATTTCTACTTATCCTTTCCCAGCATTGTGTGTGTGTGTGTGTGTGTGTGTGTTATGAGTTTTGTCTATCTTCGTATAGAAGTATAAACTCCACTCTTTTTTACAAGTCTTGGTTGGTATAGAAGATAATTTGTGACCAGGCGCAGTGGCTCATGCCTGTAATCCCAGCACTTTGGGAGGCCGAGGCGGGCAGATCACAAGGTCAGGAGTTTGAGACAAGCCTGGACAATATGGTGAAACCCCGTCTCTACTAAAAATACAAAAATGTGACGTGCGCCTGTAGTCCCAGCTATTTGGGAGGATGAGGCAGGAGAATCGCTTGAACACAGGAGGCAGAGGTTGCAGTGAGCCAAGATTGCACCACTGCACTTCAGCCTAGATGACAGAGTGAGACTCTGTCTAAAAAAAAAAAAAATTGTAAAAATAAAAGTCACTTAATGTGGATGGGAATATGGGGAGGGAATGGGGAAATGGCATTTAGGACATTTCCTGCTTTGACTAAGACAAGTTGCTGGGAGGTCTATGCTTCTCCCCAGATAGACTAGTGAATGTTACTATGTTGTCCTCATGATGTTAACAGCCCTTTGGGAATCTACTCACTTACCCAGGGTAGGTCAGTGAATTTTCTAAAATAACTAAAGGACATCATCTACCTGTTAGAAAGTAACTGCTTCAATCTTCTTATTTTCATAGGTTGTCACATGGAAAAGACCAAATAGCCTGTCTAACTGCAAACATGACCAGTGCAGAGGCAGGAAGCCTGGCTGTGAACCCACAGAGGATTATTATTACTATTATTTATTTATTTAATTTTAGTTTTTGAGATAGGGTCTCACTCTGTCACCCAGGCTGGAGTGCAGTGGAGCGACCTTGGCTTACTGTAACCTCTGTCTCCCATGTTGAAGTGATTCTCCTGCCTCAGCCTCCTGAGTAGCTGGCATTACAGGTGTGTGCCACCACACCTGGCTAATTTTTGTATTTTTAGTAGAAATGGGGTTTTGTCATGTTGGCCAGGCTGGTCTCAAACTCCTGACCTCAAGTGATCCACCTGCCTCAGCCTCCCAAAGTACTGGGATTACAGGCATGAGCCACCACACCCGCCCATTACTATTATTTTTTTAAATAAAGGCAGGAAAACATAAAATGTGTGCCCAGAAAGGCCACATTTTGCCTCATCATACAGTTGTTAAACCTCTTTGGTTGGGATTTGTGATTGGCCGTGATGGCCACCACGGTGTCATCACATCTGAGCAGAAGTCCCATAATAGTCAGGGCACTTTGGCTCACTGGGATGTTATCCTGGTGTGTTGTGATGTCTGCACTACTATTTGTCAATCTTTAACAGAGACAGGACCGGAAGGGGACAGGAGGTTCATGTACACAACTTGGAGAGGTAGATGGAACACTTTCATGTGCATGTTGAAAGAGTTAACATTTTGAGAACTGAGGTATTTAGACATTTTAGAACTATGATATTTCTACTTGTGTCCTGTGATCTCTTTTCTATAGGTGGCAATTAACCCCTTGATTTGCTCTGTCTGCGTAAAGCATTTAAAACAGAAGTGGAGGTGCTTTTGTCTATTGAAAGCCATTGGCACGTTGGGACAGAAGCAACCAAGGCAAGCAACCCAACCACTGAATCAGGCTTAAAAAACACTTTAAAGATACACACTTCACTGCCACCTCTTTGCGTTACACTCTTCCTCCTCTGTTCTAGCTCAGTTTCAACCTTCTTTACTCATCCATGGCTCTCACCTTCTCTGTTGATGCCTGCCCACTTTATACCTTCCACCTACTGTCTTTCTCTTTCTGGCTGTTTTTCTTTTTAAACTATGTGACATTTGATGTGAGCATCAAGCAGCACATGGCACATAATAAGCACTCAATACATGCTTATTGACTAGACTATTCATACTGTGATTAGCACTGTCCTTCTTGGTTTTTCCATAAATTAAGACCACCTGGTGGCCATTGTGTGCATGCCTCTGAAAGAGCTGGCCATGTGGATTTGTGTTTTGATTTAATGGGATGGGAAGGGGAGCTGGGGATAAGGGCAGCCTGCTGAAGGAGTCCTCATTTTAGAGTACTTGCTGTGGGCTAAGGGAAATCCAGTCTCTGGCTAGAGTTTTCAGAGATTGTGATTTCCTGGACTCTCCTAGGTGTTTGAAGGATATGTTTTCATAGACCATGTTGTCATCTCAAATGTTGACCCCCAATGATAGAAATGACCCTGGCAGTGAATGAAGTGACTTATTGGTAGGCAGGTGAGTGCAAACCAGTGACTCCCTGTCTACCGTCTGCTTAGACCCAGGTTTCAGAAGTGCTGAGCACGTGGCGGTGTTCAGCAACTACTGCGTTATTATGCTGGTACACTTAGCTGAACTCTGGTGGAATAAACTGTTTACCCAGAAGGGTGGAACTTCCAGCAGCCATCAAAGCTCTGAGTGGAGCTGAGCCAGAGAAGGGGCTTGCATTTTCACACCCTTGGGCCACACTCCTTCAGGCAGCCTTCTTGTCCGAAGGAACTGAAATAGCCCGGACAGGAAGCAGACAAAGTCTAGTTTGTTGTCCTTAGCCTCTAAGGTAGACTATTCAAATGAAGCCCATTAAAAATAAACCAAGAGAGACAGGAGAATCGCTTGAATCCGGGAGGCAGAGGTTGCAGTGAGCCGAGATCACACCGCTGCACTCCAGCCTGGGCGACAGAGCAAGACTCTGTCTCAAAACAACAACAACAAAAACAACAACAAAAACCAGAAACAAAACCACATTGACGATGATTTTGATTTCTCTGTGTTAAATATCCCATGGAGAAACATATAACATTGAAAAAAAAAAGAGTCTATTGAAGTTCATGTATCACAATTAGTTTGTTTTCTCACTTGAATATGAGCTCTGTGAGAGCAGAAACTTTGCTTCTGGTTTTTCCTGCCGATTTCTGGATACTGTGTCTGGCACAGGGTAGGCACTCAGTAAGTATTTATTGACTGAATGAATGAATGAAGCTTACATAAAAGAAAATGATACTTAGTTTTATATTTATAAATCTCAACTTTTAAGGAAGCTCTAGGTCAACTAAGAAAACTGGGAGAAAACATCCCAGTGTGTGCCCTGAATAAGACCAGAAGTCATTACTTAGGGGAGGTCAAGATGCTGCCAGCGGGGCAAACAACTTCCTTGGTAGGTGCCCTCTCTCCTCCTCCCCGCTTTCTTCTCTCCTCCCTTCCTGCTATGGCCACAGCATCAGCAAATATGATTATCTGAGGATGTGTATGAATAATGTATGACTTGAGTCCTTAACTTGCAGGGCTGTTTAGTGAATAGGGGTACCCTACCTTGTTCTAGACTAGTAGCCCTGTCCCTGTACAGCTTGGGCTCTGCAGAGCTGAGAGTGCTAGAATTGGGATCCTGGCCTGGTCACTTGAAATCTGCTGTTTTCTGGTCCATCTGAGTCTGACCTCCCTGCTGACCCCAGGTCCTCCCCTTGGACTGTGTGGCTGCCACCTTGCCCCCAGAAGTAAAGCATCACATGCTCTACCCTACGCGAGCAGCTGGCTAGAGTGGGACTTTATAATCAGTGTCCCCTAAGTCCTGGCTCTTCCTGGCTGGTCTCATAGCTGCCTGTGACCAGAGCAGAGAGGCAAATTCAGAAGTTTGGAATGTTTGGAAGGCACGTTTGTTTTGTGACGATAGTGATGGTGTCCGTATGTAAAGTGTGGAAGGAAATCCACCTGGCAGTAAGTGGATGGCTATGGTTTGGCCATCCAAAGCTTAGTGGGGATTCATATCTGCCTCTGTCCAGGAAATGGCATTCCTATCTCAGTCTCACATAGGAGAAAGGCTTGATAGAGTGGGCTAGCTGGGGAGTTCCAAAGAGCAGGCCTATAAATGGTCTTTTAGTACTGAATCTGAGCAGAAATTGGGGAATTTCCAGATATGCAGATGCAAATTATTATCCTATGTATTCTTGAATATAGCCATATGGTCAATTTAATTTAACTGTCCCTGACTAGTATGCAGAGGCAAGCTCATGGATTTCTATTTTTTTTTATTTGTAAAGTCATTTTTAACTTATGTGAATTTTTTATTGTCTTGGAAGAATCTCTCTCCATTAACCAAAGAAAGTCATTAGTTCTGTTCTAATTAAGCTAAATACAAAGAGAAAACCCAAAATGAACATAGTACCTATTAATGGCAAAATTTTTTGTACTTTCTAGTATGAAAAGTTATGTATATCTCTGGAAAATAGAAGTTGATGAGTAATCCTATCCTGGCTGGTATTACTGATTTTTTTTATTCCAGTCTAATACCACAAAGTTCATTCTAGTATTCACTCTTTGTTTATGACTTTTTCTCTGACAATGGGAAATTTGGCTATCATGATCTACAATATATTTACTATATTTTCAAGCCTAGTATACTTGTAGTTTTATATTGCTAACCTCTACCTTCTGAGAGAATATAGACCTGTCCCCTGTTAGAATATAGATTTACCAACTAGATAAAGAGTTTGTATATGGTTCTTTTTGTCTTACAGTCAAAACACTTTAGCTTTACTGTCAAAGTTTTTTTTTTTTAATTTCAGCTTTTATTTTAGGTTCACGGGTTATATATGCAGGTTTGTTACATGGGTATATTGCATGATGCTGAAGTTTGGGGCACAATTGATCTCGCTACCCAGACACTGAGCATAGTAGCCAATAGGTAGTTTTTCAGCCATTACCTCCCTCCCTTTCTCCCCACCTTAATAATCCCCAGTGTCTGTCATTCCCATCTTTGTGTCCATGTGTGTTCCAATATTTAGCTCCCACTTATACTTGGGGACATGCAGTATTTCATTTTCTGTTTCTGCATTAATTTGCTTAGGATAATGACCCCCAGCTGCATCCATGGCCCTACAAAGGACATGATTTGATTTCATTCTTTTTTATGGCTGAATAGTATTCCATGGTGTATATGTACTACATTTTCTTTATTCACTCTACCATTGATGGACATCTGGGTTGATTTCATTTCTTTGCTTTGTGAATAGTGCTCCAATAAACATACAAGTGCATGTATATCTTTTTGGTAGACCAATTAATTTCCCTTTGATTATATACTCAGCAATAAGATTGCTGGGTCAAATGGTAGTTCTGTTTCAATTTCTTTGGGAAATTTCCCAACTGCTTTCCACAGTGGTTGAACTAATTTATATTCCTACCCACAGTGTATAAGCATTCCCTTTTCTCTGCAGTCTTACCAGCATCTATTATTTTTTGACTTTTTAATAGTAGCCATTCTGACTGGTGTGAGATAATATCTCATCTCTCTAACGATTAGTGATGTTGAGCTTTTTTTCATGCCTTTTGGCCACTTGTCTGTCTTCTTTTGAGAAGTGTCTGTTCATGTCTTTTGCCCACTTTTGAATGGGGTTATTTGTTTTTGGCTTGTTGACCTAAAACAAGGCTGTATAGGTCAGCTCCTTTCTTTACAATCCTCTTTGGTATGCTTCTGTCATACGTTTGTAATACAGTTAGATTCATTGCTACAGTCTATGTTCCACTCTGGATTCTCCTGTAATCCTGGTTGATTTTTAAAATGTTACATACAGCAAAATTTACTTGTTGTGTTGTAGATTTCTGTGGAGTGTGGCAAATGTACAGTGTTGTATCCATCTCCACAGAACCATATAAAACACTTCCATCACCTATCAAATTTTCTCATGCTGCTCTCTTACAGTCAAACCCTGCTCCCACCTCTAATCCCTGGCAACCATTAATCTGTTTTTCCTTCCTATAGTTTTGCCTTTTCTAGAATGTAATATAAATAGAATCCTATAATACATTGTGATGGTTACTATGGCACTGAACAAAGGGGGATGAATGCAGAAATGAAGACAAAGCTTGTTCCTATTGAGCAAGGGCCCTGAGCTTCTAAAGCCCTTCATATTTATTGGGTAGAAAGAGCAGGGAGGAGGAGGTAACGGTTGGTCAGCTGCTTGATTTATCACAGGTTCACATGATTGCTAACAGGCTTCAGATGTGCCTTGTAGATAATCACAAGAAACACTGCACCTGGGGTATGACTGCCCTCAGCATTCCTTCTGGGCAGCAGATGCAGTTTGTCAGTTTGCCAACAACCTGCATTCATGAGCTGTTTGCTCATAGAGCCTCCAGTGGTATACTGAGTTGGTCATGACCCGCATTCTTTCGGCCTCCAACAATGCATAGCCTTTTGTATATGGCTTCTTATACTTAGCAAAATGCATTTCCGATTTGTTCCTGCTTTTGTGTGAAACAATAGTTTGTTCCTTTATATTGCTGAGTAGTATTCCATGGCATAGATGTACCACAGTTTGTTTAACCACTCATGTGTCGAAGGCCTGGTTTTTCATGCTTATGAATAATGCAGCTCCAGTTATTTGTGAATAGGTTTTTGTGTGAACATAGGTTTCAATTCACTTGGATAAATTACTAAGAGTAGTATTCCTGGGTCTTATAAGCTATGTTTAATTTTATAAAAAACTGCAAATCTGTTTTCCAAAGTAGCTGTTTTGTATTTCCACCAGAAACATGAGTGTTCCTCCAGTTGTCCCACATATTCACCAGCATGTTGTATTATCAGTTGTTTTATTTTAGCCCTTCTAAAAGGTATGTAGTAGTATCTTATTGTGGTTTTAATTTGCACTTCCCTAGTGAACAGTAATGCTGAGTATCTTTTCATATGCTTACTTGCTATTTATAGCTTTTCTTTGGTGAAGTGTCTGCTCAGATATTTTACTCCCTCTCCTTTTTTATTGGATTGTTTTCTTGTTGAGATGTAAGGGTCCTGGATACAGCTTCCTTTTCAGATATGTGATTTAAAATATTTTCTCCTAGTCTCTGGCTTATATTTTCAGTATTTTAATCATGGTTTTCACAGAGCAAAAGTTTTAAATTTTGATAAACTCAGTGCAGTCTATCAATTTTTCTTTTTGTAGGTCATACTTTTGGTGTATTTAAAAATGCTTTGCTAAACTCAAGGTCATGCAGAGTTTTAAAAAAATGTTTTCTTTTAGAAATCATGTGGTCTTACATTTTACATTTAGATCTGTGATACCTCTGAATTAATTTTTTTTAAGACAGAGTCTTTCTCTGTTGCCTAGGCTGGAGGGCAGTGGCATGATCTTGGCTCACTGAAGCCTCTGCCTCGCGGGTTCAAGTGATTCTACCACCTCAGCTTCCCAAGTAGCTAGGACTACAGGTGTGTACCACCCATGCCTGGCTACTTTTTGTAGTTTTAGTAGAGACAGGGTTTTATCATGTTGGCCAGGCTTGTCTCAAACTCCTAACCTCAAGTAATTTGCCCGCCTCAGCCTCCCAAAGTGCTGGGATTATAGCCACGAGCCACCGCTGTCGGCCTTAACAAATTTTAAATAAGTAGTTCAATTGTTCCAGCACAATTTGGTGAAAATATTGTCCTTTCTCCATTGAACTGCCTTTGTCACTTTGTCAAAAATCAGTTGACTAAGGCAACTGATTTTATTATTTTAACGTATTTTATTAATATATGTACATTTATAGGCTATGTACCGTGTTTTGTTGTTCCAGATTATATGCCATTTCACTGGTATTATACTGTATTAATTCTTATAGCTTTATTGTCTTGAAATTGAGCAGCGTTGGTCCTCCAACTTTCTTCTTTTTCAGAATTATTTGGACTATTCCTATTTTCCTTTTCACATAAATTTTATAATCAAGTTAACTATATATATGAATAAAGCTTCCTGAGATTTTGATTACAATTGTGTTATATCTATAGATCAAATTGGGAAAAACTAAAATCTTAAAAATATTGAGGCTTGTGGTCTATGAACATTGTATGTTCTCCATTAATTTAGGTCTTATTTTATTTCTTTCATCAGGGTTTTATTGTTTTTAGCATACAGATCTTACACATATTTTGTTAGATTTATACATAAACATTTTAATTTTTGGTGCTATCATGATGTTTGTTTCTAAAATTTCAAATTCCAGTTGTTCATTGCTAGTATATGGGAATACGGTTAACTTTTGTATTCTGTAATTTTGCCAACCTCACTTATTAGTTGTAAGAGCTTTTTTATTGGTGCTTTGAGATTTTTTTTACAGAGATGATAATCTCTGTATTTTTTTTGTAGATGATAATCATGTCATCTACAAATACAGTTTTATTTCTTTTATTCCTATCTTTGTGCCATTTTTTTCCATATTGAATAGAAGTTAGTGAGAAAGGACATACTTTTCTTGCTTTTGATCTTGGTGGGAAAGCATTTAGTCTCTCACTGTTAAGTATTAGTTCTAGGTTTGGGTTTTTTTTTCTGTTTATTAGGTTAAGAAATTTTCCTTCTAGTTTACTGAGAGTTTTACTTTTAAATTATGAACAAATGTTGAATTTTGTAATGCTTTTCCTGCATCTATTAGATGGCATGGTTTTTCTTCTTTAGTCTGCTAAGATGGTGAATTACATTGATTAATATTTGAATATTGAACGAGACATTTCTGGGATGAACCCCACTGGTTGTGATGTATTATCTTTTTAATGTATTGCTGGATTTAATTTGCTAATATTTTATTGATAAGTTTTATATTTATGTTCATGAGGACTACTGATCTGTAGTTCTCTTGTAAAATCTTTGTCAGGTTTTGGTATTAATATAATTCTATTTTATTTGAAGAAATGAATTCCATATAAGTAGACTAGGAACCCTTTGTCCTTGTGAATTGTGAGGGAATAAAATGGTAAATAATACTGTGATACTATACATAGTCTACCTTTTTTGACTGAGGTGAAATTGTAGAACTCTTGATCTCTGTTCATCTTTCTCTGCCTCTTGGTAGAGTGCATGCTTTCTTCTCCTCCATAAGTGGCTTGGTACCTACAGTGCTAGCACCAGTGCAGGCATATATCTTGTCGCTAAAGCTGTGCCAGCCTTCTGCAAAGGGTAGTGTTTAAAAATTCCAGAAAACTGAGACCCAATTTGCATAGAATTTTGCATGCATGTTAGCTAGTGAGGAGAAATGAAAAATAAGTATTTGGAACTGGCACAAAGTTCAGTGAACTTTTCCCTCGAAATTATCAGCATGCTTCTATTATACACAGAACAATAGAAAAGTCCTCATTAAACTAATAGAACAGAATCATATTCCCACTACTTGCATTCCAGGCTCATAACCTAGTTCATGAGTTGCCCTTCTTTTAATCTTGTTTGGAGGAAAAATGGAAGGAAATAAGTAAGTTGTATGATAATATAACTTTGTTCTGGGATTGGAGATCATTACTTTGTTTATCAATCTATTAAATGTAAATATTTAAATATAAATACAATGAGCATTAGTTGAGGGGGTTTCTTTATTCACCATTTATTGTGGTTTCCCCAAATGTAATTATATTTTCTTTCCCTTTCTCTTGCAGATGGGGTAAATTCACCCACCCTAAGGAAATGAAATAAAATTACTGTATGAAGACCAAATTTATATGAAAATGAAGTATTTGAGGCAGTCAATATTCTAATTGTGAAAAAATTTTAAGTTCCCCACAAAGGGTTTAAGTCAGTGTAGAAAATCTGTTTGTCAGTGGTCAGCCTGGTGGAACGTATTTCCCAAGTGAACTCCAATGACATATATCCTCAAATGCATGCAACCATTCTCCTAGGTCTTCTCTCTATTTTGCTTTCTTCATACTTGTTTTTCAACATTCTTATTTGTTTTTATTATGTTTCTCTATCTTTATCTCTTTTCTGTCTATTAGCTGGTATTGAGAATTCAGGGCTAAGTATTAAATCCAAGATGATGTCATTTTCTTGCAGTCACAACTTACCTTTACCTGTTGGAACGGGTGAGAGATGTACTTGATGGGGAGAGTGAGAGAGTTAAGAGGAAGATGGGCCATAGCATCTTTTCAGTCCTGTTTACTTCAATTCTGAACAGATAGAAGTTCTAGCAGAACTATTTAAGATGTAATCTTGACATGTTTGTGAATATTATCACCACTCAGAAGTCTGGAAACACAGAAACATGTTTTTTTGGTGGGGGGAGGGTAAGCGAGAAAGGTCACTAAAGGGTAGGCTATTCTGAATACATGTTATTTATGAAGTAGACTTTTTAAACTTAGGAATGACTATAGAATTTTGCATGGCAAATTAAATATTTTTTATGCACATCTTAAAGGAAGACATGGACTAACAATATATACAGCTTCTGGGTTGAAGTATCCTTTTCTCTTATTTTGGCATTATTGATGTTTTTCAGAGAGAGAGAGAAAGAGAGGAAATATTTGCAAAATTAAAAATTGCAAATAGATGTCTTTAAACAGAAATCATTAATTTATCATCAGGGAAAATGAAGGAAAGAAAGAGGCTAAACATATCTTGGATTTTAGACCTAAATAAGAGGAATGAGCTGGGTGGTACAGGTCAAGCTACATCTCTTGTATTAGCACTTAAACTGGGGACTTTAACCGCCCTGTGTCTTGGTTTTCTCCAGCGTAGAGTGAGGATAATGTGTAGCACTTGGCCATGTAAAGTGCCTGCATCAGTGACTGACAAATAGTTAATTATCGTTATTATCATCTTTGGGACCAGATAAGGAGAAGATCAAGGTCACTTGAAACTGATAGGAAGTATGAGGGCAGGATATAAAGAACAAAGAAATCAGTTTCTAGCTTTGAGTATTAAGATGTAGTGAGGTGGGGAATGCAAGACTGAGCTCTTTCTGTTGGAACTTTTTCGAGTTTTTGAATAAAAGGTTGAAGGTGTGAAGAAAAATAAAACTGGAACTGATCACGTGGTCCATCCCCGGGAGGCACTAAAGAATATCACCGGGTGTTGAAATGTGTCCAGTGATAATTCTTCTATCCTCAGAAGAGAATGCCCAGGAAAGTCCAAGGTCAAAGGAGAGAGCAAGCACAAGTGAAGATTATTCTGAGGACATCCTGTGTTTGCTTTACCACCAATACTATGGTATCTACATCAACACAATTTTTGGGCCATATGTCCCTATATCTCTGGGTGTATGACTCTGTGTGTATATATGCATATTTATTTATTTAGATAAACTTCTATGCAGTCATATGCACAAATCTTAAGAGTATACATGATAAATTTTTACAAATATGTACACCTGTGTCACCATCACCCAGAGCAAGACATACATTTCTAGCACCCCAACGGTCCCTTGTGCCCACTTCTGGTCATTACCCTCTCCAAAGATAAACACCATTTAGACTTGTATCATAAGAGATTAGTTTCTTGCAGTAAAAGGTGTGAATAGAATGGTTTTCTCCCTAGCGTGTGAGTGTTGAGAAAGTAAAACTTCAGCAAGACACGAAAATGTTTAACTTAGGAAAAAAAAGGTGAGATCTTTGATGATATCTTTATCAACAAATATATTATCACTCCTTAATACAAAGTGAATGCTAATTCATGAGGTTTATTCATTTCTTACCACCCTTGTGAAAACATTTCTCCCCTTGTATGAATCAGAGCTCTTAATTGCAAGCAACAGAACTCTGATTTAGGCAAAAAATAAAGTAATTGCGAGGTGGCTGGAAACCAAGCTCAGAAAAGAGATAGGAACAACAGAAAGTCACCGGACCCACAGTCAAAGCCTTGTCCTGTCCAAGGTGGAGTCTGGCTCTGGTGCTGTTGCTGCTGCTGAATTGTGCTGCTGACTCAATTGTGGTTGCCCCTGCCACTACCATGAATAAGCTCTAAGGACCCTGGGCCTTTTTGTCACTCACTGCAAATTCAAAGCCTAGCAGGAGACACAAGAGTTGAGCCTAGGTCATATGACTGCTAAGGACCAAGAGAGGAAATGTCCACTTCCGTATTATAAGGTAGGGTCTCTTCTGCCACTGAAACTCACACAATGGGTGATTCTCTAAAAATAGAAAGGAAGTTTGGATGCTGTTCAGAGAAAAAAAGAAAAACAAAACAACCCAAAAGGCAAATGTCTACAATACCTTAAAGTTTCTTTTATTAATGTTATTTAATTATTGCTATTTTGATGTTATTTTAGAGCCATAATTTACTGCCAAAATAGATTTTACCTATAGCTCATAGCACATCCAAAGTATAATTATGTGTTGGATAGAAGATGCCAGGTACCTGCAGAACAAAGTGCTACTATCGTGATACGCTGTTCACTTGCATATTTAACCATTCATGGAACTCCTAACAGTCATCTCTGAGGAGTTGTGCCTTGAATTTTCAAATAAAATTATTTCCATGTCATTTCTTTGCATCTGGCTTTGCAAAGAAGGCTTGCCTACAACTGAGAGGTGACATGTGCTAATCGGAGTTCCATCTTCACGCACTTACACGGGTATCAGCTACTGTCGTTCAGTTCAGCAGTTGCTCAAAGATGAGGCGTTATCAGTTTAATTTGTTACAAAAGGAAGGGAGGATAATCTCTTCTGATTAAAACTATAGGTTTGTTTTGGAATGAAGACCAATGTAAATTTAATTTACTTGTCCTTAAGAAGTTAAAAACTATCCAGGGAAGACTAATTTTTTTTTTATGACAAGCTGTAATGCACCGGCACCTTTATTTCCTAAATTAATGTTGTCACCTAACCAGTCATGATTCTGTTAGCTGAGAATTATTGTTTTTTGTGTTTTGATAGCAAATCTTGAGAATCAGATCAAAATTCTGTGCAGTGTCCATGCCAGCATGAAGGGTTTGGAATGTTGAGGGCCTGTTTGGAGACATTCTATTCTTTTTATTCAGGATATTTGTTTCTATTAACAGTAGGTTTCTTCACCTGTTACATAGCCTGTTGTGGCCTGGATTTTGCTTATGTTTGTTTTGACTTGAGTCAATTCAGAGGAAGATAATGCTTATTGCTAGTGCAGCCAGTGTCCTATTTAGGGCAGTAGTGTCCCATCCAACTAGTGTTTGCAGGATGACTCTGTGGCCCTAGGAGCGTCCTCATTGTGGGGAGAGTCTGAGCACCTGAGCTCAGGCCACTGTGTGTTTCAGTTTGCTTTGTTGTGGATACACCACTTATGTCACACCTAGCCAGCCCCAGCTACCGCAGACTCTTAGTTACCTTCTTTAGACTTTTTCAGAATGCTTGTTTTTCAGCATTGTCCGTAGTAATATCAGTGCTCAATGATGAAGGCAATTTGAAGGATTATTTGATGGCTTGGAGAAAATGTCTGTTTCAGCTAAACAAATTTTATTTAAAAATATTTAGTTAAACTAAATACTAGGAAAAGAAACTCTGGATTCTAAGGATTTGTGACTATTATAAAGTTCATGTTTAGCATGTAAGTCTTGTTACTAAGAGATGCTCTATGCCTCCTGTGCTTGGAATTTCTACTGGTTTCCCAGTATAAAAAGGATACTGCTGCTTTTAGATGTGACTTTTTAATATCCTTGAAATGTATTCTTTATTTGAATCATTGTAATTGCTGACCTTAGACAATTTCTTGAGACAGAGGATCCAGAATGAATTTTTTAGAATCCTGAAAAATCCACCCAAACAAATCCTTAGGTAGCTCAGGTTAATTAACAGAATGCGACTCCATAATTCCACAGTGATAGTTTGTAGCTATGGTCAACTTTGTAAATGCAGGCCTGTTGCTACTCTAACAAAACAAATTATTTAGTATGCTGGCTTTGTTCCCATTGTAGACTCAAGCCTGAGGCCTATTTGCCCCCTCTTCCTCCTCTCCGTTCCTTATCTCCTGACTGTCTTCCTGGGAATCTGCTTATTAAATTGTTCATGTCAGTTGGATGGTTACCCTCCTTTATTTCTCTCGTCTTTAACCTTGTCTTCTTCACATTGTAGCCAATCTCCCTATTCTCTTCCCTGTAGCTGCCACCATCTAGTCCTTTCTGGGAAATCCCTTTATATAATATGAATATAATATTTGCGAAAACTGTAATGATTACAATAACTTAAGTTTCAGGCAGTATAGCCACACCACCAATAATAATAATGTAGAAAGTGGTTGTGTTTTTATTTGTTACTGAAAGTTCATCATTTGTTACTACTTTCATTTATTCAGTAAAAAGTTAAAAGTGCCAACTGCATGTCAGGTATTGCACTAGGTGCTGGAAATACAACAAGAAGAGAGCTCATAGATAAGGTAGAAGAAAGGTAAATCATGATGATAGTGTATAAGCCTTTGAAAGAGTGTCATGTGTAAGTTTATTATTGTATCAATCAGAGCAATAATGAACTGTTGCTGTTGGACATGGAAATGATGCTATTACACTGAAAATAGTATTTATCAATATGGAATTTGTCTTTTTTTGTGTGTGTGTGTGACAGAGTTTCACTCTGTCACCAGGCTGGAGTGTGCTGGCGCGATCATCTTAGCTCACTGCAATCTCTGCCTCCTGAGTTCAAGTGATTCTCCTGCCTCAGCCTCCCAAGTAGCTGGGATTATAGGCACGCACCACCATGCCCAGCTAATTCTGATTTTTAGTAGAGATGGGGTTTCACTATGTTGGCTGGTCTCGAATTCCTGACCTCAAGGGATCCACCCACCTTGGCCTCCCAAAGTGCTGAGATTACAGGCATGAGCCACCACACTGGGCCAAAATTTGTTTTTGGTATGTATACTAGTTAGCAGGATTATAGACCTCCCAAAGTTATACTCAGGTATGAAGAAGAATGTAGTTTCTTCAGGTCTTTCTGAGAGCCATTTGATCCTCCTGATCCCCTGTCTGCTGGGTAGCAGAAGATGACAAAATGACTCTGCTCTAGGGATGTTGTCTGATGCAATGATCTAAATAATTTGTTTAGGTCTTGCATGCTCATTTACTTAGATAAAATACTCAGCCTCCTAACTATTTGACTTCTTACTCTGCACCTTTCCAGGATGGTTTCCAAATGTATGGGGACAGGGGAGTGTTGGAGGTGAGGGATTCCTTGGCTTCATGCAGTCCTCAGTGACTCATTCATCTTTGAGTGTCTGCTTGCATCTGTGTCTGCAGGCATAGACGGTACGTTGGTCTCTTTCAGCCATGTCTGGGCCCAGATGTGTTCCTGAGCTGACCTTGACCCCACTTCCTCTTAGTTCTTGCTGATGCTGTTTGGACCCCTCCAAATCTCTGTCACATTCTCCATACAGCCCATGGCCTAGGATGTCACTCGTGTAATCACTCTACTCCTGAGGGACATCTTTCTTCTCACCAGGCTGAGCCTGTTGCCACTCAACTCACTACTATCTTCATCCTCCCTAGGGGTGCACAGGGACTTCTGGTCCCATCCACACCGCACTAGAACTGAAGCTGGCTAGGGAAAGCTAAACACTATCCTTCCCTCACCCAGCCTCTCGGCATTGCTGTGTTTACTGTGCTCTGTTCATCTCCTGGGCTGACGCAAGAACAGCCTCCCCAAATCACAGAGAGTCAGCTGCCACTCACTCAGAAGTGTGTCATAATTTATCTGACAACCATTTCCTTCTCTGGGGCCAAAACCCAGAAAAGGAGATCAAGACTCAGCTGTTTTGCCTCCTGCCTCTCCTTGTAATTCCCTGGTTCCAGAAGCCAGTCAATGTTGGGCTTTCCCCCTCTTTTCTTCTCCTATCCTAAGGCAGCCATCTTCATCCCTAGCATTAATAAGAAGCTTTGTCTTCCACAAAAGCGACCATGATCAACCCCATCTCTGCTAAAAAGACAAAAAATTAGCTGGGCATGGTGGCAGGCACCTGTAGTCTCAGCTACTTGGGAGGCTGAGGCAGGAGAATGGCGTGAACCCGGGAGGCGGAGCTTGCAGTGAGCCGAGATCACGCCGCTGCACTTCAGCCTAGGCGACAGAGGGAGACTCCGTCTCAGAAAAAAAAAAAAAAAAAGACACCATGATTTGAATTTTTCAAACTCTGTTCTTCATAAGGCCTGCATTTCCAGCCCATTGTCTTGTTGTAAAAATCATACTTGGGATTTCAGAAACTGACATTTCTCTTTTCCTTTCTGCAGCAACAGTGCTAAAATGTTTCCTCTCCTCACTTCCAGCCCCAAGAGCCCCAAGGCAGGTGGATGTTTCAGGCTGACAAAAGAAAGCTCCCATACACAAAATGAGAAAGAAAAAAAGATGCACATCATGATTTTTCAAATGTGTTATAGTAGATGTCAGTGATTCATAAATAATCACTTCTGTACAAGTTTGAAAATATGTGCATAGCACTGTAGTATGTAAATATGCGCAAGGTGAATGCTTGCCATTCCACAGCAGGTGTCTGTTCCTGGAGGCAAGCCCTCGGTTGTGCCACTATAATGGATTACTAGTGTAATCGAGGCAAGGCAGTTTACATTCTTACACTGGGGATTTTATCTCTAACTAATTACTGGATATGACTAGTTGCCAGGTGTCATTAAAGGAAAGCTGCTGAATACCATGCAATGAAGAAAAACTATAGGCTGAAGAATGAGCAGGCACAGATTCCAATATTAATTCTGCTTGTTGCCGCAGAGGCGAATAGTAAAAATAAAAAATGAGTTCCTATAAAATACAAATGAGTTAATGTATATTAAGGTGCTTTGAGTATGGCAATTTTCCTAAGGAGTATTAGTTATAAATATTTAAAACAACATAGACATGTATTTCCAGTTGTGCCATTTTAGATTGTAGAGATGAATAATCATTGTATTTTACAGATGAGAAGGGTCAAATTACCCCATGAATAGACATGACAGGTGGTCCCTGGAGGAAGTATGGTCTTTCTCTTTAAATGAATGAATGACAGAACCTTGGAAAACTAAGGGACAGTTGAAAAAGAAGAAAAAGGAAGGGAAAATGGTAGTTTGACGGGAGGGAAGTGTAGAATTTTGACAAAGGAGTAGTCATCAAAAATAGCAGGCAGAGAGAGGTCAGGAGAGATTGGACTCAGCCTCTAAGACCTCAGTGGAGGCTTTGATCCAGGGATTTCAGAGGTGAGATGTCAGCCAGAGTGTGGCGGGTTAGAAGGGAAATAGGGAAAATGCAAGAGGAGGAAGGGGAATGACGGGTGGGATGGTAAAATTCGACAAGTTGGAAGGAGGCTCACAGATGGTGTTTGAAAAGAGAAATGTCCTCCTCTGAGCCTTGAAGAAAGGCGTGAAGGAGAGTCATGGGCTGGATGGACCAGAGCTGTGCATCCAGGTCTTCTAGCCTTGTTTATTGTTCTTCCTGCTGACCGATTGCTCCTTACAAATGGCACATAAACATGTATGTCTCAAAGTTGACATCCAAACAACCCCACAACAACCTAAAGTGCCAGCTCTGAGAAAAATCAAAGAAACATATACTTAGTGATTTTGCTGACCACATTAGGATCTGAAGAACCTTTGGGAGAATCTGAAAGATCCATGCCTGTTCAAAATAACGGCTTATATAACATATTGCTTCTCAAATTTCTTCATAGCAAAAGAAGTTCAAGCTCATTCCATTCATCATTAGTTTTAAAATAGAGGTTAGAGAATTTTGTTATTTTAATTCTAACTAAAGTCTTTGTTTTGAGAATCTGAAGAACAGGAAATTCTTGAATCTGGACATCTCTTTCCTTCTCTCTCTCTTTTTCTTCTCCCTTTGGCCTGGAAGAGCAGGGGAAGCCACAGAGGCTGCTCTCCACCATGTATGAGGAAGGATGGGGGCCTGGGAATAGGCTGGGTTGCATTGTCCTGCCATGGTGTCTGTGGGGACTCTGTAGTATGAATTTCTACTTCAGGGCTTTGGGGACACCTATTAGCTTCTTTCTTCAACCTTCTCGCTTTTACCATCTTCTTGAGTCACTGCCTACATGAACCCTCTAGTGAAACCCTTGAGAAGTAAAGTAAAAGCATTACCTACTTAGATCCTGTTGAATGTGCAAATAGGGAAAAATCTGAAACCTCTATAGTGCCTGGGTTTGGGCTACTGGTCAGTGACTTCAGGTATATTTTCCCCCCAGAAGCTGCCTCTGCTGTGATCACTGTTGAAGCCTCTGTTTTAAATGAACCTGAAATTGGCTTATTAGGCTAGCTGAATTTTTTTTTTCAGAATCAGGGTCTCACTCTGTCCCCCAGGCTGGAGTGCAGTGGTGTGATCATAGCTCACTGCAGCCTGGACCTCCTGGGCTCAAGGGATCCTCCCACCTTGGCCTCCCAAGTAGCTGGAATTACAGGTATGAGCCACCATGCCCAGCCCTAAACTAGCTGTTTTTGATTGAGAATTGCCCTAGAGGTTTTATTTATTTGTAAAATTAATGGTATCCTTGATTTTTGATCACATAACTAATAGTTGTCAGGCCAGTGCCCTTTGCATGGGAACTATTTAGGAATCTTGTTACCATCTGTCGGTATTCCCTTTGTTAGAGATGCTCTTGGTATAAAGGGCTCAGCAGCAGTTTTGTCATGAGCTCAGTGTTGGCCCCACCCTAATCTAGAAATTTCTTTGCAGGTTTAGGCACACAATATCTAATGAGTATATCTGGGAGCCTGTCAATTATGATCTTTTGCTGCTATTCAGTGGTAATTGAAAAATAATTAAGCAGTAGCACACAGATATATCTGACACATGTGACTTAGAGATAGAAAAGCTTGCTGCTATGCTAAACTATTTAATAGGCTAAGCAAAAAGATTCGTCGTGAATATGTAACAATAGCTTTTCCGAAGGAAGGGAGGGAAAGATAATTAATATTCTTGAACATCCATGACATAGCAGACACTGTGCTAGCTGTTTCATCAACCTTTTATTTAATTCCCATTACTTACCCAGTGTGCTAAGTATGATTTCCTCTCTCTAAAACTCAGAGAAATTATAAATGCTGTGTCCAAAGCTGCACAGCTATTTACCAGATGTCCTGGGACTACCAGAGTGTAAGGACTCAATAAATGTTTGTGCTATGGATGAATGGAATGTGAATGAAATGGCCTGCAGCCCAGGCAAGTTTTCACATTACCATTTGTCTCTCATCTCACCATGTGTTTCAAAACATAAAACGCTTTGTTTATCTTTTAGGAAGACCCACTTTTCTTTGAATGGGACATGAAAATAATGGGTGTGGATATTCTTACTCCTATTTATTGTTGAACATTTGGTTCCTGATTTAAACTTCAAAGTACGACTCCTATGAGAGTTTAATCTCCAGAAAATCCCTGATGAGAAACAGGCAGATAGATATCTATTTTATGATAAATCCTTATTCATTCAGAATTTCAGAGGCAATGAAGATGAAAAAGGCAAATGCATACATATCTCTCTCTATCCATATATATTAACAAATAAGGCTAACCATGTTTTAAAGTAGCCATTTTTTGTGATCTGTTTTAATGAACAGATTAGTATAGTACTGTAGTTTTTTATGTTTTAATTTAGACCGTCATCTTGAGGCCTTAAAATAATTTAATATCTTAATTAGCCAAAGCATTCCCTTTCAAGAACATTAGCTTGCTAGCCATCCTTTCTTATGTAGTATGAAGATATATTTTAGTCCATATTCTAATTTAATAAAGTTTTACATTATTTTCAAAGTGTCTCTGAAAGAGATTAATGTAATTGTGGTTCAGTAATTATTCCTGTCCCTGTTCTAGGTTAGTCTCCTCTCTTATCTTCTCCATAGAAAATGGGTATCACTGTTTTCCATTTGAAGGAAAAGAATTTTTTTTTTTCCTTTGTGATGGAGTCTTGCTCTGTCGCCAGGCTGGAGTGCAGTGGCACAATCTTGGCTCGCTGCAACCTCTGCCTCCCGGGTTCAAGCAATGCTCCTGCCTCAGCCTCCTGAGTACTGGGACTACAGCTGCGTGCCACCACGCCCAGCTAATTTTTGTATTTTTAGTAGAGACGGGGTTTCACCATGTTGGCCAGGTTGGTCTCAATCTCTTGACCTCATGATCTACCCTCCTTGGCCTCCCAAAGTGTTGGGATTACAGGCGTGAGCCACCACACCCAGCCCCAAGAATGTTTTTTAAGAAAAACAATTTCTTGCTTTATGAAAATCAGTTTCACATCTTTGGTCTAATTATGTTGTTTTAATTTTCAACAAAGATCAGTTAAGGTTTATTTGTATGCTTTTCTAAATGAAGGGGGAAGAAAAGAACAAAACAAAAAAACCAGTTCCCCCATTAAGCTCAAGAGGAAGTTTCTTGTTCTCAAATCCATTTAAGAGGATAAGCCATTCAAAATCTCCTCTGTCACCTCTCAGACATATTTTTCTAATATCACAAAGGCGTGGAGGGCATTCTAAGCCCTAAATTGAGCAAAATGAATTGGCCTTGTGACTATTTATCCATGCATTAATTGGTCTAGGAATGGTTCTAGCATGAGCATGAAGAAAACTAGAAGTATTCAACTACACCTAAATCCACTCTCTGGAGTAGATTCTGGGGTTTGCATTTGGGGGCAGTTCCCAAAAGTATCAGGCCTCTGTCTCTGTTCCCTTTTCTCTCAAGCTCCTTGGAATCCCTGGGTGGTTGTCCAGTGGTCCACAGAGGTACCTGTGCCAGGGTCTGCGGGGGCATCCCAGGCAGGCCTGAGCATCCTGAACCTTATTTCATCCATGCACCTCTGTTAAAAATTCTCATTCCTCTATTAAAATGTTGTGGGAATTAGACCAAAGGTTGATGAAACAGCTAGCACAGTGTCTGATTTGTCATGGGTGTTCAAGCAAAATTCTCAAATCTCTGTTTAAAATTCTCTATTAAAAATTAAGAATTCTGTGCCTACTAGGTAATAATTACATAATCTTAAAAATCAACCTCTTTTTTCCCTTAGGAAATATAGATACATTTTTGAGAAAGAATTGCCCAGAATCTAAATATAATCTGGACATGAATAGAATTTCAGTTCTAAATGCATGATTCTTTTGAAAAAGGCAGATACTATATGCAGTGTGAACGTGCATATAGTAAAATCCCCCCCTTTTTAGTGTACAGTTCTGACTGTTGACAAATACACAGAGTACTGCAACCAAATATGGAACATTAACATCACCCCAAAATTCCCTGTGCTGCCCCTTTGTTGTAGCCAGTGCTTCCTCTAACCTCAATCCCTGTCAACTGCTGTTCTTTTCCCTATAGCTGTAAAAGATAACATTTCCAAGATGTCATATAATTGGAATCCTATGTTATGTAGCCATTCAAGTCTGGCTTTTACCATTCAGCTTAAGTCATTTGAGATTCATCCATTCGTTTCATGTTTTAAAACTTTGTTCCTTTGTATTTCTTAGTAGTATTACATTGTGTGGAGGTAACACAGCTTATTCACTGAAGGATATCTGAGATGATTCCAGTTTTTGGTGATTACAAATAGAGCTGCCATAACCATCCATACACAGATTTCATGTGAATATAAGTTTATACAACACCTAAATAAATACCTGGGAGTAGAATTTCTAGGTCGTATGGTAAGTTTATATTTATCAAAGGGAGATTGTTAAATGTATTTCAGATTTTATTTTTCTTCTAATTATAAAAGTGATGTATGTTTGTTGTAGAAAACTTAAAAAATATAGAAAAGTACCAAAAAGGTTAAAAAAAACCCTTAATTCCATATGTATTTCATTGTCATCTGGGTATGTGCATAATCTATTTACCAATTGTTTGGTGTCCTATTTTTTGTTTCACAAATATTTTCTGTGTCATTAAATATTAAATAACTTCTGATAATACCTAAGAAGTACATTTAATGATAGGAGTATCATAAACCATGGCAGACTGATAGAGGAGATATTTTTGTACAGAGGAACTTAGAATCTTTGTGGTTGTTTGAACACACCTTCTCATATTTGCGTAGTCCTCTATTATATGAATTCATTTAGGAACAGTTAAAACTAATATGGCCAATTGCCTTGTATAGATACGCCCTTTAGGTTTGAGGCTTATAGGTATGAATAGAATGTTGGTCCACTGGACGTTATTTTTTCCCTTGGATAAACTCAATACCTCTTAACTGTTATTTAAATGGTGACTGTAAGAACATTATTGTCCTTTACTTTCATAAAATAATTTATACTAATCTTCTTAAGTGAAATTAAGGTTAGGGACTATCATGTTAAATAACCAGCTAATCACTAAAAATCTTTTTTATTTTCTTTTTAATGCTGCATTAGTGGTTCAAGTGAGGTCTCTGTTTTGAGAGAATCAGTAAGTTGGCTGTTTTCGTTGGTATTTGGGAAAGCTAGGGATATGCTTGGGGTGTGGTGTAATTCATTCACATGCCTGATTTGTAAAGCCAGGTCTATCTTCCTGATTTTCTGAAGAATAGGCTCATGACATTTGACTGGACAATGAGGAAGAGTAGAAAAAGGGTCTGAGAAGAGTTTAAAGATTTGGCTACTATTTTGGATGTCTGGAAACTTTTTCTTTACCTAAGTATCAACCCTTTATTCTTTCAGGGCTCAACTGCAAGACATACATTTCTGAATTAAGAGAGCATTAACAATAAAATTCCTGTCAGGGTCAATTGTTAAACTAGCAGTCAAGGTGACTGACTTGGGCAGTATGTAACTTGTGCAGTTTCCCCCTGTGTTGAGTGGTTTTAATCTAAATTTTCCTATTAGCCTGAGTTTGGTTGCAAAGACCATATCCCTAAAAGTTTAAACCAGGGGAGAAAGTGTGTGTGCATATGTGTGCCTGTGTGTGCACAAATACCCCTCAGTGAAAAGCTCACTGCCAGCCCAGAACAGAGTAGGGTTCAGTCTTCAAAATGACAAGGAAGTCCTTTGGAACTTCTGGGCACTGCACTCCCTGTCTGCCAGGTATGACTAGCCAAACTGCAAACAAAATTCAAGTTACATAGATACCAGTTTGCTGTCTTGTTTACTGACATGTTTTATCTAAAACCAAGCTGTAGCAGTTACAAAAAAATAATTTATTTTCAAAGAGTTGATTTAGAGCTTAGCTTTGGTTTTATTTTTGCTAGGGAAGCATTTAAAGAGAATCTAAAATATGCTATCCAGCTAACTAAGATATAGGGAGTTTTAACAGAAAATTGATTGGCCCACAAATAGGTAAATTAGTTCGGTGCAAAAGTGTATCAATACAGTATACGATGAACTTACTAAGCACAGTGTAAGTTGCTAGGAATAAGGCCATCCAGAATTCTATGCTGAATAGCGTTTCAGGGTGACTTTGTATTTTGGCAACATATCCCAGACAGTTAGTGGAAATGAGAGAACATGTTTTATTTAATTTGTACTTTGGTACCTTTTATGTGAACGAGGCATGTTTAAGCACTTAATGTTGTCACCAGCCTTTTAAAACTATCTTTTTTTCCCGCTGCCCAACTGTAGTTTCCCTTCAGTGTTGAGTGGTCGTAATCTAAACACATTAAGTTTTTGTCTTGTTCTTTCTGCAGAGATAGAAAGCTGGGTCTGAAAATAAAAGCAGAGCTTTTATACAAGGAGGTCAGTGTTTGTACTCAGAAAAGAAAGTATGTAAACCAGATTTCTAATGGTTTTTATAACTGTTCTGAATGACATTGGCATTTAGAGATTGGAAGCTTTTAAAATTCTTTGCTTAATATTTTTCCTCTGCAAATATTTTTCTTCATTACCTGTCCTCATGTCAGTTTTCTTCCTGTCATGATCATTACAAAGTCCATTTTGGTATCCATGTGAATTGGTATAATTGGAGCCGGTGAAATTCAGATTAGGCATCAGGAAGAACTTTCTGAAAAGCCAGAACTGTGGGAATACTAAGAAGATGGGCAAGTTTCTTCTTAGAAACATATAAAGAAACATTTTAAAAGTGATCTTCTTGGGGAGTTTGTCTCCTTGCTTAGACCTGAGGGGGTGAGTGAAATAATCTTTTGTGACCACTTTCACTTTGTGCTTTTGTGATTCTCTGAATATACATATCCACTGTAAGTTTGAATGATTTTTATCATGGAATCTTATGTGTAGCAATTCCCTCTAATGACAGGAATAGATGGTCATCTACTCTCCTTAAGCTCTTCTAATGGTGACAAGAACCCACTTTCCTGGATAAGGAAGAGAGTCCATATTTGGACAGTTCTACTTGCTATAAAATAATTTTTAACTGTGGCCTAAAATCTGCCTCTGGTAATTCTCTCCACTTGCTCTTGGTTCTGTCCCCCTGAGACATTGTGTAGTAACTCTGTTTTTTCTTGGATATCATCCTTTAAGACTTTGAGAACAGCTGTCATATCCTCTCGTTAAGTGTCCTCTTTGCCAGAATAAATCCCTGATTTCAAAAGCCTTTCTTCTCATAGTGTGGCCCTCAACATCCAGTTAAAATGCAGTGCCTCTAATTGAACAGAATCCCTCAGCAGGCCATGGCCAATGCAGAGGACCATGGGGTCATCACCTTCCCTGTTCTGCCTACTGTCCTTCAGTCTCAGGTAGTCTGAGTTCATTTTGGGTGACTGTATCAAACTGCTGCCCCATCCTGAGCTTACTGCTGTCTGAAATCTCTAGGTCCTTTCCACGTCAATGCTATTTATCTGGTCCTCTTGCATCCTGTGTTGTGCTGCTGAGTTTTCTTTAACTTAAGTACAGCATTTTCATTGTTAGTTGGTGAAGTTCGTCTTGTTAGTGTTGGTCCTGTTGAGGTCTTTCTGAGACTTGATTCATCCTGACTGACCCTTCCAACTTTGCTTCTACCATTGGTAAATTTGATAATGATATCTATGCTGTCATTGAAGCCATAAGTAAACATGTAGAACAAAGTAGAGCATTGCTTGTCTTGTGGAAAGCCTTCTTATTTTTAAAATGATAATTTCTTTGTTTCATCCCAATGTAGTAAAGAAATGGTCAGGCTAGTGGCTGATTAAATGGGTCACAACTGGTGGCTTCCCTTTGTTGTGCCCCTACAGACCTTCACTCAAATTCTTAGCCTTGCAAGTCTGAAAACAAGTTTTCTTTCAAGTCAGATGTGCTATCTAAATCAAGTGTTGGAAATTGCTTTGTAAAAAGGGTTTAAATTATGAAATATTGGAATCATAGAGAATAGTACAGCAAGTAATATAACAAAGCCCTCTTTTAACTTATCACCTATAGTTAAGACAAGTCGAAAGGTTAATGTTTTTCCTTCTCGTCCAGAAAGCTAAAGAATGTTGTCAGCCACAGAGAGATGTTGTGGCACCCTGTACTAAATACACGGTACTGAATGTTCTGGCCAAAGAGAAAACGTTTCTCATTGGAGAACCCTGATGAGATCAGCCATTGAGAGTGCTGCCAAACGACTCCAGGTTGAGTAGGTTCTGCAAATCATGTTGCTTTCTGTGGCTGCTCTTTCCAACATATATCTTGTGTTCCAAAGGAGCAGTTTTGGTGCAGGATAGTTGACCATAGGTGTGTGAACTTGCCCCAAGAAACAAAGGAAGACTACGGTGCTGGCATTAAAATGTGAGCTTTATAGCAGTTCAAGGGACAATCAAGAAAATAAATAACAAAGAAAAGCAGAAAATGGCAGAAAGCCCTGGATATGATAAGAGGCCTCATAAATATCACTGCAGTCTGAAGGGACTGACCCACAGTTGTGGATAGCTAGAGGCAATTCTTGGCTTCAAGGGATTTCAAGAACCTGTAAGGATTGCCAGTGTGTGTAGCTGCATCGCTGTGAGGACTTGGCTGTGAGAGTTTAAGAGACTGCCTGGCTCAGCCTCCTGACAAGCTGTGTGATCTTAGGCAAGTTATTTAAGTGCTCCCTGCCTCAGTTTCCTCATTTGTCAAATGAGGATTATAATAGACACCTACCTCAAAGGACTGTTGTGGGATTAAACTGATCAACTGAAAGCTGTTAGAACTGAGATTGACAGGTTGGCTAGGTGATGATATGTGTTGCTCTAATCATGAGGATGACCATGTATAGTGCTGATTTTATTTTTAAGAACATATCCTCTGGGCTAAAGGAATGCTGCCTTAGGGGGAGCTGCAGTATTTACTCTATCTCCTGTGAAACAGAGTGAAACATTCATGTTTGCTGGCTGGATCTTGCCCCAAGGACAATGCTAAATAAATATTGAACAATTCTCATTCTTTAGATTTTCTGTTTCTAAAAGTCATTTAGATGGCCATACTTTTGTTTGTATTCTTCATCACAACATCACCCTTTATTTAAATACACAGAATGTGTTAGATTTCTCAAGTTTATTTAGTCACCGATCACATTTCAGGCGGGCAGCTTCTTTTGATATTATGGAGGCAGATACATATCTTTCCTCGATAAGGTGGGTAGTAAGTAGCTAATTTTACTCAAATTGTATAGACTATTTTTGTTAGTGTTAGAGAGTAGAACTTCACAAGTTGGGAGTTTGTCTTTTTGGCGCCTTTAAATACCTATGAACCAGTTACACACTAACTATTGTTTTAATCTTGAAATAAGAGCAAGGAGTAGATAGTAGATAGGCCTGAATTCGAGTCCCAGCTGTGACCTTCCAATTTGTACTATCTCACTTTCCCATTTATAAGGTGGGAATAACAAAACCTAGCTTGCAGTGTTGTGAGATTTAAACGTATTGCCAAATAGTGGTTTCCAGAGTTATTCAGTGAATATATCGCCATCTAATTCTGATCTAAAAACAGTTTTTCTAAGGTTCAAGTTTAAATGTAAAGCATTAACATGCATATTACTTATAGTTTGTGGTTAAGTTTATAGCTTATAGTTCTGTTTATAAATTTATAAAATGAATTTAATGAAATCTACTCAACTTATCCTCAAATGTAGAGTTTTTTAAATAGTAAACTGTCCCAGTCAGATATGTTGTATATATCTGTGACCCGCAGAGAAGTAGTTGGGGGTAAAAATGCTTCTTCCCCTGTTAAGAGGTGCTCGCAAGGCTAGGAGAATGACTGGTGATGGCCATGTAGGTGGTTAGATAGGTAGGGATGTCCTACTTATCTTGTTGGATTCCAGTGTTGCCTTGCATCGGTAGGCACCTTTAAGGCAAAATAAAGGAAAATATATTTCAGTAGACTGCTGACTTGATCATGTATGCAACCTATAATCAATATAGGTTCAAACTGTCCACCATAAGGAGGATTTTTTTTTTTTTTTTTTTTGTCAGGGTTTCATCTGTTGCCCAGGCTTGAGTGCAGTAGCACGATCACAGCTCGCTGCAGCCTCAGCCTTCCTGGGCTCAGGTGATCCTCCTACCTCAGGCCCCCGAGTAGTTGGGACTACAGGTGTGTGCCACCATGCCTGGCTAATTTTTGTATATTTTTGTAGAGACAAGGTTTTGCCATGTTGCACAGGTTGGAACTGTTTTGAAGGTTGATATTTTTAATGGTTTAAAATTTTAGATTTGAAAATGAAAAATTTATTCTCTAGTTTATCCTAAAAATTAAGTAGCTGTTTAGAATCTTTTGGTTTTTTACTTGCTCTGTGTTGAGTCTTTAATTAAACAGTTGAAAACTAACATCTTAGATGTCTTTGGGACAGTATGTACTGAGCTAGATTTTTTTTTTGCAATGATCAGATGAAATTCTTTAATTTTTTCTTCTTCTCTGCCTTTAAGCTAAAAAAAAAAAACCCTCTAATCTCTTATGCAGAAAAGTAGAAAATTCTTGATGTTCTCTGTGACAAGAATAATCCATTTTTAGTAACTGTGCTCAACCTAATTTAGCATGTGGGACTTCAATGGGAATGCGTTAGTTTCTGTGATTGTTGGGAAGATGTTTTTATTGACTTGGTAGTTATGTGTGCTTTCATTATGTGGTCAAAAGGTTTGGAGTTGTATAGTTTGGAAGGAGGGTATAACCAGTTAAAAAAACAAAATGCGGATCTGTGTCTATCTTGTCAGGAATGAGATAACTTAAGGGGTTGCTGTAACTTAAGGATTTCTTCAGTTAGACATATACCTTGAAAAACTCAAATCATCATAAGTTTTGGAAGCATGCCTTTGCTTGGCTATTAAAAAATTTGTTCAAAGAGAAGGGGTCTTATGTAATACATAGTGGCCATTTGGTTTTAAGGAAAGAATTGGGATACTGTGGCACAGTCATCAGGATATTTGACAAGTTACTGTGTCATAATGTACTTCCAGGGAAGACCCATAATTACTGTGTGGCCAGCAAACTTCTCTTTTAGTTGTTTTTGAAGGGATAGGGTGGTCATGGAATGAGAATTGCTTTCCTTTCTGCTAGGTAAATTTTAAAGTCATGTGTCTCTGGAAAGCTTTTTGTATTCATTACATGTGCTGGGGTTTTGGGTGATTTCAAGAGGCCCAGAGTAGACAGCATAATATTAATATAATCTACAGTGTCAGAAGTATGGTAAATTGTTAGAAATGGCATTTAAAATGATACAGTTTTTCTTTATTATGTAAACAGTTATTTATCAATGAAGCTGTTTTCTCCTAGCTCTTCTCATTTCTGAATTAAGGGACACTTGTAGAAGTACATCTAGCACTACATTTGGGGTAAAATTGTTGAGATTGAGAGGGAGAGGGTAGTGTGTGTGTGGTCAGCATAGCCTCCCCCAGTATCCACATCCCCCACCAGGAATATCACAATTTAGTGAACTTTTTTTTTTTTTTTTTTTAACAATTGATGAACTAACATTGACACATCATCATCATCGAAAATCTGTAGTTTACATTAGGGTTCACTCCTGATGTTGTATATTCTATAGGTTTGCACAAATGTATAATGATAAAGTATCCACCTTTATGGTATTACATAGAGTGTTTTCACTGCCCTGAGAATCCTCTGTGCTCTGCCTATTCATCCCTCCCCCACCTACCAACCCTTGGCAACCACTGGGTTTTTAACCATCTCCATTGTTTTGCCCTTTCCAGAATGTCATAGAGTTGGCATCATGTAGTATGTAACTTGTTCAGATCAGCTTTTTTTTTTTCACTCAGTGACATGCATTTAAGGTTCCTTCATGTCTTTTCATGACTTGATAGCTCATTTCTTTTTAATGCTGAATGCTAACGCTAATACCATCAACTGGATGTACCACAATTTATTTATCATTTGCCTACTGAAAGACATCTTGGTTGTTTCCAAGTTTTGGCAATTCTGAATAGAGCTGCTGTAAACATCCATGTGCAGGTTTTTGTATGATGTAAGTTTTTAGTTCCTTTTGGTAAATATTGAGGGTTATTCTACTATTTTTAATTCTCTGTATAGCACTTATCTGATATTTTCTTACTTTATCTTTCCAACAGAAGGCTCTAGACCATGAGAACAGGGATTTGCTCGGTTTATTGCTGCATCCCTTGTTCCTAGAACAGTGTTTTGAATATATTTTAATAAGGGCTTAATATATGTTTGATGAATTAATGTATAAAGCTACATTTTACTAAGAAAAAAGTGGTATATGAAAGCATAGCGGAAACACACAAACAGTAGGAAATGATTCTTTTGGTTTACAAAAATGTTCTCCCATTCTAGTTAATTAACTTTGAGTCCTTTTTGTGCATAAGAATATTTGAGGGAAATTTGAGAGGAAATAATTACTTTATATCCTGCTTTATTCATTTTTAGCTTTTTAAAAATTTTTTATTTCAATAGGTTTTGGGGAACAGGTGGTGTTTAGTTACATGAATAAGTTCTTTAGTGGTGATTTCTGAGGTTTTGGTGCACCCATCACCCAAGCAGTGTACACTTTACCCAATGTGTAGTCTTTTATCTCTCACCTGCCTCTCACCCTTTCCCAAGTCCCCAAAGTCCATTGTATCATTTTTATGCTTTTGTATATCCTGTGTTATTCCTAAAATAAATTGGAGTAGTTTAACAATGAAAAATAAAAAGACTAAACACATAATAGGGTCTTACTCCATGCCAGGCAGAGGCATTCATTATTACATTTGACTGTCACTAAAATCTAAAGGACTATATTTAATTCCATTTTCAGATGAGGAAAGGAAATTAAGTTACAGAAATTAAGCCAGTTGTTTAAAGCTAAACAGTGATAAGTGATAGAGTCAGGCTTGGGATCCAGGCCAACTGACTCCAGATCCAGGGCTGGCTGACTTAACCATGATGCTCTCTGGCCTTCATTATGTGGGAGGGTCTGTTAGTACATTCTTGCATTGCTATCAAGAAATATCTAAGACCGATTACACTAAAATCTCAGAAATCACCACTAAAGAACTTATCCATGTAACTAAAACCCACCTGTACCCCGAAAACTATTGAAAGAAAAAATAATTTAAAAGGAATGATGGAATTAGAAAATCATCATTTGACAACTATTACAGCAATAATTCATTAAGGCAAGAAAAATCAGATTTTTCTTGAAATTAAGAAATGAGATGAGGCGTGAAAAAGAAGAAATATCTCAGAGTGGGTAATATATAAAGAAAAGATGTGTAACTGGCTCACAGTTCTGTAAGCTGTACAGGAAGCATGGTGCTGGCATTTGCTTGGTTTCTGGGGAGGCCTCAGAAAACTTACAGTCATGGCAGAAGGTGAAGGGGGAGCACACAGTCACATGGCCAGAGCAGGAACAAGAGAGCAAAGGGGGACACGTTATACACTTTTAAATAAGATTTTGCAAGAACTCGCTATCACAAGAACAGCACCAAAAGGATGGTGCTAAACCATTCATGAAGGAGCTACCCCCATGATCCAATCACCTCCCACCAGGCCCCACCCCCAACACTGGGGATTATAATTGAACATGGGATTTGGGTAGGGACATGGATCTAAACTATATAAGAGGGTAAAAAAAAGGATGGAAGGGGCATAAATTGGTAAAATGAAGGCCTGTAGTGTTGGCAGAGAGAAAAGAGAAGAATAGGGAGGGACAGTTAAATACTACGAGACAGGTTGGGATGAGATGGCCTGAAATTCAGAGGGACATCATGGGCATGCCCAGAAGAGTGGGGCCTTCCAGGATAGCTGGGGTTGGGATGAGCAGAAGGGCCAGGGCAGCATGCTCACTGGTAATGAAAGGTATGAAATCCTGAGGATTTCACTTCAGGGTCTTTGGGGAGACAGAGGAGCAGGACACACTTCTAGGCAAATGTGCTGATAGAATTTGTGCATTAAAGAGGAAGGAAGATGATCCTGTGTCCTTGGAAGGCCACATAAAGGATAGACAAAGTGAGGAGTTAGCATATAGCACAGGTAACATTTCTCTGTGCCCTCATAAGCTAGTGCTTGTACCACTTTATATCCCAGAAAAAAATCAGATACACAACTGAGGTAGATTAAGATCCTGGAAAATGAGTGCTCTGTTGATCTTCTAAACAGATGGTAAGTAGCATCCAGTTCCAGAAGAATGCAAGAACTGATACCACTTTGCCAAATTAGAGTGAACTGTCTTCAGGATAAAAATACTTCTGTTTTTTCTTTTTCTTTTTTTTAAGTTGTGTTTTTGCAGTGGAGAGGGAAGACTATTTTGAAGTAGAGAGGACTTTCATTTATAAAATGGAGTCTTTCAAATGAGTGCTTACTACACCTTCTATTTTATTTCTCTGAATCCTGTTTCCAGCTTGGAGAACTTGAGGAGGGTCATTGTAACTTTGGTCAAATAATGTAGCCTTCTAAACAAAATATCCTCTTCTGTAAAATGAGGGTACTGATGCTGCGCTGCCGACCTCACTGTGCTGTTTTGAGAAAGTTGAGGAAACTGCCTGGCACTCATTAGATATTCAATAAATGTTTCTTCAATGAACAATACTGAATAACAAGAGTGATATTGATTTTAGTAATCTCTGAGTAGCTGGCTAATTTATTAATTTATTAAGTAATTAATAAATTAATACATTTATTAATTTTTATTAATTAAATTAAAATTAATTAAATTAAATTAAAATTTATTTATTTATTAAGTGTCAGAAGTGCTATGCAAGTGCCGATATATTTTATTTCATTTAGCAATGTTAAGAATTTCCTAAGATAGGCAGGCACTGTTTTTATTCCTGTTTTACAATTTAGTAGCAGAGGCAGCCAGGATTGGAGTCCAGGTCTGCTTGAATCTTTGAGGCCTTACACTTTTCACTAGAGCTTCAGGAGGTGGCTAGAGATCCAGACCAGTATCTCTGGTCTGCATGTACAGTCATTGAGCCAGACCCATGTTTTTCTAATCTCTAGGTTATTTTTGGTACTCTTAAAAATTCCAGAGCAGCAGGGTACTGAGAAAGAGACTGTAGCTCAAGGAAAGCCAATCTCGATAGCAGCCTTCCTGGCATAACTGCCTGTGTCTCCTAGACTGGTCTTTGTAAAATGCAAATCTGATTGTGTTACTCCCCTGCTCAAAACTCTTCCAGGAACTCTTTGTCTTCCAAGCCCTCCATGCGATGGCCTCTGCCTTCATGTCCAGCTTCTCCTCCTATCCTACTTTCTACTTCAGGAATCACAGCCTGGCGATAATAAACTGTCATTCTCCAAATGAGCCATTCTCTCACTGGTTTTCACGCCTTTATTTGGAATTCCCTTCCATTCACAGCATCCTTTCCATCTTCAGAGAGGCCTTTCCTGACCTGTTACTCCCTCTCCCATCCATACAGAGACTCTTGTGCTCACTTGTGTTTGTTTAAGCTCTTCTCTTCCTATTAGGCTGTGAGCTCCGTGAAGAAAGAAAGGATAGGTCTTGTCGTCTTCATACCATCTGTGCCTAACACAGTGCCTGACACACATCAGGTATTTATTGAATGAAGGAATAAGAGAAAATAATCTAAAAGAGGTCATAATATTCACAGTCCTTGAACATGGTCATTTCTTCGAAGTACTCAATGGATACTCATGTGTAACTTCTTAAGACTTCACTGTGGAGTTAGGTGTGAGGAAATGGTCACGGAGCCAATCAATGCACCGGGCTGTCTCTTGTTTTCGGCAGAGGCTTTGCTGTGGGGGACGCAGCACTGACCACAGTGGCAGGGCTTGCTGGGAGTTAAGAAGGAAGCATGGGTTTGACTCCTGCTTCTTCCTGACCCTCCAGATCACTGTATAATTATCAGGGCATTTACCTCTCGAAGTCTCTCTTTCCTCATCTATAAAATGAGGATGATGGTTTCTACCTTATAGGCCAATTGTAAGGAATTAATGAGATAATTCACTTAGAATGGTACTTGGTACATTCAAATGCACAGTACTGTTAATTAAAACACAAAGGGTCCTATCATGGCCATTTTTATCCTTATGTGTTCCTAAGCAACCACAATTAATAAACTGATAAATACTACTGTTTTTGCATTAAGGCTTTCTGTTAGGAAATGAGAAATTTCATATTTAATGTGAGTTAATACAGTGCCTGATGTCCCTTTATAACTGAGATTGCTTCAGTAACATCTATATGGTAGGAGTTTGATAACAGTAAAATATCTGCAAATAGGTACCTGCCATGGTAAGGTTTGTAAACAACGTCGAATTTTATGGGACCATTGAAAGTTGGTGAGGGGAGGGAGGGAGGGAGGTAGAAGAGGGAGAAAGAAACAGTGAGGGGCAAGAAAGGACAAGGTCAGAAAAAGGAGCTCCTTCGTTTTAAAGCCATGGCTGCTTCTGCCTAAAGTGGCTGGGAATGAGAAAGGAGTCCCCAAGTGTGCTCTCCTTTCTCCCTGCAGGGTTGTATGGAAGGATGGGCTCCCCAGAATGGGGATGTGCCATTAGTAGGATGTGAGTAGTGTGAAACCTCCCCACCCCCACTTTATGATGTGTTTCAATGAGACACATCCGAGGTGCTTCTTTGGCCCTCAGCTCTTGATTTAGATGCAGTGTTCCTTGTCAGCACCAAAGTTTAAATTCTTTTCTGCCTCCCTCTCCCCTCCTCCTTTTTACAAAAGTGTTTCCAGATTGCCATTCCTGGTGGGGTGAATCTTTCTCTCTCCTGCTCATTTTTATTTATCTATTTATTTTCCATCTTTCTCACGCTTTTCCTATTTCAACTAAGCTCCATGTTGCTTTGTTTTTCCAGCTCTTTCTCTGCTTGCCCCCGTCATCACTCCCCAGCCCACTGCCGTTGTTTTTGTTTCTCTCCCCACCGAGCCCTCTTCCTTCTTTTCTTTTCTTTTCTTTTCTTTTCTTTTCTTTTCTTTTCTTTTCTTTTCTTTTCTTTTCTTTTCTTTTCTTTTCTTTTCTTTTTTGTGATGGAGTTTTGCTCTTGTTGCCCAGGCTGGAGTGCAATGGTGTGATCTCAGCTCACTGCAACCTCTGCCTCCCGGGTTCACGCGATTCTTCTGCCTCAGCCTCCCAAGTAGCAGGGATTACAGGTGCACGCTGCCACCACGTCCAGCTAATTTTTTGTATTTTTTAGTAGAGAAGGGGTTTCACCATATTGGCCAGGCTGGTCTTGAACTGCTGACCTCAGGTGATCCGCCTGCCTCGGACTCTCAAAGTGTTGGGATTACAGGCGTGAGCCACCATGCCCAGCCCCTTGTGTCCTTTTCTTTCCCCTCTTCTGTAGGCTCTTGGAGCTGGGGCTGACTGACTGCTACCTGCTCTTTCCACGTGCCCTGCTTCTCTAGTTTCCATCAGGACTTCAAGTTTTCCATGCTATGACTGGGCTGGCCTTTTTCCTGCTTTTGCTTCGATTTGAGGAGAAGAGCTACAGGACCTGAAAGCGCTCTATGGTTTAACAAAGGTGACGGGAGCCCAGAAGAGAAGAGACAAGACAATGGAGGCTGGGGATGCTGTCGGGGTGGGTGCTGAGGAACTTTAGGGGGAGTTCATTGATTCTGATCCTGACTTCTTTTCATAAAGGCTCTTCCCAGTCCCTGGGGGAGGAATAGGATTCATCTGGGGGTCAGACTGTTGCTCTTCCCCACTAGTAGCTTGGGGGAGTGGGAAAGGTATTCGATGGAAGGTGACCACCAGGGATTTCTGGTCCAAGGTTAGCAGTGTGATGGAACCTAGATCAAGGTTATGGGTCTTCAGTTTGCTGTAATGTAAGGGGTTTGATCCAGATGAGCTCTAAGGCTTCTTTCAGATCTCTAAATTGTACATTTCTGAATCTCTACTTTTCTTACTAAGGATTCCCAGTATCTTACAATGAGCATTGCTTGGCAGAGTCTTTAGCACTCTTATTTAAGAGTGGCCTCGTGTGTGTGTGTGTGTGTGTGTGTGTGTGTGTGTGTATGTATGTGCATGTGTGTGTGTACGTACACCGAGGATAGATAGGTGGAAGGAATATTCTCGCACGGATGCTGGCCAGATGAGAGGGACAAGGGGAACTGTCTCCAGCTTTTATACCTTTGTACAAAGGAGAGGGACTGCCTGTGGAACACAAGGACTTGGTGGTCCACCATGAAATAAGAATGGATAGTTATGATCAGGTTATGCCCAGAGATAATCAATCCATGGAGACCTGGGGTTGTTTGTATTCCTGATAGTCTTCATTTTAGTTTGAGATGTTCAATGCTGTTACTTGGCCCACAATAACCTTCAGATGGCAGTTGATTTGACATAAATCTGTAGACCTCAAGTGCTAAATAATAACCATGTGAGGTTACTGTCTGTGTGGGTTCAAGGTGAATTTGAAGTTGACAAATTGTAGTCTTTACAGTGGTGCACATGTAAAGCTTGTTTGAGACATGAACCATAAAAAGGGCTTAGAGGAATATTTTCTTAGGCCATTAGTGACTTTGGTCACTAATAGAACTTAGTTGTCTTCCCATAAGACAGCAGAGGGTATCCTATAGTCCTTAGAGGGGCCTTAGAGACTCTTTCTTATTGGATAAAAGGAAACCTTTTTTTTTTCCAAACAAGTATTATGAGGAACATTAATATGTAATCTTGATAAAACTTTATTATTATAAATGTGTTCTTTAAGTTTATTGCATTTGTCAATTCGATGGAAAAATGACAACCTGGCACTTTAGGTCCTCTCCAATGTCTTAAAATTTGGTAAATAATAAATTTAAGTGGATGATAATCCTTTTAGATTTCATACTAATTGGAAACATATTTCCCAAATGAAATTTAAATGGAATGTTTATGAACTCCCAACATCCTCCCATTACAACTTAGGGTTCCCCTGATCTCAGTTTGAAAACCATTAATACAGAGAATAAAAATAAACTAAGCATAAATCCAAGGAGTTAGAAAAATAAACCAAAGCAAAAATATAAGAGAGAAATTAAAAAACAAACCTGGGGCTGGACACAGTGGCTCACACCTATAATCCTAACACTTCAGGAAGCTGAGGCGGGCGGATCGCTTGAGCCCAGGAGTTCAGGACCAGCCTGTGCAACAGGTGAAACCTTCTCTCTACCAAAAAATTAGCTGGGCATGGTGGTGTGTGCCTGTAGTTCCAGCTCCTCAGGAGACTGAGGTGGGAATATCACTTGTGCCCAGGAGGCCATGATTGTGGTGAGCTGAGATCATGCCACTGCACTCCAGTCTGGGGTACTGAACAAGGTCCTGTCTCTAATAATAATAATAATAAAAATAAATAAATAAATAAATAAATAAATAAATAAATAAAAATAAAAAATAAACCTGGGGCTGGATGTGATGGCTCATGTCTGTAATTCCAGCGCTTTGGGAGGTTGAGGTGGGGGGGTCATTTGAGGCCCAGGAGTACAATACCAGCCTGGGCAACATAGTGAGACTTTGTCTCTACCAAAAAAAAAAAAAAAATTTAGCTAGGTGTGGTGTGGTGGTGGTGCCTGCAGTCCTAGCTACTTAGGAGGCTGAGGTGGGAGGATCCCTTGAGCCTAGGAATTTGAGGCTGCAGTGAGCTATGATCATGTCACTGTACTCCAGCTTGGGTGATATAGTGAGAACCTATCTCAAAAAAAAAAAAAAAAAAAGAAGGAGAAGCGAAAAATGAACAGAAATCCCACGAAATCCAAATCCAGTTATGTTAGGTCCCCCATTTTAAAAAATATTGAAGCAATTAATCAATCTAGAATTATATACCAGATATTATAGATTCTAGACACTGAATATTAGATAGTTCTTTAAGTTCTTTAGCCTCATTCTTTCTCAGAGCAAATAAGCAAAACAGAAAAACAAACAAAACACACCATCTCTTAGTAGTGCTTGTTCCTCCTAAGCTGAAGCAATCCTTGTCGTCTTTGGATGTCTGATGCTTAGAGGGCTCTCACTGGGGAGCTGAACTCTGTCCCCTGTCCTTCCCTGTATTGTTTTGTGCTCTTCCCTTGGGGCCTGCAGAACATGTCTAATCCTATGTCTGCATGATAGACCCTCAGATATTTGCAGCGGTGACCATTTACCCATGAGTCGTCTCTTCTTTAGCAAAACAGTCCCAGTTCCTTCAATTGTTCTTCATATGACAGCATGCTTTTTGCATCCCTTTGGCATCCTTGTCCTTTTCCTCTGAACGTGTTGTCAGCTTTGTCTATATTTGTATTAAAGTATTCCATGGCCCAGGTGTGTCTGACAGGTATAAAGCAGAGCTGGACCATACTCACTCTTAATGGAGTTACTAAATTTTCATCAATATAGGGTAGGGCAGGCTGCTCCCTCAGTGATGCTAGTGGATTATTGATTAAAATCCCAACTTGTGTCTAACTGTTAAACTGCATTTTGCTTCCTTCTTGGTTTATGTAGTTGATGATTTGGGGGCCAGTATAGGGCTTTTATTCCTAAAGGATTATCAGAATAAGGCAAGAGTGATTACAATTTTTCTTATACCCAAGCCAGTACATTTCCCACTATGATCTGCTGCTTAAAGTGCCAGATACTTGTTTTCACTTACTAGGAGTTCTCTGTCTCCATGGAATTTGTAAGTTAGGGATTTGAAAAGGAAGCAAGCTAAGGGGCTTTATAAAGCCTGCTTCTGGTCTTGTGAGGAATCTGGAGTCATTTGCTGACCTCTGTCATGAATTGTCTTTTACTTAGTTCTGCTGTGTTATAGAAACAAAGGCAATTTCAATTTGATACTGGTGAATCATTCCATCAAGGGTGAAAGTCGTCTAGATTTTAAATTTATATGTGTGTGTGTGTGTGTGTGTGTGTGTGTGTGTGTGTGTGTGTGTATATATATATATATATATATATATATATATATATATATATATATATATATATATATGTATACTCACTCTGTTGCCCAGGCTGGAGTGCAATGACATGATCTTGGCTCACTGCAACCTCTGCCTCCTGGATTCAAGCGATTCTCTTTTCTCAGCCTCCCAAGTAGCTGGGATTATAGGTGTGCGCCACCAAGCCCAGCTAATTTTTTGTATTTTTAGTAGAGATGGGGTTTCACCATGTTGGCCAGGCTAGTCTCAAACTCCCGACCACGTGATCCACCTGCCTCAACCTTCCAAAATGCTGGGATTACAGGCATGAGCCACTGCACCTGGCCTGTGTGTTTATATTTTTTGAATTATTGTGTTTAATGCAGAGGTTTGAATAATGGGTATCTTTTACAAATATTAATATATGCATTTAATTATGTTAATTATTTCTTTGGGTAAGTTATTTTAATTGTGTAATTTAGATCTTTGATATCCTTGTCAATTTTTTGCTTACTTGTTCTATTAGCTATTGAAAGAGGCCTGTTAAAGTTTCCCACTGTGATTGTGGATTTGTCTATTCTATTGGATTTGTTAACTTTTGCTTTATATCTTTTGAAGATGTGTTATTAGGGGCATACAGAAGTAATATTATGATATTATCTTCTTCAACTGACTCTTTTTATGATGAAAGATTTCTCTTTCCCTAGTAATATGTGTTGCTTTAAAATCTGCTTTGTCTGATATTATTTTGTTTGTGCTAGCTTTTTCTTGGTTAGTTTTGCATGGATGTCTTTTTACTTTTAAGCTTTCTGTGTTATTTTTAAAGTATGTCTCTTGTTGGCAGTGTATAGGTATCGTTATTGTTTTTAGATTAAAAAAAATCCATACTGGCAGACTTGGTGTACTATTTGGAGTAGTCTATCTACATTTAATATAATTGCTGATATAGTTGGATGTATATCTACATATAGCTATTTGCTCTCTGTTTGGCATGCATGTTTTATTTTTATGTTTTTTGTTTCACCTGTCTTATTTTCTTTTTGATGAATCAACTATTTTTATTATTTAAGTTTCCTCTCTATAACTTATTAGTTATGCATTCTTTTGGTGGCTACTCTCAAGTCAAAATATGTATATTTAATATATTATAAATATGATAAAAGTACTTTCAGGCCGGGCGCAGTGGCTCACGCCTGTAATCCCAGCACTTTGGGAGGCCGAGGCGGGTGGATCATGAGGTCAGGAGATCGAGACCATCCTGGCTAACAAGGTGAAACCCCGTCTCTACTAAAAATACAAAAACTTAGCCGGGCGCGGTGGCGGGCGCCTGTAGTCCCAGCTACTCGGGAGGCTGAGGCAGGAGAATGGCGTGAACCCGGGAAGCAGAGCTTGCAGTGAGCCGAGATTGCGCCACTGCAGTCCGCAGTCCGGCCTGGGCGACAGAGCGAGACTCCGTCTCAAAAAAAAAAAAAAAAAAAAAGTACTTTCAGCAATTTCCTAATATTGCTAGGTACTTTAATTTCATCTACCTTTTACATTATTGTTGTCACACATTGTAGTTCTACAGATATTTTAAACTCCGTGACATTATAATATTTTGTAAAACATTTTCTTATATATTACACAAAATATGTAATTTTATAATTTTGTAAAATTGTTTGTATATTTGATTTAATTATATTTATTCACATATTTACCTACTCGCTATTCCTCATTCTTTCCTGCATTTCCATGTTTCTGTTTGAGATTATTTTATTTCTTCTTGAGTAACTTCCTTCAGTATTTCTTTCGGTGCTGGTCTGTTGGCACTGAATTCTCTCAGTATTAGTCTTAAACATTTTAATTTCAGTTTCATTTTAAAAGATATTTTTGTTAGATATGGAATTTTCTTTCATCCCTTTACAGATATTACCCAATTGTCTTTTGGCTTCCATTACTTCTCTGAGTGGTTCTCCTCTCTGGTATTTTGTTACATTTATGTCCTCATTGTTTCCATGACTTTTTATTTGCCAGCCCTTGTTATTCCTGGTTGTTTTCAGCCGGACTGTTGGCCTGCTGTGGTCTATTTTATCCTATCTGGAGATGGACACCTACTATAAAGGCTGTTTCTCAAAAAATGTGTTATAAGTCTTTTAAGTTATTTTAGTTAACCTTCTTTTAAAAAATTGGCATTCTGATATTTCCCCCTGGATTTAACCAATTTGTATTTACGTGAATGGGACAATACATTTGAATAATCTTGATATTTCAAATTATATAAAAGTCAGACGCTTTTAAACATGCTTCAAATCAGATCAGGGGTTCTTCAGTTTTTTGATTCACATGTTCTTTGTGTACTCTTCTCAGAATCTGTAACTGATAGACAGACTCCCCAAATAAATGCCCCAAACTGTTGCATACATTTTCCGGAGGATTAGGGTACATTTCCCCTCACCGTATCTATCTGTAGATTTCAGGATGGGAACTACATTAAGAACATAAAGGAAAGATTGAGTTAAATGAAAAGCTGTAGATAAGTCACTAAATATTCGTGCATTTGCTGTTTGTTCACTAACATGGTGGGGAGAAAATGTACTGAGCCTGGCACAGAAAGATGTAGATTTATTTCTGGCTCTGCTCCTCACTAGATCCAATATTTTCAGTGTTCTCTTTAATAAACAAGGTTCATAATAATACCTCCCAGGTATTATTGTGGGAATAAGACAAGAAAACACACAAGAAAGCACTGTATAAATTGTGGTGTGCTGTACACATAGATAATATGTATAAGTAGTTAGATATGTCAATATCTGTATTTGTATACATGTGCACACACATATAAGAAATAATATTTGCATCTCCACACTTCCTTTTAACGAAGTACTTCAGCTAAACACAGTAATTTGAATAAAATACTTTGTGCCCACGGTGCTTCCTTTGGTACCACATATGCTATTGTACTTGAGAAATTGTGAAGAGGATAACCTAACTTGGGGGTTGGGGCAGAAATCAAGAAACCTAATATTACACATCTGGCTCTGGGATCCTGAGCTAGTTAGCAGTAGTACCTATAGTTGTATTTACTTACCTATAAAATGGGATAATAACCATGCATGCTTTTTTTTTCTTTTAACTTTTCAAGGATCTTACAAAGTTCAGTACACTTGTTCTACAGGAAAGGCTCTGTATAGATTTTTTTTTCTTATTGTAAAGAAGACAAGTTTCAAATATTGAATACAAATCAAATTTGATAGTTCACTTAGCACTGTATTTTAGCATAATAGTTTTCATGGCATGTATTAGTAAACATTGATTATAATATTTAACAGTCAACTTATATTTACCTTTATTATGCTTCTTTCCCTAAATCATCCCATATAAAGGCTGTGTATAATACTAGAATCCATTGGAAGATAGTTTATGTCTTCCTGTCAAATAAAAAGGTGACAATTACCATTGAAAAGTATTTATTAACTTCCCATTTTTGCCTGTTACTATAAAAGCTAGAGTTCATAAACTTTTTTTGAATCTTTAGATGCCTTTGAGACTATGATGAAAGCCATAAAAAACCTTTCCTCAGAAAATGGACATATATACACACAAAAAACATTATTATGTTTTGCTAATAATTTTCAGAGGTCCTCAAACTGTCTGAAATCCATATTCAGATTCTTCCCTTGGTTAAGAAACCCCACTATAAAAAGATGTATCCTTTTTTCTAATTGTCATAATTTGAAAATACAGTATTTGTTCATTGCCCAGTCATGCCATATATTTAAGAAACCAGAGAGTTAAGGTGTTGTTCAGCAAATAGCATTGTTATTAACGAAGTGTAATTATATACAGATGCATTGTTTATAATGGGAGGGAAGAAAGGGAGGAAGGGAGAGAAAACATGAGTACAGGAATACCCAGTGATTAGGCTAATACAGCCACTCAATTACTCAAGGTATTAGAGACATAGATTAATGAAAAAATCTTTAGAACATGCAAACTGGTGTTGACAACCATTTCCACTTTAAATACCATCTGGAAAGGAATAGGAAAGTTGGATGAGATAGTTTAAGGTGGCAAAAACATTTGTTACCTTTTTGGTTCTCTGGGAAGAAATCCATAGATGTCACAGCATTTCAGCAGAAGGATTGGTCTTTGAAAATTATTGAGTTTTATGAGTAGAATTTCTCTAGAGGATGTTTGATGGTAAAAAATGTTAGTTTAATTTACCTGATTCTTTGTGTGTATTTATATTGAACTATGTTTAGTATGATTCTAGTCAGTTCAGCTTTTCTGCTCTACATTTGTGATTCCTGTTTTCCATGTGACTTGGCCTTCCAAGATTTTATGGGAGTACTGATGAGTATTTTTTATTTGGGCATGATTGGGTAAGAGGTGATATACCTTCACTATTTGACAGGGAAAGGGAATGATTCTGACACTGATTCCAACTGGTTCACTTGGGAAACTAAAAATTTTGACCTGCCAAAGGCAAAGTTTGTAGGTGAATTCATATGTGAAACAGAAGAGGGAAGACTAAATTTATTCAAATTGAGATTTGGTTTGGCCACCAGCAATGTTTACATTATTTTGCAATAGACTTTTATGAAAGTGAGCAATAAATTTCAGTGGCAATGGAAAAAGGTGAATTAAATCAGCGAGGAACTGTTTATGATCTGTTAACACAGGAAATACTTCCAAAGATAGTTTTGGCAAGGTTGGGGTGAAAATGATACTCTTAACCAGCACATGTGATAAAAGTTGATACAAAATTTTTGGAAAGAAGTTTGGCAATTTGTGACAACTTGTTCATATTTTTGGAAGCATTTCTAGAATTTTATTCTAAAATAACATCTCAAAGGATAAAAATTACTTAAAATGTTTATAAAGAGTTGTTTAAAATGTTAAAAAGTCAGAAGTACACTTAACGAACAGTAGATGAATATTTAAGTAATCATGCAATTGTGGAACATCAAACACTTGGTGGAATGCAATTAAAAAGGGTGCCAAAGATTGTAACAATGTAGAAAAATACTTTTGATAGAAGAGAAGAAACCACACAGTATGTATTAATGTATTATGCCATGAGTATAGCTGTGTAATAATTACCTGTGCATATGAATAAAGACTGGAAGAGAATAGGAAAAATGAAAAAAGGTTGATAGTTTAGGATCATGTCAATGCAGATGAAATCTAAATACCTTTAATTGCTATTATTTATTCAATAATGAAAACTTTTAAACAGTCTTCTAATTTTATGCTTTTATGGATTTTTATGTTAGATATTGAATTAATTAGAAATTTAATCATTTGGTAGAAGGCATGTTTTTGCTCCTAATGGATAGCTATTGTTCTAAAACTGTTTATTGAATTGTCCATTCTTTCCCTGCTGATTTGAAATGCCACCTATTATAACATAATTTCCATGGGTCCATGTGTCTGCCTCGGACTTTGAACTTGTCTGTCTCTATGCTACCATTACTCTGTTTAAATGACCCTGGTTTTATTGTATGTTTTGCTTTGTGGTAGAGCAAGCTTTGACAGCCCAAACATTCTCTCTCAAAAATATCATTTCGATTCTAGTGTATTTACTCCTCCAGATGAACTTTAGAATAAGCTTGTTGAGTTTCATTTGAAAAATGGGTTTTGACTGGAATACACTAAACTTGTTGATTAATTTGGGGAGATAATTTTGCCTAGCATGCTTCTTATTTTTTCCAGAAATTTCAGTGGCATATTTGAGTGTTTTTTATTTTGGATATAGTGAGTTTATAGAAAGGTGAGAACACATCTCTATTGTTTCTATGTAGAAGCAGAGTGATTCTGATATTTATGCCAACAAATTTATCTAGGAAAGTTTCTAGTTTTCAATTGCCTGAAACAAAGAATGTAATTGGATCCAGATGGGGAACTGAAAGAGATACTTTGGAATTCTGTACATTGGAATTTTGTCTTTGCCATATATGAAATCGGTGGCCTTTTTAGAAAAGTAGCAGATTTTCAGTGGACTCAGTGGTTAGAAAGATCCCACTCTTACCCAAAAAACTGCCACCTGTGGTTGGCTATTTAAGCTGTACTTGCATATTCTTTCAGAAGGCCGTTCTTCCTGCTGATCTCCTAAGTAGCTTTATCTAAATCCGTCTCCTTTGAGCTTTATCTGCCTTTTCTGAATGAAAATGTCCGTGTTATTTCATCTTCATATTTTCTTTCCTTGTCTTCCTCTCCTGCCCATCCATTTCTGTCTAAGTGGGTCTCTCTGTTGGTTTCTGTATCACCCCCTTCTTCTTCCATAGCATCTTTAACTGGGTCTTTCTGATGTTTTTCTGGTTACCATATAAGAGACTTTTTTTATTGCTGAATATCTTCTGAGTGTTAGGACTTCTGGGCATCTCTCTTTAATCTCCTTAATGGGCATGTCTTATTACTCACATGACTGTTGGTTATCCTTTCACTAGTGTAAAGCATGGCATGGTTCTTGGAAGGCAGGCGTGATGAATTACAAGACTGTAATGTTCAGGGTTGTATTGTGTTGGAAAGGGTTGCAATTAAACTCTCATAAGCTGTAGTCCTTGTCCACCCAACCGAATAAAATAGTAATATGATCGTTGTTTTGAATAGATGCAGATTAGATATCCTTGTGATCTGTGAAAATTTTTGATCTGTTTATATAATTTGTTTTTTTATTTAAAAAAAATCACGAACAGGTCAGGTCAGATTCTGCCTGTGGATAGTTAACAGTCTCTTTAGAAACCAGGAACATGACTAAAGCAAGCTGTTCTTCCTTTTTTAGGAAATGGAATTTTGTCTAAGTTTCCTCTCTCAGTCATGTTAGACATTTGTTGTTTTTTGCTTTTCAGATCTCCTTCCTGAACTTTTTTGGAAGCTATTGTATGGTAGATTTTTCTTGGCGTGTTGCTTTTCTATTGATTACGTTTATGTGTGCACATACACACGCATGCTCATATGCAGAAAAAGGGCAATTCAAAACTGCCAACCAGTGATTTTTTTTCAGAACTCTATACTTTGTATTTATACCATTTCATAATTTCCGATAACTGTGTGTGTGATACATTTTAAACCACTAGAAAAGCATAGTTGTTTGTTTATTGTAAAAAACTGAGATTAAATAACCATGTGACTACTAGAAAACCCTACACCGATTTTGTTTTTGATCCTGATTGGCTTAACTCTTAGTGTCCTGTGAAATATCTTGCTAATATTTGTCAGAGGCAAATTGATGTTAAGGAGTCTGTGTAGGCTTTTATCTGTTCACTTTCTCCTCTATCATAGGGTAAGGATATCTTGGCGAGCAGGTTTGTTTTTGTTGGACAAGCACACAAAAGCCCAGATGCTTCTCCACGCAGGGCCGAGCTCTGGAAGCCCTCCAAAGTGGGCGACCCTTTCCACCTCCAGGTTTCCATTTCCCCGCCACTCCCACAGGCTGGGCAGAATGCGCTCTCTCTCTGGAGGCCCCACTTTGTATTGCTTTTTGTGTTTTCGGTAGGGAGTAGCACAAATCCTTCAAAGCCTCTGGGGTCTGGAGATGACCTGGCAGTCCCTACCATAGCTGCTGTTCCCCTGGGTGCAACACGGCTGCTGTAGCCCCTCCGCAAAGCCTCAGGATGATGAAATACCCGAGAGCCCCAGCCTGCTGCCCCACTTCCTTTGACATTAGTCCTCAGAGGATGCCTCGGTGACCTGAGGTGGCAGCTCCTCTCCTTGGGACCAAGGCACTTTGCAGGGCTTTGTGCCAACCAGAAGCTCTTAAGAGAAAGTGTGAGGAAAGAGCACTTGGAAACCCCTCAGAGAAGAGAAATAGCAAATGGAAATAGCATAGCAAGGGGGAGGGAGTAGTCCTATTTATTTGGCAATGTTTGTAAATATTTAAGATTCTTACAGCTGACTATGGTCTAGCACAGGGTGAGGCCAGAGCTAAGAATAATTATCATGAACTTTTGTACTAATAATGGAATTTTGGATACAGGATAAAAATTAACTCAAGCCATGATGTTCAGCTGGTAGAAATTCAGAGTAGAAGACTGCTGGGTGTGGTGGCACATCCTTGTAGCCCCAGCTACCAGGGAGGCTGAAGTGGGAGGATTGCTTGCGCAGAGGAGTTTAAGACCAGCCTGGGCAACATAGTGAGACCCTGTCTCTAAAAATAATTTTTGAAAAGCAAACGGCAACGAAGTACCACACTCCTACATCTAGTACATTTTAAAGAAAGAAAAAATTCTTTCCTGTGCCCTGAAGTTCTTTAACTTTAAAAACAGAACAAACCAGCTCTGATACCCATACCTAAATACATCAGGAAGCATCTTCCCTAATGTCAAATGTGTTGTTGTTGGAAGGAAGCACTCATGCTATTTGAACTCAACCACATGAAGTGAACATAACAAATGACACTGTTATGGACCCAGGTCCTTTGTATTGTGCTTTCTTAGAGCCAGGACAAGGAAGTCTGACAATGCCCCGACTTATTCCTTTTTCAGGGGCAGATGATGATCTATGCGAAGTTTGACAAAAATGTGTATCTTCCTGAAGATGCTGAGTTTTACTTTACTTATGACGGATCTCATCAGCGACATGTCATGATTGCAGAGCGCATCGAGGATAACGTTCTCCAGTCCAGCGTCCCAGGTGAGGTGTCCTCTTTGTTGTGCAGCTGGGAAATTAGTCTGCAAATAACTTCCCTCCAGGGCTGTAGGCCAGGAAGAGAGCCAGGAAGAAAAAGAAAACAGTGCTGCAAGGTCAGGAGTGTGTGCGTGCCTGTGTGTGTATGTGTATATTAGGAAGAACACTCACATCTGAGATTCTTCCAGTTGTATCTGCTGCTTAATTAGGAGTCTTAACTTAGACCAGGCAGACCCATCCTATTGACTGCACCCAACTTTTATGGTTGGGTGTGCTTTGCATGCAGTCAACTGGAGGAAACACTGTCTATTGAGTATCACCTCCTAATCACCTCCTATAACCTCAGACTCATTGCCAGGGTTGGCTCAGGCAGAACTGACATTGACAAAGTTTGTCTTCTCTCTTCCTCATTCTTCTGTAAGCAGCCTGGCAGCCATGGGTCTGCCTCTCCTCTGCTTGCTCCGTTTGGTCACTGGGGTTCTTTCCTTGATGCCCTGTCCATCCAGAATCTTCCTTGGGGGATCTCCAGCTCCAGAACTTTCTCTCCCCATCATCAAAATGCTTACATTTGGAAACCTGTAATTTCCCCTGTTGTCTTCTTGATAGATGACAAATTAATATATCCTGTTCACATATTGTGACGAGCTAATAGCCCTTCTCAATATAGTTGTTTTATATTTTTATTGGTATGTGGGTTGTGCATTTAAGAGTCATCAGGCTTTAACCTAATGGTGGAATTAAAATGTCATTACCTACAGGACAGGGAGGGCATTTTAGAATTCTTTTTTATTGATTGGTTGGTTTTTCTTAACTGTGGGTCTTTCAGGCCCTTTTAATTTGTATCATAAAGAGACTCTTTAATTTTTATTAGAGTTAAGATTGAGATCATTTTTAAAGGAGCTTGTCCCTACCTGCTTCTGTAACATATCTGCTACACGTGGAAAGAAGGTAGCCAGTGAACATGCAAACAACACAGACACAGTGAGAATTGTAGAGAAGTGCAGATACCTCTTAGCTCTACCTGGTCTTGGTCACTGAATTAATCTGTTGTCCAATTTCTGAGACCATCGGCAATTTTAAGCACTTCTGTCTTTAGTCCAGTAATCTGCATCGTTAAAAGAAAGAAAAGACAGTCAAACCGAATTAATGGGCCAGTCATGGTGGCTCATGCCTGTAATCCCAGCACTACGGGAGGCCGAGGTAGGAGGATCACCTGAGGTCGGGAGTTTGAGACCAGCCTGGCCAACGTGGGGAAACCCCATCTCTATTACAAATATAAAAATTAGCTGGGCATGGTGGCCGGTGCCTTTAGTCCCAGCTACTTGGGAAGCTGAGGCTGGAGAATCACTTGAACCTGGGAGACAGAGGTTGCAGTGAGCTGAGATCATGTCACTGCACTCCAGCCTGGGAGACAGAGCGAGACTCTGTCTCAAAACGAAAACAAAAACCAAAACAAATCTAATTAACGGCACATAGTTACTTCAGCTGTTGGTTGCTTTCCCTCTGCCCTTTTGCTCTGGCTAATGTTTTCCCTACCTTTCGTTTTGCTCCCTTTTCTTGGTTTTCTCCTTTATCAAGCCCTTATAGAGAAAGGATAAAAAATAATAACTAAAGTGCCACTCCTATTTTCAAAACTTTTTATCTTTTTCTTTACTTGCATGTGGTGGCGACTCTCCTCCTCCTTCCTTAGGAGGAAGGTAATATAATCTTTTGTTTATATTGTGGTCTACTTAAAAGTGAGGTTTCTTATCTTCATTTTAACAGAATCTAGAGGCAGGTGACAGTTTCTATTTCTGAACCTTGAATTTCCCTGGTGACAGCTTTTACCAGGACAACCTTTCAAAATCTGTAAGACAGATTTATTTAATATTTCCTGGGTATGTGTAGTCTGGTGGGAGGTGGGTGCATTCTGTGCCCGTACCATGAGACCACTTTTAAGAGTCGATGACAAAGTGACACTAGTTCTCTTTCAGTAAACTTGGGATAGTCTTGTTCCTTGGAGCCCTAGCTGCAAAGCCTCTGGGAAAAGTCTTTGGTGAATAAGGCAGAGGAGGAATGATTGTACCTGTTAGCCATTTGACTGGGGGCAACAGGGTGCTATGAACCAGTGGTAGCTGAATAACTCTTCTCTGTCCAGTCATGATTATCATGATCATAGTGATTTGCTGCCACCAATTCCTGAAAAATCTGCCAAGGGCAGCATAAAAATGTACCTGGGTAAGAGCTTCCCAGCTCTGGCAAAATAAGAGAGTGGGGCAAAGAAGAGGAAGAGTGAAGGGAGGGACAAACAGCAGGATTTGGTGACACTCTCAGGAGAAATATTGAGAACACCTACAAGACAGAGACACTATTGTCAGAAGAGGGGGCAGTGAGCAACAACACACACACACACATAGATATGTATATATATATTTTCCCTTTTGTTTTCTCTTGGGTAGTCTTCACCCACCTTAACTCACATTCAAAGGAGCTCTATGGAATTAGGGCAAACTTGTGTAATTGTATGGTGCTATCTTATAAACTTATTGCTTAAATATGTAAAAATATGTGACTCAGGAGGAAATGGCAGAGTGGAAAAGAGCAAAGGACTTGAAGACAACAAACACAAATTCAGGGGTCAGGGTAGGAGTAAAAGGTTAAAGGAATGCTGAATAGCAGTGTTTGGTAACGATAGGAGAACAGATGCTCAAGTGTTCAGAGCTCGTAAAGGTAAGTTTTAAAATCAGGAGTAACTGAAAGAAGATGGAGTCAGCATTAGTTTGGCCCACATGCTTGGCAGTGTGTAAGGGTAATGGGCTGGCTTTCCTTTCTGCTTTGTTCTCCTGGAGCGTGTTGTCTGCTTAAGCTATGTGGTGGGGCTAGCACATTGGACCCCTGTGAGAGCATCTCCTACAGACTTGGGGTGAACTGTTCACTGTCTTGTTGTCCAGGCCATGGGCTTCAGGAGACGGTGACGGTATCTGTGTGCCTCTGCTCGGAAGGTTACTCTCCGGTGACCATGGGCTCTGGCTCAGTGACCTACGTGGACAACATGGCTTGCAGGCTGGCTCGTCTGCTGGTGACGCAGGCCAATCGCCTCACAGCCTGCAGCCACCAGACCCTGCTGACCCCATTTGCCTTGACGGCAGGAGCACTGCCTGCCTTGGATGAGGAGCTCGTGCTGGCTCTGACCCATCTGGAATTGCCTCTAGAGTGGACTGTGTTGGGAAGTTCTTCACTTGAAGGTGGGTCATCACCAGAAAATTCAGATATCCCCTCTGTGTGTCAAGTTCAGAATGTACCTTATGCTATACTGTGTGTTCCCCTCGGCAGGTTTTCCTGCCCACTTTTTACCTGAACCTTGCTCTGATGTGGAGGGGCTCCCTGAGGTCCTGAGCCACTCATCTCTGGGCTGGTTTATGTGACTCCGTGCCAGGAGGTGTGGGATAAATGGAAGAGCCTTGTCTCAAGTGGGGAAAGACTGTTTCTTTATGGTATGCTCTTGAGTCAGCTGCTCTGGGCTGTGGCTCCACTTCCCTTGGCAAGTTTTCTTGCTGTGGGAAGGGGACATTGCTGCCCCATTTCCAAATAGGTAGGCTCACTGGACAAGAAAGATCATGTCACCAACTCTGTGAAACACCTGGAAGACATGTGACCACATGGGAAACATAACCAATGAATTGACATCTTTGAAAGTGTCAGTGTCACTGAGAGCATTTGTGTTACATTTGTACTAGTTTTTGGAGTTCTAAAGACCAAATGGACTCTGAATACCAAGTATTTGGAATCTGCGTGTGAACAAGGCTATAGATGTTATATATAGGCCCTTACTAGACATGAGGCTAAACTGATCAATAGATGCTTTTTAAAAATGAAAAAATAAAATCTTTTTTTGAGAGATGGGGTCTCACTGTGTTGCTCAGGCTGAACTTGAACTTCTGACTTCAGTGATCCTTCTGCCTCAGTCTCCCAAAGTGCTGGGATTACAGGCATGAGCCCACGTGTCCAGCCAATAGCTGCTTTTTATTGGTGATTACAAGTTATATATAATTTTATTGGAAATACACAAATGTTGTTTTGTAATTTATTAAATACAACATATATTATTGCTTTTTTTTGCTATCCTTCCTGTGACCTTAGCTTTGTAGTCAGATGATGCTATTTTTGAGAGTTTCTGCTTCCTGGTAAATTCTAGTTGTAAGTTTCAGGTTGGCTTAAATTCGATCATGGATGAGATTAAATGCACTGCTCTGGGTAAAGGGGTGTGAATTTTGTAAACAGAATTATAAAGCCATAAGTCACAATCCAAAAGGATCTCTGTTTCTTTCCTTTAATCAGGGTCACACTAAAACTCTTCTGGGTACTTAAAGACGTCTCTTGTTTTTAAGACCTTGGATGAGGGAAGTCACAAGTCTAGTCCAGCACCGAGCCATGCCTGAATCCTGTGTGCTGTACTCTCCTGTGTGGTGGCTAATTGATACGTATGGCGTGGGCTCCCTGAGGGTGTGGGTGGTGTTTGTTCTGCTTGCTATTATCCCCAAGGATTCAGCAAGGAGATATGAAATATAAGGGGGAGTTGCAGTGATGATACTTGAAAGGTCTTGGGATACACCATTCATTCATTCATTCAACAAATACTTTTTAAAAATGAAGTATTAATAAAATATTTTTAATAAAGTATTTAATAAAGTAAATGTGCTGCACATTTTAAATTTCTACAATGAGTCATAGTAGTACCTGCTTCTTTAGCTGATGAGACAGGGTCATCTTGCTCTGTTGCCCAGGCTGGAGCGCAGTGGCACAATCATAGCTCACTGCAACCTCAAATTCTTGGGCTCATGTGATCCTACTGCCTCAGATTCCCGGGTATCTAAGATTATAGGTGTATGTCACATGCCTGGCTAATTAAAATTTTTATTTTTATTTTTATTTTATTTATTTATTTATTTATTTTTTTAGAGACAGAGTCTTGCTGTATTTCTCAGGCTTGTCTCAAACACCTGGCCTCAGGCGAGCCTCCCACCTCAGCCTCCCCAGTAGCTGGGATTATAGGCACCTGGCTCAACAAATATTTCTTAAACTCTTGCTATGTGCTAAGCCCTTATATACAAGGGAATTGCAATAGTAATACTTGATCGTCTGGAGATACACCCTTTCTATCTCACATATGTAAGTGATAGATGACATGTATGATCTACATTAATATAGATATAGTATATATAAATTTATATATCTATGATACATATTGTCTATATCTAAATATTATATACATATAATGTTTTCTGGCTAAGAAACTTCATCTTAAGCCTCTTGGATTTTTAAAAAGATTTCTAACTATAATATTGGAAGGTGTTTTTTTGGGGGGGTGTGGATCCATTTTGACAAAGACACAAAAGTTTCATGATTTCCCATGAGTAAAGGAAGAGCATCACAGCCTCACGCAGGGGCAGATGCAGGTTAGTCCCACAGCCCCTCCCCAGGCCAGCAAGTCTCTCAGCACAGCAGCTTGGTGCCTGCAGCGGTTTAATTTGTGCCTCTGAAAAATTACAAATTGTTGAAGGTCATGGAACCTCATAACTGCACATGAATAGCTTAAACTAAGGGTCTCCAAAATGGAATTCATGTTACCCGCATACTATATTTATTTTTTATGCCGATATTTAGAAATACATTCATACTCTCTAGTATTTAATCCGTGGATTGCAATAATAGAAGCATACAGTTTTCCATGCTGGGCATGCCTGCTCAAAGTTATTTTTGCTGGTAGAGATACATAAAAAAATAAGTTTGGAGAACGCTTGACAACTCATGTTGTCGAGGGCCATCCTATTGCCATTTTCATTGCTATTTGGGGATACATTCTTGTTTGCCAGGCTTTTAGCTGTCATGGCCTTTGATTTATCCATATTTTTATAACAGACAGATTTATGTCACCAGGAGGTCCTTTCTGACCCCTCTGCCAGTATTTATACATACTATATGTATTTTCATGAGAGAAAAACTGGAGTGGTTTCTTTTCATAGTAAAACACTTTTCTATTCTAGTGTCCTAGTTGTTAAGAATGTGTGCTGTGGAGGCAGGTTCAGATCCTGACCTTATTACCTCCTGGCTGTGAGACTTGGGCAAGGTATTTTAGTTCTGGTGCTGCACATTTTTAATTTCTACAATGAGGCATAGTAGTACCTGCTTCATTAGCTGGTTGTGATGATTTAATTAGATAATGTATGGCAAGACCTCTAGAAGAGTATCTAAACATATTAAGTTTTCAGTAAAAGGTGATGTTGGTATGTGCATGTGAATAAATTTTCATATATAGAGTGTATTGTATGTACTTATATGTGCATAGGTAGAAAGCAGATACAATTGGTTTGGACAAATGAAGCTGAAGGCAAAGTATAAAATCCTGGCATTGTAAGCAATTCTTTGAAAATTTCTAGGAATGTTTCTAGACTTTCTCTAAAGGCAGTTTGTAGTACTTGAGGTAAAACTGTCTGCAGCCTAGACTTGTAGTGTAGCTTCTCTACAACATCAATGTCAAGCGACAGGGTTAATGCTCATGTTTGAAGTCGAATTTTACTCTGAAGGTTATGACCATCTTATGAGATTTGATTCAGCCCACCATGTGTTTAAATCTCTGTATCTGCCTGTTCACACCTCAGTTCTGTTATGTATGTATGTAGGGGCTCATATATGGATATTGGCTAAGTTTAGATTGGTAGGTCTTAACAGATGTATTTATCAGTACATTTCTGTCAAAATTATTCCACGTTAAAAAAAACAAATTGGGCATTTAGATGAATAGATTCAAATATAAATTCTTCTGTGTCAGTTTTAATTTTGTACTTTAGAAATTGTATTAGATACTAGGTAGAAGGAAAACGTGGAGTTTTTATTGTATTTACTGAATCAAGTAGTTGGACATAAGTTAATCATTTTATAGTTGGGAATAAACAAGAGTATTTGGTGAAGGACTAACATTAATGCCCTAGATTAACTGGATTATATTAGATTTTTACAATGCACATGTATACTCTATGGATGTATTTTGACTCATTGCCTATTCATAACCATTTGGTGGGGTTCCACTAATCTTGAGCTGTTTTGGATTTGTTTTTTGTTGTATTTTTAATTTAATAGAGTTTTAATCTAAGCAGTTTAAAACCTCTTATGTGCTTATAGGTCTTTTTTAGTATACATATTTTATTTGTGTTGCTTGTCTTCAGGTAGATAAATTATAATAATGATGTGAAAAATAAACTGTGCCATCGGACCCACTGGACATTATAATGTATTAGTGGCAGTGGCATCACAGGTGGAAAACAATTTCTTTCCTAGTAATTTTTCTTCCAGTACTTGTCCAAAAATTATTTTAATGCTCAGTGTTCACTTTTATTAAAATTTTTTTGTGATTATTTATTTATGATTTCTTCAAATATAAATAGATCTTACCGAAGGAGTATTCATTGATTTCTGTAATGACTTTGTCTTGGAAGAGTGATCAAAACCCTGCTGTGACACATTACTGTATTCTTTGCATTTTATAATGAACTTCTCATTTTTTTCCCTTGTCAATCATTGAGAGTTATTAGGAAGGACTGGGAATCTGGAAAAAGGCCAGAGTCTGAGTAGAGCATGGATCTTGTAACAAAAAGCAGAGCCTTCTTTCAGCCCTGTATCTTACCCGTCATTAGTCACAATGCAACTTCATTATGTGTTTGAGGAAAGGAAATATCCCAGATTTTATTTAATTTTAGACCATAAATAAAATTGGATTTCTAGTTCATAAAATTAAGACCATTCCTTTTATGAAATAGCATTCATAATAGTGCCTTGTGCAGGGTCTCAGAAGCCCAAATTTGGAGTAAAGCATTGAATAGTAATATAATTATTCAACAGAATCTCACAATTTATTTTTATTTTTTTGTTTTGGGTTTCTTGCTTGTTTGTTTTTTGAGCAGAAATCTTTTCTCAGAGATTTGTATAATTTTGACAATTAGGTTAACTGGGATAACACATTCTAATGTTTTATGTGTTGATGCTCAGATGACTTTGGAGTTGAAAGCCCCCTCGACCTTCCTGCTCCATCAAACTACCTCCCTCCACTTGTGTTCCCAGTAGCTTGATATGGCTGGCAAGCACCAAGCTTGCCAACACCAGTGAGGGGCTGCCATGTGGGTAAAGAACCCAAGGGTACTACAAATGGTATCTCCAAAGACAGATGGCATCGTTCCTGTGAACACAGTAGCTTCTCTCCTAACCTATGGAGTAGGTCGAGCTTGTCCTGGTTAGGATTTCTAATTTAAGAGAAAAATAAAGCCCAGTTCCTTAAAAAAACAAAGAGGTCATATAAAGAATATTTCTCACATATGTTTACACTTACAAACTAATATATAACAATTTGGAAGACTCAAGATATTTTTTGCCAGAGTAAATTACTATTGTTTTCAAAAACGAACTTGGACTCTTCCAGTTGTCTAGGTAAAAGTAGTTCATGTGATCAAAGGTCTCCTAACAGGCAGAAGTTCTTCTGCTCATTATGGAACAGGTGCATTCTTTGTTATATCCATCATAAAAACATAACCAAACCTGTTTATTTTTTATTTTTATTTTTTTTTTGAGACGAAGTCTCACTCTGTTGCCCAGGCTGGAGTGCAGTGGGATGATATTGGTTCACTGTGACCTCTGCCTCCCGGATTCAAATGATTCTCCTGCCTCAGCCTCCTGAGTAGCTGGGATTACAGGTGTGTGCTACCACGCCTGGCTTATTTTTGTATTTTTAGAGATGGGGTTTCACTATGTTGGCCAGTCTGGTCTCGAACTCCTGACCTCAAGTGATTCACCCACCTCGGCCTCGCAAAGTGCCAAACCTGGTTTTGTAAAGGTACTAGCATGAATTGAATCTGCAGGGCAAAAATATTAAAGTGTTTAACAAAACAAAGTATTACCTGGCAGATTGCTTCGTCAGGTTTAAAGAGTTAAGCTTTTCTCCTGCCTTTGTGATTGGTTCTATGAGTGAAAGAAAATTTTAAGGTAACCCAATTGAACTTTTGGAACTCTTCTATAGGAATGTTTTGGACTTCAACACAGCTGATGTATTTAGAGGATCCAGCTTCTCATTCTGTGGGTCCATGGTTGGTTGGAGAGCTGTCCCCAAAGAAAACCAATTGGTGGAACTAGCAGGACCCACTGAGGGTGGCTTAAGAATTGAATATTTTCCAAAAGTCAGATTAAGAGTACACTCCTTAACTTGCAAATAACACCAATAGAGTTATAACAACCACAACAGATTTAAACTTGAATCCAGAAATTAGAGAAATGATTTGTTAGTTTCAAGGACAAATCCAAGTACAAGTCACAGCATAATGAGTAGTAAGTTAAAGGAAATATAGAAAACCTTGTCATGGCCCACACATGTAATGTATAGGTAAAGTAATGTGATGCTCTTACTATGGAGAAGGGTCGTTAGTATAACGCTCTGCTCTTGCCTGAATAGGGTCTTCATAAATTAGTTCCTTTTGAAGGAGAATGTTTGTTTTTCTATGCTTTACACATAATGGAAAGAAAAGGAAAAGAAATACAGAGGCCCGAAAGGACTTTAGAAGACGTTTATAAGAGTTAGGGTTATCTAGCAGTTCTTTTTTTCCCCTAAATTTATTATTATTTTTAATTCAATAGCTTTTTGGGGAACAGTAGATGTTTGGTCCAGCAGTTCTTAAAATGTGTCTTGATTGTTCGGTGTTCACTTAAGTTTAAAAAGCAGTTTTAATATTGCTTCTTATCTGCAGGAAAAGCCATTACATAGGAATTAACAGTTCATTACAAAAGAGTGGATGGGAACTACTCATTTTATGTGACAGCCACATCTTGCTTCAAGCCACATACCCTGAAACTTCTAGGCAACAAGAGAAGGGAATATGTGGCCTAGCAATGTTTGACAGAGAAAAATATCTGTTTCTCTTTCTTTGAATACAGAAAAGAGATCTGTAGCCAGTAGGAAGCAAGATTTGTTTAATGTTTGAAATGGAGCGTGGCTTGTGGTTTTATCTTTGAATACTGTCTGCTGGCTGTAGATATAGAAAGAAAATAGAGCAAGGCCCCAGAGCCTGGCACTGTGGGTTGGCCTGATGACTGCACTGTGTCCAGGTCTTACTAACCAGAGAAGGGCAAACTGATTTATAAGACTTACTTGCTGGCCCACAGATGAAGTAAAATGTCAGCTTTGTTACTCTGCCATAAAGCTCTGTACTGGACAGCAAGTTTGAAATAACATTAGCTGAAACACCAGTGGGTAGGAAACCCATAAAGGACAGATTTATTACAAAATACAAGAAATACAAGTTTCCAGTGTTTTTTTTTTTTTAAGTTTTGAAATCAATACATTATGGGTAACAACTGATTCAGGGGTTTTGTATGTTTCTCTTGGAAATCTTGACATTTTTCAAGGGGTTGTGTACACACTCAGTATTGCTGTCTAGCCTTCTGTCAATTCTGATAGTATCTAATGGGACAAACATCTCTACACCTTTTCTGACATTTCAAGCTGGTAGTATACTCCTTCTGTTGCTAAGGCAACCCACTGGATGAACACTAGGGGTGGAGAGAATGTTCTTTAGATCCTATGGCACTTGTTATGATGGTAAATCGATAAAATTGTTTTACAGTTCTCAGCTATATATATGTATATTATTTGTGAAGCTTTAAATCCTTAATTTTAAAATGTCTTCTTTGTCTTACATTCCTTTTGTAGTTTTTAATTTTTGAGGAATATGTTTTCTGGCAGTAAAGAATTTAATATAGAATTAAACTTCTAAGGAAAAGGACTCCTCTCCCCCCAATCATTTGAATTCATTTTTCAGTTTAAGTAGGTAAACTCTTATTGAACACATTCTCTGTTTAAGGTACTACATGTTAAATAAGAAACAGCAGCTTAACTCTTCCTTAAAAAATAAGCTTCCTACTTTTGTCTGGCAACAATGGCCCTTATACTGGAATAGAGAATTACGCACTTACTCCCACTTCTGGGAAATAGAACGTAGAGTTGGATTCCGGTCACTCTCTCTCCCTCAATTATAATTTTCAAGAACAAAAAATGTAAATGGAAGCAAACAGCCTACCCAATGTGCTTCCCAAAGGATTCGGGACTGTAGAAGGTTTTTGAAGTCCCATTCCTGGCTTACCTCCTCTGGGGCTTTTCTCCCCTTAAAACGTAGCAGGATGCATATAGCAGTTTTTGCTTGCACGCAGAGGATTAAAGCTGAATTTAAAAAATGACAGTAACCAAGGAATATCTTCATAACCTTGAAGGAGAAAGTTAAAATTTTGCTATTCTCATAGATTTCTTAATGGGATTTGAATGCTGGCAGTTGTCCTTGTACTATTTTATCTACAAACCAAATGAAATATTGGTTTGTAGATAAAACATTGGTTTTAAAACTACCAATGTTTGGAGGTTAAAATCCCCACGATTGAAAAAGTTGGGTAGGAGAGATCTGGGGAGGAGAGTGAGGCAGGGAGCCAGAAGAGATGGTACATTCTTAGGGAAATGAATAATTGTGCGTCCTGTTCCAAAGTCCCCCTTTACTTGGCCCAGTGTTGTTTAAGAGGCCTTGTCTTGACTCTCTCAAATATAAGCCTTGGTGTGGGGATGAAGCTGTATGGATAGAAACCTCAAAAAATCTTCTGTAATCCTACCCTAGGTCCCCATATACCTACTGTCCTTTTCCACACCTATAACTGTAGTTGCTTTTATTTTGCAAGTTTGACATGAGAATGTATGTGTACTGTGAGTGGCGACACATCAGGTCAATATCTGGAGGAGAGGAGAAGCATGAGTGACGGATGTGAGCCTGGGTCCTTAGAATTTGCTCAGCTCAAGTTCCTTCTGCTTATTTTTCCCTCACTCTCAATTTGTTGATTTTTTTTAAGATGGGGTGTCGCTGTATTGCCCAGGCTGGTCTCAGACTTCTGGGCTCAAGTGATTCTCTTTCCTCATCCTCCCTAGTAACTGGGACTATAGGTGTGTGCCACCACAACTGGGTAATTTTTTTTTTTTTTTTTAGAGATGAAGGTCTTGCTATATTTCTCAGGCTGGTCTCCAACTCCTGGGCTCAAACGATCCTCCTACCTCAGCCTCTGAGTAGCTGGGACTACAGGAATGAGCCACCACACCTGGCTGGTTCTATCTTTCCTTGCCCTCTTTAAAAAAATCTATTTTGAGGCTGAGTGTGGTGGCTCACACCTGTAATCCCAGCACTTTGGGAGGCTGAGGTGGGTGGATCACTTGAGGTCAGGAGTTCAAGACCAGACTGACCAATATGGTGAAACCGTGTCTTTACTAAAAATACAAAAATTAGCCAGGCGTGGTGGTGCATGCCTGTAATCCCAGCTACTTGGGAGGCTGAGGCAGGAGAATTGCATGAACCCAGGAGATGGAGGTTGCAGTGAGCCAAGATCACACCACTGCACTCCAACCTGGGTGACAAAGCAAGACTCCCTCTCAAAAAAAAAAAAAAAAAAAACAAAACAACAACAACAAAATCTATTTTGAGCTTTTTATTCTTGTATAAATTTTTCTTCACTACTCCCATCTTCCCATCTGCAGTTTATAATAGGAGATACAGGTATATAAGTATTACATGAGTCAATTCCTGATTTTTAAAAAGTAGTCCCCAATTCTTGTAGTATATGACTCTCCTATGTTTCTTGTCAACACATTTAATTTTTATAGTCTTGATTTTTTTTTGTTGTTGGCTTTAATGTATTTTTCCTTGACAAGTACATGAGATATATCACTGCAGTTGGGGCCAATTCAAGCCATCCTTTGTATAATGAGAGGCATAATAGTTAAGAACTTGAGTTTTGGAGGTGGAAAAATCTAGGTTCAAATCCTTCATGTTCCATATACTACTTAAGTGAGCCTAAGCAATTGCATAATTATGTCAAGGCTTAGTTTCTGCCCCTATAAAATAAGGATAGTAATAGTACATACATCATAGAATGGCTGTCAGGATTAAATGAGATAACGCATATAAAGTGCTGAATAAAGGTTAGCTCTTTATAGAAACAAGAAAGGTAAAATCCTTATCATAGTCACTGACACTGAGTAAGAATGAAAGAAGAAATGTTGGTGTGGTGGTTCATTTCTTTTTTTCATTCATGGATAATCGTTGTCCATCTGTATTCCTGGTTGACTTTTTTCCAACCTCCCCTTCCTCCCTCCAGATATGGCAGCATCTTTTATACTGATTTCCGGTTTGGTTTATCCCATTTACCTTCCTCTTCTAGTCTCACCAGAATATCCCTTGTTGATTGTGCCTTACAGGTGAAGGAAAGGATGAAATCATCCATTGAAGCTGTAGCTCATACCCAAAGAGTGTAATATTTCTAATATTTCTCAATCCGGGACTTTGGACACAAGACACTGGCTTCCAGTGCAAGGGCACTGAATGGACCCTGCCTGGCTGTAGGCGAATGGCCAGTTTCCTGGTTGTCTTTGAAGGCAGACTTCCAATGCAGACTTCAAAGGGCCATCTGCGAGGCATGATGAGTCCACACTTTTTCTGCTTGTCAATAATAAAATTAGACTGCAATGTATTTTCATTTGTCTCCCAAACAGAACAGGGTCCCTGGAGAGTCAAGTGGGAGGGCGTCTGAGAATTCTAGCTCATCTGGGGTATAAGGGGAGATCTTGCAGAAGAGTGCCTGCACACAGTTGGCTATCAGCAAATATCTGTTGAGTGAAATGAATGGTGGACTTGAATCATAGCCTTGAAGCAACATTAACAAATGAAAGAAAAATCGATAAAGGCTGGAAAGGAGGAGGTATGCCATAATTGCTACTTACAACACCTAATGACCGCCTGCTGCCCAAAGCATGGGATTACAGCACATTTGTCTTAATAGCACATCTGATGCAATTACAGTGCACGGTAAGCAGGCAGCTAGTTCCTTACAATTATGCCTTTAAATTGTGACCACAGGAAAATTGTTTTCAGACATACCACATATCTATTTAGTGACTGTTTATTGTAGTTTTTTTGTATTAAAAAGATCAGACAAATGTGTAAAACTGCTTAGTCCCCCCAATACTGGCTTTTATAGTTCTTGACAGCCCTGTCCCATTTGTTATTTTCATTACAGCCCCCTGGCAATCCCAGGTAGTAGGCTGGGCAGTTATCATGTCCGTTTTACAGATCAAGCAACTTGAAACTTGAGAATTAAATGGCTTTCCATTTCATTCTAGCTGTTAGCTGGAGGCTTGCTATGTGTTCAAATCCAGAGCTTTGAATCCTTGGTCTCCCCATCTTTGTACCATACAGTGTTGTATCTGGATTCTTAATATCTTATACTGGTGGCTATATGCATAATTTAGTTTGGAAATATCCTCAGAATGTGAAGGTCAAAAATTGAGTTGCCATCTTGAAATTCTGATGAAGACTTTTTAAAGTTGCAACTGATTTAGTATTCGTTCCACAAGCTAAAATAAAGTATATCTTGCCAATATGAGATGCAAAATCCAGGAAGTACATTCCAGTGTTATACAGCACTATGTGAATTTTCTGGAATGAATGTGTGTGTGATGGGTGTTTTCCCAAATTATTTTCAGGTGATTTTCAGCCGGAGGTGGTTGTAATATGAGTGTCTCGACTGTGCTGAAGCAGAAAACAAGTTTTAGGGAGGAAAAACCTGCCATTATGCTTGTTTCAGTCCTCCTCCTCTACCTTTTGGGCTTATGATCCAGCCATGCCAACCATGTTGGTCTTGCGCTCTGTGGAATGTCCTGATTTCATGTCTTTCTTATGAGTGTGTTTGTATTTGCAGTTCCTATCCTGGACTCACCAACCTCAGATCTCCTGTTTACAAAAGGCTGATTTGTTTATCTACATGCCAGAGCTCTGAGTAGGCTGTGTAAATGGAAGATGCTCTAAGGCACAACCCTTTTCTCATTCTTATTGAGAATCCTGAAAACATCTTAAAGATTGTGTATGATACCCATGCCAAATTCTCTCTTCTACTCTCTATGTAAATTTTTAATAATTTTTTTCATTGTACTTTTTGTTCATCATTTTTGGCATTTTATAAATATCTGTAAATTTTCATATCATGATACATGATGTAGGTTGAATTAATTTAACATGCAGATTTGTTTTCTTGTAGTCCAGACAGTTTCCTTACTTCTATTCACATTCTTTGTGTCTAGAACTACAAACAATGAAGTAAGCCTAGAGCTGTAGTTCATCACATAGTGATTTCATGGGCCAGATATTTATAGACAGTCCCTGATTTATGATGGTTTGATTTATGATTTTGATTTTATCATTGTGTGAAATGTGATGGTGTGAAAGCAATATACATTCAGTAGAAAGTGTACTTCAAATTTTGAATTTTGACCTTTTCCTGGGCTAGGCCATATGCAGTATGATACTCTTGTGATGCTGGACAGTAACGGTGAGCCACGGCTCCCAGTCAGCCAGCCACACAATCACAAGAGTAATCAGTCAATACTCCACAGTGCATTGTGTGGCCAGTGGTTTTTGGATATTGTGTTTTGTGTTTGGCCATCCCATCATATCTACAAAACACCTATTTTCAACTTACACTATTTTCTACTTATGACTGGTTTATTGAGATATAATTCCATCGTAAGTCAAAGAGTATCTGTATTTTATTCTGAACAAAAGTAAGCTAGCTGTATGCTTCTCAAGGGCAGGGACCACCACACTCATCTTTGTATCCACAGGGCCTGGCAGATAATAATGGTCTCATTCAATGTTTGTCTACTGAATGACTTAGATGAACAAATTGAGACCTGCATGAATACATATGTGGCTTTGGAAATCAGAATAAAACTTATTTTAATGAGTTGAATTTAATGTGAATCAAAAAAAAATTAGTCTTCTAAAAACGTATTGTGGGCTGGGCGCGGTGGCTCACGCCTGTAATCCCAGCACTTTGGGAGGCCGAGGTGGGCGGATCACAAGGTCAGGAGATCGAGACCATCTTGGCTAACATGGTGAAACCCCGTCTCTACTAAAAATACAAAAAATTAGCCAGGCGCAGTGGCGGGTGCCTGTAGTCCCAGCTACTCGGGAGCCTGAGGCAGGAGAATGGCGTGAACCTGGGAGGTGGAGCTTGCAGTGAGCTGAGACTGTGTGCCACTGCAATCCGGCCTGGGCTAAAGAGCAGGACTCCATCTCAAAAAAAAAAAAACAAAAAACAAAAAACAAAACAAAACAAAACAAAAACGTATTGTGTTGCATACATTTCAATGGCTCCACTCAGGTGTTGTGAAACATTACTTAGCCCTAAAAAATATAAGTACTTCTGAATTAACTTGTATTGAAAAATATTATTTGCTTTTAGATTATGGTATCCATCACATTTTTGCTTTAATATTTTGCTAAATGTTTAAGCTCTTTCCTGGTTTAGCAGTAAGTAATGTAGGTTAAAAATAACTTGTAAAACTCACAGAAAACTCTTTTTGTTGTTCTTTGGTAAAATCTTATACCTAATAGATCTTAATTAAGAGCTGACTGGGTAGGCTGTGTTATAAAAGGAAGATATAGGTTTGTATTTTGCTAACCACTTATTAATTTAAATTAGCAGATCCCAACTCTGGCTTTGCATTGGAATCACTTGAGAATATTTGGAAAAGTGTGATGACTTGGCCCTGCCCCAGAAGTTCTGATTTAATTTTTCTGGAGAGGGCCTTAAACATCAGTCTTATTAAAAAATAATAAAATAAGTTAAATAATTAACCAAGGTCTCCAGAACTCACAATCACTGCTAGAGGCAATGTAAGTTATTACCACCATTTTTGGAAAACACAGCAGCATTATCTAATACATTTAGAGAAACTAATATCTCATAGCAAATCTGTTCCATAGCAATTCCATTCCTACCTATAAACCCTAGCAAGAAAACATGCTGATATGGTTTGGCTGTGTCCCCACCCAAATCTCACCTTGAATTGTAACTCCCACAATTCCTACATGTCATGAGAGAAACTGGTGTGAGGTGATTGAATTATCGGGGTGGGTCTTTCCTGTACTATACTCATGATAGTGAATGAGTCTCATGAGATCTGATGGTTTTTAAAATAGGAGTTTCCCTGCACAAGCTCTCTCTCTTGCCGCCACCATGTAAGAAGTGCCTTTTGCCTTCTGCTGTGATTGTGAGGCCTCCCTAGCCACATGGAATTGTAAGTCCATTAAACCACTTTCTTTTGTAAATTGCCCAGTCTCAGGTATGTCTTTATCAGCAGCATGAAAATGGATTAATAGAGTAAATTGGTACCACTAGAGTGGGGTGCTGCTGAACAGATACCTGAAAATGTGGAAGCAACTTTGGAACTGGGTAACAGGCAGGGGTTGGAACAATTTGGAGGGCTCAGAAGAAGACAGGAAAATGTGCAAAAGTTTGGAACTTCCTAGAGACTTGTTGAATGGCTTTGCCCAAAATGATTATAGCAATATGGACAATAAATTCCAGGCTGAGGTAGTCTCTGATGGAAATGAGGAACTTGTTGAGAACTGGAGCGAAGGTTACGTTTTAGCAAAGAGACTGACAGCATTTTGCTCCTGTGCTAGAGATTCGTGGAATTTTGAACTTGAGAGCCATGATTTAGGGCATCTGGCGGAAGAAATTTCTAAGCAGCAAAGCCTTCAAGAAGTGACTTGGGTGCTGTTAAAGGCATTCAGTTTTATAAGGGAAGCAGAGCATAAAAGTTTGGAAAATTTTTGGCCTGACAATGCAATAGAAAAGAAAATCCCATTTTCTGAGGAGAAATTCAAGCTGGCTGCAGAAATTTGTATAAGTAATGAAGAACTGAATATTAATCCCCAAGACAATGGGGAAAATGTCTCCAGGGCATGTCAGAGGGCTTCATGGGAGCCCCTCCCATTATAGGCCCAGAGGCCTAGGAGGAAATGGTTTCATGGGCTGGGCCCAGGGTCCCCATGTTGTGCAGCCTAGGGACTTGGTGCTTGGCATCCCAGCTGCTCCAGCCGTAGCTGAAAGGAACCAACACAGAACTCGGGCCATGGCTTCTGAGGCTGCAAACCTCAAGCCTTGGCAGCCTCCACATGGTGTTGAACCTGCAAGTGCACAGAAGTCAAGAATTGAGGTTTGGGAACCTAGATTTCAAAGAATGTATGGAAATGCCTGTATGTCCATGGCAAAAGTTTGCTGCAGGGGTGGGGCTTTCATGGAGGACCTCTGCTAGGGTAGTGTGGATGGGAAATGTGAGGTGGGACCCCCCACACAGAGTTCCTACTGGGACACTGCCTAGTGGAGCTGTGAGAAGAGGGCCACAATCTTCCAGACCCCAGAATGGTAGATCCACTGACAGCTTGCGCTGTGTGCCTGGAAAAGCCACAGACACTCAATATCAGCCCATGAAAGCAGCTGGGAGGGAGGCTTTACCCTGCAAAGCCACAGGGGCAGAGCTGCCCAAGACCATGGGAAACCACCTCTTGCATCAGTGTGACCTGGATATGAGACATGGAGTCAAAGGAGATCATTTTTGGAGCTTTAAGATTTGACTGCTCCACTGAATTTCAGACTTGCGTAGGGCCTGTAGCCTCTTTGTTTTGGCCAATTTTTCCCATTTGGAGTGAGTGTATTTACCCAATGCCTGTAACCCCATTGTATCTAGGAAGTAACTAGCTTGCTTTTGATTTTACAGGCTCATAGGCAGAAGGGGCTTGCCTTGTCTCAGATGAGACTTTTGACTGTGGACTTTTGAGTTAATGCTGAAATGAGTTAAGACTTTGAGGGACCATTGGGAAGGCATGATTGGGTTTAAAATGTAATTTGGGAGGGGCCAGGGGAAGAATGATATGATTTGGCTGTGTCCTCACCCAAATCTCATCTTGAATTATAACTCCCACAATTCCCATGTATCATGGGAGGAACCTGGTAAGAGGTGATTGAATTATGGGGATGGGTCTTTCCTGCACTGTTCTCATGATAGTGAATGAGGCTCACGAGATCTGATAGTTTTCAAGATGGGAGTTTCCCTGCACAAGCTCCCTCTTGCCGCTGCCATGTAAGAAGTGCCTTTTGCCTTCCACCATGATTGTGAGGCCTCCCTAGCCATATGGAACTGTAAGTCCATTAAACCTCTTTCTTTTGTAAATTGCCCAGTCTCAGGTATGTCTTTATCAGCAGCATGAAAATGGACTAATACACACACAAATATCAGAAAAAATATTTTACCCTGTGTCTGTATGTGTATATATATATGTGTGTGTGTGAGAGAGAGAGGCAGAGGGAGACAGAGACAGAAAAACAGAGAGATACACTCATACCAATGGACCTCAGGAGTGCAAATACCCCTCCTCCTTTCCTAGTCACATTCTTCTCTTTTTCCTAACAGGTATTGTGCTGACTTTTATAGTAGCCATTTCCTTGCTTTTCTTTACAGTGTTACAACGTATGTATATATGCCTAAGTAATAATTTTAACTTTTACTCTTCTTGAACTTCATATTAATTGAAACATATCCTGTGTATTTTGTGACTTGATTTTTCCCTTTTGACATTATATTCATTACTTCCTTCTGTGTTAATCTGTAATTCATTTTGATTGTTAGAATATTGTTGTATGATTGCACTGCAATTTATTCCATTGATGAACATTAAGATTACTTTGAATTTTGACCATTTATATTTTTTGCATGGTTTCTTGCTAGGGTTTATAGGTAGGAATGGAATTGTTGTGGACTGGATTTGCGTTAGTTTCTCTGACTTTATTAGATAATGTTGCTGTGTTTTCCAAAGGGGTTGTAACAGTTTACATTTCCTCTAGCAGTGATTGTGAGTTCTGGAGACCTTGGTTAATTATTTAACCTATTTTATTATTTTTTAATAGACATTTTAAGAACAGGTTTAGGTTCATGGCAAAATTGAGTGGAAGATACAGATATTTCCCATATATTCCCTGCCCCTACACATGCACAGCCTCCCCTATTATCAATACGCCCCACAGAGTGGCACATTTGGTTATGATCGATTAGCCTACATTTGAGAGGTTAATTTATTCTTTAATCTTCCAAGCTAAGCCTTTGGCTAATTGAAAGGTATGGCCAGATCTTGTGTGGATATGGTAATGGTTCTAAATTGACCAGTAACAAAACCACTTTCCTTTAGTAACACTTAAACTGTCTGACCTTCCTTGCCCTTGTGCTTCAGATGCCTGGAAGCTTTGACCTGTGCTGTTTTTGCAGATAGTAACCATAGAGTTAGGACAGGATTGAATACTCTTAGGAACCTTGGATCTTTATTGTGACAGACTCATTTCATGGGCAAAGAAACTGATGCCCGGCAGAGTGAGAAGCACAAACTCCACACTCCCTTCCTATCTGGGGCAGTTGGACTCCTGTTATGCAGTAAGGAATGGCTTATTGAATGGCACAGCCTGTTCAGTTCCTTTTTGTGTCTTGGTTTTCATGCTCTCATGATGTTATAGGTCGTACCTTTTAATGTTTGCCATTACAGCAATTATTAGTAATTCTGCATTGGTTACATTAGTTCAAATAACTCCTGGCACCAACCAAACAGGAAGAGACATTTATTTAGTTTAAGAAATTATTTTAAACACTCCCACCTCTGCCAAATTGTATAACCTCTTTCCACAGTTTGTTTTGCTGGCTGCCGTTAAGAAATCTGAAACTCTATAACAGGCAGAATTATTTATATATGTCATGATGCTTCCTATTTCAAGCTGTTTGCCTCGCTCTGCACTCTGAACTTTCATACTGAATGAGAAAGCTCTCTCTTACAACATTTTGGTCAGTTTTTATTTGTTTTCTTTAAACATCAGAAGATTCTCTCTTCCCCTGCCTTACCTCCTCCCCGGGAAGTGGGTAGATTCTCAGAAAGAGAGGCAACAGTGAGCCATTCAGGCCTGCATGTTTACTGTTCTCTCTCATTGAACAAGATGTGAGGATGGAGCCAGAAGGAGAGAAGAGGGAGCTGGATTAGCAGAACAAGCTTGGAGAGCTCTCGTGGTAGAGGAAACAGATCTGCCCACACTCACACTGTTGGTCAGGTTGAATACAGTGAAATACACTCCAGGTTCAATGGTATTTAGGGCATTGCACCAGACATGGCAGAAAGTGTTACTTAAATTGATACCATGCTTTCCTTTACCAATGGTATAATTTGAAAAGGGAACACAAAAGGTTTAGATGTTCCCTTTTGATCATTTTTTTGGGAGGGGAAAGAAAATTACAATCCATACAACTATGGAATATTTCTCACTATATTCAGATTAGGAGATATGTCTTAGAAATTCCATCCGGGCTGGGTGCGGTGGCTCATGCCTGTAATCCCAGCACTTTGGGAGGCCAAGGCGAGTGGATCACCTGAGGTCAGGAGTTCAAGACCAGACTGGCATGGCCAACATGGTGAAAACCTGTGTCTACTAAAAATACAAAAATTAGCTGGGGGTGATGGCGCGCACCTGTAATCCTAGCTACTCAGGAGGCTGAGGCAGGAGAATCACTTGAAACTGGGAGGCAGAGGTTGCAGTGAGCCAAGATTGCACCACCGCACTCCAGCCTGGGCAACAGAGTGAGACTCCATCTCAAAAAAAAAAAAGGAGAGAAATTCCATCTTAGTATGCCTGGTTAATATCTCATGCTGACAGGTTTTCCTGTGTTGGGGAGTACACATGCACATATGTGTGCATATGTATATTTGTTACCTGATCTTAACAAGTCTATTCCTGGTTATTATTTAAAAAGGAAGAAAAATACAAATATTATCCAACATTTTAGATACCCTGCTGGGAATCTAAAAACAAAAACCTCACTTTTTATTCAAAGGAGTATAATGGTCAAAAGTTAAAGGATAAAATAGTCAAAGATAAGTTCTCTAATAGCTAACATAGTTTTTTAATTTTCATAAAGCTGAAGATATCAAGTATATTAAACAAATGTCTGGCAGGAGTGTATTGCCTTGTCTGTTTTTAGATATTTTGGTATTTTGAATGTTATTTTACTGAGGGGAAGTGTTCCATGTCACACAGATGATTGATAGAGTAAATATACTGGTAAGTTGGTGGCATTTCACTGTGATGAGTTCATTTACATATTTTAAGTATAATGCCTTACATTCATTGATCTAGCTATCTATATCTCTATAGATATAGATATATAAATAATTAAAAATGTAAACTAAGCCTTTTATTTGCATTCATTTATGGTGGAGTGTTTCCTTCTAATTGTTTCAAATTAGAGCTTTGTAGAAACCTGGCTTCCCAAGTATCATCATTACCACAGCCTGCAGGTAGGACAAAGCTGAGTTTATTGCCTACTATGGTATGGGAGAACACCACCTCCACAGGGCCTTAGAGGTGTCTTGAAGGGGGAGCTGTGAGGTGAGGTGAGAATTTATTGAGAACTTGAAGTTTGGCTTAATGAGGGTCTTTTTTTTGAGACAGGGCCTCACTTTGTGGCCCAGGTTGGCATGCAGTGGTGCAATCTCCACTCACTGCAACCTCTGCCTCCTGGGCTCAAGCGATCCTCCCACCTCAGCCTGCTGATTAGCTGGGACCACAGGCGAGTGCCACCATGCCTGTTTAATTTTTGTATTTTTTGTGGACAGTGGGTTTTACCACATTCACCAGGCTGGTCTTGAGCTCCTGGGCTCAAGTGATCCTCCCGCGTTGGCCTCCCAAAGTGCTGGGATTAAGGCATTAGCCACCACGCCTGGCCTTATAAGGGTTTTTAATGTTGGGGATGGTGGTGGGTGGGGCATGTTGGACAGGAAAGGAGCTTGATCAGGACTCGGGAAGGATCATAATGTAGTTAAGATTGCTTTTAGGGTTCAAACTGCCTTTTATTGGTTTCTACTGAACAGTTGGTTAGTCTTGTGGAAGGTTCCTATAATGAGCAATCATTCATTTGCCTGGGCAAGTGGCTCCTGGAATAGTAAAATTGTGCTAATGAAGATAATGGAATAGTAAGATAGCGTTAATATGGACAGGAAACTGTGGAGAAGTAGGTCATTTTGTTCTCAGTGTCCATTTTACAGTGAACAATTCAGTGTACAGACTATTCAAACTAAGTAATTTAAATACACACAAACCGTAGAGATTTTAACAGCCAATTGTCATTCAACTCCTCAAATGCTAAATGGCTTTCATTTGCCAGATACTGTGCTAGGTATTAGGAATAAAATACCTCAAGGACCCCTCCGCCTGGAAGATGACAACAGAGAGCGGCAAACACCACAGTGGAGCTGATGCACACGGACCGACCAAGGGCCCTCTGTGCAGGGGCCTTACAGGTCGAGCCTCCTGAGCAGAGCAACGGGGTGGCTTTGGCAATATTGACATAATCTCAGGGATTTAGTAGATGGGTAGAAGCACTGCTGTGAAGTTTGAGAATGACCCATATGAAGCCATTTCTCTTGCGGCTTCTTATCAGGGGAGGAGCGGCTCTGAGGACAAAGGGTGGAAACGGAAGTCCCTCTACAGTCTCAGCCTCTAAAAGCCTCCCTGCCTGAGCAGCAGGATCTCCTCAAGGAACTCTTTGCATATCAACAAGTGTCTGTTTCCAAAGGATGGTCCTTTCCTAGAACCTGCTTCCCTAGATGACTGCACTGCATGTCTAGTGAAAGATGACGTGAATGTGTAGTGCAATGGGTGGAAAGAACACTCTACCTGTGCTCAGCGGACCTGGCCCCAGCACCTACTGCCTACCTGGGCATTCACAAAAATCTTGAACTCTCCAAATTTGTAAAATGAGATACAGTGATTGGGTGCCATTGTTAATTTCTTCCAACTCTGACATTCTTATTATGTCTAAATACACTGTCCCTTTGATAAAATGTGTAAAACAAACTTTGTAAATGGAGGAACTAATATGGTATGTGTTTTTTCCTCTTCAGTATCTTCTCACAGAGAATCTCTTCTACACCTGGCTATGAGATGGGGCCTGGCTAAACTTTCCCAGTTCTTCTTGTGTCTCCCGGGGGGAGTCCAGGCCTTGGCTTTACCCAACGAAGAGGGTGCCACACCATTAGACTTAGCTTTACGTGAAGGACACTCCAAGCTGGTGGAAGACGTCACAAAGTGAGTTTAGCTACTTGATAGTCTCTCTCTTATTTGTATAAAGTCGGCCAAGCATTATAGAAAAATGGAAATAACCAAACCACAAGCTAATGTTGGTTTATGTTTTACTGTTAGCTCTCATGCATATATATAGATCATATAAACAGATATACTGGGATAATTGGTATTAATGTTTCATGAGGGTGAGATAGGAAAAAAGGTCTCAAAAGGCTCTGAAAGGAGTGATAATGAAAAAAAATTGGGGAAACACTAGCATTTAGATTTCAGCTTAAATGTCAACCCCTTCTGTGTTATTCTCTTTGATGATTATGATTAATTCAGAATGTTAAATAAGAGTAACATTATGACTAATTCACAATATTATAATTATATGTGTGGTCATTTGTTTCATATATATCTCTTAATCATTTGAGGTCTGGGACTATTTCTGTTTTACCCATTGCAATGCTCTAGTACAATGTCCAGCACATAATATTTGTTGAAAGGATATAAATCTTTTTTTGAATCAATGAATAACAGACAAATGCTATGGTATGATTTAGTCAATTTGGTGGTCATTATGGTCTAATGAAATAATGTAAAGGAAATAATTTGTAAACTATAATGTTCTCTGTGTTAATGAGGGTATCAACACTTCCAGTGAATAATGAGTGTATTGTTGGTTACTTAGAAAGGTTCAGGTCAGCCATTATTCTTAGCTTATGAAAGAAGGATTCATATATAGTGATTTTTTTGACTTAACGTGGTAAAAAACCAAAGTATAAATGGGAAAGTATGTTGAAAATTACAACATGCTACATAAATATTAACCATTGTTAGAGTAAATGCTACATAAATATTAAATATTATTAGAGTATTATTATGTGGCATGTTCAAATGGACTGGCTTTTCTTGTTTGGCTCATGGAACTCAATGTAATTAATTTATAGTTATGTAGTACATAAGTGGACATTAGAGTAGAAATCAGAGCTTTTGGTTTATTTTTGTTTCTCATTTGATCAAATGACCATCAGCCAAGGGGCAAGCCTATCTGGAGGGAATTGTCCTTTTCCTTGTTTTAACATGACCCCACTTCCTTGGCTAAAAAGGGCAAGGCAAGAACACTTCCTTTGACTCATTCATCGTGAACAATTCTGTGTTCTACTGAGGTCCTAGAGGCACACTTCATCTGTTGGTAGCTTTGTATCTTTTTACTGTGTCCAAGACGAGAAGATACGTGTTTTAAATGTTTCCAGGTCTAATAAATCCATTCATGGATGGGATTAGAAGTAGAGTGTAAGCTAAATTCTGGTGATATGATGATAGAGCTTCCATATTCTAAATTAACAACAGTGACCTTATTGCTCAGGTTCAGAGACCATTCATCTCAGTGGCTTGTTATTGGCATGGGGAGTTGTTTTCTGGAAACTTCTGGAGTCCTTGCCAGTAATGAGTGTCAAGAGTTTGGAGAGGTCCCCCAAGACTTAGAGTAAAACTGTTCTTTAAGGATCTCTTTTTGTCACTCCATCTGATGGAGATAACATTTCCTTCATTGGAAATATACTATATTTTTGTAAAGCAAACATTCATTAACAAAATTAGGTCATGTTAAAAGAGGAAAGGGGCATAGAGCTAGTTCTGTGAATTGAGGAATCTGGGAACAATCTGGTGGGATGTGACATGCTGAGGTATGCTGTAACCCAAGAACATTAATATTTCCCCTTGAGGTTTCTTTACTGTTACTATTACAGGACCTTATAAGCCATCCAGAATATTGCGATACTAACCATGAAGCCTGAATGTAATTTACAAATGTACAAATGTTCTCAGCCAAGATATAACAGAAAATAAGTGTATATTCAAGTCTTGAATATACATGACTCTCCAAAAAACACATAATTTGAATCAACACAACATTTAGGTTGGAAATGTCGTTCCTTTGTGTGTGAGTGTGTTCAGAAATACAACATGATCAAATTTGTGCATGTTTTAATTTGCATAAGAAAGAATTTACAACAGTGGTACCATGTGTTATGAATATCTCACTTATTTATGACATCCAAACCTCACCATGTTCCCTGGAGATCATATCTGTTTTCCACAGTAATCACCTAATAAACCACTGGCTGCCAGCTAATTTGTTCTACTACAGGTAGCCCCATTAAAGTGAGAGGCATCTTTTCAGATTAAAAGGAGAATGAAATGTTGAGGTAAAGTACTATGTTTAAAATTCAGTACTGTTTCATTCTTTATGTAAACCTTTAAAGTATGTAGTATATGTCAATGGTTTCCAATAGACTTCTTCTCTAGGTGGAAAAAGAAAGATGGCTTTATTAGTATCTGTTTTTATGATCTTATGTATTTATTGCACGTAGGTGACTTTCAAGGATCATTTTGCCAGTTGGATTTGTAAGATCAGGGGCAGTGATCCTAAGGGCTGGGATCCTGGGGCTGGTGTCTTTGAAGCTCTGTGTGGGTTTTGATTTGTGTTGTTTCAGTTTTCAGGGCAGATGGTCCCCAAGCTTCTCCCGAGTGCAGCTCAGTGAAGAAGCCTCCTTGCATTACATTCACTCATCGGAAACGCTGACCCTGACCCTGAACCACACAGCCGAGCATTTGTTGGAGGCAGATATTAAACTCTTCCGGAAATACTTTTGGGATAGAGCCTTTCTTGTCAAGGTTTGTACATAGTGATTCTAGCATGTGATAATGCATGCTTCAGAGAATGCAGGCATCAATTTCTTATTATGAGAACAGTGTTTTTTGGGGGTAGGACTTTTTTTAATGAAACCTTGGGGGACATGAAATTGGAAACTGCATTAGATCAGTAGAATGAAGATTATTATATATTTTATAGGAGTTTGTATAATATTTTCATTTTCTTTTCTGAGCCAGTCTTTTCCATAGTTGGGTTTTAATACTTTAATATTGGATATTTTCATTAATTTATTGATTGTATTATAATTATTATCTAAAGCAGTTACATTTAGGGCTATCTTACATGTATAATATCTACTTCTGGATTATCATATTGCTCAAATGTAGTTAAGCATTTGTTCCAGTGCAGAATCCAGTACAGAATCCAGTACAGATTCTGCTTGAATGGAAACAGGTAAAATCCTAGTTCTTTTCCAAAGAGGTTTTCACCTTCCCATCATGGTCCAAACCCCACCTTTGGGTGCTATCATAGCATGCCAGTCTCAGGGTTTAAAACATTTCAACTTTATCTCTCTTTTTTTTTTTGGTAGACTTTGAAAGAATATTAAGAATATTTCCATCTTTTAATTATGATTAATCAAGGTGTTATTTTGAGTAAGGCTTGAATAAGGCTTGAGTCAATCTAGTTGGCAGTGCTCCGGGGTCTATTGAACACACTAACCAGATCCTATGGCCTCCTGTGTTCTCAAGCACATTCCTTCACAAGACACAGGTCTCGTGACTATTTAGGCTTTACAGAGTAAAAAGTCAGCTTAGAAAACCAATATTATCATTGGCCACAGTTTCAGCTTTTGTAGAATATTTGCTTCACATAATTGAAATAATGAGTTAGCCAAAAACATTATGTATCAAACAAAGATTATTATTGGCTTACTCCATATAGAGTTTTATTTAATCAGTTAAAATAAAACATGGTCTTCAGAGTATGATCTTTCTCTCTTTGCTGGGTTTTAGGGAATTTGGTGTGTAATTTTCTGACATACAGCATCACATCCAGTATATACAGAATGAGGGTCTTCTTTTAAGGATGCTTGTCATTTAAAACTGCTCAAGCTGGCTGGGCGTGGTGGCTCACACCTGTAATCCTGGCACTTTGGCACTTTGGGTAGCCGAGGTGGGTGGATCATGAGGTCAGGAGATCGAGACCATCCTGGCCAACATGGTGAAACATCGTCTCTACTAAAAATACAAAAATTAGCTGGGCGCAGTGGCATGCGCCTGTAGTCCTAGCTACTTGGGAGGCTGAGGCAGGAGAATTGCTTGAACCCGGGAGGCGGAGGTTGCGGTGAGCCGAGATCGCACCACTGCGCTCCAGCCTGGTGACAGAGCGAGACTCCGTCTAAAAAAAAAAAAAAAATGCTACTCAAGCCTTCAGCCATCACTGTGGTTTCTCACCAAAGCACCAAGTGGTGGTTATTCTGGCTGGGCAGACGCTTGGTTTTGCCAGCATCAGTTCCATGGGGGCAGAGCTCAGCCAAGTGCTTTTCCTCAGAAGAGATGCTCAGACAGCGGCATGGCACTTGGTGACTATCCTGAAAAGAACAGAACAAACTCTATTGAACATTTGCTTCATTATAAAATCTTCTAAAGTCTTAGGCTAGATTTGTGATTTCTCATATACATTTGAGATAATACTGATGACCTTGGGGAAGATTTATGATGAGTAAATCTAGATACCTCAATAATTTATTGGAGTGGACTTTATAATCACAAAGGCCAAATGGAGATGGCTCTCCAGTTTCTATGAGATTTTCATCTTATGAAAAACACTTGATACAAGAATCAGTTAGAGTGGAATGGCCTTATGTTCCAAGTTTCCACATCCCTCTTTTTCCTTCCTTTCTTGAGGTGTATGGCTGATGTGAGCAGAGAGACCGAGAAGGAAGGGCTGAGAGATTCTTTATGGCTTCCGAAGACCTTAATTCTTACTTGCCTGACAAAGGGATTCTATTGTATTCTTATCTAAATTTTTTGTGATGCATATTACTTGGTTAGATATTATTTTAAATATAAGCAGGTGGTAATTATTTTATAGGTTGTCCACACTGAAGCTTTACAACTTTGGATGATAAATATTATGAGATTACATATAGATTTTGTATAAAAAGTATTCCTGCTTTATTGAATCTTATCTAAAAGTCTGTTTTTATATGACAGCTATAGATGGTGACTTTGATTTGAGTGACTGATCTGTACTCACTGAACTACAGCCCATACTCAGTCTTCTCCAAGGGGACATGTTTAGTCTCCGGGTTTGGGCATTGCTTAGTTATCTGTAGTCCTGTAGAACAATGACAGTAAAACCTTGCTGTGGAAACCTGAGTTTGCTTTACAATATATAAGAGCTCTCCAGGTGAACCCAGTCAGAAGCCATACTTTCAGAGTTGTAAAGGGTTCATACTTTCGCACTACATTTCAATTGACAGTGATGGCCTGACAGTTTCTAATAAATATTAAATGTTAAAATGGAAGGTGGTGCTAAATATCCAAACTGTAAAGACAGAATATTAGGAAATTAAATAATAGGCAAACTCGTAGCCGTATCTTTTAATCACTTTTTAGTTATTTCCTCATAACAATCCAAATGCTGATAATTTCACTCCACAGCTTGGCTAAAATTAATAAGCAGCTAGGAAATTTAAGTTTTTCAAGGTATATTCAAAATTACTTATAAGGATAAAAATTAAGTTTGAATATATTCTATTTTCAAGAGAAAATAGCGTTTCCTTATTTCAAGTTTTGTTGTGTAATCAGAAACCAGCATTGCCTTGATGTTCTTTTCTCACATAGCCTTGGCGACTCTCACTCTCTTCATTGAAAGACGGGGGGTCAGGGCTAAGGTTCAGCCCAAGTAGACACATGGGGCAGGTGGCTGGCTGTCTTAGACCTTGAGCCTGTGTGGTGACCCCTCCTCCATCCTTGGGTGCTTATGTGGCCATCTCATCACTACCCCTTAATATGGACCTGCCCTGGTCCAGCCACTCATTCCATGGTGGGCCTTAGAAGAGAACACAGTGTCCTGGAAGTGGGGCTGGGGTGAATTTACAGCCCATGGGGGGTGGGCAACCAGGCACTTGTTGCTCCCTGCCTGTTTGTGGTTTGCTAAATTGTATATATTTTTATATTCCTTTTACTCCAGCTGCAGGGCATTGTTCCTAAGTAGTCAAAGAATGAAGCACCCAATCCACGGGGCTTAATGACACGCCCAAGGGGATAAGGGACCTATGTCAGTTATGTGATTACCTGCCCAAGTATACTGATGATTGATTTTAGAACCTGTGCTGGGGGTGTCTTGGGCTGGCTTACTATTCAGCACATCAATGCATAATTCTGTGTTTCTTCACATTTTCACTGGCTGTGGGGAATCTGTCAAAAGGAAATTCGGATGGTCCCAAGAGGGCAACTTTTCGCTAAAGCCTTTTGGAAGGCTCATCAACTTAGTTTCACCCAGGGCCAGCCTGCACCAGCGTGTGCCAACCTGCAGCTCAGGGCCCATGGTCATCCTGGATCTTCCTTGTGATCACGGTCCTAGCCCCTCACCTGGTCCTCTGAGATTCCTGTGTCTTAGGATGTGGATTTGGTCTGCTCCAGGTGGCAGATGCACAGGCCAGAAGCCCTTCTTTCTGGCGTCAAGATTTTCGGTTCTCTTTCTGGTACATGCATGATATTCCTGAGAACCTTCTGCTTGGTGTGACCTGCAGAAGCAATAAAAGATTAGTGGCAGGGACTTTGGCCCCTGCCTTGGAGTTTCTCCTGACTTTGCTCGCCCTCCTGCTGGGGTGCTGGCTATATGTTCTCCCAGCGGCTTTCACCCACCCTCTATTTCCCAACCTCCTAGCTCTGAGATCATTGATAGTGACTTTTGCCTCTTTGTTGTATATCTGGAACCTCAAATGGTTTTCTGTGCTTTTTTGTTTTTTTTTTCCCCATTGTTTCCTAGGCCTTTGAGCCAGAAGCCAGGCCAGAGGAAAGAACAGCTATGCCCTCCAGCGGTGCAGAAACTGAAGAAGGTACGCATGCTCCTTTCCCACTTATGGCAGCCACAGAGTGCTCTGGACCAACAATCTAACCAGTCCGTTGAAGTGTGTGGTGAAGCCGGCCAGGAATCAAGGGGCTCAGAGGCAAGATCAGGGGTGTGGGATACAGCAAAGCCCCTGGGTCCTCGGACAGCATCAAATGAAGTATACTGTTTGTTTCCACTCTCCATTTAACTGGAATGTCCTGAGTGCTGTTTGCCGGGACCTGGGCCAGGTCCTCTCGCATTCCTGATCTTCAGGATGCTCTCTTGACATTCTGATTGTTCTCCTCATTCAGCTTGTTCATTCATTGAGTCCTTCATTCTATCATTTGTTCTTTAGTTTCTTCCACCTTTGTGGATCTCCTACTTTTTGCTAAGCAAGGATACTCTGGAAGTCATGAAGGAGTTTTTGTCATCACGAGGGTCGGGGGACACCACTGGCATTTAGAATTGAGGCATCAGGGCTGCTGGATGTTCATCAAGATACAGAACAGCCCTATGCAACTAAGAGTCGTCCTGTACAGCTGTTTACAGTCCTGATGGTGATTCAGAGACGGCATGTGTGATTCTGCTTGTGGTGGAAGTTCATAAAAGAAGATATATTTTTTATAATACATTGTTCCTACTCTATTCCACAACATGCCACATGGAATCATTCTGATGCCCCACTTGTGCATAATACCTAGCTCATATGCAGGAACATCATCATTCCTCATTTTCCTCAACTTGACAGTTTATCTATGCATGCAATTCTTACTTCATTTGAGGTTACTTCTGCTTTTCCATATGCAAATTAATTTTGGTCTTTTAGTAAGTTATGGTAATAAACAGAAGTTTTCATTCTAGGAAGCATATTTTTGCATATTCCTGTATTTCTTGTCTGGAACAGATCCTGATTTTGTGTTTTCAAAACCCGGTGGTTGCAAAAATCTAACCACATTATTGCGTCTCCTAGGGTATTTAGGGTAAAGGTTTTATGCATTGAAATACATATTATCTTCTTATCAGTTACTCTCCATTTGCTTCATATTTTAGTTAGGATATTATATTGATTTTTATTTTTAATTAGACATGAAGATAAGGTTATATGTATCTAGGGGGTAGAGTTATGTGATCTACTAACTCAATTTCAAGATAGTGAAGGAAGCAACACAAAATACCTGTTAATGTAAAGGGCATAGGTCTGATAGGGTTGAGAACCACCAAGCTTGATGCTGGGGCTAGGGAGGAAAAATATGACAAGGCGCTTGTTCCTAAGCCACCAATGTTAATAGCTGGTCAATACTTTTGATTCTGCTTTTAACTGGCCTCACAGAAGAGTTGGATTCTAGGTATTTGTCAGATACTATGATCTTAAACTCTTTACCTGCATGTTTGTTAAAAAAAAAAAAAAAAGTAGTCTTGGCTGGGCACGGTGGCTCACACCTGTAATCCCAGCACTTTGGGAGGCCGAGGTGGGTGGATCACCTGAGGTCGGGGGTTCGAGACCAGCCTGACCAACATGGCGAAACCCCGTCTTTACTAAAAATACAAAAATTAGCCAGGTGTGGTGGTGTGCACCTGTAATGCCAGCTACTCGGGAGGCTGAGACAAGAGAATTGCTTGAACCTGGGAGGCGAGGTTGCAGTGAGCTGAGATTGCGCCACTGCATTCCAGCCTGGGTGACACAGTGAGACTCCATCTCAAAAAACAAAACAAAACAAAACAAAACAAGATTAAAAAAACTAGTGTTAGAGAAGGCATATTTCTGGTGAGTTGCTGAGTCTGTGTGGCCCATCCCGACTGCATATGTTCCTGGGTTAAGCCCGAGCAGCTGAGCCTCCTCCTCAGACTGCACCTTCTTGGAGCCCAAGGGAATTGCCTTTACTATTCTCCCCTGTGGGTGACACTCGCTACTGGCTGTGTTGACGGAGCCACTCTTTACCCTGCTGCCCAAGAAGGTGGTGGGCACTTTGTGCTTTCTCCTTGAAGACCTGTAGGAGAAAGCTCTTTCTGGTTTTGTATTGGGAACACAGCTTCACCTGAGTGCCTGGCTCAGCTCACTTTTACTGCTGTACCTGTAGCCGATCAAGTTTCTTACTTCTAGCTTTCTGATAAACTTGGAGCTAAGTTTCTGGGCACTTGATTACAAGGGCCTATGGCAATGCTGACTGCATTTTTTATATTACCTTGTTGCTTATTTAAGCCTCTGCCCTTACTTTTTCTTTTTTAAAATCAACTTCTGATTTTAAAAAATCCTCTTGCAAATTTTTCCTCTCTTGTATTCTACCTTCAAATTAATTTAGAACACTGAGGTCTAAAGGAGTATTTTAATTCCAAGTTGTTCTTAAGGGGCTTACAGTTTGAGGTTGGGGCAGAAAAACAAGCTCTCATGGCACAGTGTGATAATTGCTACAGGAGTTATTTGCAAGTAGCTCTGTGTATTAGCATGCTGTAGACTGTGACAGTGGAGCAGTCAGGGAAAGCTTCCTGGAAGAAGTGGCCCTGGAGCTGTGATCTAATGGAGGGAAGGGAATTCTACATGCAATACAAAGTCCTGAGCCAAATGACGTACTGGGGAAAATGCAGCTCATTTTGAAGCCCTGGAATATAGTGTGTGTGTGTGTGTGTGTGTGTGTGTGTGTGTGTGTGTATGTGTGTGTGTGCGCGCTTCTGTATGGTGGTGGCAGTGATGCCAAGAACATAGGCTTAAGAAGTAGGCAGATTGGCATGGCTGTACGTGAAGCAAGTTGTTAGAATTCTACCCTGACAGCTCTGTAAAGTTCACTTTGGTGGGAGTATGGGGAATGGATGGGAGAGGCCTAGTGGAAGATGGGGACCAGCCATGGGGCTGCTGAAAGCAACGCAGAAGAGAATCTGCCCTACAGCAGTGTGACAAGATGGGAGAGTTGAGGACACATGAGTGAGGTCCTGAAAGTGTAGGATCTGATTGGCTGTCAGTGGTAAGGGAGAAGGACGGTGTCTCCATTCCTGGGGTGTAGCACTGGGTGGGATGGGCCTTCCAGGAAGCAGAATTGTGACAAAATATACGTTCAGTTTTAGACAAGTTGAATTTGACAGGTGTTTGGGGCAGCCAAGTTAATATACGTGGCTGCCAGTTTGACTGAAATTAACCAATAAGCACAAGAATTTGGACAGAAATCCAAGCCCTCTGACTCCAAATAATTAATGGGTATACTTTAGAGCCCTTGAATCTAGACAATGCTTTTGTATTTGTCTACCCTTGAAAGAGTACTAGAAACTGTATGCATATTCCAGCAGAGGGCAATATTCAACTAAAGTGGAAACATTCAATTAGTTTTTGTCCATTCATGAGTCTGGAGGAGACTCAACTGAAAGAACAAAACATTTTGAGCATAAGAGCTTCCTCTTAAAAAAAAAAAACCAAACAAACCCTAAAGCAAACTTCCTCTTTAAAATCTATTAGAAGATTCTTAGTAGATTATGCTTTTCTGTCCCCTCTGGGACAATGTGTAGTAGGGGGGAAACTCTAAGCTTATATCTGTAGCTGCTATTAATTAAAAGACTATAATAATTCTAGCCTGGACATTAACTTTGCTGTCTCTGTGAGTGTGATAAATGGTTTTATTATTGCCTACGATCCAGTTATGTTTCTATAGTTTTATGATTCTAGTTGTACTCCCAGAATAATGGCACATTATTTCAAATGAATGGCCAAAAAGTCTTCTTATTTTAATATGCTCCTATTAATAAGCTAATTATTAGTATTAATAAAAAACCTGGCTCCATATTTTCCCCTTGCCTTCTTATCCTTGTTTGATCTCTCTGTCCTAGGATTTCCTAAAGAGCATTGTACAGAACACTGATCTTGGAAGCTATTTTGAAAAATAAGGATTCTTTGGCCAAATAAGTAGAAAATGCTGTACAGTAGTTCCCTCTTATCTTTGGGGGATAAGTTCCAAGATCTCTAGTGGATACCTGCAACCCTGGATAACACTGAACCTTATATATACTATGTTTTTTTCTATACATACACACCTATGATAAAGTTTAATTTATAAATTAGGCATAGTAAAGGTTAACAATGATAATTAATAATAAAGTAGAACAATTATAACAATATGCAAGTATCACTACTCTTGTGCTTTGGGGTCATTAGTAAGTAAAATAAGGTTACTTGGACATAAGCACTGCCATACTGAAACCGTTGATCTGATAACTAAGAGCTACTGAGAGACTAATGGGCAGGTAGCATAGGCAGCATAAGGACACTGGACAATGAAATAATTCACTTTCCTGGTGGGAAGGAGTGAGATATCATGAGATTTCATCATACTACTCAAGAATGGTCTGCAATTTAAAAAAATGTAGGAATTATTTCTGGAATTTTCTATTTAGTATTTTTGGACCGAAGTCAACGGCAGGTAATCAAAACCATAGAACATGAAATCCCTGATGGCAGGGGCTACTGTATATGAAACTCCCACTTTTGAGATTTGGAATGCATTTAATGTTTTGTGGGCTCTAGTAAGTCAAGAAACCTATATAATCTTGTTTAACTTAGCAGTTCTCTAAATTAATGGATCACACGAGAGTCCTTTTTTCGCAGTTCTCAACCTCTCATAGAAACCGTCTGTGAAAGGTACTTTGAAAATGTTGTTCTTCCTCAACTCTGTGGCACCTCCCTCTCTGGATCTTATGTCCTCCATTTTCACTATCACCTGGGTTCCCGCCATCTGTTAGTCCAGTAATGCGCACACCAGAGAAGTGCAAGAAAGAATTTTTCAAACTGTTCACAGTGATCTTGAATATTCCAGATCATTCATGCCTCCCTCGACATCCCACTTCAATTCTTGATATCACATGGGAGGCTATTGCCTGCCTGGCATCTACTGGGCTATAACGCAACCTGAGAACAACTACAGTACCATTTGCCACTGTATGAATCCGCTTAAAAAATTATTTTGTAGTTCAAAAACGCTCTGCATTTGCTAACTGTCTTAACTTGGTGTCACTCATTTGTTACTTTGTTGGCTTCTCCCCATAAATTATCTTCCACATTTTCATTGACAAGGAAATAGGGATTGGAACATGTGTTACAATCACCAAGAAGAGAGGGCAAAATCATTTCCTTCAGGGTGGAGGCAGCCGCTCTCACCGGCTCAAAGTGGCTTCCCCTTTGTGATTCTGTGTGGGAGGCAGAAGAGGCTGTTGGTCCAAATGCAAGATTCAGGCTGGACAGGTGGACACGTGTCCTTAGGCCCATTTCCATATCCATCCATTCAGTAAATATGTATTGACTGCCCATCACTTTATACCAGCCACTGTTCTTGGCAGTAACCAAAAAAAAAAAAAAAAAAAAGGCAAAGAGAAAAAACCTTGCCCTCAAGTAGTTTGCTTGCATTTAATTTCACTCAAGCATTTGTTAGCACCTGCTACGTGCCAGGCATTGTTCTAGGCACTGGTCACAACCTGAGTTAAGTCTATACACTCATGGAGCACTCATACCTATGGTCATCGGGAGGGGCATTTCTGGGAGTCAGGAGTCAATCCTACGCACTTTATGCATGAGAAAGTGGCAGCACAGAAAAGTTATGTAACTTACCTGAGGTGACACTGGCCCAAGCCGTCAGAACTCAGGTGATCAGTCCACTCCCTTACCGACCACACTATAGACTCCCACTACCCCTATAGAGCAGAGGACTGATCTATTTAGCGTCTGGACTGCTCGTCTAGAGTTCTCTCAGCATTTGGGGGATAGAAAAAGCGCAAACATTGGAAACATTGCCTTGAAATGAGCTCTATTCCAAATGGTTCATCTCTCTCAAGTCCTTATGACCCGCAGGCACAGACATGTCTCGATGACACATGCCAGTAATAAGCTGACTTTGCTAAAATCCTCAGCTCTGCCGTGAACTGGCTTTTGAGCATAATGCAAGTGATTAGGCTGTTTGCTTTTGTGGAAAATGATGGGGTGGGGTGGAGGTGGCGGTGTCATTTAATACTTACTTCAGTGGGAAAATACAGATAAAGCACCTTGCCCAGTATTGAACATAGTGGATGTTTACTGAATGATGTCTAATCATGAGTGCAAGTTATATAACACACGCCTATGGTGGATTCAATGGTAAAGATACGTGTTTTGAGATACCAGGACCCAGCCATTCGTGTCGTGGTGACTAGAAGTGAGCAGATTTTTGCTTGAACATTCTGTAGACAAGGGTGCAGCACTTCCCTCTGTGATTTGGTTTGTGAAATGTAGAGAGAGTTGTGTGGTGGATTTTCCTTATTTGAATATCTCCTGTGAGATATTACTGGGAAAACAATAGGGCTCTTATCCACACAAAGTGTTGTTTCCAAGATTTTTCATTTGAGACACTCTAGCTCAAGGGCTTTTTAGGAGAACTGTTGCAGATGGTTTAGATATCAAGATATAGGTCCTTTAAGCCAGGACAGCTGGGACCTGGGTGTTGGGGACTTAAGACAGCAGTACTAGGCAGGCCGTTCTGCAGAGCTGATCATTCACTTGCATACACAGCTCTACCTTGACTCTCATGTGAAATATCTGGTCAAGCACTTGAAAATATTGTTTTCCTAGAAGTAGGGTATTTTTGGCATTTTCAACAAAAATCATACGCAGCCCTAGGAAATGATTTGTAACTGTTGCTTTCATTTAGTATTATTATCATTATTATTAAGTTCTGGGATACATGTGCAGAACGTGCAGGTTTGTTACATAGGTATACACGTGCCATGGTGGTTTGCTGCACCCCTCAACCCGTCATCTACATTAGGTATTTCTTCTAATGCTATCCATCCCCTACCCCCTACCCTCTGACAGACCCTGGTGTGTAACGTTCCCCTCCCTGTGTCCACTTTATTCAACTCCCACTTACGAGTGAGAACTTGTGGTGTTTGGTTTTCTGTTCCTGTGTTAGTTTGCTGAGAATGATGGTTTCCAGCTTCATCCATGTCCCTGCAAAGGACATGAACTCATACTCTTTTTTATGGCTGCATTTTACAGAGCAATTCAGCCTTTTCTGTATTTCCTTTAGTGACTGACTTTGCCAGTCCTCTTTCTTCTCCTTGTCACAGGAAAGAACAGTCTCCATCATTAAAGGGACCATGATATGGATAGGATATCATGATGATATGATACTCATTTTGTATATTATTATAAAAAATCAGTATTTTCTCACACAGAAATAAAAATTCTCCTCACCACTTAGTTTATCAAAGGATTAAAGAATCATAGTTTGACTTGGAAAGAACTTTAGAGATCATCTGGTTAAACCCACTGTATGTTTGAGCTCAAAACTCAGAGGTTCCCCAGAGCTCACCTAGATGCAACACATTTGGCTCATATCTGAGATACTTTATTCTAGCTGAGTCAGATAAGCAGCCTAGAGAGAAAAAAAAGTATTAAACTCAACTAAGTATTCTAATAGAATTGCAGTGATCTTTACTTGAAAATATAGCTAAAGGTTAGTTTCTTTCTTGAGTTAAAGTAGAATCTAAGTTTGGTAAAAATGGAATTTTGTTTATGTCTTTGAAAGATGACTTGCTTAATTTTATTCAAGCCATTGATTAACTTAGGAAAATTATGCCCTGGCTTCAATTTAAAAATGCAGTTAACCCTTGAAAAACTCAGATTAGGGGCACCAATCCCCTGCACAGTCAAAAATTCATGTGTAACTTTGACACTCCTCAAGCTTAACTACTCATAGCCCACTGATGACCAGAAGCCTTGTCAATAACATAAACCATTGATTAATATATATTTTGTATGTTACATGTATTATATACTATATTCGTATAATAAGGTAAGCTAGAGAAAAAAATGTTCTTAATAAAATCATAAGGAAGATAAAATACATTTACCATTTATTAAGTGGAACTGGACCACCACAAAGGTCTTCATCCTTGTTGTCTTCACATTGAGTAGGCTGAGGAGCAGGAGGATTAGGAAAGGGTGGTTTGTCTGCGTGTTTTATCAAATTGTCAAAAAATCTCCAAAAAAATTACCAATATATTTATTGGAAATAATCCATATAAAAGTGGACTCATGCAGTTCAAACCCGTCTTGTTTAAGGATCAACTGTATAATGATTTAGAGCTTCTGTGTAATTGATAATTGCAACCAAATTTTGGGGCTGAGGATACTTTCTCTCCATAATTGAATTCTTTGCTTTAGAGATTTCTATGGTGGGCAGGGGTGGGGGTTCAGGAGATGTAAAAATCTGTATCATAAAAATTTATCAAACATGGAGTTATATGATTCAACAATTATACTCCTAGGCATATACTTAAGAGTAATGAAAACATGTATCTACACAAAAACTTTTACTTGAAAGAATGTTCATTGCAGCATTATTAATAATAGACAAAAAGTGGAAACAACTCAGATATCCATCAGCTGAGGAATAGATAAACAAAACAAAGTAGATACCTCCTATCTATCTATCTACCTATCTATCTAATGGAATACTATTTGGCAGTAAAGAGGAATGAAGTACTAATACATGCTACGGCATGGGTGAATCTTGAAAACATTATGCTACATGAATCCAGTTTCAAAAGACTACATATTGTGCAATTCAATTTATATGAAATATCCAGAATAGGCAATTCTGTTGAGACTGAAAATAGATTAGTGGTTGCCTTGGGCTGGGGTGTGGAAGGAGGATGGTGAGGTGGTTGGGGAGAAATGTGGAGCGATTGCTAATGCGTGTGGGGTTTTCTCATTGGAGTGATGAAAATATCCTAAAATTGATTATGGTGATGGTTGCAGAACTCAATATACTAAAACCCATTGAAGTGTATACTCTAAATGGGTGAATTGTATAGTATATGAATTATACCTTAATAAAGCTGTCATAAAAACATATATGGGGGAGTATATACCAACATTTAATGGTAGTTATATTGATTTTTTTGTTTAGTTTTTTTTCCAAGTTTTTATTTATTTTATTTATTTTTTTGATACAAAAGACTTTATTGCAGCATGGGCTTCATGTTCACATTGGTTCTCCTTGCCCAGCAAGTCCCCCAGGAGCCTTGTGAGCAGCTCAGATAGATGCTGCACACACACTCAGTTTGTGTCACAGCTGAGGAACCCCAAACTAAGAAATCCCAAATCTTATAAGGAGACTGCTAGCAAGCCTGCCCAACCCTTGCACTGGAAGAGGCTGTTATCTTTACTACCCTGGTCTGAAAACAAATCTGCCTTCATCCCCAGGGGAAACACTATTTCTCGGTTTCAAGACTGTTGGCCACAAAACCATCCTTCAAAAGATAATCCGGTAGAAAAGTTTTCACAGTAAGAGTAGGCACACCATGGAGAATGGCCTGCAGCAGTCTGGTGTTGCAAGAGGGCTACTGTGGCTCCAAAATCATTTCTTCATTGAACTCTATTCAGACAAAAAGAGCAATGGAAAAAGATCCTTTTGCCCTGCAACTTTTTTTTTTTCTATTAGTGATAGAAGCCTTTTTTGGAGAGGTGCCAGGAAAGTTTCTATTAAGACTCTGGCCAGAATTGGATCATATGTTAACCTCCAGACAAAAAAAACTGTGTAAGAGGAGGGACTTCTCCACTGTCTTAAATAATTACTTTTGTCTTTAAAAAAAGAAACACAAGTAATTTAAATGAAAAAAAACCTGTATTTTAAAGAAGATGTCTTAAATTCTTTCTGAAACAATATAGAATAGAAATATAAAAATGATATGCCAAGGAGCACATTTTGGAGTTGCTTGAGGCCAAGGATTTCTTCCATCTTGGTTTCTTCTCCCCAGCTGCTGCTCAGTAGGGACCAGTGGAGCTTGTTGAATTGAGTGGAATGTTGGGCTCTCACTCACTGATAAGTCTCATTTTGATATTTCTGTAAATAAGTGCCTCATTGTTGCTCCCAGTCCATATTTATACCGAGCAGGCAAAATGAAAGTTCTTATTAGTAGTCCCACTTTTAGGAAAAAAAAAAAAAAAGGAATAACTGGGATATTGAAACAAACTTTCAAAGTGTGACAACAGTCTCTGAATTAAGAGTGGCAAGTAGTCTCTCAAGTGCCTTTGCCATTTTAATTCTCTGGCCATTGTGAATTGAATTTGTACACTAGGATAAAACATTGTAGCAACACATGCAGGTGCAGTAGTTAGTAGTGAAACAGCAATACTTACTAAGTGGAGAGGAAAAGGGTTGGCTTTTGGACTTACAGAGCTGGAAGGGTGGGAGGAAGTAAGGAGAAAAGGATTCATCTGTCTATGAATCTGGCAGTTCAGAAGTTGTGATAAAATAGCGCCAGTATTGGAAGTGTTTCAATTAGTTAATTCTAAAAAGTAAACAACTTTTCCTTCTCTGTCCTGATCCACAGCTTGTCTAACCATCCACCACATCTTGTCAGCTATGTATATTTTGGGCCACCAGATGTAGGTGGAGATGAGAAGCATTTATTCAGCACCTGTTAAGTGCAAAGCACCCAGCTTGGTGCTGGGGATACAAGGGTTGAGCGGAAATCGATCTGGTCCCAGCTCTCCCAGAATTTACAGCCTATTGAGAAAAAAAGATTCATTCAAAGACTATGAACTACCCACCATGTATGCCAGAGAGGCACAGAGGCTGCTATGAACACTACCATCAGGGTGTTTTTCTGACATTTGTGGGGGCAGGCAGAGCAAACTGAGAGCATGATCCTGGTTTTCCACCTGTGCTTTTGACACTACCCTGTAGATGTAAGCCAGTGGTGGACTTGGTTGTTAACAAGACAACACTGGTGGTCTGGCTGCGTCTGACCACGATTCTTCTGCCACATCCAAATGGTGATTAAAATCAGAATACTGAGCATCCTGTGTTTTTGGTTGTAAGCTTTTTTATTTGCTTAAGTCTAGACTCTGTGGTCTCATTTGCAAAATAAGACAGTAAGACATGTGCATAGAGGTGAGTTTTTTAGGCGAATCTGTTTCTTAATGAGACACTGGCATGAATCTTACAGCGACTTAACCCTGTTCACTGGTGCAGTGTCACTAGTAAACATAAGTCTTAGAGATTATCTCTTGTTCCATTATAGTTTGGCAATAACAAAAACCATGTTTATCAAGTTTGGCAAGTCTGATTTAGAGGAGTAATCCTTACTTCTGGGTGGGCTTGAGGGCAAGATTAATAGGCCTTTAAAACAGAATAGGTAGAGTTACTGATACCATTATCTGCTAAAGGTTGCTATAGCAATGAGTGGTTTGATTGCACTGTGTAATTGGTGGTACAGTGGGTTAGTGTAAAAGGATCCTACTAATTTAACAGAAACTCTCCTAGAGCAATTTAATTAATCCATTAGAATGAATGCCAAATTCTTTGAAAGCTCTAAGATATGGTTCTGTTTAGTTCTAGGTTAATTAAAGATACATTATTATCTGGAATCAGCACAGTATCACTAATATTTTTAAATGATTTTTGGATAAAGACTTTCTACATTTAAGTTATTTTTTAAATGATGAGGTACAATTTTTAATGAAGACATATATTTTAATATAGTTTGTGGTACTTGTTCTGAAGTGAAAAAAATTGCACTGGACTACACGGAAAAACGTAGGCATGGCAAGCTATAAAAACTAGTTCACTGGCCTTTTGAGAAGGGAAAGGAAGCTGGAACCTAAATGCACTACCAGGTGTGAACACATCCTCTGTAACTGCAAACTTCACTAACAGATGAGATTGCCTTTTCCATTAGCAATCTGGATAAAATGTGTACTGTTCTTCCGAATAAATGCTGTATGTACAGAATTCTTTAGGAATGCAATATAATGATCATTTAAGAGTTTATGGCTGAGATGACTTTAAAGGAATGAATGTCCTAAAACAGGCAAAGTAAAAGGGTGTGACTCTTGATGTCTGTGCAGATGTGTCTGTTGAAACTCTGGTCCAGGTTATCCTTCCCTTCTTTTTTTTTTTTTTTTTTTTAACGCCTTTGTGGTTTCTTTCCTACTTATCCCAATTTTTAGTGTTTGAGTATATGAGTTTCAAAACCAAACCAAATCCCTACTGTACACTTATAATGTGCCAAATACCATGGTAGGTGCTTCACATCAATTTTCTGCATCTATGTAGTGGGACAAAAATGCTAATTTTAACTATGTGTTTTGGACTTTGGCACTTGAAAGCAGGTCCTTGAAGGGTGAAATTAGCCCATTTTGACATTCCTACCTCTGGCAATGTTACTCTGCTGCCACCTGGAGGCCTTCTGTGGGATGTGCATTTAAAGGCCGGCAGGGATGCTGTGTACACAAGCTGCCTGGGCTGGGTGTCCACTATGATCTTGTCCTCATTCCCTGCTGAGATCAGTTGACATGACCACACAAAATTGGGGTTATTACTTTGTTCGCTGGTTATTTCCTTGTTGGTTTAATCATAGAAGCTAATATGCATTATAAATTCAAGAGCAATATACTATTGTGGCATGCAAATGTAGTATTACTTGCTTTCTGCAAAGCAAATTCAAAGTTATTGTTGTCCAGATTTTTAGAAACACAAGACAAGGATTGTTGGTTTCTCTGCTCCATCCTGATCTTATTACTTATAGCTCCATCCTTGTAATTTGTCATCTTTATTATGATTTGTCATGTAGAGCCATATAAATGAATACCTTATACATTTTCTAAGCATAAACATGGATGATAACTCCTAGCATTGTTGCCCAGAAGTGAGAAGAGCTTGAATAAATCCACCTGCAGATTTGGGGCATTAGATAAATTAATAGGAGTGACAAAACGGAATAGGGAAGGTCTAGGTAATGAACCTGCTGGAAAACTTCAGGCGTTTCCCCAGGATTAGCATAAAGCAGGGCTGTGGGGGAAGGGATGTGGAGATTCCAGAAAAGGAGTGAGACCCCACAATGTTGTATGTTAATGCAAATCTGGGGTAGAGACTTTCAGTCATATGTCCTTGCTAGGGATATCGAGTGCTTTAATTTTCCCCAGGCCCAAACCTGTTCTTGGTGGTTATTTCGACAATAGCGGCTCTTGTTTAAGGGCAACTGAGTATTTGGGAACAGAACCAATCAATTAAACCACAGATAAAAATGCTGCCTTGGGTGAACCTTTTTTTTTTTTTTTTCTTCATCCCAGTACATCCTGACCACTACTGTTTCCAGGAAACCCTTTATTCAGAAAGAGGACACCCGGTGTGCCCGGGGCTGAGGTTGGAGCTGAGGGCTATGCTGGTGTTCTTGACCTTCAGTGATGTGTAAGGAAAAGCCAGACCTCTTATATAATGAATTACGCTCTTTTAAAACATATTGAAATCTGTGGTATTTGAGGAAATAGACATGTGGGATTTCCTCAGGTGGGTACGAGTCACGTCCTTACAATCTGCTATTTTGAAGAACTTGCGGTAGTGAGCAGCCTTCCTTTGGAATCAAGGGCATTTATTTATTTAATGATAATTTTTTCCCCTTCAGGATTTCCTGTGAGAGCTCCTGGGCTTGTTTCCATCTTAGTCCACACAGATAATACCAGAGTATGGACAGTCGGGTTATTAGACACTCTGCTCTGTGGAGAGCTGATTTTTAAGAGGCCTAATCTAAAAACCTATCTCTGTGCAGAAGGCTCCTGGGCAACTCATTTACACTTGTCAGCTAGTAGTTGTTGTTCTTCTTAACAAAAGCTCCCATCAGCAGATCCTGATAATTATTTCTTTTGCAGAGATTAAGAATTCAGTGTCCAGCAGATCAGCAGCTGAAAAGGAAGATATAAAGGTAATGAATGACTCCCTGCTTCTTTCTTTGCACGTCTTTCCATAAAGTAGAAATGAAGATTTAGTGGTAATAAAAATGTTTAAAAAACACTAAAAAAAGGATGTGCCCCAAGTCACTTTCAGAATAATGTGAAATTCTGTTTTCTTTTTCTTTCTTTTTTTTTTTTTTTTGAGATGGAGCCTCGCTCTGTCACCCAGGCTGGAGTACAGTGGCACGATCTTGGCTCACTGCAACTTCTGCCTCCTGGGTTCAAATGATTCTCCTGCCTCACCCTCCTGAGTAGCTGGGACTATAGGCGCCCACCACCACGTCTGGCTAATTTTTGTATTTCTAGTAGAGATGGGGTTTTGCCATGTTGGCCAAGGTGGTCTCGAACTCGTGACCTCAGGTGATCTGCCCGCCTCGGTCTCCCCAAGTGCTGGGATTACAGGCATGAGCCACCGTGCCCAGCCCCATTTTCTTTATCAAATTCTTAATCCCTATTCTTTATAACCAAACCTAGCTATCTTTCTGAGTTGTAGTTGTATATGCAAGATGATTGAATACATTCTGCAAAACAAATTTCTACTTGAAGTTTGATGTTTATAGATATTTGACAACAATGTGATTACAAGAGTAAATGTGGGAGATGTCCTCTGAGAATAAAATAACCTGTGTACAGCTTTCAGGTGTGTTTCAGCTTGGGATAGATTCATTACTCACTTTTAGCTGTTAAATAATATTAAGTATAAGACTAGTTTTCTGTTTACATGTGATGATACTTGTAACATGTTTTCATTGATGCTTTCCAAGGTTGTTTTTCTAGTTCACAAAAATAAACATTAGTGTAGCATATATGTAATTTTTTAAAAATCCACCTGACTTTATCTCTTCCAGCGTGTCAAAAGCCTGGTGGTTCAACACAATGAACATGAAGACCAGCACAGCCTAGATTTGGGTATGAAATAACGCTTTTACCTATACTCGTAGGGGCATCCCAGATCCAGGTTTAGAGTGGACAAGAAGCAAGTAAATTTTAACATAAAATATTCCTTCCTGGTAACCTTATCTATTTCCTGAAACGCATCCAGATAAATTTTATTTGTAGGATCATTTGTAATACTATGACTCTAGAGGTTGAGACTCCATTTACAATCTAAAAAACAAGGCAATCAAAGCTTTTCCTGAACAGTTTTACTCTGAGCCAGAAGCTGGCTCTGGACTTGTCATATGTTCCCTTGTTATTTCTGTGAAGTAGGCACTACCAGTCTCAGGTTCAGGTGAAGCAGTTGAAGCACTGGTGGAGAGTAGATGGTGGAACCGAGACTCATAACTTCATTCCACCTGGCCCTAGAATCTCCAAGCTTACCAAAATCCCATTTTGATGCCCAGTGGGGTCCCCTTGGAGCTGAGCCTATGTGATCTACACTGCTGAGCTCAGGAAAAGACCAGATGTTTGTTCTGGGATTTGAGTCTGATGTGAGTGTCCTTTCAGAGGAACCAGGTGTTCCTCCACCCTTGGCAAGGTAGAGGTATTTCCTCCCTCTGACCTGGGAATTCTCATCTGATTACAATATTCTGTTTCACAACTCCCTGAGGACCCCTTCCTAAATCTCCTCCCAGGTACTCTCTATTTCTTCAAGGCTAATTTGGACCCCAGCCCTATCTCTTGAGTTACTTAGAGGTGAATAGAGCATAATGAAGCTAATGGGGTGTTTGAAGATACAGGCTGAGCTATCAGCAGAGGCTGAGTTTGGGCACCTGGATGTCTGTGAAGACCTCTGGGGCTGACAAGTGAGAGGCAGATGAGCACGAACCACTCCAGTTGGTTTCCTCTGGTTCTGTGAAGCTGAGGCATCTCACACACCTGGAAGGCACACATGGGCAGGACAGTCTTAGAAGTTGCAAGGGGTGAGGTGTTGCTGATGGTAGTGACTGAGGGCTCAAGCTGATGTGAAATCAGGAAAAGCTAAATCAATGCTCAGAGTGAGATTAATGGAGAAGGTGGGTAACCCACGGGGTCACCGTGAGCCTACACGTGCATGGGGCTCCCTGGAGGCTGAGGGAGTGTGGTTGGTATGCTGTGCCAACACACGACAGAGCAGTTACAACCATTCGGAAATCATGCTGTGTAGAGCAGAGCAAGGAGGAAGCACCCTTGGTGTTGGTTGATGGTGTTGCTAGTAGCTTGGCCACATGCCAGAGGTGGTTTCCAGGATCTTGCTGCATGTGGCCCTACTGAAATTGGAACAGAAATTTAGACCCACACTAAGCAATATACACGTCCTTAATATTTTTGCTATTTAAGGTAAGAGTAATGATTTACTTACAGAAGAGGGGAAGAGGAAGGCAAAAAGAGAGCAAACATCTCTGTATAGATGGCTGTTGTGGGCCACTGATGTCAGGGCCATTGCTGTTACTCACGCACACAGGATGTCTCAGCTACAAATTGCATCATGCTCCTGGGAATGTTAGCTTTGAAGAATGTTTGCTAAGATGAATTGCTGGGGGAGGGAGGTAGGCTACTAAAAGTATTAAACACTGAGACGATCTTAATTTCAGGTTTTAAAAACTCACTCTAGTTTCAAACTTGTAAACTTGTGAGCAAGAAGCATGTGCTACGGAAATTGTAGTAGTCTGACCTCGTCTGAGTGTTTTGTCAGTAACATCATTAAGTCTGTGAAGGATTTGAGAAAGATAAATGAGCACAACTTTAGTCCAGTGATTTATGAAAAGGACCATGATGAGTGTTTGTTGTGCTAGCATTTTCTTTTTGGTTCATTTAAACTTTTTGAATTAATAAAGTCCCCTGAGTTTTTGCAAAGGAAATTATAACAGATTTTCAAAGAACCTGAGAGAGAAGGGGACAGCAAGCTGTGAGCAATAGTCAGATGGTCAGACACAGTCTGGAATAGGAAATGGGCTCTCCCTGGAGGCCACTTCAACACTCTTTTGTTATTTGTTATCTGTTATTTTTTATTTTTTGAGATGGAGTTTTGCTCTGTTAGCCAGGCTGGCATGCAGTGGCGCCATCTTGGCTCACTGCAACTTCTGCCTCCTGGGTTCAAGCAATTCCCCTGCCTCAGCCTGCCGAGTAGCTGGGATTACAGGCACCCATCACCATGCCCAGGTAATTTTTGTATTTTTAGTAGAGTCGGGGTTTCGCCTTCAAACTCCTGACCTCAAGTGATCTGCCAGCCTCGGCCTCCTAAAGTGCTGGGATTACAGTCATGAGGCACCACATCTGGCCTCTTTTGTTATTTTATAAGTGCTTTATTCTGCCCAGTCTCTGAGGAAATGCTGATAAATGGTGTGGGATAAACACATGATAAATGCTGATAAATAGATATGTAAGTCTTTGCTGACTTGTATTATTCAGAATTGTGTGGTGTGGATGTGGCCTCATCAGTGACACAAGTGCTGTTCCAGTGGCACCCTCTGTGCTGATGGACACATTTTATAGCTGTTCTATCCAGTGTAGTAGCCTGTGGCCACCTACGTCTATTGAGCATGTGACATGTGACTGAGGAATCGGATTTTTAATTATCTAATTTTATTGTATTGGACAGGGCAGAACAGAGTAAGTTCCCTTTGTGGTGGTGTTTTCTTTCTCCTTCTAGAAGTGTTTTATGCATTTATTGTTTTCTATTTTTTTTAAGTTGTTGTGGTACATTGGAGATGTATATATTTTTAGGGTACGTGAGATGTTTTGGTACAGGCATGCAATATGAAATAAGCACATCATGGGGAATGGAGTATCCATCCCTTCAAGTATGTATCTTTTGAGTTTACAAACAATCCAGTTACACTCTTTAAGTTATTTTAAAATGTACAGATTAGGTTGAGTATAGTCACTCTATTGTGCTATCAAATAGTAGGTCTTATTCATTCTTTCCATTTTTTTTTGTACCCATCCTTTGTAATGTTTTATTGACCTTTCAGGGCATCAAGAATTAACACTTACCATTAGTTTATAAGCTGAAAATGATGGTTGGAGAAATGTCTTGGGTGAGTAACAACTGGCAAGCTCATCCAAGCCGGTGCCCCAGAACCAGCTCCGCAAGGAGCTGACATCTATGTCTAATGCAGGACTTATGGCCCCATTCTCTGCAGATGCTGTAAGGGGTCGGCATTTTGTCGAAGGGGAGAATCATCAGTTGAAGGGCTAAGATCTGCTTCTGTTGCTATCATAGTGCAGAGTGGGACTCCTTCATATTCTAGGCAGGTAGGATGGGGAAAAATGGCAAAGCATTTGAAGGAAACAGAAGAAAAGAAGGTAGATGAAATGAAATGGGTCAATACCAAAAATAAGAAAAAAAGGGTCTACTTGGCTCAAGTAAATGGCACTAAACGTGATTAAGAAATAGGATCTGGCCAGGCGTGGTGGCTCATGCATGGAATCCCAGCACTTTGGGAGGCCAAGGTGGGTGGAACACTTGAGGTCAGGAGTTTGAGACCAGGCTGGCCAACATGGTGAAACCCTGTTTCTACTAAAAATACCAAATTAGCCAGGCGTGGTGGCGCATGCCTGCAGTCCTGCTACTTGGGGGGCTGAGGCAGGACAATGGCTTGAACCTGGGAGGCAGAGGTTGCAGTGAGCCAAGATCGCACCGTTCATTGCACTCCAGCCTGAGCAACAGAGCGAGACTCCATCTCAAAAACAAATAGGAACTGCTTAAAGTTTTGATCCTATTTCTTAATCATATTTAATGCCATTTACTTGAGCCAAATGGACCCTTTGGGCAGCAGCAAATGTTGTGCCAAGGAGAAGGGGAGTGAACATCTTGCAGGAACAAGTGGACAGCCTGTGGGAAATGGAGTAGATGGGGAGTCTCAGCTGTAAAACTGGAATCCCAATTGCAAACAAAGATGCATAAACCATCACTGAATCAGCAAAGCTGCGAATGGCTTGATTAGACACTATCTTGCAAACTCTACTTTTAAGAGGTTGAATCTGAAAAAATAAAGCTATGTGGCTTTGGTTAGAAATTAAGATATCCAGTTAAATGTTAAGTTCCTCCTTGAGGACTGTGAAACCATAATGCCAGTGTCTCAGGGGGAATTACAGAAGCTCCTGGAACATGATGCTCCTGTTCTTTCATCGAATAATATGTCAAAGTGTGAGTGAGGTTGTGGGTGACAGACCAGATGTGGTGACACTCATACTGAAGCTGATTTTCCTGCAATAATATATCACTCATGGTCTGCATTAGATTAAAGAGGACATGAAATTTATTTGGCCAAAGCTGAATATCTTATGACTATTTGGATGGAAAAAATGAAGGGTTGGTGAAACTGACATGTCAAAACAAGAACTGTGTGAGCATGTTTTGACTTTCCCTATGAGGGAAGGTGATAGGGAGATAGAGACACTCCCTATAGGTGATAGGGGACATGAGGATAGCACTGGCTGGCATCCTCCTTTCTGCTTGGAGAGTCTCAGTACTTTGAAGCTCTAGGCATGAAGCGCTGCCTCATCTACTCTTCCAGGTCTGGCTGGTAGAGAGTGGGCTTGGCGCAAGTGCAAGAGAAGATATTAAGCATAGTATCTTGCAAAGTAAGCCTCTTGGAAAAAAATTATGTTAGTCTTCTATAATTATAGAAATAATAAATGTTCACAATAGAAAAATTGGGAATTTTAGAAAGAGTAGAAAAAGAAATCCCTATAATATCCCCACCCAAAGGCAGTTACTATTAAATTTGGGTATATTTCCTACCAGCATTTTTTCTCATGCATGCATTTCTTTTTTACGTAGCTGTGATCATGAAAACAAGATAATTCGTGTCCTGTGTTATTCATTTGACATATTCCATAAGTAAGCTCCATTATAGAAAGTAACTTAAAATGATGTTGTATGTTTGTTTTTGTTTGTTTATGTTTTAATAAAGCATGTGGATTACTTCTATAAGACGAAAGGGAAAATGTAGATCCTATGCACAAGTATTTATTTCCCTCCAAACCCCCTTTTTATAATATGTATTGTTGATTTTATAGAGTGACCTGATCAGTACATGTAGGGGCTCAAATCACAGCTATTCTTTAATACTTCGGGTTACTTCATTGCTATTATTGTTTGTTACTAATATGTAAGATGAGGAAAAGACAACCTTTTGGTGGGTGTTGGGACTGGGAGGGAGGGCATTGAGGACAGATGAACCAAAGCTGGATATGGAAGGAAACCCAACTTCATACCAAAAAAAACAAAACAAAACAGAAAAAAGAAAGAAAAAACCCGTCTAGAGGCCAGTTGGGAAAAGAAGGAAGCAGAAACAAACAATAGGATATGAGGTTCAGATTTCTTTACCAAGAAGACACAGATCTTTCATGACTGTAGACAAGACCGAGAGAGAAACAAAGCCTCCCCACCCCGAAAGTCCCCTGAAAGGAAAAACATTGGGAAAAGGGAACTGGTAGGAAATGACTGGAAGAACCAAAGAAACAGTCCTCCTAAACAGAATGTTAGGTGGTACGTAATACAGGTTTTCAGGATCTCCATTTGTGGGCATACTGGGAGAGTGCAGGCCTACATGTGCTAGTGGTGAGCTGGGGGGAAATGGTGCAGTCAATAAGTGCTAGTTTGGCAAACAACCAGATAATAGAACTAATTAGGTTAGTTTCTCTTCTTATATTAACCAAAAGTTCTTATATTAACTAAAAGTGCTATTATAAAGTAGCACTTGTAAGTCGCCTGTGGAAAAGAACGTTTTGAGATGTTTTTAAAGAGGATCTTGGCCGGGCGCGGGGGCTCACGCCTGTAATCCCAGCACTTTGGGAGGCCGAGGCAGGCGGATCACGAGGTCGGGAGATCGAGACCATCCTGGCTAACATGGTGAAACCCGGTCTCTACTAAAACTACAAAAAAATTAGCCAGGCGTGGTGGTAGGCGCCTGTAATCCCAGCTACTTGGGAGGCTGAGGCAGGAGAATGGCGTGAACCCGGGAGGCAGAGCTTGCAGTGAGCCGAGATCGCACCACTGCACTCCAGCCTGGGCAACAGAGCGAGACTCCATCTCAAAAAATAAAAAAAATAAAAAAATAAAAAATAAATGAAGAGGATCTTAAGCATGGCATCTTAGAAGCTGTGACCCCTGTGAGTGGAAGCTGACCCTCTTGGCTGTTATTTAATAACACATGTGTATCTAGACTGAAACCGCAAGAATGTTTCGTGAAACATGGGAGGGGGGGACCTTAGCAGAACTCTTCTGAAAAATACGTTTTCAATCCTAATTTTTGGCAGATCTCTCTCTACACCCCAGGCTACAGAGCTTCTGTGTAGTCCTTTCTTTTTTTCTTTTCTCTTTTTTTGGGGAGTTGGGGGGTTATCTCTTTACCACAAACTAAAGCTTCCCAGTGAATCATTTTGAAGTAAAGGGGCTGGAGACAGTGAAATATCCCAAGAAGACCACTGGGAAGGCAAAGTTATTTGTATAAATTCCAACTCAAATTTTATTCTTTTTGTTCAAGGAAATTTTCTTACTGTGGTTGTTGAGGTTTCAAAACCAAGGTTGAGAATCACGGTCAGAGATCCCTGAGGGAGCTCAGCAATGCTGAAATCACCCCTAACGTACTAGGTTTTCAGTAGTTTTGGGAATTAGAGAAATGGAGTTCTACTTTTATCTCAACTGATTACAAAAGGTATTAATGAAAGTCCATTTGTATTAGGTTCACAGATTTTCAATGATTATCACCAGTGAGATCACAGATCTGTGGGAAATAGGCAAACTTTGGGGGGAAAAAGTGTTGAAAGAATTTCCTAACCACTTCAATTTATGAGATGATTAAACCTTTAAAAGTTAATTATTTTTGAACATTAAGAAGAATCAAGTGACTGTAATTTGCTGTCACAGGGTCATTTGTTGGACTTTGAAGTGTACAGAATGGGATGAAGGGAGTGGGTTGATATTTACACTGATGTCTTAAGGGCATTATGAGGATGCCTGATGCTTGGCATTAGTACTAACCTACCTTTAGTACATTCTAAATTACCTTTTTCTTTCATTTTACAACTTTCTGAAGTGTAACAAGGGAGGGAAAAATGGCAGTACTTTCTCTGAACTCTAAATTTTCCTTCTCCAAAATAAGATCCTTGACCCCAAATAAACCAGCTTAGTGACTAAGCAGATTTCATGTATTCCATTCCTAAAGACTCCCTTAGTTTGATATTTCAATAAAATGATTAGATTATAAACTTCAAACAAATAGAAACTCTTAAGAAAGTGACAACAAATGTACAAAACATGAAACAGGTGAAAAATATGAAATATATTCTGGAAATGGTATCTATAAAGTTTGTTTTATAAAAAGTTAAAATAATACCACTAAGGGATTTCTTCCCCTTTTCTTGTGTTGAAACACTTCAGAATACCCATGTATATAGGCATTTACAAAAAAAAAAATTACATTTACAAAGGGATAATTGGCCAGCAAGCTCGATTGCTGTGTGTGTGTGTGTGTGTGTGTGTGTGTGTGTGTGTGTGTGTGTGTGTGTTGGTAGGCTTGTTTTATACTGAGTATCCAGTGGCTAATTCCTTGGAAGGGACTTTAGGGCAATTAAGATTCTGGTTAGCTTTTATGCCAGGCAGCACAAGTTCTAACAATTTATTGGTACAATTTACTTTACCTTTTAGAGTGGCTAATTTAAAGAACATTTTTATGAAACGTGGCTCCTTACTTGAAGCATGGGCAAGAAAGCCAACAGAATTTATTCCTTTTCCCCTGCAACATCACCAAATAATTGATTTGGAATGAGAATTAAAAGAACATTTGACAGTTATGAAATGTATACTTACTCTGATACTTCTGATTAGTTGTGCAACAAATTCATGACAAATTACCAGATTAATTTTTACTTTATTTCTTCAGGACTGGGGTTTTTCGATGGTTTCAAATTTAGAATCTTCGCATTTGAAATTAGATAACATATTCCTGTCTGCTTTCAGCAGAAGTTTACTCTCCAACTCTTGCTGGTGCTCTGGGCCAGTATCAGCAGGTCCTCCAGATGCCTGTGGCTTAGATTTGTAGTCCCTAATGTTGTCCACGAAGAGTTTCTGTATGGGACCAAGTTTCTTGTTAAATGCCACTGTGTGACACCAATGTTCTTCTGCAAAGGGAGTGAGACTACTGACCGAATGACAGAGGAGAACTTGAAGAGCCTCTGAAGAATCATGGGGACTCTATGTGCCTGAGCCACCACCTCTGCCACTGCTGTCAGAATCTATTCTTTACATTATGAGGCTTCACTGAAGATGTGTCGCTCAAGTATAGGGAGAAGTGATACAATCAGAGGTCAAATAGGAGGCCCACTAGGAAGCAGTCTGTTGATTCTTCATAATATTTAAAATAACAGAAAATCAGAATAAAGAGTTAAGTTGGGCTGGGTGCAGTGCCTCACGCCTGTAATCCCAGCACTTTGGGAGGCCAAGGTGGGAGGATCACCTGAGCTCACAAGTTCAAGACCAACCTGGGCAACATAGTGAGACCCTGTCTCTACAAAAATTTTAAAAAATTAGCCGGGCATGGTACATGCCTGTGGTCCTAGCTATTCAGGAGGCTGAGGTGGGAGGATGGCTTGAGCCCAGGAGTTCAAGGCTGCAGTGAGCAGTGGTTGCACCATTGCACTCCAGCCTGGATGACAGAGTGAGACCCTGTCAAAAAAAAAAAAAAAAAAAAAAAAAGAAAGAGTCAAGTTGATGGTGTCCAGAGCTTGAGGAAACTTGGAATGAGCTAGGTAGGTTCATCCAGGTTCTTGAGATTTGTCTGCCAATGAAATTTCAGCCCATCTAACAGATAGATTCATCTGCCACACAGGTGCCAAATGGAAACCTCTCAGGGAGTTCACTCTTGAGATCTTATTAACCCCATGGAGACACTGTTTTTTTTCCTGTGAATCAGAATTATTTTCAATATACTTTAACTAGTGTCCTCAGAGTTACATGGCAACTTCACAAAGTAAGAACTTAAGCAAAATCAATGGAGCTTAATGCAGGACTTGAATTCTACATATGTGAATGTGGATGCAAACATTGTTTTAGCATCGGTTCCACAAACATTTAGTGAATATAGATTCTATACTTGTTGCTCCCATTCTTTAAAATTTTTTTAAATAAATTTATCTTTTAAGAACAGTTATAGGCTTACATACTTTATTTCGATTCCTCACTTTTTACCTGATTTCCGTTTTCTATTCCAGGATCCCATTAGGATCAAGCTGCCGTTAATAAATACTAGTCAGGAATTTTGTAGAATGTCCCTTAATTGGGTTTTTTCTGATTTTTTTTTCATCATTACACTGAGAATTATGGGTTTTGGGAAGAAGACCCAAAGGTAAAGTGCTGTTTTCATCACACCATATAAAAGGTACATACTATCAATGTTCATTGTCACTGTTGATATTGACCTTGATCACCTGGCTGAGGTAGTGTTGGTCTGGTTTCTCCACTGTAAAGTTACTCTTCCTCACCTGCCTTTCCACACTATGTGTAGCCCACACATAAGGAAAAAGTGAGGAGTTAATCTGTATACTTGTGGGTGTGGTGTCTACATAAATTATTTGGAATTCTTCTACATGGGAAATTTGTCTGTTCCCCCCATTACTTATTCAATCATTTATGTATGCCTGTATAGAGTCATGGATATTTATTTTGCACTTTGGGTAATAATCAAATACTACTTTATTTGTTGTCAAAGTGTTCCAGTTTTGGTAGCTGGGAACTCTTTTAGTTGGCTCTTGTATCCTTTTTACATATCATCAACATTGTATATATCTTTTTTTTAGGGTGGTAAAGGTGTTCTTTGATTCTTGAATTGTAGGTACACAACACTATGCCTTTATCCAAATCCACAGAACATTAGAGTGCACCGAGTAAACCTTAATGTATGCAAATTTAAGAAAACCTTGAGGTTGGGGATGGGATGCAGAATGTGACAAAACAATCTAGCTGTATTAAAAATGTAAGAAATAACCTTACCAAAGGGAATTTTGGGTGTGGTGGAGAGAGGTGCAGATCTATTAACTTTGCAAATGAGTGGAGTCTATAAGAATAAAGGCAAAAGAAACTACAATAACCACTGTCCTTTGGTTGATACAGTTTTTCTCGCAGGCAAAAAGATAAAGAATTTTAATACCACTCTACATGTATTGCACAAATAAGTAAATGGATTGTGGCTAGTAGCTGCCACGTTTCTCCCTGTTGGAGTGGGTGCTTACAGATAAGCAGGGGGAAGAGGCTAGAGTGATCCATGTGGTAACAGATTAGAGTTGTAGATATCAGCATGCACTCATGTTCAGTTAACATAGATACACACGGTTGCATACAGAAATATTTGTAGATATATGTACATAGGTTAGGATACATTTATATATTTTCTTGATCTGGCAGTTAAGAGTGCCTAGAAGGAACCACACCCCAGAAGCATATATAGGACGAGCCTGCCCGTTTTTTCTTTTTAAGTGAGTTTTATCTATCATATTTTATGTGAATTTTAGCTTCAGATCTATGGAATTTATAGTTTATTAAACTCTTTGCTCATTTGTTTATTAAACATTTATTAAACTATTTGTTAAACTCTTTGCTCATTACAGTTTATTAAACTCTTTGCTCATTTGATACCTCATAGTTAACTTATTTACATGTGGATAACAATATAAAATAGTTAACTTATTTACATAGTTAACTATAGTTACCTCATAGTTACTATAGTTACCTCATAGTTACCTCATAGTTAACTTATTTACATGTGGATAGCAATACCTGTATATAGTATATATCGATATGTACTATATATCGATATATAGTACATATCAATATATACTATATATCGATATATAGTATATATAGATATATATACATAGATAGTATATATAGTATAGTATATATAGTATATATATACTCTATAGAGTATATATATACTATGTAGATATACTATCTATCTATATATACTATATATAGATATATAGATATATATACATATATAGATATATAGATATATACTATATATAGTATGTATATAGTATATATCTATATATAGTATGTATATAGTATATATCTATATATAGTATGTATATAGTATATATCTATATATAGTATGTATATAGTATATATCTATATATAGTATGTATATAGTATATATCTATATATAGTATGTATATAGTATATATCTATATATACTACACATCTATCTATATATAGTATATATCTATATATACAATCTATAGTATATATCGTATACATCTATATGTACCATATATACGATATATCGTATACATCTATATGTACCATATATACGATATATCGTATACATCTATATGTACCATATATACGATATATCGTATACATCTATATGTGCCATATATATGATATATCGTATACATCTATATGTGCCATATATACGATATATCGTATATATGGTATATATCGATATATACTATACATCTATATATTGTATATATTTATATATATACAATCTAAATATAAACAATATAAAATCTATATACAATATATAAATCTTTATATATACAATATTAAATCTATATAAAATATAGTCAGTTAAACTTTGCATTTTAAAATTATTAAGTCTGTGAACAAGTCTATGGCATGTAAGAGGTTTTTTTTTTTTTTTTTGAAGGTTTGGGAAAATTGGAATGTAACATTATCGGATGCTGCTCTCCTGAAGTCCGTGGGTTCTTCCTAATAGGAGGGATTTCTTTCTCCTTAGGCTATACCAGGAACTTCCCTATCCCTGCACCCCTGCTCTGTCCAGACTTGGGGCTCTTATTCTTGCTTCTGCCACCTCCAGGGCCCCTCACATCCACTATCTGTGTTGCCTATGCAAGATAAATCCAAAATTCCATATGATTTATTATTCAGAACAACTGAGCAAATTTTTCCTAATTCTTTCATTTCAGGTTATGCTCAGAAACTTCAGCATTTAAAACAAAAAGAGCTTCATCAAGGTTTCCTGTTGTTTGTCTGTTATTTTTCTTAAGATATTCATCTAGGTAGAACATATCTGTAGCAATATTAACCAAATGGTGGAAGCTTTGACAATGTAATTCTTTTTTTTTTTTTTGAGATGGAGTTTCACTCTTCTTGCCCAGGCTGGAGTGCAATGGTGTGATCTCAGATCACTGCAACTTCCACCTCCCAGGTTCAAGTGATTCTCCTGCCTCAGCCTCCATAGTAGCTGGGATTACAGGCACCTGCCACCATGCCCAGCTAATTTTTTGTATTTTTAGTAGAGATGGGGTTTCACTAAGTAGGCCAGGCTGGTCTCGAACTCCTGACCTCAGGCAATCCACCCGCCTCAGCCTTCCAAAGTTCTGGGATTACAGGCATGAGCCACCACGTCTGGCTCAACAATATAATTCTTTAACATGTGTTGCTTCAGTCAGGAAATCTATCATTAATATTTTAATATTTATATTTATTAATAATAGATTATAATTATTACTATTTTCCTGCCCTGAGGTGTTTTGAGTATTTTCTTGTTTTCTTATTATATGTAGACACATATCATATATCAGTAACTTCTTCTAGCTGGGCTTCTAGGTGATATTCATTTTTTTCCTCTTAGAGAATAGGGGATGTAAAGACCATATCAGAACCTCTGCAGGTGCACATAAATGTTTTTGTTCAAATAAATAAAGGTAATAATGGCAGATAAGAAATTCAAACATTTTGTTTTAAGCAAGATGGTATTATGGACAGTGGCATCATGTGATTCCAATTTTTGACAACAGTGGTTGTACCATGCTCCCGATTCATGTCTATTTTATGTGAATTCAATTTTATGGGCTCTGTAAAAAATAAAAAGTGCTGGGGGTTGGGGGAGGTAGGGAGGAAAATCAGAATTCACACCTCGGGGTGGCTGTACCCATCATTTCATTTTGAGAGAATAAAGTCCGTGAGTGAGTGGGACACTGCAGATGTGAATGTGCTGTTTCTACCATGCTTCTCAGAGTGACAGCGTCTTGGCACAAGGGTAAGAGCTTATAAAGATCTTCATTTTCTGTACAACATAGCCTCCCTGTGAAAGCCACCCATTTCACCGGGTGCCTGGCCATAGTTAGATCCACAGAAGGACTGTTTGTGTTGAGCTTGCTGAGAAATGACATGGTGGCTTCTAAGGGATTTTGAGGAAGGCTTTATCCATCCCTGATTTTCACCTTATGCTAGAAGTTAAGGCTGCATATGATGAAGCATATATTTAAGTTGTCACTGCACTGGCTCAGCTTATCCAGGAAAGGCTTATCCTAGCCTCAGAGGCCTTGCCTCCTTTTATCTGGATATTTTATGACTTTCCAGGAACAATGTCTAGTAGTATTAAAAACTGTGGTGTCTTGGTGGCTTAACAGTGGAGTAGAGAAGCAAAGCAAATCTTCCTCTTTGAGCTCCTTCCCTTCTTCTTCCTCCTTCTTCTCCTCCTCCTGCTGTTTCTGTCTTGGTATAGTTTTCTTGGAACTTCCTTGCACATTGCCATGTCTCAGTTTTAAAAATCAAATGATTACTCCTCAGGGTCAAAGTGAGACTATTTCAGTGGCTGGGAACCATGGCTTATGCCTGTAATCCCAGCACTTTGGTGGGCCGTGGCAGGCAGATCACTTGAGGTCATGAATTCAAGACCAGCCTGGCCATGGTGCATGTTTTGTAATCCCAGCTACTTGGGAAGCTGAGGAGACAGGAGAATCACTGGAGCCTGGATGGCGGAAGTAGTAGTGAGCCAAGATCATGTGACTGCACTCCAGCCTGGGTGATAGAGCAAGACTCTGTCTCAAAAAAAAAACAAAACACAAAAAACTGTTTCAGTGTCTATAACAGAAGAATAATATATGAAAGGGAAATTTTATTTACATTCAACATTTAAAGCTTGTTGAAAATTTACTTCTGTTAAGTTCTTCACTGTTATAATCTCACTGGATCCTCACAATAACCCTTTAAAGTATAGATATGATTCCATTCGCTATGAGACAACTAAGGCTCAGAAAATGGGAATGACTTGGTTAGGGCCACTAACTGACGGAGCCATTATTTGAACCCGGATATCTGTGTCTCCCAAACCCATGATTTTTCTTTTTAGCTTGTGGTGCACTAAAAATGTAAGACACAGTTCTTGCCCACAAAAAATTTTGGGTCCCCCTGGAGGATGAGAAAACTGTGCAAATACTGTAATTCAGATCAAAATGTAAATACTTCTTTGAGATTTACAAGGTTGAAAGGCAGGTTAATGTCTAAATGAAGATCAAGGAAAGTTTCCTTTCTGTGTGGGTCTTTTAGAAAGCTGAAACTTCAAGGCAGCAGTATCTTCTCTGAATAATTATAACCTCATGGAAGTTCTTTTCTAGGTGAAGAATTTTGTAATTAAAGGAGGCACATTCAGGCGAATGTATCTTCCATGAAAGCATTCATACTCTTACATGGTAATGGTTGTATGATATATGGTGAAAGGGTGGCCTGGGGGATATATCATTGAATTCTGCTGTCTGCAATTACAATCAGCCAGTAACAGTCACCTGTTGAATATGAATGAGATGTAAATAGCATCTTGAATTAATTTAAATGCAATTATATTGATAAACTACAGAAAAAAAACCCACTTCAATTACTATAGAAAACAAGGAGGATAAATGATCCACATTCAGAAGAAACGTGTTGGTGAGCAAGGAGGTAAGCTGGCCTAAAAATAAAAAGGGCTGTGCAAACACTATTTTTGACTTCACTTTCTAGTTGTATGTTAACTGTTCATGGCTAGTCAGTAGAAATCATTTTATTCTTTAGAAAACACTGATAAATGGTAAAGCAAATGAGTACATTGGAAAGTCTCTTCTTTTGATATCTGAGTTATTTTCACATATGTCAGTTGGGTGTCTCACATGTATTGGTTAGGTCGTTCAATACTGTTTCAGAATAATTTTGACATCAAGAATCACTTGATATGTAACTGGTCAACAAGGACTGCATTTGGAAGAATAAGATTAGGATGAATCTGTCTGGAATCTCAGCTAATAGAAATACTTTTTATGCAGTTTTTTTCATCTCTCTCTTTGTCTATATTGCCCTGAAGTTCTTCTGACCTGTCACTGGTAGTCACGGGAGGAACAGCCTATTCCAGTAACTTGCTGATGTGGGGTTTATCTACCTCCTAGTTGAGTGACTCTAAAACTTCAATAGGCATGAGAATTGCTTGGCATAGGGGTGGTGCTTGTTGTAAATTATTGCAGATTCCTGGGCCACCCTCAGAGAGATTGATTCAACACATCTGGGATGGGAATCTCATAATCTGCATTTAAAATGAACAGTTTTCCCTCAGGCCCCTTCCTCCATTCTGATGCCTCTGAGAAATTCTGCCCCCGATTCTGCTTTCTCTACATTTGTAGTCTTCTGAACGCTTTGTCACATTTCTGACCAACTTAATAAAACAAGTTAGGGAGCCCCTATAGATTGTATTACTTTTGTTCTGTTTGTAATTTAATAAGAAACATGTCTTTCTCTTTCCCATAGCATCAGTCAACTGTAAGAAGTATAGTATTCCTATACCTTTAGTTAAGGGGATGGTATAGTAGAGGTTTAGCATGTGTAGCAAGGAGCTACAAAACCCACTCCTACCAATTCAGGATGAGGACTTTAGTATTTCTAACCGCCTTGGAAATTTTGCATTTCAAAGGATTCTTTAATGGTAGCAAGTAGAGCTGAAGAAAAATAACAGTATCTCCTGATCCAACACTATTTTGGTTTGGTGATTGTCCACACTAGTGAAGGTCCCCTTTCCTTGGTCTACAGACAACTTAGAAGCAGCCAAAAGGCCATAGACCTATGCACACTCCCATCATTGTCTGCAGCCTCAGAACAATGGGTTTTCTCTACCCAGAAGTACTGTCCTTTTTACAACTGTTGTGCTAAATAAAATACAAATATATATTTTAAACACTTTATAATAGTTCTTGTAGATGTTTTTGTCAAAATATGTGTTTTTAATCAGTTGTCATGTAAAGGTTCTTCATCCACAGGGTAAAGGTCATTGACATGGCAGACCGACTATTGTAAATCATTCATTCTTTCAGCAATTGCCTACAGCGTCCTAGGCACCATTCTGTGCTCTAAAATCAAGAGTGAATGTAAATGCTCTTCCACAAGATTTGGTATATTTTCTAATTAAAGATCCATATGGACTAAAACTCTTTTACTGGATATAAGGGCTGAAAGTTACATATCCTTATAATTATACCCAGCTGGTTGAGAATAATACGTACTTATTCACCTAATTAAAAGCCACAGGCTTGGCATGGTGGCTCACGCCTGTAATCAGCACTTTGGGAGGCCAAGGTGGGTGGATCACGTGAGGTCAGGAGTTCGAGACCAGCCTGGCTGACGTAGAAATAACACATCTCTACTAAAAATACAAAAATTAGCCGGGTGTGGTGGTGCATGCCTGTAGACGCAACTACTCAGGAGGCTGAGGCAGGAGAATTGCTTGAACCCAGGAGGCAGAGGTTGCAATGAGCCGAGATCCTGCCACTGTACTCCAGCCTAGGCGACAGAGTGAGCCTGTCTCAAAAAAAAAAAAAAAAAAGCCACAAAATAGAAAATGTATCAGTATTTCTTTCCACTTAGTTGCAATGTTTGTAACTATACTCTAGTTGTATTTTGTTTTAGTTGTATGTTTATGTGACAAACTATATAAAAACACAGTAGTGATTTATGTAATTCTGATTTTGATTTAAATTTGAAATTAAGTGGTCTCTCCCCTTTCTCCTCTTCTCCCTGTATGCCTCACTCAACCCCTACCCAATCAGACAGGATTAGCTTCCATGGAGCAGGCTATGCAGCTATTTTCTTACACAGCGTGGCACAGTAGTACCGACAATTTAGGAAATAACTGAAGCAAAGAAATGAATGTTAATTAAGACACATACTGTCACCTTCTAAGTCTGCAGACTTAATGGATCCTCATATTGTATGTTTCCAATGTCGTTTAGTTTATTTGGACATCAGGTGACCTCACAAAACAAAACAAACATTTCTTGCTATTGTTTCTACTAAAAGAAATGCTTAAAAGAGACTGCCTGATAACATTTGGGATATCCTTTTTTTCCACTGCAGATCTCGGCTGTTGTGCTTGAGCTTATTTGGGGCATGGATATCTATGTGCCTATAGGAAGCGGAGAAGTGAGCCTGAGCAGTGCCACGATTTATGGGGAGGCAGTAATGAGCTTCTCCTGAATGCTAATTACTGGAGAATTGTTCAGGGAGACGGCAAGAACTGTTGGTTTGTGGTAAATTAGTCACCAGCTCTATTGAGGTGGACTGAAAGTTTAGATCGGAGCTATAAAGGCACCAAAATCCTGATGATTGACGGCCAGACTTGGTGACAGTACCAATATGGAAATACCCCAATTGTGCTAAACAGTGGTAGATAACTTTGTATAAATCTAATGAAATGAGTACAATCTATATAAAAGTTAAAACTTCCAACCACATTAGGATTAAAAGGGCGGTGAGACTGGATTGTTAAATGAATTATGAGAGCTGTTTTGGTTCTTAGATCCGAAAAGCTGCCCAAGCTGCCAATGGTATGAAAGAATAGTCTGCTCTGGAAAGAGCTCTTCCTGGAGTCTGCTGGCCTTCATTTGCCTGGGGATCAAGCTTTCTGGCTGTCCACACACATAAACCTCAACCTTTATCTAACACGGCACCGGGTAGCTCTTCTGAGAAGCAATATTCTCACTCCGAGCAAAACAAGCCTGCACTGGGAGGCTTTTCTTGAATCACAGGCAGCTCTCTTTCAATTCCCAGTTACCTTCCTCCTTCATTTCCATTTCCAGCAACCAGAAGAGGGGAGTTAATGATTCATTTGCTCCCAATGACCTTTTGAATAAGTGGACTGCAGTGTTTCAGCCACTCTTAGCTCCCCCACTTCTCCCTCCTTTACTTCCCTAGTTTGGCTTTAATATTTACAGCCTCCTTGTCGGTCTACACGCCTGAATGCCCGAAGGAAGCAAAACATTTATTGCCTTTCCCTCCCTGGTGTGCAGGAGCTATTTCATCCAATCTCATTCCTTCCCTTTACATCACATGGGGAGGCTTGCCTCCTGGCTGGGGACGCCCCGAGTTCTTCCTGAGTCTCTACTGTTTCATCTGTTGATTTCACCAAAACAAAAAGATGGATTCTGACTCCGACTCACCTTTTAACTACTCGTGGCCTTCCTTTCCCAAAATGAAGATTCGAAGAAGGACGTCCAAACAAGGTAGATTGCAGTATCTTTTCTTTCCTTCACGGGCAAAACCAGACATCCTATTCTTTCTTTTCCGTGTTTCTTTGCCAGACTGTTTTTCCAATGTAGCGCGTGTTTATACGTGCCTTTATAAAACACTCACTGTACAGATACATATAGGTTTCTGAGGCAAACCTACTAATTCTTCTTATGTTCCTTTCACTTTGAATCTACCTACCTTGGTGTTATTATGTATGTGCAATTCTCTTTAAAAAAAAAAAAAAAAAGAAGGGAGTTTAGTATAAGGTAAATGTTTTGGATTCACTTCTTCAGAATTACCTTGGAGTTACCTTGGCAATAAACAGTCCTGTTGATTTAAACATGTTCAGTCTTAGTGGGATTTGCAGAGAATACGCATGTGTTTCATACCCAGCTTCTGCATCTTTTGTTTTAGTTTTCAAGTGTATAGTAATTTAAAAAAATTTTTGTAATTAAGAAAATTTTTCTATTTTATACTATTTTATTGATTTTATAGATGTTATAAGGAAAGGAGTTGAAAAAAATACTTTCAACACAAAAGCCTGTGTATCTTCAGAGAATACAGTCACATTGTAAATAGTTTACTAAAAATAATGATCAAGTAAGTAAAATCCTTTACTGCTGAAGGAAGAAGAGCCATTTATCTGAGCGTGATTGATAATGGAATGGGTTTACATTACTTATTCTCTCTTACTTGCAATCCATTCTTGTTGTAGTGTGGGCCATGGAAACAAGGAGCAAGCTGGTGTTAGGGTGTAGAGGAAGTGCCCTGAGAAGCTGTTATCCCATCCTCGGCTGGGCTTAGCTGGCAGTGATTGTTGCCTTCTGAGGTTTAAAAAAATAAGATAGTGTGTAATCCTTCCCCGTTCTTGTCTTGTGCAGGGACGCGTGTGCTTATGTTTTCAATTCAAGGAGAAAAGGAACATTTTCATAAGCTTACAAGCAGAAAAGGTGTTTCTAAGCGGGTTGCCTCTGCAGTGCTGTCCTTCGGGAGCATACCTGTTCTAGGGAGCAGGATGGCTTACCCTGTCACCCTGTGCTTCTCCCAGAGGAGGATGGACGCTAGCAGTTGTCAGCAAACCAGCTTAGCTTCAAGCATCTTCTTTCTTCCTTCTGAAATACAATAGAAGTGTTTATTTGGCTTGTTTGCTCTTTAGCTTAGATCAAGGCCAACCCCAGGAATAAGATGCATTTACCGTCTAGGGCTAGTAGAAAGACTCAGCCTGAACACATTTTTCATGTTGCTCAGCTGCCATCCTTTAAATTCTATCATTGAAGACTTTAATAGCTTATATTCAATATACAATTTTAAGACATTAAAATTAATGTTTTAAAGATTAATTTTACTTTTTATCTAAGAAAATTGATTTTTCTATTTTATTGATTTTATAGATGTTATAAGGAACAGACTGAAAAAAATTTCAACACGAAAGCCTGTGTATCTTTGGTGGATACAGTCGTATATTAAAAGGCCATGATATATGTAACTTACTGTTAAATGATTCAGGGGGTATATATATATATATATATATGAGCACAAGCATGCGCTTATAAAAACAAGCTCGTACACAAATAGAAAATGCAGTCAAATGTTAACAATATGTAAATCTGGGTAAATAGTATATATTGCTATTTTTTTGTGCTGCTGTTATTCTTTCAGCTTTTTTAAAAAAAATAGTGGATATCCTTGAGCTTTTCTGTAAGTTTGAAATTATTCCTGAATAGTAAATAAAAAACCATGTAAATTGTTTTTGAGGGAGGAGATACACAAAGTCATTATTACTTTGGAGTGAATATTATCAGTTCTGGTATATTGAGAGCTTCTTGAGGATAGGTACCGTTCTGTAGAGTCTACCAAATCTCTGTGTCAATTCTAACCCAGTTAAATTTGGGTTGTAATCTGCTTTATTTAGTTTTGTATTTATGTGGCCCAGTGTTGTTGGGGCCTGGGCAGCCCAACACTGGAGAGACATGGGATTAATGATGAGGAGGCCAGTGGAGAACTTTGAGAATCCATTGGAGTTGTAGGGAATGCATTTATCATGCTCTCCTTTTAAATCCAAAGTTGAAGCATGGCCAGTACGAGCTGCAACAGAAAGTCATAGCATAGCTATGTATAAATTAAACATGACTCAAGTGAAAGCAGGTACCTGGGATATGGAGATGATTAACTATTTGCCACTGATAAAAGATGAGTGAAAATAAGGTTGGTAGCAGAGAGGTGGGGATTGTTAGACCATGTTTCACACTTGCGTTCTTTATTAAATCATGGTGATTTAGTTATGAAGAGCGGGTTTGGTCATGCTGTAATGCGAGCTGGACAGAGTCCCAGCATCACAGATCCTTAGAGCCTAAAGGGCCTTAGAGATGATCTGGTCCAATTCCCTCATTTGACAGATGAGGGGGTGTTATTCATATGTTCAACAAACATCTGGGGTGGGGGGTGCCAGGCACTGTTCTTGAGGGTATGGTGAAGTAATGACCCTCACAGATGCTGTCTCTGCTTACAGGGATCTTAACATGGGGACCCATCTCCCAGGACCCAGACATGCCCCCTCCATATAGTGGGAGAAATATAAGGGACTTGGTTTTTTATCCTGATGGCCAGTTTGTGAACTGTAGTCTCTTGTCGCTTACAGGATATCATAAGTATTTTTGTCAGTCTTTAAAACTGAGGTGGCTTGAATTTCTTAATCATTCTTCCCTTCCTTCTAATCACCACCAACATCATTCTCATATGTAGGTTCAAGTCACCTGAGAAATCATGAAAGTGGCTTTGAGAGCTTGGAATTACTGGCTTGTTGGCAAACCTCTCTTGAGTTAGGTCAGAAATAATGTCTGATATGCTCTCTTGCTCTTTCCTTGTCCTGAACACATATATGTTACTGGCTTGTGGAGGGAGTGATGTGAAAATTTAGAGCAAGGATTTGGTAACAAGAGGAAAATAACATTAGCAGAAACTCGCTAATACCATATTTCAATTCAAAAGTATATCTAGTACTTTCTTATCCTTATGCCTTCAGCGGGAAGGTAAGAGGATGTGACTTAGAAGCAGTGCCTTTGGAAATGACCCATGTCCAGAGCGGAGCATGATGAAAGCAGTTAAAACCAGGCTGCCCAAGATGTACTCCTAGGGTCTGCAAAAGTTGGCTTGTTCCTTGCATAGGCAGCCCCAGGACAGGCCATACTAGCGGCCCAGCAGTTAATGATTGGAGTGGGCCAGAATCCATTACTGTTCCACTTCAAGGGCTCCAGGAATGCCTGATTTTCTGTTTTTTTGTTTTGTTTTGTTTTTGTTTTTTTTAAATAGGAGATTCAATCAAGAAATGTATTGCTTATTAATCAACGATTGAAAAATACAGGAATTAGGCTTTACCCAAGGTTCTCATAATTGTCATTCAATCTTTAAAATGCATACTTTAGTATAAATCATTAGGCCCCAGGAAATGTTGAAATGTTTATTCCTTTATGCCTTTTATCCACTTGTGCAACTTCCCTCGTTCTCTCCTTCCCCAGCTCATATCATATGCTGCCTTTCCAGTGACACATAGTGTGAACATTTGTTTTCTTTTTGCTGGTGCAAAACCAGGCTACAATTGCCAAAGAAGGCAATGCATACCAGAAAGCTTGACAACCTTGGAGAGCTTAGATAGCACCATATTTTCTCTAATCATAATGAAAATAACTAATATTTATATGGTACCCTATTAATCATAACTACTCTTTACTAAGCTATAGTACATGCTTTACATCTATGATATCTGAGTCCCAAAATAACTCTGCAGTACAGATATTGTCTCTGTTTTATAGGTGAAGAAACTGAGGCTGAGTTTTACAGTTATTCCCAAAGTCATACCAGGAAACACAGGGAACAGTAACCATGGTAGAATAAAGAAGGAGAAGGGATGAAAGAATGACATATGAATAATGTGGTTTTTGCACATGTTGTCTTGTAGAAGACCTGTATGTTAGATGTGATTGTCATCTTCATTTATTAGTTGGGGTCTCCAAGGCTCAGAGAGGAGAAATGAGTTGCCACAAATTAGAGCTAATAAATGGCAGAGCCAGGCCAAGAACCAGGACACTCGAGAGTGTCCTTCCTGGTATGTTTCACCACCTCTTAGTAGCGGTAAGGGATGGTAAACTTCAATGGGTAGCTACCTTGGGTTCAAAAGGTGCCATTGTGCCTCCCCATCTTAGCTTCTCCCTCTCCTCTGTGTATCTTTACTAGGAGGAGAAGTGACAGGGAGAGACTCTGGAGGAGCAAGATGGTAGGGTTGTTTGTGCATCTTGATACCTTCCTCCTATACACAGATATAGTACTTAAACACATCATTGGATTGGGATTGGGAACAGATGCACAGACATCTGGAGCACAGGGTGGTTGGCTTAGGAGAGGAAGACAGAGGATAAATTGGGAAAAGAGGGGGCTGGGAGTGCTTTCCACTGTGGCCTGGAAAGTTTACAGGTTTGTCCCGGACAAAAAGATACAGTTAGAGAGATTAGGCATGCGGGGAATGGAGACCTAAGACCCTGAGACCATTGTTTTGGACTATTTCATGAGCTCATTTAATGTTTACAGGGCAGGTACCTAATCTGAAAAAATAATCCTTGACACAGTAAGTAGGCAGAGGTATGATGGCATTTTAGAAATGTTAATGATTTTTAAAGGTGAGATACTTTTATCTCATGGGCTTATTTGTCTTTTTTTCTTTCCCTTCCTCCCTTTTGTCAAGTTTCATCAGATGTACACATGCATGTGGATATGCAAGTGAGTATTCAGTCTAAAAACTCCCCAAATGATAGCTGAATACCATAGGATGAGTAAGTCACTAGAGAAATCCTTATTAAGGAAGGGAAACATTTTTCTAAAGGTGACATAACCTGCTAAGATTTCTTTGGCTCTCAATGAAGGGAGTGTTTAACCTCATACAGAGCAGTTTCAATTCCAGACTCTGCCTAGAGGCCTACTACCATTGTCAGCAGAGTAGAGGAGGCCCATTACAAACTCTTTGCCAAACAACATAGTTGCATACCCTCAAAGCTCCCTTTAGTTAAACAAATACTTTGCCAAATTTTTGAAAGTAAATTTTTCTTTATTTTTGGCTGCTCAAATTCTTGGACAAGGTATCATTCTCCATTAATCTCTGCAGGTGGAAGGGAGATAGTATTATAATTTACTATATTCTTGTTCAGGGGACTCCTCTCCATCACTTCTAGTTTTAGGGAAGGACAAATGATTATTTATTCTGATACATTAATTACGTAAGGTAGAAAGTGATTAAGTCCCATAGGAGAGATCAGGAAAAATTACTGTCAAAGTTCAAGGCAAAGAGGATAGTTCAAGTTGGGGGTATCATAAAAAGAATGTCATTTCAATAGCCTGTAAGCCTGTGGTGAGCTTGATGGGGTTTTAATGGCAGGATGTTCCTTCTAAGCAAATGGACAGAGTCAGATATACAGAGAATGTATCAAAGTGATAGAAAATAGCCTAGCCTTGTGGCCTGTTGATTCATGGCGATACAGAAATGCAGAGAGGTGCCAAATGTTGCGCTGGCCTGGATGGTTAGTTTTGCGTGCTTAGTACGTTTCTTCCCTTTGCTCTTTAGGAGGTGGTCCCTCCATTACTCTGGCCATAGGTCCAAATGACGCTGCCAACTTCTCACATAACTTTGCCTTGCTGAGTGCAGTGGGATGGGAACCCCACCCAGACTAGGCTGATCACAGCAATCCTCCTGCCTGGGTCACAATGATTGGCCTGGGTTGGGCACATGATTTAAGCATAGCCAATCGGAATCCTTCCTTGGGATTATTCAAACTGGAGGTTGGTGGGTGATGTCTTCTTTCTTGGATGGCAGTGTCTTCTTTCTTGGGTGGCAATGCTGGATAGATTGGAGTGAAAACCGTTAGCTGGAAGAAACCAGCCTGTAGTAGGAGGAAATACTGCAAACATGTAAAGAGAAGTAGATGAGTGAGAGGGTCCTGCCTGTGTTCTGGGCCCTTGTTGTTGCCCAGGTTCCTGCCTCTCAAGGCTTGGATGCTTAATTCTTTTAGTTTTGTGAGCCACCCTCACATGCCTTCCATACATCTCCCTCCCTCCCTCTTTTATTTTTGTTTTAGCAAAGTCAGGTAAATATTTCTCCCACTTTTAACTATTAATCTCCAACTTGCTGTTTAAGATGCAGCTTGAGTGTACTTTTTACCAGGAGGCATTCTCTGAATTCCCTTGGGGTTCAGCATTGTATCTCCTGTGTCACTCTGCCTTGCGTACGTTTTTAGGAAAGGCCCTCTCGTTACTGTATCACAGCTGTTATTAAACCTCTATACCCTAAGACACTGAATTCCTTGAAGGCGGCCAGCCCATTATCACATCTCCAGCACTTGGATCCCAGAAAGTAGGCAGTGAATATTGAAAGTGCCTCGTGGCACAAATTTACCCACACTACACCCAGATAGTCTTTATCTACAATTGATCTGATCATCTTCATGGGGTCCCACTCTATAGGCAGTGGGGCAGGGGAGGGGAAAGGATATATTTTAGCCTAATATAGAAAACTTGGTCTGATACAATAATGTAAATAGTCATTTTTGGTGACTGATGGGTATCTTTACGTAAAATATTCAGTGTCTCAAATTTCTTCCCTCTCCTACTCTTCCTTGTCAAGCTGTTGTTGAATGTGATTTCCTGGTGACAGTGGAGGTTAATGGGGGGTGGAGGTGGAGGGATGGAAAGTCCCAATCCTTCAATCTACACTGCACCTCCTGGGTCCTCCTAGGTTCTGCTGTGGCTTGACTGGCCTAGGCTCTTCCCTGAGGTATGAGTGCTTTATTACTGGGTGTTCTGGCATCTGTGATAAAGGTCAGCAGCTGGGATTGTGGTGCTAGTCAGGACCTGGTGATTCTCCTTCTGGCTTCACCCTGACTTGGCCCCACCCTGGCTCTTACCCTACAGAAACCTTGGACTCTCTTCCCCTGGCTGCTGACCTAGATGCTTCCCCCAGAAACGTCTGCCATCTGGTCTCTTCCTTCGCACTATGGTGGGCTTCATGGCAGGCCACAGGTGCTCAATTCAGGCCACTTCGTGTTCTTCTCAGAGGGCTTCGGGATTTATGGGATCCCATTCTCACCATGCAGGCACCTGAGAGTGGCCCAGGGAAGCTGAGCCTGGCCCTGCTGCTTGACCTTTTTCTTCCTGCAAGTGTGCTTGGTAATGGTTGTCCTCATGATGGTGAGGGGTAGCCTGCAAAGTGATCTACTGCAGAGTCCCAGATGGAAGCAGGAAAAACCCACCGACCCTCAGAGTAGCCCATAGCTTATTTCACACTGTTCTTCAGAGGCAGGGAAATCACTTGTCTCATCTACCTGGTCAGTGTCATCCCTGACAATCGAGAGTCCTGGTTATGAATGTTGACAAATCCCACATCCAGCTCTCATTCATCCCTACCTACCCGGTAGTATCTCGGAGTTGCTCAGGATAATGAAACAGGATTCAGGAATTAAGTAGGGCTTCTCAACCAGAAGAAACAGAACAATTTGGAGGAATGCCAGGTAGTACTTGGCTTTCATCATTCATTCAGCCATTCTTCCGTTTATTCATTCATTCAGAATGTTTCTATTGAGGACACATAAAAAATAAGGGAAAAAACATACATTTCCATGGAGAATTCTCTATTTTGCTAGCATAGTTTTTTGTCTATAGAACTCAATTACTTTTGAGGATATTTAGGGGAGCCGAAACACATATGGCTCTAGGGATAGGCACTGGAGAATAGAGCTCCTCATGAATTTGAAAGGAAGAAAATCATTTTTGTGTGCCAGTGTCTTTCCATTAGATTATAGGGGATCTGACTTATTCGTAGAGTTCTTTGTGATGATGACATATGGGGCATCTTCCTCATTAGTTTGTTTATATTTTTGGAGTCACTTGAAGTGGTCTTGTCAGAGTCCGCCGCTTCATTTGAGGTCTTTTGGTTTTATCATGGTGTTTTTATATATTAGGTTCTTCCCCTCTCGGTTTGCCAATTTTTCCTTGATGTGGACTAATTTGCTTTAGGCCTTGGAGAACTGCATCAAGAAGGAAGGGGCTTGTTGATTAAATCTAATCATGCCGAAGTCCACACACCACACATGACTGAATATCTGCTTGATTGCTTGAGGGAAGCAAGGGAAGAAAAAAAGTTATTTATACATTCAAGAGTCCTTTTTCCAAACATAAATGTAGGGAGTCTTGAAGGCTACTTTGTGCTACTACAATGCGGAGTGAGGACTTGGAAAGATTGGTTTTTGTTCTCAGAGGCCTGCAGTTTCCCCATCTTCTCCTGACTTCCCCCTATGTCTCTCCCCTATTATAAGGGAAAAGGCTTGTTTTCTTCTTCAATAATGTTGATTAGTTCCTTCAAAACAGTAGAATAGGACTCTTTTTAAGGATCTGGTTTTAGAGACCCAAAGTGTACTTGTTATTTACGAGGGGGTTTAAACTGTGCTTTTCCGGGGGGAAGGAGGAGCTGGAGAAACAGCTCTCACTCCCAGCACCTCTGGAATCCACTGGCTTTGTCCCCAGCTGTTTCTGTGGCTAACAGGACTGCCCTGAGAGGCCCGACCTCCTTCCAGGGACCACTTTTCTTTCTAAAGGATCCCAGGAAGGTTAGGTAAGTTATGAGGGTGAATTGGGTATTTGGATTGAGACTCTAGTGTGGTGAACAGAGGTTCCCTGGGTTCTCTCAGATATTCTTGCTACATATTAAAATCTACAGAGTTACTTTAGCTTACATATGACCCACAGGAAATTCCTGGGCTGAGGATAATTTTGGAATTTGGATGTATCCTCTCTGTAACCTCAGGTCCAACTCAGAAGAGTATGGCCAAGACTAATATCAGGAAAAATCCTAAGAGAACCTTAGAAGAGGAATGGGCGAGGAGATGAATGCTAGTTTACCTCTGGAAATGTCCTGCCCACCCCATTTTTTTTAGAGACAGAGTCTCACCCAGGCTGGAGTGCAGTGACAAGAACATAGCTCACTGCAGCTTCTAACTGCTGAGCTCAAGTGATCCTCCTGCCTCAGCCTCCTGAGTAGCTTGCGTATACAGACATGCACCACCACATGCAGCTAATTTGTTTCATTTTTTTTGTAGAAACAAGGTCTTGCTGTGTTGTCCAGGCTGGTCTCAAACTCCTGGGCTTAAGCATTCCTCCTACCTTGGCCTCCCAAAGTGCTGGGATTATAGGCATGAGCCACTGCACCCAGCTCAGAAATGTTCACTTTCATTCTGAGGGTAGTTTTTCTTTCTTTCTTCTGGGTAACACTAAGACCATTGGTGAAAAGGACTTTCTATAAACTTCAGAACTTGGTGAAGGTCCCTTTGAATGAGGAAATTTGGGAGATTGTATATGCAGCAGCTGGGCTTTGCTCTCTGTCAGGACCGTGTTTGCGTTCTGGTTCAACCACTTAATAACCTGGGCAGGTTAATCACTTTCCCTGGGCCTTAGCTTTCTTGTCTACAAAACAAATATAGTAATGACTCATGCAGTTATGGAGAGTAAGTTTGGCAGATGGTTAAAAACAATTCTGTATGCTCTTGGGTAAAACGTTTCCAGTTAATACATTTATACATATATTATCAGATATGGTCGACTTACTGATAACCTACCATTTTGCATAAAATTACACAGCTTTACTTAAGAGGCACATTTTAAAAATATGACTTTTTCAGATTCTTATTTTAGGTCTAAGGATGGTTATTCTTAAAAATCTAGAAATTACAGATAGTAAAGAGTTGAAAATAAAAACTGCTTATATTTTGTCACCTAGAAATAGCAGTTGACATCTTAGTTTATCTTTTAGGTCTTTGAGTCTTGAGTATCTTGAAAGTTGTTGTACTCTTAAACAAAATGAGATAATGTATCTACTGTTCTGTGAATGTTTTCTCAGCAAGACTCAGCAAACTGCCAGGGGTGAATAGGACAGGGCCAGGAAGTGGGCGAACATACCTAGGTACAAGTCACACTGTAACACATTAATGAAACTTCTTAATGGAAAAATACCAGACATTGCTCAAATACCATTTTCTTTGGTTCAAAATAGGATACTTGGTAACCCTAATTATTACATAAAGGACTTTGAACTACATAGCAGAGTGTCTGCAGAGAGCCACCATTGATTAGCTGTGTGCCCTTGGGAAGTTACTTAAATAGCACTGCAGTTTCCTCATCTGTCAAATGGAATTGTTTTGGGGATGAAATGTGTTAATAAATATTAATCATACAGTGCCTGGTTCAGAGTAAGCACCATAGTTATGTTAGCTACAATAGTAGTAGTGTCTGGTATAATTACCCAGTGTGTAGCAGGTGTTCCAGAGATGCTGACTGTGATAGCAGTTCATATTTTACATCTAATTCCTACTTTTTAATGTTTTTCTTCCTGATATCTTCTTCCCAGTACCTTTACTTTGCATATCTGCCTGATCATCCCATTATTTTGTTAGCAAAGGGGTAGCCTATCTGATATTTTAAGTAAAGGATTAAACAGTAATACTCTTGGGCTACTGCTACCAGAAGGCATAAGAGGTGCATGGTATTGTGGTGTTTTACACAATCTGTTTGTAGCTGAGACCCTAGTCGGGAAGTTACTTATCCTACCAGGAAGAGCAAAATAAAACTCTCATTCCCAGAGTGTGACAGATGACATAGGACAAAATACAGAGATAATAGAAAGAGCTCAGAGAAGAAGGAAAGCCTCCTGGCTGGGTCAGGGGACCTCCTGGGGAATAGACAATACTCACTGGGGTTTGAAGACTTTTTTTTTTTTTTTGAGATGGAGTCTCAGTCTGTTGCCCAGGCTGGAGTGCGGTAGCATGATCTCGGCTCACTGCAACCTCTGCCTCCCAGGTCAAGCGATTCTCCTGCCTCAGCTGCCTGAGTAGCTGGGATTACAGCATGCGCCATCACGCCCGGCTAATTTTTGTACTTTTAATAGAGACAGGGTTTTGCCGTGTTGTCCAGGGTGGTCTTGAACTCCTGACCTCAGGTGATTCACCCACCTTGGCCTCCCAAAGTGCTGGGATTATAGGTGTGAGCCACTGCGCCAGACCTGAAGATGTTTTTTTAAGAGTCGCTGATAGAGGCTGAGGGCTCCATCCTGGGCCCAGCAGGTTGCACAGTACCTGGTGATCAGTAGACACTCAGTAAGTGTTGAAAAAAAGAATGAATGAATGGGTGAATAAGTGAATGAAAGAAGACAGTGACACTCCCATCACAACGTGTAGCAAGGAGAGCCTATCACAAGAAAACCTCAGAATCTGAGAAAACATTACTAGATCTGAAGAGAATTTTCTGTTCTTGATGATAAATTATTTATCTCTTCAGTGAATATTCATTATCCACTGCCTGCCTGTATGGTTCTAGGTACTGGGGAGATGGTGAACAAAACTGTCTTTGCAGTTGCTGTTCTCATGGAGCATATGTTTTATTGGAAGGAAACAGATGACATACAACAAGCAAATAAATCCCTACTATGCTAGGTGATGGTAAGGGGCATGAGTGAAAATAAAGCAAGGGTTGGCGGTTGCCATTTCATATAAGATGATCAGGGAGAGCCTCTTTGGTAAGATGACACTGGGGCAGAGATGAGAAGAAAGTGAGAAAGCAAGGCATCTGCATATCCAGGGGAAGAGCCCTGCTGGAAGGTGGAGCAGCAAGTGCAAGTGGCCTGAGGCAAAAACAGCAAGGAGGCTTGTGGGGCTGGAGTAGAGTAGTGGGCAGGGCTTCCGAGAGGCTGGGAGAGAGTGGAGGAGGGGCAGGCAACGGGAGGCACTGTAGGTCATGGAAAACTCTGGCCTTCACTCAGAATGAGATGGGAAGCCATTGGAGAACGTTGCAGAGGCATGACGTGACTCGATTTCCTTTGTCTATCCTGTGGCGAAAAGGCTATGGAGGGCCAAGAGTAGGAGCAGAGAGACTACTGTTGTAACAGTTTAGGAAGAAGACCGTGGTGGCTTGCCTGGTGTTGCAGTGGAGGTGATGAGAAAGGTCAGATTCTGAATCCAGTTGTGAAAGAAAGAAAACAGTCAAGGGTGACTCCAAGGAAAGACAGAGTTGCCATTTTTTGGGAGGAGAAGCTGGGTGTTGGGGTGGGAATCAAGAGTTCAGCTTTGGACCTGTTGTGCTTGAAATGACTGCTAGAACAACTAGGAGGAGATATTGAGGGGATAGTGTGACTCAGGGGAGTGGTCTGGACATCTGGACTGGAGTTGAAAATGTGAGAGTCATCATCATATGATGGTGTGTGATGCCATGCTGTCAGATAACCAAGGGAAGAGTGGAGAGAGTGGAGTTTGAGGACTGACCCTAAAGTAGTACAACCTGCCAACATCCAGAAGATGAGGAGGAACCTGCTATAGGGCCTGAGAAGAAAAGGCCAGCAAGGTGGGAGGAGAACCTAGAGAGCCTGGTGTCCTGGAGGATAAGGACAGGAAATGATCAACTGTATTAAATACTGCTGTAGGTCACAGAAGGTGCGACTGAGAGCTGACTATAGGTTCTGTCATTTGAAGGTCTTTGGTGACCATGATGGGCACTGTTTCAGCAGAGTGTTAGGAATTGAACTCTAAAGTAAGGCTCACCCTTTTTATGGTGGTTAGTTATTCTCAGTGAACGTTTCTGCTGTTCATAAAGGTCTAGAGTTAAAACAAAATACAATGAATGAATGAAACCAATCTACTCAGCCACAGTTAAGAGATACTTGTACTGAGAGGCCTTCACCTGACTTTCGCGCTCTGGCATCCAGAGTGGGCCAAACCAGGTCAGCAGCAGGTTTGCAGAAAACTGCCTTAGCTGGGTTTGTTTATGTCTGGGCGTGGGTCTCTTACATAACCAGTCAAGTAGGCCACATTTTGCTTTAGCTACAAGGCTCTTAGCTTCTTAAGGGAGAGGTGGATTTTGTTGGAAATCAGTTGAAGAAGCCCTAGGCTGGGCCGTGTCATTAACTGTTTCCTGCTAGACTTGAAGTAGTTGTCAATGTCAGAAGGGAGGCATCTGCAACTGCCTCTCCCTCTCCCCCTTACTAGTTCCAATTCCCCTTCTTTCTATGGGTGGAATCTATTTACTTTCAATTGTCTCCCCTGTGTCACCTGATTAGAGCATTTAGTACAGGAAGGATGGGCTGATGAAAATTTTGACCTCACGGAGCCCTTGTGGAGTCACCTAGATCACATTACAAAGCAGTGAGAATAGGAGAGAGGAGAGCTGGGGATCCCCTTGGAGTTGCTGTTTATCCTCCAGGCACTTTGCAGTGAGAAGCTGGCCCGAGTCCACTTCATCATGTTAGGACATCTTAGTTTCTGAAATCTTGCCTTTGTTCTTGAGAAATGCTGTCTCTGATTGTCTAACTTTATCCTGCAGTTATAATCCCTCCCATTTCATGAGAGCTCATCCTTCAGTCCTTGGAGGTAAATCCTATAGGCAGTTTGATGGCTTTTCTTTCTCTTCACATTTTATGTTTTTCAGTTAACCATGTCCAGGATAGATTTTTCAAAATTTCTTAACACCAGCTAAGTCTGATATAAAAGTCACAACATTTTAAATGTGCTTCGTGAAGCAAATGGAATGTTTTGTGCATGCCAGTGGCCTTGGGTTGTTTTTGAATGTGTAACATTATAGCAGGGGTTGAAATTATTTTTAAAAAGAATCAGAACTAAAATTATGCAACCTCATTTACTTTTTAAATATTTAGGAAGCATAACTAATAAAGAATTTATAGGGTGCTTACTATGTCAGAGTCTGCTCTAATCACTTAAAATATTAACTCATTTAATTTTCAGAATAATTCTATGAGATGGATATATTATTGCCTTATTTTACAGATCAGGAAATGCAAGCACAGAGAGCTTAAGTAACTTGCCCCAGTCACACAGCTAATAGGTGGTGGAGTAGAGACTTGAACCCAGGCAGTTCAGGGCTCATGCTTTTAACCACTGCAACACACGAGTGTTTTTCACTAATTTAAAATCTGCAGCCATTTTTCTAAAATGGGAGTTGAGCTTTGGCTACTTTTATATTGTCTTTGAAATATATGCTTACCAAATATTAAAAATTATCAACAAAACTATAATGTTAATTTTTAGCTAAGAAAAACTTCCTATAAGACAGCATTAATTTAAAACAAGTAGCTGGTTCTTATTGCAAATTATTTCTATATGCTCATTGAAAAAGCAGTCCATTTTTGGGGTCAATAACTTTTTCACTTAATTTGTTACTGGAGTAGTTACATATAGAAGTGATAAAATCATATTTCTTGAAAATATTGAAAAGATACCTTTAAAAAAAGAAACTATTTTTGGGGACTTTCTGACCTAACCCAAAAAGCCTGCTAGACAAATTTGAAAAGGGCTGTAACACTTAAAAAAATGAAACTATTATAGCTTTTCCTTTGAATAGGCTGAAACATGGTAGAGCAATTAGCCACTTCAATATACGTAGCTGATGTTTACTTGAAAGTGTCCTTTAAGGCTTATTTTCCTTTCACGATCAGTCTTCTGCTGGTTTTAAGCCCATTATTTGCAGTGGCTAGTGTTGAAGTTAATAAAGGAGTGGTGGTCCTGTTAGTCTGCATCATTTTCTTGTTTGTGAGTCTGTGTTCACTTCTAGATCCTATTGTCTTGAGGCATCCTTTGACAAGCAGAGGCTATGTATGCCTCAGAAAAATACTCAAAAGGATGTTTGTGCCAATGTTATTAATGATTGCAGCAAGTGATTAAATCTACATGTCAGGTTCTAGGTGACAGAAGTAGAGAGGAGATTATGCTGGATTATGCTCTTGCACACCTATGTCCTTCACAAGACTTACTGTCTCGGTGGAGCCATTACCCGAGTGACAGGAAGATGACATGGGCTAAGCCACCTTTTCTTCCTTTCCTTTCCTTTTTCCTTTCTCCTTTCCTTTCTTTTTTCCTTTTTCCTTTTGTTTCTCCTTTCCTTTCCTTTTTCCTTTCCTTTCCTTTTCCTTTCTTTCTCTTTCTCTTTCTTTCTCTCTGTCTCTTTCTCTTTCTTTCTCTCTGTCTTTCTCTTTCTTTCTCTCTTCCTCTCTTTCTGTCCTTCCTTCCTTTCCTTCCTTTCCTTTCTTCCTTCCTTTCCTTCTTTTCCTTTTTCCTTTTTCTTCTTTGAGACAGGGTGTTACTTATTCTGTCGTCCAGGCTGGAGTGTAGTGGCGCTATCACAGCTCACTGCAGCCTCCACCTCCCAGGCTCAAGCAATCCTCTCACTTCAGCTTCCTGAGTAGCTGGGACTACAGGTGTGCACCACCACACCCATCTGATTTTTGTATTTTTAGTGGAGACAGGGTTTAGTCATGTTGCCCAGGCTGGTCTTGAACTCCTGGGCTCAAGTGATTCACCTGCCTCAGTTTCACAAATTGCTGGGATTACAGGTGTGTGAGCCACCGTACCTGGCATAGGCCACTTTTTGAAAGTATATGGTGAATTCTTCTAGGAATAGTCCATCTTGGAGATGTCCACAAACACAAAGATGACATTGAATCATAGAGTCATGCAGGTATTTTCTTTCAATCATTCTGTTGATTGAAGGAGAAAGTCTCAGTGTGGTACCCTTGCATCTTTAACATTTCTTGAATCCTTCAGAATCTCCCTTTGCAACAAAGAGTCAGAATCTAATTTCATTGTTTTGTTTGCATGATTTCAGTACATATAATTCCCTTCTTCTTTTTTTTGAGATGGAATCTCACTCTGTCGCCAAGGCTGGAGTGCAGTGGCGCAATCTCGGCTCACTGCAACCTCCATCTCTGGGTTCAAGCAATTCTCCTGCCTCAGCCTTCCGAGTAGCTGGGACTACAGGCGTGTGCCACCATGCCCGGCTAATTTTTTATAATTTTTAGTAGAGACAGGGTTTCATCATGTTAGCCAGGATGGTCTCGATCTCCTGACCTTGTGATCTGCCTACCTCAGCCTCCCAAAGTGCTGAGATTACAGGCGTGAGCCACCGCGCCTGGCCTTCCCTTCTACTTTTGACAGGAATAATATTGGCTTTCTATGTACAGTGGGGATAAGATTTTTCTTAATCTTAGGTATTTTTTAAATTAATTTTATTTAAAGAAAAAAGGCGAGTCCATTTAAAGATGGGTACTAAAGAATATAGGTGAATATATCCATGAAACAATATAGGTGATATGTAAATATGGCAAAATTGTGAATTTGGTAGAAGAATGAGAAAAGCTTGGGAAGTGTTGTTCTAATATCTAATATGGCTGATTTTGTAGAGACCCACAATCTCTTCTTTGAAATTCTTGGGACCAGATTTGTTTTGGAATTCCGAATTTTCAGATCTTTTTGGCCTGGTGTTCATACTGATATGATATGACTCCCATAGGAGACACTGGGGCAATGCTATCATCAAGTGTATTAATATTTCTGCAGCAAAATGTATGACATTGACACCAAGTAGAGCAAGTAAAGAATATGCATGGTCCAATGTGGGCTCAGGTCAGATTGTGCCACAGAATATGTTTTTGAACCAAACTTATGGGGAAAATTCTGATTTTCAGAGCTTTCTGGATTTCAGAATTGCAGTTAAGACAATGTAGACTGGCCGGGCGTGGTGGCTCATGCCTGTAATCCCAGCACTTTGGGAGGCCGAGGCGGCTGGATCACGAGGTCAGAAGGTCGAGACCATCCTGGCTAACACGGTGAAACCCCGTCTCTACTGAAAAATACAAAAAATTAACTGGGTGTGGTGGCGGGCACCTGTAGTCCTAGCAACTTAGGAGGCTGAGGCAGGAGAATGGCGTGAACCTGGGAGGTGGAGCTTGCAGTGAGCCGAGATTGCGCCACTGCACTCCAGCCTGGTGACAGAGCGAAACTCCATCTCAAAAAAAGAAAAAAAAAAAAAAAAAGAAAATGTTTTTCTTTAACATCGTATGTTTCCTCCAGAAGCTTAATGAATCTCACACTTCAGTGTTCTGTGTGGAGAAGAGATAGATTTAGAAGCAGAATCTGAAGCCAGGGCCATTTGACTTGTGAAACTACAATTCATACAACTTTGGAACTTTTATGATGTCCTCATTACCTTCCAAGAAAGAATGGATTTTTTTTTTGCTCATGGTACTTCAGCCCAACAGTTATTAATCTTTTTTTATTTCCTGATTCACCCCCATGGGCTTATCAGGTTTTATGTTATGACATAGATAAGACAGGCAGTGGGACATGTGACATTTCTAATGGACTAACAGCAGTACTATTCCTATGTACCTATTCAAGAAAATTTACGGGGATGTTAGTGAGGATGGCATTTACTATAGGTATAACATTGACTCTGCCCTGTGAAAGTCATTTAAACATACTGAAAATCTGTTATTACCATAACACACTATGATTAGTATTAATAACCTTGCACTTCACACTGAACATGGTTAAAAATTGCTATCCATAATAATTACAAATTTAATAGTAATTCTGACCAATAATATTTATTGAGCACTTTTTACCAGGCATGTGTCAAGTCTTTACATGTCTGAACGCACTTAATCCTCATAACCACACTATGAGGAAAGCATAATAGTAATCTGCTTTTATGGATGAGGAAACTTTGTGAAGATATCTAGAGGGCTAGTAAACTAGCCAAGGTCACAAGACACAAGGCGTTCTAGCTCGAATGTGTTTTATTGCCTTTGACTCTTCATTCTCTACAAACACAGTAACAGCTTAACTCTCTGGGACTCAATTTTAGGCAACCTCATCTATTTGGAACAAAGCTGAGACATGAAAGCAAGCATAAACATTTCCGTAACCAAAATAGAAGTAAAATTCTCCACGTGTGAGATTCTGCATGTTAGCAAGCAGTACCGAGCCAGAACTGCTAGGCTGTGTACTCTCTTGGGTCCTTTGATAGAGGGTCATTGAATCTGAGCATGTCAGTGGAAACTGAGGATCACAGTACAGTCACTAATACTTCTAAGTTATTAATAAAGGGAAATTAAGTTTAGTTATCAATAAAGGGAAATGTATAGTTTTTGTTTGTTTGTTTTGAGACGGAGTTTCACTCTTGTTGCCTAGTCTGGAGTGCAATGGCACGGTCTCGGCTCACCGCAACGTCCACCTCCCAGGTTCAAGTGCTTCTCCTTTGTCAGCCTCCTGAGTAGCTGGGATTACAGGCATGCGCCGCCATGCCCAGCTAATTTTGTATTTTTAGTAGAGATGGGGTTTCTCCATGTTGGTCAGGCTGGTCTCGAGCTCCCAACCTCAGGTGATCTGCCCGCCTTGGCTTCCCAAAGTGCTGGGATTACAGGCGTGAGACACCATGTCCGGCCTGAAGTTTAGTTACTAATAAAGGGAAATGAAGTTTAATTTAAAAATATAGTAGAAATCAAAAGCAAAGATTTAATTGATTTTACAAAGGCCTCTAATGATGGGGAAAATAACGCTTGAAGTGGGCAAATATTTATCTATCTAGAACTTTTCATCCTACGTAAAAATTCTAGATAGCTGAGGTTTGGATATAGATGAAAAATTACTTGCATGTAGATCTTAAAATCTAGCCAAAAGCCCTCTTAAAAAATGCACTTGACTTTTTTTCTTATGGTCTAAGAAGGTAAAGCTTGACTGTAAAATAAGCCCCTTCTCCTTTATTTGCCCTGTTTTCATTTTTGTACTCTAGATCGCTCCTTCGATATCCTAAAAAAATCCAAGCCGCCCTCGACATTGCTTGCTGCAGGCCGGCTTTCAGACATGCTGAATGGAGGTGATGAAGTCTACGCTAACTGTATGGTGATTGATCAGGTAAGGCCCAACTGACATTACAGGATGATTTCTACCTCTCTCCAAAACCTGGGTTTGTAAGAAATAGATTCAGCATTGTTGTGTTCCTTTGACAATTTTAGCCTAAGAGCAGCAAAGAGGATGCTGTTGTGGGGTCTCATTGTATGAGCATTTAAGCATTTAACTTAGGTGCTTACTTCAGAACACAAGACACCTTACTCAACCCAGAGGCACTGTCAGGGAGGGGTCTTGAGATACTGCCAAATGGGAAGAGTGTGAGAGCTCTTCTTCGGGGCCCAAGTAGGAAATGACAACTGTGCAACCAATGTCTCCTCTACAGCTTTTCAAAAAACAGTATGTATATGACCTGATTATGCAATATTTGTATTCAAATCCAGCAAATGTAATGAGCAGGTGCTTGGTCCCAGCACCATAGGAAACTGTCACATAAATTACTTGCTTAATCGATACAACGCATCTATTAACATGTAGTAAGATTGTAGAGCTTTCATATTAATACAGAATGGTATCATATTATAAAGAAGCTGGAATCCTTTGGAACTTTCCACCCAGTCCCTGATAGAGACTTTTGAGTTAAATCTCACAGAAGCAGATGGTTTGAATGTGCTGGCATCTTCTTGTCTTTTGTTCTTTTCTCTAGCTCAGTGATCTTCAAATTTTAGTATTTATAAAAATTATAGATCTGAAGATTTCTACACACTAATATATGGAGGATTTAAGGGATTTTCAAGGGTAGTTTTGATGACACAAAGTCTGCCTTATAAACTGACTTTAAAACTTAATCCCTATATAAGATCCACCCTATCTACTCACTGAGCAGTAAGACATTTAACCCTTTTATGTTGTTAGTATGCATGTATTTTACCCTATTTATAGATATATTCTGTGATCTAAACTTTTTTTTTTTCCATCTAGAGCTCAATTTCAGCCCTTCAGTAGCACATCTCTGCATTTTCCTTTTGTGTTACAAAGCACTGTTATATCAAATGCAGCACAGATTGGGATGGTAGTCATAATGACAGAGAAACCAATAAATCAGAATGGACTTCAGCTGTAAATAACTGGTATAGTTGTTTTGGTATAAACTAACTGAAGGTCAGTCCTAGTTATAGAAATCTAGAATGGGTCATGGAGTGTAGGACACAGTGGGAGTTCTGAGGAGATTTTCAAGACACAGGATGTGTTAGTCCCTTCCCACACTGCTATGAAGAAATACCTGAGACTGGGTAATTTCTAAAGAAAAGAGGTTTAATTGACTCACACTTCTGCATGGCTGAGGAGGCCTCAGGAAACTTAAAATAATGGCGGAAGATACCTCTTCACAGGGCAGCAGGAGAGAAAATGAGTGCTGAGTGAAGAGGGAAGCCCCTTATAAAACCATCAAATCTCGTGAGAACTCACTGTCATGAGAACAGCATGGGGAAAACCACCCCCCATGATTCAATTATCTCCACCTGGTCCTGCCCTTGACACATGGGAATTATTATAATTCAAAGTGAGATTTGGATGGGGACACAGTGCCAAACCATACCACAGGGTAATTGGACTTGGTGTGTTCTAGCCATGTTCTAGTATTTATTTATTTTTTTCCAGCTTTATTAAGGTATAATGAACAAATAGAAATTATATATATTTAAAGAATACAATGTAATGTTTTGATACATGTACATATTATGAGATAATTACCACAATCAAGCTAATTAAGCACATATATCATCTCACATATTTATTTTTGTAGTGAGAATACTTAAGATCTACAGCAAATTTCAAGTACAAAGTGCATTATTAACTATAGTCACCATGTTGTACATTAGGTCTCAAGAACTTATTCATTGTGTAACTGAAAGTTTGTACCCTTCGACTAACACTTCACCATTTCCCCCACCCTCCAACCCCTAGTAAGCACTCTTCTACTCACTGTTTCTATGAGTTTGACATTTTTACATTCCACATATAAGTCAGATCATGCAGTATTTGTTTTTCTGTGTTTGGCTTATTTTACTTAGCATAATGTCTTCCAGATTCATCCATGTTGTCACAAATGGCAGGATTTTTTTTCTTTTCTAGGGCTGAATAATATTCCTGTGTGTGTGTGTGTGTGTGTGTGTGTGTGTGCATGTGTGTGTTTGTGTGTGCAGGTATATGGAATCTGTCACATTTCAGTCAATGGTGGAATCCATATGCAAAGGTGATCCCATAAGATTATAATACCATATTTTTACTGTACTTTTTCTATATTTAGATATATAAGTACTTACCATTGTGTCCCAGTTGCCTACAGTATTCTGTATAGTAACATGCTGTATAGATTTGTAGCTTAGGAGAAATAGGCTATACCATATAGCCTAGGTGTGTAGAAGGCTATACTAGCAGGTTTGTGTTAGTACACTCTATGATGGTTGCACAATAGCAAGATAAACTAAGGATGCATTTCTCAGAACATATCTACATACTTAAGTGAGGAATGACTGTACTTATCCTTGGAGTCTCCAAAGTGATAGTCTTTTGTATGCTAGTGAGATGACTGGTGGCTGGCAGCCCCTAGGTAGTTTCAGGATGTGGGCTGGTCACCGGAAAGGCCAAGGCAGGGTTACAGGATTGGGATTTTCAGCTCCACCTACCAGCATCCACGGAAGGAGGAGGGGCTGAAGGTTAAATTGATCACTAATTACTAATAATTTAACCAATCATGCCTGCATAATGAAGCTTCCATAAAAACCCAAAAGGACGGGCCGGGCACGGTGGCTCACGCCTGTAATCCCAGCACTTTGGGAGGCCGAGACGGGCGGATCACGAGGTTAGGAGATTGAGACCATCCTGGCTAACATGGTGAAACCTGTCTCTACTAAAAATACAAAAAATTAGCAGGGCGTGGTGGCGGGTGCCTGTAGTCCCAGCTACTCGGGAGGCTGAGGCAGGAGAATGGCGTGAACCCGGGAGGCGGAGCTTGCAGTGAGCCGAGATTGTGCCACTGCACTCCAGCCTGGGTGACAGAGCAAGACTCTGTCTCAAAAAAAAAAAAAAACCCAAAAGGACTGGGTTCAAGAGATTCTGGATAGCTGAATACATGGGGGTTCCTGGAGGGTGGTGCACCTGTGGAGGGTGTGGAAACTCTGTGCCCCTTCCGGAGTTCCTTGCCCTAAGCATCTCTTCCATCTGACTGTTCTCTGTATCTTTTGTAATATTCACTATAATAAACCAGGAAATGTAAGTGTTTCCCTGAGTTCTGTGAGCTGCTCTAGCAAATTGATTGAACCTGAGGAGGGGCTGTGGGAACCCCATTTTATAGCTGGTTGATAAAACAATCTGGGGCTTGTGGTTGTCATTGGAAGTAGTGGGGAGTCTTGTGGGACTGAGCCCTGTGGGACCAGACTCCATCTCCAGGTCGATAGTGCCAGAATTGAATTGAACTGAATTAGAGGAAATTCAGTGGTGGATTGCTTCCTTGCTGCATGTCGGGGGAAAACCCCACACATTTAGTCACAGAAGAGTTCTGTGTTGATTGTTGAGTAAGAGAATAGAAAAAAAGACTGTTTTTATCCCTATATTTTCAGAAAATCATATGTGCCACATTTTCTTTATTCATCTGTTGTTGGACACTTAGGTTGATTCCATCTCTTGGCTACTGTGAATAGTGCTGCAGTGAACATGGGAGTGCAGACATCTCTTTGGGATAGTGATTCTGTTTCCTTTGGATATATACTCAGTGGTGGGATTGCTGGATCATATGGTAGTTGTATTTTAAATTTTTTTAGGAACTTTCATACTGTTTTCCACTGTGGCTGTGCTGATTTACATTCCCAACAGTGTATAAGAATTCCCCTTTCTCCACATCCTTGTCAGCTTTTTTTTTTTTTTTTTGTCTTTTTGGTAATAGCCATTCTAACAGGTGTGAGGTGGTATCTCATTGTAGTTTTGTTCATTTTTCTGATGATTAGTGACGTTGAGCACTTTTGCATATACCTATTGGCCATTTGTGTGTGTCATTTTTTGGGAAAATGTCTATTTAGGTACTTTATTTTTAAATCTGGTTATTTGTGGGTTTGTTTGTTTGTTTGTTTTTGCTATTGAGTTGCGTGAGTTCCTTACATATTTTGGGTATTAACTCCGTATCAGATGCATGGTTTGTAAATATCTTCTCCAATTCTATAAGTTGCTGTTTTATTTTGCTGTTTCCTTTGCTGTGCAGAGATTTTTTGGTTTGGTGTAGTCACACTTATTTATTTTGCTTTTCTTGCTTGTGCTTTTGGTGTCACATCCAAAAAATAATTGCCAAGACCAATGTCAAGGAGTTTTTCCTCTGTGCTTCCTCCTAGGAGTTTTATGGTCTCAGGTTTTATGTTAAAGCCTTTATTGCATTTTGAGTTGATATTTGTATATGTGGTAAGATAGGGATCCAGTTTCATTTTTTTTGCATGTAGCTATCCAGTTTTCCTAGTATCATTATTGAAGGATCTGTCTTTTCTCTGTTGTGTATTTTTAGCACATTTGTTGAAGATTAATTGACTGTATTTATGTGTGGGTTTATTTCTGGACTTTCTATTCTGTTCCATGTGCCCATGTGTCTGTTTTTATGTCAGTACCATAATGTTTTGATTACCATATCTTTGTAATATAATTTTAAGTTAGGCAGTGTGATGCTTCTGACTTTGTTCTTCTTGCTAAAGATTGCTTGAGCTCTTCTGGGTCTTTTGGGATTCCATTCAAATTTCAGGATTTTTTTTTCTATTTCTGTGAAAAATTGCCATTATAATTTTGATAGAGATTAAATAGAATCTGTAGTTCACTTTGGGTAGTATGGATATTTTGACAACATGAGTTCTTCCAATCCATGAACACAGGATATCTTTCATATGAATTCTTCTAATCCATGAACATAGGATATCTTTCCATTTATCTGTGTTGCTTCAATTTCTTTCATTTATGTTTTATAGTTTTCAGTGCATATATTTTTGTCATGTTTTGATTTTAATAGATTTATTCTGCTGCCATATTTTCTTAGCTGTTTAAATAAAATACTTCTTGAGCCCTTATTTTTTTTGTTCTGAGCCTTAGTGAATACTGTAACTATAGTATTTCCATTTACCTCAAGTAACTAAAATTGTAAATTACTCAATATTATGTGGGGAAAACTATATATATTATGCTTTTATATGTTCTCAGATACATTAAAAATGCAAAATTTACCAAACCAAAGATTTGGTAAATAAAAGGTTAGGATATAATTTTCTTTCGTTCTCTTTCTTTCTTTCTTCCTTCCTTCCTTCCTTTCTTTCTTTCGTTTTGTTTTTTTTTTTTTTGAGACAGAGTCTTCCTCTGTCATCCAGGTGGGAGTGCAATGGTGCCATCTTGGCTCACTGCAATCTCCACCCCCCAGGCTCAAGCAATTCTTGTGCCTTAGCCTCCAGAGTAGCTGGGATTACAGGTGTGCACCATGACACCCGGCTAATTTTGGTATTTTTAGAAGAGACAGTTTCGCCATGTTGGCCAGGCTGGTCTTGAAATCTTGGCCTCAAATGATCTGCCCACCTTGGCCTCCCAAGTACTGGGATTACAGGCATGAGCCACTACACCCGGCCAAGATATAATTTTTATTCTGGAATATTCTGGGTGAAAGAAGTATTGCTTTAATGATGTGAAGCCAAAAAGAAAAAAAAGTGAAGCATGCATTTAGAGAGAACTCAAACAAGTTAATTCAACAAACTGCAACATAGCAGATTGCCAAGTTGTGCATTGTAAACTGAGAAATAAAACTAAATCTGCAACAAAATCACAAAGTCCATTATATTAGCATAGTACTTTTTTTTTTATAGCCCCTATATCTATTTGAATAGCAAGGACAATGTAAGGAATACAAATTCTGCATATTTAAAATGCTTTCTGGCAATATCTGAAAATAATCTTATCTAATTTTCTTTATCTTCCTCAACCTGGCAAGGAAACCTAAAAACATTACTAGCTTATATTAATGTTTCCCATTAATTTTCAAGGTTATCAACCTTCCTGTTGAGAAAATTCACATGATGAAAGTTACTTTGAAAATTTCTGTCATATAAACTACTTAGAAAAACACATTTGTTTCATAATTTCAGTACAGAGAATCCCTGTATACCCTTTACTCAAATTCCTCAAATGGTAATATTTTACTACATTTTACATTGTCATTCCCTGAGTGGGTGGTTATGTGTGCATGCAAATAGTTAAATTATGTCTATAAATGTTTCTTAACCATGTAAGAATAAATGAAAAATATGGTGTTCCTTTACCTCTTAATCTTTCATGGTGTATTTTCCTAAAAACATGGATAGTTTCTTACGTAAGCACAGTACAGTTACCAAAATCATAAAATTATCATCGATACAATGCTATTAGCTATCTCCAGACCTTGTTCAATTTTAGCAAGTTGTCCCAATAATGTTCCCTGTGGCAAAAGAAAATTCCATTACATGTGTTGCATATAGTTGTTGTGTCTCTGTAGTCTCCTTTAATCTGGGACAGTTCCTCAGTCTTTGTGTTTTATGGCACTGATATTTTAAAAGAATACAGACCAGTATTTTTGTTCTTGTGTTTTGCTAAGAGTGTAGTGTCTTTCAGTTTTGGTTTATCTGATATTTCCTCATAATTGGATTCAGGTTAGGCATGTTTGGCAGGAATACTACGGAAGTGATGATGGGTGCTTCTCAGTGAGTTGTATCAGAAGGCATAGGACATCAATCTGTCCCATTACTGGTGATTTTATTAATATCTTTCATCTGCCAAGTTCCTTTTTCAGTAAAATTACTGTTTTTAAAAAATTATTAAGTACCATGTCAGGAGATATTTTAAGCCCTTGTAAATATCCTGTTGCTCATTAGACTTTCACCCATTAATTAAGCATTCATTAATGGTTTTTGCTTTAATAAATTATGATGATGCTCGATGATTTAGGATTCTAACATTTCCCCTTTTGCTTCTTTTTCCCCTTCACTGCTCTATCTCTAAATGGTGTTACTGTCTTCATTTTTACTGTCCTCACTCCAGACTTGATGCCTTTTGATGACCGCCACCTCAAATCATGAGTGCTTAAAAGTACGCCTTTCTTAGAGCAAGTGCTTTCATCAGCTAGGACTCTTTTTCATGCATGTGGGTTGAGCTTTCTCTTTCTGGGGAGGATTTTTAAGTAAGTCTTAGGCCCTCCAGAAGTTCCGTCCTTTCTCTGCCATTCAGAGTTTCCCGACTCCCCTTACCCTCCGCAGAGTCTTATAGCAGGAGCACGAGGCCTTACCTGCTGGATTTGCTGTTGATTTTATTATTTACAGGTAATTTGAAATTTGGGCATTTTCTTTCTTCTAATGATGCTATGTACGTGCACTTTATGTAGCTTTATTTGTTCTTTTTGTTTGGTGTTGCTTTTTGTGAGACTCAGCTTTATGTGACCACTATTACCTTGGTACCCAGATTCCTATGAGCTACTTTTTGAATGAAGCTGTATAGTCTTTAGTTTTCTCCTCAAGTATTTAAAACATTTCCCCCTCATTTTGAGTCAGTGGTTCATAAAATGTTAGAGGCATAATCAGCTTCTGGTTTTGTAATAAAGGAACAACCTTATAAAATACTCAGTTGGTCTTCCTTTATGTGAATTATAGGATAGCTGCCATGTGAACAAAAACATATAAAATAATTCTCTGTTTACATAAAACAAGAGTCTCACTCTGTAACCCAGGCTAGAGTGCACTGGCGCAATCGCTACTCATTGCAACGTCTGCCTCCCATTCAGGCCATTCTCCTGCTTCAGTCTCTGAGTAGCTGGGATTACAGGCGCCCGCCACCACACCCTGGCTAATTTTTGTATTTTTAGTAGAGATGGGGTTTCACCATGTTGGCCAGGCTAGTCTTGAACTCCTGACCTCAAGTGATCTGCCAGCCTCGGCCTCCTACCACGCCTGGCCAGAAGTTTTTAAATTGGGAAAATTTTATTAATTCTTAGCTAGGCCAATCTTACCTGCTTTTACTCAGGAAATGTTTTTCTTTCAACTTCCAGGTTGGTGATTTGGATATCAGCTATATTAATATAGAGGGAATCACTGCCACTACCAGCCCTGAATCCAGAGGTTGCACTCTGTGGCCTCAGAGCAGCAAACACACCCTTCCTACAGAAACCAGTCCCAGTGTGTACCCACTTAGTGAAAATGTCGAAGGGACAGCACACACTGAAGCCCAGCAGTCCTTCATGTCACCATCAAGTTCGTGTGCTTCCAACTTGAATCTTTCTTTTGGTTGGCATGGATTTGAAAAGGAACAAAGTCATCTAAAGAAAAGAAGGTAAGAGTCTATATTGTAGAGGAAAACTGTAGAACATCAAAGAACCTTATAGGTAGACTTCAAAAATTCTAGTTTTAAACTTTTTATTGTCTCTACCACTTTTATTTGCCCATCAAAATGTCCCCTTTTAGGTTCCTATATTCACTGATTTGAAAGTAAGACACTTAAGAAAACTGACTAAAATATGATAAAGGAAAACCACGATGAGATACCAGTTTATACTCACTTGACTGGCAAAAATTAAAAAATCTAACAATCCCATGTTTTGGTGAGAATGCATAACATGGAAATTCCTGCATAAAGATGATAGGAGAGAAAATTGTGTAACTTGGGAAAATAATTTGACATTATCTTGTAAAGTCAAATATGCATTTTCCTCTCGTGTACTAGGAGACCTATATGGAGTATTATTATAGCAGCAGGAAATAACCCAAATGTGGAATAAATAACTTATATATAGTTACACAATAGAATACTGTACAGTAATGAAAATGAATTAGCTACAATTACATCTGCATGCATAATAACATAGACCTTAGAAGCATGAAGGAACAAAAAAAGCCCCAAAATACTTGTTAGATTTCATTTTTATAGAATGCAAATTAAAAAATATATTATTATAGGGCACCTACATATGTGCATAAGCTATAAAGAAAAACAAGAGGCCTGGCGTGGTGGCTCACGCCTGTAATTCCAGCACTTTGGGAGGCCAAGGCAGGCAGAATGCTTGAACTCAGGAGCTCAAGACCAGCATGGGCAACATGGTAAAACCCCATCTCTACCAAAAATACAAAAATTATCTGGGCATGGTGGCACGCACATGTGGTCCTGATACTTGGCAGGTTGGGGTGGGAGGATCGCTTGAACCTGGGAGGCAGAAGTTGCAGTGAGCCAAGATGGCACCACTGAACTCCAACCTGGGTGACAGAGTGAGACCTGTCTCAAAAAGAAGAAAAAAAAAAAAAAAAGAGAGAAAAAGAAAAACAAAATAATGAAGGGGAAAAAATTCCTAAATTCAAAATAGTTGTTACATCTAGGGAAGGAAATAGGGAAATGGGAATGGAATGAATCATAACAGAGTTTCCATGGTAGATGGCCAGTATCCAAGTTTCAAGGTGGGTGGGCTCATGAGTGTTTGTTTTATTTAACATATGTTTGTATTTTATATTTTAACATAAAATTTATCTTATATTTATTTTACTTTCAGTTACCTTATATTTTCTTGCATATATAAAAACTCATTGAAATGATAGTTTCATTGCATCTGATATGATTACATATATTAGTGTGTGTGCACACATGTGTGTCCATATCTGTATATCTGTATCTGTCTATCTGATTGTCTATTTTCTTTTGGGAACAGGCCAATTTCCACTAATTTCATTTTATCCTGTTGATCACACTTTCCTTAGGGAGTAGCTTTTTTTTCCCCCATATCCTACCCATGTGATTATATGTTCATTTTCACGTATAAAATGAATCAAAGTGAACATAAAATGCACACACATATGTGACTATGTATATAAATATTTCTCTGTGAATGAACATGCACATAGGTGAATGAGTATTCAGCAGGGAGTTAATATAGAGGGGAGAGAAAGGTAGAGGAACCAGCAATCAGTAGGTGTCCATCACTGAGATACACCACAACATGCAATTTGAGGTTGTAAAACTTTAGCACATATTGGTACCAAGGGTTATGTGTGATGTGTAAATAATAAAAGACTTGCTTTAGATTTATACTTTGTGAATTATGGTTTTGTAGATGCTGGGTAGTCACTACTATAATTTGAAGTGATAGGCTAATTTGAACTGTCCACACGTCTGCTTGGGACAAGAGACTGCCAGTCCACACAAGATTCTATACAGTTTTGCAAAAATAAATTGAGCTATGTGTGATAAATGCATTCTAGTGGATCTTTAAGATCTGTCAAGTGGCCAGGTATGGTGGCTCACACCTGCAATCCCCGTACTTTGGGAGGCCGAGGCAGGTGGATCACCTGAGGTCAGGAGTTTGAGACCAGCCTAGGCGGCCAACACGGTGAAACTCCCGCTCTAGTAAAAATACAAAAATTAGCTGGGCATGGTGGCACACATCTCTAATCCCATCTACTCAGGGGAGGGGCTGAGGCAGGCTCATTGCCTGAATCCGGGAGGCACAGATTTCAGTGAGCAGAGATGGCACTACTGCACTCCAGCCTGGGGGACGGAGTGAGACTCTGTCTTTAAAAAAAAAAAAAAAAAAAGTCTGTCAGGTGTGTGAGCCCCCAGATCTCAAGAGATAAATAAGTTCTTTAGAAGTCTTCTAGGAATATAGCATGGAAAAGACACAAAATAGTCTGTCTGTTTTATTGATACTTATGCAGATACTTGCAGAGTATCGAAATTATACTTTCTGATCATGGTCTTGTCTTGGAAAGTTTAACATTTCACTGCTACAGATAGAATTTTTCCTCTGTAGAATATAATTTAGACAAAATATCTGTTTTGAGTACAGGTAATTAGAAGCTTCTGTGAAGATGTCACTGCTCAGGGGAAAGGGAGGAAGCCAGGAGAGGAAGGAGAAGCCATTCTACAGAAAAGCTTTCTGGCTGGTTCCACGAGCTGACTTCATCTCCTTTGCCCTCCCTCTCCTCTGAAAAATGTAGGAATGAAGGGAGAGAAGTCGCAATCCCTGGAAAGCCCTGGGGTGGCTGTGGGTCCCTTCCTTCAGTGGATGTCATGGTAGGAAGCACAGTTGATAACAAACTCAAAGTGAAATGCACTTAATTTGTTAATAAGCAGATAATAGCCCTAGAGGCTGGAAACCTCTAATGAAGGAGAAATTTGGGGGCACACAGTAAAAACTGGAGTTAATATAAGGACATAGCTGACTGGGACCTGAGTCCTAAGTTTTCTAGGGTTTAAAAGAATATTTTGGTGAAACTAAAATATGTATACTATGTAACCATTATGTTATATTATTTAAATGTAATAACTGTTTTGAGAAGCCACAAAGGGAAGATAAGTAATAAAAACATTAATTTAAAAATACTATACAGCAAAAAATTAAGCAGCAGACAAGTGTTTGTTTCATTCTAAAGCTTGTATTTTTCAAACCTTTTAAAAAAACTACAGAGCAAGAAATGCATGTCACACCATGAACGTCCCCTATCTCCCATAAAATTTAAGTGAAGTCTTATAAAATGATTTGTGCAACATATTCTGATATTTTCTATTCTATATATTTTTTAAAAAACTCTAGTTACAACCTAATGAATTGATTTCTTATCCCACTACTGGGAATTAGAAAAATAATATCGTAAAACAAGAACCTAGAGGTTATCCTGAAGAATATTGCCTGTGCCACCAATATCTTAGGTTAATAGCTTAAATAAAAGTAGTAGCCCCATTTGAATGAATAGAAACAATGTTTTATAGTATGCAAAATAAAATACTGATACTTCTAGGATGTATTCATAGTGATGATGAAATGCTGTCTGTAACTGGAAAGGCTTGTGTTAAAATCGGATATTATTGCGGGCTGCCAATCATTTGAAGAACTATTTTCCACTAGTACAGAGATCACAAGTTGAAAGACAAGTGCTGAGGTACAAGACATGGGCAAGCTTCAGCCCGCCTTGAAATCTCCTTCCGTCTCAGATTGTTGTACTAGGAAACCACGTAGCAACTTGAAATACCTGTAATTATTAGATTAGTTCAAAAACTAATCTGTGTTTGCATTAGAGGCATAGTAGAATAAGACCAGGACTCATACCATGTATTCAGTTAACTTACTGTGTCCATTAAATAGCCTATTTTTTTTTAAATAACCTAAACAGGTTAATTCAAAGTTTCATTTTCTGGTTCTTGTATTTCAAAATAAAAAAAAAAGCCTATGTTTTTTTTTTTTTTTAAATAACCTAAACAGGTTAATTCAAAGTTTCATTTTCTGGTTCTTGTATTTCAAAATCAAGACAGTTTCATTGTTTTGTTATTAAAATTATAACTCCAGAACTGTAACAACCAAAAAAAAAAAAAAAAACCACAAAACACACATTTGAAATGCTTCGTGCATTAACATGCACCCAGGAAAGCTGTTGGCCTCCAAGTTTGAGTCGTTTAAAACGTAATGTTATGGAATAGACCTGGGATGTAGAGGGTCAAATTCTTTCCTTTTAATTTCATGGTTTATTAAAGTTAAATGAGGAAAAAAGTTGTTGTCAAGCAGCATTACTACCTGGTTCTAAGGTAGAGTTTTCAAAGGAATCATTTTTTTTTTTTTTTTTTTTTTTTGAGACGGAGTCTTGCTCTTTTGCCCAGGCTGGAGTGCAGTGGTGTGATCTTGGCTCACTGCAAGCTCTGCCTCCTGGGTTCACGCCATTTTCCTGCCTTAGCATCCCAAGTAGCTGGGATTACAGGTGCCTGCCACAACAGCCGGCTAATTTTTTGTATTTTTAGTAGAGATGTAGTTTCACCGTGTTAGCCAGGATGGTCTCGATCTCTGACCTCATGATCCGCCCACCTTGGCCTCCCAAAGTGTTGGGATTACAGGCGTGAGCCACTGCGCCCAGCCTCAGAATCATCTTTTTTTAACCTCTAAAAATGATCATTTAGTATGACATGTTTGGGACATTGCACGACTCACTTCTGAACTGTGTCTTGACATGGTCCTGGGGCGGATGGGTGGGACCTTCACACATCTCTCCTTGGTGTGCCTCTGCCCTCCCGAGCTTCCCAGCTGAGGGACAGGGGAGAGAATGACACTTCTGCAGCTTAGTCACATGCAAATCCCCCCCAGAAGCTTCCCTGCAAACAGCCCAGTGACTCTGTTTCCACCAGCATTTAAAATATTTGATGGGTTACCATTTGGGACTTGCGATATCAATAATTATATTTACAAAACAGAAGTGGTGAGGTTAGTACTAACTCAAACCAGCTTTTGTTTCTTCAGGCATTTGAAATGTCTTTTGCCCCAGTCGTGGTGGCTCACTCCAGCAATCCCAGCACTTTGGGAGACTGAGGTGGGTGGATCCATTGAGCCCAGGAGTTTGAGACCAGCCTGGGCAACATGGCAAAAAACACAAAAATCACAAAAATTGGCCGGGCGTGGTGGCGCACGCCTGTAGTCCCAGCTACTCTGAAGGCTGAGGTGGGAGCATTGTTTGAGCCTGGGAGACAGAGGTTGTAGTGAACCAAGATTGTGTCACTGCACTCCAGCCTAGGCAACAAGAACAAAACTGTCTCAAAAAAAAAAAAAAAAAAAAAAAAGAAAGAAAGAAAGAAAATGAAAGAAAGAAATGGCTTTTGCTAGGTAGGAATGTTCATTCGGGGTAACATAAAATTTTGTTTAAAAAGAGATTTGGAGGGAGGAGAAAAAGGCTAATTAAATACTAGTTGGAAATTAAATGAATACCTATTGCACCCCCCCCGCCCCAGTGAAAGAATCTGGATTCAGAGAAGTAGAAACCAATGACGCTCTGTGTCCTTCCTTGCTTCTTTACTTACTTGCTGGCTTTGTGCTTTAGTTCTAGCCTTGATGCCTTGGACGCCGACAGTGAAGGGGAAGGGCATTCTGAGCCATCCCACATCTGTTACACTCCAGGGTCTCAGAGCTCCTCAAGAACTGGGATTCCTAGTGGGGATGAATTGGACTCTTTTGAGACTAACACTGAACCGGATTTTAATATCTCCAGGGCTGAATCCCTTCCTCTATCAAGTAATCTACAGTCGAAGGTATTCTTATTGCTATTAATTTGGTATATTGCAAGTGTGGAGAATATGTTGTCTGCATTTACCCATCTGTATCTGAAAGACATATTATATTTTATTCATACATATGAACTATTTTTTTGAGACCCATGTGATATCTGATTGAGTCTGTCTTTTTAATCTTTCCCACTCTGTTTTAATTTTTATAATCTTTACTCAAAATGGCTGATTTACATTTTCATTAATTCACCATGAGTACATACCATCTTTCTTTCACATACTTGGAAAATTTTATCATTTTACAATGATTTCTCCCATCATCTCTTAAGCAAAGGGAGAAAAACCGATAGTATTAAATGAGTTTAAGTGATCAAACTTGTTTTGCTCACGTAAATAATTGTATGGCCCTGATGATGAGGTAAATGATGTTAATAAGGTAGAAGTGATATTTATTGAGCATTTCTGGCTGCTTGAACTAATCCGGAATATCACAGATTTTGTCAACTTTTCCATAGGAGCCAGGTTTTATCTTGTTGGCTATTTCACATTGGAGTTTCATTTAGGTGTGCTTGTTTTTTTGTTATTTATTTACTTATTTATTTATTAAAAAACTAAATACATTGCTCTGAATGTAAGAAAGCCCTTTTGCGTTTGAACAGATTTTTTTTCCCTGTTTGATTTGTTATTTTCTACTTGTTTTCTTCTTAAGTTTACTTATTACTATAAAACAATGTGTGCTATGGCAAAACTTCTCTTTCTAACGTATGGTTGTTATGATAATACCTTCTTTTTGTAGCATGCCCTACAATATACAAAATATGTTTTATGTATGTACAAAATATATAATTGCCTCATAACTCACCTATTACATAAGTAGTGCTTTTATTTAATTTTATTTTTTGAGTAGATGAGATTCTGGAAGGGTTGGAGTTCTGTCCAGCTTTGTGTCACCAGCTTGGTGATAGACTCAGAACTCAATTCTGGGTCTTTTGAGCACAGATCCTGTATCCTTTACCCTCTGCTCTAAGACCTGCAGAGCTGCCGTAATCTTTTGCATCTGAAGGTCATGTGATATTTCTGGATAATGAGAAGTTTGTATGGTTGTTATGTAGATACTTCTTAGTTTTGCATGTTGAGTGGAACTGTGAAAAGTTCATCATTACTTGGATGAAAAATAATCCAGTCTCTTGAAACAGTTTCATGTTGCTCATTTTTAGGAAGAATCTGAACCATAAATATATCTGCCTTGCCTCTGTAATTAACCAGTATAACTTTTTGCCAAAGTTTTGGACAATTTTCAAAGTTCTATTGTCATGACAAATGGTTACCACGTATACATGACTCTGAAGAGGGCCCTTAGTGGCCAGCTCACTGTTTAGGGTTATAGGACAACTTGGGTTGGCCTTCTTGACGTCTAGGCCCGGTAGGTGCTCCCTAATAAGATAGGAGCCAAAGCCCAAGGGCCCTTTGAAGCAAGGTTAGGCTTCCATTTTTCAACTTTCCTCCAGGCTCCTTAACTAAACTAATGAAGTTAGGGTAACCATGTGTTTTTCCTTAGAGGAAACAAAAGAGACCAGTGCTCCTGAAGGTCAGTTTCTGATGGTTTAATTTTAGTAAAGAGTTTTGCATTATTTTCTTTTAGCCTTAACCTTAAGTGATATCTTAAAAATGCATGGGCAGGATCAGTCCTAAGGGCTTTATAGGATAGAAGTTGGGTACTATAAATGGCTTCAGTGGAGTTCTATTGCATATTCACTTAAATTTTCTGGAACATAAGAAAACTATGTTTTAATGATCTTGCCATCTTGCATTTTCATGTATGTTGCCAATATAATAATAGGAATAATAAGTAATTGGGACAACAGGAACAAAACCGGCAAGTCATTTTAAAGTAGTAATATTAAGGATGTATAAATTAGTGATATCCAAACATCCACCCCAGAAAGTGCTAGATGGAAGGTCTATCAAAAATTGAGTACAGATTGGAAGGATTTGTATATTAACTGGATATATTTTTCCCTAAATGTTGCAGCTAACATTATAAACTTAAATCATGGTTTGGAAGTCTAAAAATCTCTTATAATTGTAAGTGGCTATTCCACTATCCTCTAGTAATCCTTAAATATAGAAATCTCAGTTAATATAGAATTTTGTTAGAGGGCTACAGTAAAATAACAAAATAACTGACACCTCAGGTAAAAATAATAAACTCATTGTTGAATATACAAAGAAAAAGTCATTTGTCTTAAGTTTTCATTTTTAGCCAAGTTGGCTAGGATATCATAGTTGCATTCTATAGTATATACAGGAACTATTCCCCAAGCTGAAGGTTGCTGAAGTATTAAAATGGCAATAACATTTTAAAAATTGTGAGAGGAAAACAGAAACACATAATGAGATCATATCAGAAATGTTCAGGTTGAATCTCTTTTCAAAGGTGCAAATTTAGTAACATTTGAGGTGGTGAATATATATTTTCAGACCATGTATAAATTTTTAAACACTTTATTATAATCTCTTTTAGGAATCACTGCTTTCTGGAGTTCGCTCACGTTCTTATTCTTGCTCATCACCCAAAATTTCTTTAGGAAAAACTCGTTTGGTGCGTGAATTAACAGTATGCAGTTCAAGTGAAGGTAAGCATCATTTAACATTTGGCTTTGAAAACACTCTATTCCAGAACAGATTTTTCAGTTAGTATAAGTACATAAAATATTCAAGAACAGCAGACAAGAATTTTCCATTCTGTTTTCATAACTGGTTTTTCTAAGCCTGACAAAATTCTTTTCTTATTGGATAACAGCCAAATTTGATTTTGATCAGATTTGATTTTGATGAAATTACAAATACATGCACACCTCTCTGTTACTTTATTCTTTGAATAAAATGTTTTCCTCAAGGATAGTGTAAATTAGAATTGATTCCAGTTATATTATTATGAGGGCCTTAGAGGATTTTATTTGAGTAAATTATAAAAATTACTTTTGTCTCATATATACATTGCTAACATAATCCAACTCCTCAGAGCCAGAGTGTTGCAGAATGGATTTTCTTCTTTCTTTGTTTAGAAAGGGACTTTGGAGAGTTGAAATAACATATTTGTAACATGATTAAATATATCTCAACATTTTTTTGGTGGCAATGTAGGCAATTAGAAATATAACTTTTAGGCAATAAACTTAATTTAAATGTAGGATACATACAAAAAGGAGTGCAAATCATAAATATGCATCTTGAATTTTCAAGTGAATTCAGATCTATAAATGGAAAAATTATGTACAACTTAGAGCTCCCCTTGTATCCTCTCTAAGCCACTCCTCCCATTTTCACCTGCCCCCATTTTGAAATGTAATTATTTCATACTTTCTGTAATTAATATGTAATAATTGTATTAAAAAGCATATTTGAAAGTATTCATGCCAATGCATAATACATAGCATTATAATGAAATTTTTGTCAATGTCTTAGAGAATATCTTTATTGTCTATTATCCTTAAGGGACTTAAAAGATTCAGAAAGCAAGAGATGAACTTAAGTACTCTGAAGTACTACTCAAATATTTTCTTAAGATAAAATATTTAAAATAGGATTTATTTTATTCCCTCTCTTTTTTCTTATTCTTGCTTATTAAATTGTTATTTTGCATTTTTATGCCATGCAGAACAATACTGAAAACATAATCTTGGTGCTTGAAACAGCTATCCTAGAATAATGACATATATGCTAGATGTTCAATAAATATTTGTTGAATGAGTATGAGAAAAAGATAGATAAAACACAAAAGAAATGCTACCATGATTTTTGTTTTCCTTTTTCTGGGATGTACTGTTAGAAGAGAAGAGAGCAAGACTGATAATACATGTCAGTTTTTATTTTTGGATGGGGAGATGAAGAAAAGTTACAAGAGAAAGAAAGGATACAACTACCTTGAGAGGGCAGGATAAATAAGATGGATTGAATTTGTTCTGGATTTTTGTTTTTTACTTCATGGGTTCTTTCTAGGTCTCCAGGTCTCCCCAGCCTTAGTTTAGGTTGGTGTATTTTTAATAGCTCGACACCTTTTCACTGATAGTCCCAGCTGATGAATTAACCTCACATTGTTACTATTTGGAAAACATGTTTAAGTTTTCTGTGCTTCAAATTATGGCTTTGCCTTTAGATCTGTGGTCCTTGATCTATGAAGTCAGATATCTCTAGAGTTTGAAATTATTGACCACACAATTAAGAGGAAACTTATTGTTCACAAGGGAAAATAGCCCTAATTTACTTATTCTTTAATGATCAAGGAAGGGTGTCTTTACCTTACATGCAAGCCTGAAACCTTTGCATATGAGTTAGAATAAAAAGCTGATCTCAACTGCTTTGGTTTTCAGTAAACGAAACCTTATCTTTAGACGGTATATTTAAAGACAAGGCTACTTGAGTGAAGTTTGATACTATCCAGAAGGTAACAGTTAGAACCAGGCAATTTAGGTTGAGTCTACTCACTAAATATATGAAAATTCCAGTGGATAGACTTATATGGCTGCAAACATTTGGATTGATACCATTTAGGTCAGTCAATACCATAGGACTATGAAAAATAAATTAACCACTAATGAAGAAGGAATAATTTTATCTGTGTTTATGTAATCAAAGCACAAATGTGAAAGCTTGCCTAATGCAAAGATATATTCTAATGTTTCATTGTTTAGTCGGCTTGGATTAATCAAAAGTAAATTGAGGTTTGTGTTGCCATAAATCCTTTCTTGATGAGTTTTGAATAGTCCTAAAAATTTTCAGGTCTATTTGAACAGAGTCCAAGTCTCCTTATGTCCCAGAGGGAAGCTCCCATATGAGAGCTGTAATGCAGATATACAAACCTAGGATGCTTTCGGTCCTTTTTATTATTATTTGTGATGTTCTGTCTTCCTTGTCACTTCCAAAGAGTTACTTACTGTAATTTCTCATGCGTCTTTTTTTTTTTTTTGAGCCAAGAGTACGATGATGGCAACTTTATTTTTGATGTTTGTATACATAAAACAAAATCCAGTTTTATAATTCCCTTTGGTCTATTATAGATTTAGGCAGAAAGGAACATTGCCAATATTAAAATGATAACTACAGTCTCACCAAGGGGGACAAAGGGGTTCAGCATTTAAGAATTTGAGGAATGACGTAAACATACTTTTGAAAACGTTGTGAGCTGATGGATGGAATTTAATTGGATTTTGAACAGTTGGTGGCTTATTCTCTTGGTACTTCAGCCTATTTACCATAAGAATAGTGAGTTCTGCCTATGACTTAATTTGAGGAACACTTGATAATGGCTATAAAATAAAGGCTTCAAATTCTTCAAAGTAGATTTCCTATTACATACAAGATAGTATTAGGTGCAACATTTGATATTACCCATTTCAGGGGATATGTATTTGTTTTCCTCCTTATGTATCATTTCCCTTTGCAACCTAGTTATGCCTCTTCACTGTTCTGGATTGTGAGAGTGAAGGATTTGTCCCTGCCCTGTAGATGGTGTGCTCCACAGTGACTGCCCCCTCCTTCAGGCTCTCTCACTGTCTAAATCAGTGTCTCTACTCCACCCCTGTAGTAAGTATTTCAACTCTGGAAACAAGATGGCTCCAAGCTGCTTGCATGAACCTCCCTTCTGGCCCCCTCCACAAGTCCAATGAAAAAAATGGTCCTCCCTTTCCCATGAGCCACAGAGCACATCTCTGAACTTGCTGCTGCTAGGATTTTATGAGGACATTGCAGCTATATGAAAATTAACTCTTCTTATGCTGTCCTTCAAGACTTCATTTGAGCTTTGTTTAAAAGCAGTTATTTATTGGTTCTGTATGTTAGGGCATTAGTGTTATGAAGAATAGGGATGACTCTAGTGAAAAGTATCCAAAAAGATAGAGCTAATTTTCTGCACTTCTGAAAATGTTTGCTGTCCCTTGCTGATGCTAACTTAGTTCATGAAGTCATTAAATGTTGGCATATTTTGGCCATGTTTCTCCCTACCCTCTTTAAATTACAGAAAGTGATTTAAAAAAATCCAGAGCAATGCCTTACTTATATAAGGTAACTCATTTTCTCATTATTTTCTAGCTGGTAGTGTGTATAATGATACAATATGGTTGAGTATGCATTTCAGACTAACATATGACTGCCAGTTTGTGTGCCTTAGTTTTCATTTTATTGTTCTGTGTCTTGTAGAGCAAAGAGCTTACAGCTTATCGGAGCCACCAAGAGAAAACAGGTACTTTTAACTATTCCAATTTTCCTGAGGAACTGCATGATCCTTCTTTGGAAATGTCCACACATCATTTTTGCTATCTGTTCACTAGTTCATGAGAGGTTTCCATGTAACAAGCCTGCCTAAGACCCTTTGCTCCCTCTGGGATCTGTATCAGGATAGATCTGCCAGCCCTCCCCTTTCAGTCCTTGGCTGTGCAGGCCTCAGGATTGGGGACAGCATGTTCTGTCTGGGTATCTTCAAAGCCAAATACCCTCAAGGGGAGCAGTGTGAGGGGACCACCTGTTTTAGAAAGACAACATGTTTTCTCCAGCTCTATTCCACCATGACAAGGGGACTTACTTTAGTAACAGAACCCTGGGTGGTCAATGATAGAAAGTGCCTAAACATCCCTACTGTCTCTCTATGGATTTTTGCCTAGTAGCCCTTCAGCTGGAAACAAAGAATAAACAATGCAGAAGACTTTTAAGCATGATCAGTTTCCTGGTTGAGATGCAGATTTAACCTAAGCTTCTCTTTCTCCTAGAAGGTAAAACTGTTGTTGGAGTATAGCTTGGGAAGCAGACCAGTGTGCAAGCATGATTGTTGGTTTCTGTTGGTGTTGAATAACTAACTGCCCATGAGTCACACTGTGAAATAGCCCCAGGGTTGTATGCAAAACAAGTGCCAGAATGGCACACATGTTTGACTTTAAGAGACCATCTGAAAAGAGTGAAATGGTTTAATTTTGTTTGAGATTAATACTAAAACTTTGAAACGTTTTAAACGTTTTAGTATACGGATCAAGATGGGGTGTTTCGTTTTAAATCCTGGAATCAAAGTATTAATAAGAAAAAGCCTCCTTTGGATCATTTCTATTTTTTTTTTGAAACCAGAATAGAAACTTTCAAATGATACAAAAGAGGAAGATTAAGAATGCCCTTGAAAGATAGGATGATGATCAAGTTGACTTCGTGACAATGGCAATGAGGATGATGATAGCAAAAGCAGTAATTACTGACAAATATTGAACATTTGTATGTGCCTTGTACTGTTTTAAGCAGTTTACATTTATTATCTCATTTAAGCAATTTACTTCCTCATTCTGGAATTTGATCTTCATCTTGGTCATCATTTTGATTAACAGTCATCTTTTTAACAACTGGAAAAATAATGGATTGTTATCAAGAATTTTTTAAATTAAAAATATAAAAAATATTCATTTGTCATTAGGAGAGAGATTTAAGACCGAAGGAGCCAATGTTATACTTGGCTAAATAGTAGCCTATAAAATATTTTCACTTTGATGGCATCTTTATGAAGTTTCTTTTTATCTGGTTCTTCGTTCTCTGTCACTCTTGTTTTTGTTTTCTGTTCCTTTCTATTCTTTAATCTTTCTTGGTCCACATCCTGAAAGCATCTTACTCTCTCAGTCATATGCCTTGGTGTATCTAGTAGAGTGGATCTTTCATCTCACCCACTCTATTCCTGCTATCTTATCTTGTTGGATATGCCAATAAGATCCCAAGCCATACCTAATGCTTTGCTTTGGTCATGTTACAGGTATTTACCTGAGATGATGCCTTCTTTGATATTCTCTTATTTGTATTAATCACTTAGTTTCTAGAAAAGGGGACATCCATGTAAAAAATGAGCTCACTCTATACCTTGCAGGCTCATTTCAGCAGACACTCTGTTCTAATTTCTTAAAGATTATATGGCATGACTTGATTATTTTACTGCCACCATCTGTCTTAAATCTATTGTATGTATTTCCTCCTTCTCCTCCTCTTTCTTCAAATCTGAGGATCTGAGTGTTAACAGAAGTTCCACTGTGTCAATTTTCAATCTGCATAGCAGGAACTTCTTTCAGCCCTTTAGGCCCGGTGCGGTGGCTCATGCCTGTAATCCCAGCATTTTGGGAGGCAGAGGCGGGCGGATCATCTGAGGTCAGGAGTTTGAGACCAGCCTAGTCAACATGAGGAAACCCTGTTTCTACTAAAATATACAAAAATTAGCCAGGTGTGGTGGCAGGCGCCTGCAATCACAGCTACTCAGGAGGCTGAGGCAGAAGAATGGCTTGAACCTGGAACGCGGAGGTTGCAATGAGCCGAGATCGTGCCACAGCATCCTAGTCTGGGCGACAGAGCCAGACTCCATCTCAAAAAAAAACAAAAACCCAAAAACAACAACAACAACAAAAAAACACTTTAGATGCCAATTCTTTAAATAGATTAAGGGTTAAAATATTAAGAATCCATATTCTTAATATGTTTTAAATGTCTATTTACCTATTGAAAAGGCAGTACCATTAAAGGCTCTGAGAAGGGTTTGTAAAACTTTATTGTGAGTGATGCTATCGGTCATCAAACTAATAATAGAGATTAGACGTTCTTGTTCTGGGATGTTAAAAATAACTTAATCTTTCCAGATTCTTACAAATGTAAAAGCTATTTAAATTCTATTATGAAATTATTTGAAGGTTTTCTCTTCTCAATTATTTTCTAAAGTGCCTGATTTTGATATAGGTAAATATCACATAATTAAATTAGATATGAAATGAAGCAACCAACCTTCTACATTTGCCCAGAGGTTATACAGTATTACCCATCTTCATAATCTGATAGTGGATTATGACTATGATATTCACATTTCTACCAGGTTGGGTGATGGTTTAAGTTTTCATATTTCATAATTAATAATATTTTTAAAAAAGCATTTTTATGTTTACACTGTTATATCTCAGGTCTTATCAACCTCAGCTTAAAAAGTTGAAGTATCGGCTGGGCGTGGTGGCTCACGTTTTTAATCCCAGCACTTTGGGAGGCCGAGGTGGGTGAATCACCAGAGGTCAGGAGTTCCAGACCAGCCTGGCCAACATGGCAAAACCCCATCTCTACTAAAAATATGAAAATCAGCTGGGCCTGGTGGTGGGCGCCTGTAATTCCAGCTACTCAGGAGGCTGAGGCAGGTGAATCACTTGAACCTGGGAGCCTGAGGTTGCAGTGAGCCAAGATCACGCCATTGCACTCCAGCCTAGGCAACGAGAGCAAAACTCCATCTCAAAAAAAAAAAAAAGTTAAAGTGTCGTGTTGTAGAAGTATGAAGGATATATGATAAATTGTGCATTTGTAAGTTTTTAATCAATGTGGAAACTGTCGTTTTTTATATAGTCTTCTGTAACAAGGGAGTTGGGAGTAGAGTTGGGTAACCAATAATTAATTTTCTTTTATTTGCAATAGTTTAGTTGTGTTCCTGCTGGGAAGTACAAAAGGGGCTTCTTGACCTCAAAATCCACAGTGACCTAACCATTCTTTAATTCCGATATTAGGTCTCCTCATCACTCTTCTCTTCTCTTAGACGTTGGATAGCATTTGGTGGGGTCAAAAAAGGCCTTCTAAGAGAGGAGTCTTTTCAAACTCTCAAATGTATTTTTTCCCCCAATTTTGAAAGTGAGCCTTTTGAATATTATGGCACAAATTTTGCAAATTAGGATGTGTAAGACACCAGAGGTTTATGGGAAATTTCGGATTCTATTAACCAGTCAGTTATCCTAGGTAAAAATGACTAGAGGTAGCATGGAAGTAGAAAGGAAATTAAAAGGGTCTGAGATTCTTTCACTACTCTGTTGGCATAGGGTATGTTTAATTCTATTCACTTCCTTTTCCTTCTGCCTTTTAAAATGTTTTCTCTAAGCAGCAAACCCAATTTCATTTACTGTGCAGGCTTTAAGTAACAGGACATAACACTGTTCTGACTATACCTTTAGATCTACATGGTCAAGAGGCAGCTCTTAAGCCATGTATTTTTTTTTTCTAAATGCATTAATAGGTTTGAGCTCTAAAACCTAATATAGAGCTTAAATAACTTAAAGTTTTATTATAATATGTACCATATTAAAGTGTGGAAGGGGTCTTGGAAATAATTTAGTCTAAGCCTGATATTAATTACATAAGAACAATCAAAGTCCTAGAAAGTTGTCATTGAAAGCAATATTTTCACAAAATATAATGATATATATTTTGGTGTAAATCAGTGATTTTATTGCTTTTAAATACTTCCCAGAGATAAATGTGTTAGTTATCAGTATGGAAAGGTGAGAATTTTAGGGGGTAGGAGAGACTTTAGTTAGGAAATAATCACTATGGCAATCATCTACAGAAGTGTTACCTGGTTTGACATGATATTTAGGTTGATTTTTAATTTATTCTTTCCTCAGTAATAATAGAAATATAAGATTATCAGAGGAAGCTCTAGGGGGAATTGTAACTTTCATAGTCTGCATATGTTTTTTTCTAGAGAATAATTGTATTGTGGATTAGAAGAAAATAAACGGTGTTCAGGGTATTCATGGGTTGGGTACAGTTACCTCTACCTTGCTTCTTATTTTATGGAGTATCCATAGCCTCTCTCCTCCACAACCTAGAGAGTCTCAGATTGTACTGAGTGGGAGAGGCTGCACCGAGTGGCAGTCAGTCTGTTTCTCAGGCCGTATCAACAGAGGAAACACGTGTCTACTGAGTATTATCTCTGCGTTCCAAAAATAAATAAAATCCAGTTGCATATTGTTGGTTATTTGGCTTCTCTGTGCTCTGGGGAATTCTTACTAGCATAGTAAACAGGAAGTTGAGTGTTTTCAGGGTAAAATTATAAGTCTAAGGTTTATTTCCTCAATATTTTATTATGAAAATTTTCAAGTACACAGAAAAGTTGAGAGAATTATCTAGTGTATACCCACTTCCACCACCTATGTTCTATAATTGTTGACATTGTGAGATTGTTGCTCTAATCACATGTCTGTTCACTTATGCTATAGGGTGTATTTTTAATGAATTGTTTTTCTCTTTAGAACAGCCACTAAAACCTGAAAAAATACATACACATACATATATGTGTACACACACACACACACACACACATACACACACACGTATATGCTATTCTTCCTAAGTCATATGAGCCATGATAACAGATTCTGTTTTTGTAGAATTCAGGAAGAAGAATGGGATAAATACATCATACCTGCCAAATCAGAGTCTGAAAAATATAAAGTGAGTCGAACTTTCAGTTTCCTCATGAATAGGATGACTAGCCCTCGGAATAAATCAAAGGTAATTAAAGTGATTCACTTATTTTCTATAAAATATAGACATTTTAGTTTCTCAGCAGTTAGTATAATTTCCACTTTCCCTTTGAAATCACTTACCTTAGATTTTATTTACACATATTTCTTATGGAATATTGCTAAAGCCCAGAATATAACATTTAGGTGTTATGGTGTCCCTCTGTGTGCAGTCCTTATATTCTGATGGAAAATGTAGAGACTTTGCTCAGATGATTTCTATAAGAAAGTTGGCTCACAGCGTTTTCCTTTTCTCATTTTTCCCCACTTTCCTACTGCTGCTGCTGCATCTGAAGACAAAAAGCAAGGATGCCAAAGATAAAGAGAAGCTGAATCGACATCAGTTTGCCCCAGGAACATTCTCTGGGGTTCTGCAGTGTTTGGTTTGTGATAAAACACTCCTGGGGAAAGAGTCACTGCAGTGTTCTAGTAAGTTCTCAGGTCTATGTGCGCTGTCTTTGTTTTCATCTCCTGACAGTAACCTTGGGAAGAGGCTCATTGCTCAATACATTTACATAAACCTTTTCAGTGCCACACATATGACTGAACCGTTTACCAAGCAAGGACTGATACTGGTTAGAGTCAGTGTGTTTTGTCCATAACTGATAGCCTGTCTGAACCCCAGATTTGTATGCCTGTCTCCACTGGGATGTCTAAAGAGCGTCTCAGATGTTACATCTCCCCATTCTGTGCTCACCTAAAAGCTGATGCTCTCGGCCTTTAATGGCAACTTGATCATTCCAACCAGATGTTCATGCCAAAACTTTTGGAGTACATCTTTATACCTCCCATTTTCTCACATCCCACATCCAATCCATCAACAATCCTCTTGGCTCTATTTTCAGAAAACATATAAAACCAGGCACTTGTCACCCCTACCACTGATATCATTCTGGTCTAAAGCCACCATTTCTACAGCATTCCAACTGACTTCCTTGTGCTTTTACCCCTAAAGTCTGTTCTCAAAGCATTAGCCAGAGTGAGCTGGTAAAGGCATATATCACTGCGTTCAAAAAAATCTCCCAATGGCTTCCTATACCTCAAGTATAGACTGAAGTCCTTAAGTGCTTACAATGACAGCAAGTTCCCATGTGATCTGTCCTCCCCCTCCCTTACTCCCTCTGCTCCAGTCACACTGGCATCTTTGCTGTTTTTCGAACATGGCAGTCATGCTCCTGCCTTAGGGCCTTCTCTGGCTGTTCCTTCTGATTGCAACACTCTTTCCTCAGATACCCACACGGATCACTCAGACAACAGCTTCTCAGGCAGCCTTTCCTGATCTCCCAGTGCCTGGCTCATCCTTGCCCTCCTCCTGGCATTTTTTCCCATTATAATATTTACCACCATCTAACTTACTATACAGTTTGCATATGGGGGCTAGATTTTTGTCTGTTGAATTTGTTCTCTGCTATATGCAGAGTGGCTAGAACAATACCTTGTACATTGCAGGGGCTTAGTAAGTATTTGTTGAATGAAAGAATAATTCAGAGAAAAAGTAGTGAGGCGCAGGCAGGTGGAATAGATTTCATGGTATTTGTTGATCGCCAGAATTGTGGGAATATTTGGAAGGTGGGATGGGAGCACAAAGGGAACAGAGGAGCAGGGGAAGTTTACCTCTGAAGCTCCTCATAAACTTTGTTGAAAATGATTGAATTAAAAAATTTAGATGTATCTACAGCTGGACATCTGATCAAAATACAATCCACATATGACATTACAGGCAGATTGAATTTTCTTCTCACAGTTGACATTGTGTTTAATTATGCTGACTTTATTGCATGTTTGAATTTTGCTTTCCTTGAAAACTTGATTTCTTTCTTTTCCTGGATCTGAAGTAGCATCAGGCTGCTCAGATGTGGTTTAACTTCCTACATTTTTAGAGATTTGCTCCAAGTATCGTTTATGGGTTGTTTCTGGCCTGCCCACACTTCAGCGGTCAGTTCATTCGTGTGATGGGCATGTGTTTCCTAGGTTGTTGTTCCACCCTTGTGGGTGGACTTGTGGACTTGAGCCCTTC